>NC_000011.10:69669571-70955696 GCF_000001405.40 Homo sapiens
TGCAGAGGACCACGCACTTTCCACTTGGCAAGCGGTTACTTTTCTGGTCAGCGATGCTGCTCAGACACACCCAGCCGGGCGCACCATCAGAGGCGGCACACGTCAGGCAGGTGTGAGCAGCTCAGGGCTAATGAAAGAAAAGTGATGGTGCCAGAGCCCCCGTGCTCAGCCCCGGTGCGCGCTGGTCTGCAGGAGGGTTTCACCAGACTGCTGAAGCCGGGGACAGAAGTGTCACGCAGTTTACCGGAAAGCTAGTTACTCAACGGAAAGCACCATCTTTTGGCCTGAGATGCCGCTCTCCGTGGTTTCTTTGGTGTTACAATGCCCAGCATTTTGCTGAATGACAATGCGGTGGCAGGTGTTTTTCTCTTAACATCCTTATTTGGAAAAATTTACAGGTAAAACATGCAATATCAGCCCTTCACCATTTAAAAAAAAACAAAAAACAAAAAAAAAAACCTGACATGTAAGATCTAAACATCCATGAACCACTGCTCTACAATAAAGCCTTAGGTTCCAAAGAGACCTCTGGGTACTACTGGATGGGATGAGGGCGGCTGCGAGGGGGGTCTGGCAGGGCTTCCACCAGCCCCTCGTCAACCAAAGCGGTTCTTCTCTGTTAGCTAGACTGAGTGTGCTGCTTTCAGACGTCAGCAAACCCCTGCTCTGGGGTAAGGGCTGGCAACCTCCTGGGATGGGACCACTGGCACACAGCGGAGCACTTCTCCAGGAGCCGGCAGATTCTGCCGCTGTGGGAGAAGGGAGACAGGCGGAGAACTCCAAGAACACACATCCTTTTGTGGCCTGGAGTTGAGAGCCAGGCTCAGCTTTGACTGCCACCTAGTGGTAGCACAGGCTGCCAACAGCGATTCCCCTGGGATCCCCAGCTGCCGGCCGCTGCCTGAGAACCAGGAGGAAAATGTCCTCAAGTGCCCCTCTGCTAACCCAGAATCCCATCGACTCCCAACTGCTGGTACAAACGGAGCAGAAAGAACTACCCGTATCAGTTGCAAGCATCCTCATTCTTAAACATTTGAATATTCAAGATATTCAAGGTATTTCTAGAAATTCAAGATATTTCAAATAAAAGCACAAGTCACGTAGTCAGGGAGAGAGTTACCCACTCTCCTTGTGCCCCTCCCACGCTAGGCAAGGCCACCAGGTGTCAGAATGACGCAGAGCACCAGCTCAGGTCCCGCGCTTGCTGCTGCCCATGAACAGCAGAGTATCCAAACCATCTCAAGGGTTCATTTCCAGCTTCAGAATGAAGATAGATAAAGCAGGGTCACATGGGGCTTCAGTAAGTACAATGCAGGAAGAAGAGTTTTTGTTTGTTTGTTTGTTTTTGAGAAGGAGTTTTGCTCTGTCGCCCAGGCTGGAGCGCAGTGGCATTATCTCAGCTCACTGCAACCTCTGCCTCCTGGGTTCAGGCAATTCTTCAACCTCAGCCTCCCGAGTAGCTGGCACTACAGACACATGGCACCACGCCCGGCTAATTTTTGTATTTTTAGTAGAGACAGGGTTTCACCATATTGGCCAGGCTGGTCTCGAACTCTTGATCTCGTGATCTGCCCGCCTCGGCCTCCCAAAGTGCTGGGATTATAGGAGTGAGCCACTGCGCCCGGCCGAGAAGAGTTTTTAAAGGCTAAAAACAATTCAAATGACAGCTAACACTTACTGAGTGTTGACAAGTTCCAGAAAGGAGTTAAACACATTTAAAGGCATTTTCTTGTTAACAGACTTAGTTGGCTACATTAAAAAACTGATGACACTGGTGTCCTCATCTCTGAGCCCAAGTGATACAAAACTGTTATAATTTGTTTATTAGAAGCTCAGGGGAAAGGTGAATGAGAAAATACAATCAATGTCAACATTATTTTATTGGTAGGGTATCTAAAAGCCACATGGTGCACTAATGACTCCAGGTAAAAGGCAGGAGCATAGAACTCTTGAGAAGCAACAACAGCCAGTGTTCACCAAACACCTAAAATGTGCCTGGCACTTTCTATTTAGTATTTCCGTTAAATCTCCTAACAACACTCAAGCTTGACACTGATAATTTTCTCCATTTTACAGATGAGGAACAGACAGATTGATTACTCAAGGGCATGCTGGTAACCCATGGAACTAGAACTCCTGGTTCCTACGCTGAGAAAGAAAGACATCTCCACCTTTACCTGTCCTTCTCAGTGGTGCAACTGTGCAGTAGACATTTCCATGCAAAAGCAAAACCTTGGTAGCACCCGATCTGTGAATGTGAAAAATATTTAAGAGTGAAATTAATAAGCAACTAGCTACACTTTCATTACCAAGATCTCAAAACAAAAGGTGGGGGCAGAAGGCAGCGGTGCTTCTCACACTATTGTTCTGGAAGCACCTGTTGAGCATTAGGCAATGGAAATTAGGAAATTAGGTCATCGGTGGGGCAGCCAGCCTCCCAGATGCCCCAGTCCTCATCTCCTGGTACCCATGCCCTGTGCAGGTCCCTCGACACTCCACCAGGGTGGCTTTCGTAACCAACAGAATGTGGAGGAACAGCACAAAGCTCCTGAGTCTAGGGATAAAAGCCAGTGTCACTTGCCTCACCAGCTCTCTTGGACCACTCGCTCTTGAATGTCACGAGGACACACAAGCAGCCCCATGGAGACGTCCATGCCCACAGTCAGGTGACAGCACCACCTTGGAGGCAGATCCTCCAAGCCCAGTCAAGCCTTCAGGTGACACGGCTCTGGCTGACACCCTGAGCCAGGACCACCCAGCAAAGCTGCTCCTGAGTTCCCAACCCTCAGAAACATGTGAGATCATCCATATTTGCTGTGTTAAGCCCATGAATTTTGTGGTGATCTGTTTCACAGCATCGAACATCCAATATAGTCATAACTGCCTCAACTCAGACTTTGCCACTAAGGGCCACTTATCTGTAAGGGCCAATCTAGGACAAAGGGCAAGAAGAGAAAAAAAAAAATCATAAAGTTAATGAAATTTCAACGTAAACATAAATGGAATATGTTCACATGACAGAGGGCACCCATTCTTTGGCTTAGTACATGAGCCAGCACCATGACACTCCCAAGTAAACTAAGGAGACCAGGGACTTGTTTTCTTTTATCCAGCATGCATAATTTAATTGTATCTACCTACAGCAAAATGCACTCTTGGTTCTGTACTAAGAATATTTCTCCAGCAACAGTCCATCTAGTCCATTAACTCCCATGCAAAGGCACTGTGATTTTTTTTGTTTATTTTTTGGAGATGGAGTTTCATCCTGTCGCCCAGGCTGCAGTGCAATGGCACGGTCCCGGCTTACCACAACCTCTGCCTCCCAGGTTCAAGCGAGTCTCATACCTCAGCCTCCCAAGTGGCTGGGATTACAGGCATGCACCACCATGCCCAGCTAATTCAGTATTTTTAGTAGAGACAGGGTTTCACCATGTTGGTCAGGCTGGTCTCCAACTCCTGACCTCAAGGCGATCCACCCACCTCAGACTCCCAAAGTGCTGGGATTACAGGTGTGAGTCACCGCGCCCATCCGGCACTGTGATTTTAAAAGGCCTGACAATTCTTACTCCATCACACTGAATATCGAAATAAATTATAAATTGTAAATGAAGAGGCTTCATCTCCAGATGGGGGTTCCCACTTACCTCAGACCCGATTTTGGCTCCATGCAGCGTGCCATGCTGCCTTCCCTCCATCACACCCAAACTACTGCCTTCTTCATAGCCTTCCCGATACCCTTCCCCATGAAACCTGTGAAGAAGAAGCATGCTTCATCAAATCAACAGGAGAAAGAATACTTTCTCCAGAAAAACTTCTCTCTCTTGTATTACCCGGACCCAGTAAGACAAACCAGAGTAAAGGAGGAAAAGCCTAAAATTCAAGTCAGAAGACACAGATTCCAGTCCCAGATCTACCACTTCCTATTTGCCTCTGGAAGTCACTGTACCTCTTGTAGCCCAGTTTCTTCATCTACAACAAAGGGCTAAATTAGGGATTCCCAAACCTGATAGGGTACTAGAAACACACAAGGAAAATTCAAAGATATTAACTCAAAAGCCTCACCCCCAGAGATTCAGTACGTCTGGAGCAAGGCCCTGGAATCTACTTTTCTTTCTTCCTTTTTTTTTTTTTTTTTTTTGAGACAGGGTCTCTGTTGCCCTGCCTGGAGTGCAGTGGTATGATCACAGCTCACTATAGCCTCAAACTCCTGGGCTCAAGCGATCCTCCAGCTTTGGCCGCTCCAAGTGTTGGGATTACAAGTGAGGGCCACCGCACCTGGCCTGCAATCCACTTTTCTTTTCTTGAGATGGAGTCTCGCTTTGTCGCCCAGGCTGGAGTGCAGTGGTGCGATCTCGGCTCACTGCAAGCTCTGCTTCCCGGGTTCACGCTCTCCTGCCTCAGCCTCCCAAGTAGCTGAGACTACAGGCGCCCACCACCACATCCGGCTAATTTTTTGTATTTTTAGTAGAGACGGGGTTTCACCATGTTAGCTAGGATGGTCTGGATCTCCTGACCTCGTGATCCGCCCGCCTCGGCCTCCCAAAGTGCTGGGATTACAGGCGTCAGCCACCGCATCTGGCCCGGAATCTACTTTTCAAAGTCTCCTAGATAAGTCTGGTTTGCAGCCAGAGTTAGGGGGCCAAAGTTCTGTGAGTGTTCAAGTAGCACTAGCCCAAGTCAACCGCTTCCAAAAAACTGCAACATACACAGGGTTTGACATCACATGGGTAGGGCAACAGAGAGAAATGGCATCAGATCACCACAAAATGTTCTCCGACTGGTACCCGGAGTAGCACTGACCCTGAGGCCCAACAGTGGAACTGCCACTATCTTAACCTGCAGTCACCAAACATGCAAGGAGTGGGCTGCAGCGCCCCATGAAGCAGGGTGCATAGCTCCCCACTTAATAGTTGTGTGACCCTGGAAAGTGACTGTGCCTCCTAGTCTGTAAATTCCGAAGAATAATAGGATCCACTTACTAAGTAGGGCTGAAGTAGATAACCAGGGTGGAACGTTTAGCTCAGTGTCTGACTCACAGCGCGAGCTAAATAAACGTCAGCGCCTGACTGCTAAATGTTCGGCCGCTTTCTTAACTAACATCTATGGACGCGTCCTCTGGGCCGGGCACTGGAAGTCAGCCAGGAGGCAACTCACAGCTCCCCCACTGTCGCAGCACGAGGGGCTCCCCAGGGGCTCTGGAGGGAAAAGGGGTGTGGTCGGGTACATCTATCAGCACATCCATGAATACTGCCGTATGTCCTATGATTAAGGAACCAGAAAAAAAGGCAGCTCCCAGATGGCAAAGGTCTGTCCTCCCAGAGGACGAGGCGGCCTCGGAGGAGGGGAACCACCAGGCTGAGCAGATGTTTGGGGCAGCCCTGACAGGGAAGGCGGGTCTGGAAGAGCAGCTGGGCACGTGCCCCGCCGGAGCGGGCCAGGAGAAGAGGACCAGAGCATCAGGCCCACACTTGTCCCTGCGTCCACGGCCACCAGGCGCTCCCCAATGCGCACGCCCAAGGGACGCCAGGCTCCAGCAGCCGCCCTGGGCCGCAGCCGGCGGCGAAGCCGCTGGGAGACGACCAGACAGGGCGGGGTGCGGGCCCGGCCTCACCACCCACCTCTCATCCGCCATCACGATGGCATCGAATATGTCCTGACTGCCAGCCATAGCGGCAAGCAGCCCGCCCTTGGCCCCCGGGTTTCTGCAGCCCCGCGGTGCCGTAGCAGACCCGGCAGCTTCAGGCACAAATGCTCCGCTTGGGAGGAGACGAGACCCACTTCCGGAAGCGGCGGCGCGGGGCAGGCCGGGTAAGAACGGCACGCGGGAGGGCCCAAAGCAGCCTGTACATGGCGCATGCGCGGCTGCAGCGGTGGGCGGGGCCGGCCTCGACTGAAGCCCCGCCCTGGGGTCCTTTCGCCCTGCCCAGCTCCAGCAAAGGGCCTGTCTGTCCGCGCTGGGAGCGTCCATTGGCCGCGCGCGTGGAGAGCCGACCTGTATTTTACCACTGCAGATAGAACCGAATTTCCCAAAGTGGCTCCGAAAGAACCAAGGAAGAAATGGGAAGTCATCAGCTGGCGCGGTGGCTCACGCCTGTCATCCCAGCACTTTGGGAGGCCGAGGCGCGCGGATCACCTGAGTTCGGGAGTTCGAGACCAGCCTGGCCAACATGGTGAAACCTCGTCTTTACTGAAAATACAAAAATTAGCCGGGCATGGTGGCAGGCGCCTGTAATCCCAGCTACTCGGGAGGCTGAGGCAGGAGAATCACTGGAAGCTGGGAGGCGGAGGTTGCAGTGAGCCGAGATCGCACCACTGCACTCCAGACTGGCGACAGAGCCAGACTCCGTCAAAAAAAAAAAAAAAAAGGGAAAAGAAATGGGAAGTCATCAAAGAACCGACGCCTCAGGAGGCTCCAGGCCAGGAGGCTCTGCATGTGGGATTTTGGGCAGAAATTTGTCGGTTTTAGTTCTCATATTTGTCATTTCCATGAGATGTGCTTTCTGAACACGATTTTTAAAAAGGGATTTCAAAGTCTAAGCGACAACGGAACTCAGATGAGAAACACCAGAAGCATTCCTAATAAAGTCAGTAGTAAAACCTCACGTGACCACTGAACATCTTTCTACCAGCCCTGGCCAATGCAGTAAAACATGAAGCAAGAAGTGGAAATACCAAAAAAAAAAAAAAAAAAAAAAAAAGGCAGAAATACTACTATTTGCAGATATGATGGCCCACGTGGAAAACCCAAATAGTCACCTAAGACGTTCTCAGAATCCATAATCGCAGCAAGTAGCTATGTGTATGATGAATAGGGAAAAAAACACTTTCTGTTATTCCAACAATAATTGGTAGTAACCTGAGCAGGGGTGGTGATGGGAAAATCGCCTTATGATAGTCATAATACATTTCTTAGAAATAAGAATTTCTAACAATTTGAGCAGGACCCATATAAGGAAAACTACAGCTCTACCATGATTGAGGATTGGGGAACTGAACAAGTGCAGTACCAAAGAAAATTCCATGAGATCTGGTAAAATGTGTCAAAATCCTAAACTTTTTCATCCGTATGAATAAACTAATAAAAATAACTAAGATGTTTTAGAAAAAAATGATTTTCATATCAGATATGAAAAGATAAAGTGTCAATATAAATATTGTGGTATGTTGGTTCAAGAAGTGGCAGACCAGTGAAATAAAGTAAATGGCCCAGACAATGGACTCTCATAGATGTAAAGCCTTCTCATGTGGTAAAAAGAAGAATTACAAATTAATTGGAGAAAGGAAATATTAACTAATAACTATAATGGAAAATTGGTTGTTTGGGAAAAGCTTGGTTCCATTTATGCCTCACACCATTCATCAAAATAATTCCAGATGAGTTAAAGAGTTAACTTAAAAAAATTAAGCACATTGGCTGGGCACGGTGGCTCACGCCTGTAATCCCAGCACTTTGGGAGGCCCAGGCAGGTGGATAACCAGAGTTAGGGAGTTCGAGACCAGCCTGACCAACATGGAGAAACCCCGTCTGTACTAAAACTACAAAATTAGCCTGGCGTGGTGGTGCATGCCTGTAAGCCCAGCTACTCGGGAGGCTGAGGCAGGAGAACCCAGGAGACAGAGGTTGCAGTGAGCCGAGATCACACCATTGCACCCCAGCCTGGGCAACAAGAGCAAAACTCCATCTCTAAATAAATAAATGAATAAAGCACATTTTGCCTGTAATCCCAGCACTTTGGGAGGCCGAGGCGGGCGGATCATGAGGTCAGGAGATCGAGACCATCCTGGCTAACATGGTGAAACCCCGTCTCTACCAAAAAATACAAAAAAAAAAAATTAGTGGGGCATGGTGACGTGTACCTGTAGTCCCAGCTACTTGGGAGGCTGAGGCAGGAGAATGGCATGAACCTGGGAAGTGGAGCTTGCAATGAGCCGAGATCGCGCTACTCTACTCCAGCCTGGGTGACAGAGCGAGACTCTATCTCAAAAAAAATAAAATAAAATAAAAATAAATAAATAAATAAATAAAATAAAGTACATTAAAAAATCTAGGTGGAACATTCAGACAAGTATGAAGATGCTCTTTTAACACATAAAAGCCATGAAGGAATTCTCAGCAAGCAAAACCAACATTTTACCATGTAAAAATGCAAACTTGTGTGTACCAAAAGTGATAAGAAACAAAATTTAAAGTTAAAGAACAATATGGGGAAATATTTGTCATAAATATTGTAACTAAAGAAATAATAATTCTGGTAAAGAGTTTATTTAAATACATGTATTTATTTAAATAAATACATCCTAACGGGGAAAAAAAAGGACTTGAAACATTATTCACAGAAAGAGCAACAGCTGGCCAATCAGGAAAAGCAGACGCAGCCTCACTAGTAACCAAAGCAATGCTGAGAAAGAATAATGAGATGCATTTTTTATCTTTTAAAATAGCTTAAGTTCTTTTTCTCCTTTTTTAGAATTAAAAGATACTCTTAATGAGCACAAGTGCATACATTGAAGACACCTCTTGGTCAGGCAGTTCAAAAACATAGGAAGGGCATTATATATATATATATTTTGTTTGTTTGTTTGTTTGTTTGTTTGTTTGTTTTTACTAGCTAGGCGTGGTGGGTCACGCCTGTAATCCCAGCACTTTGGGAAGTCAAGGTGGGTGGATCACCTGAGGTCACCAGTTCCAGATCAGCCTGGCCAAACAGTGAAACTTCGTCTCTACTAAAAACAAAAATTAGCCGGGTGTGGTGGCACGCTCCTGTAGTCCCAGCTATTCTAGAGGCTGAGGCAGGAGAATTGCTTGAACCTGGGAGGTGGAGGTTGCAGTGAGCCGAGATTGTGCCACTGCACTCCAGACTGGGCGACAGAATGAGACTCTGCCTCAAAAATAGAATAAAAAAGTTTTTTTTTGCCCCTGGACCTAGTCATTTCACTTCTAAGACTTCATCTCTAGGAAATAATCAAAGACAAGTCAAAATATTATGTACAGTGTTGTTCAGTGCAACACGATTTGTAAAAGGCAAGGCAAGGAAAGCAGCTACATTGACAAAATGGTGGAATTATGACATGTATTGTAGGCTATTCATGTTGAAGACTCCTAAGCAACCATTACAAATAATATTTCAACAAAAGTAACATCATGGAAAATGCCCATGATATTTCAAGAAAAAGAAAAAAAAATCCTCTATGTGAGGCTGCAGTGAGCTATGACCATACCACTCCACTGCAGCCAGGCCAGGGCAACAGAGTGAAATCTCATCTCAAAAACATAAAAAGAAAGAAAAAGAAAAAGAAAAAAAAACACTCTACATATACTCGAATTGCAATCACACTAAACACTATTTCAAAAGAATGAGAGTAGCCAGGTGAGGTGACTCACACGTATAATCCAACACTTTGGGAGGCCAAGGTGGAAAGATTGCTTGAACCCAGAGTTCAAGACCAAGCTAGGTAACATAGTGAGACTTCATCTCTACAAAAAAATAGAAAAAATTAGCCAGGCACGGTAGTGTGCTCCTGTAGTCCCAGCTACTTGGGAGGCTAAGGCGAGAGGATTGCTTGTTCTCAGGAAATTGAGGCTGCAGTAAACCGTGATCGTGCCACTGCACTCCAGCCTGGGCAACAGAACGAGACCCTATCTCAAACAAAACAAACAAACAAACAAACAAACAAAAAACCAGAAAAGAAAAAAGGAAGAGAAAAAAGAGTGAAAGCAAGTACAGCAAAATGTTCATAGAGAATATAGCTAGATTTTGGAATGACAGTGATTTTTTTAATGTCCTCATTTATATTTTTTGGAACATCTCATGTTTGTTTGCACAATGAACATAAGTTATGTTATAAGCATAAAAAAATGTTTTTGGTGGATGAAATTAAATAGACTTCGTATTATTTTGTTCTGAAGATGTCTTTAATTTTTAGGTTTTTTAAATAAGCAAATGAAATCACACAACACTTGGAATATAGGAAAAAGGGAAAGACAGCAAGCCAAAAAAAACAGTTCACCCTGTCCACCAACTGATTTTTGCTAATTTTATTATTTTTCCCTTGAATTTTCATATAAACATAATTTAATATATAAACAATGTAATATCCTTCTCCCTGCCCACTTAACATTAGATTACAAACACCTCCCAAATAAGGGAACTGTTCTCTTATCAGTACATATTTAAAACACATTTTTGAGCATAAATTTCATTAGCTGAAATAAAATAAAATAAATATATCTTTTGGATAGGAAAATAGATAACGCGGTGAGAAAAATAAATGACCACTTACAGAATAAAGCCCGTGGACATGGAGGCTTATACAGAAGAGCGTAGGTTTTAATTTCTAACTTCAAAAATATTTGCAAAGCCTTGAACAATTATATGTGCTACAAAAATCAACACTATTGATACAAATTATTAATCTGAAATAAAGCTTTGGGGAGATTTTCTGTCCCCAATCATCAATTTGTTCATCTGGTTTGTTCTTAAAATATTTATTTTGAAGCCAGACTGTCTTAGCATTAAAGACAAAGAAGGGCCGGGTGTGGTGGCTCACGCCTGTAATCCCAGCACTTTAGGAGGCCGAGGTGGGTGGATCATCTGAGGTCAGGAGTTCAAAACCAACCTGGCCAACATGGTGAAACCCTGTCTCTACTAAAAATACAAAATTATCTGGGCATGGTGGCTCATGCCTGTAATCCCAGCTAGTTAGGAGGCTGAGGCAGGAGAATTGCTTGAACCTGGGAGGTGGAGGTTGTAGTGAGCCAAAATCGTGCCATTGCACTCCAGCCTGGGCATCAAGAGTGAAACTCTGTCTCAAATAAAAAATAAATAAATAAAATAAAAAATAAAGGCAAAGAGCCTGATTCCATTATCCTGGATTTCCAATAGTTTATTTACAAATTGCTTTATTTTCAAATAAGGACCAGATTGTTAAAGCAGGGCCTTTGGGGCTGCATGCAGTGGCACACTCTTGTAATCCCAGCACTTTGGGAAGCCGAGGCAGGAGGATTGCTTGAGGCTAGGAATTTGAAACCAGCCTGGGCAACATAGTGAGACCCCGTCTCTACAAAACATTTAAAAATTAGCTGGGTATGGTGGCTCACACCTGCAGTCTTAGCTACTTGGGAGGCTGAGGCTTCATTGAGCTATGATTGTGCCACTGCTCTTTAGCCTGAGCAACAAAGGGGAGATGCTGTTTAAAAACACATGCACACACACACACACACCCCGACACACACCGACACACACACAGACACACACACATGCACACACGACACACACACCAACACACACACATGCACACACAGACACACACACTGACACACACAGACACACACCGACCCACACACATGCACACACAGACACACACATGCATACACAGACACACACAAACAGACATACATGCACACACAGACACACACAGAGACACACACACTGACACACACATGCACACACACATGCCTTTGAAAGTAGAAAAAGTTTTAAAGTTCAAATATTTACGTCAACATCCTTAAATAAGTTGCAAATTTTATGTTTTAGCAACTGAACACATAAAAAGCATAGGAAGAATCTGAATTAATATCCCCCCTTGGCTGGGCGTGGTGGCTCACTAATTGTATTTATTTCAGTGGTTTCAAAACACTATTAGTAAATATTTAACTTATAACAAAAGGTATAAAGGAGATAATATAATCACCTCCCAGGAATCTACCACATTAAGAAAAAAAGCATTTTTAAAATAGAAATGTTGGCCGGGCACGGTGGCTCATGCCTATAATCCCAGCACTTTGGGAGGCCAAGACGGGTGGATCACCGGAGGTCAGGAGTTCGAGACCAGCCTGGCCAACATGGTGAAACTCCGTCTCTCCTAAAAATACAAAAATTACCCAGGCATGGTGGTGGGCGCCTGTAATCCCAGCTACTTGGGAGGCTGAGGCAGGAGGATCGCTTGAACCCAGGAGGTGGAGGTTGCAGTGAGCCAAGACTTCGCCATTGCACTCTAGCCTGAGCAACAAAAGCAAAACTCTGTCTCAAAAAAATAAATAAATAAGTAAACAAAGTATAAATATTGCTTACATTCTTGTGAGAGTTCAAAGAAAAACCAGGTCAATATAACTAAAGTGAAAAACAAGTTCATCGAAGTTTAATACTAAACAGTGTTTACTTACCAGAATACTTTTTTTTAAATTTTATATTTAAATTTTTAGCCTGTAGTCCCATGCTCCAAAAAAAAAAAATGAGGACATTAAAAAAATTACGACAATTCCAAAATCTATTTGGTGGACTTCTTCTAGCAGCAAAATACTAAGTAGTTTTCAAACCAAACCAAACCAAACCTGACAATATAGATCTATAGTTGTTAACCTGGAAACACATCCATTTTATTAGAAAAAAAAAAGTTAAAAACAAAATATCATTTGTTCTTATTTTGGTTCAAGAAAAAGGCCCTCGAGCATAGCAACAGGTTTTTATCTATGTAGAGAATAATCTGCAAGGACCACAACCCCTGATGTTGCAGTGGTCACGTTTGGGTGATGGATTATGTGTCATCTTAATTATTTTCCTTTGTATGTTTCTGTATTTTGTGATTTGGGTTTATTTTTTTTACAGCATGAAGCTGCTGGATGTGGTGGCTCATGCCTGTAATCCCAGCACCTTGGGAGGAGGCCGAGGCGAGTGGATCACCTGAGGTCAAGAGTTTGAGACCAGCCTGGCCAACATGGTGAAACCCATGTTTTTGTCTCTACAAAAAATACAAAACTTAGCCAGGCGTTGTGGCATGCGCCTGTAGTCCCAGCTACTCAGGAGACTGACTTGGGAGGATCACTTGTGCCCAGGAGGTCCAGGCTGCAGTGAGTCACGATCATGTCACTGCACTCCAGCCTGGGTGACAGAGCAAGACCCTGTTTCAAAAAAAAAGCATGAAGCAAGTGCGGCTTTCACAGTCCAGAAGAAAAAGAAGCAGTTTTAAATTCTGAAAAGGAAGTCATTAAATGACAGTTCACTTCAAGGAACTAAAGTTTCATCTCATGCTCTATTCATCATAAATAAATAACACATTCGGAAAAGGAGGCAAGTTGCAGGCAGGCCTCAAATCCAAGTTTGACCCCATGGGGTAGGCAGGAGGAGGAGAATGCGAGGCTTGAGTTACACTCGATCTTTCCAGCTGCGCCTCCTCTCTGCTCCTTCTCTAATAGGTGTGCTTGGGTTTGGGAGCCTGTCAAATGCCATTTTCTACCTGCTTCCCTGGTGGCCCTAGCGCAGGAGACCTGGGTTGGGGTGGAGGTCTGGTGCTGTGAGCAGTAACTGAGAACAGGGCTCCTCTGGGCACCCACCTGCCTGCGGAAGGGCTCTGGCCAGCAGGGCTCAGCCTCTGCCCATCCCTAAGGCTCCCAGGGGAGTCTTCTTCAGGCTTCTAGAGAAGAGATAACATTTTGGGAAAGTGACACAAAGATGTGGCAACAGTACCTGTATTGGGAGCGGACTGAAAGTCTGAGAGGAGGCCTACTTTTCACTGTCTAACTTGCATTAGTCAGGTTAGGCCAGGCTGTGCTGCAATAAGAAATAAGCCCTGACATCTCAGTGGCTTAACCAGGAAGGGCTATTTCCCACTTCCACGAAGTCCACTATGGGTGGGGCAGCTCTCCTCCACCTTGCAGGAACCAAGGCCCCCTCATTGCCCCAGCAGGGGAAGAGACAGAGGAAGCAGGCTAGCTCCTAGCTGCCTTGTCCCAGGAGAACACTTTATTTCCATTCCATTGACCAGAACCAGTCCCAAGGCCCTAACCAAACTGTAGGGGAGCCTGGGAAATGGAGATGAGCCCACGGACGTTTGGTCAACTCTGTCTCTGCCACAATGCTTTAATGCTGTTAGGATTTTATTTTGAACCCTGTAAATATGTGGCTTCTCCAATGTAAAAAGAAAGAAGGGAGAGTTGTTATCTAATGTGTATATTATATATTATGTTATATATTCTATGTATGTAACAGGTGGAATATATCAGTCACCTCTCCTCACCCAGTTGAACAAAATGCAAAACACAATAGATGCTGTCAAAGAGATATGTCATATCCACATTTTACTGGAAATAATAATTTCTCCAAAATTGTGGTTCCTGAAGTAAATAAAGATTTAAAATAAATGATGAAAGTTTGAATCTTAGCAGATACCGAAAGTGTAGATCTTACTTTGCACAGGGTGTAGCACATAACAGGTGCTCAGTAAATGGTTGCTGAGTGAATAAGTGAGAATGTAGTGTGGCAGTGGGAGGAGAAGGCCCCTCTGAGCCATGGGAGGGGGACAGGCCATGTTTGCTGTGGTGTTTGCCCATGGCTTTTGGGTCATCTCAGTAGAGAGGGTGCCTGGATAAACAGTTTTCTTTCCAGAGCTCAAAGACCGTTTACCAAAACTGGGCCCAGCCCCTTAGGGCTAGCTGTATTTCCCTGTTTGTGTCGAGGAAAGGGGGAATGAGGGATCCAACCTGGGCTTGGGCTGCCACCTGCTGGATGCAGTGGCTCATGCCTGTAATCCCAGCACCTTGGGAGGCCGAGGCAGGTGGATCACCTGAGGTCAAGAGTTTGAGACCAGCCTGGCCAGCATGGCGAAACCCTGGAGAGGGAAGTGAGGCAGCCGAGGACGCATAGTGGCTACCGGGGACCCAGCCCTGCCATGGCCTGAGGCATTGTCCCTCTAGGTGGGAGCGTGTAGGACTCATGCACCCCCCCGGGAGGCTCCAAGAGAGTCCCCCATTTGACCTACACCCCTTATTTCTTAGAAGGCCCTAGCGCGGCTGGGCGTGATGGCTCACACCTGTAATCCCAGCACTTTGGGAGGCCGAGGCGGGTGGATCACCTGAGGTCAGGAGTTCAAGACCTGCCTGGGGCCAACATGGTGAAACTCCGTCTCTACTAAAAATACAAAAATTAGCTGGGTGTGGTGGCGGGTGCTTGTAGTCCCAGCTACTCAGGAGGTTGAGGCAGGAGGATCAGTTGAACCCAGGAGGCGGAGGTTGCAGTGAGCCAAGATTGTGCCATTGCACTCCAGCCTGGGCAACAGAGCGAGAGTCTTAAAAAAAAAAAAAAAAAAAAAAAAAAAGAAGAAGAAGAAGAAGAAGAAAGAAGGCCCTAGCAAGAAGAAGAAGAAAGAAAGCCCTAGCCCTGGGGCTCCAGTGTCCGTCTTCGAAGGGCTGTGGCCTTCATCCGGCCTCCCCTTCATCCGGCCTCAAGCTCCTCCCTGGCTTTTCCTCTCCTCTGCCCTCCACCTCCCGAGGCTCATCCCCGCAGCCTGGGGGAGCTTCCTCCTTTCCGCCCTTGGTGGAGCAGAAATTCTTGCTGGGCTCCTTCCCCCGCACCGGGAGAGCTGTGAGGAGTGGCCTTGCTGTTTCCATCTTCTTTCTTCTGCACTGACCGTTCCCCCTTCCCAACTGGACAGCAGCATCCCAGAGGCAGGACGGTGGCTCCTTCTAAACCTTGGTGCCCCCAGCTATGCCCAGTATGGGGTCTCTGGCATGAAGTCCGGTGCAATAAAGGGTGAGCAGTTCTCCTTACCCGCCTTCCCATGTCCACCTCTGGTCAGTGGGCTGTGCTGGTCCAGGAAGCCAGGGATTTTTGGCTTCTGAGATGCAGTCTCCACCACTCCACATGTTTTTTTTGGTTTTTGGTTTGTTTTAAGACAGAGTCGCGTTCTGTCGCCCAGGCTGGAAGGCAGTGGCACGATCACGGCTTACTGCAACCTCTGCCTCCTAGGCTCAAGCGATCCTCCCACCTCAGCCTCCCAAGTATCTGGGACTACAGGTGCATGCCACCACACCTGGATAATTTTTATATTTTTTGGTAAAGATGGGGTTTCGAATTCCTGGGCTCAAGTGATCCACCCACCTTGGCCTCCCAAAGTGCTAGGGCTACAGGCGTGAGCCACTGTGCCCTGCCAAATTCCAAACGTTTCTTGACAGCGTTAGTGAAATTCACGTTCCTGCACCTCAGTTTGCTCATCTGTAAAATGGGAGTGATGTTGGTACCCCGTTTTCAGGATCGACATGAGGATGAATACTTGCATATAGGAAACAGAAGAAATGTATTGATAGATAAATATAGTGAACATAAATTCGAATACAGGAACAGGAAGTTGTGGAGGTGATGGAGCCTGCCTCTCCCTTGCCCTTTGCTGAGGTCCAGGCACACACAGTAGGGGCTTTGTTGATGTTTGTGTGTAGCCGATGTTCTTTTGCTTCCTGGGGGCTTGTCTGCAAAAGTTGCAGGGGGCAGGGTGGAGGGCAGCTAGTCAACCATCAGATCAGACTGCGGGAGGGGCGAGCGTGAGCGAGCAGCTGCTGGGTGCTCTCAGGGCAACCTCGCGGCTTCCGAGTCCCCGGCCCCGCGCGGGTAAAGGGGCACCGAAGGCACCTTGCAGACCGCGCCCTGCACTCCCTGACCCTCGGCCTTGCGCGGGGCCCATTCCAGTCACCGCCACCGGGGGCCGCCATTGCGCCGCGGACGGCCCCGCTCCTCCGGGGAGCCGCAGAGCCGCCTCCCTCCCGGGCCCTCTCTTCGCCGCTCTGGGACGGTGTCCCTGCGGCCGCTAGAATTCTCTTCTGAATCTCCACTGCCCCAGCCAGATGTCATCCTGATAATCAGACCTACGGGAGATCGGACCGTTTACTTTTTCTTTTTCTTTTCTTTTCTTTTTTTTTTGAGACCGAGTTTTGCTCTTATTGCCCAGGCTGGAGTGCAGTGGCGTGATCTTGGCTCACTGCAACCTCCACCTCCCGGGTTCAAGCGATTCTCCTGCCTCAGTCTCCCGAGTAGCTGGAATTACAGGTGCATACCACAACTCCTGGCTAATTTTTGTATTTTTAGTAGAGATAGGGGGTTTCATGATGTTGGCCAGCTGGTCTCGAACTCCTGACCTCAGGTGATCCGCCCTTCTCGGCCTCCCAAAGTGCTGGGATTACAGGGATGAGCCACCGTGCCCGGCCCGGACTGTTTTCTTAGATCCTCACTTGAAGATCCTAGCAGTCTGCTTTGGAGATGGACATCGCGGGCCTCACTGGGGAAGACACTGCGCTCTGGGAGACACAGCTCCTAGGGGCAGGTGCCCCTCCCACCTTAGTCCCCACCAGACCCGCCCCTGCCTCCTCCACCCCATTAGGCTGAGGCTGATCAGAGGGGCCCTGGCCCACTGCCCGGGTCCCTGCTCAGAGGCCCCACACAACTCATGGGGAGAAGGAGACATGGGCCCAGTGACAGGTTACCCGGCTCTGATGGGAAAAGCGAGGTCTTGGAGCCCTGCCTGTTCTGGGTGCTTCTGTTTGTCAGCCTGCTTGGGCCTGGGCTGTCCCCCGAGTCTCAGGCTCCTCATCTGGGCTGGCATTGGGGCCCAGGCTTCAGCCAGGTCTAGACTCCCCACCAGCCACTCAGGCAACAGTCACTCCACTTGGGACCCCAGGAACCACAGGGCAGGACAGCTGACAAGGAAGGGGGCCCCCACTTCACCCCGAACCTGCCTTGAGCCTCCCATGCCTGGTGGGGACCCCACCAACCCCAGTGTCTGGGGAAGGCAGGACTCTGAGACAGGTGGGGCTCCCAGCCCCGGCAGGTGTCGGTGGCAGGGAAAACTCAAGGCCTGGCACCGATACCATCATTCTCGGTCTTCCCCAAAGTAAGGTGAGTATACGTGGTGCCGATGAGTCAGGTCCATGCCCAGGTATGCATTAAAATTTCCCTGGGAAAAAATAGAGAGTGTAATTTGGCAGGCTCTGGGGAGATTTTAGAGGTGCCTGCACTTCACTTACGTCTTTCCACTGCCTGGTCAACATAGTGAAACCCCGTCTCTAGCAAAAATACAAAAATTAGCAGGGTGTGGTGGTGGATGCCTTTAATCCCAGCTACTTGGGAGGCTGAGGCAGCAGAATCACTTGAACCCAGGGGGCAGAGGTTGCAGTGAGCCAAGACTGCACCATTGCCCTCCAGCCTGGGCTACACAGTGAGACTCCATCTCAAAAAAAAAAAACAAGGCTTAAAAAAATTTTTTTAAACAGCCTCACCCATATGACTTCTTTTAACCTTAATCACCTCTTCAAAGGTCATATCTTTAAGTACAGTTATACTTTGAGGTACACTGGAGGTTAAGTTTTTAACATATAAATTTTAGGGACACAATTCAGGCACATATGACTGTGTATACAGACACCTATACACACACACACATATATATACACATACACGGTTTTTGAAAAAAAGAAACTCAAACTGAAGAAAAGGTTATAGTAGAAGTTCTCCTTCCTACCCCGTCCCCAGTCCTCTAATTCCTGTCCCCAGAACTACCCACAGTTTTATTGTTTTCTATACTTCTTTCCAGAGAGGTTCTCTGCATATATAAGCATGCATATATATATATATCTTTTTTAAATTATTATTTTGAGATGGGGCCTCACTCTGTCACCCAGACTGGAATGCAGTGGCACTGTCATAGCTCACTGCAGCCTTGAACTCCTGGACTCAAGGAATCCTCCCACTTCACTTCCCAAGAAGCTAGAACTACAGGCATGAGTCACCACACCTGGCTGATGTTTACATTTTTTTGTAGAGATGACATCTTGCTGTATTGCCCAGGCTGGTCTCAAACTCCTGGCCTCAAGTGATCCTCCCACCTCGGCCTCCCAAAGTGGTACATGCTCTTTTAAATGACAAATTATATTATACTATAGACTGTGTCCTGAATTTACTTCTTCTACTCCACAATATACCTTCAATAACAAACCAACTGTGAAATTGCCAAGACTCAATATAACAAAGGTTTATTTATCCACTGTTCTCCTCCAAGTCCAGCACAGGTCACTGGGGGTTCTGCTCCACGTGGTCACGCAGGGACCCAGGCCTAGAAGGTTCACCAGGTTGTGACACAGTCATTGCAACCTCTTCCACGTGGCTTGGTAGAGAAACAGAGAGTGTGAAGAATTCACAACTGGTTTTTGGTTCCCTTTTTACATAGACATTTCAAACATACCCAAGTGTAGATAGTGTAAACAGACCCCCATATACCAATACCCAGCCTCAGCAAGGATCAATATTTCACTGTTCTTGTTCCAACAATGACCTCATTCCCCACGCCCACCATTTTTGCTGAGTCATTTCACCTGTACATACTTCAGTGCATATCTAACAGATACAGAGTTTTTTTACATAACCATAATACATGATCCCACCTAGCCAATTAACAATATAATTCAGTTTCCAGACCATTTCCATTTGTTTCAACAGTTAAAAACTGTCTTTTTAAAGTGTTTTTTTTTAAACAGCCTCACTCATAAGACTTCATTTAACTTTAATCACCTTTCAAAGGTAATATCTTCAAGCACAGTCATACTCTGAGGTGTACTAGAGGTCAAGTTTTTAACATGTGATTTTTGGGTACACAATTCAGTCGTGTGTGTATACACACACACACACACACACACACACACGGTTTTGGAAAAAACAAACTCAAACTGAAGAAAAAGGTTATAGTAAAAGTTCTCCTTCCTACCCTGTCTCCAGTCCTCTAATTCCTGTCCCCAGAAGCACCCACAGTTTTATCGTTTTCTATACTTGCTTCCAGAGAGGTTATCTGCATATATAAGCATACATATGTATATGCCTTTTTTTTCTTTTTTTTTTTGAGATGGGGCCTCACTCTGTCACCCAGACTGGAATGCAGTGGCACTGTCATAGCTCACTGCAGCCTTGAACTCCTGGACTCAAGGAATCCTCCCACTTCACTTCCCAAGAAGCTAGAACTACAGGCATGCGCCACCACACCTGGCTGATATTTACATTTTTTGTAGAGATGACATCTCGCTATATTGCCCAGGCTGGTCTCGAACTCCTGGCCTCAAGTGATCCTCCCATCTCAGCTTCCCAAAATGGTACACACCCTTTTAAATGACAAATTATATTACATTATAGTTGGTGTCCTGAATTTACTTCTTCTACTCCACAATATACCTTCAATAACAAACCAACTGTGAAATTGCCAAGACTCAATATAACAAAGGTTTGTTAATCCACTGTTCTCCTCCAAGTCCAGCACAGGTCACTGGAGGTTCTGCTCCATGTGGTCATGCAGGGACCCAAGCCTAGAAGGTTCACCAGGTTGTGACACAGTCACTGCAACCTCTTCCACATGGCTTGGTAGAGAAAGAGGGAGTGTGAAGAATCCACATTTGGCTTTTGGTTTTCTTTTCAGTTTCTATTATAGACATTTCAAACATACCCAAGTGTAGGTAGTGTAAACAGACCCCCATATACCAATACCCAGCCTCAGCAAGGATCAATATTTCACTGTTCTTGTTCCAACAATGACCTCATTCCCCACCCCCACCTTTTCTTGCTGAATCATTTCACCTGCAGATACTTCAGTGCATATCTAACAGATACAGATTTTTTACGTAACCATAATACATGATCCCCCTAGCAAATTAACGATATAATTCAGTACCCAGACCATTTCCGTTTATTTCAATAGTTAAAAACTGTCTTTTTAAAGTTTTTTTTAACAGCCTCACCCATATGACCTCATTTAACCTTAATCAACTCTTCAAAGGTCATATCTCCAAGTACAGTCATACTTTGAGGTGCACTGGAGGTTTTTTTTTTTTTTGAGACGGAGTTTTACTCTTGTTGCCCAGGCTGGAGTGCAATGGCGGGATTTTAGCTCACTGCAACTTCTGCCTCCTGGGTTCAAGTGGTTCTCCTGCCTCAGCCTCCCAAGCAGCTGGGATTACAGGCATGCGCCATTATGCTGGGTTAATTTTTTTGTATTTAGTAGAGACGGGCTTTTACCATGTTAGTCAGGGTGGTCTCGAACTCCTGACCTTAGGTGATCCACCCGCCTTGGCCTCCCAAAGTGCTGGGATTACAGACATGAGCCACAGTGCCTGGCTAAGTTTTTAACATATGAGTTTTGGGGCCACAATTCAGTCACTTATGTGTGTGTATACACACCTATACACACACACACACACACATATGGTTTTTGAAAAAAGAAATTCATACTGAAGAAAAGGGTTACAACTAAGAGAGAAGGTTTTGCACCTATTTTGTTGAGCTGAAAACCAAACAAGGCCCATGTGTTGAGTTGCTGGCTCTGTCTCCTGGGTCTCTTTATTTTCGACTTCAGTGATGAGAATGCACAGGAGGAGAGTGGCTCAGAGAGGACACGAAGGGGAAACCTGAACTGTGAGAGGTTTACAGGGAAGAATGAAAGTGGGTGACGCTTTGCCTTAAGCCATAAATGAAGGCAAGGGAGATCAAGCAGGCAGTCTTGACGTTAGCGGGGAAGTGAAAAAGAAGATGGAAGAAAGAAAGGAAGGGCCAGGGAGGAAGGGAAGGTGGGAGGGACAGTGGGTAGGATGGGGTAGAAGGAAGGTATCAACTTTCACACATCATTATCAAGAACAAGGAAAATTTCAACTTCAGTGTGAATAAACAATCATCGACAAATGCGGAGATTAATGAGATGACAGAATGATTAATAAATTGTTGGATAAGGGTTTTAAAGCAGCCATCATAAAAATGCTTCAACTGCAATTATGAATTCCCTTGAAACAAACGAACGCATTAAAAATCTCAGCTGTCGGCCAGGCACGGTGGCTCACACCTGTAATCCCAGCACTTTGTGAGGCTGAGGCAGGTGGATCACTTGAGCTCAGGAGTTCGAGATCAGCCTGGGCAGAATAGTGAGACCCTGTCTCTACAAAAAATACAAAAATTAGCCAGGCATAGTGGCATGTGCCTGTAGTTCCAGCTACTCGTACTAGAGAGGCTGAGGTGGGAGGATACCTTGAGCCCAGGAGGCAGAGGTTGCAGTGAGCTGTGATCAGCCACTGCACTCCAGCCTGGGTGACAGAGCTAGGCCCTATCTCAAAAAAAAAAAAAAAATCTTAGCTGTGAAAACTGATCTTACAAACTGGATTATTCTTGTCATACCCAACTAAACAAAGTCCAGAAGCCCGGGGGGAAAAGCACTCCTGATACATAACAGTATTTCAAAAATGTAATTCTCTGCAAGCCTGGTTGCTGAAACTGCCTGCTATAACCTGAAATCAGTTTTACCCAATAGCTGCTGATGCAACCTGCTGCAACCCTAAGACTAGGTTTACTCACCGCCCTTGCTCACCAATCAGAGCTTGCCAGCTCCCCAAAACCTCCTTCATGCCAATGAACTTTCTTGAAGAGCAATAGGTAATATTTCTCCTTTTTACAAAACCTTTAACCTTCCCTTTGTTTTCTGGACATATTGAAGACTCCCTAGTCTGTATGTGTGCCCCAAATTGCAATTCTTTCTTCCTAAATAAAATGTTTTAATTTCAGAGATTTTTCTCTATGTTTTACTGGATTTTGACACAGCAAAGAAATGGAAGTTATGGAAAAGAACCAAATGGAGAATTTAGGATTGAAAAATACAGCCAGGCATGGTGGCCCATGCTTGTAATCCCAGCACTTTGGGAGGCTGAGGTGGGTGGATCATGAGGTCAGGAGATCAAGACCACCCTGGCCAACATGGTGAAACCCTGTCTCTACTAAAAATACAACAATTAGCCGGGCATGGTGGTGCACACCTGTAGTCCCAGCTACTCGGGATGCTGAGGCAGAAGAATCACTTGAATCTGGGAGGTGGAGGTTGCAGTGAGCCGAGATCGTGGCACTGCACTCCAGCCTGGTGACAAAGCAAGACTCCGTCTCAAAAACAACAACAATCACACACACACACAAAAACCCAATAACAATAACAACAACAAAACCTTTCTGGATGGGCTCAACAGTCAAGTAGAGATGAGGGGGATGAAGTCAGTGAACTTGAGAACAGAGTGATCAAAAAAAATGCAGCAGTGCAGAAGTTGTGGTAATGAACCACAGGGAGAAAGCAGACCAGAAAGAAAATGAGCAGTCCCAGGGCCTATGGAACAACAGCAAAACAGTGAAAATTCCTATCATGGGAGTCTCAGAAGGAGAAGATAGAAGAGTGGGGCTGAAAAAGTAGCCAGAAAAATAGAGGCTGAAAACTTCCCCAATTTGGTGAAAGACATAAACCTACAAATTCAAGAAGCTGAACCAACCCCAAATAGGAACAAAACAAAGAAATACATGGCAAGACACATCATAGTTAAACTTATGAAAACTTAAGACAAACTCTCAAAAATGCTCAGAGAGAAATGACCCTTTACTCATAGGGAACACCAGTTGGAACAACAGTGGATTTCTCATTGGAAATCATGGAAGCTAGAGGAAGTGGCACATCTTTCAAATACGTAGAAAGCAGGGAAGGGGGAAGAACTTTCTGAAAATATCCTTCAGGGTTGAAGAGAAAATTCAGATATTCTCAGATGAAGGAAAACTAAGAGAAGTTGTTGCTAGCAAACTTATTGTTTAAAAAATGGTTGAAGGGGGCTGGGCATGGTGGCTCACGCCTGTAATCCCAGCACTCTGGGAGGCCGAGGGAGGTGGATCACGAGGTCAGGAGTTCAAGACCAGCCTGGCCAAGATAGTGAAACCTCATCTGTACAAAAAAAATACAAAAATTAGCCAAGCTCAGTGGCAGGCACTTGTAATCCCAGCTACTCAGGAGGCTGAGGCAGGAGAATCGCTTGAACCCAGGGAGCGGAGGTTGCAGTGAACTGAGATCACGCCATCGCACTCCAGCCTGAAGGGTTGGGTGCAGTGGCTCATGCCTGCAATCCCAGTAGTTTAGGAGGTCAAGGTGGAAGGATCGCTTGATTCCAGGAGTTCAAGACCAGCTTGGGAAACATAGGGAAACCTCATCTCTGAACAAAATTAGCCAGGCATGGTAGTATGTGCCTGTGGCCCCAGCTACTCTGGAGGATAAGGTGGGAGGATCTCTTGAGCCCAGGAATGCAGAGACTGTAGTGAGCTGAGATTGTGCCACTGCACTCCAGCCTGGGTGACACAGTGAGACTCCATCTTAAAAAAAAAAAAAAAAAAAAGAAAAGAAAAGAAAAGAAAATGTTCAAAGGAAGTTCTCTAAATAGGCTTTGAAGTTCAGAAAGGAAAGAAGAATATCGGACTGATTAAAAATAGGGGTAAAAATACAAGATTGTCCTTCTTACGCATTTTAACAATCATCTTTGATGCCTGACACCAAAAATCATGGCATCTGATGTGGTGCCCAATATAGGCAGAGGAAAGACTTAATGATAATTTAAAAGTGGAGAGAGAAAGAGACCTAAGTAAAGGTAACGCTCTTGCATTTCACTCAAAATGTTGAGCTGTTGATAGCCTCAGACCGTGGTGCCTTATGCAGGCAGTCATGTATGTACACAACCATGCAATGCTAACAATGGGGTACGTCCTCAGAAATGCATCGCTGGGTGATTTCACCATTGTGCGAACATTATAGAGTGTGCTCGCACAACCCTAGATGGTGTCGCCTGCTGCACACCTGGGCTATGTGGTACAGCTGATTGCTCCTAGGCTATACACCTGCACAGCACGGTACTGCTCTGAACACTGCAGGCAAAGGTTGCACAATGGTAAGTATTTGTGTATCTAAACATATCTAAAAACATAGAAAAGGCATAGTAAAAATATGGAGTTTTAATGTTATGGGACCACCATTGTATATGTGGTCCACCGTTAACTGAAACATCATTATGGGGCGCATGGCTGTATTGTAAAACTCAGTGTCTGTCTGTCTGTCTCTCTTTCTTTGCCTCTAGTGGCAAAAGGTACACCTTCTCTCCTCGCTCCCCTAATTGAGGTTCCTTTTTGGTCACCTTGACAGTGGGGGAGGGAGTATGAGACTAAGGCAGGCAGGATGCTGTCTCATGTCCTCCATAACTGAATGGACAATTTCTGCATCTGGGTGGCCCTGCCCCACCCACTCCCTCTCCTCTTTGGTCTTGTAGAACATTTTTGGCTGTCATTTCCCAATCCAAAGAGGGAAGGTCGCCCAGTGGATAGTGAACTGTAGGAACCTGGGGGAATACCTGTGCCGTGGGTTTTCCTCTGGGGAAATGTCTCTCCCCTTCTTAGTCCTAGCATCCCACGAGGGCTGATTTTTCCCCGGGCTACAGAAGGGGACACAGCCCAGCTGGTCAGAGCCTCCTGTGCCCAGTTGGGACGAACAAGGGACACAGGAAGGATCCCTGAGACCCAGTCTGGGGCTCTTGCTGGAGTTGTTGGTAAGAGAAGAGAATTGTCCATCATCTCGGCTGAGGCTGCTGGGGCCATCTTGTCACTACAAAGGGAAAAGATGCTTGAAAATGGACAGACAGACAGATGATGCCTGGTGTGGTGCCGGTTCCCAGGTCCCGCATGCCTAAAGCCCGGCACCTCCTGGCCTTCTCAGTAAAGGTGAGCCAATAAGTTCCCTTGTTTTTCCTACCTCAAGTCAGTTTGAGTTGTGTTTTCTGTCACCTGCGACCACAAGAGTCCTAATGCCGGGGTGGCGGGTTCCAGCCCCCTCCTTGGTTAAGAGGCCTTTCCCAGCCCCTGGGCACTTTGCCAGAATCCCCAGGAGTCAACAGGCCTTGAGGCGACGAAAAGGTTCTCGCTTTACAGATGGAGAAACAGGCCCGAAGAAAGAGTGGGATTCACTCAAGGCCTCCCTGTCCCTGGGATCTTTTGAATTCCATTTTGGAGTCTCACCAGCAGAGAGTCTTGTTCAACGGAAACAGTTTTTTGCTCCAGTCTTCTCTCATTTTTAACTCCATGTCCGTGGTGTGGGCCTAAAGCTCGGCTTGCCAGACAAAACACAGGACACCCGATTTGATTTGAATTTGAAATCAGCAATGAATAACTTTTTAGTATACATATGTTCCAAATATTGCATGGGACACATTCCTACTGAAGAAATGCATTGCTCACCTGAAATTCAAATGTAGCTCAGATGCTGTATTTTTATGTATTTGGCAACGCTATCTAAAGCAGGGAGAGGGGATGCAGGAAGAGGGCAAGGCTACCTCTTTATGAGGAGTAGGGGAAGAGTCGGGGTAGGGTGGATGCTAAGATGCAGCCTCAGAAAAATAATCTTCCCCATCTCCTGCCAGAATGCCCGCATCACCCACGGTCTGTCATCAGGGTTTTGCAGCTGCCAGGTCAGTAAAAATGTGGCCTGGAGAGCAAACATATTAACCATCAACAGTCTAGTGTGAATTAGTTTACGTACATTCACTTGTTATCCTCAGCTGTGCAGAAGGGAGAAGACTCCAGAGAGGGAGGTGCTGATAAGCCTCTTTCTTCATTTTCTCCCTGAAGTGCTGGTCTTCAGAGCACAAAGGATGGAATTTGAACTGGTTCCCTGCACACTAGAACCACAGGGGAGATTTTTTTTTTTTTTTGAGAAGGAGTCTTGCTCTGCCGCCCCGGCTGGAGGGCAGTGGTGCAATCTCGGCTCACTGCAAGCTCTGCCTCCCGGGTTCATGCCATTCTCCTGCCTCAGCCTCCCAAGTAGCTGGGACCACAGGCGCCTGCCACCATGCCTGGCTAATTTTTTGTATTTTTAGTAGAGATGGGGTTTCACTGTGTTAGCCAGGATGTTCTCAATCTCCTGACCTCATGATTCACCCACCTCGGCCTCCCAAAGTGCTGGGATTATAGGTGTGAGCCACCGCACCCGGCCCACAGGGGAGCTTTTAAAAAATCCCAGTGTCCAGACCACACCCATTCCCATTAAATCACAATCTCAGCTGGGCACGGTGGCTCATACCTATAATCTCAGCACTTTGGGAGGTTAAGGCAGGAGGACCTCTGGAGCCCAAGAGATCGAGACCAGCCTGTGCAACATAGCAAGACCCCATTGCTACAAATTAAAAAAAAAAAAATGAGCTGGGCATGGGTCTGTGGTCCCAGCTACTTGAGAGGCTGAGGCAGCAGGATCCCTTGAGCCCAGGAGGTCAAGACTGCAGTGATCAGTGATTGTGCACTGTACTCCAGCCTGGATGACAGAGTGAGACTGTCTAAAAAAAAAGAAAAAGAAAGAAAGAAAGAAAGAAAGAAAGAAAGAAAGAAAGAAAGAAAGAAAGAAAGAAAGAAAGAAAGACAAAAAACTCAGAATCTCCATGAGTGGTTTCCAGCTATCATCTTTTTTTCAATGTGCAGCCAAATTTGAGATCCAGTGGACATAATAGCTCAGGACACATGGTTCTATCCTTGGTGAGGTTTGCTGTGGATAGGCAGCCGGCTCTGTGCCAGGAATCCCGCAGACATCATTTCACTGGATTTCTGTATAGCCCTACCATGCAGACCCTGTTAACCTCATGTCCGCAGAAGGATGCAGGCTCAGAGGGGTGATGTGACTTACTCAAGGTCACACAGCAATCAAAGGGCCCTGCCCACAGCCCCTGAGCTGCCTCCAGGCTGTGTGGCTCCAGGAGAGTGCCTTTCCTGTCTGGCGCCTGCCACGGGTAGAGAAGGCTGTGTCCACAAGCATCATCCAGCCCTGCCTGTCAGCTCTCTAATCAGCATGGTTACATGACAAGGACACCAAAGAGTGAGAGGGGCATCTTGATTGGCAGATGGAGACAGGGAACGCCCCAAGGGTTAACTCTAGATGTCCTGGGCATGTCATCAGTGAGAATGACAAGTGGAGGTCCCTTTTACTGGAGAGCAGGGAGGCTTCACCTGAAATAGCCTTCGTAGACTTGAACAACGACATTACCCCCCTCGCTGCCAACGTAAGCACCTGGGAACTACTGCCCTGAGTGACCCAACCCTCCTCCCCGACTCCCTCCACCATCCCTAATCCCTGGCAAATGCTCATTTGGAATCATGTTTCATGCACACGTTGGTGTCCGGTTGCACCTGCTCCTCCTTGCACTCAGGATGTGGCCCACATCTGGTCACCCTGACCGCTAATTCTTGCCTTCCCAGCCTGCCGTGCAGCTGGGGCTGGCCTGGTCCTGTGACGCAAACCTGGTTCTTAGGATGTAGCCGGAATTTGCTGAAAGGTTCTAAGGAAGTTTTGGCTTTCTTGATGAGAGAGGCCCAGCCCGAAATGATTCCCTCTCCCTGAGTACAGGGCGCTCAGCTGAAGCCACAGCAGCCCTGGCGAGACGAGGCCCCAGCAGGACAGGGACACCAAGGGAATCACACAGGGCACAGCCCAGGCATCGCTGGGTCACTGGGTCCCTCTGGATTTGTGGCTGGACAAAAAGAAATCCTATTTGCTCCGGTCAGTGGTCCTCCGTTAAGGGTGATCTTGCCTCCTAAGAACATGCAACAACTTCTGGAGGTATTTTGGTTGTCACAACTTGAGGGTTTCTACAGGCATCTAATGGTGGGGGGTGGGGGGGGCACTGTTAAATGCAGGAACGTCTTTCCCCAGGGAAGAGTGCTGAGGGCGAGAGGCCCTCACTTAGGCCGCTGTTCCTTGGTGTTTGTTTCCTGCAGCCAAAAACACTCCTGGCAGAGAGGCCGCCCTAACCACTGAGACTGCTAGAGAGAAGGTGGACTGAGGAAGCCAAGCCCCTAGGCATGAGGAAAGGGCAGGACAGCAGGGCCCAAACCAGCCTCCACCACTAGAGCTGGCTGGCCCAAACCCGCTAACTTCCCACCCGAGCTTTTGGTGTCCAGGGCAGACACACCGAGGGTTTCCTCCCGTGGACGGTGCTGCCCCCCACCAGCCCCTTCCCCACCCTCCCTAACATTCTAGGCGGATAATAGAATGCACCTTTTGATACAAACAAACTCCATTTTAATATACAAAACAAACCTCACTTACATACATAAATATAATTTGGGGGCATAAATAATGTAAGAAAATAAGAGATGTACATATCAAAATAAATTACTCATAAATATCATGTTGGAAAACCAAGTGCTGGGGAAAGGGTTCTAGGTCTTCCCCCGCTGCTTCCACACAGCAAGTTATTGACAAGACTTGGGGTCTTCAAATCTTTTCTTTTCCTGATTTTTGAACAAGAAGTGCAGGTTGACATAAGGTGGGGGGCCTGGGAGGCCCCAATCCATGGGGAGGCATGTGAGGTGGGCAGAGGGCTGGTGGGCTGGGAGATGGAAGCAGGTGACACCGGGACAGCAAGTTATTCTCAGGACAGCATCCATGACAGAACTGGCCTCAGGGGGAATTCTCAAGTTGTCCCAGGGCTGGAGTGGGGCTCCAGGCTTCCCCTACTCCTGAAGCCTGGTGGGCCATGCCTGCTCCAGTCAGTTCTGGCCTGGAGGGATTTGGGAAGGGCAAATGGTCCCTGGAAGTAGAGATATAGATCAATTCCCACATGGGGTTGAGTGAAATTTACCTGCTGTTTTACAGAGTGGATCACCTGTTCCTGAAATTAAAACTACTGCCTGTCTTCTGGCTGCTCCTGGGGAAGTGATGAGAAAAAATTAGAGAATTTCAGCTTGACATAAGAATTTTTCCAAAGGAAGTGAGTTCCCCATCGATGGAGGTATTCAAGCAGAACTGAGACAGTGCAGCAGCTTGTCCAGCAACCTCGAGGGAGCAGAATGGGGGCCCAGGCAGCAGCTGGGCAAGCTACAGGCTTACAATGTTATGATCAGACAAGTCTATTGGCTAGAAACTGGCACTGCCAATGGAAAACTCTGAATATGTACAACTTCTAGATGTTTCTTCCTAAAGCTAAACAGAACGTGGACTCAGGACTGTTCTTGTAGAAGCACGTCCCCCACGCTGCAGGTACCACAGCCCCTGGCAGCAGTGAAGAGGCCCGGGCATGGTCTCAGTTACTTCTCAAAGCTGGGACTCCTCACGGCCTCCAGTCCGGTGACAAGCCCAAATGGGTCCATGCTGTCGGTCTCCAGGGGCGAAGAGAACATGTCAGATTCCAAGTGGCCCCTGAGGTCCTCAGGCTCCTCTGGGACCATGGGCAGCATGGGCAGGAAATGAGAGAGTGGAAGAAAGCCTCTGTTCTTGTACAGCTGCCGCTGTTTGGCACTGCTCAGGGAGACCGGGAGGCGGTGCTTCTCGGATCGGTACACATTGTAGCCATCTGGGCGGATCTCCTCCTCGAAAGCACAGTCTTCCTCCGAGTACTGAAGCTGCAGAGAAAACAGGCAGCTCTGAGCAATCCACAGTGGACAGGGAACACGGGTCCACATGGACGTTTGTGCTACAGACTGTCCCTGGTGGCCACCAGCAGTGACCTTCCACATAAGCATCACTTGCATGTTTTATACATACTTCCTGATGTACACACTGTACGTGTAAGTATATATAAAATATACCTTTATATATGTAAGTATATATAATATATAATGTACTTTAAGGCCAGGCACAGTAGGTCACACCTGTAGTCCCAGCACTTTGGGAGGCCCAGAGCAGATGGATCACCTGAATCCAGGAGTTTGAGACCAGCCTGGGCAACATGGTAAAATTCCATCTTGACAAAAAGTACAAACATTAGCAGGTCATGGAGGTGGGCGCCTGTAGGCCCAGCTATTCGGGAGGCTGAGAGGTGGGAGGATGGGTTGAGGCTGGGTAGTCAAGGCTGCACTGAGCAATGATCATGCCACTGCACTCTAGTCTGGGTGATAGAGCAAGACCCTGTCTCAAAAAAAAACAAAACAAAAAACCCACAACTATATATATACACAGAGAACACACACACATATATAAATGTACTGTAAGTGTAAGCATATATAATATGTACATTATGTTAATATATAACCCATTAATAAATTAAATATACATTTATATACCTTTATAAATTATAATCTTTATATAGATATACATGCACACAGACAAAACTGAGGTTTATTATTTCATATATGTATATTTTATGTATATACTTAATACTACATATACACTCTATATAGACCCAAATAATTTCCACTAAATTACCTCACTTTTTCGAGAGCCTTGTCCTAAGCAATAATATCCATCAACCCACAGGAATGCCGTCTGTGTTTCCCTCACCCTTTACATTACAGACATAACTCCTGGCATTTAAAAAGTTCCTGGGTATTTCATTGGCACTTTGGGAAACACTGATAAACTGGGTTGTCATCTTAGGATAGGTCTTTTAAATAAATTGCGTGTGATCCGATCTGGGTCCCAGATGAAAGCATCTGTTCCCCACCTATCTCAGAAATCACTGTGTGCCTTTATCATTCTAAGGCCTTCTGGTCTGCAGCAGTTCTGAGAACCATCAGCCCCGCTGTCTCCTCCATTCAGTCACCAAGGGCCTTCCAGGCAGGCTGCCAGGAGGCAGATCTCAGCAGCCCCTCCCCCAGGCCAGGCCAGGCCAGGCCGGCGCCCAGCTGGTGGCCGGAAATGTGTGCTGAGGGAAGCCTTGTCTTAGAACATTCATAGTCCACGGGGTTGAGAGGTGCCAGTGGGCAAGTGCCATCCCACACCGGTGTCATTACCCCTTGGCGACCCAGGACAGGCGCAGGCGGGAGCCGGAAGGGCTGGGCAGTAAACACACTGCAGGACGGCCTCAGTCAGGTTCCTGCCTAAGTCTGCAAAGGTCACTGAACTGCAGGTGGGTGACGAGGTACCTGTGCTAATAAGCTCCTGATAAGAGGCTCATTGCAGCAACCCAGGCTCCTGCCGAGCCCACGGATGGCTGGGACAAAGCATCGGACAGCAAGCGTGATTTCTCCCAAACTCCCAAAAATGCCAAATGATCAATAAACAAGGAACACAAAACCGAATGATTGGAGGACCTTCTTCTATTTACTTGGCTTGTCCTTTGGGAGAAATTAGTATCACTTTCTCCATACAGAAAACGAAATGACTTCAAGTTTCTAGAAGAATGTGGCATTTTTATTTAAGAAAGAGGCCAGGCGAGGTGGCTCATGCCTGTAATCCCAGCACTTTGGGCGGCTGAGGCAGGCAGATCGTGATGTCAGGAGTTCGAGACCAGCCTGGCCAGGATGGTGAAACCTCATCTCTACTAAAAATACAAAAAAACTAGCCGGTCATGGTGGCACGGTGCCCGTAATCCCAGCTACTTGGGAGGCTGAGGCAGGAGAATTGCTTGAACCCCGCAGGTGGAGGTTGCAGTGAGCCAAGATCATACCACTGTACTCCAGCCTGGGCGACAGAGCAAGCGAGACTCCGTCTCAAAAAAAAAAAAAAAAAAAAAAAGATCCTCAATTTCTGTTAGACCATGCACAGGGGATCAAGAGGCACAAAGGGGGCTGGGCGCGGTGGCTCACACCTCTAATCCCAAAGCACTTTGGGAGGCCGAGACGGCCGGATCACTTGAGGTCGGGAGTTCAAGACCAGCCTGGCCACCAACATGGTGAAACCCCATCTCTACCCAAAATACAAAAGGTAGCTGGGCTTGGTGGTGGGTACCTGTAATCCCAGCTCCATGGGAGGCTGAGGTAGCAGAAACGCTTGAACCTGGGAGGCACAGGTTGCAGTGAGCCGAGATCTGGCCACTGCATTCCAGCCTGGGCGACAGAGCAAGACTCTGCCAAAAAAAAAAAAAAAAAAAAAAAAAAAAGGCACAGAGGGATTTCAGGTGACCCAACCCCCAATTTGGGCAGAATGGCGGGTTAGGTTGACGTCCCCTGCTGGCCTCCCATCATTAGGAACCCCCACACCCCCTGCCATAGTAAATGTCAAAATTAAAGTTGCAAGGGTGGGTTTGGAGCGGCTCTGGGTGGGAGTCAGCGTCCAGCGTGCCGACCACCCCCTTTCTCTGCAGTCCTCTCACGCAGGACTCCGCCATAAAACCTGAAACAGGCGCTCCGAGTACACGGAGCACGGCAGAGGCACCGAGCAATTTTGAGACTCTAAAATGCTTTGTCCCGCTGTTCACAAAGGAGCTGGTTGGGCCGGAGGCGGCCCCGCCTCTGCATCCTTTCTGGGGTGGGGGCCCCGGGCAGGCGCGGCCACCCCCGCCCTGGCCCCTGCTCCGCCAGGGAGTCCGGGGCTGCGTGTGAGGCCTGCGCGGGCCGAGACCTCACACAGCCTCCTCTGCGCGCGGGGCCGCGGGAGGGGCGCGGGTTCGTTCCTTTGAACTCCCAGCCTTTGTTCCCGGCCACCAGAGCCCCAGCGCTCGTACACTTCCGGCCCCGGGACCTCTGCGGTTACCTGGGCCTTCCCTGCCAGCCCCCACCCCCTGCCCCCACCAGAAAGCGTTTACAGGACAGGTGAGGCCCGCAGGAGGAAAAGCACTCCCCTGGCGCAACATGACTCCAGCGCATCTGCGTCTAAGCCACACCGTGCTCCTGGTAGATTAAAAATTAATTCTAAAAAAAAAATCTCTCCTATCCCAAATGCACTGTTTTCTGCCTTGCTTGACAATTGATTTGTTTTTAAAGGAAAGTTATGGGTAGATCCTCTTTTTTCTTTCCCATTCTTTTTTTCTTCTTTTATACTGGAGGGAGGGAAACGGAGGCGAGGACCACACACGCGCAGGCAGAGGCTGAAAAGGCCCGAGGTGGGTTTTCCTGTTTAATATCAAAGGAGGCCGAATAATGGGTTTCCTCGGTCCGGCTAGGCCGGCCTTTGACTCAATTGGAAATGCAAAGGCAGCTTTTGCCTATTCTCTGGCTGCTGGCTGAGACCCTAAATTTCCGTAGGAAATCGTCGGACATGCACTTAATCGGTCTTTGCAATCTTTCCCTCGAAGTTGCACGCGGGTCTGGGCGGAGGAGGCGAGGAAACCCTGGATTCGAACCAGCGCCTTTCTCTCCTTCAGGCCTCCGCCCGGGGACAGGCGCCGGTCCCCCGCCCCGGCGCATCCGCCCCGTGGGGACACTTACCAGCCCCTGCATCTTGCCGTCGGCGCCCATGCAGAGGTACCGCACGCTGTGCACGCCCTTGATGGCCACGGTCCGCAGAGCGACTGCCTTGATCTCCAGCAAACCTAGGCGCAGGGGAAGCGAGAAGCTGCAGCAAGGACCGCTGGGCCCGCACCACGTGGGTGCGGTCGGTCCACAAGCCTGTGCTTCTCCCTAGCGTCCCGCGCTGTTTGGGGACTAACGGAGGGATCCTAACGTCCAGGTGCCAAAACCTGGGGTTCCCAGGAGTTGAGGGGTCCGCAGGAGCCTAAGGGTGGCAAAGGAAGGAAGGGCGCTGGGGTGGGGCGCGCGCAGCGGGGTGGGGTGCGCGCGGCGGGGCGGGCGGGGGTGCTGGCGGGCACTCACTGTGCGCGCTCTGGCCCCGCGCGCAGTCCACGACGCCGTCGGCACGGATGCGCAGGAAGCAGCTGGAGAGCCCGTGGGGGCCGGAGGTGTACAGGTGCCGCAGGCGGATGGGGTCGCCCCAGCCGTAGTGCACGTGGGGCCCCGCGTCCGAGAAGGCGAGGGGGCGCCCGGCCACGGCCAGCCAGAGGCCGGCCAGGATCCATACGTGGACCACCACACACCCGCTCCGCATGGCACCTCCCTGGGGCTCTCGGCGCAGCTCCGGCGATGGGGGTGCGGGAGGCTGGGCGGCGACCGGGATGCGCTGCGGGGCTGTGAGTGCCGGGTTGGGATGGTCGTGGCCCTAGATCCTGGACGCAGCGCTCCTGCTCTGACGGCGCGGCGGCTCCGGGCCGGCAGCCTTATATAGTAGCGCCTTACGGGCCCCACGGGTAGGTGCCCAAGACACCCGAGCATTTCTTATCGGGATTGCATCAAGCCTCCGCCCCCCGCACACACCCACTCACACCCCGCCTCCGGCCCCAGCCCCAGCCCCCTCCCCGGGCCCGGGCAGGCAGGCGGCGGCTTCTTGTCCCAGCCGGGGTGACCCCGCCCAGGCCGTTCGGATCTGCGGGAGGAGGAGGCCTCGCTTAGCGGCCGGGTTTCGGGGAACTCCTCCCCACCGCGCAGCGGCCCCGAGGTTCTTGGCTGGGAGAGTTTGACTTTGTAAAGCAATCGACAACTGGGGCCCTTCCCCCAGGCCTCAGGCTCCCAGTGGATGCACTCGGCGTGGGGCACTAGCGGGGGCGGGGTCAGGAACCCCGGGGCCAGAGGTTGGGGGGCACCGAGTTTTGCCCCCTTCACCCTCTGTCGGGAAAAGCCTCACCTCGGCCTTAGTGCCCTTCCCCTTAAAAGCCCACTCGCACTCCCTCCCCCGACTTTCGCAGCCCCGCACATCTGACGTCAAAGCCGTCCCGTAGAATTTTCCCCGGCAGTTCCGACAGTCTCAGGTTCTTTCAGCTTCATCTTCTTGCAATTCCTGCCCCGCCCCTTTTATCCGGGTAAATTGCCCCCCGACGGGGGGCCGGGCGCGCTCTCGGCCGGCGGGGAAACAATGGAAGCCGCGCGGACTGTAGGTGGCGCCGCAGCCTCGGCGTCCGCCTGGGCTTTGCGCTCCTGGCCCCGCGCCCCTGCCTGCTCCGCGCTCGCCCCGGCCCCGCGGCTGTGCGCGAGATGCAACCTGAAAGGGGGCACTGGGAAGGAGGCTCTCGGGCAGGGTGGGCGGGCCAGCTGCGGGATTGGTGAACCCCAGCTTCTCGGCTGGAGGGTGGTGGAGGCAGGGGCGCAGGGAGGGAGGCCTGGGCCTCCGTTTCCCGTTTTTTGAGCTGTCTTGTGTCGGGGGTCTGGTTTTTGAGTCCCCGAGTCCCTGCGCACGGGGTCAGGAGGAACAGCACGGTCGGGGAGGTCGAGAGCGCCTTACCTGGTGGGGAGGGGTCGGGAAGGGGCCCAGGAACGGTGATGGGCGCCCCTGGCGTCCGGGCAGGTGCCAGGTGAGGAAAGAAATGGGGGCCGCTCCATGAAGCGGTTCCTGCCAATAAAGAAAACGACATCCAGAGAATACCCAGGCGGGGAATAAAGGGGTCCTCCTACGGGGCTTTGGTTTAACTCTAATTATTTCTTGTTATTCTTCCAAACCCCCAGCTCCTGGATGTGGGGCCCCAGGAGGCTGGTTTTGGGGGCAGAGCCCTCCTGGCCCAGCGCAAAGGCGATGGGGAGGGCAAACAGGAGAGACAGCGAGAGAAATGCCAGGCCTAATGAATTTCAATGAGCAGAGGCCACATTCATTCCCCAGTCAGTGACTGGCGTTAATGACTGAGGGCGCAGCAAATGTCACCAGGAAAGTCTTTACAAAAAGACATCATCCCGAAGGCTTTCTAGACCAGGGACCCCCACGCTGTGTGTCTTGGTTCAGAAAGCCGTGGCTTCTGTTAAATCTAATTACTTCCCCCCTGTGGCTTTAAATCGACGGCGGCTCCTATTAAACTTAATTACCCTCCCCTGCAGCTTTCGTTTTAAAGATCCGTGGTAAATGCGTGATAAATGCTCTTGAGGGCGATGGCAGAGGCTGCACTGGGGGACACGACCCAAACCGGGTGGGGGCGATGGCAGCCTCTGGTTCCACCCCTACCCCTCTGCAGCCCCTTCCAGGGACATGGGGAAGAGAGTGGCTGATGCGATCAGGGAGGTGGGGAAATGAGGAAGGCGGCTGCTGTCCCCCAGCCCCTGTTCTGAGCGCTTCATGGAGGTTCTCAGCTCAAATCTCCACAAGAGCCCCCACAGTATTCTATTCCTCCCTCCCCCATGGAGCAGGAGGGAAATGGCCCCAGAAAAGTGGCCGAGTAACCCAAGGTCGCACACTCTGTTAGTGGTGAAGTTGGAATTTGAACCCAAACAGTGGGGCTCGTAAATCCAGGCTGTGCTGCGTCTTATCCCGGGACAGGGGCTCCGGGGTCAGACCCACTGTAGCATGGATCACACCCGGCCACTCCCTGGGTAGGTCGTGGACCGCTGACCCATTGCCCTCTCAGCTTGCTCTCAGGCTTGTCCTGAGGGTGACAAGGAAGAGGGGACAGAGAGGGCCTGGGATGTAGCACTCATGAAGGTGTTGATGGCAGGCCTTGAGGTCAGCTGTGTGCCGGCCATCTCACAGGCACAGCAATGCTCTGAGAGCTTAGGGGATGGATCCTGCTCATGTGAGGTAGCTGACGGTTACAGAGATGGACTGCCGGGCCTCGAGGGTTTGCCCCAGGTGGGCCAGGCACACGATCTTGGGTGTTTGCTGGGCTCCCTGGTGTGTGTGGTTAGAGGGAGCCAAGCCTGCAGAGGACAAGGCAGTGCTGGCCAGCAAGGGGCTCTCCTGGCGAGAGCAGAGGTGTGGCAAGGGCTGAGGTCCTCCTCCCACTCTGTTCTGTGCACACCGGGACCTCTGAAGCCACCTGTGTGCTGCATTGGGCTGACTTTGCTTTTCAGGTTGTGTTTGATTTGCCCCTGGGTGGCTAAGCCGGCTGAATCGCCCAGGTGGGGTTTCATTCATTGAATGGCATGGGCAATGGGTAGCAGGTAGGGTCCAAGGCACCTGGATGTCCCGCTCACCCATGCAGGGGTATGGGGGTCTCCAGCCCAGGTGTCCAGAAGGGCTTGGCTTGGCTTTGTTCTGGATTTGATGTTAGCTTTTTTTTTTTAATTCATTTTTTATTTTTTTATTTAATTGCCCTGTAGAACCGTAAATCCTTTTTCTGGAGTCTTCCTTCTTCCATCTGAGGGTGTAGAGGTTCCTTCTTCCTGATTATGGCAAATGAGTGATTTCCACCATTTCTAAACCCGTGTCCCAGTGTCTAAGAACATCTTATTCGGCTTCACCTCCAATTTTTACATTATGAAAATCATAGTTTTCCTTTCATTTTACAGTTAGAAATGTATGTTTTGCTGTCAAATGTGCATTCTTCTACATAAGCACTCCCTAGAGCCCCTCCCAAACCCCCTGCTCCCACCTTGTGATTGAAAATTATTTTGTAATTGGAGAAACTTCTGGGTGTGGTAAAAGTCTTTATCAGAAAATAAGAACTGCAGGGTAGCGTGGGACCGAGAGAGCTGTGAACACTGAGGTGATCGAGGCCACGCCCCACAGCTGGTTCCTGGCCAACTGGAGGCTGAGACCCAGGGACTCCTGAATCTCAGCCCAGTATTTTTGCTACAACCTGCTAGAACATGCATTATTTCCCCCAAGACTTTCTGATTCACCAACAGCCATTTCTTCCCCCATACGCATCGTTATTCTGAAATGAGGCCACCCAGCTAGCCCAGAAATTGGCAGAGACTGTGACAGAGTAGAAGGAAGACCTCTTTGAGATTCCATTTCCTCATTTGTAAAACAGCAAAAGGAACGCTAATTTACAGGGTTAATACGAGCATTAGAAAAGACATCCCCATCTATCAAGTGACCAATATTTGTAAGATAGAGACAGCCTGGCACATGTAAAGCACATAACAGAAGGGTAGCTATTGTTACTGTTGTAAATGCTGCTCTCTGGCGATCTTTGCTACATTTATTACTTATTTTAAAATTTAATGGCAACTCTAGAAAAAGATATATAGTGACAAAAAGCTGGATGGAGATCCACTAGAAAAGGGTAAATAGAAGGCTGGGCGTGGTGGCTCATGCCTGTAATCCCAGCACTTTGGGAGGCCAACGCAGGAGCATTGCTTGAACCCAGGAGGCAGAGGTTGCAGTGAGCCGAGATCGCACCACTGTACTCCAGCCTGGGCAACAGAGAGAGACTCTGTCTCAAAAAAAAAAAAAAAAAAAAAAAAAAAAAAAAAGCAGAGAAGGATAAATGGAAGATGAAAATGTTCTCTATCTTTATTGTGGTAGTGAATACACAGGCAATGACATTTATCAAAACTAATAGAGCTGTTCCCTTAAAATTAAGGTGCATTTTTTTCAGAGCAATTTCTATTAAATTCTAAAGTAAATTGTGTCTGAATTTTAAATAAGCATTAATAGATACTTTTTTTCCAGTTGTTTTATTGTGTTGAAACATAAACAACATAAAATTTACCATCCTAACCATTTCTAAATGTACAGTTCAGAGGAATTAATACATTCATAAAGCTGTGTGGATCACCGCCACCATCCATCTCCAGAACTCTTTTCATCTTGAAAAATGAGATTCAGCTGGGTGCGGTGGCTCACTCCTGTAATCCCAGCACTTTGGGAGGCCAAGGTGGGTGGATCACCTGAGGTCAGGAGTTCAAGACCAGCCTGGCCAACATGGTGAAACCCCATCTCTACTAAAAATACAAAAATTAGCTGGGTGTGGTGGCGCATGCTTGCAGTCCCAGCTGCTGTGGAGGCTGAGGTGGAAGGATCGCTTGAACCCAGGGAGCGGAGGTTGCAGTGAGCCAAGATCACACCGCTGCACTCCAACCTGGGCAACAGAGTGATACTGAAAAATAAATAATAATAAAAAAAGTATGTATGTATCTTAAAAAAAAATCATTTGAATTGTAACCTCCTTTCCACCAACTCAGTTGTAAACACTTTCCTTGGGATTAAATATCCTAGCACAGCCTTTGACACCAGCACATCTGAGTGATACAATCTGTTGTCCCCTATTGCTGGACGTTTAGGTTGTTTCCAACGTCCCCTGCCAGACCATGCAGGGGAGAACATTCTTGGAGACGCATCTCGCGCATGTCCGCTCTTGGAATTACTGAGCCCTGTCGTCTCTCCCCCAGGTAGGCCCTGGCCCTGTGTAAAGGGTGGAATTCAGGAAGCTGCCCTGCTTCTGTTCACACAAAGGGCAGCACAGCTTCCTCCAGACATCTGCGGTGAGCCTGAGCACACATGGATGTTCTCAGCTCAAATCTCCGCAAGAGCCCCCATGGTATTCTATTCCCCCTTCCCCATGGAGCAGGAGGGAAATGGGGGCCCCAGAAAAGTGGCCGAGTGACCCAAGGTCGCACACCCTGTTAGTGGTGAAGTTGGAATTTGAACCCAAACAGTGGGGCTTGTAAATCCAGGCTGTGCTGTGTCTTATCCCGGGACAGGGGCTCCTGGTGTGTAAGCACCACCACCAGCAGGCACCATGAGGCATAGCAAAGCTGGAGTCGGAGCCCTCCCTTTACTGCCGGTTCAGAAGGCCCAGGACGTGAGCTCCCCTAGCTGGGAGGGCCTGCTTGTGCTGTGAGCCTTACTTTTCTCACCTGTGAGGACAGGAGCTGACAGAAGTAGCCACAAAGGGTATTTCTGTACGTGAATGCTCTTTTCCCTCTGGTCTCCCTCATCAAAACAGATATGAGTTCCCATCGCGAATGTGTTGAGCTGTCAGAGTAGCAACGTCGTGAAAGAATGCGCCCAGGCTTTGAATGTCAGCTACTGAAAGAAAACAAAAAGTAGCTTAATGAGAAAACATTAACCGTGTTCATGCTGACTTCGTGAAAAACCATAAAGTGAAAATATCGAGGTTGGAAATTCTCAGAAGCCCTGGCCTCTGTCTGCTTCATAAACCTTTCGTGGAGAAGGATGAGTCCCAGACTCCACAAGTGGATGGCTCTTCAAACTTCATGCCCAAAGGGAGGGTCTTTTCTCTCCAAAAGCTCAGCCACCTTTCCACAATGTCTTTTTTCTTTCTTCTGTCCGAGATGGTTAGGAAATCCCAGGACAGGCCTGGCCAGCACCATTTGCTGAGTGCTTGAAATCCTCTGGCCATGGTGGTGGTGGTAGTGATGGCTGACACCAAGTGCCCAGAACTGTCCTGGGCAGTTTACATGCCTCACGGTATTTGGGTCTCATAGCTCCCATTCTAAAGAGGGGCAAAGTGAGGCTCAGAAACTGCTCCTTGCCCAGAGTCACAAATAAAGCCAATAAACAGCAGAGTTGGGATTTGAATGCAGTTCTAGCTGAATTTGAGTCACAAAGCTATTTAATCATTACTCTCTTTTTATTTTTTTAAAAAAGAAGCAAAACCAGGCCAGGTACAGTGGCTCACATCTGTAATCCCAACATTTTGGGAGGCCAAGGCAGGTGGATCACTTGAGCCCAGGAGTTCAAGACCAGCCCGGGGGACATGGCGAAACTCCATTTCTACAGAAAATACAAAAATTAGTCGGGCGTGGTGGCGTGAGTCTGTAGTCCCAGCTACTTGTGATGCTGAGGTGGAAGGATCACTTGAGCCTGGGAGGCAGAGGTTGCAGTGAGCTGTGATCCACCACTGAAAAAAAAAAAAAAAAAAAAAAGGAAAACCCAAACAGCTGCTCTTTCAAAAAGTTAAGAGCCCTGACCAAATTCGGAGCCTCAGCTAGGGGCTTGGCCCTACTCTTCGATTCCTTGGCCCCATGACCTGCCCATGTGCTTCCCAGAGTGGTCACTGGAGACCCTGGGCTGACTCTAGCAAGATAGCCAGAGAGCCCCCACTTCTGAGTGCAGCCCTCAGCTCCGCCTGCTCTGCTGTGTGGTACCTGGACGTCATGTCTTGGGGTGGAAATTGACCCTACATGTCTCCTCTTCAGACAAAGCTCTGTGGAAGTGAGGATACAAGTGCGCAGTTTGCGGGCATGACCCTGGTGTCCTGCACGGAGCCAGCCTGGCACTTGACGCTGCCAAGAAATATTGGATGAATCATTTAAAAGAACTGGAAGGGCCGGGCACGGCGGCTCACACCTGTAATCCCAGCACTCTGGGAGGCCGAGGCGGGTGGATCACTTGAGGTCAGGAGTTTGAGACCAGTCTGGCCAACATGGCGAAACCCCGTCTCTACTAAAAATACAAAAATTAGCCGGGCGTGGTGGTGGGCACCTGTAATCCCAGCTACTTGGGAGGCTGAGGCAGGAGAATCACTTGAACCCGGAAGGCAGAGGTTGCGGTGAGCCGAGATTGAGCCATTGCACTGCAGCCTGGGTGACAGAGCCAGACTCCGTCTCAAAAGAAAAAAAAAAAAAAAGAACTGGAAGGTGTTGACATTGCTGTGCACTCACTGGCCTCCTTGCCCATCCTTTCCTTGTTCATCCCGTCTCTCCTTCCTCCTGCCCTCCCTTGACTTCCATTGCCAAACTGATCATTCGTCCCACCTGCAAACTCATTCCAGACACTTCTGATGGGTCACACATCATGTCGAGAAAATTAGGCCAGGTACAGTGGCTCATACCTGTAATCCCAGCACTTTGGGAGGCCAAGGTGGACAGATCACCTGAGGTCAGGAGTTTGAGACCAGCCTGGCCAACATGGTGAAACCCCGTCTTTACTAAAAAAAAAAAAAAAATGGCCGGGTACGGTGGCTCATACCTGTAATCTCAGCACTTCGAGAGGTCGAGGTAGGCGGATCACGAGGTCAAGAGATTGAGACCATCCTGGCCAACATGGTGAAACCTCGTCTCTACAAAAAATACAAAAATTAGCTGGGCGTGGTGGCGCGTGCCTGTAGTCCCAGCTACTTGGGAGACTGAGGCAGGAGAATCGCTTAAGCCCGGGAGGCGGAGGTTGTAATGAGTCAAGATCACACCACTGCACTTCAGCCTGGCTGATAGAGCAAGACTCTGTCTCCAGAAAAAAAAAAAAAACTTAGCTGGGCATTGTGTCAGGCACCTGTGGTCCCAGCTACACGGGAGGCTGAGGCAGGAGAATCGCTTAAATCTGGGAGACAGAGGCTGCAGTGAGCCGAGATCATGACACTGCACTTCAGCCTGAGTGACAGAGTGAGACTCTGTCTCAAAAAAAAGAAAAGAAAAAGAAAAGGAATTCGAATCTCTTCCAGCCCTGTGGTATCTTAGCAACAGGGCTTCTAGCTGGGCAGAAGGGGTGTGTTTGGGGCAGCAGGGGACGCAGGCAGGGAGGTCCCATATGGGCTGATGTTCCTGTTTCTGCTGAGGGCTGTTTTGGGCTAATGGGGCTTCCATAAACAACAACTTTCTTCAAGGTCCACAGCAGAACACACTCCGGGAACTGACCCCTGCATGCGGTTTCATTTCAGGGGCCGCTTCCAGATGCTGAGTCCCCCACTTGCATGATCACTGTGACTTTGTAAATGCCAGTATTTCTCTCCTATCCGTATCAAGAACACTGATAGGAGAGGAAGTCACCTGCCAGTATCCGGTGGCAGCTCATAGGAGAGGAAGTCACCCGCCAGTATCCGGTGGCAGCTCATAGGAGAGGAAGTCACCTGCCAGTATCCAGCGGCGGCTCATAGGAGAGGAAGTCACCCGCCAGTATCCAGTGGCGGCTCATAGGAGAGGAAGTCACCCGCCAGTATCCCGCGGCTCATAGGGGAGGAAGTCACCCGCCAGTATCTGGTGGCGGGGAGTCAAGACAGAGACTTCCAGTTGAGTCACATTCAGTCTGTTCGCCTCAACTTGGAGGTATCAAGGCCTCACCCCGGGGAGTGGCCTGCAGTTATCCCTGCAGCAAGGCGGAGAGCCAGGTGTTGTTCCGTTTTACAGGTGAGAGGCCCACGAAGCCTGCCTGGCTGTAGGATCCACCAGTGGGTAAGGGGACCATGAGCAGACTCCGAGAGGCCAAGTGCATGGCCTGCGGTCACTCAGCGAGCAGAAGCCTCATGGACAGGGTTTCCCTCCCTGTCCAGCTGCCCCCAGGCCTGGCCAGAGATCAGCAGGCCGGACAGATATTCCCGGAGGCTAAGCTTGTATGAGTCTGGAGGGTGTCACTCCAGCTCATTTGCAATAGATGAGCTCAGAATTCCAGGGTTGGAAAGGACCTTCAAGAGGATTTCCTCAGCCAGGTGTGGCGGCTCACTCCTGTAATCCCAGCAGTTCGCCAGGCCGAGGCAGGAGGATCACTTGAGTCTAGGAGTTTGAGACCAGCCTGGGCATAGGGAGATCCCATCACTACAAAATTTTTTAAAAAATTAGCCAGGTGTAGCGGTGTGCACCTGTAATGCCAGCTGCTCAGGAGGCTGAGGTGGGAGGATGGCTCGAGGCTGGGAGGTCGAAGCTGCAGTGAGTCATGATCGTACCTCTGCACTCCTGCCTGGGTGATGGGATGAGACCCTGTCTCAAAAACAAAACAAAACAAAGATTTCCTCCAAGCCCTTTATCGTCACCTAAGCAAAATAAGCAAAGAAAGGGTTTGCCCGAAGACGTCCAGCCACCCGGCTGCAGCGAAGAGGCTGGAAGTACTTAAAAACAGCATCCCTTCCCTCCCCTAAAATAAGCACACACATGGCGGAGTTCCACATTTAATTTGTAATAAAGTCTTTTTTTTTTTTTTTTTGAGAAGGAGTCTTGCTCTCTCACCCAGGCCGGACTGCAGTGGCGCTATCTTGGCTCACTGCAAGCTCTGCCTCCCGGGTTCATGCCATTCTCCTGCCTCAGCCTCCACAGTAGCTGGGACTACAGGCGCCTGCCACTGCGCCCAGCTAATTTGTTTGTATTTTTAATAGAGACGGGGTTTCACCGTGTTAGCCAGGATGGTCTCCATCTCCTGACCTCGTGATCCGCCCGCCTCAGCCTCCCAAAGTGCTGGGATTACAGGCGTGAGCCACCGCACCCGGCCAATTTGTAGTAAACTATTTTTAAATAATAAAACCCCACACTTAGAAGAGATCTTATGAAAAATCCCTGCCTAAGCAGATTGGAGGTTGCCAGAGGTTGGGAAAGGAGAACAGGGGTGACTGTTTCATGAGTCAGGGGCTTTCTTTTGGGGTGATGAAGAAGTCTAGAAACTTGATAAAGGGAGTTTGGGGGAAGGTACTAAATGCCATGGTGAATTGTACACTTTAAAATGGTTAATTTTACGTTATGTGAATTTCACCTCAATAAAAAGAAATCATATAAAAAGAAAGGAAGCAGCCGGGCACAGTGGCTCACGCCTGTAATCCCAGCACTTTGGGAATCCAAGGCGGGTGGATCACCTGAGGTCAGGAGCACGAGACCAGCCTGGCCAACATGGTGAAATCCTGTCTCTACTAAAAATATAAAAATTAGCTGGGCACGGTGGCTACTGGGGAGGCTGAGGCAGGAGAATCGCTTGAGCCTGGGAGGCGGAGGTTGCAGTGAGCCCAGGTCGTGTCGCTGCACTCCAGCCTGGGCAACAGAGTGAGACCCCACCTCAAAAAAAAAAAAAAGAAAAGAAAAGAAAAAAGAAAATAAAATAAAAAGAAAAAAGAAAAAGAAAGGAAACAGCTAGGACCTCACTAAGACACTGAGACCCTCAGGGGGGCTTGGTTATGGAGTGGGAGTTGGTAGCAGCCCTCATAATGGTTGAACTTGCAGGCTTGCTGCTCGTATGTATCAGGATGGCATAGTGAATGTCCTTGTAAGAAACAAGTGCAGGCCAGGCGCGGTGGCTCATGCCTGTAATCCCAGCACTTTGGGAGGCTGAGGTGGGCAGATCACGAGGTCAGTAGATCGAGACCATCCGAGCTAATGTGGTGAAACCCCGTCTCTACTAAAAATGCAAAAAATTAGCCCGGCGTGGTGGCGGGCGCCTGTAGTCCCAGCTACTCGGGAGGCTGAGGCAGGAGAATGGCGTGAACCCGGGAGGTGGAGCTTGCAGTGAGTCGAGATCGGGCCACTGCACTCCAGCCTGGGTGACAAAGAGAGACGCCGTCTCAAGAAAAAAAAAAAAAAAAAAACACCTTGGGAGGCCGAGGCAGGTGGATCACCTCAGGTCAGGAATTTGAGACCAGCCTGGCCAAGATGGTGAAACCCTGTCTCTACTAAAAATACAAAAATTAGCTGGGTGTGGTGGTGGGTGCCTATAATCCTAGTTACTCAGGAGGCTGAGACAGAGAATTGCTTGAACCCGGCAGGCAGAGATTGCAGTGAGCTGAGATTGTGCCACCGCACTCCAGCCTGGGTGACAGAGTGAGACTCCATCTAGAAAGAAAGAAAGAGAGAGAGAGAGAGAGGGAGAATGAAAGAAAGAAAGAAAGAAAGAAAGAGAGAGAGAGAGAGAGAAAGAAAGAAAGAAAGAAAGGAAGGGAGGAAAGAAAGAAAGAAAGAGAGAGGGAGGGAGGGAGGAAGGAAGGAAAGGAAGGAAGGAAGGGAGGAAAGAAAGAGGAAGGAAGGAGAAGGAAGGAGGGAGGGAGGAAGGAAGGAAGGGGAGAAGTATTTGGAGAGAAAATGCCACAACTAACTTCCAAATGGCCCAGGAAAATCCATATGTGTGCATAGGTGTGTGTGATGAGAGTGAACGCAGAAGGGGTGGGGTGCAGGGGAGTGGAGGTGGAGGCTGTACAGGTTTTGTCAGACTATTCTCGAGACTCCTCTGTGGGTTTGAAATTTTTCAAAATAATAAAAAAATGGAGGGGAAGAAACCCAACCCACCTGCCTGGTACCTGCCTGTGTCTTATTCGCCAGAGCCCTCAGCTGCGATGGGCAGGCGTGTGCAGCTCACACACTGGTTTCCAGACATGCTCCTGTGGAAGCCTGCAACACTCTGCGCAGGCACTCGGCACTCGGGTGACCGTCACTGGCCCCAGCTCCCAGAGCAGGAAACCGAGGCTCAAGAGGCTACACGCCGACCCACGCGGCGAGGCCCAGCACCAAAGACGGTGCAGAGGAGAAAAGTCGAGCTATTCTGGGTCCCCGTGGGGCATGTCAGGGGATTCATATTGCATGCCCAATGTGACAGGCGGAGGGCATATTTTCCGAGGCAGCCGGTCCCTGGGGAGTGACCCAAGCTCATCACTCTGTCCTCATCCTGCCCTGATCAAGGATGCGGGGGCTCAGTCTTTTCTCAATCGCCAGCTTCCTTTCGGGTCAGAAGTTATGCTTTGTGTTTTGTTTTGTTTTTTTAACAGAAAAGTTTTTTACAAACTTGGTTGTTGGGTCTTCTTCAGCATGGAGGAGTCAGCGTCCCATCTGAAGTCACTCTCAAGTACGAAGCTGAGAGGCCAATCCACGCCCAGGCCACAGAGAATAGCCCCTTTAGGACTAGAGATCTTGAGAAGGCCAGCTCCCGCATCCGGTGATCCAGAGCTTTCTGCAACTGTTTTCTTACTAATGAGAGGCACCGTATAGCTGAAGGCCCTCTTGAGGCCAGACTCTGTGTGTGTGTGTGTGTGTGTGTGCATGCTTGTGTGTGTGTGTGCACATTTGGTTATATGTACGCATGTGCCATTGTGTACATTTGTGTGAGTGCATGTGCTCATGTGTGCACATGTGTGTGCGTGAGTATACACAAACGCGTGCTCATGTGTGTGTGCACATTTGAGTATGTGTACGTATGTGCCATTGTGTACATTTGTGTGAGTGCATGTGCTCATATGTGCACATGTGTGTGCATGAGTATACACAAATGTGTGCTCATGTGTGTATGCGTGTGCTGCGTAGTTCTTGCAGCAGCGGCTCTGATGGCTCATTCTCCATGTTGCAGAAGAGCAGATAGAAGCTCAGAAAGGCTCAGGAAGAGCCCTTGTCTCCTTTGCAGCACTTGCTATAATTGCCTTAAAATAATCATCTATGGAATTATCTGCCCATGGTCTGCCTCTGCCTAGTGTCTGTAAGCTCCATGGTCTCACACACGTGTGTGTGTCTTGGTCACTCCTGCCTCCCCTGGGCCCAGCATAGCCCTGGCAGGGCATAGGTGTGATGAATCTCCTTCAGTAGAGGGGAGAAGGGTGGGAGGGAGGGAAAGAGAAGGGCAGAGAAAGAGGGGGCTTCAGCCTCCTTCTAGCTTTGCCTTTCCAGCAGGCCAGGGATGTTCCTGCTTTAAGGCATTTAAACAGATGCTCTGGGCTCAGCTCTGGCTAGGGTTTCTGGCTGCATGCACCACAGATCAAGGGGGCTGGAGGATTCCTGCCACAGGCTCCCACTGTGTGCCTTGGGACAAGTCCTTGGCTCAGTTTCCCCACCTAGGAAACAGGATGGACACGGGCTTGCAGAGGGTGGCCAGAGGGAGCCAGGCCAAGCGGCTGGGATGTGGGGGGCTGGACTAGGAGGGGCCTCTTCCCAAAGCCCCAGCCAGGGCTTCCAGTCCCCCCAAGACTTGCCATGCTTTGCCTCCTTGCAAGGAACTCCCGTCAGCTCCTCAACCCTCTGCTCCAGGATGGTGCCTGCCCTGAACCCTTGCCATCCCTCCTCCACCATCATGCTTCTTGTTTCAGGCCCTCTATGGGACAGGGAACAGATGCAAGTGCCTGGTCCAGGCTGTGTGTGTGCAGGATCTAGCACAGCCCCATTCTACAGATGAGAGCACTGAGGTGAAGGGGCTGTCAGCCTTGGCCAGTGGAGAGTGAAAAAGAGCTCCTCCTTCCTTGCTCCTCACTGCCTCCAGTCTCCTTCCTTCTCTCCCCTCCCCTTCTCACCTCCTCCCTCCTCCCCTCCTCTTTTCCTCCTCCTCCATCCTCCTCTCCTCCCTCCCCTCCTCTTCCCTCCTCTCCTCCTCCTCCCTCCTCCCCTCTCTGACTCTCACCCTCCCCTCCTCCTCCTCCCGCCTCCCTCCTCCTCCTTCCTGCCTCTCCCTGTACACTGCTCATTGCCGTCACTACTGGGGCTTGGGGTCTTTTGCTGGGATTAAGTCCATGGTCCTGGTTGCAGCTAGGGGCTTATTCCCACAGGTCCCATGGCCAGAGTGGGAAACACGTGGATTTCCATTTAAACCTCATTTATGGTGGTGCAGTCAGCCTGTGCCCAGCCTGATTCCCAGAGGTCAGTTAGTGGGTGGGTTATGGGGTGTCCCTCGTGGAGAGGCTGGCAAGGAGAGTCAAGCCAGGATGGGGTGACCCCGCCAGTGTGGAAAACCTGGCTTGTGTGGGCAGTGCTTCCTCTTCCATCTCCAGCATCTGATTCCCATGGCTCTGTTTGTTTTAAGGGTTTCTTCTAGAAGCTTCCACACAAGACAGTTGGAGTCACAGTCTCTGCTCCTCTTGAACTTGGCACCAATGACCCTGAATCTTTATGTGACATCCTTATGAGACTCAGCTGAGCTCTGGGCTCTGCTGAGCTGAGCTGGGGTCTTGTGGGGTGTAGTGGCAGCTGGGGCGCCTCCAGTACCCCTGAAGACCCCAAGGGAGCACCCCACCTGCCAGGCATCAAGTGCTCAGGGCTCTTCTGAGCAGTAGCAGCATGCTTTGGCTTTCCCGGTCAGGTCGTGAGAACAGCAGGGGCCGCCCACCGGGCACCTTGGCCCCTCAGGCTTTAATGAGCAAGCGAATGACTGCCAGTCTCACACCAGCCCACGAGGGGGCAGGTTTTCCTGCCTGAGGCCACACAGCTCTTCAGCTGCAGGGTGGGGACTCACAGCCGACCGCGGGACTCTGATGAGTCCCCTGGGGCTCCTGCGACAATGATCACAGATGGCGGCTTAAGCAAGAGATTTCTGCTCTCACCGAGCTGGAAGCTGCAAGTCAGAAATCAAGATGTTGGCGGGGTCAGGGCTCCTGGGGCCCAAGGGAGGATGCCTCCTGCTCTCCGGCCCCAGGTGTCGGCCTCCTCCTTCCCTGCTTTCTGTGTCTAAACTCTTGCTCCGTCTTTCTCTTCTGTGGACATCTTCTTTTTTCAGGACTCTCATCGTCTAACTCAGTGCCCCCTGTCCAATCCGGGATCATCTCTTCTTGAGATCCTTCACTTAATGTCATGCACAAAGACCCTTTTCCAAGTTAGGTGACTCCCACAGGTTCTGGAGGGACACACATCTTGGGGGGCATCACTCAGCTGACTCCGTGAGTCAATGCTCAACCTTCTCAGCACACGGGCCCCAACCCCAGGAGCTCCTCTGCTCCCCAGAGAGGGGGAGTGGGCAGTGGGTCCCCACAGTGTCCCCGAGGTGAACTTGGGAAGTTGTTGAATGATTTTGCAGAAAATAGGGGTGGGCGGAAAGGAAGCCAAACCTCCATCCTCACCCCTGCTTGATTCTTCATGGAGTTTGTCTCTGGATGCACCGTCCTCAGAAGGGAGAGTTAGCAAACTACACCACCGAGCACACACTGTGGGGAGCACATCTGCAGGGAGCACACCGGTTGAGCGGGCCTGGGGGACCTTGGACAGAGGCAGCTTGGAGGGAGATGGCAGGTCCAGATGCCCCTGAGGATGGACTCGGAGGGGTCCTCCCAGCAGAGGGCCAGGGACATTTCTTGATGTTGGTTCACTGAGGGGCCCAGCTCCAGGCACCCCGGGAGCCGATGGGCTCATTGACACCATCCCCTCTTGGCCTGGCAGGCTTGCAAAGCTGCTCCCCAGGTCCCTAGCAACTGCAGCCTGGTTGTTCCCATCGGATGAGACCACCCCCGTTTGGGACCTGACCCTTGACTTCCCTTGGAAGTGGAGACGGTGGTGCAGTTTGCTAACTCTCCCTCCTGAGGACGGTGCATCCAGAAACAAACTCCATGAAGAATCGAGCAGGGGTGAGGATGGAGGTTTGGCTTCCTTTCCACCCACCCCTATTTTCTGCAAAATCATCCAACAACTTCCCAAGTTCACCTGGAAAGTCGTGAGGAACTGTTTGCAAAAGAAGAAATACACATAGCCAACGAGGATAAGAATGTTCAAACTGGAGGGAGAAGCCTTCCTCTTACTTAGCAAACTGACAGAGGCTTATCTGAGAAGTCCTGCTAGGTAGAGGTTCCTAGGTGTCGGGGGAGCAGCCTCTCCTGAGGCCAGTGGGTGGAGGAGTGAATCGGCGAGGGTCTCCAGCCTGGCAGAACCCCTGCAGCATCCATCCCAGTCCACTCCTGTGGGAAGCCACACTGTGATCACGATGAGTCCAGAGTACCTGCCAGGTCCCAGGAGACTCTGCCCAATGCCCATAGACTTTGCCAACTGTTGCCTGGCTTTCTCGGAATGAGACAAGCTGAGGAGAGCAGGGCCTGGCTTCATGGGGTCCGCCGCAGCTCCCACCCTGGCACAGGATCAGCACAAAGTGAGCTGATTCAATGAACGAATACGCTTCAAACTGTTCATCCTCTTTAACCACACAATTCTACTTCTAGGAGTTTAACATAAAGAAAGTCCTTAGGCCGGGCGCGGTGGCTCACGCCTGTAACCCCAGCACTTTGGGAGGCTGAGGCGGGCGGATCATGAGGTCAGGAGTTCGAGACCAGCCCGGCCAATATGGTGAAACCCCGTTTCTACTAAAAATACAAACGAATTAGCTGGGTGTGGTGGCACATGCCTGTAATCCCAGCTACTCAGGAGGCTGAGGCAGGAGAATAGCTTGAACCCAGGAGGTAGAGGTTGCAGTGAGCTGAGATCACACCACTGCACTCCAGACTGGGCAACAGAGCAAGACTCTGTCTAAAAAAAAAAAGAAATTCCTTAAAGAAATATGCAAAGATGCTCATTAGGGCCCAGTTTTGTCCAGTTTTGTGCAACTTTTTTCTGTAAGGGGCCAGATAGTAAATTTCAGCTTTGAGGGCCGTAGGCCTTTCTCACAACTCCTCAACGCTGCTGTTGGGGCATGAAAGTGGCTACAGGCAATGCATTCACGAATGTGCATGTCTGTGTGCCAATAAAACTTTATTTCTAAAAACTGAAACTTGGGGCCAGGTATGGTGGCTCACTCCTGTAATCCCAGCACTTTGGGAGGCTGAGGCGGGCAGATCACTTGAGGTCAGGAGTTCGATACCAGCCTGGCCAGGATGGCCCATTTAACCCATTGAACAATGGGTTACATGAAGAAGAGTTCATTCAAACTATTAGGCCCCCGATAAAAATTGTCACCATGTGAGGCAAGGTACAAACAGCAGGACACCCAGCTCTACAGTAAAATTGGTTCTGTAAAAGCAAAAAAAAAAAAAAAAAAAAAAAAGAAAAGAAAAAAACACACATTCTGGTCCATTTTTTTAAAAGTAAGAGAATACACCCATTCTGTCCTTATTTTTATCTGTCTCTTTTTTCCTGCATTTCCTACACTGAAAATGGATCACTTTTATCATCACAGCACAGAAGCTATTAAACCAGGAAGAGATATTTTTAAAATGTTAACTTGGGGCCAGGACAAAGGAGGCCTGTGGTGTGGTTGAGTGACTCCCATCAGTCAGCAGCGAGCGACCACATGCAGGGACATCGTGCAGCTTCAGTGGTCAAAGGTGTGCAGACAGCGCTGTCTTACCCGTCCCCGAATGTCACCTTCCTCCCAAACAAATCCCCGGGGCTCCTGCACAATGGCTTTCTACTCAAGATCCTCCAGCCGGAACCTCCCCGATGTTTTCCTTAGAGGGTCAGAGGAGCTGCCCCCTGGGATGGAATCCACCGCTCCCTGGCTCACTGGCTTGGCTGCCCAGGGCTGTGACCTCTTGGAGCCAGGCTCTCTGGGACACTTTGTGCTTGCGAAGGAGGCTTTTAACTTTTTCAAATGCGTTCGCAGCCCATGATGGTGTCTTCTCCAAAGGGCTCCATGAAATTCTCGGAGACCTGTCAAACCTGGCGAGTCCGCAAGTGCTTTGATTTACAGGACAGATGTTTGCCAGCCGACACTTGGAGGGACGGAGGAGGCGGGGCGGGGTTACATAAGAATAGGGGTGTCAGCTCCCAAAAGGTGGCAATCTCAGCTCTAATTCCTTAATGCCCAATATGGTTCAGAGGTCGGGCTGTTAATGGGCAGGGAACAAATTGGGGATCGCCACCTGTGCTTCAGCCAAAGGGGGAGGGCACCCCCTTTACAGGCCACAGACCGGCTGCCAAAGCTGCTGTGCTCCTGGGTCTGCCACTGACCAGGTTTGCGATGCTGTTTGTCCTCTCTGAGCCTCAGTTTCCTCACCCATAAAGCAGAGCCACGCTGAAGAGTAAATGAAAGCAGCCCGGAAACACCCAGCCCTGGACCTGGCACGCGGCAGGTGCTGTTTTTCTCTCGCTGCACCTCCCCATAACCCAGACAGGCCATCAGAGGGCAGAGTGGTACCCTTCCAGCGGGCTTTTTCTGTATTATAGAAACTTCCAGGAAGGGTGGACTGGCAGACACCAGGCCTTAGGAACCTTTGTTTATCAGATTCCTGGTCTCTGCGAGATGAAGGGTCCAGGGAGGACAAGGGCCCTTGTACAAGGCTGCTGTGCACAGTGGCACAGGCTTCGCACTGCACAACTACACAGTTGGTGGACAGATGGAAGATGGTGTGACATGGCGGCCTGGGGGGCTCAACCAAAGGGTAGAGGTAGGGAAAGAACAGACTCCAGAGTGCCTGACTTCTGGCTCCAATGCTACATGACCTGACTTCTTTGAGACAGGGTCTCGCTCTGTCACCCACCCAGGCTGGAGTGCAGTGGTGTGATCTCCGCTCACTATAGCCTCAACCTTTCAGGCTCAGGTGATCCTCCGCCTCAGCCTCCTGAATAGCTGAGACTATGGTTGCATGCCACCATGCCTAGCTAATTTTTGTATTTTTGGTAGAGGTAGGGTTTCACCATGTTGCCCAGGCTGGTCTCAAACTCCTGGCCTCAAGCAATCCTCCTGCCTTGGTCTCCCAAAGTTCTGGCATGAGCCATTGCGCCTGCCCTGACTTCTCCTTCTCCTTCTCCTCCTCCTCCTCCTCCACTTCTTCTGCTTCTCCTTCTTTCTTCTTCTTCTTTTCTTTTTTTGAGACAAAGTTTCGCTCTTGTCGCCCAGGCTGGAGTGCAATGGTGCAATCTCAGCTCACTGCAACCTCCGCCTCCCAGGTTCAAGCGATTCTCCTGCCTCAGCCTCCCAAGTAGCTGGGATTACAGATGCCCGCCACCACACCTGGCTAATTTTTGTATTGTTAGTAGAGACGGGGTTTCATCATGTTGGTCACGCTGGTCTCAAACTCCTGACCTCATGCAGTCCGCCTGCCTCGGCTTCCCAAAGTGCTGGGGGCCTGACTTCTTTATTTGTGCATTTAGTGACTCTGTGCTTCTCCTGCTGGAGAAGCAGGAGTGTGACCTCACAGGGGCAGGCAGGCCCCTTGTCCTCCTGAGTACTGCTGTTTCTCCAGCATTAGTTCAGCGCTTGGAGCACTGGAGGTGATCGATGGTTATCTGTGGCATGAGTGAAGTCGGGTTCGGGGGAGATGGAGTAGGAGAAAGAGAAACTTTCTGAGCTCCTGGCTAGCCCAGCACGCCAGGGAGAGGGGCTCAGGGTGAACTGCACTGGGTGCAGGCTTGGGCTTGTCACCAGAGATGATGAAGCCCAGACTACCTTTAACCCCGGGTGAGAAGATCATGGTGGGGTTTTCCAGGGCCACTCTGCCTGGGTTCTGAGCAGTGAGGAAGACTGTGACCTAGAATGCAGACCTCAGTGCAGAAGTGGCTCCCAATTCAGGAAAAAACACAAGCCCAGCACATCGGGTCATTGGTGGGGAGCTCCTGGTGGGCTCTTCTCTTTAGTTTTTTCCTAATTTTCAAATTTTCTCTAAAGACTGTGCAGAACTTTTATAATGTTTGAAAAATACAGCAGGGCATGGTGGCTCACGCCTGTGATCCCAGCACACTGGGAGGCCGAGGTGGGCAGATCACTTGAGGTCAGGAGTTCGAGACCAGCCTGGGCAACATGGTGAAACCCCGTCTCTACTAAAAATACAAAAATTAGTCGGGCATAGTGGTGCGCACCTATTATCCCAGCTACTTGGGAGACTGAGGCAGGAGAATCGCTTGAACCTGGGAGGCGGAGGTTGCAGCGAGCCAAGATTGCGCCACTGCACTCCAGCCTGGGTGACAGAGCGAGAGACTCTGCCCCAGGAGAGAGAGAGAAAAAAAAAAAACACCTGGAAGTTGGGTGGGGGAGGTCACCTGAGTGGGTGAAAATGTCTGTCTGGATAAATAGATTACACTCTTGTTTATCATAGTGAAACATTGGAACCAACCTCAATGTCCAGTCTCTGGGGACACTTTGGTACCCAAACCATGAGTGGCTGTGCCAGTCAGTAGCAAGGTGTGCTTGCTGACATAGACAGATGTCCCTGGCATTCCATAAAACCAGGCTTCAGAACATCACCTGCCATATGAGCCCAAAACAAACATGCTCAGTGTGAGCCATATTTATGTTAAACCATGAAGAGGGTATAAAATGAAATATGAAAGCAGCTCCCCCACCGCTCTCAGTATCCCTGCTGTTAACAGATTTTTGTTGTATGTGCCTAAGAATGTTCTATGTGGGCCAGTCGCCGTGGCTCATGCCTGTAATCCCAGCACTTTGGGAGGCCGAGGTGGGCAGACCACCTGAGGTCAGGAGTTTGAGACCAGACTGGCCAACATGGTGAAACCCCGTCTCCACTAAAAATACAAAAATTAGCTGGGCATGGTGGCGGGCGCTTGCAATCCCAGCTACTCCAGAGGCTGAGGCAGGAGAATCCTTTGAACCTGGGAGGCGGAGGTTGCAGTGAGCCGAGATCATGCCATTGCAATTGCACCCCAGTCTGGGTGACAGGGCGAGACTCCATCTCAAAAAAAAAAAAAAAAAAAAAAAGAGTGTTCTCTGCACACACAGCATTTATAGGAAAACCTTTTTGTTTGACATCTGTGTAGCCACATACTAACCCCAACTTTTCTTTTCTTTTTTCTTTTTTTTTGAGATGGAATTTCACTCTTGTTGCCCAGGCTGGAGTGCAGTGGTGCGATCTCAGCTCACTGCAACCTCCGCCTCCCAGGTTCAAGCGATTCTCCTGCCTCAGCCTTCTGTGTAGCCGGGATTACAGGCTCCCACCACCATGTCTGGCTAATTTTTGTATCTAACTTTCCTTTTCAAAGATCTATACATATCTGCAGAGCAAAATTGTCTGCTTAAAAATCAGAGTGCAGTGGTATCATCTCAGCTTACTGTAGCCTCGACCTTTCAGGCTCAAGTGATCCCCCTGCCTCAGCCTCCCAAGTAGCTGGGACTACAGGTGCATGCCACCACGCCTAGCCAGGCTGGCATCATTTGATAAAGTTGAAGGTCTGAGTGCGGTATGACTGCTGGGTGAATTCCCCTCAGGACCAAGGTGTTCTGAGCAGCCAGGTTCCAACAGCTCCAGATTAGGACAGCCCACCTGTCTCTCTATGGGGAGATGGCTGAATTAATTGTATCAGGTTGATGCAAAAGTAATTGTGGGTTTTGCCATTGAAAGTAATGGCAAAAACTGCAATTACTTTTGCACCAACCTAATAGCACATTCACACTGTGGAATGTGATACAGCAAGGAAAAAGAAAACAAGTACAAGTTCACTCATTCACATGAATAAATCTCACAAATATAATGAAGAGGGAAAAGGCAAGACCTACACACGGGGAAAAGTAAAAAAGGACATTTTTTAGAGAGGAGTATCTAGGCTGTAAAGCTATAAAGAAAGCAGAGCTAAGTCAGAACGGTGGTTCCCTTGAGGAGAGAAGGATCGGCTGGGCTCAGAAGGGATGGGAGAGGCTTCTGTATGCTGGTTGGGGTCTGTCTCTTGCAGGGCCATTGGTTCTGTGAATTTTCACTTTAAAATTATTCACAAAACCACCGTGTGGGCCAGGTGTGGTGGCTCATGTCTATAATCCCAGCACTTTGGGAGGCCAAGGTGGTCAGATCACCTGAGGTCAGGAGTTCGAGACCAGCCTGGCCAACATGGTGAAACCCTGTCTTTACTAAAAATATAAAAATTAGCTGGATGCGGTGGCATGTACCTGTAATCCCAGCTGCTCAGGAGGCTGAGGCAGGAGAATCACTTCAATCCAGGAGGCGGAGGTTGCAGTGAGCTGTGATCGTGTCACTGCACTCCAGCCTGGGCAACAGAGCAGGACTCCATCTCAAAACAAACAAACAAACAAAAAACAAAAAACTGCTGTGTGCTTTTTTTGCACTTTTCAGTATGCCTGAGATTTTCCAGGACAGAAGAAGGAAAAAGTATGCAAGGAGAGACCATAAAAAGGTAGCCATGCCTATCTCTGGAAGGTGAGATTCCTGGCCATTTCCACTTTGATGTTAATAAAACCATCACCATTTATGAAGTGTTTGCGACGGGCCATTGCTTGACAGCTGTCATCTAATTTCAACCTCGTGACAATTTTGAAGAATAGCTTTTGTTGTCCCCTTTTCACACCTGCAAACCTGAAGGAAGAGACAGTGGGATTCACGCTCCTGTCCCTCTGAAGAGCTACGCCCTTCGATGCTTTTCTGTAAAGAATGACCATATATGACTGGAATGCAGTCAGAAAGGAGGAAGCGGCTGTCACAGTGGCTGGGCTTAGGGCAGATTCCAGGCCTCCATGGCCCTGGGTGCCAAATGGCGGGGCCACCATGGTTTCGGGGCCATCCAGGGGGCTGGTTCCCTTTCTCGGTGCTACAAGCAGGTTGTAAAGCACTTTGGAGGCCAATTGGCACCAGGACAAGGAATTGCACCCTTGAGGTGGTTCGTGACCCCATAAATTGCTCAGAGGTGGGAGGCAGCTGGGAGGCTCGGGAAAAGCACAAGCCAGGTCATTGGAGGCTGCTCCTTTCCCAAGGTGCGGCATTCCACGGGGTGATGGCCCTCGGGCCCCAGGAGAGGGAGAGGAACCTGGAGGAAAAGTGGACGCAGACAAGACCCCAGTGGAACGGGCCGGACAGCAGGCACCCCAGGACATTGTGAGTCAGGGTGGACAGGGTGCCTCCCCTGCCGGGGCCTCTCCCTGGGCACCTGCGGAGTCTCCGTAGGCCTGCAGCAAAGGGGGTTTAGGTTTCAGAGCGCACGCACATCAGAGGGACCACATCAAGCGCCTGCAGCTTCCAGGTGTGAATAAACCTATGGGGAGCGCTGGCGCTGGGCGTGGGCCCTGGGAACGGTTTAGATTCCGAGGTAACCCGATAAGCACTGGCTAACACCTGCACTCACTACCTGGAATATACAGACATATCCATCCCCATCCCCTTCCCGTGGGGAGCTGAGGCCTCCATTTCATGCTTGGGGTGCACCTACTTACTGTCTGCAATGTCCCGGCCACATCCACCATCAGAGGGGGAAGGAACCCTGTGTTTCTGAGGGAAAACTGAGGCCCAGAGAGCAAGCCTGACTCTCCGAGGCCAAGCAGAGCTGGGACCCAAGGCCTCCAGCTCGTGCCATCCTGCTGCCCCACTGCGGGCATCCATCTTCTCTGGGATTTTTGGCTTCTGAGGGGGTGCTGCCCAGGAGCTCCCGGGGACAGGGCGTGTGGCTCTCCCTGCCTCACAGAAATGTTTCAGAGGTGGAATGATATGGGCAGAATGATATGCCCATCGTGCCATATGACTCTCAGAACAACACGACAAAATTGCAGGTGCTATGATGGTCCCCATTTAGCCTTGCGTCAGGCGTTTGTCCTGGGCCAGCTCAAAGACCACACAACTGCATCCTCCATTGATTGACGGGCTGCTCTCCAAGGCGCCGGATGGGTGCTAGTGGTGGGCCTGGCTCGGAGGCATCTCCTGGACAGAGCCAGCCTGGATGCAGAACACATGCCCCTCCTGCTCCCAGGGGGTGGCCCAGCCTGTCTGTCCAGGCCAGGCCCAGGGACGTGGAGACCAGGGCAAGAGTTTCACCTGTCCAACTGCTGCACTGCACTGGCCCTGCCTGCCCATGGAGGGCACCGCAGATAAGCAGGGCAGGTACTGGGCGGTCAGAGCCATGATGGGGGTGGCACACCCTAGGGCTGAGGGCCCTGAACTGAGGGCAGCTGATGAGAGGGAGAAGTCATGGAACAGGAGCCAGGGAGCATCCTACAGCTGGAAACACAAGTGTGAGGTGTGGGACTGGGAGTCGAGGAAGCCAGAGTCAAGACTTTGAGAGAGATGGGCATCACCAGGAGGGGAAGGCTGGCAGGTGCTCTGCACTTGCAGTATCTGCAACAGAGAAAAAGATGCCCCTTGCTCTGGACATGCAGCTTGGCAGGCTGTGGGAAGATGGGCATCATCCAGGAGGGGCCCTGGCACAGGGTGTAACCTGCACAGCTGTACCAGGCTGGCCTGCCTGGGCATGTGTGTGTGTGTGTGTGTGTGTGTGTGTGCATATGGATGCGGGCTGCCCAGAGAAATGCCCCCACGTGTGCACACACTTATGCGCACTGTCTTGCACACAAGCCCAGGAGAAAGACTGCCAGAACAGTGGGACCCTGGACGTTCCCTGGGCCAGTTAAGCTCACCGAGGTTTCTCCAGCCTGATTGGTGGGGCCGGCTTGGGAACTGGGAGAGACAATGGCTCTAGAGCCCAGGAGCTTGGATTCACTCTTTCTCATGTGTAGAAAGAATGACATGCCCCTTGTGCCATATGACCCTCAGAACAACACTACAAAACTGCAGGTGCTATGACTGTCCGTGTTTTGCAGAAGAGGAGACTGAGGCTTGCAGATGTTTGCAGAGTTGCCTAGGTCCAGGCAGCAGGTAGGAGGTTGGAACGGCAACAATAGCGACTGCTGCAAGATGAGCCTCAAATCCATGAGATGGGGTTTTGAGGTCCTCCTGTGCTGGCTGTGGTATCTGCATGCCTTTCTGTACCTTGGGAGCTTATGTGCATAAAGAAAGAGTGACCAGCAGAACGCTGGCTGCAGGGGGATGCTCTGCAGGTTGCGGGCACATGAGGAGCTGTCTCCATACTGCATCCTCGGGTGTTTCCTAGTTGGCCATTTGCAGTGAGTACCTCGGGTCTGAATCACCAGGGGTCAGGTTTAAGAGCTGAGGGTCAGAGGTTACCAAGGTACCCATGCCAAGCCAGAGGGCTGACCTTTATTTGACCAAGTCGAGGGACCCCCAGGACCCCAAAGAGGGGCTTCAGGCCCCTGGCTGCCTTCTGAAATGATGCTTGGGGGTTGATCCTAATCGCCCCTAATTTAGGGGCCAAATGGTCAATTAAGGGACTATTAGAGAGTCAGAGAAGCAGAAGGTGAACTGAGGAGACAGATGAGAGGCAGCTGATGCCTCTGCCATCGGAGCTAGGCATGGGTTCTGCCGGCCAGCCCAGGCCTGGGAGGGAGGGTGGCTGCCTCCTCCCCTGGCATTGGCGGGGCTGGGCCTTGTTGTCAGCACCCCCGAGAGACCTGATGGCAACATTTCCTGAGGTCTGCCAGCAGCCAAGTGCCTGGCAACATGCCCCATTGCCATTTCTTCAGTTAATACTCAAATAAGCTAAATATCTACCAAGTGCCTCAGTCACTGGTCAAACACCAGTCTAGGTGCTGGGGACTCATCAGGGAGCGAAGTCAAGTCCCTGCCCTTGAGGAGCTGTAATTCTAGAGGACAGGGTGGGGACTGAAAAATAACTAAGCAGCTAAGTGTGCAATACATCAGGTGCTGCCGGCTTCCCAAGCTTAGTGGCTTCACACAAAACCCTAGTATTGCTCACAACTCTGTGTGCAGGAACTGGGGACTCAGCAAGGTCAGCTTGCGACCGCTCTACCTGCCCGCTGGTCTCCCTCTGAGACTTCCATCCTCAGGAGGCCGGGCTGGGTCGGAGGTCCGAGGTGGCTGCCCTCCTCCACCAGGGACCCCAGGGCTCTTGCACACATGTCTCTCTCCAAAGCAGGGCTGCTTGAGATTGGGCTCCGGCTCACAGATCTGTGGGGTCCTGGAGGCCTTGTAAGAACACTGGCTTTTGCTCTGAGCAAGAGGGTCCCAGAGTACAAAAGCACAAAGGCAGCTGCACTGAGCGGGAAGGGGCGCAGGTAGACTCCGATGGTGGCTGGGACCAGGGGTGGTCAGATTCTGCCTCCATCCTGCAGGGTAAGGGGACAGGGCCTGCTGCTAGATGGGGCTTCTGGCCTGGGAGCAGGAGGGTGAAGTGGCTGAGTCCCCAGCTGGGAGGTGGGTGAAAAGAGCAGGTTTGAGTGGGAGGTCCTGGCACAGTTTGGACTTGTGGAGTTGGAGGTCCTGTGAGACATCCATGCAGCAGTCTCTGGGGCAGCTGGAGGCGAGAGTCTGGAGTCCAGGGAGACAGACGTTCTGGGTCACCAGAGTCAATGAATTTCAACTCGAGGGCATTGGGAAGTGTATTAGTTCATTCTCACACTGCTAATAAAGACATACCCGAGACTGGGTAATTTATAAAAGAAAAAGGTTAATTGACTCACAGTTCCACATTGCTAGGGAGGCCTCAGGAAACTTACAATCATGGCGGAAGGTAAAAGGCACGTCTTCACAGGGCGGCAGGAGAGAGAACAAGAGCCAAGCAAAAGTGGAAGCCCCTTATAAAACCATCAGATCTTGTGAGACTTGTTCACTACCATGAGAACAGTATGGGGGAAATCACCTCCATGATTCAATCATCTCCCACTGGGTCCCTCCCACAACACATGGGAATTATGGGAGCTACAATTCAAGATGAGATTTGGGTGGGGACACAGCCAAACCACATCAGGGAGCTTGCCTGCCTGGTAAGCATGGGGGAGAGGGGTCAGACGGAGCCACAGCTCTGTGGCCTTAGGAGGTCAGTAAATGCAGAGAGCAGCATGCGGAACAGAGGAGGAGGTGACTGGGGCTGAGAGGCACCCACATGGCGTGGAGCACATTGGGGGGCGAGGGGTGATCAGAGGTCCTGCAGGTGGAGGAGCAGCTGCTAGATGTGCCAAGAGCAGGTCGAGGATCCCAGGGAGGGGCTGGCCTGGCTGGGTGGGTTCCACAGGGCTGGGGAAGGAGAGTGCAGAGGACAACGCCTAATGCTGCAGGAGAGAGGGGCAAGTGTGGAGGCGTGTTCTGGGGCCGGGCACAGGCAGGAGCCAGGACAGAGAGGGGGCCAAGCGTCTGGGCCCAGGGGCAGGAGTCAAGGGGTGAGGAGGGGCCGTGCATACAGGCTCTCTTTGGAGGAGAGGAGGCACAATGGGAAAGAAACTTCTAGAAGGTTCTACAGACCAGAGGTTAAGCCACTTGTCCAAGGTCATATCGCAAGAAAGGGGCTCTGTGTGGATTGGACCTCATGCCTCAAGGCCAGGGGCTAGAAAACCTGGGCTTACCCTGAGGGCTGCAGAGTGAAGCCTGTGGAGGCATGGCGGCTGCCTCCTTCTCTCTGTGCTCTGGCCTCCAGGCCCGCCTCACCTCCACCTGTCCTGACCACCACAGAGATCCTGCTGAGCACAGACCCATGGCAAACCTGTGGCAGGAACTGGCGACCTCCAGCTAGGAATGGCTGTGGGGGGCCCTGGATCTGGCCACCTGTGACTATGCCTGGCATTGCTGGTCTCTGCCCCGGAGGCCCCTTCCCTGGGTCACTGGCCCTAACCTGGGTCCTGTCAGGGACCCCCTGAACCGAGGGGCTGCTGCCTCAAGGGTGCCCCTCCGTCCTTGGGCCACACGTCCACTGTGGCCAGTTGGCCTCTGGTTACACCCTTGTCTCCTCACGAGGCCATGGGGACCTCGATGACTGCCCCCCACCTGGGCTGGGTGCTGGCCTGGCCCTCAGAGGCGCTTCACTAAGTGCTTGCTGGGCAGGTGAGAGCCGCAGTGCATCTCCCATGTGGAGAAGGCAGAGCGTGTCTGGGTGGGAGGTCAGCCCTGCCCGCTTCCGTTTGTCAACCTGGGGCTAGGTCTCCTTGCTCCTGGCAGGACCTCCGACATCCTCGCCATCCACGGAGGCAGAGATGGGGCAAATAGCTCTGGTGTTGGTGTTCCCCAGCATCAGCCAGGCCTGGAGGGATGGGGCAGACCCCAGCTTAGGGGTGGAAGGTTTTGGGGGGTCCACCAGGTGAGGCTACTTATACCACTCACATCCTATAGATATGGACCAAGTGGGTCCCTTCTGTACCACCTGCACAGAGGTTCTGGGGCTTTGTTTTTTGTGGGTTTTTGTTGTTGCTATTGTTGTTGTTTTGTTTTGTTTTTGTTTGTTTTGAGACAGGGTCTGGCTCTGTCACCCAGGCTGTAGTGCAGTGGCACAATCACATCCCGTTGCAGCCTCAACCTCCTGGCCTCATGTGATCCTCCTGTCTCAGCCTCCTGAGTAGCTGGGACTGGTCACCTTATTTGTGACATGACCAGTGAGCCTGGGTGGGATCCTCTCTATCAGTGCACCTGCCTCTCAGGACTGTGCTTATGATTCCCTTGGGAAACGTCTATCTCTACATTGAGAGGAAGACCCTCAATGCATCTGTATACAACAGACAGGACCTCTCACCTAATACTTAGATGACAGCTTAACCAGGGAACATCACCACCTCCCCCCAAAAACAAAACATACACACACTTTAGTCACAGGTAAACCCAGCTCAAGAGGGGCCCCCAGTCCTGGCCACTGAATAGGGAGAAGGAGGCCTGGCTTGACCCCATCTCTGCGCTGTGGTCAGCCCACTCTCTTGGGTCCCTCATCCCCTTGTCTGTTCCTTGAACTGTGAGCGGCTTTGTGGTTTGGGGGTCTTATATGTTGCTCTGTGATTGAAAGTGATTTGTTTTGGCTGAAAGTAATTTGTTTTCCAGGCTAATTTGATTATCCCCAGGGGGGCTTCCTACCTGGGGCCCCAGGCTGCCCGCTATTACCATCAATTACCATAAAGACCCTCTTCAAAGGGCAGGACCCCTGAGGTTGGCCCATTAAGGCAGGGCTGAGCCCCTGCGGGCCAGCAATAAACTTTCTGATGTTAAATGATGGCTGAAGTGTCAGACGCAGGTGATGGGGAGCTGGGGCCAGGGCCACTGTGGCTTATGAGGGTGAGATGCCTACTCATTGAAAACCGGGTCTCTGTGGGGTTTCTGCAGCCCCCGGCAGGGACACCCTGAGTCAGCCCTGGAGTAACAGACAAGGTCCATCTACGCTTTCCTATATGAGGCTCCCAAAATGGGCAGGCCCTTGGAAACTCTTTCCCAAATCTTGTCAACAACCCAAGAGGCAGGGGTGATTTGTGCCCATTTTACGGGTAAGGAAACTGAGGCTCAGAGAGGTGAGGGGACCTGCCCAGGCCACTCAGAGAGAAGGTGGAAGATTACAGGATAGAGAGGTAGGCCCAAGTACCACCCACTCCACCCAGAGACCCCCTAGATGTGACAGTTGTTAGGCACGTGCCCAATCTCTTCAGCCTCAGAGTGTTTGGTTCTGAGGTTGGGCTTGTGAGCACCTCCCAAGAGGAATCAGCCCCATGACTCACTGGCCAGGTCTAACAGCCCCAGTACCTTGCACAAATGACTGGGCTCCGTGGGGCATCCGAAGCCAGAACAGGAGACGAGTCTGTCAAGCAGTTGGGCCTCCTTTAAGCAGATATTTCAGGAGGGGCAGGATCCTGAGGGCTGTGCTGTGATCCCACACACGTGGGCAGGGCCACGGCAGGCATCTGAGTGCGAGGAATAGCTGAGACTTCACTGGCAAACAGCTGGTGTCCAACTTTGCCAACTGGGTCCCATCCCCTGCGGGTGCAGGGTCATAAGCCTGGTGACACCCTCTGTGTTTTCTCCCAGCTCTTCCCAAGGGAGTCAGTGGATCTCTGGAAACATTCCGTGGGTGCCTAAAGCCTTGACCTGGGGGCCAGTGAACCATATAAACATTACAAATCCTAGGAAAGAAAAGGAAGAAGGGAAGAAAAGGAGAGAAAAAGAGAGAAGGAAAGAAAGGAGAGGGAAAGAGGGAAAGAAAAGAAAGAAGAGAGAAAGGAGAGAAAGAAAAGAAAGAAGAGAGAAAGGAAATAAAGAAAAGATAGAAAAAAGAAGGAAGGAAGGAGGAAAAAAAGGAAGGAAAGAGAGAAGAGAGAAAGAGAGAAAGAAAGAAAGAAAGAGAAAGAAAGAAAGAAAAGAAAGAAAAAGAAAGAAGGAAAGAAAGAAAGAAAAGAAAAAGAAAGAAAGAAGGAAAGAAAGAAGGAAAGAAAGAAAGAAAGAAAGAAAGAAAGAAAGAAGGAAAGAAAGAAAGAAAGAAAGAAAGAAAGAAAGAAAGAGAGAGAGGCTTCTTTCTCCCCACCCCCTGCAGCCAGAGTCCATCTTCCACTACAGCAGTGAATGTTTGGTTGGAGCCAAGAGAGGAAGAATAAGGACTTTCATAGATGCTCTGGTGGCTGGAAATGCAGTGAAGGAATGCAGGAGACAGGATGACCTTTTACAGAAAAAATTCTCCTTTCTCAGCCCGCCCAAGGCTCTGCTGGCTTTTCCTGTGGCTTTCCCAGGGATTCCCTGTGAACCACTTCCTTTCGCCCCAGTTGGAATATCTGGGAGGAAAAACCTGTCGGGGGACCCCTTGGCTGGGGTTTGTGCCAGGGACCCTCTCAGGTCTTCCTTGAAGATGAAATGTGCCAGCATCCAGCAACAGTGTCCTGCCCAGGCTGTGGATTTCCTCCTGGCAGGTCCAGACCTAGCTCTGCTGCCCACCCACCTCTTCCCACCAAAAGGAGAGTTCATTATGGGGGTGGGGGGTGTAGATGGAGCATAAGCAAGTTGGCCATGGGCTGGGGAGAGGCTACATATAGTTAGTGATCGTATCTGGGGCAGTATGAGATTCATGGTTTGCTTTGATTTTATGACCAAACTTTTGGGGTATTTATAGGATGGCTAATGTTCTCCATGATCTCTTATTACATGGTAAGCCACTTCAAAACTTAGGGGCTTAAAACATCCACCATTTTATTTTTCTCATAATTCTGCAGTTTGGGCAGGGCTCAGCAGGGATGGCTCATCTTGGATCCATGTGGTGGGCTGGGTCACTCCCATGGGTACATTCAGCTGGGAGCGTGGTTGATTGAAAGTTCCAAGATGGCTTCATCCACATGCCAGGTGCCTTGGCTGGGCTGGCTGGACAGGCTGGGGGCTGGCTGGGCATTCTCATTCTTATTCATTCATTCATTCATTCATTCTCTCTCTCTCTCTCTCTCTCTCTCTCTGTTCTCCTGCATGGTCTTTTGCTACATAGTCTTTTCAGCACGGTAGCTGGACCTTTTTACCTGATGGCTTGGGTCTGCAAGAGAGAGATAGCAGAAGCTGGCACAGGTGAAGCTGCACCCTCCTCCCCAGAAACAACTCCTAGGTATATACACCCTAGAAAAATGTGTGTGCTGGAGCCAGTGTTGTTGGGAATGGCAGCAGCAACAACAATAACAAGAAAAGATCTGAACATCCCCAACAGGAGAATGGTCACATGGTTTGTGCTATAGTCATGTGGTGGATTGCTAGGCAGTGGTGAAAAATGAATTTCTAGGCTGGGCGTGGTGGCTCATGCCTGTAATCCCAGCACCTCAGGAGGCCAAGGCAGGTGGATCACTTGAAGTCAGGAGTTTGAGACCAGACTGGGCAACATGGTGAAGCCCCGTCTCTACTAAAAAGCACAAAAATAAGCCGGGTGTGGTGGTGCGCACCTGTAGTCCCAACTACTCAGGAGGCTGAGGCAGGAGAATCGCTTGAACCCGAGTAGGTGCAGGTTGCAGTGAGCAGAGATCACACCACTGCACTCCAGCCTGGACAACAGAGCAAGACTTCTTCTCAAAAAAAAAAAAAAAAAGAAAAGAAAAAGAAAAAAGAATTTTTAGCCATTGGTAGAGATAAATCTCCCACACAAGATAGGAAGTGAAAAAAGGAAGTCTCCAGGCTGGGTGCAGTGGCTCACACCTGTAATCCTAGCACTTTGGGAGGCTGAGGCGGGTGGATCATGAGGTCAGGAGATCGAGACCATCCTGGCTAACATGGTGAAACCCCGTCTCTACTAAAAATACAAAAAATTAGCCGGGCGTGGTGGTGGGCGCCTGTAGTCCCAGCTACTTGGGAGGCTGAGGCAGGAGAATGGCGTAAACCCGGCATGTGGAGCTTGCAGTGAGCCGAGATCGCGCCACTGCACTCCAGCTGGAGCCACAGAGCGAGACTCTGTCTCAAAAAAAAAGGGAAGCCTCCAAATGCAGAAAAATGGTTACCTCTGGGGAGAGAGGGCACGTTGGGCACCAAACTGTTGGTGATAGGTGATATTGTATTCATGAAGCTTGGTGGTGGGTTTATGTGTGTTTGCTTTGTTGGTGTTTTTTACACATTTTGCAGGCGTGACATGCACAATTTTTTTTTAACAGATACCACTCAGGAAAGAATACACCAAACACATTTGCATTTCTTTTCTTTTTCTTTCTTTTTTTTTTTTTTAAGCAAATGACAAAGACCCAGTTTACCAGCTTTACTTTTTTTTTTTTTTTTTGAGACAGAGTCTCACTCTGTCACCCAAGCGGGAGTGCAGTGGCGCAATCTCGGCTCACTGCAAGCTCCGCCTCCCGGGTTCATGCCATTCTCCTGCCTCAGCCTCCCGAGTAGCTGGGACTACAGGCGCCTGTCACCACACCCTGCTAATTTTTTGTACTTTTAGTAGAGACGGGGTTTCACCGTGTTAGCCAGGATGGTCTTGATCTCCTGACCTTGTGATACACCCACCTTGGCCTCCCAAAGTGTTGGGATTACAAGCGTGAGCCACTGTGCCTGTAAAGCCACCAGCTTTACTTTTTTAAACCTAAGCTTAATATTACATATTTAAACACTTAAACAATTGTTTAAGTTGCCAGCATTCATGCACAACTAGAAAACATCCTTAATTTATATTAAACCAGAAATGTATTACCATTAATGCATTAATATCTTTCACTACTAAATACTAAAAAAAAATCGAAATTATTTCTGTAGAAGATTCGTCCTGGCAGTGTTAACTTCACAGCAGGCCGACACTATGTGACTCACATTTCAGACGCCGTGGAAAAGCAGATCCATGCTGGTGTTAGTGTTAGTGTTAATTGTCCTACACTAAAGAATCAAGGCTCACCTTGCAGTACGTTTGATAAAAAAGCAAAGTGCATGCAGAGATTTACACCAATTAAAAAAAATATATGGGCTGGGCATGGTGGCTCACGCCTGTAATCCCAGCACTTTGGAAGGCCGAGGCAAGTGGATCACCTGAAGTCAGGAGTTCAAGACCAACCTGGCCAACATTGCGAAACCCTGTCTCTACTAAAAGTACAACAATTAGCCGGGTGTGGTGGCACACGCCTGTAATCCCATCTACTCCAGAGGCTGAGGCAGGAGAATCGCTTGAACCTGGGAGGTGGAGGTTGCAGTGAGCCAGGATCGTGCCATTGCACTCCAGCCTGGGTGACAGAGTGAGACTCCATCTTAAAAAAAAAAAAAAAAAGACAAACAAAACCAAAAACAAACAAAAAAACCACAAGAAAACAATGGTCCTATTATGTGGCCCCAACAATCAACTCAAAAGTCTATGACAAATAGAGGCTCCAGTGAGCTGTTTATAAATACTTTACATTAGGTACAATTATACTGAAAGTCGAGTTCATTTGAAATCTTCAAAAAAAAGTTCCCGTTAATCCTCCAGTGGCACTTGTTTTAGTTTAACATTTCTGTTAAAAGCGTGCGTTGAATTACTCGTTATCCAAACACAGCAGCTGCTCCTTACCATGGATTGTTAAGGACTTTAACCGGCTGTCTTCTTCAACTTCTACTCTTTCTTGACCATTCTCAACAGTTCTCTTTGTAGTCATTTTTCTGCCATTAACCATTTTAGCAGAAGTTGATATTGATTCGAAGTTGCCCATCCCACTACCACCAAATGATGTGGAAGAGAATGAAGTGAGGCCCCCATGAGCCAGGGACCTAAATGAAGTAAATACTGCATCAAAAGAAGAAAATCCACTTCCAAAAGATGGAAATCCACTGAACGTGGAGAAGAACGACCCCGTCCCTCAGCTTCTGCTTCCTCGGGAACCCCTTTGATTCCCAAAAATGTCCTCAAAAAGGTTTTCAAAGAAGTCAAATGAGAATGGGTGCCTTCCACCAAAAAATTCCCTGAAGACATCATCTGGGTCACAAAATGTGAAGCCAAACTCAAACGGACTCTCAAAATGATTTCCACCTCTTCCTCCACCAATTCATCCTTCTTTGCCTTATTTGTCATAGTTGTCCTGTTTCTTAGCATCTGACAGCACCTCATACGCCTCCACTACTTGTTTGAATTTTCTCTCTGCTTCTTCTTTGTTCTCAGGATTTTTATCTAGGTGTCACTTCAGTGCCAGTTTCCGATACGCCTTTTTACTATCCTTGGGTGAGGCGCATCTCTGCATGCCTAGAACATCATAGTAATCCACCATGTTTTAAGCAATTGTTGGAATATGTCTGAGAACAGAGGCAGCCGGTGACAGGATGCAGGGGAGGTGGGGTGGTGGCCTGGATCTCCTGTCAGCTCCAGCACTGCTGTGCTTGCAATGTTTTGTATGTGTGGAAATGTCAGATTCTGTCACCCATGAACAGATTCCGGTTGTGCTGATGCACACATCTGCCTGCACACACCTTCACATACAGGTTTGCTCATGATGCACCCACACGTGAGCACTCATACAACACACTCAGGGATCTGCTGTAGGGCCCTGGTGGGTGTCTGGGACACTGCCCCCTCCAGAACTCAGGCCTGTCCATTGGCCCCTGAGGTGTCTCTGGGGCTCTAATCTTTAGGCTGGTCTCCCAGGAGAAGATGCGAGGCTCTGGGTGGGCTGCTGACATGGGCTCTGGGTTGGAAGCCTTTGTGGCTCAATGTTGGCCCTTAGTGCCTGCATGAAGGAGCCCCGGTGAGACATGGAGAGGCCTTAGACAAATGAAATTACAGGGGAGCTGCTGGGCATGTGGCCAGATCAGGCTCCCAGCTCCCAGGCAGCTGGCCCCAGAGGCAAGTCCGGACAGCAAAGCCACCTGTTAGGTAGGCTTTTGCCTGGCAGCATCCTCAAGAACACCTTGCCCTCTGACACACAGTGGTAGCCAGCACCCCAATGGCTTCCAATGGGCTACTCTCTGGTATCAGTGCCCGTGTAGAGTTCCCTCCCTCATTGTTTCAGGGTTGCTCTCTAGGACCAGTAGAATGTGGTGAAGTGGCAGAGTATGACACCCAAGACATTACCACTTGCACCTGGCTCTTTCTTGGATCACATGCTCTGGGGGAAGCCAGCTGCCATGTTGGGAGCCCTATGGAAAGTCTGAGTGGTGAGGAACTGAGGCCTCCTGCCCATAGACATGTGAGTGAGGCACCTTGAAAGTGGATGCTCCAGCCCCAGTCAAGCCATCAGATGAGACTACAGCCCTAGCTGACATCTTGATTTCAACATGAGAGGTCTTGAGCCAAAAACATCCAGTTAAGCTGCTCCCACATATCTGATACAGAGCTATAATACTATGTGAGATAATAAAGGTCCATTGTTGTTTTCAGCCTCCAAATGTTGGGGAAATGTACTGTGTAACAGTAGATAACTAATATAGGCCAGGCGTGGTGGCTCACGCCTGTAATCCCAGCACTTTGGGAGGCCAAGGCAGATGGATCACCTGAGGTCAGGAGTTCGAGACCAACCTGGCCAATATGGCAAAACCCCGTCTCTACTAAAAATACAAAAATTAGCCAGGCATGGTGGCACATGCCTGTAGTCTCAGCTACTCAGGAGGCTGAGGCAGGAGAATCACTTGAACTTGGGAGGCAGAGATTGCAGTGTGCTGAGATCGCACCATTGCACTCCAGACTGGGCCACAGAGTGAGACTTCGTCTCAAAAATAAATAAATAAATAAATAAACAAATAAACTAATATAGACACCCTTCCCATTTACTGAACACTTATGTGTGAATGCTTTACATCCTGACCTAGTCTCATCATCACAGAATTCATGGAGGTGGATATAATGGTCCCCATTTCATAAAGAGACAGAGGTTCATGGAGGATCAGTGACTTGTCAAAGTCCTACAGCTAGGAAGGAGCTCAGAGCCACATTCCAAACCAAGGTCTGTCTTTCCCTTATGCATCGCTTCTTCCTTTTTCAATTGCTTTGGAGACAGAGGGAGCTGCTCATCTACAGAGGTCACTGTGGGCCTAAGTGTCTGGTGAGACATTTCAGTGGCTCAGAGAATTCTTTTTTTTTTTTGAGATGGAGTTTTGCTCTTGTCGCCCAGGCTGGAGTGCAGTGGTGCTATCTTGGCTCACTGCAACCTCCGCCTCCTGGGTTCAAGCCATCCTCCTGCCTCAGCCTCCTGAGTAGCTGGGATTACAGGTGTACGTCACCATACCCAGATAATTTTTGTCATTTTTGGTAGAGACTGGGTTTCACCATGTTGGCCAGGCTGGTCTTGAACTCCTGACCTCAGGTGATCTGCCCACCTCGGCCTCCCAAAGTGCTGGGATTACAGGCGTGAGGCATCGCACCCGGCCACAGGGAATTCTTTAGAGTAACAACTACAAGAACAATGACTTGTATTTGGTATTAATTTCCCAAGGCTGCTATAATAAACAACGGCAAACTTGATAGCTTGAAAGATCAGAAATGTATTGTCTCACAGTTCCGGAGGCCAGAAATTTCAAAATCAGGGAGTCAGCATGGCCCTGCTCCTTCTGAAGGCTCCAGGGAAGGACACTTGCTGCCCTTTCCACCTTCTGGTGTCTCCAGACATTCCTTGGCTTATGGCTGCATCACTCCAGCCTCAGCCTCCAGCTTCACAGGGCCTCCTGAATATCTACATCTTCCCCTTGTCTGTCTGTCTCTCTCTCTCTTTCTTTTTTTTTTTTTTTCTGAGACAGAGTTTCACTCTTGTTGCCCAGACTGGAGTGTAATGGCTTGATCTCAGCTCACTGCAACCTCTGCCTCCCGGGTTCAAGTGATTCTCCTGCCTCAGCTTCCTGAGTAGCTGGGATTACAGGTGCATGCCACCACACCCCGCTAATTTTTTTGTCTTTTTAGTAGAGATGGGGTTTCATCATATTAGCCAGGCTAGTCTCAAACTCCTGACCTCAGAGGATCCACCCGCCGTGGCCTCCCAAAGTGCTGGGATTACAGGCGTGAGCCACTGCACCCGGCCATCTCTCATAAGAATACCAATCACTGGATTTAGGGCCCATCCTAGTCCAGGATGATCTCATCTTGATTCTTACCTTAATTACATCTGTAGAGATCCTTCTCCCAAATAAGTTCACCTTGTGAGGTTCCAGGCAGACATACATTTTGTGGGGACACAATTCAACTCAGTACATATTTCTTCAGAGTATTGTCATTTATTACAAAATGCCTATGCTTCGGAGCAAACCCGAGAGGTAGGTTCTGTTTTTATCCTCCACAGCCAATTGCAAAACGGGGACTCAGCAAGGTGAGGGTACCTGCCCAAGGTCTCACAGCAAGCAAGCGGCAGAGGTGGGGTTCACATACAGGGAGTGGGGAAGGGGGGCCAGGCAGCCTAGGCCCTCAAAGTCGTGGCTTCTGACTCCCGGTCCAGCGCTCGGTTGGATGGAGTCCTAGCCTTCCCTGGAGCAGGCGTGGCAAGACCCACAGGTGGCTGCCCCGGGGGCCTCTCCAGGTGGGCTCTGAGGCCATCAGAACCTGGTAATGATTGGGGACTTCTCCTTGCTGTGTTCCCTGATGGTCCATTAAAGGCAAGTTGGGGCCCAATGATTACAGGGAAAGTTCAACTGGCTTCCCCTTTGAAATACACAAAGGCTGCACAGGTAATGGGCTTGAGCCCTGGTGTTTGAAGTGGCAGTCCTTCCAGGGAACATCTGGAGGGCTGTGCCCCTGCACAACAAACGCTCGGAGCACGGCTGGCCCTCAGAGGCTGCTTGCGCCAAACATCGGGGCAGGTTCTGCTTTTTTCTTTGATTTTGATGCGTCCCAAATTCTAGGATGCTCACTTGTGTCTTTCTTTGGTGATGGGTAAGTGGTGGGGCGGTCTTTCTTTTCATTTTCCTCAGAGCTGAACTTCAGAGAATATTAACACCAAAGAACCAGTGTGGCCTCATTAACTCAGGATTAGTGCCGAACCAAGTGATTACTGCAGATTCTCACAACAGTTTAAAAAAAATGTGCAGTTGACATCAGAGAGCCACCCTGATCAGAGCCCTGTTGCAGGAGTGCTGGGGACCAGCAAGCTCCCCTGTTTCTGGTTGCCCCATGCACTCAGCACAGTGCTTATCAAGCACCTGCCATGTGCCGGGGGATGGGGACACGGCAGCCACAAAGCACATGGTCCCTGCTTCAGGGCCACAGCATCTAGGGGAGAAATAATAATCAGCAAGAGAACCAATGCACAAGATGGTTTTGGATGGTAATAAATGCTTGGAAGAAAATCAAATAAGCGGCCAGGTATGGGTGGCTCACACCTGTAACCCCAGCACTTTGGGAGCCCAAGGCGGGCGGATCATTTGAGGTCAGGAGTTCGAAACCAGCCTGGCCAATATGGTGAAACCCTGTCTCTACTAAAAATACAAAAAAAATTTTAGCTGGGCATGGTGGCAGGTGCCTATAATCCCAGCTACTCAGGAGGCTGAGGGAGAATCACTTGAACCTGGGAGATGGAGGTTGCAGTGAGCAGAGATCGTGCCACTGCACTCCAGCCTGGGCGACAGAATGAGACATCATATCAAAAAAAAAACAAAAAAAAAAAAAAAGGAAAATCAAAAAAGCAGATGATAATGGTGGTGTGTTTAGGGGGAATCACTTTAGCTACAGAGGTGAGAGAAGCCAGTATTTAAGCTGAGATCGCCATGCAATGGGGACTCAGCCCCGCAGAGACCTGGAGAAGAGCACCCGAGACTGCAAAGGCCCTGAGGCAGGAAGCGTTTAAGGCATTGGAGCACCAGCCTGGAAGGGTGGAGGGGCTGCAGGGTGGTGGGCATGACAGGGGTCAGTGTGTGGCTGGGTCAGGGGAGGAGAGGACATGGCCGAGGCCTCACCCTGCAGAACACGTGGCTCTTGTTCTATGTGGGGGTAGCACTGGCGATGTGGGCAGGGGAATGACTCGGTTTTAAGCATCTTACCTGGGAACATCTGGTTTTTCAGATGGCTTTCCCGGAGCACACCATCACACAGGGAGCTTCTGTCTGACTCCTATCTGAAGCCCCAGCGCACAGGTTGGGGCCCGGCACATAGGATGGCTTCAGCATAAGATGGCCTGCAGGATCAGGGTCAGCAATGAGGAAAAAGTTACCAATGAGCCTTGAGTGTCCTCCAAGGCTGATTGCAGAAGAGGATGTGGCTGGCTTGGAGAAGACTAGACTGCTCTCTGGGAGGAAGCTTGATGCTGCCAGTATCCCTCCAGCCCAGAAGGGAAGACCAGCTCTTACCACCACAGAGACCAGGGCTTGCAGAGGGAATGCGAGCCGCTGCAAAGGGCTGAACCCTCCTCTTCCTGCCTTAGCCAGTCTCCTGAGCTTCCCAGGCCCTCACATGGGGCCTGAGTGGGCACTCGCCAGGTGTTAGGTCTGACAAAGGTGTGAATGAATGAAGAAATGAATGAGTGATGCTGTCCTACTGGTCCAGGAAGGAAAGGTGCTGGCGTCCCCTGGGTCTGGAAGACCTTCCCCTGCTCTTTGTAAGTTCCTCCTCAGCTGGTGTCCTGTGGTGTCCTGGCTGGAAGGAATGATGGCCAGGAGATATACAGACCATATGGGCGGGGGGCGGGGGCCCTGCCCTGCCTGTTCATCCTTGTCCACTGCCCACAGGGACTGGAGAGGGGCCGCCCACGATGGCTTTCACTCCACACCTCCATATGCTGGGATGCGGGGGTTGGGGGGCTGGACTTTTAGAAAAATCCTGATACTTATTGCTTTTTTTTTTTTTCCTGCTCTGAAACTTTTTCTGGTTACAAAAGTTTGCTGTGGAAATTTTAGAAACAGCTGAGAACAAATGTGCAGGCACAGAGATGCACACACAAAAATGCTCTGTGTCCCATTACCCAGAGATGACCAGCATGAACATTGTGGTGTTTGTCCTTCCAGAACTTCCAAGCACAGTCATGTATGTGTATCTTTTTCAAATACCTTTCTAGTAAACCATTCTAACCTGCTCTTTTAAAGATTTATTTATTTATTTTTATTTTTTAGACAGAGTCTTGCTCTGTCACCAGGCTGGAGTACAATGGTGCGATCTTGGCTCACTGCAACCTCTGCCTCCTGGGTTCAAGTGATTCTCCTGCTTCAGCCTCCCGAGTAGCTGGGACTACAGGCACCCGCCACCACGCCCGGCTAATTCTTGTATTTTTAGTAGAGACAGGGTTTCTCCATGTTGGCCAGGATGATATTGATCTCCTGGCCTCGTGATCCGCCCACCTCAGCCTCCCAAAAACCTGCTTCTTTGACTGAATAGCTTGGGAACATCTTTCTGCATCACTGAATAGTGTTTTGCATCCTTTTTAATGCTGCAGAATATAAATTCCAGTGTTACTTCACCTGTCCCCTTTAGATTGACACTAAAGTTGTTTCTCTCTCTCTCTCTCTTTTTTTTTTTTTTTTTTTTGATACTAAGTCTCGCTGTCACCCAGGCTGGAGTGCAGTGGCATGATCTTGGCTCACTGTAACCTCCACCTCCCAGGTTCAAGCGATTCTCCTGCCTCAGCCTCCCGAGTAGCTGGGATTACAGGCACCCACCACCACACCTGGCTAATTTTTGTATTTTTAGTAGAGACAGGGTTTCACCATGTTACCCAGGCTGATCTCGAACTCCTGACCTCAAGTGATCCACCCGCCTTGGCCTCCCAAAGTGCTGGAATTACAGGTGTGAGCTACCGTGCCCAGCCAAGGATAACAGTTTTTCTCATTGTAGAAAATACATGCCACATAAGACTTCCCGTTTTATCCCTTTTAAAGTTTACAGTTCAGTGGCATTGAGAACATTCCCAATGTTTTGCAACCACCACCACCATCTACTTCTGGAATGTTTCCATCACCCCTTAGCAGTCACTCCTAATTCCCCCTCCCCCAGCCTCTGGTTTCCTGCCTGTTCTGGGCATTTCATAGAGCTGAGTCACTCAACGTGTGGCCCCTGACCCAGCTTCTTTCCCTGGCCATCATGCTGTTAAGGTCCCCCACACTGTGGCCTGTGTCCCGGCTTCATTCCCGTTCGTGCTGAACGACATCCCATTGTATGGGAAGATGGCATTTTGTTGATCTTTGCGTCCACTGACGGGTATTCGAGTTGACATTTGGTTCTTGTGAATTTGCTGCTGTGAACACTTGTGTATAGGTTTTTGTGTAGACGTGTGTTTTGAGTTCTTTGGAGTGTTATTCAGCAGTAGGACTGAGGGATGGTATGAGCCATTCCGTTTGAGGTTTTTTTTTGTTTTTTTTTTGTTTTTTTTTTTATGGAGTTTTGCTCTTGTTGCCCAGGCTGGAGTGCGGTGGCACCATCTCCGCTCACTGCAACCTCTGCCTCCCGGCTTCAAGCAATTATCCTGCCTCAGCCTCCCGAGTAGCTGAGATTACAGGCATGCGCCACCACGCTGAGCTAATTTTGCAATTTTAGTAGAGACAGGGTTTCTCCATGTTGGTCAGGCTGGTCTCGAACTCCTAACCTCAGGTGATCCACCTGCCTCAGCCTCCCAAAGTGCTGGGATTACAGGTTTGAGCCACCACGCCCAGCCCTAGTTTGAGTTTTTGAGGAACCTCCGTTCCACAACCTCTCCAGCCCCCATGTGAGCACGCACTGCATGCCCGTGGTCACTCTCTCAGGCTCCAGGCCTGGAGGGCGAGTGACAGATAGGGGTGGGATCCGTGCTTTGCTTGCTTTGCTTTGCACTGCCTTGCACTGCCAAATTGCTCTCCAGAAAGCCTGTCCCGTGCCCACCCAGGTGCGGGCTTGCTTCAGTGCCTGCTGGGCCTCATGTGGGTGATTGGCACCTTGAGGTGTCATGGACCACCCCGGGGGGACCACTGACACATCCTTCCCTCCCTGGGACCTCGTTTCAGTCTCTGGGGGCCCTGGCTGTCCCTGGCACATCTGGAGGTTGCCCCTAGAGTTGGGGGGGCAGCTCAGGGAAAACTTGTCCTTGTGGGGTCAGGACCCCAGCAGGCGGCACTGGCCTGTGCACTGTGGGGGAGGGAAGGCTGGCCTGTAGGGCCCCCACCAGGGAAGCCAGGGCCAGGAAGGGCCCTCTGCCACACAGCCTCTTCCCGAGCAAGCCCTGGTCATGCTAGAACTGTGTCCTTTGTGAATCACTGATGTGGAGGGCTAGGAAGGGCTGGGACGTGGAATGGGGAATGAAGGAGGGAGGGTCCGCAGGCCCTCTGGGTGGTGGCTGAGGGACTGGAGCTGATTTTTTGCCACTGCAGAGTGACATGTGAGAGTCATTTTAGCAGACATTCCCCAAGTGCAGGGGCAAAGAGATGAAGGAGGGCAGTTCGGAATATTCCAGACAGAGGGCATGGGGTTGTTTCTGTGTAGAAAGATGGCAGGGGAAGTCAGGGGTCAGGGAAGAGCCCCAGTGCCTGAGGTCGGTGGGCTCCACGGATGTGACATCTGAGGACCCCAGGGGTGAGGGGATATGCACACCCAGACTCCCATGCCGGGATCCTGAGCACCCACGAACCATGGCTATGGAGGCAGGGAGCCTCCCCAGGGCTGGACCTCCAGGCACAGACGAGCAGAGGAGAGGACGTCTAGGCTGGAGGAGATCAGGAGGAGGCGCAGAGGTGGCCTGTGTGAGGACAGTGAGGGCCAGGCTGGCTGGGGCCATGCTTTGGAGCCTTGAACGCTGGTCTAAGGCTTCCACTGGCAGCTGTTGCAGAGGGTTCTGATCCATCTCTGTCCCCCATGCAGATGGGCTTGCTGAGGAAGGCCAGAGTGCTGGGGTGCTGCCTAGTGAGGGACAAGGAGGGACAGGAGCCGGTGGTGAGGAGCCTGCTGCTGAGAGGTGCCTCTCAGGGGCCGACATTGCCAGGGTCTAGTCTTGGTGGCCTCTGTGCTTGGGGCCAAATGCCCTTGGCCGCCTCTTTCCTTCTCTTTTATGGGTCTCCAGTCCCGCCTGGGACGGAGAGGGTTACTGGAGACACGCTTTGTACTTCAATAGGCACTTTCATCTGCAGCCTTTGGAGGGCTTTGCAAACATGGCTTAATGAAGGGTCCCAGCACCCCAGCCTCCTAAGCACCGTTTTGAGCTGGATGCATGCAGAACAGAGGGATTAAGTGATTTGTCCAGGATTGCACAGCAAAGCTGAGTGGATTCCCCTGCCGTCCCCTGAGGCTCAGGGCTGCGTTGGGCTGTGCCCTCCACCTTCCCTCTCTGCTTGCTGGGTCTTGTCCTTTGGGAGCCCCCGAGCTCTCAGCTGACGGCCTTCTGCCCCTGGAAATCCATGCGTCCCCTTGCTTGCCAGCTGCCAGCCCACGAGCAAGCCGGTCAAGGCGGTCTCTGATTTCGACGGCCGAGGAGGGGACCTTTCAGGAAGGGGTGGCCGTAGGCGAGGGTTGATCGCTGGGCCTGGAATCTGCTCCCACAGGGCCTGTGGGGCCTCACGGGGCTGCTGCTGGCTTCAGCCTCTGGGTGCTGGGCTGGCAGGGGTGAGGGGGCTGAGCAGAGATGCCTGCGTGTGGGGCGGGGCGAGCCCGGCCCCTGTCCTGCTGGGAAATTCCTGACGTTCTTTCTTTGGGTCTGTGAGCTCATGAGCAAGTATGGTGGGTGCATTTTATAAACCGGAAAATAAATCATTCATTGAAATGGAGACAAATGCATTTCCAACCCAAAGTGTCAGGGGTCATCAAGGTCAAGGGCAGGGAGGCAGCCTGGCTGTCCCTGTGAGCTGAGACAGCATGACGTGTGCAGAGTCCTGGCTCACCCGCCACCTCTTCTCTCCAACCCCAGTTCCCCTGGCATTCCAGGCACCCACCTCGCTCCCCTCGTGATGACAGGAGCCTTCAGGTGGTCTCTCCTCCTTGTTCCACAGTGATCTGTTCTCAGTCCCACAGTCAGAAGACCCTTTTACAGCTCAAGTCTCATCAGGCTCCTGCTCAGCTTAAATTCCCCCAATGGCGGCCAGGCGTGGTGGCTCACGCCTGTAATCTCAGCACTTTGGGAGGCCAAGGTGGGCAGATCACGAGGTCAGGAGTTCGAGACCAGCCTGACCAACGTGGTGAAACTGCGTCTCTACTCAAAATACAAAAATTAGCCAGGCATGGTGGCGGGCACCTGTAATCCCAGCTACTCGGGAGCCTGAGGCAGGAGAATCGCTTGAACCAGGGAGGCGGAAGTTGCAGTGAGCCGAGATCATGCCACTGCACTCCAGCCTGGGCGACAGAGCGGGCCTCCGTCTCAAAAAAAAAAAAAAAAAAAAAAGGCCCAGTGGCTCCCACTTCACTCCAAGCAAAGCTCGAGCCTTGCCATGGCCCCCTAGGCCCTTTGCTTCTGCAGCTCCCTCTCTGCTCTCCACCCACCCGCTGCTGCAGCTGCCCTGACCTCCTCTCTCTTCCAGTCCAGTCTCCTGGCCTTTGTCCCCACTGAGTCCTCTGCCTGAGGCACCCTCCCTGGATCCACTTGCAGGCTGCCCTCTCATCGATGCCCAAGGGACACTTTTTCTTCAGCACAGCTTCTCCCGAACACTGGAATTAAAGTGGCAGCCCCTCCCATCCCGCCCCCTCCCTGGCCTTCCCTGCAGCCCTCCCTTTCTTTCTTCTCCATTCTGCCTCTCCCCACCTCCTGAGACACTGTGTCATTTTCTTACTTGTTTTACTTGTCTTCTCTCCCCCACCTCAGCATAAGTGCCGTTGGAGTAGGATGTTTGTTCATTCACTACCACAGCAATAAGCTGTGGGCACCGGGAGGCCTGGGAGGTCCTCAGTGTGTTAAATTTCCAGAGTTGGCTTTGGGACCGTTCGCTGAGAATCCTAAATTGGAGAGGTAGGTCTCCAGGGATGAAAGGGGAGGGTCAGGGGCAGAGCCCGAACTCCTCAGGGCAAGGGGGTGACTGGCTGGCCTGTTCACCTCCCACTGGGGTTTGGAGGGTGGTGGTTCAGCCAGATAGTGTATTAGACTGCAGAAGAAGGCAAGAGGGAAGACAACAGACAGTTAGCAGAGCTTTCAAGCAAAGGTCTCCTGCGGCTGTCCCTGGAGGTCTTGGAGGTGAGAGGGAGGCGCGCCAGAGGGGCACTGCTTGGGGCACCGTCAGCTGCACCCCAGCATGGGCGCCTGTGATCCTAGGGGGCCCGCAGCACACCCCCCTCAGAAGCACGCATTTCTCCCACTTATGCATGGCCCCGGGTCAGGACCATGCAGAAGCGGGATCCCAATAGCTCAACCTAAAGCCAGGGCCAGGCCTCGATCCTTCCTGCCCTCGTCTTAAGAGTCACAGTCCTGGCCAGGTGCCTGTAATCCTAGCACTTTGGGAGGCTGAGGCAGGTGGATCACTTGAGGTCAGGAGTTTGAGACCAGCCTGACCAACATGGTGAAACCCCGTCTCTACTAAAACTACAAAAATTAGCTGGGTGTGGTGGCTGATGCCTGTAATCCCAGCACTTTGGGAGGCTGAGGCGGGAGGATCACCTGAGGTCAGGAGTTCAAGACCAGCCTGGCTAACATGGTGAAATCCCGTTTCTACTAAAAATACAAAAAATTAGCTGGGTGTGGTGGTGCACATCTGCAATCCCAGCTATTCAGGGGGCTGAGGCAGGAGAATCGCTTGAGCCCAGGAGGAGGAAGTTGCAGTGAACTGAGATCACGCCATTGCACTCCAGCCTGGGCAACAAGAGTGAAACTCCATCTCCAAAAAATAAATAAATAAATAAAATTAAAAATACAAAAATTAGCAGGGCGTGGTGGTGCATGCCTGTAATCCCAGCTACTGGGGAGGCTGAGGCAGGAGAATCACTTGAGCCTGGGAGGTGGAGATTGCAGTGAGCCGAGAGGGTGCCATTGCACTCCAGCCTGGGCAACAAAAGTAAAACTCCATCCCCCCCACACAAAAAAGGGTCATAGTCCCTCTGTCAAACCTACCCTGGAAAAAGGGGTGTGGAAGAGTCCCCAGGGCTCCAGAAAGAAGAGCTACATGTTGGGGTTGCCAGACTTAGCAAGCAAAACAGAACACCCAGTTCAACGTGAACTTCAGATAAACACTGAATAAGTTGTTAGTATAAGTATATCCCCTGCAGTTGTTGGGTTATACTTACACTAAGGAATTGTCATTTATCTCAAATTCAAACTTAGCTGGGCATCCCAGATCTTATCTGACAGCCTGGGGGAGACGACGCTTGAGCCTCTAGGGATCCCCGTGTGAGTCCCCAGAGAGGACTGGCCACAATCAGAGTGTCCAGCAGAGAATCCAGCCGTGCTCTGTCTCCTGCGTCCAGCCCCTTTGGTCCTGAGAGTGAGCGCCTCCTCACTGAGAGTATTCAAGGAAAGACGAGAAGGATTCCTGCGCTGGGCAGAAGATGGAGTTTCTGGAATCCTAAGATTTTCAGAGCCAGAAATGAACAGTAGAAGTGACCAAGTTTCATTTCACAGAGAAGGAAACTGAGGCCCGGGGCGGTGGGCTGACTTGCTGAAAGCCCCTCTTGGAGTCAGCAGCTACGCTGGGGCTGAATCCAGGCATCCTGACCCCTGCTGTCTTGCACATGACCAACTGCCTGGAGCAAGTGTGGCCCCAGCACTAGTGTGACCTGGACGAGAGGCCCGTCATCCTCAGCCTCAGGCCCAGCAGAATTAGACCGGGATGCTCTGGCCAGCCTCCCAGCCCTGCACCTCTTCTGGCCTTGGCTCCTGGCCCCGCACAGGACAGGCACACAGCCCTGCCCACACCTTGATTTTGGACTTCAGGCCCCTCTGCCACTCCCTCTGATCCTTGTTTGTCAAAGCTCCAGCCCCTGGGGACCCCAGACGCCCCTGTGTTTTGCACATGAATAGGTGGAGATTTCCTGAGACCATCTTGCCATGAAAATGCACATTTCTCACCAAAAGGCTCCAAATCTGGGCACCACAGACTCCAGCAAAGAGCCAGGCTGACCGTGCCCCAGGTGTGAAGGTGGCTGGACCCTCCCAGGGGCTGCCTGGATCCCAGCCAGCTGGAGGAAGCCACCCAGGTGTCTGTGAGGAGCCAGCACCCTGAGGTTGCCAAACAAACCCATGGCCCTCTCCGCAGACAGGAGGAGGCGTGGAGTTTGGAACCACCTCCCCAGACTCCAGCTGCCTGGCAGAGATCTTCAGGGCTGGGGGTGAACCTAGAAACCAACCACCTCTCTGTGAGTGCTCACTCATTCACTCAACAAGCATTCATCCAGGCCCTGCTGCATGCTGGGTGCTCTTACAGACACGGGATGCAGCCGTGATAGGGACAAGTGAGACAGGCAAGGGCTTGCTGTCATGGGGCTCGGAGTCCAGGAGGAGACACTCAGTAGACGGGAACTCGATGGTCTGGGCTGTTCACGCAGGCTAGGGAGGGGCAGAGGCCAGGGTTGTGAGAGGGAGTGTCTGGGAGGCTGTAGCTGTAGCTGGGGTTAGGGAGGATGCCTTCCCAGTGTGGGAGAGCCCACCTGTGAAGATCTGGGCACAAACCCTCCAGGTGGATGTGCAGGTGCAAAGGCCCTGGGGCTGGACGGGTTGCAGGAAGAAGGCAGCTCGTACCACCAGGACTGGGGAGAGAGTGGGAGGTGGCACCAGCCTGTGGGCTGGTGAGGAGGATGGCAGGTCTTGCTCCCACCCTCTCAGGACTGGCTTTTAAGGACCTGCCTTCCTCTGGGTTATGTCACTTCTCTAATCACCCACAGCCCAGGCCGGGCTGGCTCCTCTGTCCTCACGGGACTTGGGCCCTGATCTTGGAGGGGTCAGCCAGGCCAGCCTCTGCCTCTTGTCTCCAGAGCCCAGAAGGGGGGGCCCCACCCAGCAAGGCTGGGTGATGTGGGGATGGGCTCGTTCCTCCTCAGCTACAGGAGGTAGAATGGTGTCCCCCTCCACAAAAAAAAGATATGTCCACTTCCTAACCCCTGTGGCCTGTGAGTGAGATCTCACTGGGAAATCGGGTCTTAGCAGATGGAATTAAGCTTAGGATCTGGAGATGAGGTCCTCTTGAGTTTCAAGTGGGACGTAAATTGAATGTAGGCACTCTTCTCAGAGCAGAGGAGAGAAACAGAAGCAGAGAAGCCCACGTGAAGACGGTGGGAGGCACGGGAACAATGCAGCCCTAGTCCGGAGCGCCAGGAGACCCCAGGAGCTGGAAGAGGCAGGAGGATCCTCCCCCAGAGCCTTCGGAGGGTGCACAGCCCTGCCCAGGCCTTGATTTTGGACTTCTAGTTTCCAGAACAGATTTTTGATGTTTTTTTGTTTGTTTTTTTGAGACAGAGTCTCACACTGTCACCTGAGCTGGAGTGCAGTGGCGCAATCTTGGCTTACTGCAACCTCCGCCTCCCAGGTTCAAGCGATTCTCTTGCCTCAGCCTCCCAAGTAGCTGGGATTATAGGCACCCACCACCACGCCTGGCTAATTTTTTGTATTTTTAGTAGAGACGGAGTTTCTCCATGTCGGTCAGGCTGGCCTTGAACTCCTGACCTCATGATCTGCCCACCTCGGCATCCCAAAGTGCTGGGATTGCAGGCAAGAGCCACTTCGCCCTGCCGGATTTTTTATGTTTTAAGCCACCAAGCTTGTGACGTTTGTTAAGGCAGTCCTGGGAAACCCCTGCGCTGCCCTTTGACTCCTCTGTGACTTGGTCAATGGCAATGAGGCCCAAGCACCTCTGGACCCACTTACCTTTCCAGCCTGGGCTGTCTCTTGAGCCTGTCACTGGAGAGAAGGAGCCTGAGGAGGGTTTAGGGTTAAAGAGATTTGGGAGGCTGGGCGCAGTGGCTGATGCCTATAATCCCAGCACTTTGGGAGGCTGAGGCGGGCAGATCACTTGAGGTCAGGAGTTTGAGACCAGCCTGCCCAATATGGTGAAACCCTGTCTCTACAAAAAATACAAAAATTAGCTGGGTGCTATGGTGTGCACCTGTAATCCCAGCTACTCGGGAGGCTGAGGCAGGGGAATCGCTTGAACCTGGGAGGTGGAGGTTGCAGTTAGTGGAGATCGTGCCACTGCACTCTAGCCTGGGTGACAGAGCTAGACTTCATCTCAAAAAAAAAAAAAAAAGAGAGAGAGATTTGGGGCTGAATGTGGCCCTGCATTACCTGTAGGAAGAACTTGGGCAGGTAACTTAAGCTGCCTCTAACCTGGCTTTCCTCACCTGTGAAATGAGGTGGCCACTCATGGGGTCTTCAGGGCCTCTCCAGAAGGCCCCAAAGGAAGAATTTCAGCACAGATGGAGCCCCGGTCCCAGCCCATTCTCTGCCCAGACCCCTGGCTAGGCTCCAGCCACCCCAGGCAGTCCCCCTCCCCAGGTAATTGGGGGCTATTGAAGTCCATTAACATACTCTGGCGACAATCCTAGCCCTAATCACATTAGCTCTGAAGTACAAATCAGGACCTGGCCCTGGAGCTGCTTTCAAAGATCAGGGGGCTCACGGGTTCTGGGGCTTTCCCCAGCCTCTGTTTGCTCCTCTCTTGAAATCCACAATCTCCTGGGCTGGTGTCAAGGAACTGAGAAGAGCCCAGGGGCCTCCCTGGGAAGTGTGAGTGTGTCTGAGGGGCAAACCCGGACCAGGACAGAGACTGCCCACCTGCCCAGGGCATGTCTGGGTGCCCCTTCCTGGCCACAGAGCCTGAGAGGGGCTTAGGCGGTCTCTGCACCTGGATCGGGGGGTTTGCCCGAGGTACGGTTGTGCACACTGCGTTTCTCACCCTGGGACATGCAGATGTGTTCACGGTGGGTCAAGGATACCCCACATTGGAAACTCACCCTGTGGTGGATCCTACGGTGGCTCTGCTGCTCACAGCAGTGTGACCTTGGACAAGTCACTGCACATCGTCTGTGAGGTGCCCCACCCTGGAGGAGAACAGGGAGGGGATAATGCATAATGTCATGAGCAGTGACTGTGCTCGACACCCCACTTCCACGCTGATGCTCAAAGGGTATCTCATGGCTGAATCGTGCCCTCAGTTTCATAGGTTAAAGGCTAATCCCAGTGCCCCCAGAATCTGCATCTGGAAATGGGGTCTTCACAGAGGCAATTAAGGTAAAATGAGATTATATGGGTGGACCCTCATTCCACCTCACTCATGTCCCTGTAAGAAGACATGAGGGCTGGGCGCAGTGGCTGACGCCTGTAATCCCAGCACTTTGGGAGGTCGAGACAGGTGGATCAATTGAGCTTAGGAGTTCGAGACCAGCCTGGGCAACATGGTGAAACTCCCCCTCTACTAAAAATACAAACATCAGCCGGGTGTGGTGGTGCATGCCTTTGGTCCCAGCTACTTGGGAGGCTGAGGCAGGAGGATCACCTGAGCCTGGGAGGTCAAGGCAGCAGTGAGCCATGATCTCGCCCCTGCACTCCAGCCTGGGCAACAAAGTGAGACCCTGTCTCAAAAACAAAACAAAACAAAACACCCAAGAAGGGATGAAGACACAGACACCCACAGAGGGATGACCACAGGAGGACACAGGGAGAAGGTGGCATCTGCAGGCCAAGGGGAGAGGCCCCGGAGGAGCCAGTCCTGCCACACCTTGATCTTAGCCTCCAGGGCAGTGAGAGGATAATCGGCTGTTGCCCGTCTGTGGTGCTTTGTCATGGCGGCCAGAAGGAACACATATGGGACTCCTCTCCCAGCCCTTCTTTCCTTTTTATGTAGAAGATTCACCTTTCTCGGAAGGTGTGAACATGACAAGGCGCTCGCAGTTCGTTTCTTTTGGTGGCAGCTTAGATGTGTAAGCAGAGATATGCGTCCCTTCTAATTTTGTCATGAGTTGAACACTATACACCTTTGCAAGAAACAAATATGCAACTATGCCAAAAGGGAATGATGTTATCCCCTTATGCCACTGCCATCCCCAGAGGGACCCCATGTGGGCTGCCTGGGGACACACACTACCCTCCACTCCATGTTCATTCAGATGCACACATGCTCATGTGTCGAGTTTTTGTGGCTCCTGGTTTTTATATTTATTTGTTCTATGTATTTATGTTTTTATTTATTTATTTATTTTTGAGACAGAGTTTCACTCTTGTTGCCCAGGCTGGAGGGCAATGGCGTGATCTCAGCTCACCGCAACCTCCACCTCCCAGGTTCAAGCGATTCTCCCACCTCAGCCTTCCTGAGTAGCTGGGATTTCAGGCATGCACCACCACGTCCAGCTAATTTTGTATTTTTAGTAGAGATGGGGTTTCTCCATGTTGGTCAGGCTGGTCTCGAACTCCCGACCTCAGGTGATCCGCCCACCTTGGCCTCCCAAAGTCCTGGGATTACAGGCATGAGCCACCGTGTCTGGCCTATTTTATTTATTTTTTTGAGATGGAGTCTCGCTCTGTAACCCAGACTGGAGTGCACTGCCGCAATTTCGGCTCACTGCAACCTCTGCCTCCTGAGTTCAAGAGATTCTCCTGCCTCAGCCTCCAGAGTAGCTGGGATTACAGGCGTGTGCCACCACATCCAGCTAATTTTTTATATTTTTGGTAGAGACAGGGTTTCACCATGTTGGCCAAGCTGGTCTCGAACTCCTGACCTCAAGTGATCCACCTGCCTTGACCTCCCAAAGTCGAGTGGGGCCACCGTGCCCGGCCGGCTTCTGGTTTTTATAAACATGGCATCAGTGTGTGCACATCACTCTGACCTCTGTTTTCTGACTCAGGCTCTGGTCAGTGCAGTAAACGCACATCTAACCCTTCAAGTCTATACTTGTCTCCTTCTTATCAATAAGTGGCTGGGAAGTGCTCTGGACTTTAGAGATAATTAGGAGCCAGCTATAAATCCACTGAGGCTGTTGACTTTTTTTTTTTTTTTTTTTTTTTTGGGATGGAGTCTAGCTCTGTCACCAGAAGAGCAGTGGCGCGATCTTGGCTCACTGCAAGCTCCGCCTCCCGGGTTCATGCCATTCTCCTGTCTCAGCCTCCCGAGTAGCTGGGACTACAGGTGCCCACCACCACGCCCAGCTACTTTTTTGTATTTTTAGGTGAGACGGGTTTTCACCGGGTTGGCCAGGATGGTCTCGATCTCCTGACCTCGTGATCCGCCCACCTTGGCCTCCCAAAGTGCTGGGATTACAGATGTGAGCCACCGCGCCTGGCTGACTTTTCTTTTCTTTTCTTTTTTTTTTTGAGATGGAGTCTCACTCTGCTGCCCAGGCTGGAGTGCAGTGGGGTGATCTCGGCTCACTGTAAGCTCCACCTCCTGGGTTCACGCCATTCTCCTGGCTCAGCCTCCCGAGTAGCTGGTACTACAGGCACCCACCACCATTCCCTGCTAATTTTTTGTATTTTTAGTAGAGACGGGTTTTTACCCTGTTAGCCAGGTTGGTCTTGATCTCCTGACCTCGTGATCCACTCGCCTTCGCCTCCCAAAGTGCTGGGATTACAGGCGTGAGCCACCGCGCCAGGCCTGACTTTTCAAAATAGTAGATCTCTCAACCCGTTTTCCCTTTCTCCGGTGGTTTCATGGTGTGCTTAGGGTTTCTGTCTCTTCAGGGATCAATTCTAGTGTTTGAATTTCACCAAGGTATTGCCCAGTTCCCTTGTATTTTCACCTGTGTGGCTGCAGTGGTAGGGTGTCTATGCTTTCTTCTCTCATAATCAATGGATTCCTTCTTTATTGGGGGCTGTAACCTCTTCCTCATTCCTACATTTGTAACTTTCATTCTCTTTCTCTTTTTTCTTTTCTTAACTGGGATTGCCAGGAATTGTTCTTTTCCCGTTGTACTGGCCTTTTCAATGAACCAACTTCTGATTTTCTTCATGCTTTCTGCTGTTTTTTATTTTCGACTTAACTAATTTCAGCTTTAATGCTATCAAATCCCCTCATTCTAATTTCTTTTAGTTTACTTTCCTCTTCTTCTTTCTTACCTTGAATATTTGATAGATTTTATCTTTAGGCTCTTATAACAAAACCATCCTGGGCTGCGAAAATCCCCCCTAATTACAGCTATTGCTGCATACCTACGTTTTGTTATGAAGTGTTCTCTTTCTAGCTTTCTGGATATTTTAGACGGAGTCTGGCTCTGTCACCCAGGCTGGAGTGCAGTGGTGCAATTTCAGCTCACTGCAACCTCTGCCTCCTGGGTTCAGGCAATTCTCCTGCCTCAGCCTCCCAAGTAGCTGGGACTATAGGTGCATGCCACCACGCCCAGCTAATTTTTTGTATTTTTAGTAGAGACGGGTTTCACCGTGTTGGCCAGGCTGCTCTCAGTCTCCTACCTTGTGATCCGCCCGCCTCAGCCTCCCAAAGTGCTGGGATTGCAGGCCTCAGCCACTACGCCCTGCCTAAAGCCCAGCTATTTCTTTAACTCAGTGTCCACAAGTTGGCTAGGTAGTTCTTCCGCCGTGGGCTGGCTTGGCTCATCTCTCTGGGCACTTTCATGGTGGTATTCCAAATGAATACTGGTCCTTCCAAGAGCACCAGCCTGTGTCTTTGCACTCTCAGTGTTAAAATGTGAGAATCAGCAAGTACTAGCAGGTTGTGAGGGGGACACTGGCATGAGTTGAGAGTTTTCCATTCCCAATCAGAAGGATGAAGGAGAAGGAAAAGGGAACCATCATGCCACTCCATAGTTTAACAAGACTGTGCTGTGTCTGCCAGCCATCCATAGCCATTTCCTCAGCCACCAGAAGTATGTGCCCGCCCTGGGAGACACTCCCAGAACTATGGGAGGCTGAGGTGGGCGGATCATCTGAGATCAGGAGTTCAAGACCAGCCTGGCCAACATGGTGGCACCCCATCTCTACTAAAAATACAAAATTAGCCAGGTGTGGTGGTGTGCACCTGTAGCTGCAGCTACTTGGGAGGCTGAGTCAGGAGAATTGCTTGAACCTGGGAGGTGGAGGTTCCAGTGAGCCAAGATTGCACCATTGCACTCCAGCCTGGGTGACAAAGCGAGACTCCATCTCAAAACAACAAACAAACAAACAAAAAACCAAAGATCTGTCCTTAACCACATATGACAAATTCTAGTCCAGTTATCACAAGATGTTCAGATCCCATTTGCTCATTTACTCAACAAGCTCACACTGTTGGGCCACCGTGAGCACGGCTCCCCTGCTGGGGTACAGCAATGACCAAGGATGGCAAGGCCAACACTTGGCATAAAACAACCCCTGCTAAGGGGGCAGAACTTAAAAATGTGTAATAAATGAATATGATCATATGAATAATTCTAAGTGCCACAAGGGGGGAGTGACGGGGGAGAGAGGACATCTTACGAGGTCCTCAGAAGTGCCCCTGAGCCGGAGCTGAGTGCCGCGTGATGAAAAGAAGCCACCAGGCATGGAAGGTCTAGCAGGGGCTGTGTGCAAAGGCCCGGGGGCAGGACAGAAAGAAGGCGTGTGAGGCTGGGCGCAGACAGAGGGAAACTGGGTGGGGGGTTGGGAGATATCTTTGCCGGATGATCTCGTAGTTCTCAGACTCAGCCATCATCCTTTTTCTTTTTTAAACCCATCTATTGAACATTTAAAAGTTATTGTAAACATCTACACTTTATTTTAGAAGTTTAATTGCTCTGTCGTTTCTAATTCCATCTCTTCTTGAAATGCCCTTCCTTTCCCTTATTGGCTAGAATTCTCAGCTGAGTCTCCATCACACTTTGGCCTGGGCCTTCCTTCCCCAGGCAGCTGAGGGTCCTTGGATAAGTTGTTGTTGTCTTTGATCTATCATGACTTTGTCTTCTCCCAGGCCCCATCCGTTCTGGCTGAAGGTCGAGGGAGACAGACAGTGGATGGTCCAGCAGCCTCTGCCCTGAGTCTGGGAAGCTCAGGAAGGTAGAGGGAAGGGATCAGCCATCCCCTCTCTGCTGGCTCTTGGGTGAGAAGCTTTCAGTGCTTGGGGCCCCAGGTATAGATGAAGGCCCTCTGCCAATTCTAGGGGCTGGGAACAATTCATCCTGCTCTAAGGGACCCCTCCAGGTCCTCAGGGCTCAGCAGGCACTATTAGCCATCTGGGGACACCAACGAGGGTTTGCACTGGCCCTTGATACTGGAGTCCCTTCAGGACATGAAAATCCTGGCTTCTGCCAGGAGCCACAAAGACAGGCAAGCTTTGTTCGCCACCACGGGTCCCAGCTCTCCTTCCAGCCCAAAGAAGCCAGATACCCAAGCAACCATCTTGCCTTGGATGTCCCACGGCCCCGGAGAGGAAGCGGGCTGCAGAGAGAATGGGGTGCGTGCCTCACCACTCTCTTCCCCACCTCTCCATTAGCACCTGTCCCGTCATCTCTTACTGAGTAACAAACCGATGCAAACCTCAGTGGCACGTGGCAACCACCATTTTATTGAGCTCGCTGGTTCTGTTACAAGGAGCTTGGACAGGACACAGCAGGATGGCTTGTCTCTTCCATGACATCTGGAATTTCAGCTGGGAAGACTCAAATGGATGGGAACTGGGACCATCCTGGAGGCCTCTTCACATGTATGATGTCTGGGTCGGGACAATTTGAAGTCCAGATCTAGCTAGGACTGGCCGGAACACCTACACTTGGCCTCTCTGTGCAGCTTGGGCTTCCTCCCAGTATGGCGTCTTCAGGTGGTTGGACTTCTGATCTCTGTGTGGCTTGGGCTTCCTCCCAGTATGGCCTCCTCAGGTATGAACCTGACACAGTGGCTCAGGGCTCCAAGCATCACCTGTGGTGACCCAGCCTCAGAAATCACACTGTGGCACTTCTGCCAATGCTACTGGTGGAAGCAGTTAGAAGCCCACTCAGACTGAAGAGGAAGGGACATAGGCACCCACCTCTCAGTGAGAGGACAGTCAAAGACGTCACCACCACTTAGCTTTGTCTATCATTTTGTCAGGAGTCTGACATTTGCAGAGAGCCACGTGCAAGCAAGTCCTAAGTGGGGTGCTCTGGGACGGCCCAGGGCTGCAGGGTCTCTGGTCGACTGAGGTGCTGTGAGTGGCCCTGGTGACAGGGAGCCCTTTGAAGATATGAGGTCTCTTGCCAAATGCAATTTATCTCCTGGGTCAGATGCCTTGGGAGGTCCTGCAGGGACCTGCCACTGCTTTGTCTGGGAAGATAGCCTCCGCTGCCTCACTGTGTCCACAGTGGCGTCCAACGAGCCATAGGAGTCACTGAAATCACAGCTCACCCTTGTGAGCACTCGCCGGCCTGGGGTTGTGCTGAACCCTTTCTATGGATTAACAGGGTGCTGCCCCAGGTGCCACACTGGCCTGTAGCAGGAGAGGCATTTCTAGGTGGAACATGGGTTGGTTACATTAAGTCACATTGGATCGCCCAGTGAGAAAGCTATTCCCTTTCAGCCATTCTCACTCCCAGGAGAATGTCTCTGTTTGGTGACAGTAAGTCCTTAACACCCCTCTAACACTTGCAAATCTCTCTTGTGGGGGGAGAAAAAGAGACAGCAAGCCCGAGGCTCAGAGCTTTTGGCAGACACCTGCATCTTGCAAGAAATTCTCAACATCATTTTGTGTTTCTTATCATGGGCTACCTTCTGTGTATGACAAGGGACAATGTTTTTCCACTGAAGCTTGTCCTGTAAAATTTTAAAAGAAAATTATTTAAGTAACAAACGAATAGATCAAAACAAAAATTCAGGTAGACAAAAGTACACATGGTAGGCAGGTGTGGGAACCAGGGCCCAGTGGAACCAAGGCAGCCCTGGAGACACTTGGATGTCTGAGTTTTTAGAAGCTCTGCCTTGGTTCCCTCATAATGACTGTGAGAAGGGTTTGTTATTGTTATTTCCATCCCGTGGTTGAAGGAACAGGACTCAGAGGCGTTCAGTCTCCTTGCTCAAAGCTCACAGCAAATGCAGGCAGTGCCAGAGGTCCTGCCCCCTGAACCCAGGCTGTCCCCACTGGGCTTGCTGCCCAGCTCCACTCCCAGGATCGAGGTCCACTCTGAGCTGGAGAGTCAGGGGCTCTCCACACAGAGGGACATTTCAGGACCAAACATGGGGAAGTTCCAGAGAGGGCAACTGACCGAGGCCAGTCCAGAGGCAAAGATGTGGGCACTGGGGCTTGGGGTCCAAAGAAACCAGCACTGAGTGGTAACCAGGGGTCACTAAGCCACTTGGTCCCACGATGACCCACAGGAGTAAGTCCTGAAGCTCTTCTAGTCATCAGGTCCACCCTGTGAGTGTGTCAGGGGGAGGGTGGTGGGTAGAGATCGCAGAGTATCCCCCAAGGGAAGAAATGAGGACTGAAGCTCACATAGGCCCCAAGTCCAGGGTTAGGACATCCCACAGGATGGAACCTGCTAGCTCCAGCCAGTCCCAGGCACCAGAAATGTGGACGGCAGCTCAGTGCATGAGGCCTCCCAAGGCCTGGGGCCCAGGGAACTGCTCCAGCCAGAGCCCCCTGTTCCCCCAGTACACACACCATGGACTGGTGTGCGAAGCTGGGCAGAGTGGAGTAAGAGTTGCCTGAAGAAGCGAAGTGTGTCACCTGACTTTGGATGTGACTTCAGGAAAGGAGTCCCCAAGGCATCTAGGCCTCTGCTCAAGAGCCACTGGGGGTGACCCCGATGGTGGGTGAGACCAGGAAGGGGTGGTGCTGCCTCCTTCCCTCCTGATTCCAATGGACGCCCTGACATCCTGTCCCACCTGCTATGGTCTGATGTCTGTGTCCCCCCCAAATTCATATGTTGAGCCCCAATCCTTAATGTGATGGGTGTTAGGAGGTGGGGACTTTGGGAGGCGATTAGGTCATTAGATGGAGCCTTCATAAGTGAGAATTAGTGCCTTTAAAAAAGGGACCCCATGGCCAGGCACAGTGGCTCATGCCTGTAATCCCAGCACTTTGGGAGGCTAAGGCGGGTGGATCACGAGATCAGGAGTTCAAGACCAGCCTCGCCAAGATGGTGAAATCCCCATCTCTACTAAAAATACAAACAAAACAAAACAGGCTGGGCAGGAGAATCGCTTGAACCCAGGAGGCAGAGGTTGCAGCACATTGGGAGGAAGAGGCGGGCGGATCACGAGGTCAGGAGTTCGAGATCAGCCTGGCCAACATGATAAAACTCTGTCTCTACTAAAAATACAAAAATTAGCCAGTGGTGGTGGCAGGCACCTGTAATCCCAGCTACTCAGGAGGCTGAGGCAGGAGAATCGCTTGAACCCAGGAGGCAGAGGTTGCAGTGAGCCGAGATCACACCATTGCACTCCAGCCTGGTCAATAGAGTGAGACTCCATCTCAAACAAACAAACAAAAAACTAGCCAGGCATGGTGGTGGGCACCTGTAATCCCAGATACTCAGGAGGCTGAGGCAGAGAATATCTTGAACCTGGGAGGTGGAGATTGCATTGAACTGAGATCATGCCACTGCACTCCAGCCTGGGCAATTGAGCGAGATTCCATCTTAAAAAAAAAAAGGACCCCAGAGAGCCCCCTTGCCCCTTTGTCATTTGGGGACACAGGGAGAAGCTGGCAATCTGCAGTCTGGAAGAAGGCTAATAGGGTTTGGATCTGTGTCCCCACCCGAATCTCATGTCCAATTGTAATCCCGACTGTTGGAGGGTGATAGAGTAAGACTCCGTCTCAAAAAAAAAACAAAAAGGCACCAACCTCCTGAGCCGGTGTTGTTCTGCTTCCCATCGGCCAACCGGATGTGGCTGCTACGTGTGCTGGGTCACTGACTGGATGGCTGGAACTGGCTTGGGGTCTCCTCTTTGGCTGGGGCCAGAGCATGGATCAGATGCTCACCAGTGGGCGTGCACACCTGAGGACATCAGGAAAGGCACGGAGCAGCTCCCAGGTGCCCAGCAGCACACTGGGGATCTATATCTATATAGGTGGTGAACCAAATGGGCCCAGCCCCTGCCTGCAAAGATTCCAGTCCTGGGGAGGGAGGGAAAGCAAGCCCCAACAGGTGCGTAACTCACAAGTCAATTACTCTGTGTAGGGGTTAGGAAGGGCTGCGGGGTGTGGTTTGTTTCCCAGGATGGTGTCTTCACCCCCCAGCTGCTGATGGCTTGGAGCTTCCCTGCTCCTGAAAGGGACCACATTGCCTGGAAAGGCCTGGAGGGTCCACTCTCCCCGATCCCCAGGGCAGCCTGCAGCCAGGGACTGATTGACAAGGGGGTACAGATGCTCAGCCCCTTGCCCCAAGGTGGGACAGCTCTAGGATGCTGTTGGTACCCCAGAGCACCCCGGGGAGTGAGGAATCAGGCCAGACCAGGCTGAGTTGTGATTGCCGCTTCTTTGGCCTGTCCTGCTGCTCTCCTTTCCTTGCCAGTTCTTCCTGGGAGCTCCTCCCTTGACAAACTCTTTGCTCAGGGATCCCAGTCTTGGGTTTTGTTGCTGGGGAACCTAACCTAGGATGCCAGAGAGTATGTGATAAGACAACGCATGGCCCAGTGTGGGCTGGGAGTGGCCAGAGAAGGCTCTGGGGACATGACAGCACTAGCTGGCTGGAATAAGCACCTACTGTATGCCAGGCCCTTTATCTTCCAAATGCCTCACTTCTTTCATCCTTAGAGTAAAGGACCTTTGAATCATGACTTTAATAATGAATCTGAGTAACTGGTGTGTGGGCTGATGGGTGTCTTCCCAATGTCCTGTCTCCCTAGAGCCCGTGAATGGAACCTCATTTGGAAATAGGGGCTTGGCAGAGGCAATGAAAGCTAAGATGAGGTCCTGCTGGAATTCTGGGACGAGGCTAAATCCAGTGACTGGTGTCCTCATAAGAAGAGGGAAATCTGGACACACAGACACACAGAGGAGAAGGCCATGTGGTGATGGAGGCAGAATCGAGTGATGCAGCTGCAAGCCAAGGAATGCTGGCAGCCAGCAGCAGCCAGAAGAGGCAAGGAAGGACCACCCCCCAGAGCCTTCTGAGGGAGCAGGGCCCTGCTGACACCTTGATTTCTGCCTTCTGCCCTCCAGAACTGCAAGACAATACATTTCTGTTGTTTAAGGCTGCCTGGTTTGTGGTCATTTGTCACAGCTGCCCTGGGAAAACCAGCTGGGTGAAGTGCAGGGGTGGGGAAGATCCTTCCAGGCAGGAGGTTGGTGTGTGCAAAGGCCCTGTGGCCAAGCGGATGGTACCTGTGTGCTCTGAGAGAACGTCAATGTGCCGGGAGCCGGCCGAGCACAGGGATGTGGGGAGGGAGCTGGCAGGATGGGCACCGGGAAGGGCAAATGGAGCCTCTGCAGCGGATGAAAGATGACCACACATTCCGTGCTAGTCCTCCCACTGTGAGCAGAGGCCTGTTTTCTCCCCTTGAATCAGAGCTGGTCTGATTTCATGACCAATGGCAGGAATGAGGTTCTGGAACTTTCTGGGCCTGGCCCTAAGAAGCCTTGGGCGTCCTGGAGCCCTCTGAGCCGCCTCGTAAGGCCTCCAGCCCCAGGAGAGGCTCCCATGCTGGAGAGACCCTGTGTGGGTGCTCTGGCCGATGCCCAGCTGAGCCCAGCCCTCCAGCCTTGCCCATCAGGGTGCCGGCCTCAGACCCCCAGATGAGCCCATCCAATGCCAAGATCTTCAAAGCCATAAAAAGCAGAAAAATCACCCAGCCAGACCCTGTCCACATCCCTGACCTGCCACACTGGGAGTTATAAGATGGTGGCGGTTTTGTCACTGTTTGGGGCAGCTCATTAGGCAGTAGTGAGTGATCAGAACGGCCTGGCTGACGGCTGTGATCTCAGTCTAAGAGCGTCGCAGGGCTGTGGAAAGCATCCCAGCCCAGGGAGCAGGATGGAGCTTGCACGGTGAGAAGGCCCCTAGAGAAGGGCCTGTCAGGGTAGAGGAAGAAGTTGGGGGGGCCAGTCAAGGGGCTGCTGCAGCCACCCAGGTCCAGGGAGAGGCGGCCTGCACAGAGGTCCTGTGCAGATGGAGAGGTCTTTAGACTGCAGAGTCGATGAGGTGAAACCAACTAGATGGAGTGAGAGGCTGCTGGGGGAGGGGTGGGTGGGGGGAAGGGCTTGCCTTGTCCTCCTGGACGGAAGAAAGGACAGGCTGGGGATGGCTGTGATTGGGTGTGGACCCACGGAGGCTGAGGAACCCTGGCAGCCTCCCAGTGGGGAAGATCTGAGACCCAGCAGAGGAGTCTTGCTGGGGGCAGGGGTGGGCGTGAAAATGATGTTGTGTTGCCTAGCAAGGGTGTTCCAGTCCCTGGGTCTCCTGGGCAGTTTGATTCATTACAGGGGCCCCAGTTCTTCTAGCTCGATCCAGGACCCCTCCTACATGGGGTCCTGGGGGAGGGTGGGTCTGTGCTGGGTTGCTGTCCCCCTTCCCCACCACAGGACATGGACCAGCACGGATGTCACTTTCCTCAATCACAGCTCACTGCAGCCTTGAACTCCCAGGCTTAAAGGATCCTCTCACCTCAGCCTCCCAAGTAGCTAGGACTACAGGTATGCACCACCACACCCAGCTAATTTTTAAATTTTTTTGTAGAGATGGGGTCTCACTATGCTGCCCAGCCTAGCCTTGAACTCCTGGGCTCAAGTGATCCTCCCACCTTGTCCTCCCAAAGTGTTGTAATTACAGGCCTGAGCCACTGTGTCCAGCCTCCCTCCTTCCTTTCATAAGAAGCATATAGAATTTGAATGATGGGCTGGGCGCGGTGGCTCACGCCTGTAATCCTAGCACTTTGGGAGGCTGAGGCGGGTGGGTGGATCACCTGAGGTCGGGAGTTTGCGACCAGCCAAACCAACATGGAGAAACCCTGTCTCTACTAAAACTACAAAATTAGCTGGGCCTGGTGGTGGGCGCCTGTAGTCCCAGCTACTCAGGAGACTGAGGCAGGAGAATCGCTTGAACCCGGGAGGCGAGGTTGCGGTGAGCAGAGATGGCGCCATTGCACTCCAGCCTGGGCAACAAGAGTGAAACTCCGTCTCAAAAAAGAAAAAAAAAAAAAGAGAAAGAAAGAAAGAAAGAAAGAACTTGAATGATGAATTGAGGACACTTAAAATTATTCACATTGAAGAAACACTCTGAGCTCATGAGCCCTTGATCTTATTTTAATGTAGACCAGAGTAAGCCAGTGCAGGCTGCATTTGAGAGGAGCAGTCTTCCTAAAGGGCTGTCTTTTTTTTTGAGACTGAGTCTTGCTCTGTCATGCCCGGCCAGTTTGTATGTACGTTTGTATGTTTTAAATCATGCACTATTCTGAGTGGAGTGATGGAATCCTGTGCCGCCCAGGCTCTGTCCCACCCGGGACGGAATCGTGCCTGTGTCCAGCGTCTCCACACTGTAGACGGTCCTGCTTATGAGTCAGTAGTTCAAGTCACCCGGATTTTACTTGATAATGATCCCAAAATAGGAGTAGTGATGCTGACATATTGTTATAATTGAATTTGATAGTTACTGTTAATCTCTTACTGTGCCTAATTTAGAAATTAAACTTCATTATAGGTATGTATAGGAAAAAAAAAAGAGTGTATACAGCCGGCGCTCATATCTGTGGGTTTTGCATCCCTCAGATTGAAAACATTTGGAGGGCCAGGTGCAGTGGATCATGCCTGTAATTCCAGCACTTTGGGAGGCTGAGGTGGGTGGATCACCAGAGGTCAGGGGTTCGAGACCACCCTGGACAACATGGAGAAACCCCATCTCTACTGAAAATACAAAAATCAGCTGGGCCTGGTGGTGGGCGCCTGTAGTCCCAGCTACTCAGGAGGCTGAGGCAGGAGAATCTCTTGAACCTGGGAGGCAGAGGTTGCAGTGAGGCAGAGGTGCTGTTGTGCCAGGCAACAGCGAGACTCTGACAAAAAAAAAAAAGAAAAAAAAAAAAGAAAAAAGTAAGGAAAGAAGGAAGGAAGGAGAAAGAGAAAGAAAGAAAGAAAGAAAGAAAAAGAAAGAAAAGAAAGAAAGAAAGAAAGAAAGAAAGAAAGAAAGAAAGAAAGAAAGAAAGAGAAAGAAAGAAAGAAGGAAAGAGAGAGAGAGGCTGGGCGCAGTGGCTCACACCTGTAATCCCAGCACTTTGGGAGGCTGAGGCAGGCGGATCACGAGGTCAGGAGATCGAGACCATCCTGGCTAACACGGTGAAACCCTAGTCTTTACTAAAAATACAAAAAATTAGCCGGGCGCGGTGGTGGGCGCCTGTAGTCCCAGCTACTCGTGAGGCTGAGGCAGGAGAATGGCGTGAACCCGGGAGGCGGAGCTTGCAGTGAGCCGAGATCGCGCCACTGCACTCCAGCCTGGGTGACAGCGCAAGACTCCGCCTCAAAAAAAAAAAAGAAAGAAAGAAAGAAAGAAAGTAAAAGAAAGAAAAAAGAAAAGAGGCCGGGCATTGGGGCTTATGCCTGTAATCCCAGCACTTTGGGAGGCCAAGGCGTGGATCACAAGGTCAGGAGATCAAAACCATCCTGGCTAGCACAGTGAAACCCTGTCTCTACTAAAAATACAAAAAAGTTAGTCAGGCATGGTGGTGGGCACCTGTAGTCCCAGCTGCTCGGGAGGCTGAGGCAGGAGAATGGCGTGAACCCGGGAGGAGGAGCTTTCAGTGAGCCGAGTTCGTGCCACTGCACTCCAGCCTGGGCAACAGAGCAAGACTCCGTCTCAAAAAAAAAAAAAAAAAAAAAAAAAAAAGAAAACGTTTGGGAAAAAAGCTGGGTCTGTATTGAACATGTACAGATTATTTTTCCTTGTAATTATTCCCTAAACAGCACAGTATGACAACTATTTACATAGCATTTACATTGTATTAGGTATTGTAAGTAATCTAGAGATGATTTAGAGGACATGGGAGGACGTGCGTAGGTTATTTGCAAATACCATGCCATTTCATATCGGGCACTTGAGCATTCCCAGATTTTGGTATCCAGGGGAGGTCCTGGAACCAGTCCCCTCAGATACCAAGGGATGCCTGTATAGGGTTCAGTACTATCTGCAGTTTCAGGCATCCAGTGGGGTTTTGGAACCTGTCCCCTGTGGATAAGGAGGGACTACTGTATTACTGTCATTCCCTTAAAAGATTTAATTATGGTCTTAATGTCCCAGTCTTTTCTATCTTCCCGTTAATGGGATGATTTTCTAGCCCAGTGCTAGGGGCCACCGTCATGCCGAGAAAAGGCCCTTCCTTAGGGTGTGGCCAGGGTCTTCCCTTGAGAGGCTGAGTCTGGTGGAACCAGCACAGGGCCACTCACTGTGTTTCTGAAGACAGCCCATTAGGGGGCTGGGTGTGGTGGCTCACACCTGTAATCCCAGCACTTTGGGAGGCCAAAGCGGGAGAATCACTTGAGGTCTAGAATTCTAGACCAGCCAGGCCAACATGGTGAAACCCCGTCTCTACTAAAAATACAAAAATTAGCTGGGTGTGGTGGCATGCGCCTGTAGTCCCAGCTACTCGAGAGGCTGAGGCAGGAGAATCATAGCTTGAATCCAGGAGGCTGAGGTTGCAGTGAGCCAAGATCACACCACTGCACTCCAGCCTGGCAACAGAGCATGACTCCATCTCAAAAAAAAACCGAAAAACAAAAAACAAAAAACGTACAAACTGTGTATCCCCTGGAATTTAATATTTTGAGACCGAGGGTGACTACAGGTAACCGAACTATGGAAAGTGAAACTTTGGATAAGTAGGGTGTAATCTAACAGACGACAGTCACTGCTTACTGTGACAGGCACTTTACATGCATCGTCTTCTCCAGCCTCACTCCAGACACAGGTGGTGGGAATCATGAGGAGAGGTGAGGCGGGGTCCCCTGGCTCACCCACGGTCATTCAGCAAGGAAGCTGTGGGTCACCCACCTACGAAGCTGTGGGGCTGGCCCCAAACCCTGCACTCATCCACGAAGATGTTGGTCCCCTAGGCAGCAGGCTGATTCTGAGAAACCCCATCTCCTCTTTTGTTAATTTGACTTTTCACTCCCCACCACACCAGCCTTAAGCAACCTTATACCCAACCTGAATCCCCATAATCGCTTCCTCCTGGGACTCCTCAGCTTCCGACCATCTCATCTCAACCTTCCTCTGCTCCATCCCAGGGCTATGAGATGGCACAAACTCACTGTAAGGAAAAGCCCAGTCCACACCATGGCCTCCAAGGCTCCAGGAGCTGGCCTCTCTGACTCTGCCTCCTCCCTGCCCATCCCACAGTGCCTTAAACATCCCAGGCCTGCTGCCAGCCCCACACCTTCTCATGGGCTGTTCCCTCTGCCTGGACACTGTTCCTCGCACGGCTTCCTCCCTCAGCACCTTGAAGTCTTTGCTTAGACGTCATCACCTTCATAGCAACCCACCCCCACCCCCACCCCCACACCTCCCCATCCTGCTCTCTCTCTGTCTTGGCACCATCCACCTTCCCAGGTGGCCCGTGTTCCTCATTCACTGTCATCTCCCTCATTACGATGAGGCTCTAGGTGAGCAGGGATCCTTGTTTCCTTCGCTAATTGTGCCTGGCACAAAGGAGGCACTCAACAAGTATGTTAAGTGAATGAGTGACTTTTTAATCTCTCTTGGGACCTGTCCTTGACTCCCCATTGTCCCCCTATGCTAGGAGCTGGAAAGCCAAGACGAAAGCTCAGTTCAGCTGATCGATTTTGCCAACGATGGGTACATTTCCACCCCAGAAGCTGGATGAGCCATTCCTTGTTTGGCCAGGACAGATGTGGACAGAGACCTACAGGGTCTGCATGCATGAGGGGTTGCAGATCCAGATGGCTGGATCGTCCGGGTTGCAGTCCCCTCCCCACCCCAGTGTGAAAGGCCGCCGGTGGCAGCAAAGTACCACACACTGTGGGCTTAAACAACAGTAATTGATTATCTCACAGCCCTGGAGGCTACAAGTCCGAGGTCAAGGTGTCCGCACAATTGGTTCCTTCTGAGGCTGGGAGGGAGCCCCTGTCCCAGGCCTCTCACCTAGCTGTTGGGCATTTGCTGGCACCCCTCAGCAGCCCTTGGCTTGTGGAAGCATCACCCATCTGCCTCCATCTTCACGCCGCCTTCTCCCTGTGTCTCTTTACATGGCCTCCTTTGTAGGAGGGCACCAGTCATAGTGGATTAGGGCCCACCCCCAGTAGTCTCATTTTACCCCTATAAAGACCCTATTTCCAAACAAACTCACATACTGAGGTCCTAGGGGTTAGGACTTCAACATATCTTTTGGAAGAGATCTTTTGGACATAATTCACCCTCTAACATCACCTACGTATTTCTTTGTCGTACCTAGATCATGGCTGTCAAGAAATAAGGACAGAAAAGGGCTGGGCTTGGTGGCCTACGCCTGTAATCTCAACACTTTGGGAGGCCGAGGTAGGAGGATCACTTGAGCTCAGAAGTTCAAGACCAGCCTGAGCAATAAAGTGAAAACCCATCTCTATAATGATTTTTTTTTAAGGGTAGAAGAACATAATGCCTTGGAAAGCAAATTACGTACAATTAAGGATTTTCCAACCCTGATTGCCTTTTTGCAAAGCAACTGGATATGTCTTACAGGGAGAGGGGAACCCCAGATTCTAGGTACATTAGGCCAGCATTTAGCTTTCTTAAAAGCAATCCACTGCACTCATGAGTACTTCCTAGGAAAGACTAGTTATAAATACTATAATTGTATATAATTGAACCCAAATTTTCACAAAACAGTTTGCACCCTTACTGTGATTGATACACTCAGATGATTTTAATTCTATAAGATTTAGTTCCATTTCCTCCTTATAAAACAGTAACTGCTGGCCAGGCATGGTGGCTCACGCCTATAATCCCAGCACTTTGGGAGGCCGAGGAGGACAGATCACCTGAGGTTTGAGACCAGCCTGGCCAATATAGAAAAACCCCGTCTCTACTAAAAATACAAAAATTAGCTGGGCATGGTGGCGGATGCCTGTAATTCCAGCTACTTGAGAGGCTGAGGCAGGAGAATCGCTTGAACCCGGGAAGCAGAGGTTGCAGTGAGCTGAGATTGTGCCATTGCACTCCAGCCTGGGCGACAAGAGTGAGACTCCATCTCAAAAAATATAAAAAAATTAGTTAATTAAAAATAAAAGACTAGCTGCAGTTCATTATATTGAGTTCAATACCCATGGATGGTGTCTACTCAGATTTTGAAAAATATTCTCGAGTCTGCCTCCTAATGACCAGCTCTGGAGCTTCACGGCTCCCCCTAGGGAAGTGCAAATTGCTTTAGAGAACAGGAGGCCAATGGGAGGGGCACAGAGTTTAGGGCCAGTTACAGTGCGGGAATGGCGTGAATTAGCCCCATCAGGAGAATGAGAATAAACTGCAAGACTCTGTCATGGCAAAACTTTGTGACACTCACACCCCCCAGGCTCCTGTTTTCAAGGCTACATTTGTGTGGACACAGCTGGCTAAAATTCGTCTCTCCTGCCCCCACCCCAACCCCCAGCCATGTGAGGCTCAGGCCTCAAATAGAAAGACCCCTGGAAGACAGGGGGAGGGAACCAGGTCTTGGCATTTCAAGGCACAATTTTAATAGCTTTTAATTCCTTTCCCAGTTGTGTACATCCAGTCCAGTGGTGTCTTTTTATACACGATAAACGCTTATCATTGTCGGTCAGCATGTCAATGTGCACAGCACATACATCACAACGAGGGTCGGCACCTGTATAAAACTACAGATTCTGAAAACAGTGGCACATACAGGAACCTCGAATCCCCATCACAGCAATATGAAAACAATATTTTAAAGGTACAGTTGTGTTCCTACAGGCATCACACATGATTTGTTGAAGAAATATCTATAAGAAGTGGTCAAGGGTGATCAAACCTAACACATGTTAATTCCTGACAATCTGATTGGGCTCTGAGACAAGAAATCTCATAATAATTTAAGGCATTTAAGACAATCATGGTTTGTTACTAAGTGAATACATTAAAATTCAGAAAGTCGACGGATGATCCCTCCACACCCCCCAACGCCAAACAGCATGGAGACCTACAAACACCATCTTTCCTGAACACTCCTGGAGCCTAGGGTGTGGTTTAAAACTTAAAAACAGTTTAGTGCATGGTAGGAACAGCAGTTTAAGATGTGTGGTCCTGTCTTAGCGGCTTTGCAAGTGTCTTCTTTCTTCCAGGCCTTGGTTAAGAATAGTATTTTAAGTCGATGATTTGCATTCGAACAAAGAGTTTTCAAAAGGAATGTGAAAGACAAAAACTCCAATCAGATTTTCCAGTCTTGCTGTCTGTAGACTCCCATAAAGTTAATTCGGGAGACAGTTCAGAAACATCCTAGGAGAGTATTAAAGTCTTGACGAAACATTCGGAGCATTTCTGGTAGCAAGCTAAGGTCATTTTGTATAAACTCTAAAAAGTCATTCATTAAAATTAAATGTTTGCCATCACCTCGGAACTTTTTTTAAACATCACCGACCCTGCCTCTTCCACGGTTGCTTCAATGACAGGGGTTACATTTGTAAAATATATAAAGAAAAATATAAGGTTACTTGGTGACCATATAGTGTACTGTAACAGCTGTCTGCAAATATTTTCACCATGATCACCCTTACTAAAAGTAAATCACAGGGTAAAGATAGCTCAAACGTGACAAGGTTCGAATGGGACGCACCGACGCTATCTGCAATCCTTTTTGGCTACATATGGAAAAAAAGCCACTTGGGATGGCAAACTCCTGCACCGGGTATGAGCTTTCTGTGGGTTTTGCCTGGGGTTTCAGGGCTTGTGAGGTAGATGTTAAACGCACTTAAACAGGGAATGCATCAGAAAGCAGCAGGCTGCTCCACGCAAACACTGCACCAAGTGCTTTGTACAATTACAAGGACATTTCACCTAAAAATCGTAGCTAGTTCTAGCCCAAAGCTCCCTAAACACAGGGAAGCCCGTTTTGGGGGTGGGGCGGGGGGTTCGATGGTTTGTTTTCAAAAACATATTCTATCACACCATCAGAAGCATCTGCCATCACAAATTATTTTTCATCACTAGGGTTTTGTTTGTGATTGCAAATACACTATCTTGTCCATTTCTAGCCTTCCAGTGGGATATTGATTCCTCTCCATGGAATTTATGAAAGAGCTTCGTCTTTTCCCCAATAGTCACAGCGATGGGGGCTGTCGCTGATCCAAAAAAGGCAAACAGGAGTTTATAAAGTTGTCCAAGGGTCTCTCCCATCTGGTAGATCGAGGAAGATTGACTACAGGAAAGTTCAAAGGTCAGTCTTGGCAGATCTAAAAACAGAGTGGCAGCGAGGACTTCAACACCGCACTTTCTGTACCCGAAGTAAACCGATATGTCCCGATTAATAGCAACAGGGCACAAAGGGAGTGGGCCTCTGAGGATGCTAGCCGAGAGCCAAGCCTGGGAGCTCCCTGAACTGGCTGCCCAAGCCTCAGGCGGGCCTTTCCAGACAGAGATGCTCCACGCCATACTACAGGGGATGACATCGGAATCCAATGTCACCTTTTTTTAAAACACAGAATAGCAGCACACTCGTGACAACTTTTGACAAGTTAAAGAAATCCAATGGTAAGATTCTCCACTGTTGCACCAGAAAAGTCAGAGTTGGTTTTTTGTTTTGTCTTTTTTTCCCCCCAGAAAATTAAAAAACACACCCGCAGAACTATAAATAATTTGGTGGCAATATATACACATTTAAATAATTAATTTAAATATCTTACACCTACTCTTGCATTAAACTCTTCATCCGAAGAAAGTGCACCAAGGTGACCCTCGGCACTGCCCTCCCAGGGGCTTCCCGAGGCTGAGGCAAGGGTCCTCTGGAGGGTCACAGCCTGGGGAGGAAGTGGGTGACCTTCATGGTGGGCGACACTCGGTTCCCCTTCTTGGTCTTCCCATTCTTGCTCAGGGCGATGAACATGCCGGGGTACTTGTAGGACTCGTAGGCGTTGTAGTTGTTGGGAAGGAGAATCTCCTTGAACGTGCACTCATCGGTGAAGAAGGGCTGCAGCAAAGCAGGGCAGTGTCAGGGCTGGGGCACCTCTTGGGCAAGGTACCCAGCCTGAAGCCAGGGGTCAGAACCCCCTTCTGTCCCACCCCCCACCCTGGGCTGAGATGTCTCTGCTGAGCAGTTAAGGTGTCAAGACCCACACAGGGTGAGAAGGGGACATGGCCAGCCCACAACAGCTGGTGCTCTCACCACCTGCCCTGCACCTAGCAGCCAGAGAATTCATTCCCTCCGTGTCCAGCCTCAAGCCCGCAGTTCCAACACTGAGACCTACCCCTCTGGACTAGAGAAGGGAAGGGCTCTCAATAGCGCCCTTTCCTCGGTCTGGGAGGGGCCCACTCAGGGATGGCAGGAACCTCATTGTTCCTGCCTTGGGGCTGCTTCCTTTGTCTGGGGAGGCCTGCCGGTCCCGTGACCTGGTGACCCTGCCACCCCTCCAAGACCCAGGCACAGGTGGGGCTGGAGAAGCCACGAGCCTGCTAGCCATGTCCGCTGTTCCCAACTAGGTGCCTAGCCAGACCCCTGCGGTACTCACCGAGCCATAGAGCTTGCCCTTGCTGCTCATGGCCACGAAGAACCGGCTGGCCACGCCGAAGATGCTCACCACGCCCCGCTCCACGGGCGAGAGCTCCAGCAGGCCTGGGGGCGGGGCGCAGGTCATTGCGGGGCAGGTGATCCCTGGCCCACTCCGCCCCTCGGCTTGTTCGCCTCCGGGGACCCTATTTCTGGGGTGGGGTTGGGGATAAAGGGCCAGGGTTCCCGGCGCAGCCGCCCCCAAGGGCCTCCAGAGCCCAAGCTGCCCTCTAGGGCCTCCGGAGCCCAAGCCTGCGCTAGCTCAGATTAGCTTGCCTGTGTAGGGGACCCCCGGCGGCCGCACCCAGTCCCGGACCTTCAGACGCGAGCCCGACCCCAGCGGTTCCCCAGCCTGGGCCAGGCCGGGGCGCGTGTCTCGGGCCCCCTGTGGCTGCACCGCGCGCCCTGTGCCCACGGGCGAAGGCGCTGGAATTCGGCGCTCGGAGCCCGAGTTTCTGAAGGCGGGAGGCGGCGCCCGACCTCAGGGGTTGCGCTGGGCTGCCGGAGCCAAGAGTGTCTGCGTCCCCAGCCCCGCGTCAGAAGGGACCGGAGCCCGAGTCCGCCCCGGTTCCCGGGGCCCCCGAGCAGGTGCCCGCCGAGGGTCTCAGAGTGTGACTGAGCGGGTTGGCCCGGCGGCCGTTGCCCCCCGCCCCCGCCCCTTCGCGCCTGGCCGCGCCACTCACTGTCGCGGGTGTCCGCGTGCGCGCCGCCGATGCGGCCGTCGGGGAGCGCCTGGAGGTGGAAGCCGATGCCCACGTTGCAGTAGAGCCGCCGCAGCCGCTTGATGCCCAGCAGGTAGTCGCCGGCGCCGCTCTGGACGGCCGCCTCCTTGGGCTGCGCTGCCACCGGCAGGCGCGCCAACGAGAGCGCCACCAGGCTCTCCCAGCGGCGCTCCAGCTCGGCCTCCAGCGTGCCGTTGGGTGCAGTGGGTGCGGCGGCGCCCCCTCGGCCCGCCCAGGGCGCCAGCAAGGCCAGCAGGACCGCCGGGAGCAGCGCTACCGCGGCCGTCCCGGGCCCCGACATCCCGGCCCGAGGGCCGTGCGTCGGTCAGGCGGTCAGTGCGCCCGGGAAGCTGGGGGGCAGAGCTGCGCCTGTGGCGTCCCGCGGGAGCGCACGGCCGACCTCGGGCAGGAGTGCGCAACCGAGGAGGTGCGGGAGGCAAGCGACGGGGCCCCCGGGCGCCGGGCTCTACCCCGGCTGCATGGAGCGGCGAGCCGGGCGGAAAGCGCGCGGCTGGAGCTGGGACTCTGAGGAGCAGTGCGCGCCTCCCTGAGCGCCAGGCCCGCCCGAGGCCGAGCCGCTATATATATAGCCCGGCGCCCCCTCCTACTCGCCCGCTCCCGCGGGGGGCCGTTCGCGTTCTCCTGGGCGCCCGGGGCGCTGTGGCGTTCGCGGCTGGTCGCAGGCCGCCTGCCAATCAGGGCCGGGGGAAGGGAGGAGGCTGGGGACTAGCGCCGCGAGTGCCACCTGGAGGGACCCCGGCCCCCACCCTTGGCTCCGCCCGGCCCACGGACCTGTTCGTCCCGCCCCTTGGCGGCTCCTACACTTCTGCTTTTCAGCCAGTTTTGCCTCTTGCACTTTGTCCCTGCCTGTCCCCGTCCCCGTCTCCCTCTCTGCTCCGGCCGCCTTGGCGCAGCCCTAACTCGGGCATCCGAAGCTCCTAGTGGGCGCAGAAGCCAGCGGCTGCTGCCTGCCCTTCGCCTTTCGGAGGCTCACGGGAACTTGGTTCCTTTGCTGGGGCCTTGAGGACCGGCCTGGGAAGGAGGGGTGGATAAGAGCAGTAAGCGACACCGGGGCCTGGCTGGGCAAGGGAGGACCCTTTGGCTACAGGCGGGAGGGAGGCCACCCCCACCCCCTAGGTCTTGGCCCCACAGGCTTGGCGCGTTTCTGGGCTGGAGTTCTGAATACCTGGTGGAGGTCCACCTGAGCCAAAGGGCAAGGTGGCAGAGATGCACCCAGGGAGGCCTGGTCCTGCACCCCCTACACACACACCCTTCCGTGAAAGGACAGGTAGCAGGGCATAGGGCCAGAGGGGATATTCAGCATCCCCTGCTCCTTTGATTCCACAGCAGAAATATCCATGTACCATAGCCAGAGCCCTCAATCTAGCAGGGACCCAGGCCAGGCCTCTGGAAGCCTCCCCTCTCTCACTCATGGTTCTACCTCCCACTGTGCCCATTATGGCCTGATGGGGACTGTCCTAGCTAGATGCAGGCCCACCTAGGTGTGAAAACCCCTGTTCTTTGTGGTCCCTGAGGAGCCTGCCTGGCCCTTCCTGCAGGCCCGCCTAGCCACAGCTGCAGGGGGCTTGGTGCCTACCCCATCTCTCATACCACCAGCACCTGTGACCAGAGATGTCCCCAGGCCACCGCAGCCTCCTCCACCTCCACCGCATCCCCACAGGGAGATTCCTGGGACCCCTTCAGAACCCTGCTGGGGCTTATTCGTGCCCCTGGAGGGGACCTGGGAGGCTTGAGGGCTCTTCTCTGAGGTGCAGAAAGGGGGGCACTTGGGGGTCATCAAGTGGCTTTGGCAGGACCGGAACCTCAGCTCCGCACCCCTTGAGAGGATCTTTGTTCCTCCTTGGGCCTGCAGCCTGCTTGGGCAGCGCCACCCAGACCTGGACCTTCCTGGGCTGCAGCTCACAGCTTCGAGATGCAACCCGGCTGCCTCTGGGTCCTGGGGTCCCCCAGATGAGCCTGCAGATCTGGTGCCAAATAGACATCGTTGGCCAGGGTGCAGGGTGCAGGGTGCAGGGGACCTAGAACCCATCCCTCACTTGCTGTGTTGTCTTTCCATCTCTAGGTCCCTGACTCCCCATTTGCAAAATGACATGGGAGGTGGGCTTTCCTCCCTCAGCCTGGGGCCAACCGAACACACCCTCTGGGGAAGTGAGACCCAGGCCTGGAGACCCACCTGTGCCAGCTGACCTGAGCAGAGGGACTCTGATGTCTTCCCCCGGCTTTTGATAGGATGAGGCTCCTTTCTTCCCAGGACTCCCACAGCAAGCTCAATTTAGGGCTTCCCAAGGACCCCTCCCTGTCTCTCCTATTTGCTGTGAGTTCAGCAAAGGACGCTGCAGGCAGCTGATATATCTCCCAGAACTGCAGGCCCACCCACACAGGATAGGTGCTTGTGGTGACTGGGGACTGACAGCCAGCAGGGCTTTTGGGAGCTGGGAATTCCCAGCAGAACTGATCTGGAATCTGGCTTCCACTTTGCTCCGGGTGCTCCCTGAGCACACTCTCAACCTCCGCAGGCCCTGGCCTCCTCAGCTGTGCAATGGAGGCAACAAAAGCACAGGTAAGGAAGAATTGCGGATGAAGGATGCACCAGGAAGCACTCACTTATCTGCATCTGACCCCTTTCCGTGCCCCTGGCCCTTGACCTGGCTTCCCACCTGCTTCCTTTCTGCTCCTGTGTTCCCGCCATGCTGACCGCGTCATCTCTCCCCTTCCCACTGGATGACCCCCGGCCCCAGATCTTCCTGCCAATGACTTATCCCATTCAGGTTTGCCTGAATGGAGAAGCCACTCCATTGGAGTAGCCACTCGGGGATGCCTTCTGGATCCCCTGCCCAGTCCTTCTGGTTGGAGCTTCTTTGAGCTCTTAAGAGAACCTTCTGCACTTGTTAGCTGACCCTCCACCGCATTTAGATTGTCATCTCCATGGAGCAAGCCCGGATTTGTGTTGTTGCCAGTTGTACCTCCAGTGCTGGGCACATAGTAGGTGCTCAATAGCTGTTTGTGAGTAAATGGCTGGCTAGGTACACTAGGAGCTCATCCATCAGCAATCCTCACTGCAAGCTGCCCTGCCCAATCTGCCACTGTGCCCCGGGGCAGACAAACAGAGGTACCTGCAAAGGCCTCAGGCAGAGCTGCCCCTATGGGAAGGTCTGCATTGCCTTTTTTTTTCTTTATGTGAAAGAAATAGTTGGACCAAGGTGACTAAATCTTTTCCAGATCTGGTTACTTCTCAGCAGAGAGACAAGGGGACCTATATATAATTTTTTTTTTTTTTTTGAGATAGTATCTTGCTCCATTGCCCAGGCTAAAGTGCAGTGGCTCTATCATAGCTCTACAGCCTCAAACTTCCAGGCTTAAGCAATCCTCCAGCCTCAGTCTCCTGAGTAGCTGGGACTACACACTCAGCTAATTTTTTGTTTTCTTTTTTAGTAGAGACGAGGTCTCGCTGTATTGCCCGGGCTGGACTCAAACTTTTGACCTCAAGCAATCCTCCCGCCTCAGCCTCCCAAAGTGCTGGGATTACAGGCATGAGCCACTGCACCTGGCCAGGTGATCTAGAAACAGGACCCTCACTTAGCTTGGACCCAAAGCCCTTCTGCCATGCTTTACCCCAGGACGCCCGCTTTGCCAAGTCCTGGGGTTCGAGGAAGGCTTGGGGCCATGTTGGGCTTCCGGTTGGGTTCAAGTTTAGGCTGTCTCCCTGTTAGTTGTATAACCTTACGCTATTTCACTTCTTAGCATTCTCAGTTTCCCCATCTGTAAAATGGGCATGAGCTGATGTCGGCCTTAGCAAGACAGTGCCTGACCTCAGGAAGAGGCTGAGCAAAGTGAGCTGTTTAGACTGCAAGCCCCTTGGGGGTGGTTCAAACTGGGTCTGATTAACAGTAAATGCTGGGAATTTGTGAAATAAACAAAGCCATGTCATTATCGGGTGGAAGTCTCCCTGTACGTCATCAGCCACTGGAGGGGTAATAAATTGAGGGAGAGGAGCAAAGGCCCAGAAAGCCTCCTAACAGTGACCTTTTTCGACCTCCAAAAAAAAAAAAACAACAATGTAGGATCTTCATGTGAATGGTCCCGTCTCCCGTGAAGGAGTGAAGAGGCTTCTCAGAGCCACCAGCTCAGGTGTTAGCTGTTAAGAACTTACTTGGCTTAATAGTAATAATAATAAAAAAGAAAGTGCTGCATAATAGTCCACTTATAGTCCTCAGGGCAAAATGACTGAGCTCAGCCCGGGGCAAGGGCCCAGGCTGTGTAAACTTTGTAAATAGCTCAACTGCTTTCTCAATTCAACTTCCCTTTCTTGGCTTCAGCAAGACACCCTCACAATGATGTCTTTCTGCAAAAGTCCAGGAGGATGATAAGGCCGGTGGGATAGACTGGTCTACACTGAGCCGAAGCACCCCAAAGCAAGTGGCATGTTTTTCTTTAGGACCTTCAGAATAAGGGGAGATTGAGCCAATTTTTTTTTTTAGCTTTTTAAAAAATGGTGTTAATTGGGTGCGGTGGCTCACCCCTGTAATCCCAGCACTTTGGGAGGCCGAGGCAGGCAGATCACTTGAGGTCAGGAGTTCGAGACCAGCCTGGCCAACATTGTGAAACCCCATTTCTACTAAAAATACAAAATTAGCTGGGCGTAGTGGTGCATGCCTGTAATCCCAGCTACTCAGGAGGCTGAGGCAGGAGAATCGCTTGAACCTGGGAGGTGGAGGTTGCAGTGAGCTGAGATCGCGCCAGTGCACTCCAGCCTGGGCGCTACAGAGCGAGTCTCCGTCTCAAAAAAGAAAAAAAAAGGTGGTAAAATATACATGATACATAACATAAAATTGATGTTAACCTATTTTTTTTTTGAGGTGGAGTCTTGCTCTGTCACCCAGGCTGGAGTGCAGTGGCGCGATCGTGGCTCACTGCAAGCTCCGCCTCCCAGGTTCACGCCATTCTCCTGCCTCAGCCTCCTGAGTAGCTGGGACTACAAGCGCCCGCCACCACGCCCGGCTAATTTTTTTTTTTTTTTTGTATTTTTAGTAGAGATGGGGTTTTACCGTGTTAGCCAGGATGGTCTCGGTCTCCTGACCTCGTGATCCACCCACCTCGGCCTCCCAAAGTGCTAGGATTACAGGCATGAGCCACCGTGTCTGGCCTGATGTTAACTATTTTTTAAAAGACTTTTTTCAGAGCAGTTTTAAGTTCACAGCAAAATGGAGAGGAAGGTACAGAGAGTTCCCTTACACCCTCTGTCCCCACACACTCACAGCCTCTCTCATTTTAGCCATTGTTAAGTGCACGGGTAAGTGGCATTAAGGACACTCACATTCTAGTGCAACCATCACCACCATCCATCTCCAGATGGTTTTCATCTTCCCAAACTGAAACTCCCTGCCCATTAAACACTTGCTCCCCATTCGGCTCCCCCAGCCCCGGCACCCACCATCTTCGCTTTCTGTGTCTACGAATTTGACTACTTAGGGACCTCATGAGTGGAATCACACAATGTTTGTCCTTTTTGTATCTGGCTGATTTCACTTAGCATAACATCATCAAGATTCATCCACGATGTAGCATGTGTGGGAGTTTGCTTTCTTTTTTTCTTTTTTAGAGGCTGAATAATATTCCAGGTATGGATGGGCCACGTTTTATTTATTTACTTATCTGTCAGCGGTCCCTGAGCTGCTCCCACCTTTTGGCTACTGTGGACGATGCTGCTGTGAACCTCGGTGTGCAAATATCTGTTTGAGTTCCTGCTTTCATTTCTTGTGGGAATATGCCCAGAAATGGAATTGCTGGATGAGGTGATAATTCTATGTTTAAGTTTTTGAGAAACTGCCATACTGTTTTCCATGTTTTTTTTTTTGTTGTTGTTTGTTTGTTTGTTTTTTGTTGTTGTTGTTGTTGTTTTCAAGTTACCTTGATCCTGGGGCATTAAAGAGACAGCAGGTCACTCCTTGGCTTATAGCGATGTCTTACCCAGTTCTGCGTCCAGGAGAGTTTCCCCTCTCCCGTTATTCTGCCCTGTTTCTCTTCTACTCTGAAGGTGGCCCAGCCAGGTCTGGGCGACAGGCTTTGGGGGCGGTTTCAATGACTGCGAATCAATAAAACCACCTGCCTCCCTGTGCACACGCGTGCAGATCTTTTGCACATATCAGATACTCAACCCTGGGAAGATGGAAGACAAGCCATGCCTCAGTTTCCTCATCTGTAAAATGTGGAAAATCAGCGTTCTCACCTCAGAGGGCTTCTGGAATAGTTACATGAGAGAATGTGCGTTCAGCCCTTAGAACGGGCAGGCACACGGTGATGTGTGCCCACAGCCATCGCTGGCTGAGTGGTGTGACTACCCAGCTTGAGTGCAGGGCTAGGGAGCCAGGTCCTGGCGTCTCTCACCACTGAGGGAATGTGGGTGATTTGCTGAGCCTCTCAGGACCCGATGTCTGCCTTCATTGCTTGCTAGGGAATTAGAAGAATTAGACATGTAAAGTGCCCGGTGTCTTATCCACGGGCTGTGAGCTGGCAGGATCGCCAGTACCTCTCCAGATAAAAGTCATCGCTGCCACGTTCATTAGGTGCTGGCAGGAGCGGGTTTGGTGCAGGGTGGGGCTGCTTTGCAAGGCTGATCGTCTTTTCTTCTCACCCAGCCCTGCAGGGTGTGGCCCTGCTGGTCATCACCATTTTACAGAAGAATTAACCCAGACTCAAAGCCTCTGAGCAGCTCACTCAAGGTCATGGAACTAGCAAAGAGCTAAGCCAAAACTCAAACTCCTGCTGTGTACGCCAAAGTCAGGCCCCTGACCATGCTGCTGTCTGCCTCAGTTTCCCCTGCAGCAAAATGGAGCTGGTGGTCTGGACCTTGTCTGCCTCAGAGGGATGTCAGGGGCTCAAACTGTGCAGGTGAACTCTTCTGTCAGCATCAGAGTGGGGCTTAAGCTCCATGAATTGATATCATAACCCCAGTTGATTTGTTCATTTGGAGGATCACAAAACAGACCACCAAGCCTCCAACTCCCGGCAGTCTCTTTAATATTTCAAATAAAAAATGGTCAGAGCCAGAAGGGACTCACCTAAGGGCTGCTAAAGTGACCCATTCCTTGCACAGAAGCCAGTGGAAGGCCAAGAAGGAAAGGGCTCCTCCATGTTACCTAAGGACCCACCTTTCCCGCTCAGGGGTCTGGCACCCCGTCAGCTGAGTGAGCCTTTATGGAGTGCCTGCTCAGGAGAGTCATGGGATCTAGGGACAGGGTCATTTCAGCCGAGACCTAAAGAAAGGGTGAGTAGGAGCCAGCCAAGGTGGAAGAGTGGGAGCTTCAGGAAGCCAGTGTGTGGAAGCTGGGTGGGTGCATGAGGTCAGAGGGATGGGCAGGACTTTGTGGACCCAGGAAGGGTTTCAGCTCCCTTTGAGGGGTGCTGAAAGCCAGGGTGCCATGGGCTCAGCTCACCCCATGGGGCATGCCAGGGAATCCTTGAGGTCACAACCTTCCCCAGCAGAAGGAGCACCCCACAGGCCTGGTGGGCTGACCCTCAGGGTGGTGGGGTTGTGCCTCCTCCCCACTTGCTTCTTCCCTTCCCTCCTCCTCAGGGTCTCCCAGCAACATGGAAGAGAAGCCCACTTTCCTCCCTGACACCACCACTGGGCATGGGATTCCACCTGTCTCCATGAGAGAAGATGGGAAATACCAGTGGGGAAGCAGAGAGGCTCCCCATTCTCCAGATTTCAGACCACAGGCCCCTCAAGGGAAGCATCCTGGTAGGGAGGAGGTGGAAGAAAAGTTCTATTCAAAGTCAGTCTTGGCAACTGTACCCTCCCTCCCCCCTCCCTCTCCCTGGATGGACTCGAGGCCTGGGGAAGGCCTGACCACCCGGCCCTGGCTGTGTGAGACATCCATGCCTCAGGCGGGTTCCTTCTCTTTCCCCCTGTCTCCCTCCAGGACAGCAAAGCCAGGTTCCATCCCACCCCCTGGAAGAGGTGTTGCCTGAGGACTAGATCTAGGGGGGACCCTAAGAAAGGTGTCTATGGTGGCACCTGGATGGGAACATTCTGGAGTCTTGCCATTGGGATTGAGAGGGATGCTCAAGTGATCATAGGACAAAAACTAGAATGAAGCTTTGGGGCCCACCCTCCCCTATCAGGGAGGAGTCCCTTGTTCACACAGAAGTCACGTCTCCTTTGCTCTCGGGTAGTTCTGAACTTGGTGTTATAACATGTGGGTTTGTAAATCTGGATCACTGAAGGCAGGATGCACCCACCCCTTCACTCAAATTTGGATTTAGATTGACCTTGGTCTGAAAAGCATTACTTGATTCTTGGGACATATGTGTGTTTCTTTGTCCAAGAAGATAGGAGATCAGATGAGAGGACTTCAGCAGGGACAAGGGCTCAGAGGGATAAGGATAATCTCTGGTACATTTTAACTATGAATGATTTAAAATACTCTTACTCTTTTTTGTTGTTCTTGTTCTTGGTTTTTTTTTTTTTTTTCTTTTGAGACAGGGTCCCACTCTGTTACAGGCTGGAGTGCAGTGAGGCAATCATCGCTCACTGAAGCCTCAAACTCCTGGGCTCAAGGGTTCCTCCCACCTCAGTCTCCCAAGCAGCTGGGGCTGCAGGTGCACGCCACCATGCCTGGCTAATTTCTTTTTGTTTTTTGTAGAGATGGTGTCTCACTGTGTTGCCCAGGCTAGCGTGGAACTCCTGGATACAAGCGATCCTCCACCTCGTCTTCCCAAAGTGCTGGGATTACAGGCATGAGTCACTGCGCTGGGCCTTCTGTTACTTCTAATTAATTTATTAATTGACTTTTGGGGGAGACACAGTTTTACTGTGCCCCCCCAGGCTGGAGTGCAGGGCTGTGATCTTGGCTCACTGCAACCTCCGCCTTTCAGATTCAAGCAATTCTCCTGCCTCAGCCTCCTGAGTGGCTGGGATCACAGGTGTGCACCACCACGTCTGGCTAATTTTTGTACTTTTAGTAGAGAGAGGGTTTCGCCATGTTGGTCAGGCTTGTCTCGAACTCCTGGCCTCAAGTGATCCACCCGCCTTGGCCTCCCAAAATGTTGGGATTACTGGCGTAAGCCACCACGCCCAGCCTCTTCTGTTACTTTTAAAAATGTGTCCAGTGGAGTCTATAACAATACCAGTTTGACAGCTGCCATCTTTTATTTTAGAAAAAATACATGAATAAGCTTTACTCCAGCAGACAAATATTATAAACCCTCACCCATTATCTTTGTATTTTAACCTCGAAAGTCTTTCATTGATCATTTTATTATTATTCTTTTTTTTTTCTTTTTTCTTTTTGAGATGGAGTTTTGCTCTGTGGCCTAGGCTGGAGTGCAGTGGCACGATCTCGGCTCACTGCAACCTCTGGCTTCCAGGTTCAAGTGATTCTCCTGCCTCAGCCTCCCGAGTAACTGGGATTACAGACTTGCACCAACACGCGGGGCTAATTTTTGTATTTTTAGTAGAGATGGGGTTTCACCATGTTGGCCAGGCTGATCTCGAACTTCTGACCTCAAGTGATCCACCCGCCTCGGCCTCCCAAAGTGCTGGGACTACAGGCGTGAGCCACAGCACCTGGCTGTTCACTCTATCATTATTCACTGCAATAAATGAAATATTTAAAAAACTAATTTCCTAGGCTGGGCGCAGTGGCTCATGCCTGTAATCCCAGCACTTTGGGAGGCCAAGGCAGGCAGATTGCCTGAGGTCAGGAGTTCAAGACCAGCCTGGCCAACATGGTGAAACCCTGTCTCTACTAAAAATATAAAAATTAGCCAGTCATGGTGGTGTGCCCCTGTAATCCCAGCTACTCAGAGGCTGAGGCAGGAGAATCGCTTGAACCCAGGAGGCGGAGGTTGCAGTGAGCCGAGATCGCACCACTGCACTCCAGCTTGGGTGACAGAGCGAGACTTAATCTCAAAACAAACAAACAAACAAATGAATTTCTTATGACTGTTAGCATTAAATGGTTTTGTTCTGGATTTTACTTTAAACAACTTTTACTAATACATAGTTAATCAAAATGCCATGAATGTAATATCACATAATTGATAAGTAAAGAGCACAAATAAAATTCTGGTAGAAATGAATCTTTTTTTTTTTTCCTGAGATGGAGTCTCACTGTCGCCCAGGATGGAGTGCAGTGGTGCGATCTCGGCTCACTGCAAGCTCTGCCTCCCAGGTTCACGCCATTCTCCTGCCTCAGCCTCCCGAGGAGCTGGGACTACAAGCACCCGCCACCACACCTGGCTAATTTTTCGTATTTTTAGTAGAGACGGGGTTTCACCATGTTAGCCAGGATGTCTTGATCTCCTGACCTCGTGATCCGCCTGCCTCGGCCTCCCAAAGTGCTGGGATTACAGGCGTGAGCCACCGCACCTGGCCGAAATGAATCTTTTAATGTGACCTAGGACAGGGCTTTAAAAAAAAATTTCATATGACCACTACTTATTGCTAGAATAATATGGCGTTTGGCCTCAATTTCATTCCCATTTTCTATTTCTGTTGATGGCAAAGCCAAGAAGCCTTGTCCTCAGGTGGAAGACACAGAATTGAAGTTTCGTTATGGTGATGTCACTCAAGGATTTGAACACTCGCCAAGGTATACACTCAATCACCTGGTTTATATAAAAAATGGTGTCTCCTGCTTGATCTGCTGACACCATCAACAGCTCTTTTTTTTTTTTTTTAATTCTTTGAGACAGGGTCTCCCTCCGAACCCAGGCTGGAGTACGGTGGCACAATCTCCCCTCACTTCAGCCTCAACTTCCCTGGCTCAAGCAATCCTCCCACCTCAGCCTCCCAAGAAGCTGGGACTATAGGCATGTGCCACTATGCCCAGCTAAATTTTTTTTGTTTTTGGTAGAGTTGGGATCTCACTGTGTTGCCCAGGCTGGTCGGCAGCTCCTCTCTTAATTCCTTGATAGCAAAGACTCACCAGTCATTGGAGCTGCACTTTCTCAACTTCGGGAAATTTTATCCAAAGGTTTTATTTGTTTGTTTGCTTGTTTGTTTGCTTTGAGACAGAGTCTCACTCTGTCACCCAGGCTGGAGTGCAGTGGTGCAATCTCAGCTCACTGCAACCTCTGCCGCCCAGGTTCAAGGGATTCTCCTGCCTCAGCCTCCCAAGTAGCTGGGATTACAGGCACCTGCAACCCTGCACAGCTAATTTTTGTAGTTTTATAGAGATAGGGTTTCACCATCTTGGCCAGGCCAGTCTCGAAATCCTGACCTTGTGATCCACCAGCCTCGGACTCCCAAAATGCTGGGATTACAGGCGTGAGCCACCATGCCCAGCCCAAAGGTCTTTTTTGCCAAGAACAATTAATTATACCAGTTACTTTTTTACTTGGAGGAGACTTATTAAACCTGATATAATGAAAATGGGGAAGACTGGGAATGAAACTGTTGCTAATTTCAACATGGCTTCGCCAGTACTATAGTGATACAAAGCTTCCAATGCATTGCGGGTTTATATCTATTTCTTTCCGAACCTTGCAGCTGCAGACACAACCTAGGCAACACTTAGACAGCTTTCCCCGTATAGCCACAGAATCAGTAAAGCCAGTTTTCTCAGTGACAGCCATGTGCCACTTACCATTGGAAGACCTCGGATTGTATTTTCCAATTCAAACAAGTGAGTTAATCTGCGTCTCCAGAGTATACCCCCTGCTTCTGATTTCTGACTCTATGAAGTAGGAGGAGATGCAGACATGAAGAGAAAAGGCCAGATCCCTGCCTGGAGCTGGGCACCTGGCGACTTCTAGGCTCACCAGGATTTTTGCCTCCTTTCCTGGGCCTCTCTCTCCAAACTGTGGCCTTGAGACCACAAGTAGCCCAGGACGGCTTTGAATGTGGCCCAACACAAATTCATAAACTTTCTTAAAACATTTTGAGATTATCTTTTTGCAATTTTTTTTTTTTTTTAGTTTATCAGTTATCATTGTTGTTAGTGCATTTGATGTGTGGCCCAAGCCAATTCTTCTTCCAGTGTGGCCCAGGGAATCCAAAAGATTGGACACCCAGCCGGGATTGGTGGCTCACGTCTGTAATCCCAGCACTTTGGGAGGTGGGCGGATCACCTGAGGTCAGGAGTTCGAAACTAGCCTGGGCAACATGGTGAAACCCTGTCTTTACTAAAAATACAAAACTTAGCTGGGTGTGGTGGCAAGTGCCTGTAATCCCAGTTACTCAGGAGGCTGAGGCAGGGAGAATCGCTTGAACCCAGGAAGCAGAGGTTTCAGTGAGCTGAGATCGTGCCATTGCACTCCAGCCTGGGCGACAAGAACGAAACTCTGTCTCGAAAAATAAATAAATAGGCTCACACCTGTAATCCCAGCACTTTGGGAGGCCCAGGCAGGCGGAACACCTGAGGTCTGGAGTTCAAGGACAGCCTGACCAACATGGAGAAACCCAGTCTTTATTGAAAATACAAAATTAGCCGGGGGTGATGGCACATGCCTGTAATCCCAAGTACTCGGCAGGCTGAGGCAGGAGAATCGCTTGAACCCGGGAGGCGGAGGTTGCAGTGAGCTGAGATCACGCCATTGCACTCCGGCCAGGGCAAAAAGAGCAAAACTTCATCTCAAAAATAAACAAACAAGTAAATAAATAAATAAAGTTAAAAAAAAAGATTGGACATCTCTGCTCTAATGCATCTTTGTCAAGGGCATGGGTTTGGGAGGCACAGGTCACTGAAAGAAATAGGCAGGTCCCTGGCCCTCCACTCCCAAGGCATCTGTTAGGAGCTCTCCAGGGCAGGCCAAATGGGTGGCCACTTCTGCCGCCACCCTGCACCCTCCCTGGGCTGCTTCCAGGCCTGAGAGAGCTGGAAGGAGTGTCGGCTCCTGGTCCACATTGCAGCTTTGTTTGGTGCCCTGAGGCTCTAGCACCTAAGGAGCACTCCTTTCTTTTGTAAAGTGGGAGAAAGAGCCTGTGAAAGGGAAGGTGGGGAAAGGGAACCGTGGCTGGGTGCTCTGTTCCTCCCATTCACCAGGCAGGAGGAAGTGGGGGCTCCAGCTGCGGGTGTGGCCTTGGGATGGAGCAGAGACTCTTTGGAGAACTATTCCTTCCCCTATGTGCCCATCAGACCTCAGCTCAACCTTGACCTTTCTGGGAAGCTTTGCCTGACTTCTCAAGTCCAGTCGCCTATCACAAGGTGATCACAGGACAGTCCAAACTGGGCCTTTTCAGAAAGAAAGGAAGTGCCCCTCACTATTACCCTGGGACGAGGGGTGCACCCCTGCACAGTTCCAGGCAAGCAGGACTGGGGCCACCTGACCTGTTCCACTCTCACCACCACGCACCCTGAGCCCGAGAGCAGCCTGCATGGCCAGCTCATGCTCTCGGAGCGCACCAGGAGGGCTCGGGGAACTCACCTGTGCCTGGACACCTGCAGCACTAGGGCCTCGATTCACCCAGTGATCAGCTGTGCATGAAAAGGCTGATGTTCTGTCTCCGAGGCTGGTGGCGTAAAGGACTGCATTTGACCCTGAGGGGCCCACAGGATGGGGCGGATAGCAGCAGGATCCAGCAATGCTGGGTAGAGGGCGAGGGTGCAGGGAAGACGGCCCAGTCCTTGGACACATGCCCCCCATCAGCCTGCCAGTGGGAGCCCCGTTTCCCATTCACTCACGAACCCCAAGAGGTGGGCGGGGATGATCCATCTCAGTTCACCAGTAAAGAAACTGAGGCCCAGAGAGGAGGTGACTTCCCCAAGCATACGTGACAGGTACCAAGTGGTGTCTTAAAGTCAGCGTGGGCAAAGGAAGACCTCACTGAGTCAGTGTCCTGGAAAATTCCTTCCAGAAGCCAATTCCCAGCAGGTCCCAGAGGCATTTTGCCCTCCAGGGTTGGCTATTTTTCTGGATGGGATGAAGCAGGCAGCTTGCCCTTAGGGACCACGCTGGATAAAAAGTACTCTCTGCACTGTGCACTCATCTATTGTGGGGAGGCCAAGCTGAGCCCTGCCTGGTGGAGTAAGGGCTCCCTCACCCCCTCTCCTATCCCCGCTCCAGGGCTCAGGGAACAGCAGGGGGAGTCACTCGTGTTAGTAAATTATTATTTCCCCACCTGCCATGGTCATCATGATTGCTGCCGTTGCATGGGGGGAGTTCACGGGTTCATTGCAGCCTCCAAGGCCTGTAAGGACCGCCTGGCTCTCCCTCACTCTGGGTGAGACCTTGGGCAGATTCTGACCCTCAGTCTTCTCATTTGTGGGAAATCTTAGCACTCACTCACATCTTAGGGCAGTGAGGTGGCGGCTGATGTTAGGTGAACTCACGCCTAAAAGAGCAGGCATCTATTCTGGTCTGCTCTCCCAAGCCAGTCCTGCCTCTCTCCATCAGCCTGCGGGGCTTCCCGCCTCTTTGAGGCCAGGGATGCAGGGTCCTCGCAGGCAGCCAAGGGCCATTCCTGGGCCTCCGGCCTCAGTGACAAGAGGCTTTTTTCTGCCTCTGCCGCCTGCTCCCTGACATCCCACGCGCCTGCCTCTAAGCCTGAGATGCGGCTTCTAAGCCGGGGCAGACCCAGCCTGCTATTCTGGGGTCTTCTTTCAACTATTTTGGCGAAGACCAAATGGCAGCCTCCTTTAAAATAGCTGCTGCAGGCCCAGGGGTCGTTCCCTGAGAACCAGGTCAGGCCAGGCCCGCACTTCTTCCTAGCAGCCCATTCAAGTTAAATACGGCCCCTGGCATCTGCAGCTTCGAGGAGGGCTCAGCTGAAATTCCGACGGGCAAACACGGGGCGGACACCAAAATAAAACCTGGCTGGCCCTCCGAGGTGCCTGTGGCTTCTCAGTTTCACAGACGTGCTTACGTTTTTCATGAAATCACAGGGCTAGTCGCAGGAGGTGGTGGGAGTGCCTAAGTCAATGAGGAGCAGTGGCCAGTCCCCCGGCCCCACGGTGGGTCACTCCATGAAGTCTACTTGGAAATGTGGGAACCCAGGAGCCCCTCACTGCAGCCGAATTCTCTGGGAGGCTGCAGCTCCCGGATAAATGAGTTCACCTCCCCTTGATTTCCAGGACCAGATGGCTGCTGGCTTTGCTCACCTAAATTGGGGTGGGCGGGGGGGGTCCTTTAATAGAATATACACATAATAACTGAGGAAACTTTTTTTTTTTTTTTGAGATGGAGTGTTGATCTTGTTGCCCAAGCTGGACTGCAATGGCACAATCTCGGCTCACTGCAACCTCCACCTCCCGGATTCAAGCGATTCTCCTGCCTCAGCCTCCCTAGTAGCTGGGATTACAGGCATCTGCCATCACACCCGGCTAATTTTTTGTATTTTTAGTAGAAAAGGGGTTTCACCATGTTAGCCAGTCTGGTCTCGAACTCCTGACCTCAGGTGATCCGCCAGTCTCAGCCTCCCAAAGTGCTAGGATGACAGGCGTGAGCTGCCGCACTCAGCTGGAGGAAACTTTTTTGAAAAAAAGCAAGCAGAGCCGGGTGTGGTGGCTCACGCCTGTCATCCCCACGCTTTGGGAGGCCAAGGTGGGCAGATTACTTGACGTCAGGAGTTCGAGACCAGCCTGACCAACATAGTGAAACCCTGTCTCTACTAAAAATACAAGAATTAGCTGAGCATGGTGGCATGCGCCTGTGGTCCCAGTTATTTGGGAGGCTGAGGGCACGAGAATCACTTGAACCCTAGAGGTGGAGGTTGCTGTGAGCCGAGATCACACTGCGGCATTCCAGCGTGGGCAATAGAGTAAGAATCCGTCTAAAAACAAAAAAAAAGCGAGCAGAAAGGACTCCCATGGATAAAGTGATGCCACTTCAAATTCTACTAAAGAGATGGCACCATGGTCCAAAGATAGCATATTGCCAAGTGACTCAGGTGTGTGTCCTTACTGCCTGGAAGATGAAGTGCTTAGGTGGTTTTACTGTCTTACGCCTCGCTCTGGGCTGCCCCCCTCCACATTCCCACCTTGGGAAGCCAGTCTCTGGACAAGTGCTCCTCAATGCCTCGGGTGGGTCCCAGCATCAGGACGACAATAAGTGGCAGCCATGAACCCTCCAGAGCGATGGGAGCGGAAGCCTAGTGGGTGTGTGAGGCCTAGGAGCCAGCCTGGAGTGGGAACACGCCAACCTGCAAAGCCACTCTGGGTCTGTGAGCTCGAGACTGCGTCGCCTCCCTCTCTTACTGGCCTTGTGATGGCATCAGGTCTAGAGTCTAGGGAGTACCTTGCCCACTTTGAATCCTGGCGAGTCATTCAACAAATGTTGGCTGTACTTCTGTGGATGCAAGTTTGGCTCCAGGCAGTGTGGACAAAGCAGAAATGCCACCATGTCCACCGTGGGGAAGCTGACATCCCAGGGGAGAAGCAGACACAGAGCTAGGAATTACCTGTAGGGTGAGGATTAAGAAAGAGGAAGAGAGGGCTCTACAGGTAGGGTCTGAAGGAGACCAGTAGCCACTGACCTAGTCTAAGGGCCAGGGAGGTGTCCTCCAAGAAGTGGCATCTGGTGGACCTACAGCCGGGCTTGAGCGGTGACAGTGCTTCCAGGCAGGAAGCACAGCATGGGCAAAGGCCTAGAGGAGACACGAGCAGCCTTGCTTAGGGAAGCCCAGGCAGCAGCCTTGGGAGCTGAATCCAAGAGGCTGCGAGCTAGCAGGGCTTTAAAAAGCCTGGCTCGGCTGGCCTTGGGTTGGGGCCCAGTCAGCTTTGTGTCAAAAGCAGAGATTTCTGGTTGCTGCAAACACCTCCCAGGCGAGGCAGAGGCATGAGTCGCTAGCAAAAATTCTCCTTGAAACTAGTCACTGGTGCCAAGAAATAGAGAATCACGTTGCACATCAACCAGAAAGACAGCGGAGACCCGGGTACAGTGAGCCACAGGGAAGTGAACCTGGTAGTTCAGGGCAAAAGCCATTTTAAGAGGCTCACAAACAACCTGGGAGCAGGATCTGGACGCGCTTGTGAATTTCTCCTCTCATCTTTTCCTGTAGTCCCACCCATCCCAGTTGGCCGGCATGACTTTTTGGTAACTCATTTTCACAGAATCTTTCCAAAGCAGACAACGTTTCCATGAGAACATCATCTCTCTCTTGGAGGTTCGTATTTCATCAGTGAGTTTTAGGATTCATTGAATTTCCTCGTTGCTGTTACAAGTAGAGTGGGCCCGGGCCGAATTGGGAACAAATCAGACCGACTGCTGCTGGCCCAGGAATGAGTGTGAGCATCTGGGCCCTGGCCTTTAGTGGCCAAGGACGTGGGCCAGCACGTCAGCAGGAGTGAGGGTCACTAGCCTGGTGAGTCTGTGTGGCGGAAGTCAGTGGAACCTCGGTTGACTGGCTGAGGCCACGCCGGGTGCTGTACACACATTGTGAGCTGGCTTGCTGCATTTTTAGAAGCAAACACATGGCCTCCTTGGTGGGAGACCTCTGAGGGGCTCCACTTTGCTCATCGCTTGCTGTGTGACCATAGGCAAGTTACCCACCTTCTCTGAGCCTCACTTCCTCCTACCCTTGCAGTGAGGCCTCAACAAGAATGTGGACAAGGGAGGCAGGGTCCTGTGCATGGGCTGGTGGCATGGTCTGATCTCTATCTACCTGGCACCTTTTGGAGCCGGTGGGCATTTGCAGGCAGCAGGTCCTGCCCTGGGTCACAGCAGAGGGGGCCCCCCAGGACCCATGGTGGTCCCTCTTCAGCACAGACGCATGTGCTTTGGATTGGGGGTAAGCACGCTCTTTGATATCCTCTGTCTTGCCCCCGGCCCCTAATTGTGCAACTCTGCTTCCCAGGACCCAGGGCCTGGGTGGAGGCGGGAGGGACCTAGGACAGCCATCAGGTCAGCCTGTTGTCAGGGGTGCGGGGGCCAGAGCCAGAGGATGTTTGGTTTCTCACGAGCCATTGTAGTCCCAGGGGAGGGGCTGTTGGGCTCTGGGGATGTGGACACGCCAGAAGCAGTGACCGTGGCACTCCGAAGGGGCCCAGACTCTGTCCATCTTGATCACCCAGGCCAGGAATGTGGTGGCAGAAAGGCCGTCGAGATGAAGGCCCTGATAGGTCCTGGGGCGGGGGCAGGGGATCTTCCTCTTACAAAGGATGTGGGTCACGGTGAGTGGTCTTGCCACAATGTGGGAGGACAAGCAACTCGAGGTGGCTCCTGAGAGATGGTCCTGAGGCAATCCGATCCTGTTGCTGCCTCCTTCACCCTCCGTGGCTCCCCAGTGCTGGATAAGAAGGTCTGATGGGTTTGGCTGGACTCTGGCTGCCTCTGCATAGTTCCCCACCCACCACGACCATCTGGCCACACTGCACTCCTCAGATTCCATTTCTTCTCTGCACCCCCTGCAAAGGCTGTCCCCACCTTCTCTGATGCCACCATTTCAAAGGCATCTCATCTTTGAAAAGCTGCCTGGCTCTCGTCCTCCAGGGCCCAGCAGGGCCACCCCCATCAGCACCACCCCCATCAGCGCTCTACTCCAGCAGGTGATAACTGCTGGTCCATGGTCTGCTTCTCCCATGACATCCCAACTCTTCAGTGTAGGGCCTGTCTGGCATAGCCAAGCCCTCCATAAATGTTTATTTGCTGAATTGACAGCTGGATGAATGAATCATCCTGCAAATACAACTTTTTCCCACTTAATAAATATATTCTACCATTTTCCCACAATATTAGATGATCTTTGTAAACATTGTGACTTCTGTCAAGAGAGCGGATATAATAGGCCATGGCTTATTTAACCACACTGCTCTGTTTCTAATATTAGATGATTTCCGAGTTTATTTCTATTATAAACAATGCTGTGATGAACATCTTTGTGTGTAAGTTTGTTTTTCTGTATTTTGGATGTGATTTTCTGAAGCAGAATCTCTGGATTTGGGGGCTATAAATTTAAAGTCCTCAAAAGTAAACAATAATGTGTTTTATATTTCAAAGTAGCTAGAAGAGGGGACTTGAAATGTTTCTTTTTTTTTTTTTTTTTTGAGAGAGAGTTTCACTTTTGCCACCCAGGCTGGAGTGCAATGGTGAGATCTCAGCTCACTGCAACCTCCGCCTCCCAGGTTCAAGCGATTCTCCTGCCTCAGCTTCCCAAGTAGCTGGGATTACAGGCGCCTGCCACCACGCCCAGCTAATTTTTGTATTTTTAGTAGAGACGGGGTTTCGCTACATTGGCCAGGCTGGTCTCGAACTCCTGACCTCAGGTGATCCGCTTGCCTCGGCCTCCCAAAGTGCTGGAATTACAGGCGTGAGCCACCGCGCCTGGCCGAAATGTTTCTAACACATAGAAATGACCAGTACTCAAGGTGGTCAGCACCCCAAACACCCTGACCTGAGCATCACGTGTTCTATGCACAGGGCCAGGCACAGTGGCTCATGCCTGTAATCCCAGCAGATGGGAGGTGGAGGCAGGAGGATCACGAGCTCAAGATTTCAACACCAGCCTGGACAACATAGTGAGACCTTGTCTCTATAGAAAAAAAAAATTAGCTGGGCATGGTAGCACACTCCTGTGGTCCCAGCTACTCAGGAGGCTGAGAGAGAAGGATCACTTGAGCCCAGGAGTTTGAGGCCTCAGTGAGCTATGATTACACCAATGCACTCCAGCCTGTGTGACAGAGCAAGACCCTGTCTCAAAACACACACCCACATTCTCACACACAGGTGTGTGCCACAAAAAAACCCACAAACACATCCTATGCATATAACAAAATATCACATGTACCCCATAAATAGTAAAATATTATGTATCAATTTAAAAGTGTCAGCTGATGCTGTTTGGAGCACACAGGAGGCTGCCTGTTTAACCAATCCTCACCAGCATTGGATACATTTTATGTGTGTGTGTGTGTTTTTCCTACTTTGTTTTGTCTTTATTAATTGGCAAGCAGGCAATGATACTTAACTTTTAGTTTTTAATAAGTTTTAATAAACATTTATTTTAGGCCAGGTGTGGTGGCTCACACCTGTAATCCCAGCACTCTGGGAGGCCGAGGTGAGCGGATCAGGAGGTCAGGAGATCGAGACCATCCTAGCCAACATGGTGAAACCCCATCTCTACTAAAAATACAAAAAGTAGCTGGGTGTGGTGGTGCGTGCCTGTAATCCCAGCTACTCAGGAGGCTGATGCAGAAGAATCGCTTGAACCGGGGAGTCAGAGGTTGCAGTGAGCTGAGATCACACCATTGCACTCCAGCCTGGGCAACAGAGCGAGACTCCGTCTCAAAAACAAAACAAAACAAAACAAAAACATCTATTTTAGAATAATTTTAGATTTCTAGAAAAGTTACAAAGACAGTGCAGAGTTCCTGTATATCCCATGCTGAGTGTCCCATTATTAACACCTTGTGTTAGTGTGGTGCACTTATTATAATTAATGAACCAATATTGATCCATCATTATTAACTAAAGTCCATGCTTTACACAGAGCGCCTCAGTTTTTCCTTAATGTCCTCTTTCTATTCCAGGATCCAGCCAGGACACCAATCGCGTGTAGCTCTCTCATCTTCATGGGCTCTTCTTGGCTGTGACAGTTTATCGGACTTGCCTGGCTTGGATGACAGCTTTCTTTCTTTCTTTCTTTCTTTCTTTCTTTCTTTCTTTCTTTCTTTCTTTCTTTCTTTCTTTCTTTCTTTCTTTCTTTTTCTCTTTCTTTTTTTCCTTCCTTCCTTCCTTTTTTCCTTCCTTCCTTCCTTCTTTCTTTCTTTCTTCTTTCTTTTGGAGATGGGGGTTTCACTCTGTCACCCAGGCTGGAGTGCAGTGGTGCGATCTCAGCTCACTGCAGCCTTGAACTCCCGGGCTGAAGCAATCCTTTCACCTCAGCCTCCAGAGTAGGTGGGATTACAGACATGCACCACCACGCCCTGCCAATTTTTAATTTTTAAATTTTCTGTAGAGATGGGTCCTCTCCATGTTGTCCAGGCTGGATGGCAGGTTTGTTTTGTTTGTTTGTTTTTTGTTTTTTTGAGACAGTGTCTCATTCTGTCACCCAGGCTGGAATGCAGTGGCGTGATCTCGGCTCACTGCAACCTCCACCTCCTGGGTTTAAGTCATCTTCTCGCCTCAGCCTCCCGAGTAGCTGGGATTACAGGCATGTGCCACCATGCCCAGCTAATTGTTGTATTTTTAGTAGAGATGAAATTTTGCTGTGATGGCCAGGCTGATCTCGAACTCCTGACCTCAAGGGATCCGCCCACCTCAGCCTCCTAAAGTGCTGGGATTACAGGCGTAAGCTACTGCGCCCAGCCTGGATGGCAGTTTTGAGACAGTACTTGGTTTCCGTTCCTGCGCTGAAGGTAACTGTGGGGCTGAATGCGGCTCCATGAGTTGCTTTGATGTTCGGGTTTTCTCCTCCGTGTCCCTTTATCTCCTGGGGGTCTTGGTAGCTTTCCTAGAAATGTGAGCGGCTGTAGAGGTTGTCAACATGAGCCCTTTCCTGTCCTGAGCAGCTCACACAGTTCATGCCGGTCTGTGGTCCTTTCACTTTGGGCCTGTCACCTGTCACTCCACGGTACTTGCTGATGACCTTTCCAGGAGACGGGTGCTGGCGGTCTCGTGGGCCAAGCCCTGGGGATATTTCTATTCCTTGGTTCTGTGGGAGTCAGGGAGGGCCTGAGGGGAGCAGGGAGTGGAGGAACCTTGAGGCAGGGAGGTAGTAGCTGCAGGAGCATCTCAGACAAACCCATTGAGAGCAGCGAGGGCCTCTTTTTCAGGGTGGGCCACAAGCAAGATCCCAACGAAAAGTAGCGTGGCTTCTGTACCTGCCCATAGAGCCACAGCCCCAGAGTTAGCCCCTGACTACACTCAGAACAAAATGCAGAGTGCCTGGCTCAGCCCTGCAAAGGCTGCCCTGCCTGCCTCCGTCATCCCAGCCCCTCTGCAGGTCCGAGGCAGCCTCCCTGCTGGCCTGGCTGCCCAGGGCCTGGGCTAGAACTCCTGCGCCCCAGGGCCTTTGCAAATGACGGACACCCTCCCTGCAGGGAGGCTCCTTCTTGCCACTGGGGTCTTCGCTTGATGTCACCTCTCTAGGCAGGTTTTCCTGGTCAAATTGCCACCTGTCTCCCCTGCTGTGTCCCTCTTGTCTGCTCAGGTTTTAGACATGTAGACATGTGACACACTCGCCACCACCTGGAGTGGCTCTGTTTTTTTTTTTTTTGTTTTTTTGGTTTTTTTTGAGGTGGAGTCTTGCTCTGTCCCCCAGGCCGGAGTGCAGTGGCGCGATCTCGGCTCACTGCAAGCTCCGCCTCCCAGGTTCACGCCATTCTCCTGCCTCAGCCTCCCGAGTAGCTAGGACTACTGGCGCCCGCCACCGCGCCCGGCTAATTTTTTATATTTGTAGTAGAGACGGGGTTTCACCGTGTTAGCCAGGATGGTCTCGATCTCCTGACGTCGTGATCCGCCCGCCTCGGCCTCCCAAAGTGCTGGGATTACAGGCGTGAGCCACGGCGCCAGGCTGGCTCTTTGTTGCTTACATTGTGTGAGTGCCTCACTGGTGTCAGCCGCACAGACCCAAGGGCCGGCCCATCCCACGTCCTCTCCCTGCAGGGGCCGGTGCCAGGCTGGCACAGAGATGAGGTCAGTGAGCAGAGAAGGACGCTGGGCCGGAAGAGTGGATGGCACCATGCAGGTCTTCCTCAAGATCAGTGGGATAGCACCATCTGCTGCTGGAGGCAGCCGCGCTGCGTGGCCACTGCCCGGCTCCATCCTCATGGACAGGGGAGCTGCGGATGGGGTGGGGCATGGAAGGGTGGCCTGGAGCTGGGCCATGTCACTCCCCAAGGACCAGGGGGTCACACTCCCCTTGGACCAGGACTCAAGTCCTAGCTTCATCCCTACTCAGCAGCCTCTCCTGCAGGACCCAGCTATCAGGGTGGCCGGCTCTCCGAGAGGCCCACCTGGTCGGTCTAGAGTAGACACCAGACCAGGGGTTGCTGCCAATGTCCTGCCTGCACAGAGACCCTAAGACCTTCTCACCTGAGTCTCTCACACTGCCAGCTCTGCAATGCTCCGTATGAGGGGTGTGGGGCTGGGAGGGGCACCGCCCATTTTATGGGAGGAACGAGGCTCACAAGGGCAAAGCACTGTCCCGCTCATGAAAAGGTAAGAGCCAGGTTGGAAACTGGGTCTGTCTGACTGTTCGACAGCTGCTTTAACCATGGAGACTAAGTGCTGTGTGACCTGGGGCAGATGGCTTCACCTCTCTGAGCTGTTCCCTCATTGGTAAAATGGGGATGATAGTGACTGCACACATCTCCTGGGATAATCCTGAGGCCTGAGTGAGAGAGCACACTTCCAGGACCCAGTGAGGCAAGCGTCACATCACACTGTGGCTTTTAGCTCTGGCCTGCGGGACTAGGACCGTGCTCCTCATCCAGTGCTCTCCCCCCTCTACCCAACCCCTCCTGGGTCATGACAAGGCTGCCCCTGGGGGAACTGCATCCCTAAGATCATGGAGGGAAGCTGATTTCTGAAAGGCTGATCCCTGTCTTTGTTCAGGCATAGGAATCCAGGGCCTCAGCTCTGGGCCCCAAAACCCGATCACCATCCCTGTGGGGTCTCCAGGTGGGTGGAGCATAGCTGGCACCTGGCCAGCAGGGTTTAGAGTCTCACACCTGTGCCGGGCTGGGTTTGAAGTCATGCTCTGGGGAAGGAGAACTGCCCGGTCCCCTCTGCCAGGGAGAAGCTGCATGGCTGGAGCCGAAGTCTACACAGGGCCTGGCTCAGATGAAAGTCCTGCCATGTGCCCGGTGAGGGCCCCTGGATGAGCCTCCTTAACCGAGTGCCCCAGGAAAGGCTACTAGAGATCAGACCTCCAGGAAGGCGGCAGATCAGCAACACATTGCACCCACTGTGCCTGCCAACACTATGGGAGGAGCTGAGGGCCCAGGCAGGGGGACTGAGCACTAGCATTCGGGCGTCGACCACCACTTCCAGTATCCAGGGCTGGGTTAGCTTGGCCAAGCATGTGTGGCCCGAGCACAGAGCCTGGTGCACAGCTACTCTCAGAGACTGCTAGCCCTACAGGCTTCCCTCACCCTCAGGACTGTGGTTCTTTTTTTTTATTATTATTTGAGACGGAGTTTCGCTCTTGTTGTCCAGGCTGGAGTGTAATGGTGTGATCTCAGCTCACTGCAACCTCCGCTTCCCAGGTTCAAGCGATTCTCCTGCCTCAGCCTCCCAAGTAGCTAGGATTACAGGTGCTTGCCGCTGCTCCTGGCCAATTTTTTGTATTTTTAGTAGAGACAGGGTTTTACCATGTTGACCAGGCTGGTCTCAAACTCCTGACCTCGGGTGATCCACCTGCCTTGGCCTCCCAAAGTGCTGGGATTATAGGTGTGAGCCACTGCGCCAGGTCAGGGCTGTGCTTCTGAGGGAGATGCTGGCCTGGCCAATGCCCCTTACATGGCCCCACCCTGGGGGGAGGTTGGGAGTGACAGGTGAGGGCACCAGCCCAAAAAACCTGCCGCCACCCAGGGAGGAGCCTCTGATGACAGCCACTCAGTGTCATGCTGGAAAAGCCTCTGGCGGAGGCCAAAAGGCTTGGGCTGGGGAAGCTCTCATGGCTGGGCCTGGAGTGGGACCAGCAGCAGTCTGACCTCCAGCAGGTGGTCTCTGGCTGAACTGGCAGTAAATAACATCACTCCCACAGTGGGGTCGGAGGACATCCAATTCACCAAGCATTCTCCTGTATTCTTGATATTTGAAGAAGCTGCCAGCAAAAAAACAAACAAAAATGAAACAAACAAAAAAACCACTTGACAGCCCCGGGAGGCACACAGGTGGGTGGATGAGGAATTGTGATGCCCCCTCTAAGGAGAGCTGTGGCACTGACAGTATCCCTTTTCTCTTTTCTCCTCAGGAATAGAAGCCCTGCGTTTTGTCTGGCACTGGCTGTCTGGAGTAAAAACTACATTTCCCAGACTTCCCTGCAGCTTGGAGTGGCCATGTGACTGAAGGCTGGCCAATGGAAGGTATGCAACAGTAGTGGGTGTGGCTTCTAGGAGATGACGTTGGAGGAAGGAAACCAACCCATCGTTTTTGCTACTGCTGAGTGGAATGTGGGTGGGATAGCTGGAGCCTAAGCAGCCATTTTGTACCATGAAGTCAAAGCTACATGACACATATGAAGGAAAAAGATGGAGGGACCTGGGTCCTTGATGAATCTGAGCAACCTCATCACCCTGGACTTCCTTTACATGAGAAACACCAGTTTTTATCTTGTTCAGGGTGCATGTATCTTAAGTTTGCTGGCCTGCATAGCTAGGCTGAATTCCACTATAACTCATAGAGGGAAAACAGATACTCTGGGAGGTTCAACTGGGACCAAGACAAACTGTGGACTCAAACCCACTGGGTTCTGAAAGCAAGCCTTTCCTGTGCACCTTGAGGTGGGCTGCAGGTCGGGTGAGCATTGAGAGGACCCACCCTGCTGCTGTGGGGTCCGGGATGCCCCAGATGAGGCCTTGGCGAGCCTCAAGCGGACCGTGACCCTCCACTCCCACTCTGGCCTGTCTTTCTCATACACAAGGCCTGAGGTGTCCCCAGACAGTGATGCCCATATTTCAGTGGCAATGCCTTCCCCGGAACCCCCACTCTGTAGAGAATGTGTGTATGTTGGGGGTGACAGTCACTATGCCTGGTGCACAGTGGCCTCTCAGACCCAGCCTCCTGTCTAAGCTCATCTCTCCCAGCTAGGGACTTCAGGCTTTACCCCTGGGCCTCAGTCTCCCGACCTGTAAAATGGGAATCATAATGGCCATCCTTGCAGGGTCACTGGGTGAATTCAGTGGATGATGGGTGAAAAGCACCCAGCCATTGCAGAGCACTTTGTACGCTAACTCAGTCGGCATTAGCAACCCATGGGGATGCCCCTTTAAATCGGGGGTTCCTAAATTCTAGGGCATCCAAACTACCTGGAGGGCTTGAAACACACTGATTACTGGGCATCATCATCAGGGTTCTGGTTCAGCAGATCTGGGGTGGGGCCTGAAATGCAAATTTCAAGAACCACTGGTTTAAATCAAGAACCCTAAGACAAGCCGAGCGCAGTGGTTCACGCCTGTAATCCCAGCACTTTGGGATGCCGAGGCGGGTGGATGACTTGAAGTCAGGAGTTCGAGACCAGCCTGGACAACATGGCGAAACCCCGTCTCTACCATGGGCCTGTAATCCCAGCTACTCGGGAGGCTGAGGCATGAGAATCGCTTGAACCCAGGAGGCGGAGGCTGCAGTGAAGTGAGATGGTGCCACTGCACTCCAGCCTGAGTGACAGTCTCGCTCTATGTCTCACACACACACACACACACACACACACACACACACACACACACACCCTAAGACGAAAAACATGGAATCAAGGAATCAAGATCCCGTTAAGACCACCTGGGCCCAAGACCAGCCGGGCAGCTGGGTTTGAATTTGGCTCCAGTTCTTGGAAGCTGTGTGGCCTCGGGAAAGCCTTTCTTCTCTGACTCACCTATCATATGGGGAGAATTAGAACTCAACTCAGAGAGCTGAGGTGGAGTCAAAGCAACATGGCGCCAGGTGGGAAAGGCACCCACTAAATGCTCCCCTTCTCCCTCTCCCCCCAACATTGTCATCATCATCATCATCATCATTTTGTATAGCTCTGCTGTCCATCCTTCCTCCAGTGGCAAGGATGAGCGCCTGCTGCATACCCTACCCAGGCCCCAGGCCCACTGCCTCCTCTTCCGTGCCAAGCCTGGCCCTTGTGCCTGGGGAGGGGGCCCTCTGCCTTCCGTGTGCCATTGGGGCATGCCGGGATGCCCAGGCACGGTCTGTCCTGACTCCTCCCTGACCGCCTGACCAGGGTGAATCAGCAGTCGCCACAAGCATGTCACCGGCAGAGAGGCGCCATTGCCCACCAGGTGGAAAGATGGATGAATGGAAAGACCCGGCGAGGTGTCCTCAGCCAACTCTGCTACACCTGAAGCTTGTCCCTGAGGTCGCTGCCATCTGCTGGTAGGCCTCAGTACTGCATGCAGGGGTGCCCTCCCAGACCACCTGGGACCACCCAGCCCCCACCTCCTATACCCCAAATTGTCCCCAAGGGTGGGGAGGGCCTGCCCAACCCCATTCTCCTAGAAAGACCTGCAGACCACGTGGCTGTGCCAGCAGATTCATTGAGGTATCATTCATATGTGATATCATTCACATACCATACAATCCACCTGTTTAAGGAGTACAATTCATTATTTGTATTCACAGTGTGATGGTGACCATCACCACCATCTATTCCAGAACATTTTCATCATCCCAAAAGAAACCCCATACCAATGAGCAGTCTCTCCACTTTCCCCATCAGCCCCTGGAAGCCACTAATCTACTTCCCATCTCTATGGGTTTGCCTATTCTGGACATTTCATAGGAATGGAATCGTAAGTGTGTCCCTTTGGTCTGGCTTCCTTCACTTAGCACCTGGCCCTCCAAGTTCATGCCTTGAGGGGGTGTAAGACGTTTCAGCACTTCATTCCTTTTGTCTGTGAACACCGTTTCATCCTAGGCCATAGCACTGTATACATATAGCATCGTATATGCTATCTACAGTAGACAGTGGATACGTTGTATTTATCCATTAATCACTTGGTGGGCATTTGGGTTGTTGCCACGCATTGGCTATGATGAATAATGCTGCTAGAAACATTAGTATACGGGTTTTTGTGTGGACGTGAGTTTGCACTTCTCTGGGGCATATACCTAGGAGTGGAATTGCTGGGTCATGTGTAACTCTCTGTTCTGCAGTTTCAGAACTGCCACACTATTTTCCCACTTCTCACTTCTTGGCGACTTCCTGTTCTTGCTCCCCTCCTTGGGCTCCATGTAATATAAACTTTGGAGCCTGAGAGATCTTGGAATCAGCCCTGACATGTCCTTCACTGGCTGTGTGACCTTGAGACAATTGCTTCATATCTCTAAGCCTCAGTTTTCTCATCTGCAAAAGGTGAATCATGACAGAATGTAGCAGACACTGGCGTTGTTCCACCCATAACCCTTCAGGCCTCACCCTTCTGCACAAAGAGGCCCCAGGGCTTCCCATCACAAGCCCTTGGATTTCTTGTCTGAGGGGAGCAGGCCAGAAGTTCAGGGAGTGTCTGTCCCTGGGAGTAGTCCTCAACCAAAGGCAGACTTGAGTTGGTGGAAATAAATAGCCCAGGTGCCTCACCTGCATGTGGGAGACTGATGGGGACAGCAGTGAGTGGACAATTAACTAGATAATTACAGATTATGTTGGGTTCTTTGAAGGAAAATAACAAGGCACTGTAAGAACAAAATGAGAAGGGGCCCCAGTTGGAGTAGGGTGGTCGTGGTAGGTCTCTCTGAAGAGGTGACACCTTTAGAAGTAAAGATTATGAAGGGACTCAACTAGTGAAGAGTGGAGGGAAGATTAGTCTCAACAGACAGCATGTGCAAAGGTCCTGGGGCAGGGGAGAGTTTGGGATTGACAGAGATATCAGAGCGCTTTATCTGGCCTCACAGCCTGTGAAGGGAGCTTTTAGCCTGGGGCCCAGGTTGACCTGACTCCAGGGCCTGAGATCCTAAACACTCCTCATGAGGCAGCCAGTTATTTCTCTGTCCTGTCTTCTCTGCCCTTCCTTCAGCCCTGCAATCTGAGCCTTTCCATATCCCAGGGCCAGCCTGTCCCCTGTGAAACTGAAAGATTCTGATGCACAAGGAGAGGTAGCTCCACCTCTGTCCATCCTGCCCAGCAGAGTATCTGGCATTTAGCTAGCTGTATGGGTGCCTGCTGCATTCTCTACCCAGGCTCCAGACCCACTGATGGATGCCCATATGCTTGCTGGATGGATGGTAGATGAGTGGATGGATGGGGGGATGAATGGATGGAAAGATGCATAGATGGATGGAAGGATGGGAGAATGGATGGATGGAAGGATGGGAGAATGGATGGATGGGTGGATGGATGGATGGATGTGGATGGATGGATGGATGGATGTGGATGGATGGATGGATGGACAGTAGATGAGAGGATGAATGGGTGAACAGATGGATGGATGGATGGATGGATGGATGATGGATGGAAGGACAGAAGGATGGATGGATGAAAAGATGGAAGATGGATTGATAGATGAATGGATAGTAGATGAGTAGGTGAATGGGTGGACAGATGGATGGATGGATGGATGATGGATGGATGGATGAATGAAGGATGGATGGAAAGATAGAAGGATGGATGGATGGATGGACAGTAGGTGAGTAGATGAATGGGTGGACAGATGGATGGATGAATGAAGGATGGATGGAAGGATAAAAGGATGGATGGATGGATGGAATGGATGAAAAGATGGAAGATGGATGGATGGATGAAGGCATAGTAGATGAGTAGATAAATGGTGGACAGATGGATGGATGGATGAATGAATGATGGATGGAAGGAAGGATAGAAGGATGGATTGAAGATGGATGGTTGAAAAGATGGAAGATGGATGGATGGATGGATGGATGGATGGATAGATGGATGATGGATGGATAAAAGATAAGTGGATGGAGGGATGATGAATTACAGTGCCTTTCTCTTGAACTGTACAAAACACAGATAAATGTATTTGTTTATCAGTGATAATAAATGAATTTTTAAAATTTCTGTCTTCAAACCAGCCTGCTCAAGGCATGAGAGCTCCCAGGATCTCCCAGCCCACCACCAACACTCCCTGTGTCCTCTAAACTTTTCCAATCATTCCCCACCTTCTGGGCCCAGGTCAGCAGCCCCTCCAGCAAGAGTGCTGCAGAAAGGGCACCTAGTGGAAGTGTGTTCTGTTTCTCTGCACTGTGCCTCCCCTGCTGCTGGCTAGAGAGCAGGGCCAGGCTTTCTCTTGCATCCTCTCATGGCTGTGTATGCAGCTATTATTTACAGACCTTTTACCATCTATGTGGCCTCAGCAGCTCTCAATGACCACTGTGGGAGCCCCACTTGACAGATGGGGACACTGAGGCTGGGGAGGGGCAGCGGCCAGTTCTGGGCCACGTGGCTGAAAATGCTGTCATGATCAAATAACAGAAGTGACTAAGGCCACATCTGAATCAGCAGGTCTGAAAACAGCACATGTGCTGGCTTTTTACCCACCCAGAAGCCTCTTCTCCCATGGTCCCCTTCCTTGTGTGGACACACAGCCGGCCAGGCACTCAGGCACAAGTGTAGGCTGCCCCTGGTATTCCAGCCGTTGCAGCCAAGTGGGGACAGAGGTCAGCTCCAGGGGCTATATCTGTCACAGCCCTGGAATGCTGAGGCACGGTGGCCCTCCGATGGGTGGGCGCTAATTATAGGCCTGCTGGTTCACCTTTCTGAGTCCTTCCACCCCTGGGAGGCAGGAGGCCTCTGAACCCACTGAGGAGTTCAAAGACCCGCTCCGAGCAGCTGAAGCTCGGGCACCCACAGCCGTCCTACCCTCCCCATTGAAGTACTGACTCCATCCGACGCAGAGAAGGTCAAGCGGGCTCCAGGGCTGGGATGCAGGGGGCCGGGTAGTGTGGGTCCTTAGTCTCTTGGCTTCACCCAGGCAAGGCTGTCTTCCCCTGTGGGGCAAGCGGGGAGTGGACCAGACCCCGGTCAAGCGCTCCCTCTGCCCATGTCCACCCTGGAGAGCACTGTGCAGGCCGACTGGGCAGGCAGGGGACCTACTGGCCACTCCAAGAGGACCTTTTCTTCCTTTTTTTCCTTCATCCAGCAATGGTGATTGGATGCTGCCAGTGCTCTCAACGAGCACTTTCCATGGGGAGGGCACGAAGATGAAGGACAGAACCACTGCAATCAAGGTGCTGCAAGAGTGTCACCATTTTAAGTGTGCAATTGAGTGCGTTGAGGACTTCCACAACCTGTAACCATCACCATTATCTACTTTCAGTACCTTTCCATCTTCCCAAACTGAGACTGTCTCACCATCAAACACTAACTCCCCATTCCCCTCCCCCAGCTCCCAGCACCCACCGTTCTACTTTGAGTCTCTCTGGATTTGACTACTTCAGGAATCTCATCTAAGTAAAATTGTATCATATTTTTTCACTCAACACAATGTCCTCAAGGTTCACCCATGTTGTAGCATGTGTCAATGTCCTTCCTTTTTTTTTTTTTTTTTCTGAGGCAGAGTCTAATTCTGTTGCCCAGGCTGGAGGGCAATGGCATGATCTCGGCTTACTGCAACCTCTGCCTCCTGGGTTCAAGCAATTCTCGTGCTTCAGCCTCCCAAGTAGCTGAGACTACAGATGCACGCCACCACCCCGGCTAATTTTTGTGGGTTCTTTGTTTGTTTTTTGTTTTTGTTTTTGTTTTTTTGAGATGGAGTTTCGCTCTTGTTGCCCAGGCTGCAGTCCAATGGCGTGATCTTGGCTCACTGCATCCTCTGCCCCCCTGGTTCTAGCGATTCTCCTGCCTCAGCCTCTCGAGTAGCTGGGATTATAGGCACCCACCACCACACTCGGCTAATTTTTTATTTTTAGTAGAGACGGGGTTTTACCATGTTGACCAGGCTGGTCTCAAACTCCTGACCTCAGGTGATCCACCTGCCTCAGCCTCTGAAAGTGCTGGGATTACAGGCGTGAGCCACAACACCTGGCCTGTGGGTTTTGTTTTGTTTTGTTTTGAGATGGAGTCTCCCTCTGTCGCCCAGGCTGGAGTGCAGTGGTGTGATCTCAGCTCACGGCAACCTCTGCCTCCTGGGTTCAAGTGATTCTCCTGCCTCAGCCTTCTTGAGTAGCTGGGACTACGGGTACTTGCCACCACGCCCAGCTAATTTTTGTATTTTTAGTAGAGACGGGGTTTTGCCACGTTGGCCAGGTGATCTGCCCACCTCGGTGATCTGCCTGCCTCGGGTAACCTCAGGTGATCTGCCTGCCTCGGCCTCCCAAAGTGCTGGGATTCCAGGCGCGAGCCACCGCGCCCAGCCATGTCTGTCCTTTTTAAGGCTGAATGGCATTCCATTGCATCGATGGAGCACATTCTATACATCCATCCCTCTGCTGATGGATTCTTGGTGTGATGGTTAATACTGTCAACTTGATTGGGTTGAAGGATACAAAGTATTGATCCTGGGTTTGTCTGTGAGGGTGTTGCCAAAAGAGATTAACATTTGAGTCAGTGGGCTGGGGAAGGCAGATCCACCCTTAATCTAGTGGGCACAACCTAACCAGTTGCCAGTGAATACAAAGCAGGCAGAAGAACGTGAAATGGCGAGATTGGCCTAGCCTCCCAGCCTACATCTTTCTCCCATGTTGGATGCTTCCTGCCATCAAACATCTGACTCCAAGATCTTCAGTTTTGGGACTCAGACTGGCTCTCCTTTCTCCTCAAGCTTGCAGACGGCCTACTGTGGGACCTTGTGATTGTGTAAGTTAGTACTTAATCAACTCCCCTTTATATATATATACATATATATATACACACACACATATTTTTTATATATATATAGGAGATATATATATAATATATATGATATATATATATAATAGGATATATATATATATATCTCCTATTAGTTCTATCCCTCTAGAGAGCCCTGACTAATACACTTGGCTTGTTTCCACCCCCAGGCAACTGCGAATGGTGCTGTTATGTACATGAGTGTGCACACATCTATCCATGATCCTGCTTTCATTTCTTTGGGGATATGCCCGGAAATGGAATTGCTGGATCACATGGTAGCTCTCTGTTTAGTGCTTTGAGGAGCCACCGTACCATTTTTCATAGACTGCATAATTTTTCCATTCCTACTCCTGACAGGTTCTGGACCCAAAATCCCAGAGACTCAATAGGCAAAGACCTGCCCCACCTGCTCAGCCTCTTTCTCTCCCTTCCGATTCCCTCTGGGTGACGCAAATGCAAGTAGGGAGGCCACTGTCCCTGGAGCCCCTGGGGCGGCCTTTCCTGACTCAGAGGGCATCTTCCCACAGAGCCACAGGTGTGCGGTCTCCAGGCACTGCCCGCCCTGAGCACACGTGGAGCAGGTGAACCATCTAACAGTGATGGGTGCTGGGTCCCAGGACCCTCTCACCCCCATACCCTTTTCTTTTTCAGGAGAATTCTACCTGCCCCCAGCCCCTCCTGTGTGTAAGGAAGCAGGAGTTCCCACCGTGGCACCGGAAGCAGCGGGCACCCTCTGACCCCTCCCAGGGAGCCCACGCTCTCAGCCTGGGGCCCGCCTTCTCTCCCCTTCCCCTCATCCAGCAGAAGCGGGGTCGCTCTCCTTTTGGAGGCCAGCAGGCCCCTTGCCCTCTGTGCCTGATGCTCAAGCTGTGGTAACACAGCCCCACACAGGGTAGGTGGCTCAAACAGACATTTATCATCTGCAGGACTCTGGGCTGGATGTCCAAGACTGGGGTGTCGGCAGAGTTGGCTCCTTCTCAGGGCTATAGGGCAGAGTCTGTTCCTTTCTTGTCCTTTAGCTGCTGGTGTTTGCTGGCAAACTTTGGCACTCCTTGGCTTGTAGCAGCATCACCCTTGTCCCCACCTTTACGCTCTCATGGCGTCCTCCTGTGTGCACGGCTGTGCCCATGTGTCTCTTAAGGAGGATCCTGGTCACAATGGATTCAGGGGTCATTCTACTCCTATGTTACCTCATCTTCACCAGTTGCATCTGTAATGACCCTATTCCAAATAAGGTCACATGCTGAGTTACTAGGGGTTAGGACTTCAACAGATGAACTCTGGGGAGGAGACATAATTCAGCCCATGACCCCCCAAACACACACACAAAATGAAGTCCCTTGGACTCTGGTGTGGGGAAGAAGGTGACCATGGCACAGCCATCAGCTGCGAAAAATCCACATTCTCTTGTCAAAGCTGTTTTACATGTTAAACAAGAGCCCCCAGTGTCTCCTACGCCTTCATCAGGGACCATCTGTTGATCCTGCAGCACTGAGTACTGCTGCTTCCCCTGTGTTGACACAGCCCCGGGCAAGTTCCCCTTGCCAGGACTCAGGGTCATCATCTGCAAGGAGGGAGTGATGGCAGCCCCTGCCCCATCTCACTCTAGAGAAACAACAAAACCCACAGCAGAGCTCAGCTGCGTGCTGCTCCTGTTGACTGCCAGGAATGTTCGCAGCTGCAGGGGAGCCATTCCGGGAAATCTGACATGCGCTGGGGGCTGAAGGAGGCACCGAGATTTTCACTTGTGTTGCACACGTGCCAGGGAGGAGCCCAGCCTCCCTGTGGGTTTGGCGAGTCTGCACTAACCAATCAGGTGGCTCTGAGTCTGGGCTCTCTGAGTCTGGGCTCTGTGACCACAAGCTCTCTGGCCCTGGACACTCTGACCCTGGGCTCTCTGAGTCTCAGCTCTCTGACTCTGGCCTCTCTGACCCTAAGTTCTCTGACCCTGGGCTCTCTGAGTCTGGGCTCTCTGACCCCTGGGAGGGCATGGGAACAGAGAGCGATGGTCCTCACAGTCCCAGGCTCAGGAGAGCCTCCTCACCTGGACCCTGCCCATCCTGCCAAGTGCCAGGAGAGGTTAGTACACTGCCCATGCTGGCTCTCACCTGGGCCGGCCCAGGTGATTCCACCCATGCCATTGTTGGGGAACAGGTGTGAGGAGGCACCTAGTCCAAGGCAGGGCCCGGCCACTGAGTAATTGCTTCTCTGAGCCTCACCTTCTTAGGTAAAGACAGGGTGCACGGGCCCCAAGAGCAGGTTGTAAGGATAAAGGAAGTTTCTGTGCTGCCTGACCTGACACAGTTGCTCTAAAGGGTCCCTGGAGAAGCACACAGCTTCCAGAGGGAGAGGCTTTTTAGAGTTTTCAAAGAAAGTAAACTCTCTCTCTCTCTCTCCACACACACACACACACACACACACACACACACACACACAGACACACACACATCACACATTCAGACACACCCAGAAACACACACACACATACATGTCCTCACACAGGTACCACTAACACAAGATCACACATACCCACATGCACACTCACGCTTTCAGAAATACACGATCCTTCTCTCCACGCACACACACACGATGCACACACATGCACAAACATGCCTTTGCTTGTTTCCAACCATCCAAAAAAACGTAACTTTCTAAAACCAGGGAACTGAAATGCACCTTTAGCCCGATTTCTGGGAATGCCGTCTTCCTCTTAAAGCAGCAGCTGACGCAGGCTGATGCCAGCGCGGATTCTGCTGTGCTGGAAGCAAGCACGTTCCAGTAAAGGCGGCAAGCGCTCCTCAGCCTGCATCACGGTCTACCAAACGACAGAGTAGAATAAAATACTTTAATGTTGTGATGACACAAAGCCCCACACTGCCCCGCTGCTCCTGGGAGGCTCCTCAGTCTGCCAGGGCTGGCACTCAGGCCCTTCCCTGCCGGCTTCCTGCCACACAGACCCACAAATGCCCTGCATTGCAGGCAGCCCCCTCCGAGCTCCGACTTGGGCCCTCTTCAGTTCCCACTGGACCCTGATTTGAGCTGGCTCTGGAAATAGCTGAGAACCCAGACGCGGGACGCAGGGGCAAGGGCTCAAGGAGGAGAGTCAGAGTCAAGAGGCTGCCACGCCAAGATGTCGCCAGGAGCTCTGGCGGTGGCCACCAGGCCCAGCTAGTGCGCACTGGCCTCCAGCTGGGAGCCCAGTCTCGAAGCCTGAACGTGAGAGGGCTCCAGGTTATCCGGGCTCTGCTTCTGCCGCCGCCGTCGGGGCTGGACCCCCTTACCAGGGGGTCTGGGCAGCCCACTCTGTAGCTGCCGCACCATCTCGTGGTCCCTGTGGTCCAGCACGCGGGGCAGGAACAGGGAGGACTTCTGTGTGCGGCGGGTCTTGAAGCCCCTGCGGGGCCGGCCCTTGCCGTTCACAGACACGTACCACAGTCTCTCGGCGCTGGGCTGCCGGCGGGCCCCAGGCGTACTAGACACCGTCCGGTACAGCCGGGAGGCATACGTATTATAGCCCAGCTCGTGGATCCGCTCCACAAACTCGCACTCGGCGCTGTAGTGCTCCTGCGGGGATGAGATATCATGGTCAGTGCCCCGGGGAGACTGTGGCAGCGTCAGGGCCCAGGGTTGCCTGATGCCTCCCTCCCCTCCTGTGAGGCTGTTCGGTCCAGTGCCAAACCCCAGCGCACTCTCAGCCAGTCACACCTTTGCCTAGGCCCTGCCCTCTGCCCAGCATGTCCTTCCTCCCCTGTGTGCCTGGTGAACTTGGCCTTCTGCCTAAAGGTCACCTTCACTCAAAGCTGTGCCAGACAACTCCCAGCTCCTGCTCTCTGGGTTCCACCAGCCTCTGTCCCCCATCTGAGGGCGCTGACACAGCAAAGGGATGTGTAGGGTTGTCTGTGGAGCAGAGACCAGGCCGGCCAACCCAGGTGCCCTGGCAGTCTGCTGGCAGTGTGGAGGTCAGCAAGGACTGGGCATTTGGACAAAGGAAGATGACAACACCCAGATCTCTTTTAAAGAAATTGCAGAGGCTGGGCACGGTGGCTCATGCCTGTAATCCCAGCAGTTTGGGAGGCCGAGGCAGGTGAATCACCTGAGGTCAGGAGTTCGAGACCAGCCTGGGCAACATGGCAAAACCCCGTCTCTACTAAAAATACAAAAAAATTAGCCGGGTGTGGTGGCGTGCGCCCACAATCCCAGCTACTTGGGAGGCTTAGGCAGGAGAATCACTTGAACCCGGGAGGCAGAGGTTGCAGTGAGCAGAGATTGTGCCACTGCACTCCAGTCTGGGCGACAAGAGCAAAACTCTGACTCAAAAAAAAAAAAAAAAAGAAAAGAAAAAAAAAGAAATTGCAGAAAAGAAAAAAGAAGAAAGAACACAAAAAGCAGGAAGGGAAGGGGACACAGCCAGGTTTGATGAGCCCAGACTCTCCATTAAACGCTGCGCTCAGGGGCCCCAGCTGGGGTCATTGACCCCTGAGCAACACTCTCTTAAGCTGGAGGATCTCGCCTTGCAGGTTGAAGAGGTTACAACACAGAGCAGGGGCTGGGGCCTGGCATGAGGCACATGATCAATCAGTGCCACAGATACTGCTGTTCTTAGGATGAGAGCAGAAGCTGGGGTGTCCCACCACAAGCAGGACAGAGAGGACACCTCTTTGTCATCAGAGATTAATGGGACCCTTGTCAGGCCCAGGGTGCAGTGGGGGAAGGGCAGAAGGGACCCTGCCCTCTCAAAGGCACAGTGAAGCTCTGAACTGAAGGAGCTTACACCAACATCCCCAAGACTTGGCCGTGGGAGTTTCCCTCAAGGGCTGCCTCATGGGGTCTTCTTAGTCTGTGGCGTAGGGAAGAGGTGGGTATGCCTTATGCAGACCCACTAGGCTTCAGTCCCAGCTACAGGCAAGTGGTAATGCCTAGGGCCACCTCCCTCAGGGGATGACTGACAGGAGCTGCTCCCTCCAAACCAGAAAGGGTGGTGGGAGGTGGAAGCAGCAGGTGCAAGGCAGACAGCAGGATCTCTCTTTCCTCCTGGGGACTGGCCGCAGGGAGGAGTCGGAGGCCCTCATGGTCTGTCCCCATCTGGGGTGTGGTGTCCCGTGGCAGAGAGAGAGAGTGGAAATGGCCTCCAGAGGCTCCCAGACTGGACCGAGCAGCATCTGACCTCGCAGGACCTCAGGGAACAAGATGCTTCAAGCACCCCATCCTGTTTTTCAGCGACATGAAAGCCCAGAGCAGGGAAGGGTGGAAGGCTTGACCTGGTGGTAGGGGCTGCCTCTCCCCATAACCCCAAGCCCCCCTGCTCTCCAGCCCTCTTGGAGGCCCAGTGCCCCCTGGGCCACAGTCTGGATGTTACTATCCAAGACCGGTCTCCATGTTTATAGATGGGGAAACTGAGGCCCAGGGGTGGTGCCAGGCCCTACATTACAGGGGATAGAACAGTGTCTGATCTGTGCCTGACCCCCACATAGCCTGGGGCTCAGCGACTATCTGGGAATGAGCGGGTGGGCTCAGGGCCGACTTCCCCACCCCACACACTGGGTACACCATGTTAGTGTCTGGCTCCCATGGCAGACTGTGAGAAGCTCAGGGCAGGACCCAAGCTTCTCCCAGGTCCCTCGATCCTGCAGCAGGTGAGTCCTCTCAGGGCCAGAGAGGCCAGGAAATAGGCTTTCTCTTTGGGGGGCCACTTGAGGGGTGGGTCACTGAAGGACAGGTGCCTGTGAGCCTCAGGTGGCAGGGGGCTCAGGCTCTCCCAAGGTGGGAGATTGGGGGCAGTGTAGATCAATTGCTGACACGTGGTAGGGCACCTGGGGTGGCCAAGATGACCAGGGCAGAAGGTGTTGGCTCAGGGGCCAGGGCCATAGACTCCAGAGCTACTGCAGTTGGGACTCGCTGTGACAACACTTTCCAATGTGTGTCCTGACACTGCCGCCCCACCAGACCTGGTTCCACAGGCCCCTCCCCCAGGGCCGCTTCCACCCCATGAAGGGTGGGGAGGAAGCCGACTCCGAAGCTGCTTTGTTGAGGAGGTGACTTCTAAAGGGAGCTGTAAGGGCGGGGCGGGCACTTTCTCATGGGCATTTTCTGGAGGAGGGCGTTCCAGGCAGTGAAGGTGTGGCCTGAGCAGTACAGATGGCTTGGAGAGTTGAGGGGGCTTCCGGAAGCCGGAGGAGGCTCAACCTCTGGATGACAGCCCCCCTGGGAGCAGATGGCACCTGGGCTGCTGCTCTGTGGGTGGAGCTAAGGTGCCTGGGGGATGCCTGCGCATCATGGGAGTCCTCAGAAGCCATGAACTGGGCTGATTTGCTTTTTTAGGAAGCCCCTTTAACATGCACTAGCAGAGTGCAACACATGGTAAGTGCCCAGGACACTGACTGGTGAACGAAGGACTGAATGTCAGATGGGTGGGTGGATGGATGGATGGATGGGTGGATGGATGGATGGATAGATGGGTGGGTGGATGGATGGATGGATGGGTGGATGGATGGATGGATGGATGGGTGGATGGGTGGATGGATGGATGGGTGGATGGCTGGATGGATGGATGGGTGGATGGATGGATAGGTGGATGGATGGATAGGTGGATGGATGGATGGGTGGATGGCTGGATGGATGGATGGGTGGATGGGTGGATGGATGGATGGATGGATGGATGGATGGATGGATGGGTGGATGGGTGGATGGGTGGATGGGTGGATGGCTGGTTGGATGGATGGGTGGATGGATGGATAGGTGGATGGATGGATGGGTGGATGGCTGGATGGATGGGTGGATTGCTGGATGGATTGGTGGATGGGTTGATGGGTGGATGGGTGGATGGGTGGATGGGTGAAAGGATGGAAGGAAGGAGGGAGCATGGACGGATGGACATGTGAATGGGCAGATGGACAGATGAACGGTTGGAAGGATGGATGGAAAGAAGGATGAGAGAAAGGAAAGAAGGAAGGAAGGAGAGGTGTATGGACAGATGGGTGAAGAGAATAAAGGAAGGGGAAAGAAGGAAGGAAGATGGATGGATGGCTTGACAAACAGATGGACTGGAGGTAGGAGAGGCTGGAGCAGTGATCCAGGTGGGAAGTGATGAGCCTGCCTTTTAAGGCGTGCTCTCAGGGATGAGGCAGAGGGAGGTGAGGTGTGTGGGCTGAAGAGATGCAGGGGCGTGGTCTGAGGACTAGGGATGGACTGAATAGCAGGAGGGGTCTACCATGACTCCCAGCCCACTCTGGGTGAGAGTGAGTGGCTGGTGGGGCGATGATTAAGATGGGGAGTCGGGGAGCTGCTGAGTTCGGTTCGAGTGTCTGAGTCAGCAGGATGTTGGGGGAGGGTGGTCTATACCTCAGAAGGGAGGTCAGGGCCAGACCAGGAGTGTCAGGGTGCAGTGCTCACTGGCCCACAGTGAGATGAGCTGGCCTGAGGGCAAGCATGCTGCCGGCAAAGTCCAGGGAGCCCCGTGGTGGGACAGCACTCCTAGGCAAGCTGGCCGCACGCAGGACTGTGGTATCAGGTGGCAGGTGGCAGGTGACGGAGTTGGCATCCAGGCTACTATGCCTCCCAGGTTGTCTGCAGGGCAATGGGAACTTCTCCACTGGGCACTCTGGAAAGTTCCACACCCTCCAGCCAGACTGCTTGGCTAAGCATCCCTGGTGGGGCTAGGAGCCTCTGTCCACCCTTCTCAAAGCCAGGCTGTGAGTTCTCAGGCACGGAAGCCCCAGGTGGGCTCTGAACCACTGGGACCCCCTCATGTCATGCTTTATTCTGTCTCTCCAAATCCTGGCTCCCCTATGGCAGAAGCTGGCACCATGAGGGCCCCTGCTCCCAGACACAGCTTCCAGGACACTGACTGATGAATGGACTGAATGTCAGATGGATAGGTGTATGGATGGATGGGTGAGTGGGTGGGTGGATGGATGGGTGAGTGGGTGGGTGGATAGGTGGATGGGTGAGTGGATGAGTGGATGGGTGGATAGGTGGATGGATGGATGGATGGATGGATGGATAGGTGGATGGGTGGATGGGTGGATGGGTAAATGGGTGGATGGGTGGATGGGTGGATGGATGGATGGATAGGTGGATGGTGGATGGGTAAATGGAAGGATGGGTGGATGGGTGGATGGATGGATGGATAGGTGGATGGATGGATGGGTGGATGGGTGGATGAGTGGATGGATGGATGGGTGGATGGGTGGATGAGTGGATGGGTGAATGGGTGGATGGGTGGATGGGTGAGTGGATGGGAGGAAGGAGGGAGTAGCCTCTGGACCAGAGAAAATGAAGGGGCGCATCCCGGCTTTCTGGACCTTCCTTTAGCAAAACGGCTAAAAATCTGTGATGAAATCATCAGCTTCTGCGAGAGGGAGCTGCGGGATGTGTCCTCTGTGAGCAGGACTGAGCAGAGAGCTCACTGCAGGGAGATTGTCCTTGGGCCGCGTCAGCCAGGCTACTCATGGATGGAAAACCTCTCATTGCCCAAGGAAGTATCAGCCAAATTGCATGTAATGACTAGTTGGAGGTAGCAAATTTCCCTGTGACATGTATTTTACTCTGTGTATTCCCCACCCCTACCCCTTATGAAGAGGGGCGCTGCCATACCCACAGAGTAAGGAGACCCTTTTTGGTTACACGGAGGCCCAGGCAGTAGATAGACTGGGTCCCAAGCCAGGGCTCCAAGGCTCCTGTGTGCCCGGGACATGGGCGCCATCCCCCTTCCCCTCCTAGGCTTCAGCTCTCGCCTTTCCACCCTTGGAGAGAGCCGGTGGAGCTGGGCCAGCGTCCTCCTCTCCATGCTCCCAGGAGAGCTCTGGCTGCCCCAAGGAACACTCCCAGGTTGTCTTGGGTCCATTTATTTTGGTGGAAATTTGGAGAACAATCACTTCCCTGCTCTCAGCTACTCTCAAGGGAGGGTGGTAGTGATGACAAGGATGGGGGAAACCTTTGCTAACCTGGCATTCTCCAGATCCCAGGTCCCCCAGGGCCAGGCTCCAGGTCACTCGCGGAGCAGCCTCTAACAGACACAGCCAAAGATCACTGGGCGTGGAGCCCTGGGCCAGGGTCTGGTCCTAGCTTGGGTCCCGTGTACCCTTGGCAAAGCATTCTACTGCCCACATCCCCCGTCCCCTGGCTTGATGTGCAGGCCAGACCGCTACTCCGTCAGCGCCCACCCACGTGACAGCCTGGACTCACCGAAGCATAGAGTCGTCCCCTCTTGTTCATGGCCAGGTACCGCCCGGAGAAGAGACCCCTGATGGCCACAATGCCCACCTCCACTGCCGTTATCTCCAAAATACCTAGAAGAAATGAGAGGTGCCTCACTCCCGCCGCCCCCACGGAGGGGGCGGCTGAGGCCCAGCTGGCCCTGCCCAAAGCCACACCCCGGGCTCAGGGCTGGGGAGGGTAGCACACACCCCACAGGTCGGGGAGTGAGTGGAAGTTCAGGAAGGGAGAAGTCACCGGACAGGAGGTAGAGAAGGGAACATCAGGGAAGGCTTCTCTTCATTCAAACTTGGGAGGGTAACAATGAAATTAACATTCCCACCTGCTGACGCTGCCTGCACCCTGGCTTTCATTCGAGCCTCACAACACCTTGCCAGCTGCCATCATCATCCGACAGACAAGCAAGTGGGGACCACTATGGCTGGGTGACTGTCAGGCCCCTGCACATGTGCTTGAGCGGGAAATCAAGCCCTGGCGGCAGCCATGGGAGTCTGAGCTCTGGGACTGCACGGTCCCCAATGCCTGTGCCTGCCAGCGGGAAAGCTGGGCCCTGATGAGCCAGGCTGATAATATAAACCACTGGCAATAACACAGCCAGGGTGCCTGCCACCCAGATCATGCTGGCAATAGACCTGGCGGGAGATCATTGTACTCGCCGGGGGACCTGGAAGGGCAGGAAGCCAGTTTAGACCCTGGAGCCCGCAGAGGGAAGCTGGACGGGTCTCACCCACTCCCCAGGGATAAGAAAGTTTAAATCTCCCCTCCCGCCTTTCCTTCTGGATACACGAGTGCTGTGGTGGGGGCTGGGGGCGGGGGACTACATCAAAGGACGGGTTGGGGTCATTGTCTCCCAATAGAGGCTGCGAGGGGATTGGGGCGACTGCCTGCACCCTCTCCAAGGCATGCCTCTCAGGAGCGCCCTCCTGGCACGCGGTCCGAGCACAGACGCGGTCACCACCGGGCTTTTGCTCCAGCCCAGGGGTGCTGTGGTGCAGGCTGCGAGCCTCCCGCCTTCCCAGTGCGCAGGCTGGGCGGCATCGGCGGTGCCTGACCGGGGACCAGCGAAGCACGAGTCTCGACGCAGGACAGGGGCGGCTGCGGGCGCGCGCCCTCCCCTCCCCGTGAGCAGCCTACACCAAGAAGTTTGGATGCTGTGCGACTCCGAGGGGGAGCCTGGCTTTGGAGAGAACCGGAGTGTCTTAGTGAGACGAATTCCGCGCACTCGGACCCCCTGGTGACAGCTGGTGCCCACCGTGCGGCTCCGGAGGCGCATGTCCCCAGGACGCCCTCTCAGGGCTGCGGCTTTCCTGGAGGAAGCCGCGGTTTGCTGAGGCCGCCGCCGCCACCTTCAAGCGGCGGAACCGCTTCCTGCGCCCGGGGCCGGAGCCGAGCGCCGCGCGGAGCACCCGAGGACAGCTGTGGTCTTGACTGCCCTCCCACGCTCCCCACGCGGTCCTCCCGGGCCCTGAGCTCCGCTATCCTGCTCCTCAAAGGGCTCGGCGCGGGCCTCAGGTCCCTGTGACCAGAGGAGCCCAACCGTGTAGTCCGGCAGACTCCCGCGGTGAGCGCAGCCCGGGCCGCGGGTCCTGCGTGCGGGGGCCGGAGTGTGTGTGTCTGCACCCCCAGGCCCGGGCGGACACCGTTCCGCGCTCGTGATCCGCACGTCCCGACGGCGAGGGCCTCCACCCTCCTGTCGCTGTGCGGCCAGGGCGGAGGCGGGGGAGGTGCAGATTCCAGCGCGGGGAATAACTGTCGGTGGCGGCCGCGGCCAGGGAACCGAGCTCCGCAGGGCAAGAGTCCTCCGCGCAGAGGCAGCAGCGGGGGCGGCCACCTGGGCAGCCGCGAGCGGGGAGGGCGGAGGGGACGGCGGGGCGTCCAGGGGTCGGCAGGAGGAGGAGAAGTCGTCAAAATAATAAAGAGGATGATAAATGCCTTGTCCGGCTCCTTTTCTCCGACACATTCAAAGGGCTTAAACTTGTCAGAGCTGCCCAAAGCAGCAGAGCCTGGAGCCCCGGGGTCGCCTAGCTCGCGTCCCCTCAGACCAGCGGGCCGGACCGGGGACGGACTCTGACAGCCGCCGGCGCCCTCTTCGGACGTGAACGCCCATGCCCCCGAGTTCTGCTCGAACCCCAGCGCGCGCTCTTCTCCCGGACGTGTAGGTTGAGGAGGGCACCCTGGCATTCCCCTTCTGGCAGCGGGAGGCAGACGGTCTTTTCCCGGACACCCCGGGCGCACCATGCCTTCTCCCGGGCCAGACCCCTCCCCGGCGCCGCCTCCCCCGCGGGGCCCCGCAGCGCGCCTTCTCCCGGGCCCGACCCCTCCCGGCGCCGCTTCCCCCGGGGCCCCGCAGCGTCCGGCACTCACTGTAGGCGCTGTTCTCCAGGCTGCCGTTGACGCGGCCGCTCGGGTGCAGCTGGAGGTGGTACTTCGTGGCGCAGTAGAGCTTGCGGCGCCGGGGCGCCCCGCCAAGGTGCTCGTAGACGCCGCCACGGCCGCCCGCATCGCGCCGCAACCGCGCCCCAGGGCCCGCTGCGGGCCAGCCGGGCTCCAGCAGGCTGAGCAGTAGCAGCCAGATTAGGCCCATCGTGGCATCGCGCCCGCCCCGCGGCGGCGGCGGCTGCAGGCGAGCGCGGCGCCCATGGAAGGGGCGGCAGCCGGACAGCTGCGAGGTGCTCGGAGCGGGATCCCGCGCCTGGAGATGCTGACTCCGGCTTCGCGGGAAAGGTGGGGGAAGAAGGGGGAAGGGTGGGCGAGAGAGAGAAAGAGAGGGAGAGTGGGAGAGGGAGAGGGAGAGAGGGAACGCGAGTCCCTTTAATTTCCACCCAGGAGCAATGAAATTTCCGTTGCTGCGCAAAGCGCTGAAAGAAAGGACGGTTCGCCAACAAAAGGCCGACGTGGTCCCCAGGCGGAGGCGCGGGAGGGGCGGGAGGCCGGCGGGTGGGGAGCCCCGCGGGGCTCGGGGTTCGGGCCGGGCGCCGTCTGCATACACTCGCCGCCAGCGCACCGCCGTCGAGCCGCGGCTCCGCTCCGCAGCGCGCCCCACGCCCCCGAAAGCCCTCCTGGCTCTGAAAGGTCCCCTACCCGCCCCTCCCCCGCCCCCTCCCCCAGACCAATTATGCCTCCGAAAATTATAGACCGAGGCCTTGAGGAGGCCGCCCCAGGCCCTGTCACCCCCTCCCGCTCCCCATCAATCCCCCTGCACAATGGGGCCGCCGCCGATGACTGATGTCCGTGAAAACAACTTGCGGGGAAGTCGAGCTGACAAACGCCCATTAAAGGCGGCGCATAATGAAGGGGACCGCGGAGGGCGGCGGCAGGGAGGCTCCGGGGCGCGGGCACGCGTGGGGAGCTCCGGGTTTGTGTCTGCGCCCGGCGCTTCCTGCAGGAGCAGTGGCGCTGTCCTCAGCCTTGCAAGGCGCGGGGCAGGCCGGGTCTGGAGATGCTATCTCCTTTTGCGCACACCAACTGGGCACCCGGAGTGGTGGGGTTAGCTCTCGTCTGGCAGGCCTCGGAGGATCCCGTCCCAGTGACGGTCCAGAGAGGGGCCTGGGGAGGCGGGAGGAGGGACGCGAGAGCCAGAGAAGTGGGCGCCGACAGAGAGCCCTAGAGAGAAAGAGATGCAGATAGAGACAGACAGAAACGGAGGAGGAAAGGACGGGAAAGACATGGAAAATGTGAATGACAGAGATCGCCAAAAAGAGGAGGCAGGGGAGATGGAAAGAAGACAGAGCCGCGGAGAACACCCAGAGAAAAGCACAGGGAGTCTGGTAGCCACAGCGGGTGGGTGATGACAAGAGGAACCCGGTAGAAGCTGGGAATGGGTGTGGGGGAGTCCTGGCCTGGAGGATCTGAATCAGTGCAGATGCCCAGGTGGTCCCCTGGACTGTGTGGGGGTCAAGGTGTATCTCAGGGGGCCCAGTGAAGAGGGGCTTCAAAAAGTATCGGGAAAAGCCATGTCCCCACCCATTTCTCTTGCTTCCTGGTCCTCTGTCCCCCAGGGTCCTGGGGCCAGCAGGAAGCAGGGGCCAGCACAGGGGATTTGCTTCTCTCAACCCTGCCCCAGAGGAGGGCACGCTGTGGAGTCCAGGGGTCTAGGCCACAGCTTTGGCTCCAAGTTGACCAGGGGCTCTGGGGTGAGTTGGGTGGGCTGACATTCCCCAGCCTGCCATCTGCATCAGGGTTTGGGGTCAGGCAAGTGTGCAGGGCACCATGAGCTGTGGCAGTGAGCACACACCCCTGGGACGTGTCCAGCTCCCATGGCCCAATACACACAGGGCAGTGTGTCCTCTGTGAGCCCACTCCAGCGTGCACAGGGTCCAGGTGGCCATCCTGAAGGAGGGCGCCCCCAAGCCATCCCCGAGCACCTCAGTCTTAGTCAGGGTCTCCTAGCCGCTGCCCCAGGGCCAGCTTGTGAGAGTCCTTGAACAGGCCAGAGGCCAGCCACTGAACTACTGGAGCCTCAGACTCTTGATGGAGACTGTGTTACAGGGGTCAGAGGCTGGTGACAGGAAAGCCCCAAAGGACAGCAGCAAGAGGAGAGCTTGTCCAGTGCAGCCCTGTGCAGGCCTGGGCTGGGATGTGTGGTCACCTGGGCTCCCTAAGAGGCATGGAAGAGGCACAGGAAGGAGGTCGCTGCTCTAAATGCCTTAGCTCTGCTACCTCCTGACACCTGGCCAAGAAGAGAGGAGATGTAGTGGCGGGGGTGGGGGGTGCACAAGAAATTCAGAGAGGGGTGCAGTCAGGGGGCACAGTCTGACAGAGAGAGGAGAGAGGACACAATAATGTTTTAAGAGAGAGAGAGCAAGAGCAGCCTGCTGGGGCCAGGGGACTTCCGATGCCCTTTCCTGTCAAGGCTCCGGCTGCCTCCTTGGCAGGACCCCCTCTGGAGGACTGGGAGGAGCCAGAAAAATCTGACCAAGGCAATCTGGGTGTCCATGCCCCTCCTGCTCTACACCTGGGGCCCCCAGCAGTTCCCAGGGAAACTCCCGGGCTCTGGTCTCCAGCCCTGCCCACTGCCAGGTTGCCGTGTGCCCGAGAACCCAAGATGAGGGCAGGGGCTGCTGCCCTGAAGCAGGAGTCCAAAGGTGACCCCTCTATAGGAGGGAAGCTCAGGGGATGGGCAAGAGGTTTCCAGCTCCTAGGGAGAACCTGACACACCAGCCACTCAGTGCATACTCCTAAAATGAATGAATGGTTCGGCCACTTCCTGCCACGAGGCCTTGGCTGTGTAGTGTCGCTCCTGAGATACTGGTTTCTCATGTGTGTGATGCCCCAAAGGTAGGGCCGGAAACTGAGTGGCATTACCTCTGCAAAGCCTCTGGCCTCCCATCAGCGCAGGGCATGCTCCAGCCGCAGGGGACCACAGTTTATGACGCAAACCCTGCTGCCTTTGAGAGTGAAAGAGGGCGCAATTTGCAGTTATACCAGGACAGCCGGTGCCCTGCCTGAGGTCCCTCCTGGTGGCCCTGGCTCACTGTCTGCTGTTCTGGTAAGCATGACTTTTCCGAGGCAGCCAAGCTCTCTGGGCCAAGTTTTCCTCTCTCCTCCGGTCGCTGGCGACAGCCTTCAGCCCGGTCCTTCCATCTGCGGTCCACCCTGCAGTCACGGGAAGTGGTCTGGAGCCCAAAGCTGCCTTCTCCAGCTGCCCCAGCCCCTCTGACAAATGCCGTAGTGTTGGGGGAACCCTGGGGATGCTCACCCACCCGCGTGGACCTCTAGTTCACTTCCCACATCTTCTGGGCTGCGCCTCCAGGCCCTTGCTCACCCACCTATTGAGTTCTTCCTCCTCATCTAAACCTGTTGATCTTTCCAGCCCAGGAAGCCCCCCAGACCCCCACCCTGGGACTCTGGGACCCTCAGGCCCAGCCAAGGGAGGGGAACCTGATTCCTCCACATCTGCCCGGCAGGGGCAGGGGGCTGGGCCACAAAGTCTTGTGTGTGGGGTGGGGCAGAGGCACCCACATAATGGCAACCTCGCCCCTCTCCCTCCCATTCGGAGCCAGGCGGGGGGTGCACCATGCGCTAATAGCGACCCTGTTAATTGCTTCCAAATGGTCAACTGTAGTCATTTGACTAATTGGTCTCTTCCAGAGCCCAGGCTGGACACCCCAGGCCCAGCAGAAGTGCTCCTACCAGCATCCCCCGAACCTCTGCACTGGGACCCTGTCCCCCAGAGCACCCCCAGCCCTATCTGGTACCTGAGTCTGCCCCTAGCCTCTTCCCCTGGAGAGAGAGCTGGGGTGGAGAGAGGGCAGAGAACAGGGTCCTATGGTGTGGCCGCAGGTGGCTGGCCAGGGACTGTCAGATGTGATGCTGACTCCCAGCCCCAAACTCACTCTAATTATGTTGCCTGCCCCCCCATCCTCTTACCCCATCCTTGTCCCCAAGAGCAGTGGGAGAGAGACCCAGCCTGCCTGTGTCACTGGGAGACCATGGGTCCCTGAAATTCTGGGAGCAGCCCTGATCAGCCCCACATTACAGATGAGAAAGGGAGGCTCAGAGAGGTGAAGTGACTTGCCCGGGGTCACACAGCCAGGAGATGAGGCGAGAAGACTGGAATGCCCCTTCTGGCTACGGGACCCAGGACCCGAGCAGTGGGGAGAGGGAAACCATTGCCCCTCTAAGTCCCTCTGGGGCAAAGCTGGCACTTTGCTTCTGGCAAAGTTAGGAGCCCCCGCAGGCAGGGGTGGGATGGAAGGCACATCTCCCCGCAGTGGGGCCTGCGCAGCACTTTGAGGCTCATCCACGGTGTGGCGTGTGCCAGTGTGTCCTCCCCTTTTCTGCCCTAGTGGCATTCCGTCGTGTGCACAGACCACATGCTGTTTATTTTTCATCCATGGATGGATGTTCGCCTTATTTCCTGGCTACTTGGCTATTTTGGAGCCCCAAGCTGAGACATAAAGGAGGATTCTCTCTGGGTAGAGGAGAGGAGGGAGCAGAGGGCCCCCTGGCCCAGGGACAGACACCTCCAGCTGCTCTTTTTCTTCCCCACAACACCGAGGGCAGCCTGTGCCTGTCAGTGCCTGGCATCGGGCTCCAGGCAGAGCAGCCAACAGGGCTTGTAGATGCCATCTTCTCCCTGTGTCCTCACAGGTTCGTCCCTCTGTGTGTGCCTGTGTCCTCATTACCTCTTCTTATAAGGACCCCAGTCAGATTGGACTGGGGCCATTCCACAGACCTCGCTTTACTTTAATCGCCTTTGAAAGACCCTAGCTCCAATTGCAGCCACATTCTGAGGTCCTAGTGAGTAGGGTTCCAACATACAAATCTTGGGGGACACAGTTCCGCCCAAAACAAGTGCAAATGATGAGGTACACCCCCAGTCCTGTGGATGAGGTGGGGTGGAGGGAAGGGAAGAAATTCACATCCCCACCTCCTCCCACCATGAAGTCAACTGCAGCTGGGCGAGGCCAGGCTTGATGGGGAGCTGTGGCAGCTTTGATGGGGAGCTGTGGTGGCAAACCCACACTCAAGCAATCACCCTGTGTCCCTGCCTTGCACCCCCCTACCCCTCTCCACCCTTTGCCCAGGCCAGTCCCTCCACCTGGGGGCCCTTTCACCCTTTCCATCTAGAAGCTCCTGCCATTCCTGCAGACCTGGCCCCGGCCCCTGGAGGGGCCCACACCCCAGGCAGAGCGAGTCTCTTCCTCTGGCCTCCCTGGCCTTTGCTCCTTCCATGCTGCCCTGATACCTAGGCCTGTTTCTCGTCAGCAGCAGCTCAGGCAGGGCAGCTTGCTCTAGAGGGCAGGCAGGCTTTGTTTACCTCTCCCCTGTGCTGACCTGTGCGAGATGTGGCCAGGACACTTGGACAGTGGGCAGGAGGCAGGGATGGTGAGGTGGGGATAGAGGGAGGAGTGCCGGGCTACCCACTCCCAGTCTAGGATGTTCCTCCTCCACACCTGCATGTTCTGTGTTCTCCTTAAACCATCACGGTGCTGCTTTGAGGCTCCTGTGTCTGCTAGGAAAAAGGGGCTGCGCTGCTGGGGCCTTCATTCAGCCGCCTACAACTGGGGGAGGCTGAGGAGTGCTACAAATACAATCACAGGAGCCAGCATCGATGGACTGATGGGCCCTGGTATGCATGGTCTATCTTGGGGGTGGTGGCACATGGGTCCAGGACCACCCAGATTCCATTTTCTGCTCTATTCCTTACCCTGCATAAGCGCTCCTACAGCTGTCAGCCTCTGATATCAATTCCAAGTTACTGGATTTTTTTTGAGGCCGGGTCTCACTCTGTCATCCAGGGTGGAGTGCAGTGGCTAGAGTTTGGCTCACTACAACCTCCACCTCCCAGGCTCAAGTGATCCTCCTGCCTCAGCCTCCCAAGTAGCTGAGACTACAGGCATGTGCCACCATATCCAGCTGATTTTTGTATTTTTTGTAGAGATGGGGTCTCACTATGTTTCCCAGACTGGTCTCAAACTCCTGAGCTCAAGCGATCCTCCCATCTCAGCCTCCCAAAGCACTAGGACAACCAGCATGAGCCACTGTGCCCAACCCCTATTCTAAGTTTAAAGGACAAGCAGGACTTTTTCTCAAGTCCCAGAGTAGCGCACCCCAGTCCCAACACCAGGACTGAGCGTGCACCCCACTTCTAGCATCAGGACTGAGCGTGCTCTGACCTGTTTCCCTGAGCTGAGGAAGGGGCCGAAGAGCTGAGATAACTCCCAAGAAATTTCCAGGGAGGGATTTTCTGGGGCCAAGTCCTGGCCTGGCCCGGCCGGGCCTGTGTGAGCTCAGGGTCCTGCAGCCCCGGTGACTGGCCATCAATGCCCAAGCTGCAGGGACTCTCGAGGAAGTCCGAAAGACGCCACTGCCTCTCTACAGGCTGTTCTCAGGTGGCCAGGAGGACTGCATCGCAGAGGCGGCGGGCAGTGCCTGGGGACCAGCTTCCTGCCTCTGGCTCTGACTCAGACCTGGTGGCCTTGCCCAGCCCAGCCCCACCCTCTCACTAAATCAAAGCCATGCCCTTCAGATGTGGTTTCCCAAGCCTCCCTTGGTTTCATGACTGCGAGGGACCTTCTGCAGCCACCTGGGCTGGTACGTGGATGGGACCCTGTGACTGGAAGCCCCAACCCTGCAAAGGCAGTGAGTGTGCAACGTTGGGGGGCATGGCCGGCCACACACTTTCCTTAATGGGAAACATTGCTCACTTCCAGACTTCCAGAGGCTGGCACCAGGGACTCGATTGTCACTGAGTAAGCTGTATGCAGCCCCTGTGCCCACCATGGCAAGACCCCTGCCGTCACCCACCTGACGGCTGCCCTGGCCCTGCCTCAGGAGGCTCCCTCGCCTCCAGCCACATGGGGGTGAGTCACCGTGAGTGTGCTGCGTCCTTCTGTTTTCTGAGGCAGGGCTGCAGCCCCTCATCTCTGGGGTGAAGCCCATGCTCTTTGCTTGGATTTGGGCATGGTCTGGGCCCTGTCCATCTCTTCAGCTCCTCCTGGCCCACCCTTGGCCTTGAGCAGCTGCTGTGACCCGGACATTCCCAGTGAGCACCGGCTCCTCCCCACTCTGGGGTCTCTGCACGGACTGTTACCACTGCCTGCAGCTACTGCTCCCTCTCCTCCTCCAAACCTTTGGCTTGTTTAGATTCCTCCTGTCCTTCCAGATGCAGCTAAGAGAGTCTCTCCTCGGGGTTGGAGGGGTCCTTAAACCCCCTTGCCCTGGCTGGGCCAGGGTCCTCCTCCCGGCTCCCTCAGCCTCCTGCACTGCACAGTCACCTTCCTCATCAAGAGGCGTCTGTGAGGCCACCCCCAGCCCTCGGCTGTGAGCTCTGGAGCAGGTGGACGGAGTCTGCTTTCCTCCTGGCCCCTCCCCAGGGCTTGGCCCAGAGTCCCTGAGATGCTTCAGGAACAATTGCATGAAACCTCTGTGGCATCCCTGACCTGAAAATGTCCGTCATTTGAGTGAAAACATGGAGAGAGAAAGGTCCTTACATAGATCCCGACAAAGAGGGAGAGGGTGGCCGGGGACAAGCAGCCTCATCCCCTCTCACCCCCTGGCAGGGTGGCATGACCCACTTGGAGACCTTTCAGTAGGGATGCCGGAGGCTTTCTGCAAAATTTGATTTGGTGAACTCCAGAAAAATGATAGACTAGAAAATCGCCCATGAAAGAACTCCTCGGAAGCACAGAGCTAATTCCAGGCACTTCTCAAACTTGAACGAGTTCAACCAATAGATAAAACCATCAGGGCAACTAAAAAGACCGAGAATGGGCCTTGAGCCTGTCTCTGCAGAGATGGGGGTGAGGGGACGTGCAAACCAGGGCCATCATCACAGGGGGCACTGGGCCGTGACTATGACAGTGTCCATCACAATGCCTTTTGCTTGAGGAATGCCACACCTGACACTCTGACACTTTATCTTACAGAGTCTATAAAGAAATATGCACAAGCAGCATCATTCAGCAGGATTTCAGACCAGAAAGAACCCTCCCGTCAGAGACTGGTGGCCATACAAGGGTGCGCTGTGAAGCTTTCGAGACAGCAGACAGCCGGAGTCGTGATCAGGGTGGCCAGGAAGGGAAACAACACGGTAGCAACCAGAGTGCCCTCCCATGTGTGAGTTGCTGGGTTAGAATCCAGATTCTGCCATGTATGACCTGTGAGGACTTGGGCATAGTAACCTCTCTGGGCCTCGATGTCCTCATCTGTAAAATGGGAACGTGCCACAGTGCTCTCAGAAGGCCAACATGAATCCATATGGGTGAAGAGCTGGGACAGTGTCCGGCGAGCAGGACACACCAGATCAGTGCTTGCTGCTGTTGTTGGTATTCACACATGTGATTTTTTTTTTTTTAGACAGAGTATAGCTCTGTTGCCCAGGCTGGAGTGCAGTGGCATGATCTCTGCTCACTGCAACCTCCGCCTCCCAGATTAGAGCAGTTCTTCTGCCTCAGTCTCCCGAGTAGCTGGGATTACAGGCATGCACCACCACGCCTAGATAATTTTTGTATTTTTAGTAGAGGATGGGTTTCTCCATGTTGGTCAGGCTGGTCTCGAACTCCTTACCCCAGGTGATCCACCCGCCTCAGCCTCCCAAAGTTCTGGGATTACAGGTGTAAGCCACTGTGCCCAGCCCACACATGTGATTTATACACAGGGCCCTTCTGCAAGATAGGCAAGCAGTGGTAGGAATGACCACCTCTGGGAAGTAAGGATACAAAGAGGTGAGAGGGAGAACTTTTCTCTTTGAGCCTTTGGTACTAATTTTGCTATTGACTTGATTTTTACTGCAAATAGGGATTCCTTTGGTGACGAATAAGCCAGTTGGTGTGCAGGGTGTTCACTGCAAGGCCCAGACAGGACTACAAGAGACCAGGACTGTCCTCAGTATGTGATCTCTCTCTCCTCTGGCGTCAGCTCTACCCAGGAACGGATGTGAAGGCTGAAGCCCAGGCAAGGGCTCATAGTGTGGGGACCGTGCAGCTGGATTCATGTCCAGTGGAATTTGACACCATGGCCGTCATCATCATGTTTTGCCGTCATCAGCACAGACCTCTGAGCAGAAATGCCAGAACAATGTGGGGCCACCCTGGAGATTTATTTTATTTATTTTTTAAATTAAATTAAAATTGTTTTTAAGAGACGGGGTCTTGCTATGTTGCACAGGTTGATCTTGAACTTCTGGGCTCAAGCAATCCTCCTGTCTTGGCCTCAGAGTGTTGGGATTACAGACCTAAGCCACCGCGCCCGGCCTGGAGATGTATTTTAAACTGACATCTTGGGAGAAATAAAAGCCTTCCTTTTCCCTGTGTGTCGGTAGCGTAAGTAGTGAACTGGGAAGGATTTCTCGGGGCCCCTGCCCTGAGCTCCTAGACCTTCTCTCCCACGCCATGTTACACAACAAAATCTGACTCTGAAAGATCAATTGGGTCCAGCTTGGGGTCTGATGGGCAGACGGGCTTAAGCAAAGCCCCCACTTGACTTCAAGAGAGGAGCTTGGGGCCCACATAGACATCGAGGCCTGCACAACGTAGCTAATTGGCCCTAACATTTTTCTTTCTTGAATTTTAAATCCTTTTAGCAACAGATTATACAACAAAGGCTGAACTCATTGGGGCCGTCATTAGGCTGGCGGAAAACGCTGGCTTGGCTGTTCCTTGGCGAATCTCCTTACCGGGTTATTTAGAGGTGCCGTGTGTCTCTCTTGGGGACATGCACACAAATGTAAAGAATGTCTCTGAGCCACAATGACATTTTCATTAGCCGTGGCTCACAGAGGAGCCTTTCCTGGCAGTTCCAATCCGGAAGGTTCTTATCCTGCTCTCTGGCTTTCTTGCTCTGGGTGAAAGGCAGGCACCGTAATCCAAGCCAAACACCCCGACCTTTGACCCCCACATGGTGCTTGCTGTCAGGGTGGGGGTTCTTCTGGGGTGCATGTCTGAGGCCTGACTGGGCTGCACACTGTCCCAGAGTGCCCTGCCTTTGGCCAGGACAATTCACCTCAGCCCCTTTTGTCCCAACAGCTTTTGATCTTGCCTGCCTGTCACCCAGGGAAAGAGCCTGCCTAGGCCCTGTCCCACACCTGCCTGCAAACTGACAGCCATGGCTCCCCCAGCCCCACTGCAGCAGCCTTAACCCTTTCTCTGCCTGACCTGCAGGGCCTGCACCTACCTGTCTCCAGGGTGCTGGGGCCTCAGGCTTTGGCCAAACCAGAACAGGACTAGAAAAGAATTCTTCTGAGGGTCCAAGGCCTCGTCCTACCGCCCCTACTGTGAGTGTGGGACTGACAAAGGAGTTTGGAGAGCATGAGTCCCCTAGAATGGAGCTCCCAGGAAAAGCCAAAGAGAAAGCCCCAGGCCACTGGGCCTGGACTTCGCCCCACGGCAAGGTCCCCGCCCACTGGCTAGGCAGGTGCTTTTGTGAAACTGACATTTTCTCAGCTGCACCTCTACCGCTGCTGATGAGCTTTTCAATACACTCTTTCTTGTATTGAGACAGAGCCATGTTTTCATAACTTGGCACTACAGCAAAGAAAGACATGGGGTCCTTGCTGCTCAGTCCTGGTGCCCGGCCCAGTGTCTGGGGTGCCCACCTTGCCCAGCGTGTGCTGGGCATGCAGGGGCACTTCCCTAGGGCCAAAACCTGGGAGCTTTCCTCCAGGCCAAGACGCAAGTCTCTTTGTTTTTACGGTAGCTTTGTTGAAATGTAATTTACATACCATGAAATTCACCCGTTGAAGGCATGCAATTTAGAAGGTTTTATTCATAGAGTTGTATGAATTCTCTATTTCCCAAGGCCATTTTTTTAAATATAAGGGTAATCTATGTTCACTGTGGAAAATACAAACAATTCAGAAAATATACCATGAAAAGTGCACATCCTGTTAATCCATTTATTCAGAAACTGTTTCTTTTTTTCTTCTTTCTTTCTTTTTTTTTTTTTTTTTTGAGACAGAGTCTCAATCTTGTCGCCCAGGCTAAAGTGCAATGGTGTGATCTCACTGCAGCCTCCACCTCCTGGGTTCAAGCAATTCTCCTGCCTCAGCCTCCTGAGTAGCGGGATTACAGGCGCCCGCCACCACATCCAGCTAACTTTTGTATTTTTAGTAGAGACAGGGTTTTACCATGTTGGCCAGGGTGGTCTCAAACTCCTGATCTCAGGTGATCCACCCACCTCGGCCTCCCAAAGTGCTGGGATTACAGGCATGAGTCACTGCGCCCAGCCTCATTATCTGTTTCTTAAGCACCTACTATATGCCAGGGTCTGCCCTAGGCGCTTTGGAAACATCAACAACAACAACAAAAAACAGACAAAAGTCCCTGCCTCGTGGGGCTTCAGTTCCAGCGTGGGGAGGTGGACAATAAATATTATACATTAGGCCATTATGTAGCAGGCTAGCAGGGCCTAACAATTTCCAGTGTGGATTCCTTCAGCCCATTCCCCGACGCGTTGCAAGCACACACCTGCATCTAACACACAGGCTGCTCCGCCATTTGCTCTGTCGGGAGCAGAACGTCGTGGACACTTTGTGCGACAGTGCCCAGGCCACTGCTCCATCCCTTTCACAGCTAAAGTGGGACTCCACTGTCCTCCAGTTAATTCAGTGACTCCTGTGGGGGTTGCCGCATGGATTCTATTTAATATCAGTGCAAACTAGGGTGGCACTGAATATTCTTGTTCTCTTATGTGTGTGCACTTGGAAAGTGCCAGAGAGGGCAGGAGGCAGATCCCATATACACTCCAACATATTATCTTCCCCCCCTTTCCTTTCCCTCTCCCTGCCTTCTGTCTCCCCCTTTCCCTCTCTTCCTTTCCCCCAGCCCCCCATGTACAGCAGCTGCAGCTTCCCAGGATCCTTTTCTGCCTGGGACCACGAGCTGGGGGCTGCACGAGCCCTGCGTCATTTTCCGGCCCTCCTAGATGAGCAGTGGGCTCTGAAGGAGCTGAGCAGCCTGAGAGAGGACATCTAGTGCTCAGGAGGAGGAGGAGGAGGATGCCACCTCAAAACGCCCTCAAAAGGGCCAGAACCCCAGACTTGGAACTGGAACTGTCCATCTTTGTCCCGGGATGTAACCCCATCTTTGGCCCCTGGAATGGGGAAAGAACAGGAAAGCCACAGAAGCCAGAGCCCCAGGGACCCACCCTGGAGTCCCATGTACCCAGAGGTGCCAGTCCATCTGGGAAGATGCCCCAGGAGGGGAGTTTCCTCACCACAAACCTCTTGCAAAAATGCCCTAAAAATGTCAGAACCTACTTTCCTTCCCAAAAGAGAGTTCGTTGAGAGCCGTTGAGCATCTGTGTCTATAAATCTTCCACTGGGATGGCTGTGCAGGGTGCCACCCTCTCAAGGTGGCCTCAGGAGAATGTGTTCAAGCCCCTGGAGGTCCACTGTATGACCGAAGTCTGACAGATAGCCCCGCGGCTCTTACACACACCCAGGGCCACTGACGCCCACCTAGGGCCACCGATACCTACATAGAGGCCACTGACACCCACCTGGAGGCCACTGATGCCCACTTGGGGACCACTGATGTTCACATGGAGCCACTGACACCTACCTGGAGGCCACTTAGACCCACCTGGGGCCACTGATGCCCACCTGGAGACCCCACTTGCAGTAGGGCTCCCCCAGGCTGCCGCCTGGCCACCTCCTCAGAAGGTGCATGGTGTGAGCACCAAGGGACCCTGCCTTCTTCATGATGAGCACCCCAGGCTCCAGTGGCATCCAAATGTCTGTCAAGATTCTCCAGGCAAGCCCGTGGTCTGCCAACTATGGAAATTACTGCCTTAGGCCATCTGTGAGACGAAAGTACAGTCTCATAACTCCTCCACTAACTTTTTTTTTGAGATGGAGCTTCGGTCTTGTTGCCCGGGCTGGAGTGCAGTGGCATGACCTCAGCTCACTGTAACCTCTACCTCCCAGGTTCAGGCGATTCTCCTGCCTCAGCCTCCCGAGTAGCTGAGATTACAGGCATGCACCATCACACCTGGCTAATTTTTGTATTTTTAGTAGAGAATAGGTTGCACCATCTTGGCCAAGCTGGTCTCGAACTCCTAACCTCAGCCTCCCAAAGTGCAGCCTCTCAAAGAACGCCTGCCTCAGCCTCCCAAAGTACTGGGATTACAGGCGTGAGCCGCCGCGTCCCGTCTCCTCCACTAACATGTGTCGTCCATTCATTCATTCACTCATTCATTCATTCAGCAATATTTTGTGTTCCCATTTCACACCCAGCCATGAACTGAGGTCACGAGGATGCAATGCACAGCACATCCTTCTAGGCATTTTATAAATATTGACTCATTTAATCCTTATAACCCAGGGGTAAGGACTTTTAATAGCCCCATTTCAGAGATGAGAAAACAAAGGCACAGAGAGGCAGAGCAACTTGCCTGCAATTCTCAGCAGCTGAGGGGCAGAGCCAGGATTGACAGCAGGGAGCTGAGTTCCTGACCACCAGGCTCTGCCACCTCTCTCTGAACTACTTATCACCCAGCTTTAAGGACAATTACGAAGACTGTGTGTTGGATGGGGAAGAGGTCATGATAAGATAAGGGAAAAAAGTAGCAGTGGACATTGTATATATAAACAGGAGACAAAGTATACACATATTTTTATATAAAAAAAGATGACATGCATATATCACCTGGGGCATGTCCTGGTGGGGAGCAGACACACAGCATAAGACACCAGAGTGATTAGCGTGGAGGAATGGGGCGGGCAGTGACTGACCCCATTGTCTGACAACAAAAATAACTCATTTCCCCATGAATGGGTTTCCTAAAAGTGTCACTTCACAATTCCTTTCGGATTCTCCAGGCTTACTCAGGTGCTTGCCATGGGAGTGAAGGCAGCCCATTATCCAGGGACAGAGGGACAGCATTCCCGCCTGTCCTGTGCTTTGATGCTCAGAATGCATCACCTGAAAGAAAAACGGCATTTCTCTGGGCAGGCTGGAACGTCCGGAGGGTAACCAGACCCGTGTAAAGAAATGCTGTGGCCTCCATGTGACAAGGCAGGCGGGAGCTCAGCGGCTCAGGCCAGCTCCTGGTCGGCCCTGGGTAATTCTGTCTAGGCATTTCCCGGAGCCTCAGAAACTCCTGAAGCACCAAGGCTCCTGGGACCCGGGCCATGGGGCAACTGACCTTGCACCAAGACAGGGATGACTCCACACCCTGCTAAGCGAATGCGTATGAAAATGCTTCCTGATGGGCTGGCAGCTTCAGGACGTGAAGGGGATTAAGGCAACGGTCCCTACAGATGGGAAATCAAACAGATATTCTAGCAGATCCAACCTACAAAGGATGCTGCAGCCACCAGCACTGTTTACAACGGGTTTGAAGAGTCTGGGGACACTTCTGTCCCAGCTGCTGGTGCACGGTGCAGAAAGGAAGATTTGAAGGCGGCCTTGCCCCCCTGAATGAGTACCCGCACAGTCCTTGACAAGGTGACCATGGCACAGAGCTTCAGAAGTCCCACCCCGGCCTCACCCTGACCTGTCCTGTGACCTCTCTGTGCCTCAGTTTCCCCACCACACTTACTTCATGGGTTTTTGTGATGATAAAATCTTTAGAACTGCTCAAGCATGTATTAAATATTCAAATAACTCAACGTAGACTGGAACTCAAAGGGCAGAGAGGCTGAGCCACCGGCCCAGGTTATCAGTTGTAGCTCTGTATCTGTGTGGGCCATTCATTGATTCGGTGTCCCAGCAAGAGTGAGCAACACTGGACCCCCAGTTACTGGGCTGCAGCAGGAGCTCCCCCAGAGAGCTCATGGCAGCTAAAAACGTCCCAGCACACATCTTGCCAGTAAGAAAATATCTGCGAAGAATACATGGATTCATTGCTATTTTTTACTCAAATTTATTTGAAAGCCAACTCTGAACCTTCATCGTCAGTAAAGACCAGCATTACTTACTCTAATTCAAATGTAACTGTAAAAATAAATTTGACCAAATAGTATTTTCAAATGCCAACTAAATGCCAGGCTGAGACACGGGCACCTGCTCTTGTTCGGGTAAGGGGCGAGCAGCAGGTGTTGGGGAGGGGTCACAGGTGGACCTTGGTTAGAAAACTTGAAAGAGGCCGGGTGCGGTGGCTCATACCTGCAATTCTAGCGCTTCGGGAGGATGAGGAGGGCGGATTACCTGAGGTCAGGAGTTCGAGACCAGCCTGGCCAACATGGTGAATCCCCGTCTCTACTAAAAATACAAAAATTAGCCGGGCATGGTGGTGTGCACCTGTAATCCCAGCTACTAGGGATGCTGAGGCAGGAGAATCGCTTGAACCCAGGAGGCTGAGGTTGCAGTGAGCTGAGATCATGCCACTGCACTCCAGCCTGGACGACAGAGCGAGACTCCATGTCAAAAAAAAAAAAAACTTGAAAAAGAAGAGACTGGGGTGCCCTGGCTGCACGATGCCTCACCCACACCCCTTGGCTCCCCTGCACGCAGATCAGTCTTTGGTCCCCGTGGGCCCGTGTGGCTGCAGGCTGGGCCTCTCATCCCATTTAGAGTAGTGGGAGAGGGCCTCATCGCACCAGCAGATGCCAGTTGGCTCAGGCCTCCGGTGCTGGGGACATCTGCTTCTCTTGGACTTTGGATCTTCTGGGGTGTGAGGGGACCCGGGCCACCCTTCCCTCTCTGACAGAGGATCTCTGCTCTCTCGGCCAAGCTGCCTGCAGGCCCCCGGCCCAGTCAGCTTCGCCTTCTGGCGGCAATGTGCCAGGCCCTGGGCCTACAGGCTGGGATTGGGAGAGTAGAAAGCCAGACAAGCGTCCGAGCTGCGGGCTGGGATCCCTGAGGACATGAGCCTGGGTTCTGCTGCTGCCCTGCTGCAAAGCAAAGGGTGAGGGGGCACTTGAGCTGGGCTGGGGCCTCCTGCAGCTGCTCCCACCTCCCTTCTCAGGAGTTTTCTCCCTCACCCCCTTACCCGGTTCCTTATTTATAGTAGACATCAGAGGCCCAGAGAGGTCAGGAGACTTGGAAAGTTCACACAGCAGGCAATAAGACCCAAGAGGCTCAACCCCTCACCTCCAGGCTGGGTTCTTTAGATTTAACGATCACAGCTCCAATGATCTGGACTGTGGGGAGATCACACTGGATCCCCCAACACCAGGTTCAGAGGTGGAGTTGGCCACAGACGGCTGAACAACACGCTCAGTCTCATGGGCAGGAAGTGGGTGTAGGATTCGAACTCAGGCCTGCTCTCACACCTCTGTCCTCCACCCGTGGGCTCACCCCCATCCGTCAGCCTTTTGCTGGCATCCACACCAAAGCATCACAGCCACCCACCCTGGGCTGCTGGGCAGGAGGGGGATCAGTGGAGCCCACTGCTTCCCACCTCAGAGCACTCTGCATTCCAGCCTTCCCACCCCCATTTTTCTGGCTTTAAAAAGATGCTGCGGTCTTCAAGAAACCGTTTATCTTCAAAGCTGGGGTAGAGAAAAGGCTCCAGAGGGGCCGAGTGTGTGTTGTGAGCGGCTGGGAGGACATCACTTAAGGCCCTTAAATGACGACTAATTGGAACCCGGGCGGCTACTTTCAAGGGGCCAAGTGGAGCTGCATTGTGAGCTCGGCAGGCGGAGGATGCCGACGCGGTCGCGGTTAGGGGAGGGCGGTCGGGGTGGCGGTCGGAACCGCATCCTCTTCCCAGGCTGGGGAAGCCCGATCTGGCACGGCCGAGGGCCCCACAGCCCTGCTGAGTGGTGTTTACAGCCCCAAGTCCCGCTTCCTGGCTTTGGTTTGAGAAACGGAGAGAACCCCTGGGTCCGGCCCACTGGGCTGGGCTCTCCGGCCGGCCCTGCTGGGATGGAGATTAGAATCAGATCAATTTTGTCTCACTGTCCTGGGGCTGCTGTCACTAAGTCCCACAAAGTGAGGGGCCTAAAACAGCAGAAATGCATCCACCCACTGTGCTGGGGGCTGCAAGTCTGAGACTCGGGTGCCAGCAGGGCCGCACACTGGGGAGACTCCTTCCAAGAAATTTCCAAGGGTTTTTTTTATTATTATTATTTTTTGAGATAGAGTCTCGCTCTGTCGCCCACGCTGGAGTGCAGTGGTGCAATCTCAGCTCACTGCAACATCCTACTCCCTGGTTCAAGCGATTCTCCTGCCTCAGCCTCCCTAGTAGCTGGGATTACAGGCACGCGCTACCGCACCCAGCTAATTTTTGTATTTTTAGTAGAGATGGGGTTTCACCCTGTTGGCCAGGATGGTCTCAATCTCCTGAACTCGTGATCCGCCCGCCTCGACCTCCCAAAGTGCTGGGATTACAGACGTGAGCCACCGCGCCCGGCCACGGGGTTTCTTGGCTCTAGGCCGCATCACTCCAATCTCTGTCTCTGTCTACCCGTGGCCTTTTCCCCTTGCACGCCAGTGTCTCTATTTTTCCTTCCCATAGGCACTGGTCACTGGAGCAGAGACCGCCCTCCCCCAGCATGCCCTCATCTTAATTCATAACATCCACAAATCCCTTCCTTCCAAATAAGGTCCCATTCCCAGGTACTGGGAGTTGGGACTGGGACATGGGTTTTGTGGGGAGACGATTAGACCTGCATTCTCTCATCTGGCTCCCATGGTGCCCGTCTCCTCCCCCAAATTGTGGCGGTGATTCTCTCCCACACAACGGCCCTGCAGAGGAGGCTCGCGAGCCTCGTCGGCACAGTTTTCCTTTTACAGATGGAGAAACCAAGGCACAGAGGCCCTGCTGTCAGCCGCTAGCACAGGCAGCTCGGCTATATGAGAAGGGACGAGGATCCCCTTCCACAGATGGGGACAATGAATCACTGGGGGCTTCAGGAACCCGCTGTCCAGCAGCCACGGCTGTCGGGCTCCAAGCCTGGGCACTGCCCACCACCCCACGCGACTGCCCCACCCCAGGAAGGCTCGTGGCTTCAGCGGATTGTAGACTGGACAGACGTGGGGGTGTTTAGTGCCTGAGTTAGGCTGAGTTGTGAATTCATGAGGTATAACAACAGGGACCAGGGGCCAAAATATGTGATCTGGTCTTCAGTCAGGCAGAACCTGATACGGAGCCTTGGACAAGACACTTCCCCTCTCTGGGCCTCAGTTTACCCAACTGGAAAAGTAGGGAGCCTCTAGGTCAGCACTGTTCAATAACCATGGCTGTGTGTGGTGATTGAGGACTTGAAATTTGGCTGGTGTGACTGAGGAACTGAATCTTTCATTTTACCATATCTTAATGAACTAAATTTTAGTTTTAAAAACAGATGCTCTAGGTGGGCATGGTGGCTCACACCTGTAATTCCTTCGCTTTCGGAGGCTGAGGCGACAGGATCTTTTGAGCCCAGGAGTTTGAGACCAGCCTGAAACCCTGTCTCTAGAAAAAATACAAAAACATTAGCCGAGTGTGGTGATGTGGGCCTGTGGTCCCAGCTACTCAGGAGGCTGAGGTGGGAGGATCACCCAAACCTGGGAAGTCAAGGCTGCAGTGAGCCGAGCTGTGATCACATCCCTGCACCCCAGCCTGGATAACAGAGTGAGACCCTGTCTCTAAATAAATATATATATATATATATATATATATATATATATATATAATAAAAACGGATGCTCAATTTAGTTACTGGAAAATTTTTATGTAGGTTTGGAACAACTTGGGTTTGTGAATCTACTTTTTCAACCACAGATTTATGAAATTTATATCTGAGATCTAGGATATATATCTGAGCAGATATATCTGAAGAAAATTTAGCATCTGAATTGGGATGTTTTATAGCACTGGATTTCGAAGACTTAGTACCCAAAAAAGAATGTAAAATAGCTCATTAGGGTTTTTTTATTGATGACATTCTGAAATGATCGCGTTTTGCATGTATTGGGTTAATTAAAATATTATTCAAATTAATTTCACCTATTTCTTTTCACTTATTTAAATGTGGTTTTTAGAAAATGGAGAAATGACATATTCTAATTGGAATGGTCTAGATCCATGATTTGCATTTCAGATGTTGCAGGAGTTAAGGATTTATTGTGTTTTCCAGGCAGGCTTTTGCAGCCTGGTGCACACAGTAGGTGTATCCTGTCTTCCAGGTGCATACAGTAGGCATCCAGCAATTCTCAGAGAGAGCTCTGGTGGCTGTCTGCAGGAGGTTGGAGGGGGTGATGCCGTGGTCAGGTCCAGGCAGTGCTGCTCTTCTCACCCGGCCCAACAACACCTGTACTTGTGTTTCCAGAGTGTGTTTAGCGGGGTCACTAAATGATTTATCACCCAACCCAGGACAGTGGAAGAGGGTGCGAGGAGCCCATGCACTGACTGGGGCTCTCCTGAGCAGACCAGGATGTAAGGTCCTCTGTGACTAAGCCATGTCAGCCATCAAACCACAACCACTATGTCCCCACCCCAGCGGGAGCAGTCTTGGACCCCACTCCCACCTGATGTCCTCCAGAAATGACTCAATTCTTTGAACCATTGTGACAAAGAACATGGTTCATGGTCTCAGTTATCTCTTGCTGCATAACAAACCACCCCAAAGGAGAGTGGCTAACAAACCACAATTTAGCATTTAGAAAACCAAACCAAAGCAAAACTATTTACAGTTGGCTTTCTGTATCCATGGGTTCTGTATCCATGGACTCAACCAACTTGGATCAAAAATATTTTTTTAAAAAAGGATGATTGCATCTCTACTGAGCATGAACAGACTTTCTTTTTTTAATACATGATTAATGTATATTTATTAGAGAGCAAATTCACGAAACTCTCCACACTGAATACAGATTGATTATGGTGACTTAGCAGAGTTGTCCATTTGGGGCCTAGTGAGGAGTAGTAGAGATTTCTCCTTGTCTTCTTAGAGGATGTTTCAGAAGGAAATTTGTAAAAAGCGGTAGTGCCTACAAGAGCCTGGCCTTGGATGTTCTCATTGGAGGTGAGTTGGTATGTCAGAGTTTTTGATCTGTCTGAGTAGAGAAAAAGGAACTGGAGAGTGATAGAAAGATTGATGGAATGAGGGAGATCAGTGGAGCAGCAGACATGCCCAGTCTTTGGCATGGTAAGGATGCCTGTATCCAGAACTAGCTACATAACTAGCTACATTTTCATGGCTCAATGCAAAATGAAATTGTGGGGCCTCTTGTTAAAAAACAATCAAGTGGGCCGGACACGGTGGCTCACGCCTGAAATCCCAGCACTTTGGGAGGCTGAGGCGGGCGGATCACGAGGTCAGGAGATGGAGACCATCCTGGCTAACACGGTGAAACCCCATCTCTACTAAAAATACAAAAAATTAGCCAGGCATGGTGGCGGGCGCCTGTAGTCCCAGCTACTCGGGAGGCTGAGGCAGGAGAAGGGCATGAACCCGGGGGGCGGAGCTTGCAGTGAGCTGAGATCGTGCCACTGCACTCCAGCCTGGGCGACAGAGTGAGACTCTGTCTCAGAAAAAAAGAAATCCTTGTCACAAGTGGGGCGCAGTGGCTCACGCCTACAATCCCAGCACTTTGGGAGGCTGAGGCAGGTGGATCACTTGAGGTCAGGAGTTTGAAACCAGCCTGGGCAATATGGTGAAACCTTGTCTCTACTAAAAATACAAAAATTAGCCGGGCATGGTGGTGCACGCCTGTAATCCCAGCTACTCCGGAGGCTGAGGCGGGATAATCACTTGAACCCAGGAGGTGGAGGTTGCAGTGAGCTCAGATTGTGCCACTGCATGCCAGCCTGGGCACCAGAGCAAGACTCCATCTCAAAAAAAAAAAAAAATCTTCGTCACAGAAACAGACCTGGGGGACAAGTCTTGAATGGGCTGGGCCAGAACCAGGCCCTCTCTGTGGAATATCTCATTCAATCCCTAAACAGCCCAGGCAGGCTGGCTTGGCCACGTTATCTACTTTAAGATAGAGGGAGGCTGAGCACGTGGTCCGAGGTCCCTAGTCCAAGGCTGCACCAGGACTGCCTGAGCCTGCATCTCGTGTTCATCACTGGGCCCTCGTCCCACACCAATGAACAGCAAGCAGGTGAGGAGGTGACTTCAAAACACAGGTTGGGCCAGGCATGGTAGCTCACGCCTGTAATCCCACCACTTTGGGAAGCCGAAGTGGGCAGATCTCTTGAGGTCAGGAGTTCGAGACAAGCCTGGCCAACATGGTGAAACCCTGTCTCTACTAAAAATACAAAAATTAGCCGGGGTGGTGACACACACCTGTAATCCCAGGTACTCTGGAGGCTGAGGCACGAGAATCCCTTGAACCGAGGAGGCAGAGGTTGCAGTGAGCCGAGATCACACCACTGCACTCCAGCCTGGGTGATGGAGCAAGACTGTCTCAAAAAAAAAAAAAAATTCCAGAGGGTAACCGCTATAAAACCTCTCCACTCGTGCTACATAGGTGTTTCTCTAAGCACTGTATGAGCATCCAATGTTCACCCTCATGGTGCCCGGTTGAGATTGGTGCTCCATTCTACAGATGGGGAAACTGAGGCACCGAGAATCAGGATAGTTGACTTAAGAGCCCATGGCAAAGGGAGTCCATCTCTGTTTCCACGTGGGCCTCACACCTCTTAGAGGCAAGAGTGGCAGTGAAGGGAGCTGTGGTCCCCAGCTGTCCTGCTTCACTGCTGGCCTCCCTCCAGCTTCTGCCTCCTGACCAGCTCCCTGGGTTGCCCAGACCCCTCCAGGCTGACTCACCTGGCCCTGGGCTTGGGGCCAAGTCTCTCTCTGCCTAGAAACTTCTGGCCAGAGCAGCCTGCAAGCGCATACCCTGGGAAGCCTCAGGAACTAACGGCAGGTGGGAGCCAGCGGCCGACCCCCAAGCCCTGAGGCAGCCACCCTGCTCAATGTCATCCTTAAGAGTCCAGGGGCACAGGCCAGTCCTCCCGCCGAAATGGAATAGTCCTCCTGGGAGAGAGGCCCCCTTTCAGCATGCACACCACGCCCCCAGCAGCCCTCGCGGGCAGCATCGCCTTGCCACTGCCCCAGCTCTGCTTTGCTGTGACTCCCGCTTAAGATATCAAAGCTGCGGGGCCACAATGCCCCACTGAAAGCTGAGTCACCCAGGTTTTGTGACACCACCAAATCCCTCCTGCTGTCTCGCTCTGAGCCCAGGGCTCCTAGTGCCAGATGAAAAGGAAATCCCCAGCCACGGGTGGGACAGGGAGGCCTGGCGGGGCCGGTGCCACATAAAGGGGCCTTGTTCCGAAATCAAAAGGGCCTGAACAAAGAGCAGAGAGAAGAAAGGGCTGGGGCTGGGTGGGGGGCAGCTGCAGTCTGGCGCACCTTGAATGGCTCGGTGTGCCAGGTCGGCCCACCTCTCCTGGCTGGCAAAGCAGCCCCTCCTCCACCACCTCCCTGGCAGCCCTGGGCTTTTTCCAGAACCCCTGCTGCAGGAGGAAGGGAGGGACAAGGTTGGGGTCACACATGGAGCCAAGTAGCAGAGCCTGGGACCCACAGGCTGACCACAGCCAGCACCCTCCCAGCAACAGCAGCAGCAACAACCACCAGCACCACCACAACACAACAGCATCATCAACAAGAGCAACAGAAACAACCACCACCATGACAGCAGCAACAACCACAAAAGCAGCAATAACTACCACAACGACAGCATCATCAACAACAGCAGCATCAACAACAGCATCATCAACAGCATCATCAACAACAGCAGCATCAACAACAGCGTCAACAACAAGAGTAACAACCACAACAGTAGCAACCACAAAAGCAGCAACAACCACAACAGTATCATCAACAGCATCAGCAGCAACCACAACAACAGCAACAGCAACAACCACCACCACTACCACAACAAGAGCAACAACTACTACAACAGCAACAACCACCACAACAGAAACGGCAACAACCACCACCACCACAACAGCAACAACCACCACAACAGCAACAACCACCACAACAGCAACAACTACCACCAACAGCAACAGCATCATCAGCAACAGCAACAACCACCACAAAACAACAGCAACAACCACAACAGCAACAGCATCATCAACAGCAACAGCAACAACAACAACGGCAGCAACAATAATAGCAACAGCATATTCAACAACAGCAACAACCACATCAACAGCAACAACCACAACCACCTCAAAAACAACAGCAACAACGACAGCAGCAATAACAGCAACAGAAGTGACAACATTAGCAGCAATAACAAAAGCAGCAGTGACAGTAACACCAGCAGGGACAGCAGCACCCTGAAAACAGCAGTCATAGCGGCACCCCCACTCCCACCAGCAGCAGCCACGGCAACAACCCAGGTTCCTCGTCCATGAAATAAGCGTGCTCACAGTGGTCCTGGCCCTGCAAGGCTGTTGTCAAGGTTAAATGTGTTAATTCACATAGAGCTCTTGGATGAGTGAGGGCAGAGAGCAGCCAGCACTTAGGAAGCTTTCACCGTGCCCCAGGTTCTATTTTAAACACCGAACTCGAGCTGCTTCCTTCAGAGAGGGATATGATTGTCATCTCTCCCATTTCACAGATGAGGGCACTGAAACCTGGAGAGGTGCAGGAGACTGCCCTCTGCTGGAGAGTCGGGCAGTCAAAATCCGAACCACAGGCAATTTGATTTCAGAACCTGCACCTGGAACCAAGTGGCCAGGCTGCCTCCCAAGCTGATGAACCAGGAGAGTGCAGTGTGCAAAGGAGGCTGTGAGGCTGTGCTCACAGGCAGACCCTGAGTCTCTGCCCAGTGCACACCAGTGCTGCACTCCCGGGACCAACAGGAAATATCTGCCTGGACTTTTAATAGGGCATTCCAATTTGACCTGTGGTGCAGAAAGAAGCCACAAAGAAATCTGCACTGGGAAATTGTTCATCCATTGGCTGTTAACTTGAAAACGCTGAAAACCCAATGCTGGCCAAATAAAGCCGGTCTGAGGGCTACAGCTGGCTTGGGGACTTCAGTCTGGGACTTCCAATGAAACAAGGACAGAACCCAGGGCCCAGAGCCAGGCTGCCCTGGTCTAGATCCCAGCTCTGCCAGGTGCCAGAAATGAAACTTCTGTGCCTCAGTTCCTCAATCTGCAGAATGGGGATATTGACATTTAAAGGTAACCTAAGGCTTAACAGGACAGATGTCAGCACAAGGAGCCGTAGCTCCAGGGCTTTTGTCCTAGGGACCCCAGACCCCGTGCCCCTGAGGGCACTTGCAGATGGGCCAAGGGCCCCACAGTCCACTCTTCCTGGCTTCTGAGGAGGTATGAGCTTGGCACCTTCCTCAGTTTACCTGCTTCCACTGAGCTAGGGGTGCCTCCATCCCTATGTTCTGACTCTTGCATGGGCAGGTACAGCCTAGAGCCCAGGTCTCCCCATCTCAATGTGCAGATTTTGCTGGGGTGGGGGCGGCTCCGTGACCTCTTTTAGCAGCAAAACCAGCTTTTTATCCGACACTTTCAGGCAGACTTCACCAACTCAGCCCCACCACTCCCCACAGCCCAGGCATCTTTTTTTGTTTTGTAAATTGCCTTTCAGAAAGCCACCCTGGCAGGCTTTGATGTGGCCCTTTGATAATTTAGCCTCATCAATAGGCAGGCCCTGCCCAGGAAGGCTGACTTTGAAGAGGGAGCCTTCTCCCAAGGCAGGAAAGGCAGGGGCTCCTGTCTCAAGCGTAGGGGGAGCAAAGGAGTGGGCAGGGGAAGGGGTTAACTGGCTATGAAGCAATTTACACAGTGACTCTGTCAGCACTTGGGTGAGGCCAGGGCTCTGACGTTCCCAGGTCATGGAGTGGGTGGTGGCTGAGGATGGAACCTTACAGAGGAAATCCAGCCGAGGCCTTTGGAGATGTGAAGGTTTGGTTTGCATTTCAGCTCTGGCACTTTTCAGCTATATGCCCATGGCTGGTCCCTCATTCTTCATGAGCCTCAGTTTCCCCATTTTAAAAATGAGGAGGGGGGTGGGGGAGGAAAATGGCACCATTGTAGTGAAGATTTAATGAGATGATGCACATGACAGTTTGGCACAGTGCCAGGTACACAGCAGGTGCTCAGAATGAGCTGGAAAGATGGTGATGATGATAATGATAATGATGTGTGATGATGATTATGATGATGAAGATGATGATCATGGAGACAGTGTTGTCAAAGAAGATGATGATGGTGGTAGTGATTATAATGAAGATGATAATGTCAATGAAGGTGACAAAGAAGAAGATAATGAAGATGCTGATGGTGTGGTGAAGATGGTGTGATGATGAAGATAATGATGTCAGTGAAGATAGTGAAGAGTTTATGCTCCCTTGTGATGTGAGGATGATGTTATTATGTGAAGAAGAGGGTGACAGTGCTGGATGATATGAGATGATGAAGATTATATCAATGAAAGTGATAAAGGTGATTAGTGATGATAAAGATGATGAAGAAGTTGATGAAGATGATTATAAATATGGTGAAGATGATGGTGATGAGGATGTTAGTGAAGAAGATAAAGATGGTGAAAATGGTGATGATGATGATGATGGTGAAGATGGTGATAATGAAGATGGTGATTATAGTGAAGAAGATGAAGATGGTGGTGGTGGCGATGATAAAGATGATGAAGAAGTTGATGAAGACGATTATAAATATGGTGAAGATGATGGTGATGAATAAGATAAAGATGGTGAAAATGGTGATGATGATGGTGAAGATGGTGATGATGAAGATGGTGATGACGGTTATAGTGAAGAAGATGAAGACAGTGGTGGTGGTGGTGATGATGATGAAGAAGTTGGTGAAGATGCTTATAGATATGGTGAAGATGATGGTGATGAGGATGTTAGTGGAGAAGAAAAAGATGGTGAAGTTGGTAAAAATGGTGATGATGATGGTGAAGATGGTGAGGATGAAGATGGTGATGACGATGATAGTGAAGAAGACGAAGATGGTGGTGGTGATGATGAAGATGATTAAGAAGTTAATGAAGATGATTATAAATATGGTGAAGATGATGGCGATGAGGATGTTAGTGAAGAAGATAAAGATGGTGAAGATGATGAAGATAGTGAAAATGATGATGATGACGGTGAAGATGGTGATGATGAAGACGGTGATGATAATAGTGAAGAAGATGAAGATGATGGTGATGATGGTGCTGCTGCTGAAGATCTAATCCAATTCTCTCTTTAGAGGTGCAGAAAATGGAGAAAGTAACAACGCAATTAGGGGAGAGACAGACCTGGCACCCGAGGCTCCTTATGCTCATTACAGTGCTCTCTCCTCTGCCCTTGTTACCACCTTGAATTGAAGCAACTGGTCTAGTCCTTGCATGAACTCCTGGGATTCATGGGTGCCCAGAATTAGATGACTCAGGCATAACACCTCAGATGTGTCTAATCTGTCAGTTGCCTCCTTCCCCATATCTGTCTCCCCCTTCCTTCTTTAGTAACAGCAGCTCTTGTACTTTGGTGTGACCATATGACTGAAATCTGGCCAATGAGATAGGAGCAGAAGTTCTTGGATGGGATTTTTAAGAGAATCCCTTTTTGCCTTCACTCCAGCTTCCTTCCCCCTGCCTGGGATGCCAATAGGACGGCTGGAGCTGGAGCAGCTACCTTGGATCATGCAGCCATGAGAAAGGAAGTCACATGCTTCCTTGGGAGCAGACAGGTAGAAAGGGCCAGATGACCATAGAACATCACACCAGTGCTGAGTGCTCACCTGTGCTGCAGAAACAAAGCCTCTGCCCTGTGGAGCATTTGCACTGGTTGAGAGAGACAGGACATAAAACAATAGGTAAGCAAATGTAGTCAAGTCAGGCATTGTAAAGCCAAGTACAAGGATGGAGAATGATCAGATTGTTCTGCTTTTGATGGGGAGTGGGGAGGCAGTCCATGCAGAGGGAAGAAGGGCCTTGGAAATGTGTCTGAGGAACAGCGAGGGGTCAGGGATCTGGGGTCATGTGAACATTGGGGTCTACAGTGGGCAGGATAGTAGCTTCCCAAAAGACACATCCATGCCCCAATTCCTGAAACCTGTGAGTATTACTTCATATGGCAAAAGAGTGAATACTACCTCACTGGGGAAATTCAGGATAAGTTAAGAACCTTGAGAGAGGCTTATCCTGAAGTACCCAGGCGGGCCCTAAATGAAATCACATGTATTCTTTTTTTAATTTTTTTTGAAACACAGTCTCACTCACTCTGTCGCCCAGGCTGGAGTGCAGTGGTGCCATCTCGGCTCACTGAAAACTCCGCCTCCCAGGTTCAAGCGATTCTCGTGCCTCAGCCTCCCAAGTAGCTGGGACTACAGGCGAGTGCCACCATGCCTGGCTAATTTTTGTGTCTTTAGTAGAGATGGGTTTTACCATGTTGGCCAGGCTGGTCTCAAACTCCTGGCCTCAAGTGATCCACCTGCCTCAAGCTCCCAAAGTGCTGGGATTACAGGGATGAGTCACCATGCCCAGCCTCACATGTATTCTTATAAGAGAGACACACAAAGGAGAAGACACAGAGGGGAGAAGGAGGCCAGAAGACAGAAGCAGAGATTGGAGTGACACACACAGCCACCCTAAGCTGCAAAAAACAAGGATTCTCTTTTGGAGCCTTCAGAAGGAGTGTGGCCCTGTAGACATCTTGATTTTGGATTTCTGCATTTTGGATTCTCTCTCAGCATTGTGAGGGAATAAATTCCTGCTGTTTTGCACACCCAGTTTGAAATCATTTGTTACAGCAGTCCTTGGAAGCTAATACGGAGGCAAGTTGTGGCATGGGGGCCAGAGGCTGGGAGGGGTTCAGTCAGGCAGGGCTTCCTAAGGTGCCCTGGGGACTCTGGACCTTATTCTGGATGTGAGGAGAAATCACTGGAGGACCAAGAGAAGAGCATGATGGCATCTGATGTGCATTTTAAAGGACAGGTCTGGCTGCTGGGTTTCTGGAAGGGTGCTAAGAAACCAGCTAGGAAATGTCTGTGGTCATCCAGTTATAAGAAGGTGATGCCTGGCTTAGAGCAGTCCTATTCAGGGGTCACCCCATGCACAATTGGTCAGTTACATTCAGTGTTATGAGTGGTTTTGGAAAGAGATGAGCATGGTTGGGTCCTTCTAATAAGCTAAACTGACCAGACATGATTTCAGTGGGAAGTAAGAGGCCATGTGGCCTCTGGGGCAGAGACACAGTTGTTTGTAAATACTTAGAAAACTGGGTGTGATATGTTCATATTTTTAAACATTTCACTTCCTTTTCAGTCAATGATTTTTTTGAATGACAAAGTGGAACCCCCAAGTTGTTTTTACACAAATTTACAGAGAGGTCAGTAAGCTGTAGTAAGTTGAGGCAGAGGAGAAGAAAAGAAGAGGTAAGCCTAGGAAAATTCAACCCACAGTCTACCATAGGGCAACAAAAGAATCTGGCTCAGCTGACCCTGTAGCTTAAATCCGAGGAAATACACAAGGTATGGGCACCAACAAGAGCTCCACAGGTACAAAGCCCAGCTCTTAGGACACAAAAGCCCAGCAGGTAAATACTCTAGTCCATTATTTTATCAAAGGCCTTTGTAGCTGGGTGAGAAGGCAAATCTACCACAATTGAAATGAGTTTGGATAAAAGACCATTTATTCTCAAAATCCCTGCCCCTTCTCCCTCTACACTGTTGTATACACCACATTGCCTCTTCTCTGCTCTTTAACTAATTCCTGGCTTCAGGTGAGCATATACCCAAGGAGAGCAGAGTATCCAGAAGACCTTGGACTTTAAGGTGAAAGAAGACTTTCCTTTGGGCCACCCAAGAGGAGCAGTAAAATAAAAACCCATCAAGGCAACTGGGTTATCTATCTAAGGGGTTGAGCAGAGCAGGGGGACTCAGGAATAAGCAGCAGGACAGGAACTTGGAAAATAGTTCCAGACAGAGCAGGATATCTCATTCCAGTGTGTATTAGTCTGTTTTCATACTGCTATAAAAAACTGTCCAAGACTGGGTAATTTATAAAGGAAACAGGTTTAACTGACTCACAGTTCAGCATGGCTGGGGAGGCCTCAGGAAACTTCCAATCATGGCAGAAGGTGAAGGGGAAGCAAGGCACCTTTTTCACAAGGCAACAGGAAGGAGAAGTGCCAACCATAGGTGGAATAGATCTTGTGAGAACTCACTATCACAAGAACAGCATGGGGGAACTGCCCCATGAGCCAATTACCTCCACCTAGTCTCTCCTTTGACACATGGGGATTATGGCGATTATAATTCAAGATGAGATTTGGGTGGAGACATAAAGCCTAACCATATCACAGTATAAGACTGAACCTGGAGGCCTCTACTGTACCTCAGAAATATGATACTGTGCTCACTATAGTTGGGGGAACTTTTAAGGGCACCAAAACGCTGCCACGTCACCCAGATTTCTCTCAGCTTTGCTCCAAGCCCTATGCATCCAAGATCACCACTTCTATAATGCATAACTTCCCTCTTCTTATGCTCCTTTAGCTCCCAGAAGGCAAAAGCAGAGAGCTGTCACACATGCTGAGCATCTATTATGTGCCAGGCTCTGTGCCAGGGGTTTTATGTGTTTTATATCACTTAATTCTCACTGTACCTTTGTCATATAGGAACTATTGTGATCCTCCTTTTGCAGATGAAGAAACTGAAGCTTAGAGAAGTAAAAACTTGTCCAGACTCACATAAGTCTGTTCTTACAGTCTTGGAATTCATCCACTTATTCTCCAAGTATTTGTTGAATGCTGCTTGATGCCTGGCACTGTTCCAAACACAGTGTATAGTGTATATCTTAGTGAACAGAACAGACACAAACCCCTGCCTCCTGAGGGAGGTTTCTGGATGCTGGAAACATCCAGATTTCTTTTCTTTTCTTTTCTTTTCCTTCCTTCCTTCCTTCCTTCCTTCCTTCCTTCCTTCCTTCCTTCCTTCCTTCCTTCCTTTCTTTCTTTCTTTCTTTCTTTCTTTCTTTCTTTCTTTCTTTCTTTTTCTTTCTTCCTTTCTTTCAGATGGGCTCTCTCTAAGTTGCTCAGGCTGGCCTCGAACTCCTGAGCTCAAGTGATTCTCCTGCCTCAGCCTCCTGAGTAGCTGAGACCACAGGCATGCACCACCATGCCCAACCTAACATCCTGATTCTTCAGCACAAGTGTGTTCAGTTTGAAAATCATCAAACTGCACCCTCATGATCTGTGTATTTATTGTATATATGTTGTACTTAAAAATTTTTTTAAATCCCTGCCTTCATGGAGGTTATGTTTGGTGGAAGAATTGGGGGGTTTGGGAGAACAATAACCAGTATGTGGTAAACTGAATCATGACCCTCAAAGATACCCAGGTCCTCTTCTATAGAGCCTGTGAAAGTGATCTTATATGGCAAAGGAAACTTTGCAGATGTGGTGAAATCAAACGTATGGAGATGGGGGAGATTATCCTGGATTAGTCAGTGGGCCCTAAATGGGACCACACATTTCCTTATAAGAGGGAGGCAGAGAGAAATTTGACTACACAACAGGAAGTAGAAGGTGGGATGATGGAAGCAAGAGATTGGAGTGATGTGGGGAAGAGGCCACAAGCCAAGGAACTGGGGTGGCCTCCAAAAGCTGGAGGAGGCAGAGAAACAGGTTTTCACCTGGAACCTGCAGAAGAAACCAGTCCTGTGCACACCTTGGCTTTAGCCCAGGGAGACCAACTTCAGACTTCTGGCCTCCAGAACTTGAAGACAATGAATCTGTACTGTTTTAAGCCAACAACCAAATTTGTGGTAATTTGGTACAGCAGCAACAAGAAGCTAATACACAAGTTAATTAAATACATTACACAGCATTACATATTATCTTGGTCACATTCGTTTCTCATGGTTCTGTTCTGTCAATTTATTTTTATTTATTTTTTTATTTTTTTTGACAGAGTCTTATTCTGTCGCCAGGCTGGAATACAGTGGCATGATCTCGGCTCACTGCAATCTCTGCCTCCTGGGTTTAAGCAATTCTCCTGCTTCAACCTCTCATGTAGCTGGGACTACAGGGGCACACCACCATGCCCAGCTAATTTTTGTATTTTTAGTAGAGATGGGGTTTCATCATGTTGGCCAGGATGGTCTCAATCTCTTGACCTCGTGATCCACCCGCCTCGGTCTCCCAAAGTGCTGGGATTACAGGTGTGAGCCACCACACCCAGCCAACTTTTTTACTGCATAAAAATTTTCATGGGCCAGGCTTGGTGGCTCATGCCTGTAATCCCAGCTCTTTGAGAGGTCAAGGCGGGCAAATCACTTGAGGTCAGGAATTCAAGACCAGCCTGGCTAACATGGTGAAACCCCGCCTCTATTAAAAATACAAAAGTTAGCTGGGCATGGTGGTGAGCACCCGTAATCCTAGCTACTCAGGAGGCTGAGGCATGAGAATCATTTGAACCCAGGAGGTGGAGGCTGCAGTGAGCAAAGATTGCACCACTGCACTCCAGCCTGGGCCAGTGAGACTCTGTCTCAAAAAAAAAAAATTCAAAATAGAAAGTTAGAGATTAAAAAAAAGAAAGATTGGGAGGCAGGTCGAGTGTGAGTTTAGGTCACCCTTTCAAAGGAAGGAGCTGAACAAGATAGAGGGGAACCACAGCTCGAGTGAAGAGAAAAATTCTGACAGTTTTTTAATTGTGGTAAAATACTCATAGCTTAAAATTTACCATCCTCATCATTTTTAAGTGCACAGTTCAGTGGCATTAAGTACATTCACAATATTGTGCAACCATCACCACCATCCATCTCTAGAACTTTCTCATCTTCCCAAACTGAAAGTCTGTCCCCTTAAACACCAACTCCCCATCCCCTCCCCGAGTCCTGGGCACCCACCATTCAACTTTCTGTCTCTATAAATTTGACTACTCTGGGTACATCATATAAGTGGAATCATACAGTTTTTTTTAACTGACTTTCAGGTTTCTCTCAAATGAGATAAATAATAATGTATATTTTAAAAAGAGGCTGGGGGTACAGTGGCTTATGCTTGTAATCCCAGCACTTTGGGAGGCTGAGGTGGGAAAATCACTTGAGTCCAGGAAGCCGAGGCTGCAGTGAGCCATGATCATGCCACTGCTCTTCAGCCTGGGTGACAGAGCAAGACCCTGTCTCAAAAAAAACAAAACAAAATAAAATAAAATCCAATTAAGATGGACAAATAGAGGATTCTAGAGAGCGGGGAGCACTAGTGGATTTGTGATCCTGGGTAGGAGGCAGGCTAGTATTTGACATCAAGTGCAGAGATGAGAGCCTGACGTCTGTGCAGAGTAACCAAGAAAGGGATGCATGTGGGGACAGGTGTAGGAGCTTGGGGATCAGAGTGGTGGTGGTGGCTTGTGATCGTTCTTTCTGATGGCACCTGCAATTCTCAGTGAAGCAGAGGACAAGGTGATCAGCTGAGGATGAGGACAGCGGAGGAGGCAGCAGAGATTCATGCAGAGGAGAGAACCCAGTTATCCATTAGAAGACTGAGGAAAGAACAGAATCCAAGAATTAGGGTGAACCTGGTAGTGGCTAAGCATAGCCTCTCCTGTTTTCCAAGCATTGTTAATCTTTTGTCTCCTGTTTTCCAAGCTCCCTGGGAGCTGTATCCTCCAAAGTCCTCATAAGAATAGAAATTCAAAGGAGAGCCATCCTCAGGGCATATGGTGGTCTTCAGATCAACTTTTGCTGAATCTTCAGCACAGTTGGGGCACTGTACATTTGTGGCTGAGTGTAAGCAGCACACATCATTTGAGGCTGACTTGCAGCAGGTTCTCCAACTCTTGGCAGGTTCCTCACCAGCCTGCTCTCCCTCCTGAAAGCCTCAGTCTCCAAGGGGGTCTAAGCAGACAACAACCACCTTGGTCAGAAAAGAGACGGTCCTAATGCTAGTGGATGGTTCTAGAAACTAGAAATCCCCTCCTTGGCAGGTCACAGGAGTGCCTGAAGGGAGCCAGAGGGTGGAGAGACTCCAAACTGCTTCCTGCTCTCCACCCTCCATGCCCCATGGAGTCCTCCAGACGTCCAGCCAGGTGGACATCTGGGGTTTGTGGTTCTACAACAGCTCTAATCCTTGCTACTTTGTGCACCTCTAAGAGACACGGCATCAAAGCCTGCACTGGTCATGCTGCCTGTTAAAAGGGGAACCTCCCTTTTGCACACTAACTAAAGTCAAAACTTACCTTTTTGTCTTCTGTTGGAGTCAAAGAGGCAATGAGGCTGAGGCTGTATTCCATTTCCTGCCTCCAGGCTTTTGGGCACCCGGCCCCTCTACCTGGGAACCCCGCCTTCCTTTCTGCCTGGAGGACTCCTTCTCAACCTTCAGGAGCTGGCTCCCTTGCCTCTGTGAAGGGTCAGGGGGTCCCCAAGATCACCCTCAGTTTCAATAATTCACTAGAAGGGCTCACAGAACTAAAACAAAAGGTGTTACATTTGTGGCTTATTACTGTGAAGGGCTACACACTGAAATCAACAAAAGTAAGAGGGACATGGGGCAGCATCCTGGAAGGAGCAGGCATCAGCTCCTGGTTGGTCTCTTGCTGTGAAGTCGCATGAACAGTATTTAATCCTGCTGGCAACAATGTGTGGCAACACAGATGGAGAACTGCCAACCAGGAAGTTCTCCAGAGCCACGGAGTGCAGGGCTTCATGGGGGTCCATCTCACAGACATGCAGAGTCCACATGACTGATCTTAGCCATTCATCCTCCAGCCTCTCCAGAGCTCAAACAGATCCAAGAGGCTGAAGGTCTCAGGTAAACAAAGACATTGTCACCAGGCAGTATATTTCAAGAACTCAGAGTTCCTTCTAGCCCAGGACCAGCCCTTTCTTTGGAACATGCAGGATTTTGGCAATCCCAAACATTTCCATTTTATGTGCCTTTCCTTGCTTCATTGCAGTGGCTTATATCTTCAGTGTGATTTGAACAGAACCAGTGAGAGCAGGCATCCATGCCTTGTGCCTAATCTTAAAAGAAGTGCTCAGTTTTTCACTATTAAGTATGCTGTTATCTGTGGGGTTTTTGTAGAAGCCCCTTATTATATATGAATACTGAATTTTGTTAAATTTTTCTACTGCATCTAATGAGTTGATCACATGATTTTTCTCATTTATTTTTATTAATATAGTAAGTTACTTTAATTGGTTTTCAAATATTAAGCCAACCTTGCATTCCTAGAATAAATTCCATTAGGTCATGATGTATCATCATTTTGTCTATATTGCTAGGCTTGATGTATTATTATTTTCTTCAGGATTATTGCATTTATGTTCATAAGGGACAGTGTTTTGTACTAACCTTTTCCTGTAATGCATTTCCAGAGTTATGCTTGCCACATAAAATGAATTGAGAATTGTTTCTCCTCCTTTATTTTCTGAGAGTGTTTACATAGGATTAATATTAATTCTTCCTTCAATTTTTGATAGACTGCACCAGTACAAATATATTGTGGAGGAGACTTTAATAACAAATGCATTTCTTTAATAGATACAAGGCTATTTTGTATTTTCTATTTCTCTTCTTGAGTCTATTTTAGTAATTTATGTCCTTCAAAGAATGTGTATGTTTATGTTGTCAAGTTTATTGGCCTAAAGTTGTCTACAATGTGCCCTTATTATTCTTTTAATATTTGTAGGATCTATATGATGCCCCTTCTTTCATTCTTTGTAATCTGTATTATTTCTCTTTCTTGATAAATCTAGATAGGAGATTGTAATTTTAAAAAACTCTTTACAGAACCTATTTTTCTTTTGTCATTATCCTCTATTTTTTAAATTTTATTCCAATCTTCATGATTTCTTTCTTTTTAAACTTATTTTAAGCTTAATTATTCATCTTTTTCTAGTTTCTTATGGTAGAAGTATAAATAATTAAATTTATATATTTGCTTTTTTCTAATGTAAGTATTTAAAACTATAGCTCCTTCCAGAAGTTTTTGTGTTTTCATTATCATTCAACTAAAAATATTTTATAATTTCCTTTGCAATTTCTTCTTTGATCTACATATTAGTTAAAAGTTTTTTGCTTAATTCAGCAATCAAAAAAGCCACCAAACAACCCAATTCAAAAATGGGTGAAAGACTTGAATAGGCATTTTTCCAAAGAAGATACACAAATTGTCAGAAAGTACATGGGAATCTGTTCAACATCTTTCATCAATAGGGAGATGAAAATCAAAGCCACCGTGAGATACTCCTTCATGCCCTCAGGATGGCTGTTATTTTTAGAAAAGAAACAGAAAAGGTGTGTTGACAAGGATGTGGAGAAGTTGGAACCCTGGTACATTCCTGGTAGAAACTGGAACCCTTGTATGTTGCTGGTAGAAATGTAAAATGATGCAGCCACTGAAGAAAACAATTTGATGGTTCCTTAGAAAGTTAAACACAGAATAGCCATATGATCCAGAAATTTTATTCCTAGGTATATGCCCAAAAGAATTGAGGCCAGGTGTGGTGGCTCACCCCTGTAATCCCAGCACTCTCCCAGCACTCTGGGAGGCTGAAGGGGGAGGATCACTTGAGCCCAGGAGTTTGAGACCAGCCTGGCAACATAGTGAGACCCCATCTCTTTAAAAAGTAAAAAAAAAAAATAGCCACAGCTCACTGCAGCCTTAACCTTCTGGGCTCTGGTGATCCTCCCACCTCAGCCTCCCAGGTAGCCGGGACTACAAGCATGCACCATCATGCCTGGCTAATTTTTGTATTTTTTGTAGAGATGAGTTTTCACCATGTTGCCTAGGCTGGTCTTGAGCTCCTGGGCTCATGAAATCTGCCTGCCTCAGCCTCTCAAAGTGTTGGGATTACAGCACTCAGGTGGCTGAGGTGGGAGGATCACTTGAGTCTGGAAGTCAAGTCTACAGTGAGCTATGGCTGTGCCACTGCACTCCAAGCTGGGCAACAGAGCAAGACCCTGTCTCAAAAAAAAAAAATTAGAAGCAGGGACTCAAACAGATATTTGCATGCCAGTGTTCATAACAAAATTATTCACAGTAGCCAAAAGGTGGAAACAACTCAAGTATCCATCAGCAGCTGAACAGATAAACAAAATGTACTACAGTAGTCCTCCCTTATCCATGGTTTTGCTTTCCATGGTTTCAGCTCCCTGTGTTCAACTCAGGTACAAAAATATTAAATGGAGAACTCCAGAAACAAACCTTTCATAAGTTTTAAATTGCACGCCATTCTGAGTAGTCTGATAAAATCTCACACCATTCTGCCCCATCCCACCCGGGACATGAGTCATCTCTTTGTCCATCATATCCTCATTGCCTGCCCCTTAGTCACTTAGTATCTGACTCTGTTATGAGATGGAAAAATGTAATATATATAGGGTATGATAGTATCTGTGGTTTCAGGCATCCCACTGGGGATCTTGAAATGTATCCCCCATAGGTAAAATGGGACTACTGTATCTACCTACAATGGAATATTATTCAGCCTTAAAAAGGAATGAAACTCTGATACATGCTACCATATGGATGAAACTTAAAAATATGATGCTGGCCGGGTGCAGTGGCTCACACCTGTAATCCCAGCACTTTGGGACGCCGAGGTGGGCGGATCATGAGGTCAAGAGATCGAGACCATCCTGCCCAACATGGTGAAACTCCGTCTCTACTAAAACTATAAAAATTAGCTGGACGTGTTGGCACGTGCCTGTGGTCCCAGCTACTCCGGAGGCTGAGGCAGGAGAATCGCTTGAACCCAGGAGATGGAGGCTGCAGTGAGCCGAGATCGCGCCACTGCACTCCAGCCTGGTGAGAGAGTGAGACTCCGTCTAAAAAAAAATTTTTTTTAAACCCATATATTTGTATATATATATATGATGCTAAGTCCAATACGCCAAACACAAAAGGACAAATTGTATGATTTCATTTATGTGAGGTACCTAGAATATGCAAATTTATTCAGACAGAAAGTGAAATACACACTATTAGGTTACTAAGGGCTTGAGGGAGGAGGAGGGAATGGAAATCATTGACTAGTGGTTTACAGAGTTACTCTTTGGGATGATGAAAAAGTTCTGGAAATGGGCAGTGGTGATGGTTGTACAACACTGCGAATGTACTGAAAGCCACTAAGTTGTACACTTAAAAATAATTAGTTGACTAATAACTAGTTAACTAATATTTAGTTAATTAAAAATAATTAATTAATAAAATAAATAGTTGATAATTTTTTGATATCTTTTTATTACCAATTTTAAATTTCATTCCACTGTGGGGAGAAAACATACTCTATATGATTTCAGTCCTTTGATATACATTAAGACTTGTTTTATTGCCCAGAATATGAGCTATGAGCTATGTTAGTGAATGTTCCCTGTGCCCCTGAAAGAAGTGTGTGTTCTCGTCAATTTCAATAGCATGTCCTATAAATGCCACTTAGGTGAAGTTGGTTGATAGCATTGTTTAAATCTTGTACACTATTTTTTCCTAGTTTTTATTGATTTTTGTTAATGATTTAGTGAAGTTTCAGTTTCTCAACTACAGTGTAAATTTATATGTTTCTCTCTTTGGTTTTCTCAGATCTTGCTTTATGTATTTTGAAGCTGTGTTGTTCGATGTATACAATTTTAGGATTGTTATGGTTTCCTCATGACAATCCTTATAACAATTTCTGAAGAAATAACCCCTTATGCCTCTGATAATACTCCTTGCCTTGATGTCGACTATATCAATATAGTAATACTAGCTTTCCTGTGTTTATCATTTGCTTATGTCTTTTTCCATTATTTCATTTTTGACCTGTCTTTATATTTAAAGTACATCTCTTATAAAGAACACATAATTGATTCTCATTCTTATATCCAGGCTGACAACCTTTCCCCATTAATATGAGTAGTTAGACCAACTGAATTTAATGTAGTTATTAATATGGTTGATTTTAAATCTACCATCTTTCTAGTTGTTTCCATTTACCCTATCTGTTCTTTTTACTTTTTTCTCCTTTCCTTTATTTTAAATTAATTGAATTTTATTAGTATTCTATTTTGTCTTTGTGCATTTTTTTTAGCTATAAAACTTTGTTTTAGTTTCTCTGGTTGCTGTAGGTATTATAGTGTGTATTGTTAACTTTTCACGATACACCTTGAATTAATATTATACCACTTCACATGTATTGTAAGACCTTTACAACAATTATGCTTTTTTTTTTTTTTTGACAGAGTCTCACTCTGTCACCCAGGCTGGAGTGCAGTGGCACGATCTCAGCTCACTTGCAACCTCTGCTTCCCAGGTTCAAGCAATTCTGGTGCCTCAGCCTCCCAAGTGGTTGGGATTACAGGAGTGTGCCACCACGCCTGGCTATTAACAATATACTTCTATTTATTCATTCACCTTGCCCTTTGTGCCATTATATAATACATTTTATTTCTGTGTATGTTATAAACCCATAATATACTGTGATTATTTTTGCTTCATATCAGAGATACCATCAATTATCTTGTTCTTGTTTGGGTAATTTCCGTTGAGCTGATTTCAAGTTCATGACATTTTCTTCTACACTGTTAAATCTGTTTTTAGGACCATCCAGTGAATTTTTGATCTTGTCATTTCAGACATTGTACTTTTCAGATCTGGGAATTTCCATTTACTTCTTTTTTAGTTTTCATATATCTGCTGTGATTCTTCATCTCTGTATTCATTATGTGCATTTTCTTCTTTAAGGCCTGGAGCATATTTATAATACAGTTGACCCTTGAACAACTCAGGTTTTACCTGTGCAGGTCCATTTATAAGTGGATTTTTAAAAATAAAAGTTACAGCAAGTGCACCTGCCTCTCCTGCTCCCCCTTCTACCTCGTCCACTACTTCTACTTCTGTCACCCTTGAGAGAGCAAGACCAACTCTTCCTCTTCCTCTTCCTCCTTCTCCTCAGCTTACTCAACATGAAGACAATGACGATGAAGACCTCTATGATGATCCACTTCCACTTAATGAATAATCAACATATTTTTTCTTCCTCATGCTTGCCTGCCTGCTTACCTCTCTCCCTCCCTCCCTCCTTCTCTCTTTCTCTTTCTCTCTCTTTCTTTCTTTTGAGATGGAGTCTCACTCTGTCCCCCAGGCTGGAGTGCAGTGGCCCTATCATAGTTCACTGCAGCCTCAAACTCCTGCACTCAAGCTATCCTCCCATCTCAGCCTCCTGACTACAGGTGTGTGCCACCACACCCGACTAATTTCTAAATTTTTTATAGAGATAGGGTCTTGTTATGTTGACCAGGCTGCCTTATGGTTTTCTTAATAACATTTTCTTTTCTCTAGCTTACTTTATTGTAAGAATACAGTGTATAACACGTAAAACTTACAAAATATGTGTTAATCAACTATTTGTTATTGGTAAGCTTCTGGTCAACAACAGGCAGTTAAGTTTTGAGGGATTCAAAAGTTAAACATGGATTTTTGACTGTATGGGGTGTTGGCACCTCTAACGCTCACGTTGTTTTAAAGTCTGCTAAATCATCTGTGTCATCTCTGCGTTTGTTTCTATTAATTACTTTTTCTCTTCTGAGTATGGGTCACATTTTTTCTGCCTCTTTGAATGTCTAGTAATTTTTCTACTGTACGTTAGACATTGCAAATGCTATGTTGTTTTAGTCTGGATTTTATTGTCTTCCTTTAAAGAATCTTGAGAATTTTTCTCCCCTTAACAGGCTGTTAATTTATTGGTGAAACAGTTTGATTGAAGATTATTTTCATTCCTTGTTATTGTGGGCCTAGAAGAGCCCTTGTTCTAGAGCTGCAATGGCAAGAATGCTGCTTTAGGTTGGGTTTGGCTGCCTTGTGCCTCAGTTTAGAAATTTCCCTCAAGTATAAAGCCAGAATGAAGGCGGGGCTTATTCCCATATGTCTTTCCCCATGAAGGAAAACAGCCCTGTATTTTCTGTTGTCTGATGCCTTCAAAAGTTATTTTAAATATTGCACCCAGTTGAATAGTTGTTTATGATGAAAGGGTGATCTTAATACTCAGTACAATATGGTTGGAACCAAAATTACTTTGCTTCACATAGTTTTTTTTTTAGCTTTTTATTTTGAAATAATTTTCAACTGAAAGAAAAGTGGCAGTAAATAGTCCCAAGACTTCCTTACCCAGCTTCCTTTAATGTTAGTATCTCAAGCAGCCAAATATAATTGTCGAAACTAAGAAATTAACATGGGTTCAACACTATCAACTAAACTACAGACCTGATTCAGGTTTCATAAATTTCATCGCTATGTCCTTTTCCCGTTCCAGGATCCAGTCCAGGACATCATATTGTATTTACTTGTCATATCCTCCTAGCCTCCTCAGTCTGAGACACTTCCTCAGCCTTGTCTTATCTTTCGTGACTTTGACGCTTTTGAAGAGTGATGGTAAGTTATTTAGCAGAATTTTCCTCAATTTGGGTTTATCTGATGTTATCTCATGATAAGGTGGAGGTTATGCATTTTTGCAAGAATACCCTAGAAGCAATGCCCATGTCACTGTATCTCATTAGTGGCAAAGTTAACCTAGATCACTTGGTTAAGGTGGTGTCTTCCTTACTACTTTTCCTGTTGTAATTAATAACTTTAGGAGCAATACTTTCAGACTATGCAAATATCCTCTTTCTCCTCAAACTTGTACCCACTAATTTTAGCCTCAACCAGCAGATATTACCTGTAACAATTATTGAGAAGTGAGGCCAGCTGGACTTTCTGGGTCGAGTGGGGACTTAGGGAACTTTCCTGTCTTAAAAGAGGATTGTAAAATGCACCAATTAGCCCTCTGTAAAACGCACCAGTCAGCGCTCTGTAAAACTCACCAGTCAGCGCTCTGTAAAACACACCAATCAGTGCTCTGCAAAATGCACCAATCAGCAGGATTCTAAAAGTAGCCAATCACTGGGAGGACTGAAAAAAGGGCATTCTGATAGGACAGAAACAGAACATGGGCGGGGCCAATAGGGAAATAAAAGCTGGCCACCTCAGCCAGCAGGGGCAACTCACTCGGGTCCCCTTGGATGTGGTGGAAGCTTTGTCCTTTTGCTCTTCACAATAAACCTTGCTGCTACTTACTCTTTGGGTCCGGGACATCTTTAAGAGCTGTAGCACCCACCACGAAGGTCTGCTGCTTCATTCTTGAAGTCAGCGAGACCACGAACCCACCAGCGGGAACCAACTCTGGACACATTATGACTGTGATGACTTTGTTGTTCTAATGGTGATTTTCTATTTTCCAAATTCTTTCTACATTTATTAATTGGATTCTTTGGTAAGGAAGAGCTGTCGCTTCTTCTCATTTATCCCTTTACTCCCCAGTTCTAAGGTACCAGATCCATTTCTTCCCATGCAGCAGGGGAGGCTTTTGTATTATACGAACTTGCAGTTCTTGTCTTTTCTACAGACTGGCCCACGGGTCACCCACAGCGACACACCTTCAGGCTTCCTACACAAATCCTCCGATGTTCTCACGGTGTAAAAGCTGAGACTGTGATCACAAGTACAATTTTGTTTAATCTGAGAGAATGTTTTCTTCTTTAAAAAATATACACACAAGGGGATGGGGTAATACCAGGAAGAAAAAATAGCCACGTGTAGTTTTGGAGGAAAATGTGAGCTCTACCTCTGAGCTGGACTCCATGTTGCCCTCTGGAGAGGATCCTGTTTACAGTGCGTCTCTCCTGCTTCTGGCCCCACCCCGCTTCAAGTCTTGTTTGTTGGTCCTCGTGGTTAAATGACTGCAGAAATGCCCCTAATTATTTTCCTCCCCAACTCAACACTCCTGGTTGCAGCAATTCCTAGCAAGAGGCAAAGTCTATTTCCCTGTCCCTTGAATCAGGGTTGGTTTTGTAACTTGCTTTGGCCAAAAAAATGTGACTGCAGTGGCTGGGTGCAGTGGCTCATGCCTGTAATCACAGCACTTTGAGAGGCGGAGGAGGGAAGATTGCTTGAGTCCAAGAGTTCGAGACCAGCCTGGACAACACAGTGAAACCCTGTCTCTACAAAAAAACACAAAAAATTAGTTTGTGTTGCCATGGTAGCATGCACCTGCAGTCCCACCTACTCAGAAGGCTAAGGTGAGAGGATTGCTTGAGCTGGGAAGGCGAAGGTTGCAGTGAGCCATGATTACACCACTGCACTCCAGCCTGAGCAACAGAGAGAGACTCTGTCTCAAAAAAGAAAAAAAAAATAGAATTGTGGCAGCAGAGACCAGCCACCAATTCTGAGCCTAGGCCCTAAGAGGACCCAGGACTCTTACCAGGGGCTGGCCTGCTGGAGGAAGAGAGACAGTGGCCCAGTGGTCCACCGTGACTCCAGCTGAGAGCTGCCCAATCTTCAGGCATGGAAGTGAGGGCATCCTAAACCAGCCAGCCCACCTGCTGTCTGCAGACATACGATGAGTCCAGCCAAGATCCCCCGAGCTTCATCCAGATAAGCAGGACTGCCCGGCTGACCCCTGGGCTTGTGAATAGAAGAAGCACTCCTCATGTGAAGTCACCGAGTTTGGAGTGGTTTGCTGTGCAGTGATAACTACTTGGTACTGTCCTTCCTGAGCCACTCTCACTCTAAACCCAGATCCCGCAACACCTCCAGCAGATCCCCAGGACTCTTGGGATGCAGTGCACGGAGCATTCGCTTGGTCCAGCCCATTATAGGAGGGATGACACCAAGAGGGATCAGGTGACCTGCCCAAAGGGAGGCAGCAAGGTACAGGCATATTGTGGGGCTAGAACCCTGGACTCCAGCTTCCTAGTCGAGTGCTTTTTCCAGGACCCTTTCTGCTTTTACTTTGACAACTTCTTCCCCAGAGCTCAGCTCTCACTCCTCAGACCAAGTAGCTCCAAATCCTTGGGCTCACCTGCACAGACCCAAGGCTGACCTTGGCAATCCAGAACTCCTGCCCATCTGGGACAGGTGTCAAAAACGAGGGCTCCTCTTGCTTCACCTGGATAGTGGCCACCTCTACCTCTCTCTCATCTTTCTCCTGCAGGAAACGGCCGTGGTCCTGCCAGCCCCCGCTTTTGGAGGGGCCTCCGACACTCTGGGCAAACCTAGTTTCTGAGGACTCATTGCCCCAGAAGCATTGGCTAAGTGAAAGATTAATGAACAGAGGTTCATAGGATCTGGAAAGGCTTCTAACTGGAATGATCTGAAACTAAAAATTAATGACAATGGCAGCCGCAATGTAATAGCTGTGTGGTTTATTGAGGTCTTACTGCATCCCCGATGGAGCTGAGTGTGTCTCATGCTGTGTGTCATTTCATGCATGCAACAACTGTATGATACAACTACTATTATCCCTGTTTTACGGGGAAGAAACTCAGAGAAATGCAGAAATTGTCCATCATCACACTGGATCACCCCCTTGGAGAAGCTTCCCTGACCACCCTAGCAAGGACACAAGCCCCACCACTGCCTGCCCCTGAGCACTGGTCACATTGGACATCTCACCCACGCATTGGTTTACTGTCCGGCTTTCCCTTGTGGGACACACAGCCACATGAGCCCAGTCTGTCCCGCTCACAGCTGTATCCAAGGCCTGGAGCATGGCAACAGGCAAACAGAGACCCGTGGAGGGAATGGTCGGGGAATATTGGGGTTGTAAGAATGGCCCTCGTGGAGGGGAGCAAGGTGTCAATCAGCTGATGACATAGTGCATATTTGATGACCCCTTGGTGGGTGCAGGTTGCTGGGGACCTGGTGCTATCGAAGATTACAGATGGGCTGGCAGGGGCCCTTTCTCTCTTATGGAATCAAGCACGGCCCGCAAAGGTTGCTACTGAGCCGGCCTGCAGTGGCCCCGACCAAGCAGTGGCCCCGGCTGCAGCCAGGGCCTTTGGAAACCTCATCAAAATGAAGAGTGGCCTCGTGCGTGCTGACCGGGGGGCTGGTGGCCCACGGAGACGGCATTCCCAGAGACTACAAGGAGCCGGTGGCCCTTTCTTCAACCGCCAAACAACAGCCAATCTCGGCCCCACAAAGACGGGCGCATGAATCACTTCTGCAGAGACTGCATTTCCTTTGAGGGGCTGTCACTGGCACCGGGCGGTAAGAAAACATTTTGTCATGCACATCAGCTGCCTTTCTCTGGGCCTTGGGTGGCCCAGGGCCACTCCCCCACCCAAGGGGACGGCTGTCCCGGTCAGTGCTCATCCATCAAGCTCATAATGAGGTGGCAAATTGCTGTCTTGGAGAGACACTCAAAAGCCAACTACTTCAGCCTGTCCATGGAGGTGTCAACGGCCGGGCCCCAGGAGATAGCTCCCTCCAGGAGGCCTTCTATGGGGGCAGAGGTGGGAGTTTTACTGATCACTAAAGAAGTTGCAGCACCCACCAGCAACTCCCTGGTCCCCTGGGGGTCAGGCTGCCCTGGCCCCACTTACTGCCCATTGCAGCCAGAGGCTGACATCTGTCCCCACCCCTGGGATCCCCATAACCCTGAATCCTTGTTGGCTTCAGAGTCAGCTGAGAAGACCTCCTCTTCCTCCTCCCCCAAGTTCCAGGCCTCAGGGACAGCCAAGGAGAGCAGCAGCAGCGCCTTCCCTGGCCTTTGACCTGAAGACATCTATGATGATGATGATGATGGTGGTGGTGGTGGTGGCTACAGGGTGGGCAGCAGCTTCCTTCACTCATAACTGAGGCTTCCACACTCTATTAGCCCTCATGACCACCCAGGAGGGATGTAGACCTGTGCCCCCATTTCACAGATAAGAAAGGGAGAGGTCATGTGAGCTCCCCACATCACCGCACCAGTGGGAGAGCCAGCCCACTCCAGAGCCCAGGCAGCCGCACACTCGCTCTCAGACAACATCCACCCAGGCCACGAAGAGACCAGTGTCCCGCCAGACCACTCGCTCCCCAGCCCTGACCCTCGGGGACTCACTTCCCTGCTCGTCTGTGTGGTGTGACCGCCCACCTGTGTCCCCCAGCAGGTTCATTTGGGCTCTTTGCAGCTCTCTGTACGTGGGATCCCGCTGGATGTGCTCCTCTGTGGCCGCTCTGTGGCTTCTCTCCATCCAGGCCATTCGGGAAGGTCTATCTGAGCTGCCGCGTGGTTTGACACTTTACTAGGCCCACTGCTGTGTCATATGTCCCAGCATGGATGCTTCCAAGTCCACGGCCCTGTCATTTCTCAAGGCCAGGAAGGGCTCCCAGCTCTGAGGCCCAGGCACTGGTGAGCACCTGCTGCAGTTGGGCCTTCTGAGCCCCCAAGAGCCCCCTGAGGCTTCCTCCTTCCCCAGTGAGGTTTGGTGGGGTGGGGTGGGGCACAGAGAGGTGCAGCCACGGCAGGACAGCCTCTGGGACCCACCCAATGCAGCGCCCTGCCTTTGCACACGCGGAAACCCTTTGGCCCTCAAAGAAGCAGCTTCCATCCTGGCTCCCTCCGGCTTCCAGGCCCTCACTGCGGCTTTGGACCTGGGTTCACAGGGCAGGTGGGTGCAGAGGGCCTCCCGCCACCTGCAGAGCCACAAGTAGCCGCACACGGCCGGGGCCTCAAGTGTCCACCTTGATTTAGGTCAATGCTGCCTTCTTTCCCCCACCCCTCCTTTCATCCCACCACCCCCTTAAATGGTGGGCCAGGCTATGGTGCCCTGGAGGCCACTGTTCCTTTTGCTCCAAGTTTTCAGCTCTGTGGGCTGTGGGGCAGGTGACTCAGGCCAAGCAGATGCGTTGCATCCTGCTGGGAAAACTCGATTTTGTAGACATTTGCCAGGATTGCCACTGAACATTTGGGGGGGTGGGGTGGGTGCAGTGGGGGACAGAAATGGCAGGAGTAGGGGCCGTGCAGTGGCCAGGCTGTGGGGGAGGAAAGGCAGGGAGCACGGTGGCCTCTGCCACCTCTAGGAATGGGCAGAGAGCCCCAGGGAGGCCCCTTTGACCTGCAGTGTGACCTCGGGAAGGCCCCTCCGCATCTCTGGTCTTGGGTGAAATCATTGAAAATACAAGGAAATAGAGAGAAGGCCATGCTAGGTGCGTTCTGAGGGCTGGAGGTGCCGTGGGACCCATCCACGTGGTCTCTCCTTCCCTGAGCTCACACCACAGGGAGGGAGGGAACCAGTGCCCAGTCTGGTTTCTGGGGAGGGGAGAAGCGAGAGGAAGAAAGTAAAGCAGAGGTGAGCAGGAGGCAGCTGGAGCAGCGTAGGAGGGGGACGTGGAAGCAGCGTTAGGGCGGGAGGGTGACCTCTGAGCAGAGGGTGGAGAAGAGCCCAGCCATGCCCGGGAGTGGGGATGCAGGAGAGACTGTAGGCAGAGGCAGCTGCTGGAGGTGAAGCCCAGGGCTGGCTGGGCACCTTCCCATGGTGGAGACCGAGCTCGTGCCCAGCACAGAATGGTGGATGGGGTGATGGGGGGAGGCTCAGCCAGGAGGGTCCCTGGGACTGCAGAGGCAGCCGCTGGGGCATGGATGTGAGTGGGTGGCGGGTGCACAGGGACTGAAAAGAGCCTGGCCTTTGGGGGTCAGAGCCCCGGGTTGGCATCCGTTTCCTCTCTCACTGGGGTGGAGATACTGGCAAGGACGGGGTGATGGCCTGAGCTCTGGACATCAGGAGCAAGGTGCTGTCAGCCCAGAGAGGGGTGGCTTCCTACTCACGGTCACACAGCCGGTGAGTCACAAAGCTGGGTTCTCAGCCCCTCTCTTTGGCTTGGGCCCAGTCATGAGACAGCTGTGGGAGCCCCGCATACAACAGGCTCCCGTGGAGGGAGAACCCAAGGCACCCGACAAGGTGGGCGTATTGAAGAGAAGAAACCAGGGGCCAGAACCGACTCAAGCCTCCGTCCTGAGAGCAGCACCCTGGAGTGGAATCCCACGGGCCTGCAAGAGACAAGCCGGGCCGTGCTTCCTGCCAGCACCTGGCCTGCTGCAGCCCACCTTTCTGTCCACCTGCGGGGCTCGACTCCACCACAGCCACCTCCTCCAGGAAGTCTGCCCAGATCCCCCCTCCCCTGCTGGTGTCCCAGTAAGCTCCTGCTGTTTACCTGCCCATCTCCCCTGCTGGCCCACAACTCTCGGTGTTTTATCTCCATTTCCCTTTGGCTGCACCCAGGAGATGTGACTTCGAACTAAGTAAGTGGATGTGTGGAAGGCGGGGGTGTCACAAAAGGGCTCACCCCAGGATCCCTGAGGTCAACCCTGACCCCCTGATTCTTATGTTTACCATGAGAACTGACCCCTGAAAACTCTATTTCCTAGACATTTGCCAGGACTGCCACTGAGCATGCAATGGCGGGTGGGGGCGGAGGTGCAGCAGGAGAAATGGCAGGAGTAGGGGCTTGCAGTGGCCAGGCTGTGGGGGAGGAAAAGCATGGAGCACGGTGGCCTCTGGCACCTCTGGGAACAGGCAATGCCCCAGGGAGGCCCCTCACCCCATGCTCACAATTCCATCTGCAGCTCAAAGGCTCAACGCATCATGTGATCACAAGCTTGACCTCCTCCTCTTTGTGCCTCAGTTTCTCCATCTGGAAAAACGGGTAGCTTTTGCCAGTCTTTCCGAGCTTCAGAATTCCAAGGGCAGAATTTCAGAAAGATGGCCACCAGAGGCTCCTTGGGGCCTACATATGTCCTTGTGCTTCTTTAGCTTAACATTCTGACAGTTCTCAAACTCCTCTGCTCACTTAAAGGGCCTTTCTGGAGTGTGTCGTGGTCTATCAGCTTTTTTCCACCCTTAGTGGAGTATAAAATAATGTTGTATCTTACAACAATTGGTGATACCTTATATTCTATAAAATATGGTGATGCCAACCGTTTCCCATTTCTAATAGTGCCTTATCTTCATTTAATCCTAGCAACAACCCCAGGAGGTAGTTACTATTATTATCCCATTTTACAGAGAAGGATAAGAGAAGTCAACGCCTCACCTAAGGCCACACAGCAATTTACCCACGGAGACTGGACAGTGTCAGACAGCCTGGGCAAGGTGCTGGGGCAGCCTCCTGGGATGTCGAGGTTTTCACAGGGCCTTAATGAATGGTGCAGTTTCTGGTGGAAAGACATTTGCTCCCTGTGACATTCTGGACAGAAGCGTGGCTTAGCAACAGTGCAGAGGCAGGACAAGGGAGACATTTAGGAGCCAGGGAGGCTCTCGGTGGGCTGAAGCTTAAACGGAATGTCTGGAGTTTTGATCATCAGGGGTGTTAGGCCCAGATTGTACAGGGCTTTGAATCCCTGTGCAAGAAAGAGGTCCTTTGGGAGGCAATAGGGAGCCATTGAAGGCTTTAGAGTAGGAGCATTGCAAGGCTGGAGCAATGTCTGCATAGCCTCTATGCATTCAGCCTAAAACCAAGCTCCTTTGGCCGGCATGCAAGGCCTGCTACAACCAGGCCTTTGTCAGTCACCCCACCAGTGCCCTCCACCCCATGCCTTCCCCCACACACTGCTTTAGCCACACTGACACTTTCTCTGTTCCTGAGCTGACAAATGTGTTCTTCCCACAGGTCTCCCCAGGCTCAATGTCCCTCGCCTTCGCCTCCCACCATCGCCCAGCTTCACTGTCTTTAACACACCGACCACAATCCGAAACCATCCTGTTGTCTGTGTCGTCATTACCTGCCTCTCACCAAGCACAGATTCACTCAGGATGGGGCTATCCTGTTCACCAGTCTATGCACAGCGCATGCCACAGAGAGGGCTTTGAAATGAGTCAATCAATCAACGGATGGGCTTATTCCTCCCACAGGGCATGTGTGTGTCTATTTTATGATCACGTGGGTAGCAGCTGGCTGCGAAGGGGATGAGCTTGGACATCCCACCACCGTTTTCTTCCCTCTGCTTGTTCCTGCTGCCACAGCCCATGGGGTCAGATGATCAGGTGTGGTCCTAGCCAGGTCCCGAGCGTGTCTGAGTAACAGGGAGCGAGGAATAGATCAACACAGGCTTAGCCACAGGCGGCTGTACCAGGCATTCACGTTCGGCCCCCTTCCCCATTCTGATGCTCCATCAGCATTTCCATGGCAGGGAAGCAGAGGCTGAGAGGAGATGTTTCCTGAGCTTTTCTAAGCACTGAGCACGGGCTGAGGCCTTGCCCTGTGTAACACTTTGGCCTTTTCCGTGGTTCCTCGCAACAGCCTTGTGCTGCAGCAGTGGCTGGTGGTTTCATGAGTTCCATTTATCGGATGAGACTCAGCGAGACCTCAAGGCTTGTCCTCAGCCGCCAGGCCAGGGACTCAGCTGGATGGCATCCGGGCCAGTGACTCCCACTGGCTCTTTGCCCGGGCCCCACTGCTCCAGCTGCCCCATGCGTGACCTGGTCCCAAAACCTTGTCCAGCCTGGTGTGTAAACAGGCTTCCCTCACGGCTGAGGCCAGTTTGATGTGCCTGGCACAGGGCCTGACACCAGCATGTGCTCCGCCAGCAGCAGCGTGGTGACATCATCATCGTCATCGTCACCATCCTCAACTGGGGAGTTTGCATCTGACTCAAAGTCGAACTCGCCCTCTGGAAGCGGGAGCTGTTTACGGGGAACAGAAGAGCAAAGCCCAGGTCCTGAGCTGCCACCCCTTGTATGGGGACAGGGACCCAGGCCCTTGTGGGCACCCAGGGAGTCTCTGGCCCACCCCACTCATGGGGGCCGTGCACCTTTGGAATCCCTTGTGCCTTGCCCCTTCTTCCGTCCACCGGCAGAGCTAGGTCCCACATAAAAAAGGGCTTGAGGTGGGCGAGCGCCTGCCTTTGTCATCCAGTGCCATTAAGGCCGGAATTTCTCATGGGAAAAGGAGCATTTTGGCTGCATGAAAGGTGGGGGGGTGCAGCACGGCCTGGGTTCCAGGGACGCCCGACCTGGAGCCGTTTGAAGTCCACCCGTTATCTGCCGCTGGGGCTGTTTGGCTTCTGTGGGGGCATAAACAGGGTGATTGAAGTAGGCGGTTGTGTCTTTCCGGACGACAAAAGTCCCCTTGCTAATTGCCACATCAAATGATCGGGAACCCCCCAGTGGAAGCCCTCAAATTACCGTGAATACTCACTGCTGCCTCAAGGCCGCCGCGGAGCCCCCACCCCGGGCAGCCGCCCCGCGCACCAGCTCGGGTTGCACGCGGGGGAGGCACAGGAAGGCCTCCGAGGATTTGTTCTGCTTGGCTGCCGGCTCGCTATGCCAGCCCCCAGCCCGGCCGCAGCCCCCTTTGTCTCTGGCCGCCAGAGCCAGCACACAGGCCAGCCGCACGAAGTCCCCCGCGGTAGAGGGAGGTCTTCTCTCTGTGGCCACGCTTCGGGACAGGGTCCCCGCTCAGCCCCAGCCTCCGCACCTTCAAGGAAACTATCACAGAGCTGAGGTCACCTTGTGCCCATACACACCAAAAGCATCCAAGCACACAGTTTCTTTGGTCTCTTTGTTGTCCCTGCCTGGTGGGAAGACGTGGACACCCACTGGTCAGCACCCCTCACTGTCCCACGCCTGTAACAGGCACCCAGTGGGCCCGGCTCCTTTATCAATCCGGGGATGCACTTCTCTGCGCGCTCCCCGTGCTGGCCGAACCCTTCACACCTGTTGCCTTGTTCAACTCCATCAGTCATTACCCCATTTAATAGAGGAAAAACTGAGCCTTGGGGAGGTCAAGTGTCTCACCCCAGGACCCCAGGACATGCTCCCCACCTGTGCTCTCTGGTTGCTCTTGGGCAGGCAGGGGAGAGACCCTGGTCACTCAGTGGTGAAAACTAATCCTGCCCTACCACCACCTGGGTGATTTCAGGGTTGTGCGGCCACTGCTCCTGAGGAGCACACGGCCCCCAGTGGCCCTGTCCCAGGCTGGCCACCTCCTGAGGCCTAGCATAGATTACCCACTGGGGTGGCCCTGACTACCCCCAGGCCAGCTTCATACCCACCTGGCATCCAATGACAGGCAACACCTGCCTCAGTCCTCACTCACCAACTCTCAGCATGATGGGAGATGATAAAACGACAGAAATGGGTACGATGGGATCCCTGGAGCACAGGACACGAAACAGAGCCACCCGGCCCCTCTGAAGGAGAGCAGGTGTTAGCCAGGTCAGGGGTGGAGGGAGGAAGGCCAGGAAGCCAGGGTGTGCCAAGGTGCCATGGCAGCAGAGTGGGGCCTGCAGCCGCAGAGGATGGGGACGAGGCTGTGAATGGGCTACAGCAGCGGTGGCATTTTCTGCCTCCAGCAGACGTTTTCTGAGTAGCCGCTCATGCAGGTGGCCTCTGCCGTGCCCTGGCTGGCCTGGGCTGCCTGGGGAGGAACACATGGGGGGCCCTCATGCTGCCTGTCAGCAGTCGGAGCAAGGCAGGGACAATCTCTGGGTGCCTCAGTTTTCTCATATGTAGAAATACACATAATAATAGGAGTCATCTCGCAGAATTGTTTTAGAGAATCAGTGACTTCATTGACACACACGGCGCAGCAGGGCCTATCACACAGCAAGTGCTCAATAAATGTTAAATATTATTACTCTATACAATACAAAAACAATCAATGCGCTAGAATCAAAGGAATGCCCACTACAACCACATTTTTTTGCCAAAGGGTACAAAGTTTTAGTTACATAGAATAAATTCTGGAGGTCTTTGTACAGCATGGTGACTGTACAAAGTTAGTTAATAATAACGTGTCATATAATTGAAAATCACCACACTCACAAGTGATAACTTGAGACGATGGGGATGTTAATCAGCTAGATTGTGGCAATCTTTCCATGATGTATACATGTATCAAAACATCACACTGTGCGTCATAAATATGGACAATTTGTACTCATCAATTATGTGTCAGTAAAAAAATGCAGAAAAAAAAAAAGAGCTTTAAACCACTACATTTTGGCTGGGGGTGGTGGCTCATGCCTGTAATCCCAGCACTTTGGGAGGCCAAAGCGGGTGGATCATCTGAGGTCAGGAGTTTGAGATCAGCTTGGCCAATGTGGGGAAACCCCGTCTCTACTAAAAATGCAAAAATTATCTGGGTGTGGTGGCTACCGCCTGTAATCCCAGCTACTTAGGAGGCTGAGGCAGGAGAATCACTTGAACCCAGGAGGTGGAGGTTGCAGTGGGCCGAGATTGTGCCATTGCACTCCAGCCTGGGCGACAAGAGCAAAACTCCATCTCAAAAAAAAAAAAAAAAAAAAAAAAAGAGAGAAAAAGAAAAAAAAAGCCACTACATTTTTTTGCCTCCCTAAATGACAGATATTTTTTGAAAAATCATAATGTCCAGAATTAGCAAAAAATCAGGGAAACAGGCTCTCTCATGTGCTGCTTCTTAGAGGCAGTGAAATAAATGAAACAACGTTTACCTTTTATTTGCAAAGCCTCCTTTATATATAATTGGCTGTTTAAAGCCAAGGTCAGAGTAGAGTGTTCTGGAGTTTGTAAAATCTGTGGAAGGAAATAGATGACAACTATTGCACAAAAGCTGAGAGAGTAAATATGTTACATAATTCTCCCGCCATGTGTGAAACTGCACGGCATTCTGGAATGGTAGATGGTAACACAGAAACTTCAAAGCAAATGCTAAATGAGGGGTGTCTAATCTTTTGACTTCCCTCAGCCACATTGGAAGAAGAATTGTCTTGGGCCACACATAGAATACACTAACACTAACAATAGCTGATAAGCTTAAAAAATGCAAACAAATCTAATAATCTTTTAAGAAAGTTTATGAATTTGTGTTAGGCCACATTCAAAGCTGTCCTGGGCCACATGCAGCCCAAGGGCCATGAATTGGACAACATTGTACTCAACAAATAACCAGAGAAAGAAAGCCAGGAGGTAAAGCCAATCAGCAAATGGAGGAGATGAAATGGAGTCATACTCAATTGATCCAAAAGAATGCAGAGAAAGAGGAAAGACAGGGACCAAGAATGCAAGACAGAGAGAAATGGAGAGCACCATGGGAGATGCTGGCTCAGCCACGGCAGGAACCACATCTAATGGAATGGCCCAGGTACAAGGCAGAAACAGACAGGGGGTGAAAAGGTGAGGCCCAATCACACGTAGCCTGTAGCTAATCCACCTTAAATATGGAGACAGAGAGGTGAAAAGCACAGAGAGGGAAAATTATATGCCATGCCCCACCTATCTGGGCCCACCACATCCACCTGGACCCGTCTCACCTACCTGAACCAATGCATCACGTCCACCTGAACCAATCGTTTCTACCTAGGCCCATCACATCTACCTAAGTCCATCACATTCACCTGAACCTATCACATCCACCTGGCCCATTATGCCTACCTGGTCCCGTCTTATTCACTGAACCCATTATATCCTCCTGGGCCCGTCACATCTACCTAAACCTATCTCACCCACCTAGACCCATCACACCCACCTGGACCCATCACACCCACCTGGACCCATCACACCCACCTGGACCCACCATACCCCCCTGGACTCACCATACCCTCCTGGAACCATCATTCCCAACTAGGCCCATCATGCCTACCCAGACCAACACACTCACCTGGACCCATCATGCCCACCTGGATCCATCACGCCCACCTGGATCCATCACGCCCACCTGGACCCATCACGCTCACCTGGATCCATCACACTCACCTGGACCCCTCACGCCCACCTGGATCCATCACGCCCACCTGGACCCATCACGCCCACCTGGACCCATCATGCCCACCTGAACCCATCACGCCCACCTGGATCCATCACGCCCACCTGGACCCATCATGCCCACCTGGATCCATCGCACCCACCTGGACCCATCATGCCCACCTGGATCAATTACACCCACCGGGACCCATCACACCCACCTGAACCCATCATGCCCACCTGAACTCATCACGCCCACCTGGACCCATCACGCCCATCTGGATCAATTACACCCACCGGGACCCATCACACCCACCTGAACCCATCACACCCACCTGAACCCATCATGCCCACCTGGACCCATCACGCCCACCTGGACCCATCACGCCCACCTGGACCCATCACGCCCACCTGGACCCATCACGCCCACCTAGACCCATCACACCCACCTGGACCCATCACACCCACCTGGATCCATCAAACCCACCTGGACCCATCACATCCACCTGGATCCATCAAACCCACCTGGACCCATCACATCCACCTGGACCTATCACATTTATCTGGGCCCATCATACTCACCTGGACCTATCACACCCACCTGGACTCACCACATCCACCTGGACCCATCACACCCGCATGGACCCATCACATCCACCTGGACCCATCACACTTACCTGGGGCCATCCTGCCCACCTGTACCCATCACACTCACCTGAACCCCAGTCTTTGTGTATCAGGTTTGTTTGGAACGCATGTTGAAATACGCCTACCTGGCTCACATGTCAACCAGAGCCAGGCTTTTTGCCCATTTTTTAAATGGTGCAGTGCAGGGGATTTCTAGGGTGATGAAACTCTTCTATATGATGCTGGATTTGAAATTACACATTTGGCAAAATGCATGGAACTGTGCAACACCAAGAGTAAACCCTAATGTCAACCGTGGACTTTAGAGAATAACAATGTGTTGATATTGGATCATCAATTGTAGCAAATGTGCCACACCAAGGCAAGATGTTAACGACAGGAGAAACTGTGGGTGGAACCCTATGTAATAGCTCATCAGTTATTCTGTAAATCAAAAATTGTACTAAAAATAGCCTATTAATTATTAAAAAACCAACTGACCAACCAAAAGGAAGTGGTGCAAGGCGTCCAAGAAGCGGAAGAGGCTGTAGCTTGACCTGGAAGACGAGAGCAGAGGCAGCGTTCTGGTAGGTGACAGGCGCGTGTTCCACCTGCTGGAGCTGCCGGTTTTCTGATTCTTCGCCAAGTTCTCCTTCGGCTGCCCCACGTACTTCAACACTTATCACTTAATAGCATTAATTATCACAACTCCTCCCTATTTACACGTAGCTTATCAACAAACAACTTGGGAGTCCAATAAAGCTTCATGGCTGGATTGAGCTTCCAGAACCTTCCAGTCCCACAATAGACAGCAGCTCCAGGCCCCATTTCACCAGGCCCTGGGCTCCAGTCCCCCAAAGACAGGAGGCAAGAGGTTAAACGCAGGGCTCGGATGCTGTGTGAGGTTGGGCCAGTTACTCAGCTTGCCTGTGCTCACGTTGATTTTGAAAGTTACACTTAAAAACAGCCCCCAGATCACAGGAGAGAGTGTGGCCAGCACATTGGGAAAACTTCATGATAGGTTTCCTTTTTCTTAGCAGCTCCTGTGCCCTGGCTGAGGGAGGGAAGGTAGAGGGTGGAGAACCTTCTCAGAGAGATCAGAAGGGGCCAGCATATTCCCAGCTGTATTCATCAGCTTGGGCCGCTGGAACAGAGTGCAGCTTCCACAACACAAATGGATTCCCCAACAGTCCTGGAGGCTGCAGGCCCAGCTCAAGGTGTGGCAGGACTGGCTCCTCCTGAGACCTCTCTCTCTTTGGCTTACAGGCCCCCTGTGTGTGTCTGTGTCCTCATCTCCTCCTCTTACAAGGACATCAGTCCTACAGCATTAGGACCCACCCCAGAGGCCTCATTTTAGCTTAATTACCTCTTTATAAACCCATCTCCAAATACAATCACATTCAGAGGCACTGTGGGTCAGAATCCCAACAAACTTTTGGGGGGACACGATTCAGCTCATAACCTCAGCAAATTTCTAAAACACCCACAGACCTGGTCCCACCATGAAGATGGCCAGGCGCAGCTGAGACGTGAACTCGGGAGCTGGTAAAGGCGGGTGGAGGAGGGTCTCCTGTGAGGCTTCGTCCTGGGGTGGAGTGGGGGCTGCTGCAGAGAAGAAAGGATGATGCAGCTGTATCCTAGGTCCAGCCCTGGGCTGCCCCAGCTTCCACGCGGCCCTGATGGCTTTCTGGCCCTGCGTCTGCATCTGTAGAATGGGTGAACGCTCCTCCAGACCCCATTGGTTTTTTAAGGGTACATGAGGCCGAGGACATGGGCAGCTCCTGGAACCCTGAGAGGAGGTGGGATCCTTTATATAACTGGCATCTGAGAAACCCCACAACAGAGAGGCAGGAGACCTGAGTTCCCGTCGCAGACAAGCCTACCTGCTTCCAAACCTCCCTCCTGCCGAGGCAGTTCTGAGAACCAACGCTGGTATCAGGACAGCAGCCATGGGATGCTTCCCACACTCCCGCCTTTGAACCCCACAACCCTGTGGGAGAGGCCCCCCCAAGCACCCACTTTTATGGAGGAGAAGTGAGGCTCAGAGGTTAAATGTCCCTCCCGGGCTCACCCTGCGCTGGGATCAGAACCCAGATGTCGGGCTCCACTGTGATTTGCCAGGAAGATCTTGGATGGGAGGGAGGACTCCCCGGAGTGGCCCATGGGGACCGCTCATGAGTCTCCCTGGCTCCCTGGGGACAGTTTCAGGTCCACAGCCCGGCAGGCTGAGGTGCAAATGGTTTCTTTGCGGTGCCTGAGGAGTTGCCGGCATTTGGAGTCTCCGTGCGTGTGTCTGGTTTTGTTTGCCTTGGAACTACAAAGGACTCACCAGTTATTTTGAGTTAACTCGGTTATTTTGCTTCAACTGCAGGGAACTTTTACATCCACCACAACCGTGTCCCAGCAGCCAGGAGGGCCCTTCGTCCTGCAGAGGGCTCCGGCGGCTTCACCACCAGGCAATGGAAAGAACTTATTTTTAGGAAAACGAGAAGCTACCTACCACTTAGCGAGGAATCCGGGTTAATTGTGAAGCTGTTCTCAGTTTCTTTATTTAGCTATTTATTAAACTGGCTCAAACTAGAATTAATGGCTGTGCCAGCCTCGCGGCTCCTCATGTGCCTGTTCAGGGCAGCCACAGCAATTTGGGCCTGATTAAAGGCTCCGCCAACCCCCCTCCCCACTCACACACACAGCTCGAAGCCCCCAGCTCAGGAATGCGCGGCCCACAGCTCGCAGGCCCGGCTGCAGGGAAGAGTTGTTTTTGCCTCAAATCCACACCCTGGGCTTCCACCCGCACAAGCATGTTGCTGAGCCTGTCCAGGGGCACCAGCCTTGGCCATCCACCCCAGAAAGGCGGCCCCAGACCCTTGCACCCTGCTCTGGGTCCCCTGGCCCCAGATCCCTCTTGGCGTCACCCCACTGGTGACTTTAGGCAGTTTCTGCAATTTGAATAATCTCATGTATCTATTTGCCTGCTCCTTTAGGCAGTTTCTGCAATTTGAATAATCTCAATCTCATGTATCTATTTGCCTGCTCCACCAGAATATAAGGTCCAGGAGGCTAGGTCCCTCACCCCTCCATTCACCCCGAAGCTCCAGCTTCTAGAACATGGCCAGATGCACGGCAGGTCCTCACCCCTCCATTCACCCCGAAGCTCCAGCTTCTAGAACATGGCCAGATGCACGGCAGGTCCTCACCCCTCCATTCACCCCGAAGCTCCAGCTTCTAGAACATGGCCAGATATACGGCAGGTGCTCCATCAGGAGATGCTGAGTTTCTCATTCTTGTTTGAAAACAGAAGGCTTCAGAGGCCAGCCCCGGGGGAGCCTCAGCCCTGAAGAGCAACGCACAGTGGAAATTAGAGAGACACTGCCTGGTGGTTCCACTGCTTGATGGCTCCGGATCCAGCCTGGGGGCTGCAGGGGTCTCTACTGAGGCTTGACGTTAGGGATGACCCCAGATCCCAGAGCCTCCCAAGCTGAAGAGAAACGGGAAGAGGCATGGGCACTCCTGTCCCCCAAGGAAGCCTGTTGGGCAGTGTTGTCACCTGCACATCCAGGCAAGAATGACAGCCTCGCCACTGCACGGCCCCAGGATGATGATGGCCAGAAAGTCAGATAATGTCAAGTGTTCGTGCCAATGTGGAGAAATCGGAGCCCTCTTATCTGGCCGGTGGGAAGGCTGCATGATGTGGCTGCTTTAGAAAACGGTCTCTCTTTTCCTCAAAAGGTTAAACCTGGACCTACCATAGGACCCAGCAATTCTGCTCCCAACCGTATACCCAAGAGAAACAAAAACACGTGTCCACACAAAAATGTGTAAAGGAATGCTCATGGCAGCATTATTCGTAATAGCCAAGAAGCAGAAATGAGCCAAATGTTCATCAACTGACAGAGGGATAAATAAAATGTCCAGAATAGGCAAATATATAGAGACAGAAGGTAGATTAATGGTTACTTAGAGCCAAGAGAGATGGAAGAAAGGGGGGAGGTTCATAGCTAAAGGGCTTCTTTTTGAAGTGACAAAAATGTTCTCTGGGTGCGGTGGCTCAAACCTGCAATCCCAGCACTCTGAGAGGCCGAGGCGGGTGGATCACCTGAGGTTGGGAGTTTGAGACCAGCCTGACCATGACCAACATGGAGAAACCCCATCTCTACTAAAAATACAAAAATTTAGCCGGGTGTGGTGGCGCCTGCCTGTAATCCCAGCTACTCAGGAGGCTGAGGTAGGAGAATGGCTTGAACTCGGGAGGCAGAGGTTGCGGTGAGCCAAGATTGCACTATTGCACTCCAGCCTGGGCAACAAGAGCAAAACTCTATCTCAAAAATAAATAAATAAATAAAAAACATAAAAAAAGAAACCTTCTCAAATTGGCTGTGATGATGGTTGCACAACTCTTTTAAATGGACCAAAACCAGTACGTTGTGTACTTTAGATGGGCGAACTGTATGGTGTGTGGATTATATCTCAATAAAACTGTTACCAGAAGAGAATGAGCCTCTCCCAGCCCGTCTGCTCCCAATAGGTATCCAGCAGAGGTGTTTAGCCTCCCACATCAAAGGGCTGTGCTGAGATGGTCACTGTAGCTTCAATCAGGGCTCTGAGCTGGACTCTACACAAATGCCTTTGGATGGTTTGAACAAGTGAGGAGACTGTGGGGTCTTCACATAGTGGAGTGTCGAACAGCAACGAGAGCATGCAGCCCGCACCCACCCCGGAGAACAGGGCTGCATCCGACACACCTGGGTGAACAAGCCACACATGACACACAGGCAAGCAATTCCTGTCTACGAAGCACAGAACCAGGCAAGATCCAGAGGGTGTTAGAAGCAGGATTGTGGCTAGCCCTGGAAGAAGGTGCTGGGTGGTGATGACATCTCTTGGGTGTTGATGGCGTTTGTGTCTTTTTTTTTTTTTGAGACAGAGTTTCACCCTTGTCACCCAGGCTGGAGTGCAGTGGTGTGATCTCGGCTTACTGCAACCTCCGCCTCCTGGGTTTAAGTGATTCTCTTGCCTCAGCCTTCCAAGTAGCTGGGATTACAGGTGACTGGATCACACCCAGCTAATTTTTGTATTTTCAGTAGAGACAGGGTTTCACCATGTTGGCCAGGCTGGTCTCAAACTCCTGACCTCAGGTGATCCAACCACCTCGGCTTCCCAAAGTGCTGGAATTACAGGCATGAGCCACCGCGCCCGGCCTGTGTTTGTGTCTTGATCCCTAACAATGACCTATGAGTAGCTTGGTGAGTCCTATTGATCCGAATGCTGGCTATGTGGGTGGGCTTATTCGAGAAAAAGCTGCACACTTTCCTGTATGTACATCATATGCCAATAATTTTTTTTTAGTTAAGGCTAAAAAAAAAAGCACAGAGGGCTGCAGGGTTGGGGCATAGTAGTATGTGGGTTGTGGGGTCAAATGTTCCCCACTCCCTCGGCCAGATTGAAGCCCCGGCTCTCCTGGCTGACTTTGGTTTGGTTACAATTCTCACCTGTGCAACAGGGATGATATTAACACCTGCCTGAGAGGGCTATTCTGGGGACCGAGGGAAGTCCTGCCGGTAAGAGGGAAGCCAGGGCCCGACACAGCAGGAAGAGGACCCAGTCCTGCCGACACGCTGATTTTAGCCCCGTGAGCCCATTTCAAACTTCTGATCTCCACATCATGAGAAGGCACTTGTGCTGTCTTCGGCCAGTCCATTTGGGGTCATTTATTATAGCAGCCACAGTAAACACATACGATGGGTCTCTCATCCTGCCAGTGCAGGCCTCAGACATAGCCTAGAGCTGTGTCCTCTACCTCTGGCCCCCTCTCCCAAGCCCCAATCTCCTCGTGGACCTTTGAGGTGCTGGGCAAAGTGCAAAGCCCCCACTTTTGTCTCTGGCTGGGCAGGTGCCCACCAGTGGAGGGAGGGCTGGAGGAGGTTTCAAGCTGGAAGCCCCAGGGCTCTGCCCAAGGAGTCACCTGAGGCCTCAGCTGCTCTAGCCCCGGGCACATCCCTCCCACAGAGGGAGGAAAGGCTGGTTCCTGTCTGGAAAGGTCCCCATTGGGCCCCCTCAGCCTGTCTGAACACAGAAGGGCACAGCCTCAGCCCTATAGGCAGAGTTGACCAGGACACTTGCAAACACCCTACCCCATCCTCACTCCACCAACACACCTGCCATGCCCAGCCTGTGCTATGGGGTTGGGGGAACAGAGGTGAGCAAACTTCAACAGGGTCTCTCCCCCAGAGAACCCAGAGTTCAGCAGGAAAGACAGATGTTCATCCAATCATCACATCTGTAAAGCAATGTCAGTTCAAGGAGAGGCACCTGGGGGCCAAAGGGGGTCAGGAAGATCTGGAAAGACCTACCCGAGGAGATGCTAATTGCACTGATATTGGCAGTGGGGATGTGCAGGCATGATGATGGAGGAGGTTGAGCAGGGCCTTGAGACCCGTGGGAGGGGGCCTGGGGGAAGAGGCCACAGTGGCAGGGCAGCCAGGACTCTGAACCCAGTGGAAGGCTCTGGAAGGCTGTAAGCAGAGGGACTGGGGATCCCATCCACTTTCGTAAAGACCACTCTGGCTGCCCTGTGGAGACTGGCTGGGCCAGTGGCAGTGGCGGCCCCAGGGCGGGTGGCTGCCATGCATCCCCAGCAGCTGCCGCTTCTTGCAGGAAGCAGGACCTGGCACACCCACCTGTGGCCACATCCCAGGCCTGTGACCCTAGCTGCATTCTGGGAGCTGGCTCTGAGAGACCACCCTCCTGCTGGCCCAGGGGGAGGTGGGGGTGGGACGTTCAGGGGGAGAAAGAGCCCACTAGCAGCTCCAAAAGGTGCCAGCTCTGTAGGCTCCAGCTTCCCGGGGCCAGGACCCCAGGCTGTGCCGCCTCCCCTGCCCCCATCATAAACGCATCTCAGCTCCTCTTGGCCCGTTCACTGACCTGCAACCAGGTGTGAATTGGGCCTGGCCAGGGACAAAATGGCTTTGATGAGCCAAATGGTGGGACCCTTTTTGTTGGGGGGAGGGGCTTTGGAATCTCCACAGTTCACCCAGGCATGGTGTCCTGCAGAGACCCAAGAAGGGGCCGGGAAGATTTCTTTTACGAGCCTCCCTCCTCCCCGGGCAGCTGCCCCCACTGCTGGCCAGGCCTCTTTGGAGAGCAAGGAGGCTGGGCTGCCCCAGGCCTGGCCCCTTCCTGGGCACAGAGATGAGCATCTGCCATGCCAGCCCACGTCACTTTCCTGGAGGGCAGGCCTTTGAGAAAAAAGGGACAGACGCTTTCAAAGGGACTAAAATGGTTGTTTTTTAAAATAACAAACGAACCCTATGCATCTCAAGGCCTTTTTGGAAGCCTTAAGAGAAGCGGGGAGTGGAGAATGCTGGGCCCCTTGCCAGGGGCAGGGATGGCCCTGCCCAGGGTCAGCTGCCCATGCTCAGGGGGGCAGTGGCTGCCCGTCAGCCCCCAGTCCCTTGTTCACGCACACAGACTCATGGGCAGCTAGTGGGGAAGGTCAGGTCCCAGTACCTGGTTCCCGCTCCCAACAGACACTTTATTCAGTGGCAGCCGGGATGGCCAAGTCCTTTCCCAGGCATCCCCCAGCCACGGATTCTGTGAGCGGGGGGCAGGACCAGCTCTTCCTCACTTCACAGCTGGGGAAGCTGAGTCTCCAGCCACTGGGGACAGAAGCTGGGAAACCCTGGGTCTTTCCCTGCCCCCTTATCAGACCTGCTCCTTCCCTTTCTTGAGGAATTCCCATCGACCTCATGGCTCCTACAGAGAGCAGGGTGGGCTACACTGGGTGGTTCCACCTGAAATGACAGCCCCACCAGCCTCCAGGCTGCCTGTCTGGCCGGGCTCCTGCCTCCTCCCCAATTGTCCTCAGGGACTGACAAGCTCCTGCTCTGTGCAGGCGCTGCCCTGGGCCTGTAGACCTTACACAGCTCAGCAGGGCTCAGGCCGGAGAGCCCCCAGGCCTTCTCTGAACCCCCACTCCAAAAGACCCCCAGTCACTGTCCGGGTGCCCCCGCTTTGCGACCCTCCCTGCCTTGGTCACCCCCTCTTGCTCGGGCGTGCGCTTATTTACTTATGTTTCTATGAATGGCGAGCTCTGTGAGGCACATAGTAGGTGCTCAGTAAATATCCCTCTAAGGATTGGATGAGGGAACCCTGGGCAGAGCCCAGCAGCAAGGTAAAGTGAGAGACAGGATGCACTGAGCTTCAGTTCCCAGCTGCACTGCACGTCAGGAGAACCTGCCAGGAGGCTCTGCCCGGGAGGTGGCCTGGCTGGCCCCACCACCCGCCCCTGTGGGGTCTCGCACCCAGCACTGCCCTTCCCTGCTCTGTCCAGTGAGGTGATGCCATATACCTGCTCACCTCACCAGATTGAGACGGACTCTGGATTTGAAAGTGCTCAGACGCTCTCATGGGCTGTATGACAACGTCGGGGTCCCAGGGTGATGACAGAGGACTGCCATTTAGGGTTTTCAGGGAAGGCTACCCTAACACCAGCTCCTTGCAGGCTGCCCTTGGCCTGGTGTCCTGACCACACTCTGTTCCCACCAGGCCCCCTGCCTGAGTACCATCAGGAGCCGATGCCCCACCCCATCTGGGTGCCACTGGCCATGGCCCTCTTGGCTGTGGGGTGCACCAGTGCAGTTCCTGAGCCCCACAGCCCACTCAAACCCACACCACCACCCAGAAGCTGAGAGGCTCAGACAAATGATACGGCCATCCTGGGACCAGTGCTGGTTCCAAGGCCAGGAGGGATTGGCAGGGAAGATCACCATGGGTGACCACCGGTCACGTGTGTGGGAAACGCTGGGCTCTGTCCACCCTGATGAGATGGGAAGACGCTGACACGTGAAGGAGTTCTTTATTCCAATTAGAATTTCCCTGGACCCAGCCGTCTGGGACAGAGCCCTGGGTGCCCCAGGAGAAGAGGCCCCAGGTCCCACACCACCTCTAGGCCAGAGCTGCCCCCGCTTGGCTGAGTAGGTTAGCAGCACAGGGCTCTGGAAAGTGCTCTGGTCTCACCTGCCACTGGATCCAGGCAATGTGGCCTGGGGCACAGGACCAAGCCTGCTCAGCGCTCAGCCTCTGTGTGGCCAGGCGAGGCCTCCCAGCTCCTCTCCAAGTCCGTTTCCTGGGCTCAGCCCTGCTCACCAGCATTCACCCCACAGCCCCACTGGGGGACTGGCAGCGGGAAGTTCTTCTCAGGTGCTTGTGGTCATGGCCGTCAGTGCCAGCCGGGCCCATGCTTGGTGCCCACCCTTCCAAGCCCATCAGAGCCGCCCCTGGCCAGGCTGCTGCTGGGGACGGGACAGGAGAAGATGGCCAAGCTGGCTTCCTCTAGTGCCTGCCAGCTGCCTGTCCACCCTCCCACACGAAGACCTCTGTACCTCACAGGCCTCTGCTCAGGAATCCCCTAAACCATCACCCACCTACAGCCCCCTCTGCTGGACACCTTGGACCCTCACGTTAACCTCAGGCCCCCGTGTCGGACGGGCTTCCAGGGTCTCACTTCCCCTCCCTGACTTGTGTGTGTCTTCAAAGACATTCCACCCCTGCCGCAAGCATGACCGGGCTAGAGACCCCCATCCCTGCTTCCATCCACTGACCCAAGGCACTGAGCACTGACTATGTGCCAGCCCCAGTCAGAAGTGCCGGAGATGCAGGCGGTCATTGGACAAAGCTCCTGTGCTCCTGGATCAGGCATTTCCTGAACTCCACGCGGAGCTGTTTAGCTTAACCAGTGTCACCTTTAGTGACAACACTACAGGTCCTTCAGGGGGCCATCCGTATGTGCCCATTTTCAGGGTGCCACAAAGACCTCATGAGCATGAGCCTTGCCTGCTGACAGACCTGGGTTGAAAGATGAGCTCCCCACTACAAGCTGAGCTCCCCACTACAAGCTGAGGGACTGGGCAAGTTATAAAGTTGCACGACAGTGTCAGTGAAAATGGATGCCACATCAACCAGGTGTACGTGCTGCTCCAGCCCCCTGAGTGATAAGACTGTTTAGTCATCCCCAAACCCTACAGGGTAGGTCCTGTTGCCTCCTGAGTGGTAGGGAAAAGGAAATGGAGGCGTGGGGAGAAGTGTGTTGGTCACGGCCATGCCTCCACTCTCTGAGCCCCAGCTCCAGCCCCGACAGCCTGAGGGCAAGGTGCCCTCAGTGCCCCGCAGCTGCTGCACTGAAATCCCACAGACCAGGCAGTATGAACAGCAGGCATTTATCCCTCGCAGTTCTGCCGGCCTCAAGTCTAAGATCGAGGGGTTGGCAGTGCCACATGCCCTCTGAAGTCGCTAGGGGAGGACCCACTCTACCTCTTCCAGCTTCTGGGGCTCCAGCTGCTCCTTCGCTGTGGCCGCCTCCCACCAGCCCCTGCCTCCGTGGTCACACGGTCACCTCCCCTCTATGTCTTCTCTTTTTTTTTTTTTTTTTGCCTCTTATAAGGATCCCATCATTGGATTTAGGGCCCACCTGGGTAACCCAGGATGATCTCGTCTCAAGATCCTTACCTTAATTATATCTGCACAGACCCTTATTTCCAATAAAGCCATCTTCTGAGGTAGCTGTGGCTTAGGGGCCGCCAATCAACCCTCTACCAGGCCGCTGAGGCATGGGGCTAGGGCAGGGGCGTCTCTAGCTCAGGTCTGGGGGGGTCTATGGGTGATCCTGGCAGACACAGATTTTCATCATGCCGAGAGGTGTCCACACAGCCCTGTGAGCTGCGCTCCCCTGGCTGGCACCCCAGGCTGACTGTCTCAGGGCAGACTTGCCTATGGACCCAGTGTGGAATTCCAGCCACCACGGGATGCTGGGTGTGGTCTCTGCGGGATGCTTGGTGGCCCAAAGAAATCATCTGTTCCCATGAGCTGTGGCCGCCAGGGCTGTCCCGCCACCACGGAGCCAGCTCAGAGGGCACACGGCCCCGAGACAGATTGGCATTCTGGCTACATCTTGGGGAGCAGCCTTGGCATCGGAGGGGCTCTGAGGCAGGAACCTGGTGCACCCACGGTGGGGGACAATAGCTGCCTCTGGCCGGGGGAGCCCAAGGAAGGAAGCTCAGGCAGCCCAGCTCCTTTCCAGTGATGCTGAGTGCCTAGCTCGGGCCAGACACAGGAGCAGGGAGCTGGCGGGGATGCTGCCACCCACAGGGCCCTGGGAGTTGGTCAAGGGACTGGGTGGCAAAGGCCAGCACGCCGTGGCCCCTCTGGAGGGGAAGGAGCCTGGAGACAGAGAAGCACGTCACCACCCCCATTCCAGGTGCAGAGACAAAGGGAACAGAACGAACGAGACCAGGGTCCATCCTTCAGAGAGCCAGGGGCCAGGGCCTGAGCCCTGCTTGGCCAGCACTTGCTAAGTGGCCGGAGGCCGGCGGCTTCCTCTCTCTGTGCCTCTGCGTCCAGTCATATCTGAAGCTGGAGCTGGTGGTCTGATAGAATGCAGGGCACTGCACGTAGGCTGCACACGCCACACGGGCTGTCACCAGCACTGCCTGCACCAGCGTGGGGCCGTGACTGGAACAGCGCTGGGCAGAGTCTGTGTTCAGTAACCATCCTTGGCTGCTGTTATCAAGGAGGCACTAAAAGAATTCCTGGGATCCCCAGAGAAGGAGTAAATGCCTGCATTTGTTGGGGAGGGAATAAGGAGGGTGGAGAAGAAATCAGGGACAGCTGAAGGGTGAGCGACATGCCAGGGTATCGGGCGGTGCCAGTGAACAGAGAGAGCAGAGGCCCAACTGCAAATTCCTTAGGAGACCAGCTTGCCTGGGGGCGGCCCCACTGGGGCTTTGACGTTCACAGAGGAGTTCGGACCTTCGTACTGCAGGAAGAAATGTTTAGGGTGGGAAGCAAGATTAGACTGGCACTTGGAAATGCCACAGGCGATTCTGTGAACAGAGCGAGTCTGATTAAGATAAAATAGGAGAATTACAGGGACCCCTGAGTCTGGGTGTAAGGTCGCATCCAAATTCTCCCTCAAGGTCCCTGCACGGCCCCAGGCAGCATCCCTGGTCTTTTCATATTGGTCTTCTCACCAGCCTTTGCTGCTCCTGCTCCAAATCCTCCTGGCTTGAGAGTCCCCACCTTGGTCTCCTGGACCCCTCTAACCAGGGCCCCTGCTCTCTGGTATTGCAGTTACTCTCACCTCCAGGCTTGGCTGTGCAGGAGCGCAGAGGTGAGAGGTCATTGCAGTGCATTGGCTTGGGCAGAGTCGGGACTTGTTGTTCAGGGCCGCAGGGACCAGCTGCCCCCTCCCCGGGCACCTACAGCCCCACAATTGGGGACCTCGCCAGCCACCGAGGTCTTTCTTCTCGGCACTGCCCCCACCCCCACCCTGGCTGTCCAGTCTTCAAGCAAATGTTTTTGATTTTACAGGAAGTAGAGCAAGGACCTAATCTGAGTTTAATTTTTGAAGCAAGGCCTTTGATTTAATACTTATTCATTTAAGTAATTAATGCCTCCGAGTCCAGAGTCAGAAGCCATCTCAGTTTAGCCCCTCTCTTTCCTTACACGCAAAAGCAGACCTCACAGCACTTGGTACCTCCAAACCATTAATTTATACCAACGGGGACATTCCAAGGCCTGGAGCAGTTACTGAACACGACTGTGCAGCCTTCTCTGCCATATTAATGTACTCTTGTCCCCAAAGACCTGGGACAGGAGTGGCTGCCTACTTAGCAAGGACTCTGCTCACAAGCCCGGTCCTCTTGTGGGTATAGAATATTCTGGGTTATGAGACATGTTTTTGAACCCAGACTTGATGCATTCAGTCAATAAACATATATGAAGTGCTGTCTCCCATGCACTAGGTGCACCCTGGAGAAGCAACTCTTATCCCCAAAGAGAAAACACACAGGCAGCAAATCTGTAGGAATGAGGGCAGAGTGGGGAGGACAGAGTGGGGAGGGCAGAGTGGGGAAGGCAGAATGGGGAGGGCAGAGTGGGGAGGGCAGAGTGGGGAGGGCAGAGTGGGGAAGGCAGAATGGGGAGGGCAGAGTGGGGAGGGCTGAGGGGGGAGGGCAGAAGGGGGAGGGCAGAGTGGGGAGGGCTGAGGGGGGAGGCCACTCCGGGACAGGGATGGTCACTGCCACATAGTGGGAAGATGTTCTGTGGGGACCTTGAAGAGTGGGGAGATGGAGAGTGATCGGGAGGGAAGGGTGATACAGAGGTGCGGGCAGAAGGCAACAGCCAGGAAGAAAGAGGGGTGTCGAGGTGGACGGTGGGATTCCAGAGAGCTTTTCTTATTGAGTTACTGGGGGAAGTTTGTTTTTCTTTTTTTCTTTTTCTTTTTCAGAACACAGGATGGATGTGCCTGTCTCCTCTGGGAAGCTCTCCTCTCCTTCATCGTGTTATACTCGTGTTCACTCTACTCTCATCCTGTGTAGGGCAGGCAAACAGGGCCGTGACTCTGGCCCCTCAGAGCCCCTGGTTTGATAGTCTGTGTACAGCGTGGGGTATGTGATAGCAATTGCACCTCTTATTTTATAAATGGGTAAACTGAGTCCTGGAGACAGGGCTGTCCCTAGATGGATGTGGGTTCCCTGAGTTTAGCCCATCTCTTTCCTTACACGCAAAAGCAGACCTCACATCACTTGGTATCTCCAAACCATTAATTTATACCAACGGGGACATTCCAAGGCCTGGAGCAGTTACTGAACACGACTGTGCAGCCTTCTCTGCCATATTAATATACTCAGAAATTAATCAATATACTTAATTAATATATTAATTAATTAATATACTTAATTAATATAATTAATGTACTCAAAAATTAAACTCAGATTAGGTCCTTGCTCTACTTCCTGTAAAATCAAAAACATTTGCTTGAAGACTGGACAGGACAGCCGGGGTGGGGGTGGAGGCAGTGCCGAGAAGAAAGACCTCAGTGGCTGGCGACGTCCCCAATTGTGGGGCTGTAGGTGCTCGGGGAGTGGGCAGCTGGTCCCTGCGGCCCTGAACGAAAAGTCCCGACTCTTCCCAAGCCAGTGTACTGCCCCCCCACTTGCAGGAGGCTCCACTGTCGGCCCTTTGCCTGGGGATTTGGGGATACTATTCAGAGTCTGAATTCAAAATTCAATCAAATTCGGCTGGGGTGGTGGCTCACGCCTGTAATCCCAGCACTTTGGGAGGCCGAGGCGGGCGGATCACGAGGTCAGGAGATCGAGACCATCCCGGCTAAAACGGTGAAACCCCGTCTCTACTAAAAATACAAAAAATTAGCCGGGCGTAGTGGCGGGCGCCTGTAGTCCCAGCTACTTGGGAGGCTGAGGCAGGAGAATGGCGTGAACCCGGGAGGCGGAGCTTGCAGTGAGCCGAGATCCCGCCACTGCACTCCAGCCTGGGCAACAGAGCGAGACTCTGTCTCAAAAAAAAAAAAAAAAAAAGAATATTTGTGAAATGGCTGAAGAAGAAGTGTCTAGTGCCACGCTCCCCTCTCGGAAACAGGGGCTCCACTGGCCGTCGCCAGCTGCGTCTCAAGTTAGGCAGGTGTCTCTATCATTTCAGGGCTCTAGCCGAGGCCCAACATTGAGCTGCATTGTCAGTGAACCCTCTCAAACTGGGGATGATTTCTGTGCACACCTACATGATCCCAGCATCTGGAGCTTTTATCAGATTTCTTCAGATCCTCAGTGGCTCCCCAAAACCCTGGCTTCTTGCTCACAGGGTTGGAAAGAATTTATGCACCTTAGGACCTCCAAGTGGAAACCTGAAGTCTGCAGGAACACAGAGAATCAGAAATTTTCTCTGAGAGAGGTCAGGTAGGCTTCCTGGAGGAAGAGGCATTTGAGCAGGACTGCCTATGGCCTCCTGCTCTGGGCACAGAGGGTTTATGATCCCTGTAACAAAATGCAGATAAAGCACCTCCTGCTAAAAATATATATTCAGGCCAATGGAATAATTTATTCATCTCAACCCACAAACATCGATTCAAACCTGGGCTGGACGCTGGTTCTGCCTGTTCATAGCTGGTGGTTTTGGGTGAGTCACTTAACTTCTCTGTGCCTTTGTTTCTTCATCACAAGATGGAATAATTATGCAGCCTGCCTCAGAGGACTGTCGAGCGAATTAAATGAACTCTCAGATATTTCTGACAACTGGACCCTCGGTATTCGGCCTAGAAACCTGATTGGTCTCTAGCGAACTTCTTACTCTAGGCCAGGTCCTGTGCCCAAACCTGGGGAGCCCTGGTTGAGCACCACCCAGACCTGGCCTCCAGGAGCTCAGAGTACAGTAAGGGAGACAAATAGCAGACAGTGCTCCTGCATCCAGGTGCAAGTGGCCATAGGGCGGCATGGAGCAGCGCCCGGAGGTGCCCCCAGCCAGGCCCAGCTTTCGCCTGCCGATGCAGGCTCTGAGCCACATTAGCCAAGAAAGAGAGGAGGGGAGGGACCACTGAGGACAGGAGATGGACCTTGCTCCTTCTTGCTGTCCAGCAGACACACACACAGACATACGTGCACACCATGCACGCAAAAAGGCATACACATGTGCCTCTGCACACATCCCCACACAGCCCAAAATATACACATGTGCACACACTGGCGCACACATGTACCTTGCAGGCAAACACACATGTACATATACATACACACGCATACAATACCTACTGACACAAAGGTACACATATGTCCATGAGCACAGGCTCACACATGAGCATACACAGTGCTACAAATATACACACTCCTGCACACATGGGAGCATATAACACACATATTCACATGTATGCACACATGCACACACAAGGCAAAGACATACACAAACACACAAGAGCATATGCCATGCATACCAAGATTCACACAGGTACATATGCACACACATGCACCTGCACGCATGATCACACACGTGGACACATGATCACACATGTGCATGCACCCTACAAGAAGGCATCTTCTGCCCTCTGCACCAGGACGACAGAATTACCTTCAGTGCCATAAACCCAAGAACATCAAAGGTGGGAAAGACCAGGTCAGTGTGCTCAGGTTGTAAACAGAAACAAAAACCCCGCAAAACAGCGCCATCTTGTGGTGGCAGTGGGACCAGGCTGAAGGCAGCTGGCATCCTTCTTCCTTAGGGAGGGGTTTTTCCTAGAACCTGGCTTCCAAGGTGGGCTGAGTCAACTGTAACTCTCAGGCAGTACCAAAGCCACCCCTTTTATTCGGGGGAGGTCGGGATGCTCTGGACCAGCGGCTTTCCCTACCTCCACGGCCCCTGTGCTGGGTCCTGGCCAGCCAAGGGTGACCAGGGCCCTGAGTCTGGCTCTGCTGGGGACTCTGGGAGCCTCCTTCTGTCCTGGGCTTTACTCACCTCATTCAAGAAATGAGGTTATTACACTGATGCTCGAGAGCCCAGATCCATGTGTGTCTAGAGCCACGCCCCTTAGCCTGGGGCATCCATGAATAGACTGGGCTGCCCCCATATCAAACCGGAAAGCAAAGCCTCCTGGGTATCTCTGGCTTAGAGACCCGCTGGGAAATTGCCACCAGGGTCTCCCTTGCTGGAAGCTTCGGAGTGACATGAGATCTCAGGCCCTGCTTGGACCTTCTGACCCCTCAACTTTATCTTAAGAGCCCAGGGGATCTGGGCAGTGCCCCCAGAGCTCCCATCAGCACCCAGCACCCCTCACCTCCCCGAGAATCCCCTTCCCCTATGAAAGCCTCAGCTCTGAGACATAGACTGTTCCCCACCTGGTCCTCAGCCTTCCTCCCTGGCCCCCAGCCTGCAGGGACAAGGGCTCGTAACCATTCAGTGAACAGAAAACCAAGACACTTTCCTAGTGGAAATCGAGGCACGGGATTTCTCCCCACCTGCCCATTCAGATCACTCGCCTGGCAGGGCACAGGTAAGGACCCAGCTCTGAGACAGGCCACTGGGGCCAGATCCTGGTTCTGCACTCCCTGAATGGGTCCCCTGAGGCAAGTCACCTCCCCTCTCAGTGTCCTTCTCTGTAAAATGGGAATTACAATAGAATTTATCTCCGAGTTGTTTTAGGGAACAAAGGAAATATAATCCATGCAAAGTGCCTGGTCCACAGGAAGCGCTTTCGCATTGTCAGTGTTGGAGGTGATGTTTGCTTTGCAGGGCTGTTCAATCCCCTGCCCACTTCTAAACACATTTAACTTTGGGGAGGGGCCTCTTGGGGAGGACAAAAGAAGGAGGCTGGGGCTTCCGCTGCCCTCTGCAGACCTGGTGTGCGATGACGCTGCAGCGGGGGACCGCGGTTTTAAAGGCATCATCGGTAGAAACGGCCTCACGCATTTCCATAATTCACTCTGCATCAATTAATCTTTCACTGTCGATAGGAACCTGCGGCTGAATTCCCTCCCCGGGAGGACTCGCCATTCTCAAGCTCTGAGGGGTTTTCTTCTCGGCTGGCATCATGCTAATTTCCCTCGAGTACCCCTGGAAAGAGGTTTTAGAACAAGACGTGGCGCTTGGCAGGAATTTGACATCTGAAACAACTGTCGCTCAGGGAGGAGGGGGTTGTGACATTTGCTAATTGCCAATCGAGCACTAATGTGAGCATTGAGATGCTTGGAAAAATGCTTCTTCCTGCTGAGGCTGGATGGAGCTGGCTCACGGGCCACTGATACACCTGCAGGGCATCATCCTTTGCCATTGATAAATACCCTTCATGGATCTAAGGAGGGAAATAATAGGGAAATTTCCTTTTGGAAAACCAGAGAGCATTGGCTGGGGATGGGGGGCCCAGGTTCTGAAGCCATCACTGCCAAAAACCAGCTGAGCCACCAAGGGTGAGACCCTGCTCTTCCTCAGTGTCTGTGCGATGAGGGCCATGGCCCTTGCCGTCCTCTGCCTTTCCCTGACCGCAGACCCTGGCTTCTGCTGGAGCTCTCCCTTGTGTAAGGATGCATGGAGCAAATTTTAGGGGCCTTAGAGCCCTACGTCCAAACCTCCTCCAGCAGAGTCCCAAAGGGCCCCTGCCTACCTTCGCCTGCCTGCCAAGGGGTGCTGGCAGAAAGCAGGCAGGCGGTGCAGCCTCACCCTCTCCCACAATGGGCATGGGCCATGCCTGCTTCCTGCATGGCAAACCCCTGCTTCCAAGAGAAGCCTGAGGCCTGTGCTGAGAGGGCCCAGCCCCTCCTAGCATCTCTGGGTCATTTCCCTCTCCTCAGGCCTGGCAACCTCTAAGTTCAGCTCCTGGGAGCTGGGGTCCCCCAGAAAGGAGCTCTCCCCATTGCCAGCGAGAAGCAGCTCTAGCTCATTCTGTAGGCTAATAAGAGGGACAGCTCGAGAAATGAATGTGAGAATGGGACTGTGTGGGAACCCCCTGGAGAATCCACGGGGCAAATATCTTTATGTTCCAACCCGATTTCCTCTTGTGGAATCTCGACTATAAAATCAGCAACACAGCTGTACTAATAACAAAAAAAAGCATCAATGTTCAACCACCTATGCTGTGCCAGGCTCAGTGCTAAGCACTTCATTCTATGAAATCTTCTGGAATCTTCTCAATAGCCCCACAAAGGGGGCTCTGACACAGCCCCTATTTTATGCAAACCAAGGCTCTGAAAGGCTCAAGTCTTCCCAAGGTGATTTAGGGCACGCTTGCTGAAATAATAACCAAGACATTTATTTGGGGTTAAAATCCTGATATTCCAGACTGAAATAGCTGCCCCTCACATCCTCCTCCAGCCCTGCACCCATGGCCCCGAGCCCCACTGTGGGTGAAAGAGCAGGAGGGCCCTCCCTGTGAAACAGCGTCGGCCGCTTGGCAGGGGTATTGCTCTGCCCTGAGTTCACGCTGATAACGCGCCCAAGGGCAATCACATCGTAACAGCCCGGAATTGTTCTCAGTCTAGAACGGACAATAAACCGCCCGGGCAGAATGTCTCCTCATCATTCTGCCGCCAGCCAACGGGCTCCAAGAGTTGTCATCTTGAATTTGTGCCCAACTCAAGGTGCCGGCCCAGGCTGGGTCACGGGGCCACAGGGCGCTTTCCAGGAAGGCACGCAGAAGGCATTCCAGCACGAGAAGGTGAAGCAGCGCGGAGGTTATTGACTTGACATGGGTCATTTTGCCCCGGCGTACCCCACGGGATACTGCTATCCTATATCTCCGGCAGGGCATTCTCTGGGCAAACAAGCCCACAGCCATAAATGGTGGCCTTTGCACACCCGGAATCGCTGCCTCATGGTGTTTGGATCACTGACCCGGTTTGTTTATTTATTGAGAGTATTTTTAGCTCGCCCGCGGTTACCCCCGGGGTCACCAATTTTCCTTTTTAATCTTCTCTTTGAATAGAAAGGAAATGGACAGTAAGGTGCCTGTCACTCGAACGCTGGGGTAAGTCTGGGGCAGTGCATACGCCACCGAGGTCACACTCACGTCAGGGACGACACTGCCACAGCCAGCAAATCTCACTCAGCCAGCCCTCGAGGGCACCAGTGTGTGAGCCGACCCCGGGCCTGGCCAGAGAAGAGGGTCGCGGTGTCCGTGCAGGGATTCACCGAGAGTCCAGACCCCAGAGGGGCAAGCGGTCAGCACCACAGTCTCGCCCCGCAGCGCTGACCGCAGGGTCTATGGAACCCATTGGCCCCCCTGCAAGAGCTCCAGAGGTGATCCCCCACATCCTGTGAGAGATCAAGTGTATTCCAGAGAAGATTCCCAGGTCGCTCCGGTTTCCTCCCAGTTCTGGTGTCCTTGACTACTGGCTCTGCCATCTACCACCCTCATGCCTCAGTTTTCCCATCTCTAAAGTGGGGGCTAACAAGAGCGTCTACTCCATAAGTTTGTCCAGAGAGGTGAGTGGGGCGAAGTGCGCCTGTGTGCAGTGAAGCGCGCCTGTCCGCGGTGGAGCGCACCTGTCCGCGGTGGAGCGCTCATGTGTGCGGTGGAGCGCGCCTGTGCGTGGTAAGTGGTGGTGATTGTTGCTACCATCGCTGTTCCCATCAGTTCCCGCCACATGCATCTGTCAAGGGCCCCCAGGAAGCAGATGACCCACCCCCAGGGGTGGGCGAGATCAGGAAGCCAGGAAAGGATGGTTGGTGAAGCCCCTTGTTATTGTCTGAGGCCAGAAGGAGGCAGTTACAGAACCCAGCAAGAGAGGGAGCTGTCCATGGAGCCGGATGGGAGCTGTCGTGGCTGTGCGTAGGGGAGGCACACACTGCCCCCTGCGGCTGGGCAGGAAGGAAGCCAGCCCCTCTCTCCTTCCCAGCTCTGATCGGTTGCTGGCAACCCCCACTGGCCGCTTCAAGTGGGGACTCCAAAGCCAGGAAGCTGGGGAACCAGCTGGTCTCCTGCGGCAGAGAAACAGGGTGAGGAGTCGGGGCTGGACCTGGAGGGGCAGGCGGAGAGTGACTAGCAGAGTGAGTGTCCAGTCCCTCCCTGTCCGGGTGCCTTTCTGTCAGCCACACTCCAGGTTCTGCAGGGAAGAAAGGCTCTGAGTTGGGGTCTGGAGAGGCCCGAGCCTGGCACCTGTGGCCAGGCTGGGTCATTATCCCCTGAAGGGAAGCAGGGCTGGGCTGAAGGTGGGGAGCCTCCCTGACCTGCCTAAGCAAGGCTTTGTGCACCTTGTGTCAATAAATCCAAGAGCAGGAACGTATGTCATCAAGCGGCTGGCGGTGCCATCTGGCCAAAGCAGGAGGCAGCCTCTGGGACAGTCACATGGACGATGAGGCCAGACAGGGCTGCACCCCTCCCTCGGAAACCAGAAGCACTGACTGCCTTTCAGCCAGACATCCCTCAGTGATGCTGAACAACAATTAGGAATCAAATCCCCAAATGTCCTCCTGGCCTCTTTCCAACAGGAAGAGCCGCCCGGCCTTCCCTTTTTGCAGGACTGGGGCTGTGTCCTTGCTTTTGTGCTAATAATCCAGGAGTGCTTTAGGCTGTCAGAGCTGGGTACAAATTGCATTTTTGCAAATCGAAGAATGATTCCCCACCCATACTTCATTTCAGGGACACACGGATCGGTCTTGGAGCTAGACACTCTGACAGGAATCCAGGCCAGGGGCTCCTTCCCTGGGGGCCATGGTCCTCACCCTCTCAGCCTTGGGGGTCTCTTTGGGAATCCGTTGAAAGCTACAAAATCTCTACTCCAAACAGGGAAATGAGGTTGTGTGCAGACACGCTGCATTTGCTATCATTTCAAGGGTCTGCCGACCTCAGGTTCTGAGCCCAGGCCTGGGTGGGGCCGGAGGAAGGCCCTCTGGGCTCTGCGAGAGTGAGACATCAGTGTGCCTTCCTCTGTCTTCACCGCCCACCACCAAAAATTGCCACGTCCTATAGATCCAAGCTCCTGAATATCAGGTGGCTCTGCACTCCTGTCCCCACTCGCCATCTCACTTGGGTTATTAAACCAGCCTCTAACTAGTCCCTCCACCTGCTGTGACCACCCCCAGGGCCCCCACCCCAAATCTATCATCTTCATGGCAGTAAGAGGGACTCTTCCTGAGCACCAGACTCAGCTTGTCCCTTCGTGCTGCAAACCCTGCAGCCCTTTACCACGTGGGGGCCCCTCGTTACCCGCAGAGGCCATCTCACTGTCTGGGAAAGTTCAGACCTACGGATGCAGCGTGATAGCTGGCATGCTCCCTGCCCCTGCCGGCTCAAGCAGACACTGTGGCTCTGCCTACCATCTCCAATCCCTCGCCCGGCCAAGCCATCCCTCGGGGCTCAGCTAAAGTGTCACTTGAATTGTGCATTCTTGCAGCAAGCACTGGGCATTTATGTGTGGCTTTACAGCTCTGGGTGCCAGTGTGGACAGCCTCGGAGCTGCCGTCAGCAGAGTTGTCAAAAATTGCACTGCCCCCAAAGATCCGGCCGGGCCCCGTGGAGCCAGTCAGGTGGAACTTGTTCCTGGACAGTTGACACCTGCAGTTTCAGGATTTGGATGTGGTTCACTTGTTAACATTCCGTGTCAGCTTGGCCAGGCTGTAGTGCCTGGAGTTTGGTCAAACACTAGTCTAGGTGCTGCTGGGAGGGTATTTGGTCGACGTGGCTGACATCTGCAGTCCATTCACTTTAAGTCAAAGAGATTATTCTCTATCATGTAGGTGGGCCTCGTCCCACCAGTTGAAGGCCTTACAAGCAAACAAACAGGTTTTCTGGAGAAGAAGGAATTGTGCCTCAGGTCAGTAACGTAGAAACTCTGCTGGGTTTCCACCCTGCTGGCCGGCCTTACAGATTAGGAATTTGCCAGTCCCCATGGCGGTGAGTCAATCCCTTAAAATCAGTCTCTCTCTCTCTCTCTCTGTCTCTCATCCCCTATGAGTCTATTGCTTCTGTTTATTGATTCTTTCCTCTGGGGAATCTGGACTGATATGCTTACCTAAAGCGAATGCCACCGGAAACACAGGCCTTTGGGTGTGAAAATCTTTGGGTTGCTTTAAACCTTGTAAGAAAGAACCTTCTGTTACGTGGTGCCTTCCTAAGCTGGCTTGTCCTCAACTGCCAGGCTTCACTTGACTCCAGGGCCCTGTCTGTGCCAGCCAGGGAGCCCTGTTGGTGAATAACACAGACCTGGTCCCTGTCCCCAGGAACACACCATCTGTGGGGTCTTCCTGCCATCAGCACCCAGACACCCACCCAGCCGGGGTCTGGGCACCCTTTTCCTCCCACACCTCCCTTCCATCACTGCCTGGCACTGAGGCATGTAGTCAATATCAATATCTGTTGAATGACAAATCCATTAGCATAGGGTACTCAGACATCTAAAAAATACATATTCTAAATATCCGTTCATTTCTTTGGTTATCCCAAGCAAGTGTTTTCTGACCAATGATGTAGCCAGCCAACAGTCACCTGGCTGTGGGTAACCTCATGCCTCCAAACAGGGGGCTCAGGGGTCTAATAGACCCTTAAGGAGTCTAGGGACTTGAATGGGTGAGTCTCACACAGACTGGCAGAGAAGCTGGCTTGGGTCAGTAACACTCCCTTCTCAGCCTTTGTCTTGCTTGTTTTACTTATTTAATCCCTACACCCTAATCCAGTTCCTTGCCTCCCATAACAGCCCTTCTAATGGGAATTGTATGCCTTTTAGTGGGCATGCGGTCTTGCTAAATGAACATTATTGGCCGGGCGCAGTGGCTCACGCCTGTAATCCCAGCACTTTGGGAGGCCAAGGCAGGTGGATCACCTGAGGTCGGGGGTTTGAGACCAGCCTGACCAACATGGAGAAATCCCATTTCCACTAAAAATACAACAATTAGCCAGGTGTGGCGGTGCATACCTGTAATCCCAGCTACTCGGGAGGCTGAGGCAGGAGAATCGCTTGAACCCGGGAGACGGAGGTTGCGGTGAGCTGAGATCGCGCCATTGCACTCCAGCCTGGGCAACAAGAGCGAAACTCTGTCTCAAAAAAAAAAAAAAAATTGAACATTGTTGTTTGGGAGGCATGGATTTTTTGTTGGTAGATTTAGTGTGGTGCAACTGATATGCAATCAACTGCACGTTCTTAAAGTGCTCAATTCCATCAGTTGTTACATGAATATACCTACAAAGCCACCACCATGATCAAAATAATGAACATATCCATCACCCCAAAAAGCCTCCTCATGCCCCTTTGTAGTTCCTCCCTCCCACCCCTCCCCACCCCACCAGTCAACCACTGGTCTGCTTTCTACCACTGTAAGTTTGCATTTTCTAGATTTTTATATAATTGACTCATACCACATGTGCTCTTTTTTGTCCAGCTTTTGCATTCAGCTTATTATCCTGAGACTCTTCTATGTGGTTGCTTGTAGCAGTCATTCATTCCTTTTTGTTGCTAAGTAGTATTTCATGATGTGGATGTGAAACCACCATTTGTTTATGCATTTTCCTGCCATTTGAGTTGCTTCCAGTTTTTAGCTATTATCAGCAAAGCTGTTATAAACATTTTTTTGACATATGGTTTTATTTCTCTTGAGTAAATGCCCAGGAGTGGAATGGCTAGATTGTATGGTAGATGTGTGCTTAACTTTCCAAGAAACTGCCCAACTAGGTTGCAAAGTGGTTGAACCATTTTGCATTTCCATAAGCAGTAAATGGAGTTTCAGTTTCTCCTCAACATGCTTGCTTCTGAATTCTAGTCATTCTACTGGCTAAAATTCTACTAGTGTAATATCTCGTTGTGGTCTTAGCATGTATTTCCCTAATGCCTAATGACATTGAGCATCTTTTCATGGGCTTATTTGCCATACATATCTTCTTTGTTGAATTTGTCTCAAATCCTTCGCCCATTTAAAAAATTAGATTGTTTGTTTCCCTGTTTTTGAGAATTGAGAGTTCTTGATGCATTCCGGATACAAGCTCTTCATCAGATATATGACTTGTAAATATTTTCTCCCCGTCTGAGGTTTATCTTTATATTCTCTTAACAGAACAATGTCTTTGAACGAGCAAGCATTTACAGTTTTGCCTAAGTTCAGTTCAGTAATTATTTTCTTGTATGGGTCATGCTTTTGATGTCTGTCATAGTCTGTTTTGTGCTGCTATACCAGAATACCACAGACTGGGTAATTTATAAAGAAAAGACATTTATTTCTCATGGTTCTGAAGGCTGGGAAGTCCAAGACTGAGGGGCTGCATCTGGTGAGGGTCTTCTTGCTGCATTATAACATAAAGGAAGAACAAGGGGAAGGAGAGAGAGAGAGCTCAAGAGGGGGCTAAACTCATTCTTTATAAGGAACACACCCTGCTGATAACAAACCCACTGCCATGATACTGGCATTAATCTATTAATGAGGGTGGTGACCCCATGACCCCAACACCTCCCATTAAGCCCCACTTCCCAATACTGCTGCACTGGGATCTAGTTTCCAGCACATGAACTTCAGGGGACACATTCAAGTCACGGCAGTGCCATAGCGCAGTCATATTTGCCTAACCCAAAGTCATAAAAATGTTCTCTTATTTTCTTCTTGAAGTTTTATGTTGTAGGTTTTATATTTAGGTCTATGATCCATTTGAGTTAATCTCTGTATGTGATGCAAAGTATGCATTTAGCTTCTTTTTGTTTTTTTGCTTTGCTTCATTTTAGCACATGGATATCCAATGGTTCTAGCACCGTTTGTTGAAAAGACTATTCTTTCTCTACCAAACTGCGGTAGCATCAATTGTTTAAAATAAGTTCTCCAAGTGTTTCAGTCTGGTTCTGGACTCTCCATTCTGCTCATTGATGTATTTGTCTGTATTTATGTCCATACACACCTCGACTATCGATTTAATTTGCTTTTCTTTTTTCTAGTTTCTCAAAGTAGAAACTTGGGTCATTGATTGGAGACCTTTCTTCTTTTCTAATATAGACCATTAGTGTTATCTAGATTTCCCCCTAAATACTGCTTAAACGGCATCCCACAATTTTTGGCATGCCGTTCTTTTTTTCATTTTTGTTCAGTTTCAACTACTTTCTAATTTCCTTTATGATTTCTTCTCTGACCCATGCATTAGCTAAAAGTGTATCTGTGTCCTAAATCTGGTAGGGATTTTTCAGTTGTTTTTCTCTTATTAATTTCTTTTAATTTCCTTTGCTCAAAAGGCATGCTTTGTATGACTTGCAGGGTCTGAGGGAGTGGGATCCTGGCAGTCCCTGTGGCCTTTCTTGGAAAGCGCAGGGCCAGAGCTCAGCAAAGGAGTAGATTCTGTGGCAGAAACCTCTGGAGAGGAGCACGACACCGCAGACATGCTGTGGACCAGGTGGCAGCTGCCAAGCAGATGGAACCTGCACCTGCCCAATTTGGCCAAAGAAGCCCCCATACTCTCCGTGAAAAAGTCTTCCAGAAGCTATTGTGTCCATGACCAAGTCTCTCTCACACACACACACACTCACACACACACACACACACACACAAAAGATCATTCTTGAGTCTGATTTGAAAACTAAGGTCAAATTCTGCAGAGGTATTTGAGTGGTAAGATAACACCCTAATATATATATATATATATATATATATATATATATTTTTTTTTTTTTTTTCTTTTTCTTGGTGGGAGGTGGGGACAGAATCTCACTCTGTCACCCAGGCTGGAGTGCAATGACACACTCTCAGCTCACTGCAACCTCTGCCTCCCGGGTTCAAGTGATTCTCCTGCCTCAGCCTCCCAAGTATCTGGGATTACAGGCACCTGCCATCATGCCTGGCTAATTTTTCTATTTTTTGCAGAGAAGGGGTTTCACCATGTTGGCCAGGCTGGTCTTGAACTCCTGACCTCAGGTGATCCGCCACCTCGGCCTCTCAAGGTGCTGGGACTACAGACGTGAGCCACTGTGCCCAGTCTGTATATTTTTAATTGAAGTGAATAGGACTTTGTTATAGATTTCAATCCATTCTTCACTTTCAATCGAGTGTTGTTTTTACATAAACTTATACCTTTGGAATGACTGTAGAATTATTAAAAAGTTGCTAGGATAGTGCTAACAGTCCCCACGTGCTCTTTGCCTCCATATTAACCTCTTACATAGCCATATAAACATTTAGAAAATGAAGAGACCAACATCAGTACAATGCTGTAGCTGAATTCCAGACTTTATTCCCGAGGGCTGCATTCTAAAGATGCATCCATGTTACAGGCATGGGGCCCCTGACTGTGCACCTGCTATGCAGTGCCTGCTCACTCTGCTGGGGGTGGACACTGGCTGAGGCCCCCTCCCCATTCTGGTTACAGAGCTGACACATTAGAGCTTCGCCTGCCTTCCAGCCGAGGAGAGAGCAGGGGAAGTGGCCTAGATATCTTTTTGCTATATTGATTTCCCACTGCTCTTTTCTGAAAGGTGTTAATGACCTCTAAGGCCATGATAGCCTAGACTGGCCGGTGGATGCAGTTCCACCAGGACAGCCCCAGGCCATCTGTGGCCACGTGGCTTGAACTGTGGCAAGTCCAGTTGAAGACATGCTGTGAGTGTAACATGCACATGGGATCTTGAAGACTTTGTATGAAAATAAGGCCGGGCATGGCGGCTCACGCCTGTAGTACCAACACTGTGGCAGGCTGAGGCGGGTGGATCACTTGAGGCCAGGAGTTCAAGACCAGCTTGACCAACATGGCGAAACCCTGTCTCTACTTAAAAATACAAAAAATTAGCCTGGCGTGGTGGCACATGCCTGTAGTCCCAGCTACTTAGGAAGCTGAGGCAGGAGAATCACTGGAACCCGGGAGGTAGAGGTTGCAGTGAACCAAGATCACAGCACTGCACTCCAGCCTGGGTGACAGAGTGAGACTCTGTTGAAAGAATGAGAAAGAAAGAAAGAGAGAGAGAGAGAGAGAGAGAGAGAGAGAGAAAGAAAGAGAAGGAGAGAACGAGAAAGAGAGAAAGAGGAAGAAAGAGAAAGGGAGGGAGGAAAAGAAAGAAAGAAAAGAAAGAGAAAGAAAAAGAAAGAAAGAGAAAGGAAGAAAGAAAGAGAAAAGGAGGGAGGGAGAGAGAGAAAGAAAGAAAAAGAAAGAAAGAAAGAGAAAGGAAGAAAGAAAGAGAAAGGGAGGGAGGGAGAGAAAGAAAGAAAAAGAAAGAAAGAGAAAGGAAGAAAGAAAGAAAGAGAAAGGGAGGGAGGGAGAGAAAGAAAGAAAGAGAAAGAAGAAAAGAAAAGAAGGAAGAAAGAAGAAAGAAAGAGAGAAAGAAAAGGAAAGAAAGAAAATAATAAACATGGACAATATCTCACAAATACTTAGATATCGATTTCATGTTGAAATGTTAATATATTGGGTTTATTGGGTTAAACAAAATATAGGGTTAAAATTAAGTTCACCTGTTTCCTTTTACTTTTTTATTGTGGCTAGTAGAAATTTTTAAATTACCTATGTGACCAGCCCCAGGAAGGGGAAGGTTTGAAAGGCCCCCTTGCCCTGGTCTAACCCCAACCAACCTTTGCTATCCTGCCTGAGTTGCGGCCACCAGCACACCCCTACCATCCTGCACCCAGACGGCAAACACAAATGCTGGAGTGACCACCGAGGGCTGGGATTAGACTACAGGCCAGCTCCCCAGGGCTGCGGAAGCAGAATGAGTGCCCAGCTGGCCAGCCGGGGTCAGTGACCAGCAGTGTATGGCCCCGGCCACCACTGGGGTGCCTGCTAGCTGCTGCTGAGTCATAGGAACAAGAAATTTCTTGGCCAAACTACAAGGAAACTGCTTCCCCACGGCTGGTGTCCCTATTTTGACAGTGGTCAATAGGTCACCTGCCGGTCACGTCCCCAGGAAACCCAGACTTGGAAGCTGTCACAGATGCCTGGATTACCTCCACTGCCAGAAAAGGGTGTGTGTTGGAGGGGGTGTCTTTCACAATATATTTTTAATTTTGACTACCTCAGAAAAGAACAAAGCAGGCCAGTTGTGGTGGCTCATGCCTGTAATCCCAACAATTTGAGAGGCTGAGGCAGGCAGATCACTTGAGGCCAGGAGTTGAAGACCAGCCTGGCCAACACAGTGAAACTCCATCTGTACTAAAAATACCAAAAATTAGCTGGGTATGGTGGTGTGCACCTGTCGTCCCAGCTCCTCAGGAGTCTGAGGCACGAGAATCACTTGAACCTGAGAGGCAGAGGTTGCAGTGAGATGAGATCGTGTCACTGCACTCCAGCCTGGGCAACAGAGCAAGAGTCTGTCAGAAAGAAGGAAGGAAAAAAGGAAGGGAGGGAGGGAGGGAGGGGCAAAAAGTAGGAATCATCTATATTCCTCACCCAGAATTAATCATTTTTAAGCTAATATTTTAATAGCTTACTTACTTCCTTAGTCTTTTAAAATATGTATTTATTATCTTGAAACCATAGAATGAATAGATAAGAATATGTTGCCCTGAAAAAAAAAACGAAGAGAAAATGGTATTACTAATCACGCTAAAGCTCCTTCCGCCTTCCCCCAACTCTCATCCACTCCCCCTTCCCAGGGAAATCCCCTCTGTGTATTCCAGGCAATGCGCTTCATTCCTTTAAACATAGCTATTGGCACCTGACTTGTTTGGGGGTCAGGTTCTTTCTTTCTTTCTTTCTTTCTTTCTCTTTCTTTCTTTCTTTCTTTCTTTCTTTCTTTCTTTTCTTTCTTTTCTTTTCTTTTCTTTCTTTCCTTCTTTCTTTCTCTTTCTTTGTTTCTTTCTTTCTCTCTTTCTTTCTTGCTTTCTTTCTTTCTTTTTTTTTTTTTATTTGAGACCAGGTCTTGCCATAACATCCAGGCTGGAGTGCAGTGGCATGACCTCAGCTCACTGCAACCTCCGTCTCCTGGGTTCAAGCGATTCTCCTGCCTCAGCCTCCCAAGTAGCTGGGATTACAGGCATGTGCCACCACACCTGGCTAATTTTTTGTATTTTTAGTAGAGACAGCCATGCTTTGCCATGAGGGCCAAGCTGGTCTTGAATGCCTGACCTCAGGTGGTCGCCCAGCTTAGCCTCCTAAAGTGCTGGGATTCCAGGCATGAGCCACCGCGCCCGGCCTTTTCTTTTCATTTATAAGACAGCATCACATCGTGTGTATTGTTTTCAGCTTGTTCTTCTTGAGGCAATGGGCCTGGTGTACCCTGAGGTCACACTCCTCCCACCCCCACCCCATCGCTGCTCCGGACAGTCGTCTGGGACAAGCTTTTCAGAGGGCAACGAAGCTGTGTCTACCAGTGTTTAAATGAGCACACCCTCTGAGCTGGCCTTCATGGTCTTGGAGTTAACCCCACTAATACCTTCCCACCTCTGCGCAGAGGCAGAGGCTCAAGGGTGCTGCTGCCACGTTGTTGATAGAAAAACAATAGCAACGAATGTGACAAATTATGACAACTGATGGAACAGACTTTCACGAAACCATGAAAAAGAACAAGCAAAATCTATCTGAGCAGAGCCAGAGATCTCTCGATAAGTCAGGCAAGACAGAGAGAGGGCACAGCTGGGCGCGCCAGGCCTGGCTGTGTGCTCCCCGGGATGGCTGTGCCTGGAGCGTGTTTGAGGACCCGTGAGAGCGCTGAACATGGACCCTTGAGGAAGTGGTGTGAAGGGAAACTACTTCCCCATGGCTTGTGTCCCTATTTTGACAGTGGTCAATAGGTCACCGGTTGGTCACGTCCCCAGGAAACCCAGACTTGGAAGCTGTCACAGATGCCTGGATTACCTCCACTGCCAGAAAAGGGTGTGTGTTGGAGGGGGTGTCTTTCACAATATATTTTTAATTTTGACTACTTCAGAAAAGAACAAAGCAGGCCAGTTGTGGTGGCTCACGCCTGTAATCCCAACAGCTTGAGAGGCTGAGGCGGGCAGATCACTTGAGGCCAGGAGTTGAAGACCAGCCTGGCCAACATAGTGAAACTCCGTCTCTACTAAAAATACCAAAAATTACCTGTGTATGCTGGTGTGCACCTGTCGTCCCTGCTACTCGGGAGTCTGAGGCACGAGAATCACTTGAACCTGGGAGGCAGAGGTTGCAGTGAGCTGAGATCATGTCACTGCACTCCAGCCTGGGCAACAGAGCGAGTCTGTCAGAAAGAAGGAAGGAAAAAAGGAAGGGAGGGAGGACCTTGTCTCTGGAAATGTGGTCCGGGGGTTCAGGTGCAAGGAAGGGAGAATTTCACACTTCCCGAAGCATGTGATTTTCTTCCGTCTAACCACACAGGAATGGTTTGCTTTTACTTAAGGACAACTAAGCACATCTCTGAGGAATGCCGCCAGCCCCAGGGCTGGGCACGGGAGTCTGGATGGGGTGGCCTTCATGGTCTCTGGCTTCACCCTAGGAACAGAACTGGCAGCCCAGAGGCCCCTCGAGGCCCTGCTCACTGCCAGGGCGGTTGGCCATGACAATTTGAATGTGGACATGTGGAGGCCACATGCCAGCTCCAGGCTCAGTCCGGCTGCTCCAGAAAGCCCAGCCTCCAGACATGCTATATCCTCAGGCCTCCTCCAGGGAAGCCCAGGAGGTCAGGCCCAGGTGACCCGTGGGCAGCCCCCGGAAGGGGCTTCTTTTTCTCTTTTCCTCTGATGGACAAGGAAGTAGAATGTGCAAGAGTTAATGCTCGGCCAGGCGCAGAGGCTCACGCCTGTAATCCCAGCACTTTGGGAGGCTGAGGCGGGCGGATCAGGAGGCCAGGAGATCGAGACCATCCTGGCTAACACCGTGAAACCCCGTCTCTACTTAAAAAATACAAAAAAAATTAGCTGGGCATGGTGATGGGTGCCTGTAGTCCCAGTTACATGGGAGGCTGAGGCAGGAGAATGGCGTGAACCCAGGAGGCGGAGCTTGCAGTGAGTGGAGATGCACCACTGCACTCCAGCCTGGGAGACAGAGCGAGACACTGTCTCAGAAAACAACAACAACAACAAAACAACAACAACAACAACAACAACAAAATAACAAAGAGTTAATGCTGAAGCAGATCTCTGAATTCCGAGGAGCTTGGGGAGCAGCCCAGCTCCACCCTGTATTAATGAGGGGCCTGGGGCAAGTCTCTAGCCTCAATTTCCTCCTCTGCAAAATGGGGACAGTAACCACCTCACAGGACACAAAAAGGACCTAGGACTCGTCACTGGTGGTGATTGCCAGGCTTGTCCTTTGGGGGACTTCACGTCCCCAATCACCTCACTCCCTCTCGCCTTGTCCCCCTACCTTTGAAAAAAAAATATAAAGACAAGAGCCAGGCAAAGAGTCTCACAGGGGCTGTGAGCTCAGGACCGCACGTCATCCCACTCATCTGAATCTCTAGGGCTGGGAGCCGGCAATCTTCCTAGGCATATTGATTTGAGAAGCTTCCTCCCAGGATGTATGGTCAAACCACAAAGCGCACACGGGACATGGTGGGTGATAACCCACACCAGGCAGAGCCACGACCCTTGCCCCATGCTGCCTGGCAAGAACTGACCCAGCACCCTCTAGAACCCTCTAGAACCCAGGGCTTGGGGTCCCAGTGGAGCAGCAACATCAGCCCCGCTCCCCACACCAAGCTGCTCCCACAGCCTCTGGCTTCCATGGGGATCTCTCACCTTTGTAGCTTTGGCTGGAGTCTGCTCTCAGCATCCAAGGGTGCTGCCCACAACCTCGTCCCAATTTTTCATGGAGACCACTGTCCCTCCCCAGGTGCTGGTGGGCAGTATGGGCCCCCCCATCCACACAGTGTCCCCAGGTTCCAGTGGACGGTGTGATCTCCCCAATTCCCACAGTGTCCCCAGGTCCCAGTGGACAGTGTGGCCTCCCCCATCCCCACAGTGTCCCCACTTCCTGCTGGATGGTGTGGCCTCCCCATTTCCAGTGTCCCCAAGTCCCAGTGGATAGTGTGGCCTCCCCATTTCCACAGTGTCCCCAGGTCCCGGTGGACGGTGTGGCCTCCCCATTTCCACAGTGTCCCCAGGTCCCGGTGGATGGTGTGGCCTCCCCATTTCCACAGTGTCCCCAGGTCCCAGTGGACAGCGTGGCCTCCCCCATCCCCACAGTGTCCCCAGTTCCTGGTGGATGATGTGGCCTCCCCATTTCCACAGTGTCCCCAGATCCCGGTGGACGGTGTGGCCTCCCCATTTCCACAGTGTCCCCAGGTCCCAGTGGATGGTGTGGCCTCCCCCATCCCCACAGTGTCCTCTGGGCAGGCCTGGGTCAGGCTGCATTCCTGACCCTGAGGTGTGGAACTCTCTCTCCCTGAGCTTTTGCAGAAACGTGGGGGCAACTTGCTCTCCTTCTGCAGGACTCAAAGGTGGGAGATGCTGGCCTAGAGCAGCCAGAGGCTTCCTACCGGGTGACGGGGAGAGGGTGCCTGCCCCAGAGTGAGGCCAGCAGAGACCAGACTCACAGAACAACAGAGACCAGCCACTCACTCAGCTGTGAGCCAGATGCACATAGTCTGTTTGAGGTGATTTCTTCACTGGCTACCAAGAAAAAACAAATAAAAATACATACAAAGCCCACTGGGCTGAGTCCTCCACCTGGAGAAAGCACTGCAAATGTCACCAGTGTTCAAGGGTCCTCCTCCCCCATCCAGCCCCCATCCCACCACCTTCTGCTGTGCGTCCCACAACCCTGTTCCCTAGGGGAGTGGTGGGCACAGAAAGCCCTCGGGTCTGTCCTCTTATCTTTTGCAAGCCTAGCTGGCCTCTGCTCCACCCCAGGCCTGGTTCTGGAGCACGCGTGTAGAAATGGGGCTGGCTGCTACGGCGGGCTTATCTGGGCCTGCAGGGCCGCCTTATCTCCCACAGCTTCTCATTGCCAGTCACTGGTTTATGCTTTTATGAGTGCAGTTTGCTCCTTCTAGGGAAGCACTGAGCGATCTCTGAAGGTGCCTGGCCATGGGGGCACAGGGTTCCTTCCTCCTAAAGCGCTGGTCCCATGCCAGCCCTGGCTCTGCAGCTGCTGTGGGTATCTTGCATGGGTGGGTGCCTGAGTGGAGGCTGTGGTGGTCTCAAGGGGCTTTTGCCAGAAGTGATCAGAAGAGGAGCCTTCAGGAGGGAAACCCCAGGTGGCCCCCACACCTTCTTTTGTTTGCCCATTTGATCTGCCCCACACCGGACACACTTTGATCTCACCAGCCCAGTCTCTAAGGTCCTGCCTGAGAGGGTGGGCCAAGTCCTGCACTGGAAGCTGGGAGGCTGGAATCAGATCTTCACACTGTGCCTCCACTGTCCTCTGAGCCTCAGTTTCCTCACCTGTAACATGAGCAGAAAGTTTGCAGCCACCTCGCCTGGCAGGATGGCCATGGGGAACCACAGGAGGGGAGGGGGCAGCGTCGAGGGTCCCATGGCCAGCCAGCATGGGCCAACCCATGTGTCACAGTTCATAGAAGGTCTTAGGAGCCTGGTCCCTCCCCCTCCCCCTCCCCCCAGGATGTTTGTAGGGTGAGGCAACCGGCAGGTGCCTGGTTAAGCCCTGGGGTCTGGAGAGCGGTTTCTAACTCCAGGCCCCTGTGAGCTGCCAAGACCTCCACCTCCTCCCTAGGGCCCCCGGGGGTCTGTTTGCTCTGTCTGCTTTTGAGAATCAGATTATAATGGGAGCCTGGGTCAGTTTCTGGATTTGTGGCCTCAGGACCTCCCAGAAGGAGCAGAGCTGAAGGCCAAGAGCCTGGCTCCTGTCCTGTCCTGTCACTTACTGCCCTGTGACCACAGGCAGGTCACTGCACCTCTCTGAGTCACAGCTTTCTCATCTTCCAAGCGGGGAGAGTCCTTGAAACAGGCTGCAACCATTAGATTCATTCATTCAACAAATATTTGCTGAGCATCTACTATGTGCCAGGCATGTGTGCTGGGGACACAATAGAGATCTAAACAGACAACAAACAAGATATTACTTTTAATGACAAAACTGTTTTGCCATTCATTTTAATGGCAAAAACTTTTAACAGCCATTACTTTTAATGGCAGAAACTGCAATTATTTTCGCACCAACCTAACACATAAGTAAAATGTATGGTGATGACACAAAGCAGGAAGGTTCAGTAGGGAATGGAGACAGGCACGTCTGGGGTGGAGGTGGAAACTCAATTTTCAATCGTGTGGCTAGGAAAGGCCTCTCCAAGGCAGGCGACAACTGAGTCAAGACCCAAAAGAGATGGGAGAGTGAGATGTGGAGATTCTGGGGTCCAGACACAATCACGGCATGAGCTAAGGCCCTGGGACAGGAGCTGGTGTGTGCAGAGAATGGCAAGGAGGCCAGAGGGACAGAAGGTGAGGGATCAGTACCAGGTCCAGAGAGGAGGTGGAAGGGGCAGGTAACTGGTCATGGTATGTCTTTGGCTGTGAAGCCAGTGGGATGGAGCCTGGGGGATTCTGAGCCCAAGAAAAACAGGATGGGTTTATGGGCTAGGCATCTTGCTTTTTTTTTTTTTCACACAGGTGACAACATTCTGTCACCCAAGTTGGAGTGCAGTGGAGGAATCCCAGCTCACTGCAACCTCCACCTCCCAGGCTAAGCCTTCCTCCCACCTCAGCCTCCTGAGTGGCTGAGACCACAGGTGCACACCACCATGCCCAGCTAATTTTTTTGCACTTTTTGTAAAGACGGGTTTTTGCCATGTTGCCCAGGTTGGTTTCAAACTCCTGAGCTCAGATGATTCACCCACCTCGGCCTCCCAAACTGCTGGGATTACAGGTGTGAGCCACCACGCCGTGCCTAGCATCTTGCTTGAGAGATGAATTCACCGCTGGGTAGAGTAGACTGAAGGGGCGGGCCAGAAGCAGAGGAAGCAGGCAGGAGGCCCCTGCAGCCACTCGGGCCACAGTTGGAGCTCAGAGACTAGAGGCAGCAAAGAAGGAGGTGGGGCCCAGCGGCTGCACACTGGGCCTCCATGGAGGCCAGAGCAGGTTGGCGGATGGACGTCCATGCTGGGGCTGCAACCCAGAGGGGACACAGCGTCGAGCCTGCATGGGGGACCAGGCACCATTCTATGCATTTCACATGTCCTAGACTCAGAATCCTTTCTACCAAGAAGGTACTCTTACCACACTTTCAGGGTGGGGAAACTGAGGCAGGGAGCGGCCACAGAGCTTCAACTTTAGGTTGGGCCCAGCATTCATGCCCCTCAGGGCTCCTGTCCCTGACAAGGAGCTCCTGGGAGGTGGTTTTCCTTTAAAACACTGCTGAGCACATACCGTATGTGGGGCACTGGGGTGTGTCTCATACAGACCTTTTCTTGTTTCACCTTCATCCCCACTCTGTGATCTGCAGGGCCGCTCAGTAAGCCCAGAGGCGGACACCAAAACATGAGAAGTATTAAAAAATGTTGTTTTTTAAAAAATTCATAAAACACACAAACACCAATGTAGCCGGAACTGACATTATCATGTAACAATATTTTTATCATGAATTTTGTATGGGAGGTATAGTGGGTTCAACTACATCCCCCAAAAGATACATCCACCTCTTAACCCCTGGAACCTCAGAAGCTGGCTTTGTTTGGAATCAGGATCTTGCAGATGTAATGAAGGTGAGGATCCCTAGCTGAGATTCGTCTGGATTAGGGTGGCCCTAAATGCAATGATGTGTGTCCTTATAGGCGAACAGGAGAAGAGACACAGAGACAGGGCACAGGAGAAGGCAGAGGCTGGAGCATCTCAGCCACGGCCAAGAAACGTCTGTAGCCCCAGGAGCTGGAAGAGGCAGGAATGTCCCTCCCCTAGAACCCTTGGATGGAGCGTGGCCCTGCCGACACCGTGATCTCAGACTTCTGGCTCCCAGGCTACAAGGGAATGGATTTCTGTTCTAAGCCACCAAGCACGTGGTCATTCGTTACACATCACGGGAAACTCATACGGGGGGTGTGCACCCAGCAATTTGAGTCTGTGAAGTCTTAACCCAGCTCTGGGTGAGGTGAATATGTTTTACAGGTGCAGGAAACCGAGGTCTATAGAAAACCAGCACCTTGCAAGCGCCACCATGCTGGTCAGCTCTGATGTGGCCAAGGCTGGTGCCAGGGTGAGGCGAGGGTGACCTGGACTTTGGAATCCCTCAGCCCTGGGCAGGTCTCTTCATCTCCCCAGGTGGCCACTTATTCATCTGAAAAATAGGGCTAGCCCCGGAGACGGTGGGGAAGTTGCAAGGAAGGAATCATGGCTGCGCCCCCGCCGGGGGCTGGCCCAAAATTAGTGCTCCAGAGCACTCATAGTCCACCCTGAATAATGATGCTAACTGTAAGCACTTACTGTGCACGGGGCCAAGCCCCTGACCTGCAGTGGCACAGGTAAGTGTCACAAAAAGTGGACACACGTGCTGTTGGACGCCAGCTCCTCTCTGGGTCACCATGAGAGATTCCTGAACCTCAGCTCCCTTGTCAGCGCCCTTCCAGGAGGGAGGGAGGTAGCAGCACTACCCCCATCTAACAGAGGAGGAAACTGAGGCACGAGAGATGAAGACACTGCCCACGTCACGCTGCTGGTCAGTGACAGAGTGGGACCGGGTGCAGTTGTCCAGCAGTGCACCTAGATGGGGGAGAGGAGCTTGGTGAATATTAAAAGAGGTTTTGTCTGGGAACAGAGAGGCGGCTGCTGGGTGACCCCAGCCTCCCATCCAAAGGCGGGCTGTGGGGTGACTGGCTGGACCTCCTCCAGACCCTCCCATCACACGTGTGCTCAGCCGGCTCAGCCAGCAGCAGGCGCCCACCCACCACGGGCCCCTTCTCTGAGCCAGCGTGCACAGCTTCCTGGAAGGGACACGGAGCGCACAGATGTGCACAGCAGGTGGCCTGTTCTGCTCTCCCTCCAGCCAGACAGGGCCGGGACCCAGGACTGGCAGGAAGACCTGGCCAGCCATGGCTGTGAACACTGAGGAAACACTTCCCGGAGCAGCCAGGGCCCTGGGAGCTGGAGTCGATCCCCACATCTGGGCTCCTCCTGGAGCCAACCAGGGCTGTCTGGAAGCCTGTAGGGAGATCCACCGAGGTTTCGGGAGAGTCAGTGCCCGCCCACATCCCCTGGCCCCAGGATGAGGCCGTGGCTCCCCACAGTCCCTCCCACAGGAGCCTCTCGCCCTCCCACTCACACAGTGTGGCCAGGCATGGTGGCCCAGCCTGCCCTGAACTAAGAGCTTCTGCTCGGTCCCCAGGGGCCATGGCCCTTCTGTTAGGGGCTGCCGCCCTCCTCTTGCCCACTCCCCACACCCCGGGGTCCCTGCAACAGGCCCCCACCCAAAGGGCCTGAAAGTCTCCACAATGACATGATGGCCAGCAGAGGGCGCATGGCCCTGGGGACCTCGACCCCTCTCCAGGGGACACCCTCTCTGGCTTTAATTTCTATTTTAAGGTGGGCTGTGACTATCATAAGTAGGTGGGGGTGAGACCTCAGCAGCAGTCCCAGCCGAGGGGTCCTGGGGATCCCCAAGTGCTCCTGAGGCCCGGGACAGGCCCCTCAATGTTGCCAGGAAGTCCCACGGGCCCACGTCTTCCCCTCCAGCTCTGTGGAGCGGGTGCTGTGCCCTCGTTTACTGACAAGGAGGCTGAAGCTCAGGACTCTTACGGTGACACAGTGAGGGCTGGGTGTCCACCAGACATGGGCCCACAAGACATCCTCAGTGTGGGTGCTGACGGTCACTGAGAAGCCCTGGCCCAGTGGAGCTTGTGGTGGGACGGAGGGTGGGGGTCAGTGTCTAACCACAGGCCCATCCTAGCAGGACTCCAGCAAAGACACCTTCCATAGGGTTGGGTCCTTCCCCACCCCTGGGAGTCTTGACCAGTCCCAGGAGAGGCCACTTTCTCCCGACCGGGTCCTTTACCTCTCTGCCACTGTCTCCCTCCTGACAGGGTCCTTTACCTCTCTGATCCCTCCTGGTAAGGGAAGTAGAATCATTGTCACTGAGGCAGTCAGGAGAGCAGCTCCCCCAACCTTGGCAGAGAAAGGGACAGTCCCTCACCTGCAATCCTTCTGCCAGCCCTGGCTTGCGTGGTGTCAAGGGACATGAGCTTGGGGAGGCCACTCATTCCTTCTCCCGGACGGAAGATTTGGGTGGGAGGCACCTCCTAAAAATGACGTTTGGGCAGCAGACATGATGAGGACAGGGCCTTATGAGTCCCCTCCCCAGGACACCTCAAGACCACTCGGCCAGGAATGCTGACGTGCCATGCACATTCACTTGGGATCCTGAACCTCCCTCCCAGGTCTGTCCTTCCCCCTGGCCAGCAGAAGCCACCAGGGGCCACTCCTTCCCTTCCCCTGAGAGGTCAGAAGCAGCGTGTGCTGCGTGAGCCAGCCCGCAGGCTCCGGGCAGGTCCGCCTGGATCTGAGCTCGGCAGTACTGGGTGTCTGCAGCGAGGGCACACGGGGCCATGAGGGGTTTTCCCCAAATCTGAAAACAGCCCCTTCCGCAGACGGTGCCTGGGAGGGGAGCCAGAGGGAGCAGGTCCAGAAGGACGGGACATCGCCACCGGCTGGACAGCACTGAGGAGGCCGACGGGAGAGAAGGTCACACCTGACTGAAGCAGAGCTGGCAGCCTGGAGATCCCTGATTCTCTCCTCCCAAGTGGGGGGACAGGAGGTGGCGGAGGCTGCAGCGGCCCCAGAGAGCAGGGCAGAGCAGAGTGCTGGGCCCAAGCAGGAAGGGTGGGTTTCACTCGGGAGCTGCAGGCACCGCGCCTCGCAGGACTCACTTTGACCACAGTGGGAGGATGCATCGGCCCCAGGGAGGCCAATGGGGAGGCCAGCGTGAGCTCCAGTGGAGGTGCTGGCACCCGGACCTGGGGCTGGGCGCGGGGATGGTGGGAAGCGAGCATTTAGATTTAGGAGGTTGAGTGCCCAGGGTGGGGGTGTTGGGGGATGTGGCCCTGAAATGCCAGCTGGTTTTGGCTCTGGGCCAGGCCAGGGGCCGAGGGGGGTGGACCCAGGACAAGAGTCCCATGCCCCACCTGGCATTCCTGCAGGGGGAGGCCAGGCAGAGAGGCACAGTTTTCTGGCTCCAGTGAAGCGGGGGCCGGCAGTGTCTTCTGCTGGGATGCGATAGAGATGTAAACAGACAACTAACAAGATAATTAAGTAAAACGTGTGGCGATGACAACAAACAGGATATTCCATAAGGAATGGGGGCCTTGGGTGAAGGTGGCCCAGAAGGTGAAGTGGGTTTGGAGGGAGGGTGCTGGTTCCGCTTTGGGAAGACACAGAACTCAGGTTCCAGAGGACACACAGGTGGGACCTCCCAGTGGGCAGTTAGACCAGCGGACCCCAGCCGGGGGAGCGACCTTCACATCTGCTCTCCCTGCTGTGGCCCTGCTGGGGCCACAGTGTGCACATTGCCATCTGCTGCCCACCTAACAGTGGCCCACTCTGGCCCTTCCCCCTCATCCCCTACTATGTGGAGCCACATCGTCCCAGCCCCAGCACTGGCCCTGAGTCCCCTGGCCTTGGCCCAGCTGGCCTGGCTAGGACGCCATGTAGGGCAGTGTCTCCTGAGGACGGAACCTGCACTTGGTCACCCTCAGGGATGCCTGGCACACAGTTGGCGCTCAGTACATGTCCGATGAATGAGAGCCGCTCCGTGGACATGCGGCAGAGGCAGCACATACCGAGCCATCCCCTGGCTGGAACAAGGGCCCAGGTGGGGCGTGGATCACTTGCCCTGGTGTCCACCTGACTTGACCCCAGGCCTGGCCCAGAGCCAAAACCAGCTGGCATTCCAGGGCCACAGACCCAAGACCCTAAAGTCCACCCTGGTTGTCTCCATCAAGCATCTCCTGTTTGTCCAGAGCTGTGAGCCCAGGGCAGGTGAAAGAGGCCGAGCCACAGCCCTGCCGTGGGCCCAGGCCGGTGCACGAGTGGGTCACGCAGCAGAGGGAGAACCGGATGTGGTCTCTAAATGGAGTTATGCGTTGAGGGACTCGGATGGCACCAAGGCACACGGGGGAGCCGGTGTGGACTCTAGAGCAGGGCAGTGCTGTGCCGAGGAGGGTGCTGTGCTGGAGAGCAGCTCCCTGCCTCCCATGATGGAAACCGAGGCCGGGGCAATCCCAGAGGAGGCTGCTGCAGCATTAGGGGACCCGCTGTGGCTCTCACCAACCCGGTGGCCCCCGGGAGGACTCTGGCCTCCGGGCAGGGCTTGTGAGGAGAAGACGGGGTGCACACTGCCATCTGCTGCCCATGCAATGGGGCGCACACTCCCAGGCACCACGTGGTAGGACCTGATTCAGATGCAGCTCCTGGGTTCACAAACTTTGAATTTGGGCTCTGGGAGGAGGTGACTGCTCCCTTCCCTTAGTGATAACAACTTCCAGGGCCCTGCTGGGTGGCCCCTTCGGCTGGTGGGCTCAAGGGACTGCAGGGAGCGGGTGGGCCACCGGCCATCTTGCTGCCAGCTGGGCCCTGCTCCTGCCCTCACAGAAGCCCCAAGTCACACCTTTCGGGGTGAGATCCCAGATCCTGCATCTCGGGGCTAGAAAGGGACCCCTCTAAGAAACCCAGCAGGTCCCTGGGACTCCACCCCAACCTCTTGCTTCCTGCCAGGAGGTAAACCTCAGGCTTTCCTATCCCCAATGTCTGGATAAAGAAACAATCTCAGCTATCTTGTTAGTTGTCTATTTACATCTCTGTTATGTCCCAGAGGTTCTGCACCTGGGGGGCACTTGCCAGGAGCCAGGCTGGAACCCAGATCCCGGGCCCTGTTGCAGTGCCTGAATTGTGGGCCAACTGCTGCCCGAGACTCCCACTTGGGACTCGAGGACCCCCAAGAGCCCCATCTCTGGGGCAGGGACTCCCCAGGGGCCGTGGGATAGCCAGTAGCATCATCGGTTCACTGGGCAGATGGTGACGGCCCACCGCCCCTGAGTGCCCAGGTACTGGGCTAGGCAGAGAAGGCAGGAGCCTCCCTGAGTCCCTCCTCCTTACGGCCCCACAGTCCTGCCCCACCCCACCCCTGCCAAATGGGACTCTTTGGGGCTGACCCCCAGGGACCCTAGTTTTTATGATCTCCCACCTAAGTGGGAACATGGGCCAACATGATGGGGCAGGTGTGGCTGGGACCCAGGCCTGGGCTCCCCCAGGCTCCTCCTTGGATCTGAAGCCAGATCCACCGATGGGAAATAAGCCCTTTGGAGCATGACGTTGCCAGGGAGGGGGTTGTGGGGACAGGAGATGATAAGGCACCCACACTCCGGGGGTCCACCCTGTAGAAACTCTGAGACCCACCTCTCTGTGACCATCAGGCTCTCCCTGGCCAGAAGCAGGGAGCAGCGTCCAGGCTGGGCCCAGCCCTGCAGCCCCAAGGCTCTCACTGGGAACACAGGGTCTCAGGCTAAAATAGGTGGAGCCCCTCAGCCGAGCTCAGGAGCCCTTGGGCAGCACTGGGAGCTGCTGGAGCCAGCGCCTTGTCTTCCCTCTACCTGTCTAGGCCCCAGAAGGCTGCAGCCAGGGAGGGGGCTGGGCATCTTAAGGAGGGCCGGCTCTCTCTAGCAGAGTCCTGGGAGAAGAGGCCAGGGCCTTCACCGACAGCGCAGCACCTCCAGTTTCCGCGGCACCTCCACGGCCCTCTCGCCTAAGCCTCTCCACCCCTGTGTGGGGGGCTTGCTGTGGTTCTGCTTTACAGGGGGAGAAACTGAGGGCCCAGAAGGTCAGGCTGCGGCTGAAGGTGCAAGGACTCAAAGGCTGACTCCGGGGTGGGGACGGGTTTGGAATTTCCTGTTCCTCCTCACCTTTGAGAGGTGTCCTGGCTGGGCTGTGCCAGGCTGGGAAGTGTCTCCGGAGGCTCCACACCCACCCACACCTGGTATTTTTGTTCCCAGGTGGGTCTGATGCCAGGAGGATGTGGTTAAGCTCGAGGCCCTGCTGTCTCCTTCCATGCCCGGGGTCAATGGATCCTTATCTGGCAAGATCTTATCTGTGTGTCCTTGACAGACTCTGGAGCAGGCTCCTGGAGGTACCAGGAGGCCCAGGTGGGTAATCACGGGTGCCAAGAAGTGGCCTGTGGGGGGGGGGCCCTCCATCTTGGGACCCAACCCGGGACCCCCCTGCCCCCGAGACTGCTTCTCAACCATGACTTCCCCTTGCCCTGCTCCTTGCTGCCTGCTGGGAGGCACAGGCAGTGTACTAGGAAGCCCAAAAGAGAAGCCCAAAGCAGAACAGGGCATCCTCCAGGGCCCAAGGGGAGAGGCTTTGGACCTCACTTACACAAACTGGGTGGGAGCTTCCTAGCAGCCAAAGCAAAGAGGAAAGAAGTTGAAGGAAGGTGGAGGTGGTGTAAGAGGTTGGTCTGAGGCATGGACCCCAGGATGCTCCCCAGAAGTTGTCTGAGTCATCCTTTGGACATAGCAGGACTCAGTACATTCATTGAACAAACAAGGCACTAGACACTCATTGCTATATTTTTAAGGCCCCTCGTTGAAGTGAATCACAGCCTCGTTCCCAGTCTCCTGGGCTTTCACCCTGCCCCACGGACGGGATGCTGGCTCTTCCCTGTCGCCCCGCATTGTGACTGGCTGTGTTCCACATGGTGCAAACTTATTCCCAATTGACCCGTGGGGTCTGCTGGAGCCCTAGGGCTGACCACAGGGGCTGCAGGGCATGGTTGCCCTGGGAGCCCTGCAGCTCAGGTCCACTTAGCACTTTCTGGAAAAGCAACCGCCTCTAGGGGGCAGCACAGTGTCACCGGGAAAAGCCGGACGTGGCTTCGGGGACCTGGGCTTGGATCCAGGATCCAGCCCCTGCCGCTTCAGCAGTGGAGTGATGGGGGCCAAGTCACTTCCGCCCCAAGCCTCAGTGTCTCCCTGCACCCCTCCACCCCCTATAGAGTGGGACTAAGAGTGTTCTGAGCCAGGCTTCCAGTGAGGTGGGGGTGGGGAGGGCAGGACAGACGGGTCAGTGTCCTCGCTCCTGGCCCCTTTTCACCTCTGATGTTGAAGTTAAACATTCAACAAATTATGAGAAAATAAAGCAACAGTTTAAAAATAGGAGAAAACGTATCCCAAAAGAATGTTCTATGATTTCCGGCTGGGTCACTCTTGGCAGGCTCCAGCAGGGAGGAGCAGGGCAGGGCCGGGGCATGGCTCAGGGAATGGGGGAGCGCTCTCCCTAAGACCCCAGCCCCAGCCTCCGCCTTGTCCTCAGGCAGCCAGGAGCAGGCACAGCTGCCTCGCTTCCCCTGGGAGAACGCTGGCTCCTTCAACTTCCCCCCGAAAGGCATCCAGAGGCCTCCAGCTGGCCCCCTCCCCTCTTTCCCCCAGCTTTGGGGTCTGGGCAGAGTGAGGCTGGAGTCCACCTTCCGGGCATTGGGAGTACAGGAAACAGTCCCAAGGGACCTCTTTCACTGAGAAGGCACAGAATCCCTTCCTAGAACGGGATATGTGTTTGTTTCCAACGGCTGCTGCAATCAATGCCTGCAAACTTACAGGCTGGAAATGGCACAAGTGGATTCTCCTGACAGTTCTGGAAGTCAGAAATGCCGCTCATCAGCCGGGCATGGTGGCTCACACCTGTAATCCTTGCACTTTGGGAGGCCGAGGCAGGCAGGTCACTTGAGGTCAGGAGCTCAAGACCAGCCTGGCAAACATGGCAAAACCTCATCTCAGCCAGGTGCAGTGGCTCACGCCTGTAATCCCACCACTTTGGGAGGCCAAGGCAGGTGGATCACGAGGTCAAGAGTTCAAGACCAGCCTGGCCAACATGGTGAAACCCGTCTCTACTAAAAATACAAAAAATTGGCTGGGCATGGTGGCTGGCACCTGTAATCCCAGCTGCTCAGGAGGCTGAGGCAGGAGAATCACTTGAACCTGGTAGGCAGAGATTGCAGTGAGCTGAGATTACACCACAGCACCCCAGCCCTGGTGACAGAGCAAGACTCTGTCTCAAAAAAAGAAAAAGAAAAAAAAGAAGAAAAAAGGAATGCCACTAGTCTAGAATCAAGGTGTCTGCAGGGCTACATTTCTCCTGGAGAGTCTAGGAGAACCCAAGCCTTGTCTTTTCCAGCTTCCAGAGGCAGCTTGTGCTCCTTGGCTTGTGGCCCCTTCCTCCATCTTCAAAGTCAGCAGCACTGCCCCTCCTGGGAAGATTTTCCTCTCTCTCCCTCTCCCTCTCTCCCTCTCTTCTATCTCTCCCTCTCTCCCCTCCCTCTCTCTCTCTCTCTCCTTCTCTCCTCTCCCTCTCTCTCCTGAGCCATGCCCTGGCCCTGCCCTGCTCCGCCCTGCCTCTCTCCCTCTCTCTTCACTCTCTCCCTCTCTCTTTTTCTCTCTCCCTCTCTTCTCTCTCTCTCCTCTCCCTCTCTCCTCTCTCTCTCCTCTCCCTCTCTCCCTCCCTCTCCTCTTTCTCCTCTCCCTCTCTCTCTCCCTCTCTTCTCTCTCTCTCCCTCTCCCCTCCCTCTCTCTCTCTCCCTCTCTTCTCTTCTCCCCCGCTTCTCTCTCTCTCCCCCTCTCCCCTCCTCTCTTTCTCTCTCTTCTCTTCTCTCTCCCACTCTCTTCTCCCTCCTCTCTCTCCCTTTCTCCTCTCTATTTCTCTCTCTCTCCCTCTCTCCTCTCCCTCTCTCTCCCTCTCTCCTCTCTCTCTCTCTCCCTCTCTCCTCTCTCTCTCCCTCTCTGGCCCCCTCCCCTTCTCTCTTCTCTTCTCTCTCCCTCTCTCCTCTCTCTCTCCGTTTCCCTCTCTCTCTCCCCCGTCTCTCCCTCTCTTCTCTCTCTCCCTCTCTCCTCTCCCTCTCTCCTCTCACTCTCTCCCTCTCTCTCCTCTCTTCTCTCTCTCCCTCTCTCTCTTCTCTGCCTCTCTTCTCTATCTCCCTCTCTCTGTTTTCTCTTTCTCCCTCTCTCCTCTTTCTCTCTCTCCCTCTCTCTCTCTCCCTCTCTCCTCTCTCTCTCCCTCTCTCCTCTCTCTCTCCCTCTCTCTCTTCCCCCTCTCTTCTCTCTCTCCCTCTCTCCTCTATCCCTCTCTCTCCCTCTCTCCTCTATCCCTCTCTCTCCCTCTCTCCTCTATCCCTCTCTCTCCCTCTCTCCCCCTTCTCTTCTCTCTCTCTCCCTCTCTCCTCTATTCCTCTCTTTCTCCCCCCCCCCCCCGCTTCTTCTTGTCACATCTTTTCTGTGACTCCCTCCTGCCTCCCTCTTACAGGAAGCTGGAGGTTACCCACGACCGTCTGGGATCATCTCCACCTCAGAATCCTTGCTCCGTGACATCGGTAGAATGTCTTTGGCCACGGAAGGGAACATGTTCATAGGTCCTGGGCACTAAGATGTGGGGGATTCCATTACTGGTGGGGGGTTCCATTATTTGGTTGACCACCGACCTGGTACACAGTGGGTGCCCCTGGGATTTGTTGTAGCAGGGAGCACTGGCTGCAGCAGGAGCCTGACCCTCGCGGGAGCGTCTAGCCAGCCTTGGTGCCAGGTAGGCCGTGGCATTTAGCTCTCCGGCCCAGAGCCTCAGCAAGGCCACGGCGCTCGGCCAGAGGAACACAGCCACCCAGCGGAGAGCCAAGACTCAGCCCAGACGTCCCAGACGCCAGGCCCTTTCCTGGGTGCCCTCAGCACGCCCCACCCCCACCCCGTGAGGACGTCTGCCCGGGCTCCGGATGCCCCAGGGCCTTGGACCACCAGGGACTGTGCCTTAGGGGCAGGGTGACCCTGCGGTGCTGGGCGTTTGACACGGCCTTTCCCCCTGGAAGCCTCTGTCGCCCTCGATACAATGTGAAGAGTTGGGCTGTAGGGTCAGGCGGAGAGATTGGGGTTCACATCTGGATTCTGGCATCCACGGGCAGAGCGACCAGGACCAGTCTGAGAAACGGGGTCCTCACTCTAAACGTCCGGACGGCCCCTGCCTTAGAGGGAGTGGGGGATGAAATGTAGCAATGTCCCCTGCACATGGAGAAGCCTCCTCAGGCGAGGCCGGGGGATCAGGCAGCTCGCGCCCGGAAGGCTTCGCATATAATGCACCGTCTATTTCAGCTCGCCGGGGTCTTGCTGCAAAGTTGCGCAACAGAAAATGTGAGAGACGCGGCAGTCACTCCACTAAGCGGGACAGGGCCAGGCCCGCCGCCAGGGGGCAGCATCGCCTCTCCCGGCCGAGCCTTCCTGGGAGTCCCGCGGGGGCTGCTCCCCAAAGGACAGAGCTCCGGGTTCATGGGGAACGGGGTGCCGAGAAAGCCTGCCTGGCCCTCCCAGGCCCCACTTCCTTGTTCTTACAAACCTAAGGAAGAGTGGGCTCCTGGGATTAACTCGGCGTCACGAAACCCTGGCCCTGAGGGACGGACCTCTCAGCCTGGGTCAGGCCAAGGACATCTGAGTGGCCCCACCGCGAACTCCTGTGAGCCCCTGGAGCGAGCAGTGGCCTCGAGTCTGTGCCCACCTCCTTTCACGCCCCTCTTCCCTGGCTGGCCATCTTGGCATCCCTCCTCCCCTGCCACTCTATCTTGGCCTCCTGGGCCGGCTCCCACCCCCCGGTTCCCATGCTTCCTCCCCGCAGAGAGGGACCCAGAGGTGCCACCACCTTGGGGTGACCAAGTCCCAGTGCTATGTTCGGCCCCAGGGCTCCTTCACTTCACTCACAGGCGCCTTTCCCTGCAGCTCACACAGGCACAAAGTAACACACGTGCCCGCACACTCGTGTATACACGCACACAGGCACACACTACTGCTCACATGCACATAAGTGCAATGTGTCCTCACATGAACATGAGTGCAATGGGAACACTCTTACACACCAGTTCACAGACACCCACATGCACACACTCCACCACACATGCATACACACAGACAGGTACACACTCCTCCAGGGCTCTTGGGAATAGTCCTCTGTTTTGTCACCAAGCTCCCAGGAAAGCTGCCCCTCCCTGCTGGCTCCAGGGCCTGTCACCAGCCATCCAGCTCTTGCCTGGAGTGAGTCCTCCCTCCTCAGGGTGAGTCCTTCCTCCTTGGGGTGAGTTCCCCTCCTGGGGTGAGTCCTCCTTCCTGAGGTAAGTCCTCCCTTCTCAGGGTGAGTCCTCTCTCCTCAGGGTGAGTTTCCCTCCTGGGGTTAGTCCTCCTGCCTCTGAGTGAGTTCCCCCTCCTCAGGGTGAGTCCTCCTCAGGGTGAGTTCCCCCTCCTTGGGTGAATGCTCCCTTCTCACGGTGAGTTCCCCTCCTAGAGTGAGTCCTGCCTCCTCTGGGTGAGTCCCCCTCCTGGGATGCGTCCTCCCTCCTGAGGTAAGTCCATCCTTCTCAGGGTGAGTCCTCCTCAGGGTGAGTTCCCCCTCCTAGGGTGACCCCTCCTTCCTCAACCCGGAGTTCCCCTCCTGGGGTGAGTCCTCTCACCTCTGGGTGAGTTCCCCCTCCTCAGGGTGAGTTCCCCTCCTGAGGTGAGTCCTCCCTTCTCTGGGTGAGTTCCCCTCCTGAGGTGAGTCCTGCCTCCTCAGGGTGAGTTCCCCTCCTGGGTGAGTGCCCCCCCCTCTAGATGAGTTCCCCCTCCTCTGGGTGAGTCCCCCTCCTTAGGGTGAGTTCCCCTCCTGAGGTGAGTTTCCCTCCTGGGGTAAGCCCTCCCGCTTCTGGGTGAGTCCTCCCTTTTCAGGCTGAGTCCTCCCTCCTGGGGTGAGTCCTCCCTCAGGTCCACCTCCTCTCCCCAGCCGGCTTCCATGGGGCTTCTTCAGTGGTTCCAGCTGGCGTGTGCCAGTCCCCCAGGAGGTCCAGGTCCTTTCTCGACATTTTCCTCAGCTGCTGGGGCTGCAGGGGATGCACCAGCTGCATGGACGGGGTGGCATTGCCTGATCCCACCTCCCACAAACGTCTGTGCACCTGCCCCTGCCCCAGTGCTGCAGCCTCAGTGTAGATGTGGCCACACAGGGCCTGCAACCACTGAGCTCCGAAGCCCCAACCTGCAGCCATGGGGCGGGGGGACATGAATTCGAAGCCCTGTGGCATCAATAGGGTAATGTGGCGGGTACCAGGTGGGGTCCTCCTGCTGCCCCAGGAGCGGGGCCCACCGCGGCCTGCAGCAGCCACAGGTGCAGGAGGGTGGGGGAGGCTGTCAGAGGCTATCAGTGCCCAAGCTGCCTTCTGCTTGGGGACAGCCCTCAGATGAGTCCCTGGGAGCCCGGTGCTCCTCAGCGAGGGCCTGGGCTGGGGTTTGGGGCTGCTCCCTGGCTCTGCCCATCAGCAGCATGACACAGGCAGGCCGGGCCACTCAGGGCTCCAGACTTCTCAAGGTGCAGTGTGGCAGGACAGCCTCCCTGAGGGTGTTCTGAGGACTCGGAGCTGCCTCTGAAGTTCCTACTCACTGTTCACTCCAATACATGAGGTTAGGGTCAGGTCGGGTAATCAGTGAGACACCAACCCCCTGCCACCCCTAGGAAGGTGGGGAGGGCCAAGTCCTGGCTGCTCATGGCATCCTGGCTTTTCAGGAGCCCTTCGGTCAAAAATAAAATGATCTGCTTGCCCTACAAGAAATAAAGCTGGGGTGACCCAGAGAGGCTGGGCTCAGCCTGGGAAAGGGGGTGTCCCAAGAGAAGGAGGAGGGTAAAGGGCTGTGGCCTCTCCGGAGGGGGCCACCGGGAGTCACCGAGAGGCAGCAGGACCAAGGGGGAGGCTCTGGGCATCCTGCCGAGAGCACCACAGGTTAAAAAACCCTACCCAAGGCCTTTGATCCCCTGCTGGGGAGAGATTGGATGTCCCTTGAACCCCAGGAGGAACCAGACCTCGGGCTGGATTTTATTCTGTGGAGACAAGTGAAGCTTCGTGACATCCACGGCGTGAGTCCTGGGGAGTGGAGCTGTCCAGCCTGTGGCTCTGGGCCTGCGTCACGCCACTTGTGGGTGGGCCTGTGTCACGCAGCTCACGGGACAGAGCCAGGACACCCCGAGGAAGGCTGGGGCAGGACAGCCAGGCCCCCATGCTCTCGCTGGCTTCACAGTCCAACTGGGAGACAAGAAAAATGAAAATCAAGGTTCAGGGCTGGCGGCACGAGGACCCTGGGGCTCCCTGGTGGCTGGATTTCAGCTATGGGAGGAAGAGACAGTGCGTTTCTGGGTAGTGAGGGGCCCAGCACAGACAAGGCCTGGAGGCTGGAAAGTTCGGGGTGTGCCCCGGGACTGGGGAGCAGGCAGGGATGGTGTGAAGTGGGTGTTGGCATCTCTACACCCGCCCAGGGCAGGACTCGGCTTGAGCCACGCCTTCTGGATCATGGGGTGCGGAAAGTGGGGCCCTGCTGTCTGCGGGGTCGGCGTGGGGTATGTGCCTTTAGGAGAAGATGGGAAAGTGACTCATGATGGGTGGCTCCGCAGCTGCCCCTTCCAGGGACTCAGGCACCTCCCGCTGTCACCATACCCCTCCCCACTTTCTCTACGTGGCTAAGGAGTGGGGATCTCAGGCCAGCGGGGGGAGCCCAGGGCACAGCTCCAGCAGGGCTGGCCCCTCAGAGCTTCCAGGCTGCAGCAGGCAGGGGTTGGAAGAGGTGAGAAGGAGCAGGGCAGTGAGTGTCCCAGGAAGCCCATTCCCGGAACAGCGTCCTTGGGTTGGTTCTGGGAACTGGGGACACCAGGAAGGCCCAGGGGAGTGGGGCTGCTGGGAATGGCCTGGGGGAGGCCACGAGGTGGGTCAGGGGTGGAGCTGGGTGTTCTGGGCGGGCCTTTGAAGCCCACTGGCCTTCAATGCCGGGCAAGCGGGAAGGAAACCCACAGGAGCTAGGGTTCCTCCAGCTGGGACCCAGCTCCCCTTGCCCCACACTAGCAAGTGCTGAGGAGGACGGAGGTCCTGGGGGTGCTCTGTGGGAATTTAGGCTGGGCAGGTGTTACAGGCTGAATTTCACCCACCCAAGCCCCATGTTCATATGCTGAAGTCCTAACGCCAGGACTCAGAACGTGACCCTGTTGGGACACAGGAGCGTTGCGGATGTGATTAGTGAAGATGAGGGAGCAGGGTGGCCCCTGATCCGATCTGTCTGGGGTTCTTCTTCTAGAAGGGGGAACTGCAGGCATGTACACAGGCGAACATGGCAGGGAGACTAGGGTTCTACTGCGGCAGGCCAAGGAGCCTGCAGAAGCCCGCAGAGCTGCTGGACACTGACCCTGCCTCCACCCGAATCCTGGGCCCTCAGCTTCCAGCGCTGAGTGTGCGTGTGTTTCTGTGGTTTGCGCCCCTCTATGGATGGGACTTAGTTGCAGGAGTCCTAGAATGCAGTCTGGCTCCAGAGTTTGCACCCTTCACTCTTTGCTATACTGCCTGAGAACCAGATGGATCAACACAAAGGGGCCATGAAGGATGCAGTGGAGTGTGCCAGGGGAAGAATGCAGGGAAGAACATTGTGCACAGTGGGAACAGCATAGGGTTGTGAGGCAGAGCGTGACCTGCTCCAGTCACTGGCGGGTGGTGGGTCTGGAAATGCATGTTTGAGTCACTGGGAGGGCTCTGCGTGGCTGGATGGAACCCGTGAGGGAGGAGGCAGGGACATTAAATGACTGAAGGGATCACCAGCAGCCCAGCTGCGAAGGTCCCCAAAGGCAGAGTTTTGACTTATTCCTGGGATGATGCGGCCCCAGCAGAGGAATATGCCAGATCTGGGTTCATGAAATGCAGCTGGAGCTAGGACAGGGAGGAAAGATTTGAGTTCAGAATACAGGTTCCATGGAGACGCTGAACTGACCAGGCTCATGCTCCAGCAGGATGGGTCTGGATTCGGGAAACCCACACCCTCCTGATCTCCCTTTCTCTCCAACTGCTCCGGGCCTCAGATTTCCCTCCTCCAACAGGCCCTCTCTAGGTGGACTCATGGGTCCTGTGGGTTGAACACGTCTAGACCTTCATGGTCTCCAAACTCATAACTCTACCCTCTCCCCTGATCACCGGCCCAGCCTCCAGTGTCTACTCCACAGCTCCGTCTGGATGCCTCAGAGGCCTCTCCAGCCCAGCCCCCTGATACGGAGCCCTGAGGTCCCTGCCAGAGCTGCCCCTGACTGTCTCCCTTCCTGAGGACTGAAGCTTGGGCCATCAGTGGCTGCAACCGAGAATCTGCGGTTCACCATTGCCCTCTTTTTCTCACGCCCTCAGTGAATCCAAGCAGATCCAGGAGAGGCCCCTTCTTATGCCCCTGTGCCATGCCCCAGGTTGGTGTGGACAGCAGGCAGCTGGAGGATGAGGCCACACTGGCTCTAGCCACCTTGGGTTGGAGGTTTCCACAGGGCAGCCAAGCAGGCCTGTCCGGCAGCAACAGAAGAGATTGTCTGGGGCTCGGCAGCGGGCAACTGGCTTGGGGAGAGGAAAGTGAGAGGCAAGCACCATCCCTCCTCATGGCTCCCCCTGGGACCACGTTTCATCACCCAGCCCCTCACCGACACCTGCAGCCACAAGGCCAGCTCCTGGCATGGGGGGTAGGCAGAGGGAAGAGGACCAAGCTGGGAGGGATGGAGATGTGTCCAGCTCCTGCCTTCAGTAGAGCCCATGAGACCCTCCATCCCAGCCTGCTGAACTTCCTGGCCTCCCAACACCACATGCTAAGCTCAGAGCTCTGCTCCAGTGGGCCAGAATGCCCCTCTGCTCCTCCCATACTCCAGACTCACAGACCTGCTTCCTTCCTCTGCCTGAGATTTCCCACCCCACCTGTTATAGGCTTTGCCGACACTGCCCCATCCTTCATTCTCAGCTTGCATGTCACTTCCTCAGAGAGGGTCTCCCAATTCCCTGTCACATGCTCCCTCTGCTTCTCCTTCTTCATGTTCCACACCTGCAATTTCTCAATGCTCCCCTCGCCTTCTGTCAGCCCCACTGTTGGCAGAGTCTGTCCTTCTTGTCATTGGGTCCACAGCAGCAGACCCAAAAGGGTCTGGTACCCAAATGAGACCCAAAGGGTCTGGTACATGCTGGGCTGCAGTAAATCTTTAATGAATTGATGGATGGATGAGTGGATGGTTGTATGAATGAATGGGTGGATAGATGGGTAGATGAATGGATGGATAGGTGGATGGATGGATGGATGGATGGATAGATGGGTGGGTGAATGGATAAATGGGTGGGTTGGTGAGTGGATGGATGGGTAGATAGATGAATAGGTGGATAGATGGATGGTTGGATGGAAGAATATATGGGCAGGTAGGTGGATATAAGGGTGGGTGGATGGATGGATGAATGGGAGGATGGTAGGATGGGAGGGTGGATGTATGGTTGAGTAGGTGGATGGATGGGTGGGTGGGTGGGTGGATGGATGGGTAGATAGATGGATGAATGGATGGATGAATGGATGGATGGATGGATAAGTGGATGGATGGATGGATGGATGGATGAATGGATGGATGGATGGATGGATGGATGGATGGATGGATGGATGGATGATTTAAGTGGGTGGATGTGTGGATGCATGGAGGGTAATTCCCCCTCTGGTCTCACTCCTGATCACCTCATCTGGAAGATGCTGGAGGTACAATTGCCATGATTACTAATTCAGGAGATACTCTCATCTGAATGACCCTTTTGGCCAGAAGTATCCAGACTGGCACTGGCTGCTGCGTTTGTTCAGTCATACTCCAGCAATTTCCCTGCCAGCTGCACAGTGTGGGATTTTTTTTCACTACTTGTCCCCTGACTTAGATATCCTGAAAAGCAATGGAGTCATCCCCGACCGTGCAAGACAGCGGCCTCCCAGACCACAGCAGGCATCCCAGACAGCATCGTCATGTGCCCCCAGGTGTCCTGGGGAGCCCACTCCAGATGTGCCAGCCTGAGAAGGGAGCTTTGCCTCACCGGCCCATGGCTCTGGGACAGATTTCTAGACTCGGCTCTGAGAAAAAATAAACTTATGACAGAGTTTATCTGAAGGAGGAAGCAGCAATAAAGCGTGACACCCAGGGAGCAATGAACAGAGAGCTCCGAGACAGACACAAAACAGGTACCGACAAATGTGGAACGCGTTATTTAAAATTCCCCGGGCTGACAGATCGGACAGCATAGCGGGCCAGACGCCGGTTCGAGGAGATGAAAAGAGTTCATTTCCTTCCTCCAGATAAACACACTAGCAGCCAGATCTCTCTGTGATGATAAATGGCTTCCTCCTGCCATCAGTGGGGTTGTGGGGGGGCAGGTCACACCTCATGGCTGGTTGGAGCCTGTGGCCATCAAAGGCAGGAGAAAGGCAGCCGTGGGGAGATGCGCCCACGTTGGAATTCCCACAATCCCGGCCTGTCCTCCAGCACCAGAATGCTGCTTATCTCATCCCAGGGCCCCCACAACTATCAAAATACATGAAGACACAGAATGAACTGGGGGATGTAGCTATGGCCTCCTGCTCTTCCCAGGGCTGTGGGATTTAAGGACCTCCCACCACAAGCTGGTTTCTAGGAGGGAAGGAGCCAAAGGCAGGAGAGGGGGCGGCCTGTTCACTCCCATGGGGTGCAAAGATATGGTGCCAGCCCCTTTTTCTGGAAGTCAGGACCTAGCCCCATCTTTAGCCTTCCTGCTCCCCAGGAACATGGACAGGCTTTGGTTGAAATCTGCATCCTCTGGCTGGTGGGAAGATGGTCACCCCACATAAGACAAGCATCACTGCCCAGCCCCAGGGCTGTTTCAGGAGGAAATTGGTCTTAAGGATAACCGGAGCCTGGAGCAGTCCACCCCGGCAGTACTCTCAAACAAAGTCCAAACAAAGCTATTTATAAAAAGCCAAATTGCTGGCATCTGCACTGACTCCTGGGGCTGGAGGGGAGGAAGGAGATGGAGCCCCAGCTTGCGGCTTGCAGTGATCCATTTGCTGCTTCTGTCCGTCCTCAACATCCGAGATACATTTGTGGTTTCCTGTGCCCAATACTCACCTGGGGGCGGGCAGGAGGACGCAGGAGAGTAGACGCAGGACCGCAGAAGAGAAGTCCTAAGGAAAGCCGAGGTCCCTTCCCGGGGGCCAGCATTCAGGCTGCAGAGTCTTCACTCCCCACTAAGAGGTGTCCTCTCAGTGTGGCTTCCCACTCTGTAGAGAGTGTATGTGGGAAACTACGAAAAGGAATGAAGCCCTGATAGCTGCTGTACGATGGATGCCCCTGGAACTAGTGTGCAGAAAGGAGCCAGACACAAAACGCCACATATTGCATGCTTTCATTTGTATGAAATGTACAAAAAATTAGCCGGGCATGGTGGCACGTGCCTGTAATCCCAGCTACTCAGGAGGCTGAGGCAGGAGAATCACTTGAACCTGGGATGTGGAGGTTGCAGTAAACCGAGATCATGCCACTGCACTCCAGCCTGGGTGACAGAGCGAGACTCCATCTCAAAAAAAGAAAAAAAAAGAGGCCGGGCGAGGTGGCTCACGCCTGTAATCTCAGCATTTTGGGAGGCCCAGATGGGTGGATCACGAGGTCAGGAGTTTGAGACCAGCCTGACCAACATGGTGAAACCCCGTCTCTACTAAAAAAAATACAAAAATTAGCCGGGCATGGTGGCACATGCCTGTATTCCCAGCTACTTGGGAGGCTGAGGCAGGAGAATTGCTTGAACTCAGGAGGTGGAGGTTGCAATGAGGCAAGATTGCATCATTGCACTCCAGACTGGGTGACAGAGTGAGACTCCATCTCAGAAACAGAAAAAAAGAAAAAAAAAAAGTCCAGAACAGGCAAATCCACAGAGACAGGACTCACAGTGTTGGTTGTCAGTGTGTGGGGTTAAGGGGTGGGATGGGAAGTGATTACTTGATCGGGAAGGGGTTTCCTTTAGGGTGGTGAAGATGTTTTGGAACTTAGATAGAGGTGGTGTTTGCACAGCACTGTGGATGTGCTGAGTGCCGTGGAACTGTGCACTGTAAACTGATTAATTTTGTCACGTGAATTCCACTTCCATGTTTTAGAAAACTGCATCTGGGATCAGCAGGGCCTCTCAGGAGGACCTGTGTGGGGCATCTGGCTCCTCGGCTCGGGCAGGTAACCTACGCGTACAGGTATGTTAGGAGAGAGGCACGGACGGCCAAGCCTTCGACGTCAGCCCCTCCTTCGGCAAATCCTAGCATCAGTATCCTAAGCTCAGGACACGGGACCTCCAGGGACTTCTGGACTCACACTCAGCTCCACCGCTGTGGGTTACTGGGTTGAATGACTAAACTTCAGGAGCCTCAGTCTCCCCATCTGTAAAACGGAAGCCACAGATGCAACGTCTGGAAAGCACGTAGCCCAGCCCCAGCACCACACCATGGTAGAGGCACAGGGCCATTTTTATCGCCTTGTTCCAAGCGATGGTTCTGATTTGGGTCCATCTTTCTCACATCCTTTCACACTGCCAGTTTCTCAGAGACAGAGATGTGCCTGTCCTGCTTTGCTGACCCCTGCAGCCAGGATTCCCAAATGCCAGGCAGGACAGGCTGTCAGCATCTCCTGGGAGCCCCTTCTGCAAAGTCAGATCCCTCGGCTCTCCCGCCAGACATTCAGCCTCAGTGCACCTGTGCGTGGGTGTGGGGGCTGGAGATCGGCATTTTAACAAGTGCCTCTAGTGACGTGAATGCAGAGCCCGGTTCAGGAACCTGCTCCCCTCCCTCCTGTAGTGAGGTGGGAAGGAGGGGGAAGGAGGGCAAGACCGTTGGCTTGGTTGGGTTTTGGTCATGCAGAGAGCTCACACCTGTCATCAGGGGTGGCTGCAACAGGCACCAGGCCCCAGGAGACATTGTTTGCCTTCACTTCCTCAACACGCAGCAGGATCCTGCCCTTCGTCCCAACAGGGAATGATCTGTTGGAAACTCAGAGGTATAAAAAGAAGCCTGTTAGGCTACTGAAGAAACTTGTCAGCCTTTTTTTTTTAAATGAGACTGGGTCTCATTCTGTCACCTGAGCTGGAGTGCAGTAGTGACATCATGGCTCACTGCAGCCTCAACCTCCTGGGCTCAGGTGATCTTCCTGCCTCAGCCTCCCAAGTAGCTGGGACCACAGGCGCATGCCACTACATCCAGCTAATTTTTGTAGTTTTTGTAGAGATGGGCTTTCGCCATGCTGGCCAGGCTGATCTTGAACTCCTGGACTCAAGCAATCCTCCCGCCTTAGCCTGCCAAAGTGCTGGGTTTACAGGCATGAGCTACCATACCCAGCCTAGCTTTTTTTTTTTTTTAATATGAAAAAAAAATGTTTGGAGCCTTCCCACTAAGGAACAATAAGATTAAGGGATTTAAAAGAATTGATTAGTGACATGCACATTGCTGCCCCAGGAGAAAATTCTGCTATTACTCATGAGAAGAGCCAGCATGAAGAGCTCTGTGAGGTCTGAGGTCACCCTTGTAACTGCGCTCGGGGATGTCAAAGTCAGCATTGACACAACTGTGACCATAACTCACCTGTTCCAGGCTCTCCTGTGTACTGCACACCCATCCTCCTTCTCAGTGTTCCCAGCAGCTGTAGGAGCTAAGAAGAGTGAAAGTAGCTATGAAAGACACCATCTGTAGTTTGTTTGTTCCACAAACTCCGGCCTCTTTCCTCTTGGGCACACACTAACCTGCGTGTCCCAGCCCCTGGCAGTTAGTGTGGCTGTAGCATGTGGGTGGAAATGATTCAGGTATGGCCCACAGGAAGCCCCCTGTCATTCTCCACGTCTGCCTCTTCCCTCATCTACAGAGGACTCAGGGAGGACTCAGCCACCTAAGAGAGCCAGAAGCTGGAAGGGAGCTGGATCCCTGAATGACTGTGTGGAGCAGAGTCCCCTCCTTACCACCTGCCTCCATTGGATTGTGACATGAGAGACAAAGAATCTTTCTGTGTGAAAGCCATTGCCATTTTAGAGTTATTGATCACAGTAGGCATCTCACTCCATGAACTAATGATCTTAGCTACAATCAACTGCACTCTTACCATGAGCCAGACACAGCCCTGAGCATTTTTTGTGTATTGACGCACTTAATGCTCACAGGAGGGGAGGGGACAATGCAACCCCTGCTTTCTCTGATCCAAGGTCACCCAGCCAGGAAGGGACAGTCCTGAGGTTGGACCTAGGTAGCCTATCCCTAGAGCCCCCTTTTGCAGAGGAGACAAATGAGACTCAGAATGGTCAAAGGCATATTCCCAGGGTACCAGCTGGTAGTTCTGGGGGTGCAGGATTTGAACCCCTGGCTCCAGTGCCTCCAAAGCTCATGCTCCGTGACCACTTTGCTGTTCTGCGAAGGAGGGAGCCAGGAGGAGCAGCGTGAACCTGCACAGAGGCCCCAGTGTGCCCACTGAGGGGAGTCTCAGAGTGGAGGCAGCCCCTTCCCACCCTCCTCTGGGCCAGCCTGGGTTCTCATTGGGGACAATCGTACTCCAAGCTGGGATGGGGGTGGGGGTTCCAGAGAGCCCTCTCCAGTGACAGCCCCATCAGCAGTGGCCTCACCTTACCTGCAGCACACACAGCCCTTCGCCCAAGGCCAGCAGGCCCTTCCCTTCAGGCACTCTGGCAGGCAACCAGCCAGCACAGGCCGAGTCCCAGGCCAGTGTCTTCCTGAGTCCATGGGCTGGCCAGAAGAGATGAGGACTTACCTGGCCATCTTGGCCACCAAACTCCCAGGGACCCCGGCCCCTCATCCCCATCAACATTCTCCTTATTGCCCTTCTCAGACACCAGCTGCGACCAGCTTAAACAACAACGGCATTTTTCAGATGCCAACTTGGCAGCCTGTGGGCCTCTCAGGAGCCTAGATCCAGGTCCCCCGGCAGGAGTCTCCCTGACCTCTAGTCTCGGCTTCTCTCTGTAGGCCACCACCGCCTCCACGGTGGCAGCTGCACACACACCTGCCTCGGGCTCATGGCACTGCGGTCTCCTCTTCCCTGACATCCCCCAGACCCCTGCAGGCCTCGGCTCCAGCGCCAGCTCTGAAAAGCCCCTGGGATACAGCCCCTTCCCCCAGGAGCCCCCTGGTCCTCCTGCATAGCCCCATCCTATTATCCATCTATTTGCTGCTGTCTCCCCCAACCTTGCCCCTGCCACATGGGAGCCTTCCAAGGGCAGAGACCCTGTGCATCAGAGGCCCTGATGCCCACAGCGCCTCGTCCCAGCACCGAGGGGCAGGGGATTGGCGTGCACTGCATGGTCTGGAAGAGCAAACCCGCCATGACTTTATGACCCTTGTTATCACCTCCTTCTGTGGTCCAAAGCCCTGGAGCAGGGATCTGCGCACACTACAGACAGAGCCAGGCCTCACCTGCCCAGTGGTTAGGGTGGGGTGGGGAGGTGGGGCCGCAGGAGGGAACACTCTGGGTTCCCTCCTCCTCCTCCCTGGGTGTGGCCTACCCCCACCCCCCAACCCTGGCCCCTGCACGGGGCTATCTTGGGCCACCCAGTGCAGGTGGCTGAGCCTCTGGCGATGGCTTGTGACTGGCCTGGGGCTCATCAAATGCCCGTTGCATGAAGCCTGCCTGGCTTCATGCATTGTTTTATGTGCATCTCAGGACTGGGGCAGCTGCCTGGGACAGAGATGCCTGCCAGGTCCCAGCCGCTGGGAATGGGGCTGTCTGACTCTCCTGCAGTCCCTGCTTCCTCTGGTCCTGGCATTCAGCAGGAAGGAGGCTCAGGGATCAGTGCCCAGGCAGAGCAGGGTCTCCAGGGTCCCAAGGACATGGGCCAACTAAGGTAGCCCAGGACATGGTCCCTGGAGTCGCCCTTCCTTGTGGCCCAGTATCCCCGGTCACTGCCATGTCCTCTGGGAGCCCATCTGACAGCCCTAGCCGCAGCCTTCCTGTCCTGCTCCCTGTCCCTGGATGAAGGACTTGACCCCAGTTAGTCAAGTCCTTCATCCTTGACTTCCAGACCAGTTGTGCTCTCAGCTGGCACACCTGGCCTGAGCCGTGGGGCCCTCTGCCCACAATGCCCCCCACCCATCTGCACAGGGTGGGATCCTAGGGATCAAGGTCACCTGGTGGAGATGCCCCCTCCCCATCCACCTCTTGGCTTCTCACGTCACAACTCCATGTGTGTTTAGGGCCTCACTCACTTGTGGAAAGGACCCTGATGAGGCTGTGGTGGCCAGGTCCCTCCTCTCCCAAGTGGCTTGAAGTCCAAGTGACTGGGGTGCCCACTGGGGTCCCCCCCATTTCCATCTGATTCTATTTCCTAGAAGAAACAATGTGCACGACAGCCAAAGAAGACAAACAACCACAAAATCAGAAATGTGTTGTTTCTGCTGGATTTTTTCTTCTCTTAGAATTTTAGGGGAAGGAGGGCTACCGGCCACCGGTCTCCCCAGGTGAGCACCCTGGGTCCAGGCACCTTGTCCAGGCCATATCAGAGCCAGCCAGACCCTCCAGTGGCTTTCCCAGCAGCAGACTGCTGCTCCCTAGCCTCTGCCAGCAGGGCCAGCGGGGGTCCTGGCCCTTCGAGGCTCTTTCAGTAACATTTGCCTGCAGCTCTTAGAGCCCCATTCCTTTCTCTCTCATGTAAGATCTTGTTGAGGTCTGATCTGGGGTTTTAGGGCAGAGTTGAGAGACTGAATCAACATTTCAACCTGTCTTCAGTTTTGTAACTTCACCTGATCCCTGTGATCCTGGGAAGGGGTGTTTAAGGCAATAAATGGCAAAATGCAAGCCATGCAATTTGATCCCAAAGCCCTGCTGACTCTAAGCAGCTCTTCAACTCATTCCTCCACGGTACACCCCTCCCAGCCCCAGCTTCTCTACCTCCCAGGCCGCTGCAGCCAGGCCGGTGCCCGCCACCTGCATTCCCACCCCTTCCAGTCCATTCTCCACCTGCAGCTGGAAGCATTAGGGCCTCGCCTGGGCCTGCCAAGGGCTGGATGCAAAGACAGGCTCTGACAGAGAAGAGGATTTTGGGGGAGGAAGCAGGAGAACATGAAAGAGGCTTCAGGCCACAATGAAGAGGCGACCCGCATGGAAGGAGAGAAGGAAGGAAACAGAAGTGGACAGGAGGAGTCTCAAACTGCAGTGCTGTTCCACTAAGGTTCAGCCCTGCTGACTCTTTCAAGGGGGAAAAAAAAGCAGCTAAACTGGCTGAAGTAATCAAGAGGAAAAGGGGATAAATGCATACACAGGCATACACAGAGTAAGAGAATACAAATAGAGAGATAGCAACAGACACAGAGAGATAAGAGCATCACAAGAGAATGCTTTGATCGGCTCTATGCAAATAAGTTTGTAAACTCAGATGAAACCAGTTCTTCCTGGAAAAAAAAAGAAGTAAGTCATAAAACTTAACTCTAGAAGAGACAGAAAAAAGAACAACTCCATCACCATTAAAAAAAAAAAAAAGTTCTTAATCCCCCTATCCCAGGCCGAAACATCACCAGGCCAGTAATTTCACATGGGAGTTCCATTGTCATTTGAGAGAACAGGAGATTTTAATACCATGTAAGCTGTTTCAAGGCATGGAAAAAGTAGAAGAGTTTCAAAAGTCTTTAGAAAAAGCTAGTGTAACACTGATACCAAATTCAATAAAGAGAGGACAAAAAGTTTTAAAAGGACCAACCAATCTCTTAAGAAAATTACAAATTTCTAAAATAAAATATTACTAAATACTACAGAGTGATCGATAGATGTAGGAAAAGCATTGAACATAATCTAACATGCTTTCATGATAAGATATTCAGAATCAATAAACCAGGAGCAGAAGAGAACTTCCTCAACCTGATAAGAGCCATCTATGAAATTCGTATCTAACATCGTACTTAATGAAAAAAGAACAAACGCCTTCCTCCTAAAATCAAGAACAAGACAAGGATGTCTGCTCTCACCCTTCCATTCAACATTGTACTGGAAGTTCTAGCCAGGGCGATTAGGCAAGACAATGAAATAAAAGACATCCAGATTGGAAAGGAAGTAAAAACTGTCTGTATTTGCAGATGACATGATCTTTTATGCAGAAAATCCTAAGAAACCCACTGAAAAAACTCTTCAAACTAATAAATGAGTCCATCAATGTAGCTGGAAGCAAGATCAATGTACAAAAATTAATTGTATTTCTACACACTGGCAGTGAACTATCTATCTAAAAATAACATTAAAAAAATCCCAGCATGTGAGGCAAGGTATAGGCAAATTAGCTTGATTTAGCCATTCCACAATGTATCCATATTTCAAAACATCTTGTTGTGTACCATAAATATACACAATTTTGTTTGTCAACTTACACAATAATAAAAAAATCCAATGGAAAAAAAGAAAAAGAAAACAACCCCATTTGTAATAGCAGCAAAAAGAATAAAACACTCAAGAATAAACTTAAACAAATACAGTACTTGTACATTAAAAACTGCAAAACATTATTGAAATGAAAGAAATAAAAGATTACAATGAATGAAAAGATATTGCTTGTTCCTGCTCATAAAATATCATTGCTGAGAAGGCGATACTCCTCAAATTGATCTTCAAATTCAAAGCAATCTCTATCAAAATCCAAGTTGAGTTTTTTGTTGTTGCAGAAATTGCCAAGGTGATCTTTTCTTTCTTTCTTTCTTTCTTTCTTTTTTTTTTTTTTTTGAGACAGAGTTTCACTCTGTCACCCAGGCTGAATTACAGTGGCATGATCTCAGCTCACTGCAACCTCCACCACCCGGGTTCAAGCGATTATCCTGCTTCAGCCTCCCGAGTAGCTGGGATTACAGGTACCTGCCACCACACCCAGCTAATTTTTGTATTTTTAGTAGAGATGGAGTTTCACCATGTTGGCCAGGCTGGTCTCGAACTCCTGACCTCATGTGATCCATCCACCTCGGCCTCCCAAAGTGCTGGGATTACAGGCGTGAGCCACTGCACCCGGCCATGATTCTAATAGTCATATGGACCCAGAGTAACCAAAGTGATCTTGAAAAAGAAAATGTTGGGGGGCCACACTTCCAACGGTTCCCTCTCCACAGGGGACAGATATAGCAGTGGGGTTGGCCAGGTGCTGGATGATGCCCACAGTTAACAGGACAAAGGAGGACGCATTGATTCTGGAATGGGGAATCTATTCCCACACAAGGCAGCAAGCCCAGGGCTGACTGTGAGGACTTGACTAGAACATTGAACTTGCTACAAGCTGCAGTAACCAAGACTGGCACCGGCATGAAGATGGACATAGAGGAATAGAACAAAATAGAGTCAGAAATAAACCCTCAGATTGACAGCCAGTTGATTTCTGACAAGGGCACCAAGGCCGTTCGTCAAGCAGGTGGGAGCTGTTGTTCGTCACCAGGTGCAGAGGTCGGAGCGCTGCTGCTGGCTGCATCTTGGTATCAGAGTCACCAAGAAAATCACAAGGCAGTCAGGCACTGGAGGGAAAACATTTCACTCACATGGAAAAGGGATGGAACAAGACCGGTCAGTGGTAGGCATTGGCCCCTCGTGGCCCAGTGGGTCCCTCTCAGCAGCCAATGCAGGGCAGTCGGCCTGCAGGCACCTTTCTTGTGCTGGGGTAGAAGGACCTGGTTCCCTCTCCACAGGGGACAGAAGGGGTTGGCCAGGTGCCAGATGATTCACACAGTTAGCAGGACAAAGGAGGACGCATTGATTCTGGAATGAGGAATCTATTCCCACACAAGCGGCAAGGCCAGCGCTGACTGTGAGGACTCGACTACTTGATGAGAAAGTGTGCCAGGCCCACAGCCCTTTCTTAGGTGGCTGGGCCTGGTCAGACTGCATGCAGAGACTGCCTTCCTGACACGATGTAATGAGGGAGGGACGGCTCTCCAACAAATGATGCTCAACAATCGGACATCCACGTGCAAAAGAAGGAAGCTGGACCCCTTCCTTAGATCACAGACCTAAATATAAAGGTTGAAATTACAAAACTCCTATAAGAAAATCTAAGAGTAGGCTAGGCGGGGTGGCCACGCCTGTAATCCCAGCACTTTGGGAGGATCACTTGAGGTCAGGAGTTCGAGACCAGCCTGGGCAACATGGTGAAACCCTGTCTCTACTAAAAATACAAAAATTAGCCAGGCGTGGTGGCGCATACCTGTAATCCCAGCTACTCTGGAGGCTGAGGCACAAGAATTGCTTGAATTCGGGAGGTGGAGTTTGCAGTGAGCTGAGATCATGCCACTGCATTCCAGCCTGGGTGACAGAGCAAGACTCTGTGTCAAAAAAGAAAGAGAAAGAAAGAAAGAAAGAAAGAAAGAAGGAAGGAAGGAAGGAAGGAAGGAAGGAAGGAAGGAAGGAAGCAAGGAAGGAAGGAAAGAAAGAAAGAAAAAGAAAGAAAGAAAGAAAGAAAGAAAGAAAAGAAAGAAAGAAAGAAAGAGGGAGGGAGAAAGAAAGAGAGAAGAAAGAAAGAGAAAGAAAGAAAGAGAGAAAGAAAAGAAAGAAAGGAGGAAGGAAGAAAGAGAAAGAAAAGAAAGAAAAAAAGAGAAAGAAAGGGAAAATCTAAGAGTAAATCTTGATCTAGGAAAGCCTTCTTAGATACAACAGCAAAAGCACAAGTAGGAAAACACAAACAGATAAATTGGACTTCATCAAAATTAAAAACTTTTGTGCTGCAAACAATATCATCAAGAAAGTGAAAACACACCCTACAGAGTGGGAGAACAAAATGTTAAGTCATATATCTGATAAGGGAGTCATTTCTAGAATATACAAAGATCTCTTACACCTCAACAATAAAAAGATAAATCATCCAACCTAGAAATGGGCAATTGAAGAGACATTATATTTGAATAGACATTTCTCCTAAGAAGATATACAAAATGCCAGTAAGCACATTATAGATGTCTAACATCATGAGTTTTTACAGAAATGCAAGTCAAAACCGCAATGAGATGATACCACTTCACACCCACTAGGATGGCTTAAATTAAAAAGACAGACAATAGCAAGTGTTGGCAAAGATGTAGAGATATTAGAACCCCCATTCATTGCTGGTGGGAATGGAAAATGATGCAGCCACTTTTTAAAACAGTTTGGCAATTCCTCAAAATGGTAAATGTAGAGTTACTATATGATCCAATAATTTTGATACCCAAGAGAAATGAAAACATATGACTACACAAAAACCTTTACATGAATATGCATAACAGCATTATTCATAATACTCCAAAAGCAGAAACAACCCAGATGTCTGTCAACTAATAAAGTGGAATATTATTCAGCCATGAAAAAAGCTGGAGTACTGATGACACGTTGCAACACGGATGAAGCTCAAAATCACTGGCTAAGCAAAAAGAAGCCAGTTACTGAAGAGCACAAATGGTGTAATTCCCTTTATTGCAGAATAGGCAAATCTGTAGAGGCAGAAAATAGATTGCATAAATGATTGCCTAGGGGTAGAGAAAGGGGAAGATGGGGAGTGACTATAAGGGCTATGGGGTGTGTTTTTGGGGTGATGAAATTGCCTAAAATTAGACTTTGGTCACTTTCTACAACTCTGTGAATGTGTACTTTAAATGGGTTAATTTTATAATATTTAAGTTATCACTCAATAAAGCCATAGAAAGAAAAGGAAAAAAAGGGTCAATTTTTCATATATATATATATATATATAAAATCCATGACACAAAAATGGATAAATTTGACTATACAAAAATTGTCATATATTAATGGCAAGGGATTCTGCAATGTCAAAAGAAAATAACTATATAAAATACAAGCCACTCGTAGCATAGATTGAGGGCTAATTTCTCTAATGAATAAGAGCTTTTATGAATTGATGAAACCAAGCGCCAGTGAATCTGGGGTAGGTTATGCAGCACTCACAAAACAGCCCGCAAATTGCAGTGGCTTAGAACTGCAAGGGTTTTTTCTGGCTTGGGGTACGTGTCTGTCTAGGGTTTGTGGACATTCTCTGCTCGTCAGGTACTCAGGGACCCCATCAAACGTTGCCAGTCCACCACACCAGGTAGAAAAGAAAGAGCTCCAAGGGCCTCCAACCGTCCATTAAATGTTCAACCTGGTAGTGAAACATTTGTAGTTACCCCATGTATATCTGTATCCCTAGGCAGCAAAGTTAATTGCAAACTTTTGAATTGTATATACATGGAAATATACCATGTGCTTTCTTCTTATTTTATTTCTTTTGAGACAAAGTCTTGCCCTGTTGCCCAGGCTGGAGTGCAGTGGCACCCTCAGCACACTGGAGTCTCCGCCTCCCAGGTTCAAGCGATTCTCCTGCCTCAGCCTCCTGAGTAGCTGGGACTACAGGTGCATGTCACCACACCTGGCTAATTTTTGTATTTTTAGTAGAGATGGGGTTTCACCATGTTGGCCAGGCTGGTCTCGAACTCCTGACTTCAGGTGATCCACCGGCCTTGGCCTCCCAAAGTGCTGGGATTACAGGCATGAACCACCATGCCCGGCCTACCAAGTGTTTTTTTCTGTTGTTTAGTTTTTTGTTTTGCTTTGTTTAACCTAACCCCCTGTTACCGACATTCATTCCAGTTGTGGCTGCACCAGTAATTCACTCATCGTCCTGGCTGCATAGTACCCCCAACGGCATGACCACGGCTGTGTATCCAGCCTTCTCCCACTTGGTTAATCCCAAGATTTTGCTGTTACAAGCAGAGAACAGCCTTGCCATGACAGCGTGCTCCGGGGACTCACTGGGTCGCAGCCCACGTGGCTACTTACAGCCCAGTGGTACCTATTTGTCTTCCAAAGTGTGATTCCAATGGACCCAGATCCCTCCACCCCGCTCTGCAGGTAGGATCTCCAGGTGCTTCCCAGCACTATTGTCAGGCATTGATAAAGGCAGACTCGTGACCTTTCAGCCGTCTTTTTGGTCCGTCTTTTTGGTACAAAATGGAATGCCTTTGTCGTGTGAATTCGCCTCCCCTAATTACTAATGAGCATTTCACCTGCTGACCGGCCACCCAGGCGTACCCTTCTCAGAGATCCCTGGTCACCTTCTTCTGTTCCCCTTTTCTATTAAATTGCTTTTCTTTTTTTTTTTTTTTTCTGAGACAGAGTCTCGCTCTGTCGCCCAGCCTGGAGTGCAGTGGCATGATCTCGGCTCACTGCAACCTCTGCCTCCCAGGTTGAAATGATTCTCCTGCCTCAGCCTCCCAAGCAGCTGGGATTACAGGCAAGCGCCATCACACCTGGCTAATTTTTGTATTTTTAGTAGAGACGGGGTTTCACCATGTTGGTCAGGCTGGTCTCAAACTCCTGACCTCGTGATCCGCCCGCTTCGGCCTCCCAAAGTGCTGGGATTACAGGCGTGAGCCACCGCGCCCGGCCTTAAATTGCTCTTTTATATCTTTTGAATTTCAAGCATGGGCACTACCTATTCAAAAACAAATGTAAAACACTGAATATATTATGGAGCTAATTGGACGTTAGAGTCCCCCATGGGGTGGGGTGGGTGATGTCATCATGCTGTGGCGTTCCCTAGGGACCTGGTCTCCACCCGGCCTCTGTCCTATCTCTGCTTTATTTTAACTTTCAAGGATGGATGTGACTTTCAGATGACTGATGGTTTCAGATTTTTTTGCTCCTTTTTTTTTTTTTTTGACATTATCCCCGGATCTTTTCAAAATAGTAATGACAGTAAAACAACAGAAAAGAACCATGTCAGAATTCTGATCACCATCATTATTAAACACACACATTCCTTTTCCTTCAACCAATACGGAGCACCTCCTATGTGCCAGGCCCCGATTTAAAGACTGCACATAAGGATATTCCTGAGCTTTTGCTTCTTTTTCTGAGCTACCTTAAGCATCCCTCAACACACACATTTCCCAGGGAGGCAGTGGCAGCTCAGAGCTCAAAGCCGTAGAGGTTCTCAGGGCCTAGAGCCCGCGGAGGCGGAACCTCAAAGCCGTGTTCATGGACTCAGGGAATTTTCAGGCTCTGCAGAGACAGTCAGACTCCCCGGCCCAAGCACCCAGGGTGTGCTGAAAGTTTAGATGTCACGTCCCTAAAACGTCAGCCTGTCTGTTTCCAGCCCACGCCGCCCCAGGCTGGACTTTGGGAAGTTCTGAACAGCCCCAGCTTCGCTGCATTCCCCAACTCCCTGCAACCCAGCGTAAACAACTCTGCACTCAGCCGCTTGGAGAGGTTGCTAGGATATTATCGCTTTGGGAAATGCAGGAACCAAGTTTGGAGAGGCTGCACAGCAGAGGGAGGGGACACAGCTGCAAAGCGCCCATCCTCCAGCCAGGCCCTCTGGGGGTTCGCCGGACCCTTGGGTGCCCAGGGTCCGAGGCAGCGCGTGGCTCCCCACCTCCCCTGGCACCACCCACACCCCCTGGCCTGTGTGCTGTGAGAAGGGGTCACTCAGTTCTGGGAGAGCCCGTGGATAGCCGAGGCCTGGGCGCTGGGCAGACTCCCAGGCTCGTTAGCGTGGCCATCCCTGGCGTATTTCCGGCCACAGTGCGAGAATGGGGAATGTTCTCTTTCATGGGCAGTGACCCCAGGATTTGCCATTTCTTATGTTTAAAGCTTGCGTTGATGGTCTGGCTGCCACCAACATTCTTCCCCCAGAGATAATGAAGTACAAAAGCCGGATGAATGTGAGCTGGGGACCCAGAGCACCCAAGGAAGGACAAGGGAACTCAGAAGAGCGGTCACTGCCCATCCCCTCCCTGGCTGTGCCTGGTCTGAGGGGCTCCAGGGCAAATCTTTCCCATTCTCCGCAGGTGCTTCCTCGGAGCCTGCACACGCACCTGGCCCTTCTCCCTGGGTTGTCTTCCATCCACCCCAAAGCCTGTGTCCACTGGGCAGGTGGAACTTCTGCTTAGGAACCTGCCCAAAGTGGGAGGAAGCTGCCCCCTGTCGCCCCCATGACAGCAGGGACCACACTAGGCTGCAGCTGCCCCTGGTCTTGACTCTGTCCCCCTGACATGAGCTCTTCCTGCACGCTTCAATTTATATTCTCCTTAGTATTCCTAAAGCTCAGCCACTGCCCACCACAAATTTTTTGTTTATGGATGTCCAGAATCTATTCAATCATTTCTCCTGTTTGTGAATGTTGAGGTTGTTTTTTGTCACTACATAAAATGCTTCAATATGTATTTCTCCAAAGTGGGATTTGAGATTTTAAAACGTGCTTATTTTTATTAGGCGTGGCCAAATTAGATTCCAAGGATTATGTAGCCCAAGCAATATCGAGCAGTATCTGTTTCCCTTATACTCCCACCAGTCCTAGGTGATGCTGGTATTTTTTGTTTTTTTAGTTTTTATTTCCTGGTTGTGTGATCGGTAAAAACAATACATCTTCGTATCGTTTTGTTTTGTTTTTAATTTTTTTATTTCCATAGGTTATTGGGGAACAGGTGGTGTTTGCTTACATGAGTAAGTTCCTTAGCGATGATTTGTGAGTTTTTGGTGCACCCATCACCCAAGCAGTATACACTGCACCCAACTTGTAGTCTTTTATCCCTCACCCCCTTCCTACCCTTTCCCCCGAGTCCCCAAAGTCCATTGTATCATTCTTATGCCTTTGCATCCTCATAGCTTAGCTCCCACTCATGAGTGAGAACACACGATGTTTAGTTTTCCATTCCTGAGTTACTTCACTTAGAATAATAGTCTCCAGTCTCATCCAGGTTGCTATAAATGCCATTGCTTCATTCCTTTTCATGGCTCAGTAGTATTCCATCGTATATATATCCCACAGTTTCTTTATCCGCTCATTGATTGACGGGCATTTGGGCTGCTTGCACATTTTTGCAATTGTGAATTGTGCTGCTGTAAACATGCGTGTGCAGGTATCTTTCTCATATAATGACTTCTTTTCCTCTGGGTAGATACCCAGCAGTGGGATTGCTGGGTCAAATGGTCTTTCTACTTCTAGTTCTTTAAGGAATCTCCACACTGTTTTCCACAGCAAATTTTTACAAAAGATGGAAAAATAGTGGACTCCTGCTCTCAGCCCCAGAGGGGCCAATGTGAGTGCAGGGGAATCACAGGAATCCCAAGACCAAGCCGCCCGAGACTGGGCTGGGCTCCCTGGGGGTGGGGCTTCTCACCCTTAGCACTACTAACACTTGGGGCTGGAACCATCTTAGTTGTAGGGGGCTGTCCCGGCCTCTCCCCACTACATGCCAATGGTACCACCCAAGTTGTGACAACCAAAAGTATCTCCAGACATAGCCAAAGTCCCCAGGGGGCAACTTCTTCCTGATGAAGAACCCCTGACCTGAGCAGCCCACCCAATCCCTGGGAAGCTCCGCAGACCCCAGATAGCAGGAAGGAGGGAGGGAGAGAGCAAGGGTCCTGTCCGGATGTCAAGCTCTGCCTACCGAGGCCCTGGCTGGGCTGCTACCTCCCCACCCACTCAACACAGGAGCCGGAGGCTCCTTCTCAGGCCAAGTGGTTAGGGTTGAGTGGGAACGGCAGGGCTGAGTGCACAGTGCCTGTCTGGAGCCGGGCAGAAAAGCAAAAGGCCTTTACGGCAAAGGGGTGCATAGGAGTCGGCCGAAGGAGGGCTGACTCATTGGGGGAAGCCATGGCAGGGCCCCATGGCCCAGGACCACTGCCTGGGCAGCATCGTCAGCTCAGGGTACCCCCGTCCACAGGCGGTGACCTTGGAAAAATCAGCAGAGCAAAGGCCAGGGACAGCCAGTGAGGGGGAGCCATGGCAGAGCTCAGACACAGGTGGTGACCCTGGAAAAATAAGCAGAGCAAAAGCCAGGGAAAACCGGCGAAGGGGGGCCATGGCAGAGCTCAGGCCGCATTCATGCTGGAGGTCAGGACCAGAGCCTGCTGCCACCTGGCTCATCTCAGGAGGGAAAGTGGCTCTGCAGAGATGGCAAATGTGTCTGCTCTCCCCCACCTGCGCCACACTGCCCCGCAGCATCACTTCCCGCCCTACACCTGCCATGACTCCCTAGCTGCTCACCCCACCTCCATCCTGCCCCCTCCGATGCATGCCCCACCCCAAAAGCAAACCCTGCTATGCCTTTTGGAGGCTCACCTCCTGTCCTCTGCAGCCTTCAGGCCTCAACTCAAGTGTGCCCTGCCCTCCCCAGCAAGGACAAATGCGTGCAGGTGTTGGGGACCACTCTGTCTCCATCAACTCCAGATGTTGTTTTCCACGTTTGTGTACATTTTTGATCAATGTCTGATTTCCCATTGGATTTTAATCTCCAGGAAGGTAGGCTGGGCTGTGGTTTGCTAAACTGTCTATCTCCAGCACCAAATAGTAACTGTACCATAGGCTGGGCTCCACAGTCATTGGGTGGGTAAATGAATGGATTAAATAGGCGTGGACAAGGGCTGTCTCTCCTGGCTGCAGAGGGCAAGATTCCAGACTGCAGTCAGCTCTTGAGGGCACCATGCAGCCCAGACACTGGTGCCCCAAGCGGCTTCTCCTCTAGATGGTGGAAACCTTTGAAGGCCGGCGATGGCACTGGGGGACCATCTGTAGGACAGTGGGGAGCCTGAGGTCTCAGTTAGGTGTTGAGGCTGAGCCAGGTGTTGAGGCTGAGGTCTCAGTTTGGTGTTGAGGCTAGATCAGGTCTACTCCAGAGAAGGGAAGGCCACTAGGGGTCACCAAGGCTACTGCCGTGAATTCAGTCCACTGCTGAGACCTGGCAGAGGTTGGGTGAAACTAGTCTGGCAGGCAGGAAGCAGGGAACACAAAGGGATCCGTGAAAGTTGAGCTTTGTGAGTGGAATTCCTTCAGAGCCTGAGGCCTGAGGAGTCTCCCAGTGGCCTGTGTGAAAATGGGAAGTGGCGTGGGGGGAGTGGATGTTCCCACTGCACAGGGAGGAGACACAGAGGACAGGAAGCTTGCTCTGCCCAGGGTCCCTCCTGCCTCCTGGGGAAGCTGACCTGAGCGAGGTGGGGGCCACATCCAAGGGGCCCTGAGGCCGCCTCAGCCTGCTGCTGTTTCCCACGCCTCGTCCTCAGCTGCAATGGAGAGACCAGGTCCCAGGAGGGAGGCTATTACAGGGCTTGACCCAGGCAAACCCGGAAGCCAGTGCCGGGAGTCTCCGAGGACCAGCCCTGTGAGAACAACCGTAAAGACTCCCCGCTGAGAGGCTTAAGAGACTGCCTCAGTGCCCACTCTGTGTCTGCCGGGCACTGGCCCCAGAACAAGGCCCTGTCCCAGGCTGGCCCCCGGGCTGGCTTCAGATCTTGGTCCCAGGATCCTGGAAAGCCCTTCCCAACTTCAACCCTTGGGCTCCAGTCATTGAAAGAGAAGAAGCCCGTTCTCCATGGGTGTGCTGGAGGTGCTGGGGGTGCTGAGGGTGTTGTTTGAAGGTGGGAGCCAGGGGAGGGCCCTCTGGGTTCTTCCAGCTCAGCAAAGGGTGGGGTAACAGCATAGAAACGTGGTGTTCTTTTTGCATGACCAGGTGGAAGATTAAAATCGCCCCTGGTAGAAAGGAGTCTAGTCTTGCCAGTGCTGCAGATTCTCGGTAAGATAACTTCAAATGCTTCTGCCACCAAGTCTCCCGACAAACACACATCTCCCTGGAAATGCAGACTCCCACTGATAAAGCCATCAGCACCTCACATGACAATGGGGTCCCTCCTTTTTACTCACTCTGGAACTGTGCCTGCTCAGGAGCCTGCAGGGTGCGGACAGGGCAGGAGGGTCACCTCCCGACCATGTGGTGCCGCATGCTTAGTGTCTAGGGAATGGAAAGGGCTGGCAAAGAGTCAGGCCCCCAGACCCCAGCCAAGCTGCACAGGGTTTTGGAAGAGGCTCCTAGCCGGGGTGCAGAAGGGGCTGGAACACTAGAGGAACTGAGACAGAAGCCCCGTGAGCAGAATGAGCACACACAGGGGAGTTCACAAAGGCTGCTGTTCTCTAGGGCTCCGGAGGCCAAGGTCCTCACTAGACCAACCCTTGGCAGCACCAGCCGATCCACCACCTGCCAGTGCCAGGGGCTCTGGGCTCTGGGCTCCAGGTCAGAGAAGGCCGGGGCTGGGAGAAGACCTTATCCCCCACACCATGGAGGAAAGCACTCTCAGGACCCCACGCCTGCTGTCTGTGGGCCTTCCTTCTCTCTGGTCAGATGTCAGGACTCCCTGGAGCAAAATGGTAGCAGCAGTGGGAAGTCTTTCTCAGTGTCCTCTGCACCTTCCGTTGAATCCCCGCCTCCCTCCTTCCTCCAGGCCTCATCATCTCCTATAAGACAGGGCTGGCTCCACTGCCCCACCTGCTTTCACATTTCTGTCACTTGGTGGAACCATGTATCACGTTAAGCATTTGAAGTGATCTTACCAAGAATCTGCAGCACTGGCAAGACTAGACTCCTTTCTACCAGGGGCGATTTTAATCTTCCACCCGGTCATGCAAAAAGAACACCACGTTTCCATGCTGTCACCCCACCCTTTGCTGAGCTGGAAGAACCCAGAGGGCCCTCCCCTGGCTCCCACCTTTATTGAGGGACCTCAATAAAGAAAGATTCATTTTACAGTCAACAATAAGCACGAACAGTAGAGATGACAGGTGCCTAGCAAGTATTTGCTGGATGGGTAGAAGGAAGGAAGAAAGGAGAGAGGGAAGGAAGGCAAGGGAAGGGAAATGAGGGAGGGGAAGGGAAGGGAGAGAGGGAAGGAGGGAGGAAGGAAGGAAGGAAGGAAAAGAGGAAGGAAATGAGAGTAATGGATGGATGAGTGGGTGGATGGATATGTGGATGGATGATAGATGGCTGGCTGGATGGATTAATGGATAGCTATGTGAGTGGATGGATGAACAGATGATGAATGGATAGATGGGTGGATGGGTTGATGTGTGAATGAATGATGGATAAATGGATGGGTGGATATGTGGGTAACTGGATGGATGGATGGATGGGTGGGTGGATGGATGGATGGATGGATGGATGGATGGATAGATATGTGGGTAGATGGGTAGGTGAAAGGCTGGGTAGGTGAGTGAGTGAGTTATATGTTTCAGGGATGCTCCAAATCAGGGAAACCCAACATCATAGAAAGGTGCTTCACAGTGGACTAAAGACTAATAAAAGATACCTTCCAACAGCAAGATTGCTTATGGTTTTAATTTTCTTCTTTGTGCTCCTCTGTATGAAACAAAATGGGGAAACTCTACTTACCAGAATGCCTGCCGGGGAGTGCAGATGTAATTAGAAGGCATACTATGGTAAGCCACGGGGGCAGAGGTGGGAGGGACATGACCCCTCCAAGCTGAGGCTTAAGCTTTAACATGGTGGTACCCCTGCTCTGTTAATAGGGAGGCCTCTCAAGGAAGCAGGCTTATCTTTGCTGAAGGAGATTTGATATCATGTGGGGGAGCTGAGGACTTAGAGAAGAGGCACTTGGCAGGAGGTGGGCAGAGAAGGTGGAGCTCTGATGGCCACAAGAGGGAAACAAGAGTAAGGACTCTACCTGTGGTAGAGAAAAGATGTGTTTATGGGAATGTTTGAGGCCATTTGCCATGGAGTGCTATGTGCTCGTCTGTCTTTTTAGCTTGATGTCTTGTTGCTGAGGGGCTTAGCAACAGCAGGCATTTATTACTTACATTTCTGGAAGCTGGAAGTCCAGCACCAAGGTTCTGGCAGACACAGTGTCTGGTGAGGGCTCACTTACTCCATTCCTAGTTTGCAGATAGCCGTTGATATGGATTGGCTGTGTCCCCACCCAAATCTCATCTTGGAATTTTACTCCCATAATTCCCACGTGTTGTGGGAGGGAGTCGCTGGGGGATAATTGAATCATGGGGCAGTTTCCCCCATACTGTTCTCGTGGTAGTGAACATAAGTCTCATGAGATCTGAGGGTTTTATCAGGGGTTTTGGCTTTGGCTGAAGGGGATCTGACATCGTGTGGGGGAGCTTAGGACTTAGAGAAGAGGCACTTGGCAGGAGGCGGGCAGAGAAGGTGGAGCTCTGATGGCCACAAAGAGGGAAGCAAACAAAAACAGACACCTGTGGTAGAGAAAAGACGCGTTTATGGGGGTGTTTGAGGCCATTTGCCTTGGAGTGGCAAATTCTCTGTTTGTCTGCTGCCATCCGTGTAAGACAGGACTTGGTCCTCCTTGCCTTCCGCCAAGATTGTGAGGCTTCCCCAGCCATATGGAACTTAAGTCCAATTAAACCTCTTTCTTTTGTAAATTGCCCAGTCTTGGGTATGTCTTTATAGGCAGCATGACTAATACAGCTGTTTTCTCACTGTGTGCCCACACGGTGGGGAGAGAAACAGAGACAGAGACACAGAGACACAGGGACATACAGAGACACAGAGACACACACAGAGAGAGACACAGAGACACACAGACACACAGAGAGACACAGAGACAGAGACACACAGGGACACACAGAGAGACACAGAGACAGAGACAGAGAGACAGAGACACACAGAGACGGAGACACACAGAGAAAGCATTTCTTTGCCTCTCTTCTGGTAAGGACTCTAATCCCATCATGAGGACCACAAGCTCATGACCTCATCACCTCCCAAAGGCCCCACCTCCCAAACCCATCTCATTGAAGATTAGGGTTTCCACATATGAATGTTGGGGGTACACGAACATTCAGTCCATAGCAACTCTTCCCCTCTGTTCCTTTATTAATTATTAATTATTAATTATGAGTTATTATTAATTATCATAGTTAATTATTAGTTATTAATAATCATAATATTAATTATCTATTAATTATAATATAATTAGTTATTATTAATTATATTTTTAAATATATAATTAATTATATTATATTTTATATACAATATATTTTAATATATTTTTAATATATTTTAATATATAATTAATTATAATAATTAGTTATTATTAACTATAATAATTAATAATACAAGTATTAATTATAATAATTAATAATACAAGTATTTATTATGAATTATGAATTGAAAATTACTAATACAACCTAAATATAAAACCTCCAAGTTCAGAGTTTGCCTGGATTTCAGTGGAAGCCGCGCCCCCACATCGGTATGCATTTTGCCTTGCAGGAGAGTGCGGCACCTTAGGAGCACTGTTCTCAGCACAGGCACTGCACCTCTGCATCTTTGCATGATTTTCTGCTGGGTGGAAATGGTGTGTCTTGTAGAAGGAGCACTTTGATCTGACTTGCATAAAGTTGCCACAACTCTAGAAGCAATCTAGAGGCAAAGCCACCTTTCGTGTGAGCTCAAGACAGAATTCAGAAGCCTAGAGGCAGGGAAACCCACGCGTCCAGATTCCATCCTTCCCAAATGTTCTACATTGTGAAACAAAGAGATGAAAACCCGGAGAGGTCAGTGGTCCCGTTCAGGCCCATTGAATACTCTGAAACATTGGGGCAACCCCAAGGCTCTGAGCATTACAGCTCATGGAAATCTCCCAAGGGCCTCAGCTCTGAGTGACACCCATCCCAGTTCACCTGGGTGTTCCTTGGCACAGGGAAAATGGCCGGCCTCGCCCCATCCCATGGCACCCACCTGAGCTGACCGGCTCGGCCCTGCAGCCAGCGATGGCCATATCCAGGCCACACGCCCCAACCTCCTGTACTTCAGGATCCTTCGAGAACTTTCTTGAAATCCCTGGAGAGTCTGGTTCTGTGGGTCTATGAAAGGCCCTGGGTACTGGTGCTTTTTTAAAACTCCCTGGTATTTTTGACTCACAGCCAGGTGGAGCTGCGGTTCCTCCTGGTTGCCAGGGCAGCCTTTGCCCCTCACAGTGAGCGTGCACGTGGCGTCCCAGAGCCTGTGCTGGGTGGGCAATGCTGAGTCCACAGACAGCCTCAGCGAGCCCCCACCCTACTGCTCTCCTAGACGTGCCCACGAGTGAGTGCGGAGTAGCTTCCCCAGCCCTGCTCCCCACCGGCCTCCAGGTCCTGGGTCTTCCCTGCTGATCTGAGCCCCTCCATTGCCTGACACCAGCGAAGGGGGCACAACTTCACACTGGGCTCACTTCGTCAAGGGGACCCTGAGTCACCAGGGTGTGTCCAGAGAACAAAGACCGGGCAGGGGAGGGGCAGGACAGGACAGGGTGGCTCAAACTTCCAGGAGCGCTGGGCTGGAGGCCTCCTGATATCTGCGAGGCTGACTCACGGTGGAGGGAGCAGCCGGCTGTGCTGTCCTCATGAGCAGGAGTGGCCGTGATAAGGGACAGATTTTAAACGATTAGAGAAAGAGCCCTCTGGCAGCCTGTGCTGCCCGGCCTCCTGGAGGAATGAGGCCCCATCCCTAGAAGCGTGCCAATAAGGAGGGGTGACGGTGACCCACCCGAAAGGGGGATCTGAGAGAGTGTAATGAAGGGACTATTATAAAAGGTGTGAGCAGAGAAAGGGGAAACCCAAGGAAGGGGGCGTGCCCAGAGCCCCCCCACTGGCAGCAGCAGGTGGGAGCTGTGGAGTCTTTCATCCCAAAGGGGGCCGAACAGGCTGGAGCCAGGCTGGAGGAAGGACCACCCAGGAGAAGCCACCTCCTTTAGCAAAGGAACCAGGCCATGGCAGACAGGGAGCCAGGGACACATTCCTCAACTTCTCTCTCCCCTGAAAATTATTCTCCCATCAGCCAAACTGAACAGAGGACACAGGGCAAGGAGGATGTGGGGGCATGCACAGCCCTGTAGGTCAGCGCCCAGGGCACAGGGCTGGGGAGGAGGGTGGAGGGTGGCTCTTAGGGACCTGGGGTGGCCCATTAAGTCCACTGCTGGGAAGAATTTGGGGTAAACCAGGCCCTGGCTCCTAGCAGGATCAGGATGCGGAGCAGAAGCTCACGGATGTGGCCATCTTCCCGGGCACATGCACTGCTTTGGAATTGGCCATCGGGGCTTATGGGTCAAGTTGGACTTGCTGGGTGATGTCACCCCCAGTGCAAAGAATCAGGCTCCCCACCGGGGACTTCTTGGTGACTCACACAGGCCAGCCCTCTCCCGGAGTGGTGAGGCAGCTCTTTGGATGACAAACTGGGCAGGAACAATGAGACAGTGTGGGCCTGCATTCCTGAGAATGAAGGGATTTCCCTTCCAAGTGCAAGGCTGTCCTGTGCTGGCCTCACCCATGACCCTACTCTGCCTCTGGGTGCTGCAGTGTGGCAGGTGCCCACACTGGCCCCCAGAAGGGCTGGAAGGAGGCAGGGAGGCTGGCTTATTGGCTCACCATTCAGCCCATGGAGCCAGGAGACCCTGAGAGTGACCGAGGGACCTTGTCGAACACTTTGGAAAGTCACAAGAACTGGATGCGGCTGACCAAGTTCCACAGGTCATGGGGGAAGAGAGAGAGAGCTGTTTGCTTCAGCAGGAAAATGCATCCCAGGAAAACAAAGTGCCGGGTCCAGCACCCACACACGTGCAGCCCATGGGGATACGACTAGCAGAATGACTAGGACCCACCTAGATATGGGTGCAGTCGCTTCCTAAACAATCGATTCATTTTCCAATTCATTGTACCATCATTGCCCATCTTAGCTGGAAGCCTAGACTCTTCCTCCTGAAGACTCACCCACTGATGTAGACCGTCCAAGAACATTAGGACTTACACAGCCCATAGGATTCACTCTGATTTCCAAGCCAAAGACAGAGGGCACTAGACCATCAATCCACAGAGCCCCTGGTTTGACCGAGGTTGTTTCTGTTGCCACCACAGGGTGTCGCTGTTGAACACTGGGTTGTGCATCCAGGCTCCCTGCCATGGGGGGACCTGCTCAGGCCCTCCTGGTGCCCCATGCTTGGCTCCAAAGGGCTGTGGATTCAAGGCTCGCCACTGTTCCCCATCAGGAGCCCCCATCGCTACATAGGCAGGACCAACTCCCTGCAACCTTGTGCTCAGCTGGGAAGCCGGTGGGTGGGGTCCCGTTGAGCACTGTGGGTTCTCAGGGCCCTCTACTGTCCGTGAACCTCAGTTGGAACCATTCTAGTCCATCCAAGAGTCTCTTAAGGGGGCCAGGGCTCCTACTCCCATCCCACCAAGAGGCTCCTTGCTCCCTGGACAGATCTGGCCACGTCCTTCCCAGCAACCAGCTCAACAGGGGTCCTGGAGAGAAGGAGATTGTCAGGCACAGAAGGTTCTGCTCTCATCCTCTCCAGACCCCACAGACCTAGCCTTTCTCCACGCCACCACTCTCTTTATCCCTCCAGTCAGAAAAGCAGATAGCACCTTCCCACCCTTCACCACAATAAAAAAAAGTGACATTTCACTCCACCTGACACCCTGCCAGTTGGAACTGAAGTCTGACGCTGATGATAACGGCCTGGATCCTGAGTTCTGGGAGTAGGACCCTGGGTTGGAGGTGGAGGAGGAGTAGGGGAAGCTGGGCAGGGAGAGGCACCGGGGGAAGGGAAGAGAAAGAGGAGGAAGAACAAGTTCTCCTTTCCTCAACTCAGGACCGCACTATTAGGAACATTTTGAAACAGAAGAAATGGGACTTTGTCCTCCTTCCTCCTTTATTTGGCAGTTTTGTTTGTCCCAGTGCTGCTTGCTCAAGCTCCCACGGGTAGCACTCACCTTCCTCCGTGTCCTGGGATCCCAGACACACCCCAAGAGAGCCTGTCCCAGCAGTGCAGGGCATCTTCATTTGGGTGTTAGCAGGAAAGCACACTGCACAAACAAATTCACACTAAAGTGAGAGTGGCTGATAGATAGTGACCCCTCTAAGAGCTAGGAGCATTCTCTACAGAAGTGGTTTCAGAGCCTAATTATTCACTAATTGGTGGGCTTCACACCCAAGTCAAAGGAAACATGGGCAGTGTTGGGGGGATACCTGGAGGGGGTGGGTGGAGCAGGTCACCCCTGGAGCCACAGCCTCAACATCACTCCTGCTCTTTGTGAGTTCCTTCCTCCTCTCGCCTCTGCACCGAATGTTTCTGTCCTGGCCCCCCATGAGGATAGGGGGCCCAGGTAGGATGGTGGACAGGTGGCCCTGGACTGAGGCCTCGAGGGACTGAGCTCTGGGCAGGTCAAGGGGATGCTGGCCTCCACACCAGAGACCCTAAAAGGACTGCCTTCTGTGGACCCTGAACTCCGCAGCACCATCCTGAGATCCTCGCTGCCCCCAGAAGACCCTCCGTTTTCACCGAAGTGAACTTGGCCAGAGTTAAGCTGCCCAGGAGTAGCATCCGGAGACTAATTTGAATTCCCAATGCCCCACCCATCCTCAGTGGTGGATCCAAAGTGGACAGAGCCTGCCTTTACCCATAGGGAAAACCACAGGGCTCATACCTCCCTGGGCCCCAGGAGCTCAAGCCCTTCTCAGCCTCCCTTGGACAGTTTCAGAGACATGGGGGTCACTCGAGTGACGCAGGGCCAGCCTTGCTTACAGAAGCCCATGACTCACCATGGTGGCGTCCGTGAAGGGCTCCCTGACCAACGTGGGCTCCTTCTCACAGGACCCTGCCTTCGGGGGTCAGGGACACGACCACCAGCTCCCCACCACTCGGCACCCCTGTCTCCTGTCAGCTGGGAGGTGGGCAGAGGGCCCCTCTGTCAGCTGAGCCCAGTGTCCTGGCATCTCCTGACTCAGGGTCAGGTCAGGCAGGTGAAGGCCCCACAGATGTCTAGGAAGCACCTGGTCTGCCTGGGCCAGGGCAGGGGTGGGCAGAGCCAGGCTCACTGAATCAGTCACTCAGATTCTCAGAGCTCCAGGTGCCTCATCTGGAGAACAGGGAGAATGAGAGCACCTCTCTGAGGATCCACGCCAGAACCCAATAGCCAAAGGGATTCACAGGAGCAAGGGAGGGTGAGTGAGGTCTGCAGCCCAGCAGGCAGACGGGGCGAGAGCCCGCGCGCCGTGAGCACAGCCAAGCACCGAGCTCATGTACCATATACGGTTTACGGGGTGAGAAGAGCTGGTGGGCTGTGAGCACAGCCAAGCACTGGGCCCATGTACCATACACAGTTTATGGGGTGAGAAGAGCTGGTGGGCCGTGAGCACAGCCAAGCACTGGGCCCGTGTGCCATACACAGTTTATGGGGTGAGAAGAGCTGGTGGGCCATGAGCACAGCCAAGCACTGGGCCCATGTACCATACACAGTTTATGGGGTGAGAAGAGCTGGTGGGCCGTGAGCACAGCCAAGCACTGGGCCCGTGTGCCATACACAGTTTATGGGGTGAGAAGAGCTGGTGCGCCGTGAGCACAGCCAAGCACTGGGCCCGTGTACCATACACACAGTTTATGATAAGAAGACGATGAGTGTGGTCATTATGGTTTCCCTGTTGTGGAGCAGGCAGATGAACAGGCAGCTCTAAAAAACAAGGAAAGATTTGAGAAGAGAGAGAGAGACAGAAGCAGACAGAGAGAGACACACACAGAGGGAGACAGAGAGACAGAAAAAGAAACAGAGACAGAGATAGCGAGAGAGAGAGAGAAACAGAAATACAGGCATAGAGAGACAGGGACAGAGAAAAGGAGAGACAGGTGAGAGACAGAGACTGAGATCGAGAAAGAGACAGGGACAGAGCAAGCTAGCCAGGGAAGCCCAGAACCCTTACAAGGAGGGTCTCCCAGATGGGGAAGGGGGAGAGGGACGGCATCATCTTCACAGACAATTCGGCGCTGGAAAAGACCAGCTTGAAGAGGAAGCGGGGACTTCTGAACTGTGGGAGAGGCATGTTGAAGCCCACATGGTTTGTCTTGGTGGCCAGGGGTTCCCCAGCAAAAGAGAGCCATGGTTAGGGTGAGGGAAATGTGGATGGGCAGGAGCCCATGCAGGAGCAGAATGTATTTTATCCTGTGGGGATGAGGAGTCCCTGAAATCATGAGCCAGCAGCACCTTTGGATGGAACAATCCAGTTTAGAGCTGGAGCTTTGCTGGCAAGACTGGAGGAGGGATGGAGGCTGAGTGAAGTCCGCAATCACAGCGCAGCTGGGCAAAGCAGGTGGTGCAGGAATGAACGCTGTGCTGAGGGACCTGAATCCTGGTGGAGGGAAGGCCCAGGCTGCTCCACTCTCCGGGGCAGAGGAGAGGCGGGAGGGAGCAGACACCTCGGTGCCCCACCTGTCACAGGGCACCCAGGTAGCAAAGTGGTCTCCTGTGTTGTGGCGCGAATGAATGGATGCATTTACTGGAGAGACATTCATAAGCAAAGAGCCCTGTAAGAAGGCAGATGAAAATCGGGCCAGCCTGGCTACATGGTTTGCAGGGCCCAGTGCAAAATGAAAATGTGGGGCCCCTTGTTCACAAAACAGAGAAAAGAAACATGACTCAAGGCACAAAAGTAGACAGCTTTTTCCTCTCATCTGCAGCCCCTTTCTTGGCTTCTTATGATGTTTTTTTGTTTGCCTTTCCTGTTGTCATAGAGCAAAGTTAAAATGTTAAATGATTGGCATGCATCTCAGCATGCTCATGTTTACCTTGCAAGATGCAACTAGAAGAGCATTTAACACACGTGTAGAATCATGGAAATTACACCATTCGGATCTCATAGCTCATACATACCTATATATTTTATTTATTTATTTTGAGACCGAGTTTCACTCTTATTGCCCAGGCTGGAGTGCAGTGGCACGATCTCGGCTCACCGCAACATTTGCCTCCTGGGTTCAAGCGATTCTCTTGCCTCAGCCTCCCGAGTAGCTGGGATTACAGGCATGCGCCACCACGCCCAGCTAATTTTGTATTTTTAGTAGAGATGGGGTTTCTCCATGTTGATCAGGCTGGTCTCGAACCCCGACCTTAGGTGATCCACCCGCCTCGGCCTCCCAAAGTGCTGGGATTACTGACGTGAGCCACCACGCCCAACCTGTTTTTTTGGTTTTTTTTTTTTTAGACAGGGTCTCACTCTGTCTCCCAGGCTGGAGTGCAGTGGCGTGATCTTGGCTCACTGTAACCTCCACCTCCAGGATTCAAACAATTCCCCTGCTTCAGCCTCCCAAGTAGCTGGGACTACAGCACCCGCCACCAAGCCCACCTAACTTATTTCGTGTTTTTAGTAGAGACAGGGTCCCATCATATTGGCCAGGCTGGTCTCGAACTCCTGACCTCAAGTGATCCGCGCACCTCAGCCTCCCAAAGTACTGGGATTTCAGGTGCAAGCCACTATGCCCGGCCTACCTGTGTATTTTAGATTCTGCAAGAGTAGTGGAAGCACAGCAGAAAATCATCTCAGCTGTTTTTATTTCACTTCTTTTCCGTCCCCTCTAGGTCACCATTTCCAGTGTCAGGGGCCGGCTAGCAGTAAGAAATGACAGGATGGCCTGCTTGGTCGTCTGTGTTTCTTAGAACTCTCTTGCCTTCTTCTGTGAATTCTGGCTTGAGTGGAATACGTGGCCCGAGGGGCTGTTAGGGTCCCGGGCACTCAGCCTTCGCACACTGACCTTGTCCTCACTTTGGGCTCCACTGAACGCCCAGGCATCGCGGGTGCCTCGGACTCTGTGCTTTATGAGTATTTGTACCAGGGACGCTGTCTGCAAATGGGTGGCAGTGAAGGGTGAACATCTTTGCACACCTGTATCCTTTGCTCTCGTGCACCCTCCATCAGCTCTCACTCAAAACCACAAGGTCAATGACAAAGTAATTAAGAGCTTGCTGAGCATGAAACCAAGCGTAGGGCCTGCCTGAGGCAGGGCTCTCTGGGACTGCAGGGGTCCCACGCCTGTGAGGCCGGCTCTGAAATGAGGCATTCTTCTCCTTACCTCTTGGGACCCCCTGGTCTGTGTGCAAGGCCAATGGGCTTACCTGAGATCCGTGTGCCTTTGGAGCCTATCTAGGTCAAAAATCCTATAAACGATACGCTCCTCCGTTAATGAGTACAGTTACTTCCCATTGGGTAAAATTAGGAGCACAGATTTAATTTAATATCTTTCTTTCTTTTTTTTTTAACATCAAGGTTTCTAGACCTAGTAGGTTCTTATTTTAATTTCAATCTGCTTTTATCCAAATCCCTGAAGACCAGGAGGAGAGCCGGCCCACATCTCCAACAAGCTTTGGTATGGGGTGGAAGGCGGAGATATGCGAGAGAGAGAGAGGAGGAAAAGAGAAAGCGTGGACCGGGAGCGGTGGCTCACGCCTGTAATTCCAGCACTTTGGGAGGCCGAGGCGGGTGGATCACCTGAGGTCAGGAGTTCAAGACCAGCCTGGCCAACATGGTGAAGCTCCATCTCTACTAAAAATACAAAAATTAGCCGGACATGGTGTAATCCCAGCTACCCGGGAGGCTAAGCCAGGAGAATCGCTTGAACCCAGGAGGCAGAAGTTGTAATGAGCCAAGATTGCACCACTGCACTCTAGCCTGGGCGACAGAGCAAGACTCTGTCTCAAAAAAAAAAAAAAGAAAGAAAGAAAGAAAGAAAGAAAGAAAGAAAGAAAGAAAGAAAGAAAGAAAGAAAGAAAGGAAAGAAAGAAAGAAAAAGAAAAGAAAGAAAGCAAGAATAGAAGGACATACCAAATAACTCGTGGGCAGAGGCAGGCACTTGGTAAGAGAGAGAGCAGGGGGCAAGCACAGGCTGGTCTGTGCAGGGAAGGAGGTCCTGGCAGAGGTGTGGTGGGGAGGGTCTGCAGAAGCCCAGACACACTTGGGCCAAGGTCAGGCCGGGTGAGGCCAGTCCATACCCACCAGGACGAATGAGGGAGCTGCCAGGTCCTCTGCAGGGCCTCCTTCGCACCCCATTTTTAACAGGGAGAAGTCAAAGCTGTTGCACAGCACCAGCGTGTGGCTCGTGCACCCTGGTGTTTGCAGATGCCTGCATCGGCGGGGCAGGCAGCCTGAGCACAGCTTGCGGCATTTATTTATCCTTTCAGCTTTAATGCATGAGCTTCCTGAGAAGAGACTGAAGGCTGTGGGATGGTGCATTCCTGGACGCTGGCATCACAGCTGAGGACCGGGCAAGGGTTGCAGGCACAGCTGTCACCAGGAGACAAATCAGTCTACTCCGGAGGCAGCCAGCTCTGCCACCTCTGACTCCTGGAACGGCTCAGGGGTGGAGCGGTGTGCAGAGGGAAGACCCGAATGTAGAAGCGCCTCTGTGCCCAGCACCACGGCCTCCTTTCTCTTCCTCCCCAGACGTTTCCCAGACTGTCTCCTTTGTTTTCATCATGGCCCTAGGAAGGACCAGGGACAGCTGGCGTTCACCGAGGGATGCCCGGCCACCTTTTGGCACATTTACACTCACAAACTTCTCTCTGCTGTGCAGCAGCCCTGGGAAGGAGGCGCCCTTATTGCCCCTATTTTACAGATGGGGAAACCGAGGCTAGTCAGTGAGGAAAGCAGGATGCGAGCCAGGCTGCCAGCCCAGTCAGTGGGAGCAGAAGCCTCCTCCGGGTGTTGGGCCTCTCAGTCCCCCACTTACAGGCCCAGGGGCACACAGCTGACAGTGGCTGGGGAGGAGCCAAACCTGGGTCTGGCACCAAAGTCAGGACTCCTTCCCCCAAACCAGATGGCCAAGGAGGCATGGCCCCTAAGATCACAGTGAGGAAGGGGTGACCGCACACTCCCCTCCACTCTTTCCCAGCAGGCCAGGCCCCAAGCTCCCCTTCCTTCATCCAGCCCAGCATGGCAGTGGGAGGGTGCCCTGGCCCTTCAGCTGCTGCTGGTTCCAATGGCTCCCACCCCAGCCTGCAGGGGCAGCTCAGATTTCCCTCCCCCTGCCTCTGACAAACACAAACCTACCTTCTGTCTCTATGGATTTGCCTATTCTGGGCATGTCATATAAATGGAGTCATGCATTGGATGGTCTTTTGCGACTGGCTTCTTTGAGTTGCACAGTGTCTTATAGGTTCATCCATGCTGTGCCCCATGCCAGTGCATTATTCCTTTTTTGTGGCTGAATAACACCCGACTGTGTGGATGGGCCACATTTTGTTTCTCCATCCATCCATCAATGCACACTTGGGTTGCTTTCACCTTTTGCCCGCTGTGAGTGGTGCCGCCATGAGCATTCATGTAGCAGCTTTGGTTTGAATGTCTAACAAGGCATCTAACGGGACGCCTGCCTGTCTTTGATTCTTTGGGGTATACACCTAGGAGTGGAATTTCTGGGTCATAAGGTAACTCTATGTTTGACTTATTGAGGAAGCACCAATCTGTCTTCCACAGTGGATGCACCATCTTATATTCCCCCGCCACCCACCCCACAGAAAAGGTATCTGAAAAGCTTCCCTTGCAGAGCTGCTGGGGAGACTATTAGCAACAGGTCAAAGCCTCTGCACTTTGCATCTAACAAATGGTGGAGAGTGGCTGGGGGGTGGTAGGACCAGCTGTGCAGGCACCCATCTACGCTCAAGCTCTAGCTCCAGCACTCCCAAGCTGTGTGCCCTCAAGCAAGTTACCCAACCTCTCCGAGCCTCGGTTTCCTTGTCTGTTCAATAGGGCTGTTGTCAGGACTGAATGAGCATGCGAAGTGCCTGCATCAGCTCCGGCCCATGGCCAGTGTTCCCCAAGCCTTGGCTCTCTGTACTCTTCCCAAGATGCTCAGCACCAGGGACTTCCTCTCTCTCTTTCACAGCCTCTTATCTTGTCCTGCACCTCTGGTGACCAGCACCAGCACCTTGCAGAGAAGGAGACAGTTCAGAGAGGTCATGTGGCTCACCCAGGCCACACTGCAGCCCCAAACTGTGACCAGATCCGCTGCTACCTCCTTTCCCTTCTGAGCTCAGCCTCCTAAGCCATTACCGCAGCAGAAACCGGAGCTCCGACATGGTGCTTAGAGTGACTGTTTAATGCCCATAAAATCCAAGGAACTCAATAATCCCAAATAAGGTCTCCTATGCATTCCCCCAGGATCCCAGCCCAGAAGGCAGAACCCGGGACGGTCTTAGAAGGGGAAAAACACTACACTTCAATTTTTCTCAAGTCTCTCAGTGTAAGACAGCTATGATGGTATCTCTAGGTCCAAACAAAAGCATCTAATGGGATGCCTGCCAAACCCTGCTAGCTTCAGGCATTCTTGCAGACAATTCAAAATAACCACATAATGTGTAGGAAAATGATAAGCAGGGTTCAAGTTTAATGGGCAGAATGAAATCCACTGTTCTTAGTTATGGGAAGGGTTTTTGGAAAAGGAGCAACTCTCAGATCAGATGTTTGTACCATGAGAGCCTCTCTACTTAATCACTTAATGACCAGGATTTTTTTAAGTTTCTAAAGAGATGTTTCTGGAAACCCAACAACCTCATCTCAACCAAGAATGAGCCCAGCCCAGCCAGGTGCAAGCTCCACTGTCCTCAGGGAGGCAGGGATGTCGGGACTGGTGGGGGTGGGGGGTTTCTGGCCTCCTCAGACTCAGACACCCCACAGCCTCTCAACACTGAGACTAGCCTGGAATATCCAAATCCAGGTCCTAGTGCCACCCCTTCACCAAGAGGCGATTTTGGTCAGTTGCTTAATTTCTTCAGGTGTCAGTTTTCTTACCAGCTAAATGGGTGTAAGTGGGTTTAAATGTCAAATGAGAAATTGAGGTTTGTAAAAGGGCCAGGCATCCTTTGAAGCTTTAGGAAGTGTCCACTGTCCAGCATCTTTATCATCATCAAGGTCACCTCCTTCATTTGACAGATGTTGGGGCACAGGCTCAGTGGCATGTGATGGCTCAGGCAACATCTCAGGTCATGGTGGAGATAAGGCAGCTCTGCATGCCAGGGTGGGGCTGCCTCCAGAACCCTCTGCTCTCCCACACTGCTCACCTGGTCTCAGCTCTGCCCCAGGTTTTTCACTTGTTTTGTCGTGACAACACACCCCAGAATATGGACCCGAGCATCACCTTATTCCACAGATGAGGAAACCAGAGTAAGGAAGTAAATAACGTCTCCAGAATCACACGGCTCACAAGGGACAGAGCAAGGATGGGAGCTGGGCATTTCTCCTCCCTGCCCCTGACACACGTGGGTCAGCCCAGCTCCATCCAGAGAGGAGGAAGAGGCAAGGCTGGCCTCACCGGGGGCTGGAGCCAGCAGCCGAGCCCCCAGGAGGCACTCCTGGCCTGGAGGTCAGGCCCTGGCAGGCTTCATCCCCAGCTGCGAGGCTGCTCTGGGGCGAGCCTCTGCAGCTGACGTTTCACTGTCCCAGAGCAGGTGGTGCAGGTAGCTCTGTCTGCTTACCCGGCCATTGCCAACTGTGGCCCGGCAGATGGGGTTCTAGGGAAGTGAGCAAGGCTCGGGCACTGGAGCAGCCAGGGTGGCACTTGGAGGGCTGCTCCAGGCCCTGCCAGCTTGTCATTCACTGGGGGCTCCCTTTTCTCCCAGGAAAAATGCCAAACTCCTCCCTGTGGCCTGTAGGGTCCTGCATGGGTGCCCCCATGCCTGCTTCCTCTCCCTCTTACTGCAGCCACACTGGGAGGCTTCCTTCAGTTCTCTAATGGATCAGTCTCCTTCCATCCACAGGGCCTTTGTGCCTGCTGTTTCTTCTGCCTGGAATTCCCATCGCCTCTTTGCCTCGCTAAGTCATTGTGTCCTTCCATTTGCAGCAACAACTTCCTTCTCTGGTATAGCAAGTCCAATAGTGGCCCCCCAAAAGACACGTTCAAGTCCTAGCTCCTTGTCCCTGTGAATATCACCTTATTTGGAAATAAGGTCTTTGCAGATGTCATTGAGGTAAGGACTACGAAATGAGATAATCCGGGATTAGGGTGACCCCCTACATCCAATAATGGCTGCCCTTGTAAGGGACAGAAAAGAATAAGACTTGGAGAGACATGCGGGGAAGGCTGTGTGATGCTGGAGGCAGATCAGACCCACATGTCTGCAAACCTGGATGGCCGAGGATTGCCGGCTACCCCCAGAAGTTGGAGCGTGGCCTGGAACAGAGCTTCTAGAAGGAACCCACCCTGCCGGCACCTTGATTTTGAGCTTCCAGTCTTCAGAACTGTTTAAACTGCCCAGTTTGTTGTGATTTGTTATGGCAGCCACAAGACATGAACACACTTGGAGACTGCCCTACAGTGACCAATCAGCCGGTTTTCCAGGATGAAGGGGGTTCTCTGAGATGTGGAACTCTCAGGGCTAAAACCAGGATGGTCCCAGGCAGAGCGGAATGGTTGGTCCCCATAGCCTGCCCTTACCACTCCTTTCTGGCCACCAAGTTTATGATAGCCCCCATTTCACACACCCGCAGCTCTGTGGGCGTCTTTGTGGTGCTTGTGGTCGTTACAATTAATTAGCTCATTGCTTTCATAATTATTCACACTGTAGTGGTCCTCACTAGAAAGTGAGCTCCTCGAAGCAAGGCCCTTGCCTGTTCCTGTCCCCCCACTGCCTAGTATAGCACTGCAGAGCTCAGGTGCTCTGGGAAGCTTTACCAGAATGAAATAATGAGGAGACTGGATCTCCTGGATGCCAAGGGGCAGACACAGGGTGGAGGAGGATGCCCCAAGGCATACAGTTGGTGCTCAGCTGTGGGAAATGTTTCACAGTATGGGGAGCTGGCCGAAGATGATCAAGCTGTGAGGGAGGTGGTGAGCGCCACGTCCCTGAAAGCATTTCAGTAGAGGCTGGGAGATGTCACGTGGCACAGCCCATGCTGGGGAGAGCTGCAACCAATGCTCTCTGAAGTCCCCCTCAGATCCCAGGATTATGTAAGAGTCCCACTCTGAATGCTGAAAACAGGGGAGGACAATTGGCCTGGGGCAGGGAGCACAGTGCAGGGGGTCATGGGGAGGGCTGGGTGTCCAGAGAGGACAGAGTGAGGATGCCAAATGGTGACAGTGGGTTCAAAGGCATCACTGCTGGGAGGGGCCAAAGACGGGAAGCTGAATAATAGTTCAAGCTGGACCCACTGTGAAGGTGAAAAACCAGCAGCAGAGGGTAAACTCACTTGTCCTTTACCCTGGAAATTGGATCTGGGGTCCTTACCTCACTTTTGCAGAGCTCCTCATAGTTCCCAAAGTACTTTTATGCACTGTCCTAGGCAAAGGAAACTTGTTCATTTTCCATGTAAAAATCCCAGGGTAGGCCTGGCCCGGTGGCTTACGCCTGTAATCCCAGCACATTGGGAGGCTGAGGCAGGTGGATCACCTGAGATCAGGAGTTCGAGATCAGCCTGGCCAATGTGGTGAAACCCCATCTATACTAAAAATACAAAAATCAGCCAGGTGTGGTGGCACACACCTCTAATCCCAGCTACTCCGTAGGCTGAACAGGAGAATCACTTGAACCCAGGAGGCAGAGGTTGCAGTGAGCCAAGATCGCACCACTGCACTCCAGCTTGGGCGACAGAGCAAGACTCTGTCTCGAAAAAAAAAAAAAAAATCCTAGGATGCACGAATGAGGATGGGTGCGCCCGGTTTCAGACACAGGCTTCTCACGTTTTGCCGCTCTGCGTTGCGAAGTCTCCATGCTCAAAGCCACTTCATGGCTTCATGATCCCAAATGGCTGCTGTGGCTCCGGCCATCACAGCCCTGCCTCAGCCAGAAGGCACTGGGAGAGGAAAGGGGAAGAGAATGCCCCTTTCTTTAGGATACTTCCTGGAAGCTGCACTCTCCTGTGCCATTAAAATGAACTGTAAGTGAAATAATAGGGAATTCTGGAAAATTTAGGTGGCCTTTTGTCATTTAATGTATTAATTAATCCCACCATCAATTTCGCACTACTGGCCTCTCTGCAATACCGATTCATCTTAGGAATTTCTCACTGCAGCCCTCCCAGGCAGGTCCCAGCAAGCCTACTTTACAGATGAGGAAACAGAGGCTAAGGAAGAGCTGACTTGCCTGTGGCCCCCACCGGGGGACGTGGCCCCCACTCGGGGACATGGCCAGACTGAAGGCTGAGCCCAGGGCTGGCGGATGCAGACCCCAGCTCCACCCCGCCCATTGCTTTGTGATGTCCTCCCGCATCCAGGCCACCCAATGAGTCATGGCCCCTTTGTACTTCCTCTTCCCTTCCGTGAATCACACTGTCCCCCGCCCCTGGGGCAGTGGTTCAGTCCATCCCAGATTGTCCCTTAGAGGAAACACCCAGGGATGGGAACAGCAACTGAGCCTACAGAGACCCCCATGATGGCTCCGACCTGAGGAGAAGGGCCCCCAGCAATAGACCACCCCTCAAGAGATGGCCACCAGGGAAGACCGCTTTTCCAGAGAGGCACAAGGGACTGTCCTATGCCTGCACCAAGGGGATCAGGCAGCTGGCCCCACAGGGAACTTGCACGGGGCCCTCTCTGGGCAGCCTCCTCAGCAGATAGCTACTCCTGGTGGGGAAGGAGAGTCCTCTGCTTGGTTCCCAACAGGGCCCAAGTTCAAGCCCCAGGGGCTCAGCACAACAGCCCCTCCAATGGAAACCCATCATCCCCTCCTCTACGTAATGAGCTCTGTCCAGGGTGCATGGTAAGTGGCAAGCCCTGAGCCTGATGGTCTTACTCTCGCTTGCCCTGCCCGGGTTGTGCATTCCCTAAACACCACAAAACCCCAGGGACACCTTCCATCCCTGAGCCCTGCTCTGCTCTGAGACACTCAGCTTGGCTTTATAAAATCTGTGTAAACTGGCCAGCCATGGTGGCTCACGCCTGTAATCCCAGCACTTTGGAAGACCAAGGCAGGTGGATCGCTTGACCCTAGGAGATCCAGACCAGCCTGGGTGGCATAGTGAGACCGCATCTCTATAAAGAATTTTAAAAATTAGCCAAGTGTCATGGCGCACTCCTGTAGTCCCAGCTACTGGGGAGGCTGAGGTGGGAAGACCCCTTGAGCTCAGCAGATTGAGGCTGCAGGGAGCTATGATGGCCCCACTGCACTCCAGGCTGGGAAAGAGCAAGACCCTGTCTCAAAAGAAGAAGAGGAAGAGGAAGAGGAGGAAGAAGACGATGAGGAAGAAGAAGGAGGAGGAGGAAGAGGAAGAAGAAGGAGGAGGAGGAAGAATAAGAAGAAGGAGAAGGAGGAGGAGGAGGGGGAAGGGGGGAGGGGGAAGGGGGGAGGGGGAGGGAAAAATCTGTGTAAGTTACCTATACATTGCACCAAAAAAAAAAAAAAAAAAAAACCCCACAAGGCTCTTCTGACACCTGATCTGGTTCTGCAAAATCCTCCAGGTCCTGGGATCTGGGTCCTTTGCTTCCCCAGTGCAGGCAGCACCCCCCGCTGCGTGCATGAAAAATGCACTAAAAGCCCATCAGACCCTTGGAACTCCATCCAAATGGGGGGCCTGAAGCCTGGGCAGCACGCACACTCCCACTGCCTGGCCAACAAGGACACAGAATTAATCGTTTCTCACAAAGTCAAAGGCAAAGAGGCCTCTGCAAGCGATAGGTTGGCTCTGTGACCAAATAAGGCAATATTACATTTCACTGTTTATAGCAGACCCTGGACAGGGCAGCTTGGAAGGCACTGGGAAGAAATGCAGTTCTCACTGGGGCTCCATTCCCAACATCCAATAACTCTGTCCAAGGCCAGTTATAATTTCTTTACAGAAACAACCATGTGTCACTTTTTAAATACACACTAAAACCCGAGAGGTGACCCAGTCTCAGCCCCAGGCCGTCGGTTCCCTTGAGTGGCAGCACCTGGCTTTGAACTTCCACATTCATGATTTAAAGGTGGGGAGAGCCCCTGAAAATTTATTTCAGGGCTTGAGTGAAAACAGAGGCATTTCTTAAAGGGCAAATTTCAGAGCTCCATTTGTGAGGTGCCTTTTTCTCCCCTGAGAATTTATTGCAAACTTTCTTTTGCAAATAAGACCTGTTGCTGCTGCAGCTAATAGCCTTGGGCAACATTTCTGTCCCGACAGTATTTATAAAATGAGAGACACAGTTGGCAGGGTGGAGTTTTAGTAATTGGTATTAATAATAAGACAAGTGTAAATGTTTAAAACCCATTAGGAGGCTTTAAATGCTAAACAAAGCTTCAACTTGCTGGCATTTGCACCCTGGATGGGGCCTAGCCTAACCTCCAGCTAAGAAAATTCTAAGGGGATTTCTAGCAGCTCCAGCAAAACTCTGTACTGTCTGCATAGACCACATTTACAGAGCCGCGGTGAGGGCATAGATTTACAAAATGGAACAGCATCAATCTTACCTTCAAAATAGGATTTTTACCTGTCCGGTGAGACCCCGGGCACTTCCTCAGGCACTGCATGAGGTTGGGAACTGCGTCTACTTTGATCCCTTCTCTCCATACCCGGACACCCTTTCCAGAACCCGTGGGTGCTCAGCAGAGGTTTTCTCTGAAAAGGAGAATGGACGAATGAGGGAATGAGTGAAATGTATTATTGCATCTTTTGCCAATGACAGCTTCTAATTTACCTTCCTCGAATCTCTGAGGTCATGTAGGATGGATCCGCAGTGGCTGAGGTAGCCAAGCAGAATAAAATTCTTGAGCCCAGAGTGGACCTCTGGGGAGGCCAGCAGCAAATGTGTCCTCAGCTGTTCTGCCTGCTACCCCCTGGCAGTCACCCTTCCAGCTGAGAGCTGCCCCCAGCCCCTGGAGGGGTCTCCCACCTCCTCTCTCACGGCCCCACCAGATGTGCACAGCTTCCCCACCAGGTGAGCAGCATGTGTGCAGGGTGACCGTGCTGTCACCGCCGTCACTGCTGCTAGGGCTCTGCCATCCCTGAGTCTGTGATGATGGTGACTGTCAGGCAGAACAAGTGGCCCATGGGGACAATGAAGGGCACAGCCCCTTGGCCACACCTAGCTACTGCTGCCTTAAACCCACCGCCCGAAAGAAGGGCAATGTACCTTCCCAGATGACCAATAATACCAGGGACCCAGTGTGACTTTTTTTTTTTTTTTTTGAGATGGAGTTTCGCTCTTTTCACCCAGGCTGGAGTGCAGTGGCAGCATCTCCACTCACTGCAACCTCCACCTCCCAGGTTCAAGTGATTCCTACCTCAGCCTCCCCAGTAGCTGGGATTACAGGCACGCACTACCACAACTGGTCAACTTTGCATTTTTGGTAGAGACGGGATTTCACCATGTTGGTCAGGCTGGTCTCAAACCTCAGGTGATCCCCCAGCGTCGGCCTCTCAAAGTGCTGGGATTACAGGTGTGAGCCACTGCGCCCAGCCCCCAGTGTGACTTCTTAAAGGAGCACATCACTGGACGTGAGACCCACCCGGGGCAAGCCTCTGGCCTGCACAGACCTTGGGCATCATCATTCATCCAACAGAAATTCACCCAGTACCGGCCACGTGCTGACCATCAGCAAGCAAACCAGGCCAGGATTCCTGGCCTGCTGGACACAACCCCATGACATGAAAATCAGCCAACATTTTTTGAGCACCTACTGTGTGCTGGGACCCCATGCTCAGCATTCTACTCTCGTTACCTCATTTAATCCTCAAGACAGCCCTGCAAAGCATGTGCAGCTGTGACCCCCGTGTATCCGTTGAGGAAACAGAGACCCCAAGGAAAGAAAGAACTTGCCCTGACGTGTTTTCTTCCTCGCTCCTAACCAGCTCTGCTGCTACACACAGCCCCTCCCGGGGCCCTACCCCAGGCCCCTCCCCAGGCCCCTCCCCAGGCCCTGCCACGCTGCTTCATGAGATGGAGATATACAGCTCCTCAGGGCAGGGTTGGTGAGAATATCCAAAAAAAAAGGAGGTTAAGCACCTGACACTGCTTGGGAAACAAAGGAGGCACTCAGGGTGGCCCCGCAATGGAAGTCGCTGCTCAGGGGGTTAATGCAGGCTGTGAAACAGGGCCACCTGCAACCGTGGCTTTTCAAAGCTGAAGCCATACCCTGGAGGGAGAGAGGATCCTTGGGCACTGACCCTGGCTGTCCACAGCTAAATGATCATGGGACACCCATGACCATGGGCGTGGCTGGAGGAGGCCCTGCCCTCAGGGGTCTATTGGCATCCAGGGGAAGTGTCTACGGGGTAATGATTAACCCACACCTGCCACCTGGTTTTCAGCCTTCTTGCCCTGCTGACTCATTTTGCAAATCCCACTTGCAAAATTTGGGAGCAGCCTGGGTCCAGCCCCCGCCACGCCACCTCACCTGAGATTCCAGCAGTGGAGGTGCTGCGTCGCCGGGTGGGGTGGCCCTGGCATTCGGACCTGCCACTGGGAAGCCCGAGGCCGGCATGTGGGAGGCGAGTGGGATGGAGGAAAGAGCGATGGAAGAGCTGGCGATGGAGGAGACAGCGCTGGACCCTCTGCTGGCAGGTAAGGATGGGGTTGGGGCGTTGGGGTGAGAGGCAGGGGACAAGGAGAGCATCACTTGCTGTCAACCCTGCCTAGGCAGAACACCCAGCCTGCCCCCTGGGACCCTGCAGAGAGCATGGGGAGGACCCAGAGAGCAGACTTCTAAGCAGTGTCCCACCCTGCCCAGTTGATTGAGGGCAAGAGAGGTGCCCCCAAGGTGGGCAGGGCCTGACAGTGGGTGAGTTGATGCAAGCACCTTCTAGGGTGGCAAACAACCCCTCCTGAGAACAATGATCACAAACCCTAGAGCTGCTCAGCCTCAGTACTGGTGACCCTGCAGGGGGACAATTCTTCATCTTAGGGGTGTTCTGGGCACTGGGAAATGTTTACAGCATCCCTGGCCTCCACGCAGTAGAGGCCAGTGCACCCCTACCCTCTGTTGTGACAACCTAAAAATGTCTCCAGACATTGCCCAATGTCCCCTGAGGGCACAGTCCACCAGCTCCCTGGAGAACCACACGCTGTCTGTATCGCACGTTAGCTAGCATCAGGCTCTGAGCGCCCGTATCGCACGTTAGCTAGCATCAGGCTCCGAGCGCCCGTATCACACGTTAGCTAGCATCAGGTTCCGAGCGCCTGTATTGCACGTTAGCTAGCATCAGGCTCCGAGCGCCTGTATCGCACATTAGCTAGCATCAGGCTCTGAGCGCCGGTATCGCACGTTAGCTAGCATCAGGCTCTGAGCGTAGCCTTCAGCCATGATGCACCTGAGCTTCATCAGGTCCTAGGAGGTTGGTCCGATGCTGGTGGTGACTCAAGGCTTTGGGGCCAGGCCCCCGCATTCCATCTCAGACTTCTTCTTCATGAGCTGGGCCACCCAGAGCCAGTTGCCTGGCCTGTCTCTGCCTTAGTTTACCCATCAGTAAGCGGGGCTGATAATGCCATCCACCCCAGAGGACTCTGGAGTAGGGAAAGTGCATAAATGAAAACATGTCAAGGGCTCTGAGCACAGGGCCTGGCACCTGCTAAATGCTGTCACGGCCCCCGTTTACACAAGAGTAAAGCTGAGGCCTGGAGAAATCCAGTCACCTGCCCGAGGGCCACACAACTGGTCCGGTGAGGGCTGTGAGTAACCCTGGATGTCCCTCTGCAGAGTCTTCTGTGCAGAGAAAGGAGACATTGAAAAGAGGGGCTGAGAATTCAGAGTCCTAGCCCGAGGCCTGCCCTGTTCTACCTGTGTGGCCTTGGGTAGTTCACTCCCCTCTCTGGGCCTGGGTCCCTGTTGGATGAGAGATTCCATTTTCAGCAACACTCATGGAGTGGCTGCTGGGCCTGCTGTGTCTCGCATTGATCTTGTCTTACAGGGACTCCTGCTCAGTGGAGGTGGGGTGTCTGAGGGCCTTCCTGGCATCAGGGGTGGGCAGGGAGACTTTGGGGTCCACTATATCTATCCGACCAGCCCCATCCTTCATCCCAAGGTTTATCGAGTGAATGAATGAATGGATGAGCAAGTGAGGAAGCTGACCACCTTCCCCTGGCCCTGTGGGAACTCGGGAACACTGGCTGGAACGTCCTCTCCTGTAGTACAAAGCAGGAGGAGGAGGCCATTCTTGGTGCCTCCCTGAGAGAGGCCTGAGCCAGGGGTGGTGGTGGGTGGGGAGCTGCCTTCCCAGAGACCCCTTGGGCCAAAGCAGGAACGACCCCCAGGGATGACCCTCTGCCTCTGGGGCCCTCTGGCCTCCTTTGGAAGCAAGTTCCAAAGGCAGAGGCAGACAGGGTGAGCATTTGCAAAAATGAGCAAATTCGCTGGAAAAGAACGGATTTTTATTTTTGGTTTGTTCTCGACGTGTCGGAGAGTCAAGACAGAGGGAGGAGGAATGTGAATTAAGCAATAAAATGTTTACCAAGGAGCCCTCGAATGACTCCGGCGTGCTGCCAAAGTTCTGTGATCCCTGAACTGAGATTGTTCGAGGACCCGTTTCTTCCTCGGTGGCCCCCGATGGCCCTGCTGAGATGCAGGGATGCGGTGGCATCGCTCTGTCATTCCTCAGGCAGGGTCCCTTCCCAGCTGGTCTGAGCCACTCACACCTAGAGGGCATGAGCACTTGGACCTCCAAGGGCAGAGGGGGCTCAGAGGCCAGCCTCCACCTCTCTTTCGTGGACAGGATTTCTGTCCAGGAGCAGCAGGGAATGGTACTCTTATGCCAACTACACAGCCCGCGGACTTTGGACCTAGCCTTCAGTATGTGCTGGCAGCACAGGGTTGTCCCTTGAGGGAGCCCTGGCAGGACCCTTTGTTGCACTGTTGGAAGCTGCACCCTCCAGTCTTCACTCCTTTGTCACTAACCTCTAGGTTCTCAGAGCCTGGATTACAGCTCCAGCCTCTCCAGAGAGGAGCAGTTAGATATGTGGCAGTCAGTCACACTCTAGTGTAAATGAAGCCAGCCGTGGTCTTTCTTGGTGGCTGCTGCCTGAATGGAAGTGGGATCCCCTTCAGGATGTTAGACAGCCACGGGACTGCAAGGGCTGCAGGGCCACGGGAGGGTCCCTCATAGGGGCCGGGGTGCACAGCTGCCGGTGGAAAGCCGTGCCCCTTCTCCTGCTGTCCCCAAAGCCCCAGGGAATCTCCTTCGGAGCCATGGGTAGCCTTCCTCCTAGGGCAGAGGCTGAGAAGGGTGGTAGGAGAACTACATGATCTGGTCTGAGGTGTGGCTGGATCCTGGTGCTGGGACTGACCTGGGGCAAATCTGGGGAGTCTCTCTGCACTCAGCTCTCTCTTCTGGAAAAATGGGAATGAGACTCCTGGAAGGACTGGAGTCAAGCGGCTGTGCTTTCTCTGGTGATGTTCACGGTCTGACGCTGGAGATGGAAGAGGCTTCTATCTCTGGCTACTGCCCCCGTCTCTCTTTAGACTAGGAACCTGAGCATCCAGCTCTCCTGGGAAAGTGCATCTCTCCTGCCAAGAGAAGTTGTGAAATGCGGCTGCCGGGTCGCAGGGTAAAGAGAAAGAGGCAGTCTGGGAGCCTCAAGAGACCCGGATGCGGCCAGGCACGGTGGCTCACACCTGTAATCCCAGCACTTTGGGAGGCCGAGGCGGGTGGATCACAAGGTCAGGAGTTCGAGAACAGCCTGGCCAATATGGTGAAACCCCGTCTTTACTAAAAATACAAAAATTAGCCAGGCGTGGTGGTGGGCACCTGTAGTCCCAGCTACTTAGGAGGCTGAGGCAGGAGAATCGCTTGAACCTGGGGGGCAGAGGTTGCAGTGAGCTGAGATCATGCCACTGCACTCCAGCCTGGACAACAGAGTGAGACTCATCTCAAAAAACAAACAAACAAACAAAACGAAAGAGAGACCTGGATGCAGGAGCATGGCCAGGATGAACTGTGTCCCTCCCCATCAATCAGAAAGGGGGTTCCCCGGTGTGAGAGGGGAATTGCCATGCAATTGCAGGGGTGAGGGTGACGTGTTCTCAGAGCTTCAGAGAGAATCCCTGCTAACAGGAAATGCAGACAAACAGGAAGAGAGGAAGGGGAGGGCAAAGGAGGGAAGGCTGGGGGAAGTTCTTTCTCCCGAGGAGACCCCAAAGAGGTGAGGCTCCACATCAGAAGCCCGAGCAGAACCCCGCGGCCACAGTGCGCACGGCTGCAGAGAGCCCAGGCACTGTGCTTCGGTCCCAGCCCCAGCCTTGGCCTCAAGGGAAGGGTTTTCTCAGACCCACGGGGAACAGCAGCCCCCGGAGCCCAGAGCTGAGCTGACAGCACCGTGGTGTTCACTTTCCAAGTGCCACCAGCCCCATCGATCAGTCCTCCTGGGAATGTCATGTTAGGAAAGGTTCGTGAACTGTGGTCCCGACCAGCACGCGGGAGGCAGGGGCTGTTTGCTTTAGCAACAACTTCACACAGGTCTGAAGCGAAATGTTTACATAAGGGGAACTCTGTGACCTCGGGAAGGTCACTCCCCTTCTCTGGGGCTGTTTTTTCATGTCTGTCATGATAAGGGAGGAGTTCAAATGTGGCCTCGCAGGGAGTGGGGACCCAGGGAAGGCCTCCATTGATTCTGCAGTGAGAGGCAGAAATGCCACCTTTAAAAGGGTGGAAGTTAATTTCTCTAACAGAAAACAAGTCAAGAGGTGGGCATTCCAGGATCCCAAGGCTGGTAGGGGCCTCATGCAGTCATCGGACACCCTGTGTTCTCTCAGGCCGCCCTCCCATGCTCAGCACGGATATCCACCTTGTGGCCCAAGATGGCTGCTTGGGCTCAAGTCATCACATATGCGTTCCAGCCAGCAGGAAACAGAAAGGGCAAAGAGAGGCACTCTCCCTTCTTGGAAGCTGCCCCCTGGCCTGAACTTAGTCCATGGCCACACCTGGCTGCAGAGAACAGGACATGCAGTTTTTGTTCTGGGTTGTCACATGTCAGGTAAAAACTAGGCAATCTCTTACTGAGAAAAAGGCCAAGAATAAATATTGGGGGTGGGGAGGAGAACTGTCAGTCTGTGACACAGGTTCAGGACAGAATTCCTAGTCCCTGTGCTGGGGGGGCACCAACTAGCTGGAGACCTGGGGTTTCACTTCTTCCCTCTGAGTCTCAGTTTCCTCATCTGTAAAAGGGGAGAGTTGGTCCCCATGGTCTCTGGGTCCTCTCCAGCCTAGACCACGTGTGATTCTATGTTCCACACAATTTGCCTCATGGAGCTTTCTAGATTTGAAGCTCTGCTAGGACAGAGAGTTTTGTGTGTTCTGTTCTCTGCTGTATCCTAGAACTGTGCCTGGCACGTGGTCTGTGTGTTTGCTGAGCAGCTGAATGATGGCTGGTGTTTTAACAGGTTGAATTTGTATAGAGGCCACTTGCTTTTGCTCTCTTCTTTAAAAAAGAGAAACTTCTAAAAAGTTTCTAAGAAAAAAACTTTTCATTTTTTCTTTTTCTTTTTACTCCTCCTCCTCCTCCCTTCCTTCTTGTTTGTTTTGTTTTTGTTTTTTAGATACTCAGACTTTTCCTCACTGGCTGCCTCCCTGTCTTCCTTCCCAGACCATGGACTGGGGCTGTCGGAGGAGGCCAAGTGAGAGAATCAAAGCTCACCCTCACTTTCAGAGCTCCAGGCCCGGGGAGGCCTGTGGCTAATGCTGGATGAGCTTTGACACCCAGTAGGGGTGTCCTCCCCGTGTGTTTATGTAACTCTCACCTTCACGACTGCCGGAAAGGTGACTCTTATCCCATCCTTACCTACTTTGCAGAGAACAAAACAGACACTGACTGCTTCAGTCTGTGAGATGACAGAAATGACTCCCATTGCAAAGAAAAGTGAAAGCGAGGCTGGGCGCGGTGGCTCACACCTGTAATCTCAGCACTTTGAGAGGCCCAGGCGGGTGGATCCCTTGAGGTCAAAAGTTTGAGACCAGCCTGCCCAATATGGCGAAACCCCGGCTCTACTAAAAAAATAAATAAATAAATAATACAAAAATTAGCCGGAAATCGCTTGAACCCAGGAGGCAGAGGTTGTAGTGAGCCAAGATCATGCTACTGCACTCTAGCCTTCATGACAGAGCAAGACTCCGTCTCAAAAAAAAAAAAAAAAAAAAAAAGTGAAGGTGAAATCAGAGAAACCAGTATGCCAGGGCATTGACCAACAGGCTACTGTTGAAAATGCCGGCGTTATCTCAGCCTAAAATGTACAGTATGAGCCGTGTGTGGCTAGACTGTCTTTGAAATGAGTGCCCAGTCACTCGAGGACACACTTTTCAGTCCTGAAAGTCAGGAGTGCCACTGCAAACACACAAGCAGCCGGCATCAACTCAATGATGAGACAACCGCCTTGCAGACAATGCAACGCCTCGTTTCCTGGGAGGGGTGTACAGGCACGCACCTGCTGTGTACGTATTTCCTTTGAAAACTGTAAAGTGCTATAATTAACATGATATGTATCGTCTTCCTGGAGCTGTGAAACAATTCATGACCCACTGGGTTTTGTTGTTAGTGCTTTCACTGTATTTTGATAAGACGGTCCTGTGTAAAGACGCTGTATCAACATTTGCCTGGAGACGTAGTTCACAACCCTAAGAAGACTCAGGTCCTTACCCTGACAGCACGCCTCAGAGAGTTCGGCATGTTGTAAGGCAACAGCCAGCTGCACTCAGGGCCTCTGCGTGGTCGAGATGTTCTTCCCCAGATGCCTGCAGATCTACCTGCCGGCCTCCATTCAGGCCTCTACACACACCCATACTCAGTGGGACCCTCCCTGGCCTGGCCCCTATCTGGCATTTTTTTTTCTTTTTACTTTTCTTTTTCTTTCTTTTTTTTTTGAGACAGAGTTTCGCTCTTGTTGCCCAGGCTGGAGTGCAATGACAAGATCTCAGCCCACTGCAACCTCCACCTCCCGGGTTCAAGCAATTCTCCTGCCTCAGCCTCCTGAGTAGCTAGAATTACAGGCGTGTGCCACCACACCCAGATAATTTTTGTATTTTTAGTAGAGATGGGGTTTTCCATGTTGGTCAGGCTGGTCTTGAACTCCTGACCTCAGGTGATCCACCCACCTCAGCCTCCCAAGGTGCTGGGATTACAGGCGTGAGCCACCGCGCCCAGCTCTGGCATCTCACTCTGTCCCCTCACCCTGCTTCATTTTTCTTCAAAACTCCCTCGTGATCTGGCATGATATATTTGCTTATTCTCTTTCTCCCCCATAAAAATATAATTTTCTTAAAAGCAGAGACTTTTTCAAAAAATCACTGTATCCTCAGCACTTCGACCTGCGTCCGAGGGATCGGAGGTGCTCCAGGAAATGCTGATTGGCTGACATCTTCCACTTTTCTAAATATTTTCCACTGGCCCTGAAAGACTCTATTAAACAGGAAAAATGCTTTGGCTCCTCCTGTCTCGGGCTCTAGGGAGTTATCCTTGCTAGGCGGTGCGAGGCATCATAGAGCATCTTCTACTTTATTGCAGGCCTTTAGATTCCTTCTGGTTCCTTAGCCGGGCGCGGTGGCTCATGTCTGTAATCCCCGCACTTTGGGAGGCCGAAGCGGGTGGATCACAAGGTCAGGAGTTCAAGACCAACCTGGCCAACATGGTGAAACCCCATCTCTACTAAAAATACAAAAATTAGCCGGGCGTGGTGGTGCGTGCCTGTAATCCCAGCTACTCGGGAGGCTAAGGCAGGAGAATGGCTTGAACCCGGGAGGTGGAGGTTGCAGTGAGTCGAGATCATGCCACTGCACTCCAGCCTGAGTGACAGAGCAAGACTCCGTCTAAAAAAAAAAAAAATTGGATTCCTTCTGGTTTCAAAAAGGTTGTAAGATAGCTTACCAACATATTTTTAATTCCTCAAAAAATAAGACAATCTGGAAGTTCACAGGAAAAAATGAGGCACAGGGAAGATAGGGTTCAGAAAGTCAGATATTAAAAATAATATTTAAGGCCAGGCACAGTGGTTCATACCTGTAATTCCAGCACTTTGAGAGGCCGAGGTGGGTGGATCACCTGAGGACAGGAGTTCGAGACCAGCCTGGCCAACATGGTGAAACTCCATCTCTACTAAAAATACAAAAATTAGCCAGGTGTGGTGGTGGGCACCTGTAATCCCAGCTACTCGGGAGGCTGAGGTGGGAGAAACGCTTGAACCTGGGAAGCAGAGGAAGCAGAGGAAGTGAGCCAAGATCATGCCACTGCACTCCAGCCTGGAAGACAGAGCCAGGCTCTGTCTCAAAATAATAACAATAATAACAATATTTAATTAACACTTAGAGATGGTTACTATGGGCAAGACACAGGCTGTTCCACCTGGTTTTGGTCACATGTTCTCCATGACAAACCTTGGGCTAGGTACTATCATGAACGACCGCTTTACAGATGAGGAAACTGAGGCACAGAAAGGAAAGGGCGTCTGCCCAAGACGGCTGAGCTGGTTCAAGGTGTGCAGCAGTAGTCTCTTGGCCAGCAGAACCTCATGCTCTTGGCCCTGACCCCTGGACCCAGGGATGGGGGACCCACCTGTGGATGACCTGGAGCCCTAAGCACCTGCTCAGTGTACCTCCCCACATTGTCTCTGAGCCTCCCAGCAGCCAGTTCTAGGAGAGAAACACAAGCTGTTCTACAATTTATGGTGCCTGTGAAATCTGGCCACACCTGTGGCTCAGAAGGAAGATGCCAAGACCAGCAGCCTTCCGGGCAGGAGAGCTCTGCTCTCTGTGGATCAGGATTCCTGGCTGCAAGCAACAGGATCGGAGTCCGGTTCTTATCTGAAAAAGACTAGGATGCCTCCGTCTCTAAAAAAAAAAAAAAAAAAAAGAAGAGATTAGGACACACACACAGAGGAATGACCATGTGGGGACACAGGGAGAAGGTGGCCGTCTGCAAAAAGACTAAACTGCCCTGAGAGGCAGCTACGGAGGCAGCCTGGGAGGGGCTGGAGCTGGAGGGGCTGGCGTCCCACCCCACGCTGCTGCAGGACAACCCCACAACCGCACGTGGCTACCATGGCCACTGACGGCACCAAGGGAATCCTAACCTGCTCTCTCCGGGTCAGAGGCTGAGCCTCTCACAGGTGCACCCGACAGGCCAAGCCTGGGTCCCATGTCCATGTTGTCCAGTTGGCCCAGCTGCCAGGGAGATGGAGCAGTGGCCTCCCTACCCCCTCCCCACAGTGGGCTCTGTACCCATCAATCTGACACCAGTGGGGGATCCCCCAGATGGAAGGAGAGTTTGGTGCTGGACAGCCCCCCTCCCCAAAATGGCAAATGCCTACTACGCCCTCCCTGTGAGTCCCCAGAGGAGAGCTGCCCGTGGACCCACTAACAGCCACAGGCTCTCACTGTCTTTGAAGCGGGGGATGAGGGAGCTGGCACCTATCTGTACAAAGGAGGATTCTAAACTGAGGGAGCTGAGCAAGCCCCTGAGGACCACCCCTGGAGCCCCCTTCAGGGGTGATTTGGGCTCCTTCTAGCACAGAAGCTTGTGGGCAGTTGGGGTGCCAGAGGGACACCCCCTCACTTGGTCCTAGGAAATGTGCAAACCATCCTTATGGGGTTTATCCCTCCCTCCACTGGCAGCTGTGGGACTCTGGCTCCGGGATCCGCTCTCCAGGACAAACTTCCACAAAGCAGCCCCCTGGTCTTGAAACCAGAGCTCACCAGCCAGCGAAACCTGTCACCACCTGGCAGGTAGTATAACCCACATTTTAGCGCAGCTGGTCCAGAATCCCATTGACTGGTAGGAGCACGGCAGTTGAACTTTGCATGATTTTGTTTTGGTTGATGGTGTTGCACACATAGGTGGGGACAAAACACTCATGTACCATGCTGTGTTGAGACCCTCGGTGCCCCCAGCCCTGCCCTTGGCCTTGCTGTCCTCTGCGCCCTGGGGTGCGGGAAGGACTGGCCCTTAGGGACCGTGCCCGCCTGTCCCCACCATGCTCTGGGCCTTGGATGCACTGCTGGTTGCCCTTCACCTGGGCCGTGTCTCTGTAAATGGTCCTTTTAATAAATCCTGTCATGAGTTGAAATCTGTCCCCTTACATTCCTGTTAAAGGCCTAACCTCCAGGACCTCAGCATGCAACTGTATCAAGTTAAAATGAGGCTGTTAGGTGGGTTCTAATTCAGTCTGACTGGCCCCTTCTAAGAAGGCTCACGCCTGTAATCCCAGCACTTTGGGAGGCCAGGGCGGGCGGATCATGAGGTCAGGAGTTCGAGACCATCCTGGCTAACACGGTGAAACCCCGTCTACTAAAAATACAAAAAATTAGCGGTGCACGGTGGTGGGCGCCTGTAGTCGCAGCTACTCGGGAGGCTGAGGCAGGAGAATGGCGTGAACCCGGGAGGCGGAGCTCGCAGTGAGCCGAGATAGCGCCACTACAGTCCAGCCTGGGCGAAAGAGCAAAACTCCGTCTCTAAAAAAAAAAAAAAAAAAAAAAAAAAAAAAAAAAAAAAAAAAAAAAAGAGAGAGAGAGAGAGATTAGGACACACACACAGAGGAATAGAGGAATGATCATGTGGGGACACAGGGAGAAGGTGGCCATCTGCAAGCCAAGGAGAGAGGCCTCAGGAGGAACCAGCCCTGCGACGCCTTGATCTTGAACTCCAACTTCCAGCCTCTAAGACAATGTCTATGGTTTCAGCCACTCTATCTGTAGCATCTGCTATGGCAGCTGGATAAGAGGAATGCAGAGCCCCTGCAGAGAGAGTCACCTTGGCTGCCAGGCCCTGACCGGCCCGGGCCATGACAATTACATGACGGCTAAGAATATCAGGGGCTTGAAATGGGTCAGGCCTGGTGTTTGCCGGGTCCCTGGCAGGGGTGAACGTCATGTTCATCCCCCCGGGAGATGGCTGCTCCAGGGGCTGCTGTTAATCCTGGAAGATGGATGAGAATTCTGCTGAGGGTCTCGCAGTGAGTGATGAGGCCAGCCCCAGGCGGTCTGATGCACACTCACTCTCTTCTGCTTCTCTAAGCGTGAGGGAGCTCATCTTGCAGAGCAGGGAGGCGGCCAACCAGCTTGCCAGAAATGGTGTGAAGTCCTTTAGGGTGAAATTAAAAGAGGGGGGGACAGGTGTAGCCCCCCAGGTGTCACCCAAGTTGTCATACCAACCCTGGCTTGCGTGACCCTAGCGAGTCCGGTTCTGTGTGCACGGTCAGTCAGAAGGTTCCAGTCCATCCCCAGTGGTCCCAGCCACCACACTCAAAGACCACGGAAGTAGTCCATATGCTGTAAGCACTCAGATGTTCTAAACCATGAAACGTGGTCACGAATGGACAAGTCCCACCCACAACCCCAAGCTCCCTGCTTGCAGCGAGGGCCTGAGCACCTGGGCGTGCTGCCGACAGAGCAGTGGGCTGACAGATCCTGGTGTGAGTGGGTGGGGGGCAGGGTGACCCTTTCAAAATGAGATGGCCCCCAGCCCTCCCAGCCTGCAGAGCTGACAATGAGCAACCATCAGCCATGGTGGAAGTGTGGCCCTTAGGTCTGAGGACTGGGCATTGCCTGGCTCCTTCCCTGAGTGAGAGATCCAATGCGTCCTAAGGGGGACAGTGCCCATCCCTGCCAGGGTGGCCTGGGGACACGGACTTACCCTCTGATTTCAAGGACAATGCAGCCAGCTCCTCACCAGGGGAGTCCCCCAGATGACTGCAGCCCCGAGGCTTTGTGTGCTGAGACCCAGCGCTCTGAAGACAGGGGCAGAGGCTGTGGCTGCTCTGAGCACTTTGGAGTGATCTGAGGTCGGGTTTAGCTTCTCCTTCTCAGATTCCCTTCAGATGTCTGGGAATGAATTATCTCCCCTCTCCAAAGCGGGGTTTTGTGAATGGTCCTCTCTTGAGGGGCTGTCATTTGCATACTGTGGCTGAGAGGGGGTCAAGGAAAGCTTCCCAAAGGGACACTTGAGGAGGGTTTCTGAGAGCAGAGGCGGGGCCGGTGTCCCCAGGGCAGCTTGGCCCGGTGTTTTCTTTCCCTGGGAACTGGCATCCCCTAAACCCACATTAAACCAGAGGCCGGGACCCTGGGGACAAACGCTGCTCCCTGTGCAAAGAACCCACGTAACTCTGAGCTGTGCTGTCCTGGTTTCTGGAAGGGGGTGGCATTTGGAGCCACTCCGTGGGCCTTTTCACCAGGCTGCCACCTCGGGTCCGACGAAAACAGCAAGTGTTTTTGTTGGCAGAGCACCTCCGAGAGGGCCCAGCCCTAGAAGCGGATGGACTGGGTGCCTGCAGGCTACCTTCTGTGTTTTTTCTTGTTTTTTGGTTTTTGGTTTTCTTGAGACAGGCCTCACTCCCGGTAGTGCAGGCTGGAGTGCAGTGGCACGATCTTGGCTCACTACAGCCTTGACCTCCAGGGCTCAGGTGATCCTCCTAGCTCAGCCTCCCAGGTAGCTGGGACTACAGGTGTGCGCCAACACACCCAGCTAATTTTTGCATTGTTTTTAGAGGCAGGGTCTTGCCATGTTTCCCAGGCTGGTCTCCAAATCCTGACCTTAAGCAATCCTTCTACCCTGGCCTCCCAAAGTGCTGGGATTACACGTGTAAGCTACCGCACCCTGCCCAGGCCTCCTTCTTGATTGTCCTATTTGTAAACTAATCTCCATGTGAGGTGTCCCCTCTCTTGAGTCATTCTCCCATGGACTCCTAGATGGAAGCCTAATCTCTCTATTCAGGACGAATTGAATTATTCCTGCAACCATGTGAGGAGAAAACCCCTCAAGTGTGTTCAATTACAGAAAGCACTTTCTATATGAAGCTACCATCCTCAAATAATGACTTACAAGCCTATTTAGAGTTCGTAATCTCAACTCTGTCTTATTGCCAAGAGTCTTGGCATTGGTGCTATTTATGCTGAAACAACCAGGCTGTGTTTTCTTTGATCATATATTGAGTGTAAATATTTGCACCATTAATTAGAGTCAGTTTAATTCCAAAAACTCGAGCGATGCGGGCAACCTCTAATGGTAAACAGGCCTCTAGATGTTAGTCATACCTGCAAGATTCCATGCTGAGAGGCCTCCCTTGAGCCTTTCACCTGTCTCAGCCCTACAAACAAACAAAGGTTGAAGAGAGGCCAAGGGTCCGGAGACAGATTTTGAACGTAGTGAATGACAGGGACTAAAGATGAGCTTTTTCCTATTATTTCCATACCCTTCTTTTTGCTCCTGGTAATAACATTTTGCAACTGGTGTATTGAGTTCACCCATGCCAATTCCAAATTCCAGAGAGATAAGCAGAAGGTTGGCATGGTGCTCTGGAAAGAGCTTTGGAGTTGACTAGAAATCTCTAGAATCAGTTGGACCCGGATTTTAATCCAAATTCTGCCGCTTACCAGCTGCATGGACTTGAGCAAGCCATTCTTCCTCTCTGCGTCAGTTTCCTGAGCTATAAATGGGGACAATAATTCATACTTCATACGAATGAGACAACAGAGATAAAAATAATAAAGTGGATATTTAATTCTAGCTGTATGGCATTGCCCAGGCTCTCTGAGCCTGGGGACTCCTCCCTACATCTTAAAAGGAAGATATCAAGTATGCGGGACTCAGGGTCAGCTCACAAAGCCTGCGTAACACACAGAAGCAATCCTCATTCTTCCTTTTCCTCCAAATGCAGCAGCCCAGCCATGAGTGTCCTGCAAAACACTTTTAGGGGCAAAGGGAGCCAACGTGAAGTGGCACAAGAACTTGGCCAACAGGAGAATTGCAACACGTGGTGAGAACGTAGTTCACTTGCCCTTCTCTTTCTGTCTTTCGGGGATGTCATGGAGAAAGTCTCAGCTTGGTGCCAGGAGGTCCATCATGCCTCCATAGCACACCCGTCTCCCTGGCCAACTGTGCCGTGCCGTGGTTCAGGGCCTCCCCAGGGTATCCCAGGGAATTGAATAACATTAGCTCATTTTTATGGTGCTTTATGAAACTTCCGTTCATGGCCAGTGCTTCTTCCTCTCCACTTTCAGTAGTGATATTGGGTTCTTTAAAAATAAAGTTCGATAAGCCCTAAAAAGGGAGGAAATTTTGTCACAGGCTACAACATGGGTGAACCTTGAGGACATTACACCCACTGAAAGAGGCCAGTCCCAAAAAGATAAACACCACATGTTCCAATTCATCTGAGGTCCCTAGAGCAGCCACATTCACAGAGACAGAAACTAGAATGGTGGTGCCAGCGCTGGGGTTAGGGAAGTGGGGAATGGGAGTGAGCATTCCACGGGTGCAGAGCTTAGGTTTTGGAAGATAAAAAAGTTGTAGGGGCCAGGCATGGTGGCTCACACCTGTAATCCCAGCACTTTGGGAGGTCAAGGCGGGTGGGTCATGAGGTCAGATCGAGACCATCCTGGCTAACACGGTGAAACCCCGTCTCTACTAAAAAATACAAAAAATTAGCCGGGCGTGGTGGTGGGCGCCTGTAGTCCCAGCTACTTGGGAGGCTGAGGCAGGAGAATGGCGTGAACCCAGGAGGCAGAGCTTGCAGTGAGCTGAGATTATACCACTGCACTCCAGCCTGGGTGACAGAGTAAGACTGTCTCAAAAAAAAAACAAAAAACTGTAGAGATTGATGGCTGTGAGGATTGCATAACAATGTGAGTGGTCTTAATGCCACTGAGCCGCACACTTAAAAATGGTGAAAATGATCAACTTTATGTCATGCACATTTTATCACAATTAAAAAATAAAGTATGGGCTGGGCACGGTGGCTCACGCCTGTAATCCCAGCACTTTGGGAGGCCAAGGCGGGCAGATCACAAGGTCAAGAGATCGAGACCATCCTGGCCAACATGGTGAAACCCCGTCTCTACTAAAAATATAAAAATTAGCTGGGTGTGGTGGCACATGCCTGTAATCCCAGCTACTTGGGAGGCTGAGGCAGGAGAATCGCTTGAACCCGGGAGGTGGAGGTTGCAGTGAGCCAAGGTCATGTCATTGCACTCCAGCCTGGTGACAGGAGCGAGACTCCTTTACAAAAAAATAAAAAATCAAAAATAAATAAAGAGTGACCTAGTGAGCTGGGTTAAAGAAAAATATGAAGGCAGTTATGGCACAGGAAGACCATGAATCTGGCTCAAACCAGGGACATGGAGCTTGGAAGACTGGCATTTTGGGAAACGCTGTGTTTCTACCTTACGGTAGCAGAGCACAAACTCTGGAGCTGGGCTGCTTATGTGCAAGCCCCACTCTCCCACTTACTGCTGTGTGACCTTGGGCAAGTCACTTCACCTCTCTGAGCCTCTGATTCCTTATCTGTAAAGTAGGAATGATAGGAGCACGTACTACGTAGACTTGCTGCACGGATTCGATGAGCCGATATTTATTAAGCGCTTGGAACGGGGCCTGGCACACAATAAGTGCTCTCTAAGTGTTTGTTAAATAAACAGACTTGCCTAAGGAGAAGCCCAGGCAGAGATCTTGCCTCTTCTGTCCAAGGGCCCCTCTGCAAGTTTAGCCTGCTTCAGCTGCAGGTCCTCTGTATCAGAGCGGAGGACTGTCACTCCAGCAACAGCGCTTTGCTGCTGGGAGCCCCTGGTATCAGTGGTGAGCAGCTGCCTCGGAGGCTGGGCTGACAGCAGCTGCCTCCAGCCCTCCTCTCCCGCTAGCCCTGCGCAGCCACTGAGCTCTCTGCCCAGCCCCACCCCAGCCCCTGCAGGCGCCTTTGTGGGCTCTCTCTAGTCCCTTCCAAAGACCCTTTGGAAACAGTCCAAATGGCTATCCAAGAAGAAATGGATAAACAAATTGTAGTACACCCAGACCATGGAATATTATTCAGCCATAAAAAGAAATGCGATTCTGATACATGCTATAATGTGGAGCAAACTCCAAACATAATGAAAGAAGCCAGACACGAAAGACCATGTAATGTATGATTCCATTTATATGAAATGTCCAGAATGGATAAATCCATAGAGACAGAAGGCAGGCCAATGGTTGCCAGGGACTGGGGGAGGGGGGAGATGGGGAGTGACTGCTAGCGGGTTCGAGCTGTACTCTGCGGGAATGGGAATATTCTGGATAGAAATGTGGGTGCTCAACACTGTGAATGCACTAAATGCCACCGAGTTGAACACTTAAAAATGATCAATTTTATCTTATGTGAATGTCACCCCAGTGAATTGTTTAATTACAATAAGACCCCCTTAACCCTGTTGAGTATAGCCACCAGGGGCCCCCGTTACTCGCCAGATGCCCCACCTGAACCTGCTACACTGGGCTGCTCCCATCCCTGTCTGGGTGCCCACTTCTCCACCTTGGTGCTTCCACCCAGCCTCTGCCAGAACCCCCTAAAAGTCACCGTCCACCTTGAAAAACCCACCCACTCTCCGGTTGCCCCAGGGCAGGGGCCACCAAGAGCTCCAATCGGCTCTTCTGGGAGCAGCCTCCACCTGCATTTCAGTGTTCTACCATGTTTCCCTGTCTGACTAGGATGAATATGATGCAAATAATAATGCCCTCTAATCCCTACAGCATGTCAGGTTTTGGGCTGGAAGCTGAATTCTTGTCCTATCCCTACAGAATTCCAACCTGTTGCCAAGACCCATTTTACAGATGCACAAACCCGGGTGCTGAGAAGAAGCTTGTTCCAGACGGGACTGACTCTGTTAGGCTGCAGAGGCCATAGGCCCGGCTTCTGCACCAGCTTGCTCACTCCTCCAGGCTGGAGGCTGGACCTGGAGGGCTGGGGCTTTGTTTTGCTCCCTTTGCGCCTCCCATTCCCCTTCCAACCTGAGAAAGGGCTCTACCCATGGCAGGCATTCAAAGAGCCAAGCCGAACTGAAAACAGACTTCCTGAGATCATGCGAAATCAGCATTTAAATGACCTGTGGCCTTGTATGTGTTCTGATGATGAGTGACAGTGGGGGCAGGGTGTACGTGACAATCTATCCTGTCCTGAGTCATCTGAGGGTCCAGAGAAGGTCAATGAGGAAAGGAGAAATGCACAGAGGGAGGCGTGATTGCAGGTGGTGCGCCTGTGGGCCGAGTCAGCTCTGAGCTGACATCTGCTGAGACCCAGCAGCATTGGGGAGCAGAGGAGACCTGCATGATGGTGCTGGTGGCCTTGATGAAACCACAGCAAGATCAGAGTCCCTGCAAGTCCCCAGCATCTGATCATGCTCCGGCTTGGGGTAGGTCTGTGCCTACCCCCAAGCCAGGCCCAAGGCCTCACCCTACGAAACCTATTTTAAACCCCGCCCAATTCAGGGGATGAGTACCAGTGCTGGCCTCACCAAGAGCTGCCTTCTCTCCCTCCCTCGCCGCCTCGCCAAAAAGGGAAACCATTTTTCTGTAATTACAAGCATTGTGCTGTGTGATTACTGTATTCCGTAATGACGGCTGTGTGTTGTAATGACAGGCACGCCACCTCCCCGAGCCAGTGCACTGGCCCCACTCTGCTGTTGACATAAATATCTTCCTGCCATGCCCAGGGTGTCGGGGAGGCCCTCAGCTTCAGAGGGTCTGCAGCGTGGGGTTCCCCAGAAAATAAGCAGGGTGCTCCGGGTGCTCCTCTTCCAGGCCACCCTCTCCTGCGGGCCACATGGGCAGCCCAGCCTTCCCCAGCCTGGCATCACTATCACGTGATGCCACTTACCAAAATAGCAGCCGAGAGCAATCTTTTTAAAAATGAGCTGGTTCAGGTATTTACTAAAATATCACTTTTAAACGTCTGGGTCTTCGACTGGCATTTTTGCATATGTTGGCCACAGCTGAAGGGTTTCATCCGAACGCAACTTAATTGGAGCCAAGAAAATGAAAAGAAGAAAAAGCGGCTTCAATCGGAATGAATCAACATCTATTAATGGCTGTTTAACATATTTCTGCTAATAATCATGCATTAAATAATGTGTGCATTTTAAATCTGGCTAAATATACAATAGTCCATCCCTGCCCCAAAAAGGTAAATAATGACAGTTAAAAATAGTCCCAGGACGTATTTACATTTTTTTTTCCCCCTGAGCCTTTTTGGTTTATAGTTCATCATTCCAAGGGTAAGAATTCTAAAATTTTCTCTGTGTATTTACATAACTGAGCAATTGCCATGTATCACATTGGCTATCAGACCCTTCCAAGAAAAATGAGTTTTTATCTCGACTTCTGCACAATGGTCAGATGGAAAAGTTCTGTGAAATGAATGTAGCCCCTGCAAGGGTCCAGGAAGGCTCTGATTTCCATCCATCCTCTTTTGCCCTCCTGGGGCACACGTCCCGGGGCTTCTTGGCATGCTCTCCTGAGGGTGAGCCTGCCGCCCACGGAGAATAAAATCCCACTTGAGTGCCTGTGTGGGATTTTGAGTCCGGACTGAAACGAGATCATTTCTGAGTCCGGACTGAAACGAGATCATTGCTAAGGAAAATGGCAGGTCACCTTTCTTTCAGACTCAATGCGAGGAAGGAATCTTGCCTCTCGTCTCCTTTTACAGTACAGCGCTGAGGTGGGGGCGGGGAAGGAGACCCGGCAGGAAACATGTCTTTGTGGGTTTGCCGCTTCAAGAGCAAGCGCTTTCCTCCTGGGGCAGTGTCCTCAGGTACCAATCCCAGCAGGCCTGGTGGGGAGGAGGACAGCTCCTCCTCCATCCAGATGCCTTCCGCGGGGATGTGGTCTGTCCTCCAGGGGTAGCCGGGTCTGTCTCCCTCAGGGCCCAGCCAAAGCTGGGCACTAGGTGAAGTGTTACCTTGGCAAGTGATCCAAGGGTCCCTGGCATGGGCTGGTCCTCAGCACCAAACCAGCTCCTCCCTTGGGGTGCAGAAGTTGTCAGATGACCTTTCAAAAGATGAGGCGGCTGCCCTGTCCCCCACGGCCTCTCCTGTGGTCACGGAGCCACTTAGCATTCTGTTTATGGTAGTTCTGCCTGAGAATTTATGGTATTTATCTGGAGATGTCAGGGGTGTGAGGTTTGTGGGTACACAAGGAGGCGCCGGCACTGCAGTTCCCCACGCCCGCCCTCCGTAGGGCCCACATTGCTGCTGTCTCTGAGGATGCTGAATTGTCCAGACCTTGGTTTCTAAACCCCACAGGGCTGGAGAGGGGCAATCCCGGCTTCCTGCCCTGAGCCCATGAGGCGGGGAAGAGGAAGGGTCGGGGACAGGCTGTGCATCAGAGTCCCTGCCTCGTCCCTGGATGCACCCCCGGGTCCAGTCCTCTTAGCCGCAGTTAACTGGAATCTTCACATAACAGGACATTCCCCCACTTTGAAACCCTTCTCACTTTATCCAGATTTCTACATTCTGCACAGGCTGTGGCTTGCGGGAGGGAACCCGGGGAGGGGAGGGGGGTGGGCAGAGGCGAATTTCTGGATTCAAGTTCAGGACCCCAGTGACCTGTAACCTCCAGCTCTCCTTTCCATCCCTGGGCTTCAGCCTCCTCGTGTGACAAATTGACAGTGATTCGTCGGGGTCCTGCCGCCTGGGGGAGGGGGCCAGGGCGCTCTTCTGATGCGGGAACCAGGGCCACTCACGGAACCGCCCCGCGCCCAGGGCTGCGCCCGTCTCTCGGGGGCTGGCTCAAGGCCCCCTCCTGTAGTCAACACCCCTTCCCTGGGGCCCTGGCTGGGGGTGCACCTCGCAGGGCCGCTCGGGGCCCCACTGCCCGCCCCAACTGATAAGACGGTCTGGGAGCGGTGGAGACGCGCCCCGCGCAGCGGGAGGCCGGGGGCGGGCCGGGACCTGGGGACCAGCCGCTGCTCCTCTGCAGCGTCCCGCGCCGCTCGCTGGGAGTCCGGGGAGCGCGGGGCGGGGCGAGGGCGGTGTCCGCAGGTAACCCCCGGGGGGTGGGGAGGTCTGCCCGGGACCCCCAGACCAAAAAGCCGAGGGGGAGGAGCGGCGCGGCCGTGAGCGAGGGCAGCCAAGTTTGGCTACAGCACGCGCGGCTTCGCTCCTGCCTCTGGGGAGGAGAGAGGGGACAGTCCCCTCCCGAGCTAGGCTCGGACCTTGGCCCCCAGAGCCGCCGCAGACCTCCAGGGGTGACTTCGTCGCTCCCTAGTCTGGACTCGCTAGGTCCCGGGTGCACCGGAGTCGCGCAGCGAACGCGCCATGCAGGAGGGCGACATCGGCCTGGAGGGGCTGCCCCCCAGGGAAGTCCCCACAGTCGGTGAGTATCCAGGGCGGCACGGGGGGTGAGGGACCGCGAGCGCGGCCGCAGTGGATCTGGGACGCCCCAGGGGCAGTGGCTTGCGGAGGACTCAGGGGCGCACGAGGAGCAGGAGGCAGGGACCCCCACCTCTGGTGGCGGGGACAGTCCTCCCCCCTCCGCGCTGCTCCCGGTGAAGGCGAGAGGGGAGGGACTGTGTCGGTCACAGGTCGCTGGGGCACTGACAGACAAACAGACGACAGACAGAGCCCCGGGGCTGGGCTGGGGCTGGGGGCGCCGCCGGGCAGGGGCCCCTGCGCGGCCCCTGGGGAGACATCTGCTAGGCCGGCCCAGGCTGTTCCCAATCCCGGGGGAGCGTCTTGCAGCGGATACGAGGTTTTCGGATGTTTTTACAGGCGCTATTAATACACATAATATTTCCGTGCTATTCTGGAGATTTATTTGTGATATAAAGTCACTACTATGACTCGAAATCATAATGGAAACTGAGAGGAACTTAGAGAGCCGGAGACAAATGAGGCCTGGACGCTAGGCCGGAGGGGGAGTCCCTGACTTCCTCCCCCCTGGCTGCACATAAATCACCACCCAGGATATTTTTGTACCAATAATTTTAAAATAAATGACCCAAGCCCTGTTTCCTGGATGATTCTCCCCTCCCAGTTCAGAGGTTATTAAATAAACCTAAGAGTGGGATAGTGACAAGGGGGCCGCAGTGTGCAGTGGGTTTTATTTAATTACACGCTGAGCTCTGCCCTTCTGAAGCCCTGGTTAGGAGGCAGTGCCCTGCAATCAGGATGCCACCGCCAACCCGGGACTGCTAACTATAGCATGGGAAGCCCTCCTTTTATTCTTCCCCCCTCCCTCCCCCGACTTTTCTTCTTTTCGAATTCCCATGGAGAAACTTATTCTGATGCGTGCCTTTCAAACAGCCGGGTCTGGCTTCTTTCTAGAAGTGACACTGTATACTCATCAAATTAAAGGCCCAGAAGAAAGAGAAAGGGGCCCCTCCAGCCAGAGCAGGCAAAAAACCTGGGCGCTGAAGTGGGCCACCAGGGCCTACTCTTGTGCGGCCAGGCTGTCCTGCCTTCCTGAGCGGCTTCCTCAAGCTCACGTGTAGAAATGATCCGTTCTGTGATCCACTGGAAACACAGCCCCAGCTCACTGTGTATGACCAGCCCACCAAGCTTCAGGCACTGATTCAAATGCTTCACACATTTATCCTCAGTGCTACCCTGTAAAGGGGTGTATAATCCTCCCCATTGTGCAGACAAAGAAACTGAGGCCACACAGCCAGTAACTGATGGCACCAAGATTAGAACGGAGGCCTGTTGTCCCGGGGCTACCTGAGGGGCTGAGGCAGGAGGATCGCTTGAGCCCGCAGTGTGCCTAGATCTTGCCACTGCACTCCAGCCTGGGTAACAGAGCAAGACCATGTCTCAAAAAAAAAAAAAAAAAAAAAAAAAAAAAAAAGACTAGAACCCAGGGTGTCTGAGTCCAGTTGCTGTGAGGCCACTGCCTCTCCCTTTCCCCACCCCAGGCAGAATCACCCAGCAATGCTTCTAGGACATCTTGAGGAAACCGTTCCCTGTGCATGAGGGTGTACTCTGGAGGCCTGTGCTTTGGTCTTTATAGGCTTTACATTTGGGCATGGGTCATGTCTCAGATGTGAGGACCTGGAGTGTTCCTTACTGGAGGATTCAGCTCATCAGATCTGAGCTGTAATCATGGATGGATGACGGCCACAGCCTCCACTCCCGGAGAGCAGGCCTTTCCTGTCCACCCCGCTGCACCTCGGCTGTGTGTGGGGTGGAATCGTGCCCCCTGCTGTGGGTAGCAGCCGTGTCAGGAGTAAGACCCCAGGACGGGTGTCCCAGCCTCGGTTCTTGGGTTTGCTGCCAGATGCACCATTCCACCGCAGTAGGCATGAAGAAATTCCATGGGAAGCCTCACAGCACCACGCCACTTTCGCTCTGTCCATGTCATTTACACCTGGAGGCCGTCAGTGGCTTCGCCCGTAAATAGGAAATTTAAAAAGCCACAGAGTTGGAGAACAGAAAGAGGTCTGGGTTCCCACTTTTTCCTGCCACCGGCACCCAGACCCAGAGAGAGGAAGCACTTATCTTGTGAAGTACAGAGAGCCCCAATTCTAGAGCCAGCCTCCCAGGTCTCAATCCCAGCTTTGCCGCCTGCAGCCCTGTGCCCTCGGCCAACTTACTTAACCACTCTATGCCTTATCTGTAAAGTCCGGAGGGTGGCTGTGAAAAGGACTTGAGTTCATAGCCTTTCCAAAGTGCCTGGCTCTGTTCTGTGCATGAGTGAGGATTATCATCATTGTCATCAATGTCATCACTGCAAGCTTCATCCATATGACCCAGGTGTGAAGTCACACCGAGTGCTCTGTGACTGATCCTATAACCTGCTCATTCTCGCTCCCCTGCAAAACCACAAGCCCACTCTCCCAGGGAGCAATTGATTGGTACAGATGCCCCCTCCCATTCTGCCTACTTAGCAGCTCCTTAGTTATTCTTTAATAAGCTACTTATTTATACGCTTGTGGTCTGAACCTCCCACAAGGGCAGGTGGAGTTAGGGTGAGGTCTGCGGCATCCCTCCACTGGGACATGTCTGCCCAACTCACTCCTGCACAACCCTCAAAACTCAGCTGGTATATCCCCTTCTCTTGGAAATCAACCCACATGCCTCTCTGCACTAATAGTATCCTGGGCACCAAGTGAAGGAGGGAGGGAATGAGGAAGGAAGGAATGAGGAAGGAAGGAAAGAAGGAAGGAAGGAAGGAAATAGACAGGGAAGGAGGGAAGTAGGGAGGGAGGTAGGGAGGGACGGAGGGAGGGAGGGAAGGAAGGTGATGTTAGCTAATGTTGGTTGAGCAGGTGACTGCGTGCCAGTCACCCATGGAAGCCCTGGTACCTGCATCATCATGTACAATCCCCACTCACTGTATGAGGTGGGTCCCATTGTTTCCCCCCATTTATGTTGAGGAAACTATGGCACAGAGAGATTATTTAAGGTCCTGTAGCTGGTAAGTGGCAGAGGCAGGATTTGAACTCCAAGCAAGCAAGCTGTTCATTTAATCATGGTGCTATCTTACCATTCAGGGAGGATAGAAAGAGTTGTCCCTCCTGAAGCTTTCACCCACAGAGCTATTGAGCACCTACTCTGTGCCATTGAGTGGGTGGTGTGGGAAAACACCTGAAAGAGATGGGGGAAGAACATTCCAGGCAGAAGGAACAGCCAGTGCAGAAGCCCCAGCACGTGCGTCTTCTTCTTGAGTGTGCTGGATGGATTCCAGAACCAGCCAGGAGAGGGAGGGAAAGAGGGAGCAGGAGGGGCAACCCAAGAGGTATGGAAGGTGTGGAGCCAGTGTGGGGGTCTCCAGGGCCACTGGAACCATGGGAGCTAAATAACACTCCCCACCCCCTCCCCACCACCTGCTACTGCAGTAGGGTTTGGAGCAGGGAAGGGACCTGAGCTGACTTGGGTTCTAACAGGTCCCTCTGGCTGTCCTACAGAGAAAAGGCTGATGGGCCAGGGGCAGAAGCCTGCTCAGAGGCTCTTGCAATAATCCAGGTGCACGAGGCAGGTAGGGGAGGGTGACCCTGGGTCTATTTTGAAAGTAGGGCCCACAGGAATTGCCAGCACATGGAATGTAGGGGCTGAGAGCAGGAGAGTAGTCAAAAATGGTTCTGAGATTTCCAGATTGAGTGGCTGGAAGAAGGAAAAGACCACAAGGAGAGGTTTGGGTGGGGATAAGTGAGAGGTTTACTACTTGTTGTTTTGTTTTGTTTAAAATTGTGTTAGATATTATATATACCATAACATTTTAATCATTTTAAGTGTAGAATTCAGTGGCATTAAATACATTCACGATGTCATACAACTATCATCACTATCTATTTTCAAAACTTTTTCATCACCCCAAGTAGGAATTCTGTATCCATTAAACAGTCACTTCCCATTCCCCACCCCGCCCTGCCTCTCCTAACCCCTGGTAACCTCTATCTATTCTAATTTCTGCCTCTATAAATTTGTCTATTCTAGATACTTCATATAAATGGTATCACAAAATATTTGTCCTTTTGTGTCTGGCTTCTTTCACTTGGTATGTTTTTAAGGCATCCGTGTTGTAGCATATATCAGTAATCATTAGTTTTATGGAGGAATAATGTTCCATTGAATGGATATACCACATTGCGTTTGTCCATTCATCTATCGACAGACATGGGTTATTTCCACCTTTTGGCTATTTTGAAAATGCTGCAATGAGCATTTGCATGTGAGTGTCTGTTTGAGTTCCTATTGTCAAATTTCTGAGGTATATACCTAGAAGTAAAATTGCTGGATCACATAGTTTTATCTTTAACTTTTTAAGGAACTGCCAAACTGTTTTACACAATGGCTGCACCATTTTACAGGCCCCCTACTAGTGTATGCGGGTTCTAGTATCTCCACATCCTTAGCAGCACTTGATATATATACTGTTTAATTACAGCAATCCTGTGGGTGCGAAGTGGTATATCATTGTGGCTTTGATTTTCACTGCCTAATCACTATGTCATTTATAGATCATTTGTTTATCTTCTTTGGAGAAATATCTACTCAATTCCTTTGTCTATTTTCTAATTGAGTTGTTTGTCTTTTTGGTTGGATTGTAGGAGTTTTTATAGAGCTTGGATATTAAACTTTTATCAGCTGAATGATTTGCAAATATCTTCTCCCATTCTGTAGGTTGTCTTTTCACTTTCTCCATAATGTCCTTTGATGTACAAAATTTTTAATTTTCATGAAGCCCAACTTACCTACGTTTTCTTTTGTTGCTCATGCTTTTGGAGTCATCTCTAAGAATCCATTGCCAAATTCAAGGTTGCAATGATCTACCCCGATGTTTTCCTCTAAGAGTTTTATGCTTTTAGTTTTTATATTTAGGTCAGTCCATTTTTAGTTAATTTTTGTATGTGGAGTACGCTAGAGAGCCAAATTCATTCCTCTGCATGTGAATATCCATTTGTTTCAGCACAATTTGTTGAAAAGACTGTTCTGTAGGGGTTTGCTTTTGAGCATGTTAATAATTACAACAATCACAAAAGCTGACATTTGGCACACTTCCTGCACACCAGCTGTCATTCAGAGCACTTGGTGTATTTGAACTTGGGGTAGGTTTGGGATGCCCTGTGGACATTCACGAGGAGACAGACTCAATGTTAACCCCAAGCCCAGAGACAGATTCCTCCATTGACAGCAGGGGTAGGAATGACCCATCTAGAGAGGAGCCTGCCCCCCTGTCCTCTGTGACCAAATGCAAAGGCTGGAGGAAGCATAGCCCAGGGGACCACCATGCCACCTGCAGTGATGGGCAAGTACCAGTTGTGAACAGAACCCGATGTTCTGTGGAAATAGTTCACACAGTGAGTTTCTCTTCCATATTGTGATGTAAATAACTGAGGAAACTTCTGTCTCTGCAATTGGATGCATCATTCAAATCAAACTAAACAGACATAGATGCATCTCCTTTAGGACAGTTACAGTACCAGAAATGAGGGATACAGTGTATCCACAATTCCAGGAGCTGGGATATAATGTAGCCATAGGACCAGAAGGTGGGGATACAGTGTAGCTATAGCCCTTGCTCTCATGGAGTGCAGTCTATGCAGCTTTATATTATGATCTGTGTTGTAGAAGGGTTCTAATTCTGGCTAAGTAAGCTCTGTGTGCCAATAGTGGGTCCACCCCAATATCCCAGGCCCCCTCCCTCTGTGCTGATGCCATGCGAGCTCAGCTCCCACTTCTCTTAGAGCATGCAGCAGCTTGGGTCTCAGTTAATTTCGTCCACCACTTCTGTCTCCCTTGATGGACTTGGTTTACTTGGTGGCAAGAAAAAAGTCTCGTTCATTTCTCTAGCCCTAGCCCAGGGCCTGGCCATGGCAGGCCTGGTGAAAGTCAGGTGGATGAATGGATGGATGGATGAGTGATGGGTGGGTAGATGAATGGATGATGGATGGATAGTAGGTGAATGGATGGATGGACGAATGGATAGATGGATGGATGGATGGATGGATGGATGGATGGATGGATGATGGATAAATGGATGGATGGACAGCTGGATAGATGAATGGATGGATGGATGGATGGTAATTGATAGTTGTTGACAACTCATTTTGTTCTAGGCACTATTGCAAGCCCTTTACTCATGTCATTCCCTTTAATACTCACGTTAAGTTATATTAGGAGCCACTTTGAACTCCAGACAAGGAAACTGAGGAACTCAAAGAGCAAGGAATGTGCCTAATTTCCCACCTCCAAGAGTGTTCTCTTGGTGAATCCATCAGGATGGGCCAGCCACACCTGGCTGGGCAGGGGAGGACCCTGAGACTCAGATGCTGAGAGAAAAGGCCTACCAGTTAGGTATGGCAGGATAAGGACTGCCACTCTCTCTCCTGGCTCCAACCTAGGTCCTCACTAATTCAGCTGCTGCCTCCCTAGCTCTCTGGAGAGAAGATATGTCTCTGTGATTGCCTTGTTGCTGCAGGAGCCACACTGGAGAGGCTGGACTGTTTGGTGAGGCCTTCGTCTCTCCCCGTGCCTGCCTCTGCCTGGCATTGTTCCCCTCGTCAACGTCTATCATGGCCCTCAGCCTTCAGCACTGGGCACACATGCCAGGGTTTTCATGCTGTGTAATGAAGCATTAAAAGCCTTCCCAGCCCTCAGAGATCCATTTGACAATGGTCACATGGCCATTAGGTAGACAAATTACTAGTTTCATCTATTTAGCCCTGGAAGGGGACCCACACATACAGTAGATGCCCTCCTGGTAATTTCAGCTTCCTTTCTCATGGCAGCTCATGGGGACATTTTGCCTCCTCTGGGCCTTTTGCCATGATTCGTCTGGGCTCTGGGTCCCCACATGCAGCCAAACCCACACAACCCTGGGAATGCCAGCCCCACCCCAATGGGGCCAGCCACCCCCTCCTGAGACAGCGCCCTGTCTTCAGCTGCACCCTTGTTTGCCCCTGGGTGTGGTGTGCAAACACTACCCTTGATACCCAAGACTTAATTCTTTCCCTTTTACACTTAATCAGAATTATTTCTGCCCACATATGGCCTCTGGTGTGTAATGATTTTTTAATGCATTTACATGGCACTTCAACACAAAAGTCTGAACATGGTGGAAATGGAGCTATTGATGTGAGCAATTAGAAAGGAGGCATAATCTGGCATAATGTTTATTGCATTGTGTTTCCTGGACCATCAACAGCTGGATATTGGGACAGACTGGGAATTCAGGGGAAAAGGGAGAGAGCCTCGGGCTATATTCCAGTTCCTGCTTGCCAAATTGATCAAGGTGTGTGCTAGGCCAAAGGTAGCGTTTGCTTCCTAGTCCCAGCTCGGTCTTCAGATCTCCCCAGCCTCCATCCCTTATTCAAGTCACAAAACTGTGGGCACCACTGTATCCTTGCCCCTTGGTTTGTGTCCCCACTTCCAGCCCACCACCTGGTGCAGCTGGCGCCCCTTCCTGTGCATTTTTCGAATCTGTCCACTGCTTTCCATATCTACAGACAAACAAGATGACTTCACTCTTTCTGTCTTCATGGCCTGCCTGCAGGCGGGGCTCACCTGCCTCTCCAGATTCCTTTTTCTCCCCCAGCTGCCCTCTCCATCTGGCCTCACTGGCCTTCCTATAGCCCTTCATCCCCTCTTCCCTGCTCCTGGGGCCTGGGCACATATAGCCCCTCGGCCTGTAGCTCCATCTCTCCCTCTGCAATGCGGCACAGGCCCCTCTCCCTGGGCACTCACGCATCTGCCCCACATTCATTTTCATGAGGAGTTGGTCAGTGTCACTCCCCCTGCACTTGATCAAGTTCCAAAAGGCAGGTCCAGGCTTGTTTTTGCCAATTTGATTTTACACCCCCAATTTGTCGTTAACCCCCCCCCACAGTCACAGCTGGAAGGGACCTAAGCGGTGCATGGGCTAGCTGAGCATCACCTCTGGGGTTCAGGAAACCCTTGCACCGTGTTCTTGGTCTCAGAAGACTCCTGGGAATTAAACCCACCATTTTGTTTCATTTTTGTGCTATATGATAAAGAAGTGATTTTAAGCATAAATATTTCATTTTGGATGCTGATCTATTATTGAAAGGTGTGAATTGGTGTGTTCATTCGCCTCTCCCTGGGTGGATGGGTGGATGGATGGGTGGATGAATGGATGGATGGGTGGGTGGATGGATAGATGGACGGATGGATGAATAAATGAATGGATAGAGAGATGGAAGAATGGAGGAATGGAGATAGACAGATAAAAGGAGGGAGGAAGAGAGAGATTTCTATATATTTTGAATAATATAGATAATCTCTATAGACATCATCTATATATATATGATGGCAATTTTTAATTTTCACTCATTTAGCAAGAAAAGCTCAGTGCTAACTCTCTTCAATACTTGGTAAACAGGAAGCATGATTTGTCAAATGCAAACAAGAAAGTTCATTTTATAACTGGTTTGAGGTGATGCTGTCACATCAAAAATAGACCCAAACTGCTTCCATCAGCTTGCATGTTACATTTCCAAAGTCAGCCAACTGGGTTTTGTCTTTTTCATGACTTGTTTCTACATAATGACACAAGTGGTGTGAGTTCAGACTGCTTTTCACAATCTCTTCCCCACCAGACACACACAGTAGGCATGAGACGGGCTCACTTCCAGCCAGGTATATTCACATCAGATTGTAATCATCACCATCATTCCTTTGTTTTTGTTTAAATAAACTTTTGCTTTTAGAACAGTTTTAGCTCTACAGAATTATTGCAAAGATAGTACAGAAAATTCCCACATACTGCACACCGTTTCCCCTGTTTTTAACATTTTATGTTAGTGTGGTATATGTATCACCACTAATGCACAAATGCTGGCACTGTTTTTTTTTTTTTTTTTTTTTTTTGAGATGGAATCTTGCTGTGTCACCCAGGCTGGAGTGCAATGGCGTGATCTTGGCCCACTGCAACCTCCACCTCCCCAGTTCAAGCAATTCTCCTGCCTCAGCCTCCCAAGCAGCTGGGACTACAGGCGCGTGCCACCACACCCAGCTAATTTTGTATTTTTAGTAGAGATGGGCTTTCACCATGTTGGCCAGGCTGGTCTTGAACTCCTGACCTTGTGATCTACCCACCTCAGCCTCTCAAAGTGCTAGGATTACAGGCATGAGCCACCATGCCCGGCCACTGGCACGTTTTTATCTAAAGCCCATAGTGTATGCAGATGTCCTTGGCTTTTATCTAACATCTGTTTCTGTCCTAGGATCCCCTCCAGAACACCACAGTGCATTTAGTCCTCATGACTCTTTAGGCTCCTCTTGGCCATGACAGTTTCACAGATTTTCCTTGTTTTCTGTTGACTCTGATACTTTTGAGAAGTGCTGGTCAGGTCTTTTGTAGACTGTCCCTCAACTGGAACTTTCTTCTCATTATTCAGCTGGGATTATTAGTTTGAGGGAGGAAGACCACCGAGGTAAAGAGCCATTCTCATGGCATCATATCAAGGGTACATACTGTCACCATGACTTATCACTGCTGGTATGGACCCCGATCACCTGGCTGCTTCTCCACCGTCAGGTTACTAGCACTGGTGTTTGAAGTACTGGAGATTTCAGGCCGGGCGCAGTGGCTCACGTCTGTAATCCCAGCACTTTGGGAGGCAGAGGTGGAGGCGGGTGGATCACCTGAGGTCAGGAGTTTGAGACCAGCTGGCTAATAGAGCGAAACCCTGTATCTACTAAAAATAAACAATTAGCCAGGCATGGTGACATGTGCTTGTAATCCCAGCTATTTGGGATGCTGAGACAGGAGAATCGCTTGAACCCAGGAGGTAGAGGTTGCAGTGAGCCGATATTGCATCATTGCACTCCACCCTGGGCGACAGCAAGACTTTGTCTCAAAACAAACCAACCAACCAATAAAAAATGAAGTACTGGAGATTTCTTAATAGACTATATAGAAGGATTTAGATTGGAACCATCAATCTATGAAACTTATGAGACCATCCTGAGCTGAATTTGCTGAACATTGATCACACTGGGATCCTCCTTAACTAGTATGTTCACATCAGCATTCCTCATTCCTAACTCATTAGAGTTATCAATTAAACAATAGGTGAGTAAGAAGAAAAACAATTTAAAATGCTCCCTTGGCCAAATCTCTGCAGGTGGTTAGAAGTGTTCGGCTGAACAGTAAGTTGTGCCCTGACTTCTACTGACCACCTCATGATACCCACAGAGGCTCTCCAACTTCCATTTCAAAGGGAGAAATGTTTAAATGATCATGTTATTGATTTTAATAAACAGTCATTGGAACAGGTGTTTTTCTGCCCTTAAAGAGGCTAATGAATGGCCTGCATTTCATCCAGAGACCCCTGAATGAGATAGCCAGGTCCAACCTCGTCCTTGAACTGGTAACAGGTGGAAAGTAGAGCTCAGAGAGGTTGAGTGATATTCCTCAGGTCACACAGCAGTTTGGTGGCAGGAATGGGTGTACTGGCTCCAAGTCCAGCATTCTCTCTCCCCAAATACCAAGTCAGATGAGGAGGTTAGAGTCTGAGGACAATAATCCCTGAAAACCTCTCAGGAAGGCCATCTTGGAGACCCATCTCTAACACAGATCTAGCACCTAAGTGTTTCCTCCTGCCTGTCTCTGTAACAGAATGCCAGATGAAGTTCTAAGCTTGGGTTTAGAGGGAAGCTTGTACGGAAAATGCACAGGTCACCTGGAACACAAAGATCCCAGGGTGTGGGGTGATGTCTGCATGCTGAGAGTCACCAGGCCATGAGACCTTAATGTGGAACAGTGGGGTCACCTCCTGCAACTCAGGCACCCTCTGAGGAGTCTGCTCCCTGGGTTGTGGGTGGTGGGTGGAACAACTTGCAGTGCTTAAATTTTTGCTTTTATCACTGTTCTTTTGGGGGAAAGCATCCATTCTAGTTAAATCTGAATATATTCACTGCATCCACAGGAAGAATAAGGATGGCTCCAAAGCATACTCTGAGCTGGTTTACATTTTACACTTCATTCTGCATTTTAAACATTACCTTGCCCTGTCCTGCCATTACCCCCACCCCCACCTCCACTGCATAAAATATTACAGTCAGTTTATATAGGCGGGTAAAATATAAGAAAATTGCTTATAAATTACATCAGGATGAAAGACAAAAATAAAAGAAGTCAAGGATGGGGGCAGGAAGGGAGCATGCCAGGAGTGAGCCCCAGGACCATGGCTCTGAGAGGCCAGACCTACTGGTCCCCCAGGCCACAGGGCCAGACATGAAAATCAACCCATGGCTCAGGAAAAGCTCTCCCCCAGCCACTCTCCCCCCGTCCCAACGGCAGCCACAGGGCCTTTGCACAAGCATTCTCCTCTGATATGGTTTGGAGCTGTGTCCCGCCCAAATCTCACGTTGAAATGTAATCCCCAGTGCTGGAGGAGGGGCCTGGTGGGAGGTGACTGGATCATGGGGGCCGTTTCTCATGAATGGTTTGGCAACCGTTCCCCTTAGCGATAGTGATAGTGAGTTCTCACGAACCAGTTTTCATCGGGTTGTTTTAAAAGTGTGTCATACTTCACCCTTTCTCTCTCTCTTGCTCCTGCTCCTGCCTGTGAGACGTCTGCTCCCCCTTTGCCTTCCGCCGTGAGTAAAAGCTCCCTGAGGCCTCCCCAGAAGCAGATGCTGCCATGTTTCCTGTACAGCCTGCGGAGCCATCAGCCAAATTAAACCTCTTTTCTTTATAAATTACCCAGGCTTCAATATTTCTTTATAGCAGTGCGAGAATGGCCTAATACATCCTTCCCAGAGCATCTTTCTCCACGCCTCCTCCTCATTCTCTTGGCTTAAAAGTCACCTGGACAGAGACCCTCCTGGACCACTCCATCCAGCTGTGAGCATGCATTCAGCACACTCCTCACACGGGTTTCTCTCCTGTATAGGACTTTGTAACTAGGTGTTTTAGACTGAGCTGTAATTTACATACAGTAAAATGTCCAGATCTTAAGTGAACAATTGGATCAATTGTAACACAAATCTAAACATCTACACCCCATTAAGATATAAAATAGCTCCATCACCCCAGAACGTGGCCTCTTGCCCCTTCCCCACCAATCCCCCCGCCCCATTGCCCCATGGCATAATTCTGCCTATTCTAGCTCTTCCTATAAATAAAAGCATGAGTGCAGATTCTCCTGTGTCCAGCGTCCTCGGTTCAGGGGAAATGTTTTGGTGTTCATGAGTAGTATGTCCCCCAGTGCCCCATTGTGTGGGCGTCCTCATGGGGTATCCATTCTTCTAGGAAGATCCTGGGGCTGTTTCCAGTTCGAAGCCATTATTAATAAAGCTGCAAGGAAGAAATATTTTTATGGATGTGTGTTTTTATATCTCTGATAAATATATTCAACTGGAATCATTGGGTGTATTAGGCCATTCTCCCATTGCCAAAAAGAAATACCTGGCCAGGCGCAGTGGCTCACACCTGCAATCTCAGCACTTGGGTGGCTGAGGCAGGTGGTTCACCTGAGGTCAGGAGTTCGAGACCATCCTGACCAACATGGCAAAACCCCATCTCTACTAAAAATACAAAAATTGGCTGGGCGTGGTGTCAGGTGCCTGTAATCCCAGCTACTTGGAAGACTGAGGCAGGAGACTCGCTTGAACCCAGGAGGTGGAGGTTGCAGTGAGCCGAGATAGCACCATTGCACTGCAGCCTGGGCAACAAGAGCAAAACTCTGTTTGAAAGAATAAAAGGAATACCTGAGCCTGGTGAGCCAAGATTGTACTACTGCACTCCAGCCTGGGTGACAGAGTGAGACTGTCTCAAAAAAAAAAAAAAAAGAGATTTTTTAAAAAGAAAGAAAGAAAGAGAGACCTGAGTCTGGGCAATTTACAAAGAAAAGAGGTTGAATTGGCTCACGGTTCTGCAGGCTGTACAGGAAGCATGGCGGCATCTGCTCAGCTTCTGGGTAGGACTCAGGAAGCTTACAATCATGGAGGAAGGCGAAGGGGAAGCAGGCATATCATATGGCCAGAGCAGGAGCAAGAGAGACAGCATGGAGGTGCCACACACTTTTAAATAACTGAATCTCATGAGAACTCACTTACTCTCATGAGGACAGTACCAAGGACACACTATTAACCACGCTTGAGAAACTGTCCCCATGATCCTATCACCTCCCACCAGGTCCCACCTCCAACAGTGGGGACGACATTTCGATATGAGATTTGGGCGGGGACAATGTCCAAACTATATCACTGTGTTATGACATAGGATGAAAGCGCCTTTAATGATTTAAGAAACTCCCAAACAATTTGCCAGAGTGCTTTGCTAGGTTCCGTGCTCACCAGCAGCATCTGAGAACATAACAGGATTCTAATGTGTTGGCTTTACGCACCATCTGGCCCTCCTCACCCGCTAACATAAACGCCAGGGGAAAAGGGCCATGTCTCTTGGGCTCATCTCTGAATCAATGCCTAGCACAGGGACTGTCACTTACTAAGTGCTCAATAAACATTTGCTGAATGAATGAGGCATTTGTACTGCAGCTTTTCTTTCTGCTGCAAATTGGCCAGGGACCCACGTGCCTTACTGAGGATCAAACAGGCTGGGGTTCCTATCCTTTTGTGAATGTGGAGGCATTGGAGGCAGGAGGGAGGGCTATCACATGGCCACCCTGGGGAGTGTCTGATGAGAGTACTAGGGGTTTCCCTAGCACTGGGAAAAAGGGAAGGGAGGCCCCAAAGAGTTCTATTCAGAGCACGGCCCATACTGCTTTATTGTGAAAGTTTCTGAGCCAGGTGTAACCAAATGCTCGCTGCTGCCAAGATAAAGTCTCAGGAAGGAACTTACAGAGGACTCCCAGGGGAATTCCCATAAGAAAACCTTTGTAACTGCAACCAAGTGAGGTCACTTTTTGGATGGAGATAATAAAGTGGGGACATAGCTACCCAAAATGAGCCCTTGGGAAAAAAAATGAACGGAGAGGTTTTCTTTTTGCCTGTAATTAGCTAGATGTTTCATTTGTGTGTTTGAGGCACTCACAGAGGAAGAAAATGGAATGTGACATCTGCTTTATAAGGGAAAGCTTGTTAGTGAAAGATAGAGATGGGCCGGGGGGGGATGCACACTCCCCACCAATCTAAAAGTCATGTCAGGTCACTAAAAAGCATTTTAAAGGAAAAGGCCTGATAAGCATAAGAAAAGGCACTCAAGTTCATTAGTCATCAGGAAATGCAAAGCAAAACCACCCTGAGATTACCATCATACACCCACCTGAGGGGCTGAAATTTCAAAGCGCATGAGATACCGAGCTTTGGCAAGAACATGGAGCAACTGGAACCCTTGCCTACTGCTCATGGGTGTGGAGACTGATACTCTGGAAGACTGATAGGCAGATTTACTATTGAACAAACACATAGTCTGTGGCCCAGCAAAGCCACCCCTGAGCAGTTACTCAACAGAAATGCACACACATCCAAAGCCATGAGTGAAAGTGTCCCCAGTAGCATTGTTCATGATAGCCCGCAACTGGAAGCTCCTGCAGAGACTGTCCACACTCAGACACTAGGATGGATGACTATCCCACGCTCCCTTCCCACCATGTTGCCCTCTACAGCAACAGGAGGAACAACCTGCAACTGCTCCCAGCAACCGCAGTGACTCTCACAAATCACACGTTGAACAAAAAAGGCCAGCACAAAAGGGTACATGAGATACCCAGCTTTGGCAAGAACATGGAGCAACTGGAACCCTTGCCTACTGCTCATGGGTGTGGAGACTGATATTCTGGAAGACTGATAGGCAGATTTACTATTAACAAACACATAGTCTGTGGCCCAGCAAAGCCACCCCAATCCCTGCACAAGGGTAAAAGGCCAGCATTAGGGCAGTTGCAGCAAATGTTGGACACTTCTGGAGGCTGCTCCTGGGATGTTCTATGGCAGAGCCATGGCCAGAGGCCACCTGCTCCTCACATACAGCTGTAGTCTGAGAAACCCCAGCTTGCTGCTTGGTCAGGCAGCTAGCTGGCCTACATTCTAAATAGAATGCTCAGTAAACAAAGAGGCAGAGGCCTCTACTCATGGGTAGTTGAGATGAGAAAACTGTACCAGACCCTTAAGTTCAACAGAAATGCACACACATCCAAAGCCATGAGTGAAAGTGTCCCCAGCAGCATTGTTCATGAAAGCCCGCAACTGGAAGCTCCGCAGGGCCTGTCCACACTCAGACACGAGGATGGATGACTATCCCATGCTCCCTTCCCACCATGCTGCCCTCTACAGCAACAGAAGGAACCACCTGCAACTGCTCCCAGCAACCACAGTGACTCTCACAAATCTGACGTTGAACAAAAAAGGCCAGACACAAAAGGGTACATGATCCCGTTTCTATCGCACACAAAAGCAGGCAAATGAATCCATGGGGATAGAAACCAGAAGAGTGCCCTGAGGGAAAGGAAGGTGCTGCCAGGTGCTGGGTGCATGGGCATGTGTTAGCAAAACATGCTGAGTTGCACACGTATTGCAGGTGCTTTTCTGTATATATCTGTGACACTTCAATAAGATGTGTGTGTGTGTGTGTGTGTGTGTTTTGTTTTTTGTTTTTTTGAGACAGATTCTCACTCTTGTCACCCAGGCTGGAGTGCAGTGGTGCAATCTCAGCTCGCTGCAACCTCTGCTTCTCGAGTTCAAGCAAGTCTCCTGCCTCAGCCTCTCCAGTAGCTCGGATTACAGGTGCCCACCACCACACCATTTTGGAAGGAGTGTTTAAATTACAGCCATGTGCTGTAATGATGTTTTGGTCAATGACGAACCACATACAGAGCAACGGTGGTCCCAAACCGTCCCATAAGATTGGATGGCCTCAATCTGTGCTATTACAATCTTAGGTGGTCCCGTAAGATTGTAATACCATATTTTTAATGTACCTTTTCTATGTGTAGATATAAAAATACTTACCAGCTGAGCGCAGTGGCTCACACCTATAATCCCAGCACTTTGGGAGACCAAGGCAGGTGGATCATGAGGTCAGGATCCCAAACCTGCCCAATATGGGACCAGCCTGCCCAATATGGTGAAACCCCATCTCTACTAAAAATACAAAAATTAGCCAGGCATGGTGGCATGTGCCTGTAGTCCCAGCTACTCAGGAGGCTGAGGCAGGAGAATTGCTTGAACCCGAGAGGCAGAGGTTGCAGTGAGCCGAGATAGAGCCATTGCACTCCAGCCTGGGCAACAAAGCGAGACTCCACCAAAAAAAAAAAAAAAACACCAAAAAAACACTTACGATTATGTTGCCTACAGTATTCAGTGCAGTAACATGCTGTGAAGGTTTGTAGCCTAGGAGCAATGGGCCACGCCATACAGCCTAGCTGTGCGGTGGCTACGTCATCTCAGTTTGTGTAAGAACACTCTATGTTCACACTATGATGAAAACACCTAATGACACATTTCTCAGAGTCCCTGTGGTTAAGTGGTGCATGACTGCATTTTCTAATTCAGTTAGAAGATATAGGTCAGGAAACAGCTTTAAAGAAGTCATGGGTGCCGTCGAGCACTTCCTCTGTTGGAAACGGCCAACAACCATTGAGGGTAAAGCAAACTCTGGTTCCTGTCTGATTCTATACCCCTAATACCCCAAAGTGAGTTCCAGGCAAAGTAAAGATCTGAGTGCAAAAAACAAAATCATTAAGTATAAAAATAAAATTATAAATATTCTAGAAGAAAATAAGATGGACACTTACATTATCTTCAGGAAGGATTTTCTGAGCACAATACTAAACCCAAAAACTGTCGAGGAAAAATTTTTAACTTCCACAGATTAGAAAAAAAGAAACAACACCGTAAACAAAATAGAAAGAAAAATATCAAGCTGGGGGTAACTATTTGCTGAGTATCCAATAAAGAATTGTTTTTATCACTCTAAAATACACATATTTACAGACCAATTTAAAATGAAAGACCAACACACCAATGGGAAAATCGGCATGACCACAATAGGCAACTTACCACCAAAATGGCTAACTATTTAGAAAAGACAGCTTTACTCATAATCAGAGAAATCCACATTATAGGATCTGAGATGCTCATCAAACAGGCAAAATCGGTCAATATTACAATGGTTCAGCCTGTGGAAAACAAGCTGTCTCCTGACTCTGATATGGTCCCACTGGTCTCAGGACAGCTTGGCAGCATGTCGTCACCAATTCTCCCACAGACTTACTGTGTACCTCCTGTATGCAGGGCATTCTTGTATGGAAAGTGTTCCCTTCCACAGCCCTCTTCAGGCTGCAGGAAGCTTACTCTGTGCTGGGAGGGCATATCACCCTTTATGTCCAGTGCTTAGCACAGAGCTGGGGCTTAATAAATTGTTGGTGGATGGATGGGTGGATGGATGGATGGATGGATGGATGGATGGATGGATGGATGGATGGATGGATAAATGGGTAGATGAATGGAATGGGTGGATGGATAGGTAATTGTATTGATGGAGAGGATGGAGTAAATAAAACAGATGTTTACCACTTGATCAAATCACTCCAATCCTAGAAACATATCCTACAGAATTGATTGAGCAGGTGGATAAAGACTGTTTCACATAGAACAGTGAAAAAGAAATGACCCTAAGTAGGGACTGGATGGCTACCTGTGGACACCCCACAGGGAATAGTGTGAGGCTGCTATATCCTGGCCCTCAGCTCCTGCCATGTTCTCCCAGCCTCCACGTGCCAACCATACAGCCTCTCCCCACTTCTGGAAGAATCCAGGCACACTGTCCCGTCCAGACCACCCACGAGCTCCTCCTTCAGCCTGAGGCACTTTTCCTCCTGCTCCGACCCTTTGGACCTCCCTCATAACCTCTTCCCAGTCCCCAGGAGCCCACCAGGGGCTCCTTCAGCGGCCCCCAAAGCCCCAGGTCCTCACACAGTGGTCTCACCACCCTGCACCCCACCTGACTTTGTCTTCACAAGGGCAGCGCTGTGTTCCCATCTTGTTGGCTGGATGTTTTTCAAGCATCTGGTCTGTGCTAGACGTGAGCTTTAGAGTAGTGAGATGTAGTCCAGAACACAGTTACATGAGAGAGAGTGTGTGCAAAAAGAACAGGTTACAAAAAGATACAGCTATTAGAAATTACAATGGCTAATATTTGCTGTGTGTGACCACACGCCGGATGCTTATATGTGCACTTTTACAGGGACCATCTCATGACTAGTCATTGTGCCCTTCGAGGGAGGTACTGCTCCTTCCCCAATTTAAGGTGAGGCAACCTCTCACATGGTTGTGATGTGGTGGAGCCAGTGCTCAAATCCACACAGTGGGAACACAGGGTTCCAGGCCACTGTCAGATGGGGGCTATGAGAATAAAGCGTGTCGCGACGTTACGCAGCATCTCCTGGCTCTCAGAGCTTGCAGCCACAGGCTTCTCCATCACACTGCCCTCAAAAAATATCGTGGAGCAATGGAGATATCTTTTGTGTGGCTGCCCTGCTTTCTTCTAGACTTGGCAAATAAGCTTTCAGTGCTACTGGGAGAGATTTAACACAGTGGGCACAAGTGAGGTTGATTTACACTAGCGCACCTTTGAACAGTCCTTGACTTGGGGAATTAGAATTGGTGACAGAGGCCGGGCGCTGTGGCTCACACCTGTAATCCCAACACTTTGGGAGTCCCAGGTGGGTGGATCACCTGAGGTCAGGAGTTCGAGACCAGCCTGGCCAACATTGCAAAACCCCGTCTCTACTAAAACTACAAAAATTAGCCAGGTGTGGTTGCAGGTGCTTGAAATCCCAGCTACTCAGGAGGCTGAGGCAGGAGAATTGCTAGAACCTGGGAGGCGCAGGCTGCAGTGAGCCGAGATCGTGCCACTGCACTCCAGCCTGGGTGACAGAGCGAGATTCCAACTCAAAAAAAAAAAAAAAATTGGTGACAGAAACATTCTTATCATGGGTGCATTACAAATGTCACCACTGGCTACTGAACATCTCTTTAGTCTTTAGAACTTTATTATGTGTTTATGTTCTCATTTACTCCACCCAAATCCCCTCACAGATTGATATCATTTTCATTATTTTACAAGTGAAGAAGCTGGGGTTCAGAGAGGTGAAGTAACATGGCAGAAGTCACACAGCCCAAACTGATATATCAGAGCATAAGGCTTTTCTCTGCCAGCTTCAGAACCAGGGAGGAGATGGCATGTTGCTTAAAATGTCAATGGAAATAAAACGTTCTTGTTGGCACACTGTCCTGAATTATTCTAGGACACATCTGTGAGAAATTCCTAGGGTTTGCAATCTCCGCTCCTCTGTGGAGTCAGCCAAACATGGCCTCATTGTTGATCTTCAGAGGCATATTTTTAGTGTGAGGTGGGTTGTGTTTATTTATTCGATGAATAGCAAAATGAGGTTTCTATAAATAAAGCCATGTCTTTCTCCCCCTCATTTTATTTCCTGTGCACGATTCACAAGTGAGTTGACCAATCCAATGAGTTTACCAGCTCCAAAGAATTCAAAATGGAAAAATTCCTGGGACTGACCGAGAAGGGACAGTCCAGCCTTTAAAGTGTCTCTCCATCTCGACCACCAAAGCTGTGGCTTTTGACTCCTTGTTAAGAGCAGACGTCTGTCCTGTCTGGGGATGGATTCTGATCATTTTTAGTAGTAATTACGTGAAGACTCTTCCTCTTTTAACTGACAGCAATAGAACAGTTGTGGACCAAGTGATAAATCCATTTCCACTTTTCAGTCTGTAAAACACTTTGCACCAGTCTGGGGAAATAAACACCAACACATACAAGCTTTGCAAACTCTGGGGTGGCAGGTGTAACCAGCTAGGCAACCAATGACCACGTTTGTGGGAAGAGACATCTTCAGCTCTTACCTACGTGGAGACACGCTCCGGTCCCTAAACACACCTACCCAGCTGTCTTATGTGCCATCTCAGGAGTGAGGATGCCCATCTCCACCTGCAAGCCAATTTCCCCACTGGGCATGTTGTCCAGTGAGCAGGAACTAGTCCAGGACTTTCACATCCAATTTGATGCTAAAACTTTCTTCCACCCAAGCGTGTGTTCCCATTGTCAACCTGGTTTTCCCCCTCCCATCATGACATTTTATCCCTCATGGCTTCTTCCTGCCTACAGCTCTTCCTTATCTGAACTTGACCCCAGCCCTGTAAGCAAATTTGCAAGTCCAGGGACTGCCTGGGGTGGGCGCGCCCAGGCTGACATGATGCTTGCCCACCCACCTCCCCTACCTCTGCTCTCTGCCCTGAACCCCACACACAGACCCTGGCCTACAAATGCTGATCTCTCAAACAGCCTGTATTTCACTCTTTCTTTCTTCCTTTCTTTCTTTCTTTTCTTTCTTTCTTTCTTACTTACTTTCTTTCTTTCCTTCTTTCTTTCTCTTTCTTTCTTTCTTCTTTCTTTTCTTTCTTCTTTCTTTCTTTCTTCTTTCTTTTTTTTTTTTTTTTTTTTTTTTGAGATGGAGTCTCACTCTGTGACCCAGACTGGAGTGCAGTGTTGCGATCTTGGCTCACTGCAACCTTCACCTCTCTGGTTCAAGTAATTCTCCTGCCTCGACCTCCCAAGTAGCTGGGATCACAAGTGCCTACCACCAAGTCTGGCTAATTTTTCTATTTTTAGTAGGGAAGGGGTTTCGCCACGTTGGCCAGGCTGGTCTCGAACTCCTGACTTCAGGTGATCCGCCCGCCTCGGCCTCCCAAAGTGCTGGGATGACGGGGGTGAGCCATCACACCCGGCCCATTTTAATCATTTTAAATGTACAGTACAATAGTATTAACTGTATGCACATTGCTGTGCATTAACTGTATGCACATGATGCTGTGCATACTGAAACTCTGTACCCATTGAACAGCAACTTCCCCCTCCCTGAGCCCCTGGCAACCATCATTTTACTTTCTGTTTCTGAGAGTTTGGTTGTTTTAGATACCCCATATGAGTGGAATCCAACAGTAACTGTCTTTCTGTATCTGACTTACTTCACTTCGCATAATATCCTCAAAGTTCATTCAACTGGTAGCATATTGCAGAACCTCCTTTCTTTCTTTTTTTTTTTTTTTTTTCTTGAGACAGAGTCTCGCTTAGTCACCCAGGCTGGAGTGCAGTGGCGCGATCTCAGCTCACGGCAAGCTCCGCCTCCCGGGTTCACGCCATTCTCCTGCCTCAGCCTCCCGAGTAGCTGGGACTACAAGTGCCTGCCACCACAACTGGCTAATTTTTAGTATTTTTATTAGAGACGGGGTTTCACCATGTTAGCCAGGATGGTCTCGATCTCCTGACCTCGTGATCCGCCGGCCCATCTTGGCCTCCCAAAGTGCTGGGATTACAGGCGTGAGCCACCGCGCCCGGCCACCTCCTTTCTTTTTAAGGCTTAACAATATCTCATTGTATGGTAGACCACATTTTACTTCTCTATTGATCAGCTGATGACTAGTTAGGTTGTTTCCACCCCTTGCCTGGCTATTTCCAATAACGCTGCAACGAACCTAGGTGTGCAGATGCCTCTTTGGGATCCTGCTTTAAATTCCTTTGGGGAGACACCCAGCAATGGGATTACTGGATCAATTTTTCATTTTTTTAGGAACTTCCATGCTGTTTCCACTGCAGTGACATTACTTTACATTCCCACCTCTAGTACACAAATGTTTCAGTTTGTCCACATCCTCATCCAAACGTGTTATTTTATGCTTCGGGTTATTATTACTTTTTTTAATAGCGGCCATCCCAGTGGGTGTGAGGTGGTATCTCCTTGTGGTTTGGCTTTGCATTTCCCTGATGACTAGTGATGTGGAGCATCTTACCATGTGCTTCTTGACCATTTGTGTTTTCTTTAGAGAAATGTCTATTAATTCTCTTGCTCATTTTAAAATCAGAGTATTTGATTTTGTTGTTGTTGAGTTACAGGAGCTCTTTATATATATTAGATATTAATCCCTTATCAAATATATGCCTTACAAATATTTCTTCTACTCAGTAAATTGCCGTTTCACTCTGTTTATTTCCTTTGCTGTGCAGAAGTTTTTGAGCTCGATACAGTCTCATTTTGCTTTGGTTGCCTGTGCCTGTGGTCTCATATCCAAGAAACAATGCCAAGTCATGTCATAAGTTTCTGCCCTGTGTTTTCTTCTAGCAGTTCTGTATTTGCAGGTCTTATGTTTAGGTCTTTAATCCATTTTGAGTTCACTTTTGTATATGGCGTAAGGTAAGGATCCAGCTTCATTCTTTTGCATGTGAATATCCAGTTTCCCAGCGACCTTTGGCAAAGAGATTGTCCTTTTCCCATTGAGTGGTCTTGGCACATTTGTGGAAGATCATTTGACCATGTCCAGGAGGGTTTATTTCTGGGCTCTCTGTTCTGTTCCATTGGCCTATGCGTCTTTCTTTCTGCCAGTGCCAACTGTTTTACTCCTTTAGCTCTTTTTTTTTTTTAAGGCGTGATATTTGCCTTCATCTTTGGCAACATGCACCTCAAACTGCTTCAATTTTTGCCCAACTTTTAATGAAACAAGTGCCCTTTAGATTTTGTGGCACATGATGACCATGGACACCTTACAAAGAGTGATTGTGCCATCCAGAATGCTGTCCAGGTCACTGGCCATAGGGAAGGCCGGCTCTCCCTTCCCTCTTGTTGAGTGGGGACCTTCACAGACACTCCAGGAGCACAGGTACCTGTCCAGGAGACCCACATGGATGCAGCCTGTGTCCCACACATCTGAATGGGAAAATGTCGAGGAATCAGTGGGATGAGCGTGGCCCAGCCTCAGAGTTTCCAGGCAGACTAAGGCCTGTTCCACATGAGGTTAACATTGGCCCCCGGAGAGTCCTTTTAGGACCTCCACAGACATTTCCCGCATTCCTGGTCATCTGGAGACAATGGAGTGTCCTTAGCAGGTTTTTATTATTTCCTTCTCTTAACACCCAGCAGAATTTATGCCAATTTGGAAATCAAAGGACAAAGGGACACAGTGGAGTGGTCTCTCCCTATGTCACCGAGCACGAGCCAAGACTAGCTGGGAGCCCACAGATCAGGGACAGTCTACGAATGTGGTTGTGTGAGGTCAAGCATCTCTTTCTCGGGGAGGGAGGATAGCAGCTCTGCCAGAGTAGTTCCTTGAAACTCTCAGAGGAGGCAGGTGAACAGTGCTCCATGACTGGAGTCCCTGGTGGCATCACCTGGGGCCTCTGACATCTGCTGCTGTCATGTCTGACTGTACCAAGTGACTTCTTCTTTCCCTGGACCTGAGTTCTCCATCCTCATGTGGGTCCAGCCACACTGCAGGGCAGTGGGAGGAAAGAGGATTTTGAGAAGCTTTTTGAAAAGGCCTGTCTTGGTGCATTTTGCGTTGCTATAAAGGAATGCATGAGGCTGGGTAATTCACAAATAAAAAGGTTTATTTGGCTCATGGTTTCAATGGTTGGGAAGGTCAAGACTGGACATTTGGTGAGACCTCAGGAAGCTTCTACTCATGGTGGAAGGCAAAGGGGATGAGCCTGTGCAGATAAATATGAGAGAGAAAGGCAGAGAGGGGAGAGGTGTTGGGCTCTTTTTAAATTATTATTTCAATATTTTGGGGGAACAGGTGGTGTTTGGTTACATGGATATGTTCTTTAGTGGTGATTTCTGATATTTTGGTACAGCCATCACCTGAGCAGTGTACACTGCACCCAATGTGTAGTCTTTTATCCCTCACCCTCCTCCCACCCTTCCCCCAAGTCCCTAGAGTCTATGATGTCATTCCTATGCCTTTGCATCCTCATAGTTTAGCTCCCACTTATAGGTGAGAACATACAATGTTTGGTTTTCCATTCCTGAGTTACTTCCCTTAGAATAATGATCTCCAACTCCATCCAGGTTGCTGTGAATATCCTTATTTCATTTCTTTTTATGGCGGAGTAGTATTCCATGGTGTGTGTGTGTGTGTGTGTGTGTGTGTGTGCGCGTGTGTGTGTGTATATATATATATATATATCACATTTTCTTTATCCACTCATCAGTTGATGGGCATTTAGGCTGGTTTCATATTTTTGCAATTGAGAATTGTGCTCAATTGCACACATGGAAACATATAAACACAGGTGTGCAAGTGCCTTTTTCACATAATGACTTCTTTTCCTCTGGGTAGATACCCAGTACTGGCTCTTTTTAACAACCAGTGGCTCTTGTGGAAATGACTAGAGTGAAAGCTCCCTCACCCCTAGGGAGGGCACAGATATATTCATGAGGAATCCACTCCTGTGACCGGGACACCTCCCATTAGACCCCACCTGCAACACTGGGGATCACATTTAAACATGAGGCTTGAGGGACTAACCATAGCAAGGCCTGAGGGCTTGCATCCTAGGCAGATGAGGGGCTCAGTGGTATACAGGAAGCTGCACAAAGACAGGGGCTGCAGAGAGGCCTGGGGCATCATGGGAGAGATGGACAGACAGTGACTCAAACAGCAATGGAATCAGTAGCCTCATCACTGTCCCTCAAACACTCAAAGCCCCCGCTCCCACCAGGGGTCCTGGTCCCTGCTATTCCTCCTGCCTGGGATGTGCTCCTCTGGAGAGGGGCACAGCCCATCTCACTTGGCACAGCCTCAGAGATGCCTTCCTCAACCTCCCACATCTTCTGAGGATTCTCCTCCCCTTCTCTGTTGTCCATAAGACTTACCACATATTTATAGTGGCTACTGTTTCCTCCACAACCATGTGTGCTCCCTGGGGCAGGGACTGCCTGTCTCGCTCACTACTGCACACCCAGTGCCTGAACAGATGTCTACACTGCTCTGTGAATGCAGATAGAATATACAAGGGATGTGCCCAGTGCCATGATTTGGTTGGGGGAGAGTCTGACATGATATGTAGAAGAGTACAGGAGGGCCTCCTGGAGGGAGTGACCTTTACTCTCACAACATGCAGAATGAGTAGGAGTTAGGCAGAAAGGTGCAGGAAGGGTGTCGAGGCAGAGGGAACAGCGTGTGCAATGGCCTGGGGTCGGGGAGTGGAGAGCAGGGTGGAGGAACTCAGAGACATGGAGTTTGGCTGGAGTGAGCAGGGGAGGGAAGGATGGGAAGTGTCCTTCAGCAGTTAAGTGGGTGTCAGGACATTTAGTGCCTGTCAGCCAGGTGAGTTTAGGACCTACCCCATCTCTGCCTGTCTGACCTTGCAGCTCACACAGGAGCACCCTTTGGGCTTCTGGTACCCACAGCAGCCATGCTGCCAGTATGTGCCAGCTTCCCACACACCCAGGTACTCAGACCAGAATCTTTTCACATCACCCACTCTGGTACTGGGGACATATCCTTCATCCATTTTCAATAAATTCCACTCTCCCACAACCCCCCACCTCTACAACTTCTATATAGCTGGAAGGCCTCATGTAGGGATTCTAAGATGAAGCATCTCAGTTAGGAGTATTTTCTAGGTGTTTCCAAACATTAGCAGTTTAAGAACATAAATATTTGAAGAGGTCCACTATTTGCCTCATCGATGAAAGCTTGGAAGTGTATTCTTAGATCATCCCCTGAAAATCTGCAGAGTGCTGAGTGTTGACTCATTCTTGCAGCATCCACGCACCTCAAAGGATCAATAGATGGCTGTAATAGCAAAGTCGTTGTAAATAAGAATTGTTACTTGTGGAAGATCTATTTACTGAGAATTGATAGCCACCAATCCAGCCATTTTTCCATAAGTTCATTCCTCCATCCATTCATCCAACCAACCAGCCATTCATCCATTTTTCCATCTATTCATCCACCCATCTATCCATCCATCCATCCATCTTTCCATCCATCCATCCATCCATCCATTGTTCCATCTATCTATCCATCCATTGTTGGATCTAACCATTCATTCATCTATCAATCTGTCTATTCATGCAGACATCCACATATCCATTTGTCCATCTATTCACTCATCCATTCTTTCATCCATCCATCCATCCATTGTTCCATCTATCTATCCATCCATTGTTGTATCTATCTATCCATTCATCCATCCAGCAATCTATCTATTCATTCACACATTCATCCATCCATTTGTCCATCTATTCATCCATCCATCCTTTCACCCATCCATCCATCCATTGTTCCATCTATCTATCCATCCGTTATTCCATCTATCCATCCTTTCCTTCATCCATCCATCCATCCATTATTCCATCTATCCATCCTTTCCTTCATCCATTCATCCATCCATCCACCCATTACTCCATCCATCTATCCATTCATTCATCTATCTATTTGTCCACAAATTCATCTATCCATTTGTACATCTATTCACTCATCCATTCTTTCATCCATCCATCCATCCATTGTTCCATCTATCTATCCATCCATTGTTGTATCTATCTATCCATTCATTCATCTGGCAATCTATTCATTCACACATTCATCCATCCCCTTTGTCTAGTCATCCATCCATCCATTGTTCCATCTATCTATCCATCCATTATTCCATCTATCCGTCCTTTCCTTCATCCATCCATCCATCCATCCATTATTCCATCCATCCATCCATCCATTCTTTCATCTATCTATTCGTCCACACATTCATCCATCCATTTGCCCATCTATTCATCCATCCATACATCTATTATTATTTCATCTATTCATCCACACGTCCATCCATTCATTTGCTTTTTCATCCATCCATCCTTTCATTCACAGTGAGCAGGGCGGTCCCACTGGACAACAAGACCAACCATGCCCTCAGAAAGTTCACTGTGTAGTGGGGAAGGCAGACAATAGGCAACAATATTTCATTTATTTCCAACTGAGAGGGGCGCAATGAAGGAAAAGGGCAGGTGCTTTGAGAATTTACACCAGAGGGATCTGACCCAATGTGGGATCAGGAAAACCTCCCTAACAAAAAACCACATTTAATCCGGGACCTGAAGGATGAGTAGAAACTTGCCGGGCAAAAACATGGAGAAAGTGTGTTAGGCAGAGAGGCCAGCAGTGCAAAAGTCCTGAGGCAGGAAGTGCCTGGCATGTTCAAGCAACTGAAATGAGGTCAGTGTAGCCACAGCAGTGGCCAAGGCTAGAGAGGCCAACAGGGGCCAGATCATACTGGCCTTCAAGATCACGTTGCAAATTTGGACTTGATCTTAAGAGAAGACAAGAAGCTAGGGGAAGATTGCAAACAGCAGGGCCACACCAGGCTTGCCTTTTTTTTAAAAAAGGAGGTTTTGATTGAATCTATCATACATAGAGAAAAGCACACATGTCCCAGGCATACATTATTGGTCATCGAGGGCTGCCATAACAAAGTGTCAGCTGGGCGTGGTGACTTACACTTGTAATCCCAGCACTTTGGGAGGCCAAGGCAGAGGCAGGGGGATCACCTGAGGCCAGGAGTTTGAGACCAGCCTGGCCAACATGGTGAAACCCCGTCTCCACTAAAACAAAACAAAACAAAACAAAACAAAACAAAAAATTAGCCAGGTGTGGTGACGCATGCCTCAAGTCCCAGCTACTCAGGAGGCTGAGGCAGGAGAATCGTCCAAACTCGGGAAGCGGAGGTTGCCATGAACCGAGATCGCGCCACTGCACTCCAGCCTGGGTGACAGAGTGAGCCTCCATCTAAAAAAAAGAAAAGAAAAGAAAAGAAAAAGTGTCACTGACTAGGCTTCAACAGCATGAATGTGTTGTCTTACAGCTCTAAAGGCTGGAAGTCTGAGGTCAGGGCGCTGCCAAGCCTGGTTCCTGCTGAGGCCTGTCTCCCTGGCTTCTAGATGGCCACCTCCTCCTTGGGTCTTCACTTGGCCTCTTCTCTGTGCACGGACAGAGAGAGAGAGAGAGAGATCTCTGGTGTCTCTTCCTCTTCTTATAAGAACACAGTCCTATCTGATCAGGGTCCCATGGGGCCGTAGTTTAACCTCAGTTTCCCCCTTAAAGGCCCTTTCTCCAAATACAGTTCCATTGCGGGTGAGAGTTTTAACATATCAACTGGGGGGGAAGCACAATTCACTCCTTAGGAGCTCAGCGTATTTTCACAATGTGAACTCACTCATGTGACTAGCACTAAGATAAAGGAAAAGATTGCAACCCCCCCACCCCCCCACCAAGGACAACGTGCAGGAGCTCTTCAGGGCACCCCACTCCCCGCCCCTGAGCCGCTCCTTTGCCTCCAACACCATAGAGCAGTTTTGCCTGGTTTTGATGTCAACATCAATGCCGTTGCAGAGCTTATCCTTGTGTGCCCGACTCCTTTCCCGCAAGCCCTCTGCTCCCGAGATTCCTCCGTGCTGCTCTGTGCAGTTCTAGTTCACTCACCGTCACTGCCGAGTCCTCTTGCACTTGGGAGTCCACCACACGTGGCCTGCCCAGGCTGCTGCTGCTGGTCTGTGGGTGTTTGGGGTGACTGGGAGCAGTGCTGCTCTATCTGGTGGTCTTGTGAAGGTCTCTTGGGGAACGTCTGGGAACACTCCTGTTGAGAGTATGCTGGGAGCAGGATTGCTGGGTTGTGGGTTCATACAGTTTCGGCTCTAAGAAATGATACCTCGCCGTTTTCCAAAGCAGCGGTTCCAGCTGATGCTCCCACAGCCCTGCAAGGGAGTTCCGGATGCTCTGCATCCTCAGTACTTGTTTGTCCTTTTTTATTTTTGTTTTTGTTTTTTTTTTTTCTTTTTTTTTTTTTTAGAGGCTGGGTCTTGCTGTCGCTCAGGTTGGAATGCAGTGGCACAATCTTGCCTTTATAAAAGATCGCTTTGGCTATGGCATGGAGAGTGGGCAACAGGAGTGGGAAGGCCAGACTGAGGGTGCTTCAGGGAATCCAGGGGAGAGAAGAGGTGGCCAGGTCTAGGGTGGAGGCCGGGGGGATGGAGACACGTGGACCAATAGCAATTCTCAATAATTGTGCCCAGGGCTCGGCAGGCCACTGTCCCTTTTGGCTCGTAAGTTTTTGTGCTAGTGTCCATCTCTTTGGTCTTTTTATCGTTCCATTCATGGAGCCATTTTGGGCGTTTTCATGGTTGTGATTGTCTGCTGAAAAACCTGAAAATCCCCAAGCCACAGAGAAAGGCAGGTTAAATACCAGAGAGTTAATTTCTCAGGAAATGTTTTCCCTCCTCTTTGGGCCCAGTGACTAGATATTTATGTATTGATGACCTACTCTGTGCAGGGCAATTTTTTTTTAAACAATCCAGGTGCTCCCTGCCCTCAGGGGGATATGATCCAGAAGGCACCGGGATATGGCCCAGCGCAGGTTCAGCCTCATCGCAAGAAGTGTCACCCGGCGTGCTCACTCACTGACCCGGAGGCAGCCCAGCCCTGGGCGGGTGGGGCAGAGGAGACCCTGTTCTTGATGTGTCTGAGGGTGGTGGGACTGCACTTTCCTTTGGCCCTGCCTTGGAGCTCACTCTGATACGGGCTCCTGCTGGTGTCACCACTTCCACGTGGCTCACTGGGCCATCTGGAGAGCTACTTTTGCCCAAGCTGTCTTCTCACCTCTGTCTAGGGCACTGTGCCGAGTGGTCGGAGATCACCTCCTCGGCTCCTGGCTCATCACTGGGAAAGATGGGAGCACCCAGGGACTGCAGCAGCTGTGGTCCCCAGGTCCTCGGATACGTCATCCTGCAGCCCCACAAGGGACCCAGAAGGGCCTGGGAGAGGGTGCTGGGCAGGGTCCACGCGACTCCACAAGGAGAGATGCTGAGACATGTCCACAGCCACACAGCCGTGAGCAATGCACTCCATTCCCGGACACACTATCCTGCCTCCCTGCCATCTGCGCTGGTAGACCTTACAGCAACAGGGGTGCAGACGATGAACTGCTTGGCTTCCTTGGGATTTCTTTTCCTTTCTTTCTTTTTTTTTTTCTTTTTTTTTGAAACGGAGTCTCACTCTGTTGCCCAGGCTGGAGTGCAGTGGTGCAATCTCGGTTCACCGCAACCTCTGCCTCCTTGGTTCAATGAATTCTCCTGCTTCGGCCTCCTAAGTAGCTGGGACTACAGGTGCACGCCACCACGCCCAGCTAATTTTTGTATTTTTAGTAGAGACAGGGTTTCACTATGTTGGCCAGGCTGGTCTCAAACTGCTGACCTCATGGTCCACCCACCTCAGCCTCCCAGAGTGCTGGGATTACAGGCATAAGCCACCGTGCCAGGCCTGACGTCCTTGCAATTTCTATGTGCATTTTGGCAAAAGTAATGGAATTTGAGAATGCGTGATGGGAGTGAAAACCAGCAATCGGATATGGTGGCGGCTTACCTATGCTGTTGAACCTGGATCTGGAAGTGAAGAGAAGATGAGGTGGTCCAAGCACCATTCCTCAGCCCCTCTGGGGTCATGTGATTGTGGTCACAGGACAGTGGCCAGCCTGGGATGCTGCGGATGGGGAATTCCACAGAGAGAGCTAAAACTAGGACGCTGTAGGGGCTCCGCTCTGCCACCGTCAGGCTTGGGAGCTCCTGGGAGCGCGGGGCATGCATTTCAGTGGCAGCCTCATTTGTCTTCCTGCACAATCCCGCCAGGGACCTCAGGGTCTGCAAAAGAGTTGCAGAGGGTCACGGCTCAAGCCAGGCCCCAAAGTAGGGCTGTGGGGCTCACCCTTAATCTGGCTGCACTCTAGACATTGTGGGCAAAGGAGATAGGGAATCTGCTATCGATACAGGGCTTCTACCAAGATCTGTGACTAAACCAGGCCATTTCCCAGCTGCTTGTCTCACACTGCAGCCCTCTGTCCCTCAGACATCCTGCCCCTGCTTAACTCTTCTACCAAGTGTCACTGTGCTTCGTACTAGAGATTCTACTTAGTTTACTTTCTTTCTTTTCCCGGTCTTTCTTCCCCTCTAGAATCCAGGCTGCCGGGGGCAAGGATTCCTGTCTGCAGGGCTCACTGCCCACTTCCTTAGAAAGATGCCTGGCACAGAGCAGGGCTCAGCCAAATACTTGTTTGATGAATGAACAAAATCCCACGCGGGCCAAGGTGTGTCTTCTCTCCCCATCCGGAGGAGGATGAGGCTTAGCGGTCCGAACAAAGGCCAGACGCCCTAATAATGCTTTTCTTGTGAACTTACAGTTTTTGTGGTTTCTTTTTCCCCTACCCCAACGGAACTGCAAAAAGTCTACACAATGAATCATAAAGGAAACTCTTTGGGGATCAAATGAAATTCTTTTTCAGCCCAGAGCGTGTTTCCCATTTTGATTTTCATTTTTATTTTTTTCACTTAAGGCCAGGAGTTCAAGACCAGCCTGGGCAACAGTTTTCTTCCTTCCTTCCTTCCTTCATTCCTTCCTTCCTTCCTTCCCTCCTTCCCTCCCTCCCTTCCTCCTTTACTTCCCTCCCTCCCTCCCTCCTTCCTTCCTTTCTTTCTTTCTTTTTTGTCTTACTCTGTCACCCAGGCTGGAGTACAGTGGCATGGTCATGTCTCACTGCAGCCTTGACTCCCAAGCTCAAGGGAGCCTCCCACCTCAGCCTTCCGAGTAGCTGGGATTACGGGTGTGCACCACCACACCCAGCTAATTTTTAAATTATTTTTGTGTGGAGACAGGGTCTCACTATATTGTCCAGGCTGGTCTTGAACTCCCTGGGCTCAAGCAATCCTCCCACCTCAGCCACCCAAAGCTCTGGAATTACAGGCATGAGCCACAGTACCTGGCCTATTTTCCCATTTTTAATGAAGCCTTTTACACAAACAAACCCATATGCCTATCCTCAGTGGCTCATGGGCAGGTTCTAGCTACCCCCTGCCTGCAACTCCAGCCCCCTTTCCCTGATGGTCTCTGAGAGTTTTCCTCAATCCCCTCCAAGAAAGATCAGCTTCCCCAACCATCCATCCCATCAGAACCAGTTACATAGTTTGTGGGGCCCAGTCCAAAACAAAAATGCAGGCTTTGCTCAAAACTTATGAAGAGGCCAGGCATGGTGGCTCATGCCTATAATTCCAGCACTTTGGGAGGCTGAGGTAGGAGGGTCTCTTGAGCCCAGGAGTAAGAGATCAGTCTGGGCAACAGAGCAAGACCCCATATCTACAAAAAAAATTTTAAATTTAGCTGTGCATGGGGGCACACACCTGCAGTCCCAGCTACTCAGGAGGCTGAGGTGGAAGGATCTCTTGAGTCCAGGAGGTCGAGGCTGCAGTGAGCTGTGATCACACCACTGCACTCCAGCTTGGGCAACAGAATGAGACCTTGTCTCTATGAAAAAAAAATAAAGAATTTCAAGACCCTTCCAGCATCATGGATGGATGGTGCTTCCTGGCCCTTTGTGGGCAGGTGGGCTGTGAGCTGGTCCTAGCTCTCAAGCCGTGAGTGGAGGTGACATGGCTCGCTTCTGAGCTGGAGCAGTTCTCCGCTGCTTCTAGACTCCACTGCACTCTCTGTGCCTGACAGTGTTTGGGACCGTAGCTGCACCACCTGCCCAGACCCTTCCAGACTACACTGAGCAGAACCCCCTCCCAACCTGGCTTGGACATTGGAAGCACAAGCAGAAAATAAAGTGTTTTTGGAAGTTCTGAGGACCAGGGCATGACTGTTGCTGCAGCAGGATGTAGCCCATCGGACAGATACTCCAAGGCAACGGAAAGACTGAAGAACAAACCTGGGCCTCAGGCTGAAGCCCATCCCCTGAGTCTGTGCCAGCAAGAGACCACACATTCATTATGCATCTGTTCATCTGGTGGGAATATTTACTGAGGACCTGCTAAGTGCTGGGCATGGAGCTCAGTACCGGGGACATGGCCAAAAATAGGCAGCCTCAGTCTCAGCTGCAGAGGAGCTTCCTCCCAGCCGTTCACACACAGTTAGAGTCCATGGAAGGGAGAAAATCCTGCGGCAATAAGTACGCAAAGTCCATGGCATTGTGCAGCCATGTGGCGGAGGGGGGCCTGTCCTCACCTGGGTGCCAGGGAGGGCTTCTTGGAGGAGGTGCCCCATTCATTCATTTATTCATTCGTTCAACAAATGTTGAGAGCCTGTTCTGAGCCAGACCTAAGCAGGCCTCTGTGGAAGGGGTTTAGCAGTGATCAAAATAGTGTGCTGTTCTCCTGCACCTTGGGATGCAGGGGAGGGAAAGAAGAACCCCCCCACACACACACACACACACATTCACTCCCCCGTCTATGGACTCACAACCCACGCTACACACATGCCATGCACATGCACACACACGCACGCACACACACATGCACACACGCATGCAAACATAAAATGTGAGGAGGAAAGGGATGTTCTAAAGGGAAAGAAAGCAAGGAAACCGTTACATTAAGGAACAGGACTCGAGAGGGTGCCGCAGGAAATGGTCCAGGTTTTCCCCCAGTGCCCCTTCAGACCTGCCCTCTGGGTGTGCAGGAGCCGGCTCACCCAATTCACACGGGCTCACCAGGACTCAGCTCACCCGAGCCAATTGTATCTTCCCAAGTATGCATTCAGTGACATCACCCTGGGAGCTTAAAATGGGCCATGATGGGAAGGTTTACACCTCCGCAATTGGCAAACACTCTAAGTCAGCTTTCATGTGTTTTCTTTCCAAGGGCCAGTTTACCCACCCACCACTGTCTGGGGCTGGCTCTTCTCAGCCCCTTGGGTAATTCTAGGGCAGGCCTCATGACTTCCTGGTCGTCTCATAATGAAAGCTTTCCCAGCCACTTTTAATCACAAAAACATGGTCTCATGTGGATCACTGAAATGTCCAGTCCCACGCACGTCTTCACTGAAAACCGTCATCTTCCTGGCTTCACCGGCCCAGCCAGCCCCAGGCTGAGGCCTCGGAGTGGGAAGGGGGCCGAGGGCCCCTGGCTCTGGGTCTCTCTGCTTCTGCTTCTCTTCCCTCTCCCCTCCCCAATCTCTAGGCTTCCCCCGGACCCTCCAAGGTTGGGGAGAGGCCAGCAGGGCAGGGAGGTCAGGCTTGGTGGGCGGGCGCTAGGTGATCTGGTGGGCTTCTATCCCCCCAGCTGGGGCAGATGTTTAAAGCTGACTCATTTGAGGGTACTCTTGTGGATTGTTTAGTCCATGGGGTAATGAAAACATCCAAATTGGACCCCATGAGCACATGTGTCTGATAGCGAAAGCTTGGGACCCCTCACTCCTGCCAGTTCCTGCCCAACAGCCCACTTCCTATCCACAGGAAATCCCCCACACCCTTCTTCCATCCTCACCACCCACCCTCATCATCTCTGCTGGTGGTGGGGTCAGTTCTCACTCAGGACAGCCGCACTCCACTGCACAGGACACTTATGCCACCCTCTTGCCAGATGCCTTTGAAGAAAGAGTCAGACTGGTCCACCCTCCCCCAGCCCCTGGGGCTCCTTGAGCCTCTCTCCAGCCTTGGCAGGAGGAGGAAAAGCAGCACCTCCCTCAGACAGCTGGAAAGGCCCTCTTCCTTCCCAGCTCAGTGGGTCCGGCCAAGGGTCACCAGACGGGTATTTGTCCCCACCTCCCTACCAACCCCAAGAACACACTCCACACCCCTCTTCGCTGCTGCGGTGTGAAGCTTCAGCCTAACCCAATCCCACAGAGTCCATCTCGACAGCCTGGGATGACATGGGTTCCCCAGAGGGGGACAGAGTGCTGGGTGTGGGTGCCAGTTTAGACCCAGGGGGCAGACTTAGAGGAAGCCTCCCAGAGGTGTCTCAGCAGAGAACTAAACCCAGAAACAAGCCCGAAACGCATTCCCATTCTCCAAGCATCAAAAGGCTGGACTATTCAAAACAAACAAAGAGCTAACCTTTTTAGAAAAACAGGCCCAGTGACCATTCAGCCTCTCATTCGTAGTCATCGTTCGCGGTCGTAACTGCTACTTACCGAGAGGTGCTTCGCTGCGGGCGTCGGGCTGGGTGCGTCCTTTACAGACAGGCCATAAGTGAGCACGTGGACTCGCTGTGGGAATTCATATTTCTTCTGCAAGGAAGAATGACTCATATCCAAACTCACTCAGCTGCCAAGGGGGAGGAGGGATTCGAACCCCCATCTTCTACGCTCCCAAACGCATGCCCATAATCCTCCTGTCCCCATGGAATTATCTAGTGGAGAAAAAATATTGATCAGCAAAAAGAGAAAGAAAAATGATAGAACTTCCTAATATGCCAAACATTGTCATCCCGCTTAAGACTAAAGCTCTGTTTCATCCTAAACTCCAAATGCCAACGTGCTCACTGACTTGACGAACGTTGGTTAGGCCTCGTGCATGCGAGGGAGCGTGGTGGTTGCAGGGGGCTGTCGTGACCTATACTTTTCACTCCCACCCCTTCTTTTTCTTTGTAAAGCTATATACCAACTTCAGTTTTTAGAATAAGGAGAGTGCTTTTTGTTGTTGTTGTTTCTTTTTTTTTTTTAGCTCTATCAGAAGAAATTAAACAGAAACAGAATGGAAAATAAAGTGTATTTTTAAATAAACTGAGGACGTGGTTCCCATTGTCCCCCGGAACCTGGTCCATTTAAAGCGGCCTCATTATTTTTAATGCATCCACTTCCTGGTCCCTCTCTTCCTCGGTTTTTCCCATGTCGATCGTCTGAGAAATTCCAGCGGTGACATTTGTTAAACATCAGCCCAAGGCTGGGCAAGGCCTCGGGAGCCAGGCTCTTGCCCAGGAAGGCTCCAGAGACTGAAGCCAGAGCCCTGTAAACTCATCCCTCTGTGTCCACTGCCCTGCCAGGAGCCCCTTCACATCCCACTGCCTGTGACATTCACAGGCAGGAGCGTGCGAACTGAATCCCAAAGAGTGCGCAGAGTATTTTAAAACTGAGCTGCTGTCACACAAGAACTTGTTCCCCCAAAGACCAGAATGTCCAAAAAAAGGAGCAGACGAAACCAAGCATAAGGTGTGCTGCTGTGTGCTCAGATCAGACCCAAACTGAGAGAGTCCTGCTTCTCCCTGGGGTTGGGCCCCTTCCCTCCTTGCTCCACTTCCTGCCGCTTTGACATCTCACGTTGGGCAGAAATCCCAGAGGAAAAAATGCTTTCCGAGACAGGCCCATGGAAGGCCCAACTCACCCTCTGGGACTTATTCAACTTGGATTCATCTGTCTGCTTTTGCCTCTATTTTAACCAAAAGACCCCATGAAGGTAGGGTCTTGGTATGGCCTCTTCACGACTCTGGACCTCAGCACACATCAAGGTTCTGGCACACAGTAGGTGCTCAATAAGGACTTACTGAATGGAAGCCGGGTGTGGTGGCTCACGCCTGTCATCCCAGCACTTTGGGAGGCCGAGGCAAGTGGATCACGTGAGGTCAGGAGTTCAAGACCAACCTGGCCAACATGGTGAAACCCCGTCTCTACCAAAAATACAAAAATTAGCCGGACGTGGTGGCAGGTGCCTCTAGTCCCAGCTACTTGGGAGGCTGAGGCAGATGAATTGCTCAAGCCTGGGAGACGGGAGATGGAGGTTGCAGTGAGCCGAGATCATGCCACTGTACTCCAGCCTTGGCAACAGAGTGAGACTCCATCTCAAAAAAAAAAAAGAATGCAAGAGTGAAGCCACTGATGGCCCCATAGAGCCAGCCTCACCTAGCTTGCTTTCCCCCAAATTTGAGTGTGTTCACTTAGTGGGTGTGGCAAGCAGAATCACGACCCCCAAAGATGTCTGTGTCCTGATCCCCAGAACCCGTGAATCTCTTTTATTACACTTCAAGGAGGAGTTAAGGCTGTAGATGGAATCAAGGCTGCTAATCAGCTGACCTTGAGGCAGGGAGATAGCCCCAGACTATCTGGTGGGCCCAACATCATCACAGGGAGCTTATAAGTAAGAGGAGGCAGGGGAAGCAGAGTCGGGGAAGACATGAGGACAGAAACAGAGGTCAGAGGGATGCACTGCCAGCTTGAGATGGAGGCAGGGGCCACAAGGCAAGGACTGCAGGTGGCCTCTAGAAGCTGGAGAAGGCAAGGAAACAAGCTCTCCCTGGAACCTCCAGAAGGAACAGCCCTGCTGACACCTTAGCTTTAGCCCAGTGAGATCCATGCCGGACTTCTGGAATTTAAGATAATAATCATGTGCTGTTTTAAGCCACTAAGCTTTGTTGATCTCCCGCTGCACAGTGGGAAACTCGTGCGCTGGGAGATGAGGGGAAATGCATGCCATGGCTCTGAGGCTTAATCATTGTTGGACCGGCATGTGTTAGTGCCTGCACCTTTCCGCATTGACTCCATTTAGCAGGAGCATGGCCATGTATAAGTCAGACTCAGTCTCTGCCCTCCAGAGCTCGCCATTTGGGAGATCCCAGGCTAAACCATGTCTAGTGGATTTGTTCATGGCACGTCTTGTCAGAGGCTTCTTAGATGCCAACACAATGAATGTCCAACAGTGCAGAATATAGCCTTCCCCAAATGTAGATGACCATGGAGCATTTTGGGTGGGAGTAGGGGCACTTTCTTTACTTCTAGGGGTGAGATTCGGCCCAGTACTGAGATGGTCTAGTCGCTGCCAACATCAGGGCTTAGGGAAGTTGGCTTTTGTTCTGTCCTGGTTTAGGAGTTGTAGCCTCATGCTCACACTGCAAGGCTGCCCATTGGGGAAGATCTGTTTCTTTTAAGAAATGCCAAATATTTAAACCATCAGTAGATGGTTAAACAATAAAGGCCATGTTAATGTACCTTTCCTTCCCAGCATCTGCATAGGAGTGTGTGTCTTTATCCCAGCCATGTGTGGGCCAAGAATCAAAGAAAGAAAAGAGTGGTGAGAAGAGGATGGGGAAGAAGACTGGCCTGTAGTTGCTCTGTGCTTTACATTTCAGGGATTTCAAGTTTACCAAAGTCTTGTCGAGAAAATGCAGGTGGTTCACTGCAACCTACCAATACTATCCAGGATTGCTTGGGTTGTAAAAGACAGAAAACCCAAGACCAGCTTCAGACATAGCTGAATCCGGGGGTCTAATGTTTCCAAATCTCCATCTCTCTCCTCCTCTTGGCTCTGCTGTTCTTTGGGTTGGGTCCACCCTCAGGACTACTCTCTTAGTGTCCAGATGGCAGGCACAGCTCCTGGCTTTCACCTTGGGCAGCCCCAGTGGACAGAGAGCTTGCCCCTGGGCACTCCAGCAGGGAGCCCAAGGCTATCTCTGACGGTCCTGCCTGAGGTCTTTGACCCTCCCTAAATGAGTCGCAATGGCCTGGGGGATGCTTAGCTGTGTGTACCCACTAGCAGATCCCTGAGACCATCTGGAGCGGGGGGACACATAGCCCATAAACCACATGGGCTGAAAGGGGGCAGTGGTGTTTCCTTAAGGAAAACCAGGACAAGAACGGCACAAGGGAGGGAGTGAGTGCCGGGCAGAAGACATTCGCCCGCTAGACCTGCTTCCCCTGCAGAGAATAGCTCTTCTCAACGGAGCTTCAGACAGTGGCCCAAAGAGTGGTCCCAGCTAAGGTTTCTTATGCCAGTGATGGGCTTGGCACTGTGCCAAGGGCTCCCTGGGCACCGTCTGCTTTCATCCTTGCAATACCCCTGGGAAGCTGGAGTTTGTGGCCCTCTCCCCAGTTCACAGATGGGGAAACTCGGGCTCAGAGACCTTGATTTTGACTCGGGCTCCCAAGTTCTTCGCCACCACCACCACTCTCAGCAGCTTGCAGAGCTGCCTCTGTCTGGATGGTCACCAGGCACAAAGCCCCGCTGACAGCCTGGACAGACATAGGCGGATCCCACCGCCCGAGCTGCCTCCCCTGAAAGGAGGACCTGGGCCTAGCAGGGGGGCACATAGATAGACTTGTCTGCTTCTCCTATTGACTATGAGCTTGTGAGACAGGGACCACACAGGCACACTCCAAGGGCAGCAGGGAAGCTCTGTTGAGCCAGGGAGTTGTGGGGTGGGACAGACAGCTGCAAGGACTTGGTGCTGAAATGCTGGGCTCCAGTGACATCTGAGCATCTGAGGGTCTCAGTTGGAGGAAAAAAGATGGACAAGAAAATGAAAATAAAAGCCTTCCATGGCTGTTCAGGAAACCACATGGGCTGGAGCTGTGCCTCAGAACACAGCTTTGGCCTCAGATCTGAATTCCATGCCCAGCTCTTCTCCTTGCCAGCTGGATGACGTTGGGCAAGTTACTTCACCTCTCTGGTCCTCAGACTTCTCATCCAAACAAGGGCATGTGACAGAATGTACAACTTATAAGGTGGTAGTGAGGGTTAGACAGTAGCATCCAACACCTTAGCACTATGCCTGTTATGAAGGAAGAACTGGTGTCTGCTGCAATCATGATCATGATAATGATGGTGGTGGTGGTGATTGTGATGATGAGAATAATGATGGTGGTGGTGGTGACAATGATGACGATGGTGCTGATGGTAATGGTGATGACAGTGAAGATGATGATGATGATGGTGATGGTGGTGATGGAGGTGATGACAATGATGGCGATGATGGTGGTGGTGATTGTGATGATGACAGTAATGATAGTGGTGATGGTGATGACAATGATGATGATGATGATGGAGGTAGTGATGACAGTGATGATGATGATAATGATGGTGGTGATGATGGTGTTGATGATGGTGGTGGTGGTGATTGTGATGATGACAATAATGATGGTGGTGGTGGTGACGATGATGATGGTGGTGGTGATGGTGATGATGATGGTGGTGGTGATGGTGATGATGATGATGATGGTGGTGGTGGTGACGATGATGATGGTGCTGGTGGTAGTGGTGTTGACAGTGATGATGATGATGGTGATGATGATGGTGGTGGTGATGATGATGATGGTGGTGGTGATGGTGATGATGATGATGGTGGTGGTGATGATGGTGATGATGATGATGATGGTGGTGGTGGTGACGATGATGATGGTGCTGGTGGTAGTGGTGATGACAGTGATGATGATGATGGTGACGATGGTGGTAGTGGTGGTGATGATGATGATGATGATGGTGGTGGTGATGGTGATGATGATGGTGATGATGGTGGTGGTGGTGATGATGATGTGGTGGTGGTGATGATGATGATGATGATGACGGTGGTGGTGGTGATGATGACGATGGTGCTGGTGGTAGTGGTGATGACAGTGATGATGATGATGGTGATGATGGTGGTGGTGGTGATGATGATGATGGTGGTGGTGATGGTGCTGATGGTGATGATGACAGTAATGATGGTGGTGGTGATGACAATGATGATGATGATGGAGGTGGTGATGACAGTGATCATAATGATGGTGGTAGTGGTAATGATGGCATTGATGATGGTGGTGGTGGTGGTGGTGGTGGTGACGGTGATGGTGGTGGTGGTGATGACAATGATGATGATAAAAATGACAACAATAATGATGATGACAACAGTAATAATGATGATGGTGGTGGTGGTGATGACAATGGTGATGATGGTGAAGATGGTGGTGGTGGTGATGCTGGTGACAATGATGATGATGATAGTGATGGTGGTGGTGATGACAATGATGATGATAAAAATGACAATAATGATGATGACAACAGTAATGATGATGGTGGTGGTGGTGGTAGTGGCGACTGATATCACCCTTGCTGCCATCATTCAAGAGACCAGGGTCACTTTCTCAAATTGATGAAACACACTGTAGTCAGGAGGTTGCAATGAGCACACAGACCTTGAATCAGAGTTCTGTTCCAGGCTTCTTACCAAGTGCTGAGCCTTTCTGAGCTGCGGATCCTGCACCTCCCCAGCTCTCGACTCTCCAAAGGCCCTGCCTGGTCTGGCACTGCCACTGTGCTGACCTCACATCCCAGGGCGTTTGCCTTTCACTCACCACCACCCACACTGGCCACCTTAACACCAGGTCCTCAAACACCAGGTGTGTTTCCACCCCAGGGCCTTTGCACTTGCTGCTGCCTCTTCCTGGGACACTTTTCCCCTGTATCCATGAAACTCATGGCCTCCCCTCATTCAAGTCTCTCTGCTCAAATGTGACCTCCTCAGTCAGGTGTGTCCTAAGTCCTCCTCAGGATGACAGCAACACACTCCACTGGACACTTTCTATGCACTTTGCCTGCTTCGTCTCTCTTCACGGTACTCATCACTCCCAGACAAACCATATGTAGATTCTTTTTAACTTATGATGGGGTTACAGCTCAATAAACTCATTGTAAGTTGAAAATATTGTTGAGTCAAAAATGCATTGAGTATGCCTAACCCACCAAACATCCTAGCTTAGCCCAGCCCACCTTACCGTGCTCCAAATGCTTACATTAGCCTACAGCCGGGCAGAATCATCTCACACAAAGCCTATATTATAATAAAATGCTGACTAGCTCATGTAACTTATTGAATACTGGAAGTGAAAAACAGAATGTTTGTGTGGGTACCCGAGGTACAGTTTCTACTGAAGGTGTCTCGCTTTCGTGCTTTGACACATTTGTAAAGTTGAATAATCCTCAGCGGAACTACCGCAAGCCAGGGCCCATCTGGGTTGGATGGCTTTTCATTCATCAAACTGCAAACACTTAAGCCACATGGAGGTGGGGACTCTGTTTTCCCCCAGCATGTGGAACAGGATCTCGCACACAGTAGGTCCGCAGTCTGTAATTGAATCAACAGCAGTTGCCATTTCTGTCACCTGGAAATAGTGACAGTCAGGTCTGGGCAGGAGGCACTGTTGTGGCCACGTGTGCCAGGGCAGGGGTGATTCCAGGGAGGTGAGGGATGACAGTGAGCTTCCTAGGGGTGGAACACGCCCTTCTTGCTAGTGGGGAAAGGTGAGGTGGTGCTTGCCTGCACTGGACGTGGTTAAGCTGCCACCACGGAGGCGCATCCTTAGAGCACAGCTTTAGGCACATCATAAAGATCTTCGTCTGTAGAAAGCCATTTCAATATTTGTGTTAAGTCATCTGGGTTTTGGGTCTCTGTGGTTTTTTGTTGGTATTCAAAATAATTAAAGTACACCCGTGGGTTTTTTAAGAAGCATTTTCTTTTTGTGATCTTAGAAAATCGATTTCAATAAAAGTTAAGGTACTACTGATTTCCCTCAGAAGAAATAGATCCGAATAAGCGCCAATTCTGGTTGCCAAAGGGAGATGAATACATTTTAAAATCTGTCAGGTGTGACCCGAAGTGTCTTTAAAGATGAGTCTGTCACATTTAGGCCCTACTAACTGTTGATAATTAGCAGGCAGTGCCTGGGGATTTAATGTTTATTTCAAGGGGGACCGCTGGGTTCAGTCCCCTCCCCGCTCCACCAGGCGCCTTTCTCTGATGCTGAGCTAAGGGTAAGGGCAGGTGCCTGTGCACCTCAGTCCATGTCCGGATGTCAAGCCCAGAGGTCCAATTCTGAAGTCCACACTCTGCCACCCCAGGGACAACATGCTGACTTCACTCCCCTCCTGACTGGCTCCTTCTGCCCTCCCCCACCCCCAGTTCTACTGCCTGATCCCTGACAGGCCAGCACTGAGACTTTAAAATGACTCAATTGATGGTCTCTCCTGGACAGACACTCCCTCAGCTCCATCATGTCTGAATCCCCAAAATCCAGCTCCTGAGTCTTCAGGCTCCCCAACCCCCACCACACCCCAGAGCTGAAGCTTCCCCTCCTTCTCCTAATAGGGCCTCCTTCCTCCCTGTCTGGGTCTTGAAGGGCGCGAGCATAGCAGGGGCAGACTTGGGTCCTCTGCTCCGTGCTCTGACAGATCGTGGAGGTGGGACCGCCTCTCTGTCAAGCCAGATCCTAAGTTTCTGGTGTTTTGCTTTTTGAGATGAAATCTTGCTTTGTTGCCCGGGCTAGAGTGCAATGGTACGACCTCAACTCACTGCAACCTCTGCCTCCTGGGTTCAAGTGATTCTCCTGCCTCAGCCCTCCAAGTAGCTGGGAAGACAGGCGCCCACCATCACGCCTGGCTAATTTTTGTATTTTTAGTAGAGATGGGATTTCACCATGTTGGCCAGGCTGCTCTCGAACTCCTGACCTCAGGTGATCCACCCACCTCGGCCTCCGAAAGTGCTGAGATTACAGGCATGAGCCACTGCGTCCAGCCCAGATCCTAAGTTTCTTGAAGGCAGGGCTCTGCTGGGTCCCTGGCAGCCCCTGTGGGTGCTCGATGCATGAATGGCACAAGCTTCACTGGGGTGATGGGTGAGCAAATGAGGCACGAGCAGAGCCTTCCATGCCTGGTGGTGGGGTTGTCCTGTGGTGCTTTCCCTCCTTTGCAGGCAAAGGGGCACCCTCTTCCCTCTGCACACAGGCCTGCTCTGCGCAAAGATGAGGCCTCCCCCATGAGCTGGGCCTGTGCAGTTGCCCTGCCCAGGGGAGAGCTGACTCATTCACAGCCCTCAAAAGCCCACTCGGCTCATTTGCTTCAAGAGCCATTTGTAGGGGGTGTTTCCTGGGGCCAAGTGCTGCTGCCAGCTGAATTGACTGGTGCTGGCTGCTGGCAGGGAGGAGTCTCCACCCCCAGATGACCTCAATCCTTTCTCCCAGCAAACTTTCAACCCACCAGTCACTGTAGCCTGATCAGGGTCAAAGCCATGAAGGTCACGGCCACGGCACAGGCCTCTGAGGGCGCCCAGGTGCTCTGGAGGGACAGTGTGTGTCCCGCTTCCTGCAACGACTGTAACAAATTTCCACAAACTGGTGGCTTAAGACAGCAGAAATGTGTTCTCCCACGGTTCTGGAGGTGAGAAGTCTGGAATGAGAGTGTGAGCAGGCCACACTCCCTCTAGAGGCCCTGGGGCAGGGCCCTTCCTGCCTCTTCGAGCTTCCCGGGCTCCAGGCGTTCCTCAGCTTGAGCTGCATCACTCCAGCCTCTTCCTCGGTCTTCACTGGGCCTTCTCTCTCCTCTGTGTGTCTGTGTCCTGTGTCCAAATTTCCCTCTTCTTATAAAAACTCCACTCATTAGATTAGGGCCACTGGAGGAGTGGGTCAAGAGGGCACTCCCCTCTGGGGAAGGCAGGCTGGCACAGCTTTTTGGAGGGAGGCAAATGGCTCCTAGGTGGTGCCACCAGGAGGGGTGGGGAGGGTACCTTTGCTCAGGGCAGAGGGAAACAAAAGCAAAAACCAAGTCCTGCTTGTGGGAGGCCCTGGCCCTCTCAGGGAAGCGAAAGTTGCTCAGTCTCCAAAAACACTTGGCCTGAGATGACCGAAGACGCCTTGGGGGCTGCAGCCCAGGCTTATTGCTTTGGAAGTCACCGGCTGTGGGAAATTGGCATCTGGAGCCGAGAGCCAGCCAGGGCTGCTGATGTGGCTGCCGGGGATGAGGACTGGGCAAAGGTATCGGGTTCTCCCTTCTCAGCCCATAAACCGGACTCCTTGAGCCCAGACTGTAGCTCGGAGCTGCTATGTTGGTTTCCTGGGGCTGCTGTAACAAATGAACACACACTTAGAGGCTGAAAACAATAGAAATTCATTCTTTTCAGCCCTGGAGGTCAGAAGTCCACAGTGAATCTTAGGGGGTAAAACCAAGTCATCCGCAGGACTGGTCCCTTCACAGGCTCCGTCCCTGCCGCTTCCAGATTCTGCTGGTGTCAGCGACGCTGGGCTGGTGGCTGCATTACCCAGCTCTCTGCCATGTCCTCTCTGTCATCAGCTCTCCTCTGCCTCTTGTGTTACAAGGGCTCTTGTGGTGACATTAGGACCCACCCGAATAATCTCCCCATCTCAAAGTCCTTAATGTCATCATATCTATTAATACAAAGCACTTTTGCCACGTAAGGCCACACAGTCACAGGTTCTGAGGATGGGAACATGGACATCTCTGGAGGCCAATATCCAGTCGATGGCCACCCCTCCACCAGCTGGAAGGATCCCACAGAGGCAGAAGGAAGAGAAACACCCCCCGTTTTAATTGACAAACTGTGGTTTTATGCATTCACGAGGTTCAATGTGATGTGGTGGTTTCGTTTTGTTTTGTTTCTGGCTTGAGACAGAGCCTCACTCTGTCATCCAGGCTGGAGTGCAGTGGCACAATCTCAGCTCACTGCAACCTCTGCCTCCTGGGTTCAAGTGATTCTCGTGCCTCAGCTTCCTTAGTAGCTGGGATTACAGGCATGTGCCACCATACCCAGCTAATTTTTGCGTTTTTCGTAGAGATGGAGTTTCACCATGTTGCCCAGGCTGGTGTCGAATTCATGGTCTTGAGTGATCCTCCCACCTTGGTCTCCCCAAGTGCTGGAATGACAGGTGTGAGCCACTGATCCAGGCCTCAATGTGATGTTTTCATATATGTATACAACATGGTATCATCAAATCAAGCTAATTAGCATATCTATCACCTCATCCTCCTTTCATTGTTTGGGGTGAGACATTTGAAACATTTGAAATTCTCTGCTATTTGGAAATGGGTAATAGCATACTATTGACTGCAGTCCCTCTGGTGTGCTATAAGTGGAAAGGCCCCGTGCCTCCTGCCTATCTGAAACTTTGTATCCTTTGATTGGCAATTCTCCTTCCCTCTTTCCCATCCCCTTGCCTCTGGTTGCCCTGGTTCCACTCTTTACTTCTGTGAGTTCAACCTTACTAGATTGCACACATTCAAGGTGAGCCGTTGAGGGCCAGAGTGGGGACCAAGAGACTGGTGGGAGGGAGGGACCTCGTGCCCAAGCCAGGGGGATGAGGGTACAGAGATGAGCAGGATAGTCTCCAAAGACCCCTTCAGTGCTCTGAGGCGCAGTGGCTGTCACTGCCGCTGTCACTACAGGTGTTGACCGGGCACCAGGGCACACCTGAGCACTGGCCAGGCCGCCAGCCGACTCTCAGGCATCAATTTCCTTGGATGCTTCCGACGTACATCCACACTGGCCAGCAAGCCTCCTCTGGCATCAGGGAGTGTCCTTCCTGCCTGCAGAAGCACCTTGAACTCCCGGGGCCCAGGGAATCTGTGTGGCACCGGTCCCCTCACTGGCACCCAACCCCCCCTCCTCACGGTCCATCATTTACTCACTGCTTCGTTGGACATATTCACTGTGGCTACTCTGTGATAGGCCCTCTGCAGGGTGCCAGACACTCAGGGAGAGGACAGACGTGGCCCCTGCCCATGAAGCTTGCAGTCCAGGGAGGAAGGAGGAGGCAGGAAAGGACCTGGGCTGTTAGAACCATTTCCAACTGTGGTCTGTGCTGTGAAGGACGGAAATGCAGGATGAGGTAGTGGGTCCTGGGAAGGCTGGGGCAGCATGACCCCAGATTAGGTCTGATCATCTCCTCTGTCAGGAGAGAAGCAGTCTCATTGTGGACGGACTGCAGGCCCAGGGCTGGGAAGGGCCTGGCAAGTTTGAGGACCAGAAAAGAGACCCCAGTGATGGTCGTCGGGGAGAGGCGGGTGCAGGCAGGTGCCCCTGGGAGAAGCTGGGAATCTACCTCAAAGGCCCAGGGCAGCCTTTTCAAGTAGCTGAAGAAGCTGGTGTGATTCTGTCTGGAGAGGACTCCCTGGGTGGGGAGAGGAGATTAGTGGGAAGGGAGCAAAAAAGATGGGAGAGTGAGCAGAGGGAGGCGGGAGAGGGGGGGGGTCTCTGAAGGGTAGAATCCGCAGAACCCACTGTGAAGGGGTGGGCAAGGGAGGAGCCCACAACAGTGTCTGAGTGGCCAGTGGTGCCGTTTACTGAGACGAGGCCCCCGGACTGTGGCTTCTGCCCATCTGGAAGAAGGAAGAACAGCTCCAGGGTCCTTGCGCTGATTTAACCTCATCTGTTCATCTGGGTGTGAAGGAGAGCTGCCTTTTTTGTCTTCAAATTGGGAAGATGATGCAGGTTCTTTGTAAAAGAAAAAACAGAACACATAGGAGGAGGAGGGAAAGAAGTGGAGGGAAAGAGGGAAAGTAGAAGGGTGGATGGAGGGAGAAAGAGAAGGAGGGAGAGAGAGAAGGGAGAAAGGGAGGAAGGAGGAATAAATGAACAGAAACTGAACCACCACAGAAGGAATGAGTGAAAGCCTCCCTGGGTGAGGACCAGGCACACGGCGTGCCCGGTTCCCTTATGGATGCTCTTTCACGTGGTACAAATTTGCACAGGTCCCTTTAACGACATCTTGTGATCTTGTGTCTCCAGCTCGATGGGTGTGAGCCAGGGAAAGACAAGAGCTCGGTGATGTAGATCCAGGGGTCAGGCTCCGGGTTTGGGGCCTTCACGGGGCGGTTTCACTTGATCTTCTCATCAGACCCTGCCAAGGGACCTGCTTGCTCCCGTTTTCCTGACAAGGAAGCTGAGACTTGGGGAAATGAAGTCATTTTCCCAAAGCCATAGAAGGCGCAGGTGGGACTGGACCCAGCTCTTCTCTGTGGTTCCAACAAACCCTCCAAGATCGAGAGTCTACATCAGCAAAACCCGCTTTCATTCATGATTCACTTCGCCACTGAGTGCGTATCTGTTCCACTCCTGCCTATGAGGGTCTGTGGGAATGTGAGGATGAATTCCACCTCAGTTCCCTCCAGGCTCCTGCCTTGGGTCTCTGATATCGTGTTGCACTATGATGCTTCTGTGTCCCCTCCAGCCTGAGGCGTCTATGAGGACAGAGAATAGCTTTCTCTTCTCCCTGTGGCCTTATGGTTAGCACATGCCTGGTGCATAGTAGGTGGTCGGCAAAGCTTTGTTGGATGGATGGCTGCAGGAGCACATGGATGGGGGATGCCTGCCTTCAAGGAACTCACAGATGTATAGAGCAGGGGATGGCAAACTCCCATCCATAGGCCATTTGTATAAATCAGACTTTATTGAAACATGGCCATGCTCATTCATTCCATATTGTCTGTCTGCTTTTGCATTAGAGTGGAGTCATTGCCAAGAGGCCAATACAGGTTCGCTTCGTGGGTATGTGACCTGTACAGTTGTATAGTTGTATGGGGTCTGTGTCACCATCTTGAACATCTGCTGTCACTATCTTGACCATCTGCTGTCACTATCTTGAAATAAGTAAGAATTCATACAAATGGCCTATGGATGGGAGTTTGCCAACCCCTGCTCCGTACATCTGTGAGTTCCTTGAGGGCAAGCATCCCCCATCCATGCGCTCTTGCAGCCATCCATTCAACAAAGCTTTGCCAACCACCCACTACGCAAACCCTGTAATTTCATTGCGCATGGAGCCCCACCCATTACGTAGCAGGTCCTCTGCATATGAACCATAAAGCCTAAAAATCTTACCATCTGGCCCTTTACAGAAAAAGTCAGCCGATACCTAGCCTAGAAAATCAAACAGGCCCCTGACTTATGACAAATTCAAGCTAGAAAGTGCCACATGCTGTCGGGAGGGGCAGGCACAGTGTCTCAGGAGTCTGCAGGACAGAGAAACCCCTCATAGCTGAGGGGCTCAGGAAGCTTTCTAGACGTGATGACTGCAGCAGCCCTGGGCACCTTGAGGCATCCGGCGGTTGGGTGGAAGACACAAATATGGACAGACCACAAGGGCAGCTCAGATACCACCATGCCAGGAGAGGGAGTCAACCTTTCTTCTTTCATGATCAAAGCAAAGTATGTAAAAAACCAACAAAAATTATTCATCTAGAAGAGAAGAGGAGCAATTATGCATTGATTTCTGTCCACCTGCCCTGGCATTTATTTTGCTGTTGTAGCCGCAAGCTTGGATGGTCTCTACTGCAGGAGAGGGGCTGGCTGCAGGCACTGCATATACAGAGGATATAGGCAAAGGGCATCAGAAGGAGAAAATCCCTGTGAGGATGAGCAGAGAGCTAAGGCACTCTTCCCAAACCCCCCACATAAAGAAGCGCAAGGTTCTGCACAAGTGATAGTTTAAAATATTGGGGCTTTTGCACTTAACGCAAAAGACAAAGACAAAAAAGAACATTTGAACACACAGGGGCAGCCAGAGGCAGGAAAGCCTGAACAGAGCCCAGCAGGGACTCTGCTTAGTCAATATTTGCTGTATTGACAAACTATTGTTCTTGCCGCATCCCAGACCAGGAAGGGGCAGAACAACAGGATCTAGTGGGCCACACCTTCCTCTCTGCAGCCAAGTGGGCTCCTATGTTGGGGGACCCCATGGGACTCGGTGCTGTTAGACACTCCAAGGACCAGGGGTGCAGTGGTACCACAGCCCCTCTTGGCCAAGCCTCCTTTTCTTTCCTGGAAATCCCCAGTGGGGCTGTGCACAGGGAAACAAGGTGCTGCTTTCCAGCCAGCCGAGAGCTATGACCCGTGGAGCTGCCTGGCAGCGGGACCAGGGCTAGTGTCAGGTCCAGCCCTCCAGGAGGATTGTGTCCACCCATGCAGACATCAGCTGCCGATGGCCAGCTAGGAGTGTGTTGGGAGAAGACTCAGCAGCTGAGCGTGTGGAGAGAAAAGGAAGGGGCCAAGCCCTGCGCTGGCGAACTTTTCACTTATTATGACCCTGCTTTTTTTTTCTTTAAGCAAAACCAAAATAATAATTCATTACTTTGTAGATTATTTCTTCTTTCTATACATATTACCTGACCTTTGTCCTATTCTTGCAAATTCTCAACCATTTTAACTGGTAGCCCAGTAAGCTGTTGCTATATATATATATATATACTTTAAGTTCTGGGATACATATGCAGAACGTGCAGGTTTGTTACATAGGTATACAGGTGCATTGGTGGTTTGCTGCACCCATCAACTCATCATCTAAGTTTTAAGCCCTGCATGCATTAGGTATTTGTCCTAATGCTCTCCCTCCCCTTGCTCCCCACCCCCTGACAGGCCCTGGTGTGTGAGTGCCCATGTGTTCTCATTGTTCAATTCCCACTTATGAGTAAGAACATGCGGTGTTTGGTTTTCTGTTCCTGTGTTAGTTTGCTGAGAATAATGGTTTCCAGCTTCATCCATGTCCCTGCAAAGCATATGGACTCATTCTTTTTTATGGCTGCATAGTATTCCATGGTGTATATGTGCCACATTTTCTTTATCCAATCTATCATTGATAGGCATTTAGGTTGATTCCAAGTCTTTGCTATTGTAAGTAGTGCTGCAATAAACATACATGTGCACGTGTCTTTATAGCAGAATTATTTATCATCCTTTGGGTATATACCCAGCTGTAGGAGTCTCCTGAGACTGTTGTAACAAACCACCATCAACTGGGGGCCTTCAGCAACAGAAATTTATTCCCTCACCATTAGGAGGCCAGAAGTCCAAAATCAAGGTGCCAATCAGGCCACACTCCCTTGGAAGGATCTGGAGTAGAATCCTTCCTTGCCCCGTACAGTCCCTGGTGACTCCAGGTGTCCCTTGGCTAAGGCACATCACCCCAATCTCTGCCGCTGTCTTTACCTGGCCTTTTCCTCTTCTACCTGTGTCTCTCCTCTGTGTGTCCTTTACAGTTGTCCCTGGATTTGGGGGTCACTTGGATAATCCAGGGTGATCTCATCTTGAAATTCCTAATTACTCTATAAAACCCTCATTTCAAATAAGTTCACGGTCACAGGTTCTGAGGTTAGGGCATAGGCTCAGTTTTCTGGGGTACTGCTCAGCCCACTGGTAAGGAAGGCCTGCTCGGTGACTCTTCCTCCTTGACAATAAAGACAAAAAGGGCTGAGGACCCTCTCTCTTCTATGCTGGCCCTGATGTCTGACTGTGTGTGGTTTGTTTGTGTTTTTGTTTTGTTTTGTTTTGTTTTTTTAAGACAGAGTCTCGCTTTGTCGCCCAGGCTGGAGTGCAGTAGCACGATCTCGGCTCACTGCAAGCTCCACCTCCCGGGTTCATGCCATTCTCCTGCCTCAGCCTCCCAAGTAGCTGGGACTATAGGCACCCGCCACCACACCCGGCTAATTTTTTGTATTTTTAGTAGAGATGGGGTTTCACCGTGTTAGCCAGGATGGTCTCAATCTCCTGACCTCGTGATCTGCCCGCCTCAGCCTCCCAAAGTGTTGGGATTACAGGCGTGAGCCACCGTGCCTAGCCTGTATGTGGTTTTTTACATGCCTGCCTTTCTCTCCCGAGGCTGGGGCCATGTCTCAGGCATGTCTGTGTGCTCAACATCTCAGGCAGCAGCTGTGCCTGACTGTCACTCAATAAACATGTGTGCAACGAACAAATGAATGACTTGTAGGGTTCCTTCCTCTCTCATCTGTCGGCCTTTAGTGCCATCCATCTTCCCTAACACAGAAGTCCCTGCCTTCAAGAGGTACACCCAGGTGGAAGTGCCTCTCGGAACTCCACCCTGAGAAATCCAGCTTAGGCGGCCCAGCCTGTTTTGCTCCTCCTGATTGAGATTTGCAGGCAGGGAAGGACAGGTGTGACAGGGACCTGGGCAATACTCAGTGGAGCAGGGCAGGTGGGGGTTTGGAATTGGTCTCAGGAGCTGTTGGGAACTGTGGAGAAAGAGAAGAATTGGGATTTGGGAATAGTTAATGTATAGGGGTGGTTGGAACAAATGAGCAAGATATGATTACAAATGGGGCTATGGAGGACCAAGCTCACCTTCTGAGGACACCACACGCAGAAAGCAAGCAGAGAAAGGAAAGGCAGGAGACCATCGCGGGGCAGAGGGAGGCCCAAGCATGAAGGTGGGTCACAGACGCCAAGGAAGGACCCAGGTGGCCTAGTGGGAAAACACAACCTTCAAGGGCAAGCCAGCATGGATGCAAACCTGCCTCTACTGCATGACAGCTGAGGGGTCCCTGGGAGAGGCGCTCCCTGAGCCTCAGCTTTGACTTCTGAAAAGGTTGCTTGAAGACTTGAAACTCTATACCCGAAGCACCTCATGGAACAGCTGCCAGGAAACCCGGTTTTTTCTGCTTGTTGAGTACTCACTAGGCGCTGGGCTCTGGGCAAGTAGTTTACCACATAGTCATTTGACTCTCACATCAACCCCTGGGATGAGCACAATTACTGCCATTTGCAGCTGGGGAAACTGAGGCAGGTAAGAAACTTGTCTATGGTCACTCATCTTATTCCATGGCAGGGTCTTGAATTACAACCCAAGGAGAAAGCAGTGAACTGCTACTCCTGCTGCAAAGAAAAGGTGAGTGAGCATGAGGATTAAAACGTGACTGTCGTGGCCAGTCGCAGTGGCTCATGCCTGTAATTCCAGCACTTTGGGAGGCTGAGGCAGGAGGTTTGTGTGAGGAATGGAGAAGTTCTTCTTCAAAGTTTCTTAAAACCATAAAGAGCTTGTCATTTCTTTGCTCTATGCATATCTATATATGTTCCAATGCAGCTGCTCTGACTTGACCTGGCATTCTTGGACAAGGTTAAGCAAGACCCAGACCATAGTGCATGCCATTCCTTATTTGGAAACCCTCCTGACCCTCTCATGACTAGCTTCCTCTTTTCTTTGTTCTCTTTCCCCTTTGCCTATTTAGAAAAGTTTCAAGCTGTTAGCCAATCGGGTCAAGCTTAGAATGTGAGGTCCCATTCCGACCAATGGAAATGTGACACAGCCATAGGACAATTGCATCAGGTTACAAAGATTATAAACATCCCCATCTCCTTTGTTCGGGTGTGCTCTCACGGCAAGACTGCTAGTGAGCAGCACCCTTTCTGCAGAAAGTAAACTAGCCTTGCTGAGAGATCCTTTGTCTCAGTGTTGATTTTGCGACACCGAGCACCCATTTCCAACAATTTGGTGGGCCATACAGGGACTCTGTTTCCCCTCTGGGACAGTCCTTGGTCCTCTCTTGTGGGGAGGTGCCCTGCCACCCTATTGCAGTGGCCCCCAGGGAGAGAGCCAGGACTTACCTGGTGCAAGAAACACATTTGGATTCTCAGCAATGCAGGGGAGAAGGAGAGACTTTCAAAACCGCAGGACCAGAAGACCTCGTGCATGAGCCAAGGTAGGAAAAACCTCAGAGGAGCAGTAAAGTACTTCCTTGATGGTCAGTTCTCGAAGGGAATGTGTGTATGAGTGAATGGTTTCAGTTAAGACAGAGTGAGTGTGAGAGGAGTGTGTATAACCTTCGGGAGAGAAAATAGAAGGGGGAAGGGTTATCTCCCAGGGAAAAAGCAATACAGGAGAAAAAATGGAAGAGAGAAAGGTTATCTCTCAGGGAAAAAGGATACAGGCAAGATATTTCTGGGGTAAGAAATTTAGCCTTAAAAAAGCCATTAAGGATAGGACAGGCAAGACATCCCTGGTCTGGAGGATCTGGGGGATTGAGTCTGCTGGGAAAGGTTTTCATCCAACATGGGGAATACTTCTAGTAAGTCTGGAATAGGAAGTAAGGCAGGTAACAAAGGAGATCAGAGTGATCGAATCCTTCCTGATAGTCCTTTAGGACTCATGCTTAAACACTGGAAAGAGAACAAAAGGACCAAACATAAGAAAAAGCAACTAATGATTAAGTACTGTTGCTTTCTTTGGACCCAAGAGCTTATTTTGAAACCTGCCATCTTCTGGCCGAAATATGGCTCAGATGAAGACCAGGTATGCCAACTTTTAATAATGTATGTTAATAGCAAAACTCCTGCATCCTCAATTATGCCCTATGCTGGCAGCAAGGGCAGGTTTCTCTTTATCCCTTGAAGGACTTAAAACAAGAAATAGATGCAGGCAAAAAGTCAGAAAGTATCCAGTAGGACCCTTTAAACCATCTTCCCCCTTTTCTAGTCCCACCTCCCCTTCCGCAGGTGGTAGTCCTACCTCCCCTTCCGCAGGTGGTAGTCCTACCTCCCCTTCTGCAGGTGGTAGTCCTACCTCCCCTTCCGCAGGTAGTAGTCCCACCTCCCCCTCCACCTCAAGTGACTATTCTGATTCTGGAAGAGGGCGTCCAGAAGTCCCTGAAGAGCATGATCGCTGTCATTTCTCTTCAAAATGAGGACTCCAAAGAGCAATAGAACAATGCAGAAAGGATATTCAGAATCTTCCCTTTCCTCCCACTTCCAAAGAGCCAGCTTTTCAGCTCTTTCCTCTAAAGGAAGTGCCACAAGGTGGGGGTGCAACTGGATTCATAAATCCCCCCTTAACTGCTCCTGAAATTCAGGGTCTAAAGAAAGAACTCAAGCCTCTGCTAGATGACCCAGAAGGAGTAGCAGAGCAAATCGATCAGTTTTTAGGTCCCCAACTATATTCCTGGACCAAATTAATGTCGATCCTGGGTATTCTCTTCTCAAAGGAAGAGTGAAACATGATTCACAGAGCTGCTATGGCAGCCTAAGAACGTGATCACCCTGCCAGCCAAGATAATCTGGCAGCGGATACCAAATTCCCTGCTCAAGACCCACAATGGGATAATAATAATGCAGCTCATTGGGAAAATATGGAAGATTTGTGTGAGCTAATCATAAGGATTAAAGAGTCTGCACCCAGACCACAAAACCTTACTAAGGTTTTGTGTCTTACTAAGGTTTTGATGTGCAGCAAGAGAAAGACAAAGGGCCCATGCACTTTTTAGACAGGTTGAGAGAACAGACGAGAAGGTATGCTGACTTAGATCCTAATAGTCCTCTAGGGCAAGGTATGTTAAAATTACATTTTGTTACAAATTATTGGCCAGATATTGCAAAAAAGTTACAAAAGATAAAGGAGTTCGAGAGTGGCCTGGCCAACATAGTGAAACCCGTCACTACTGAACACATAAAAATTAGTCGGGCATGGTGGCACGCACCTGCAATCCCAGCACTTGGGAGGCCGAGACATGACAATCGCTTGAGCCTGGGAGGCGGAGTTTGCTGTGAGCCAAGATTGTGCCACTGCACTCCACCCTGGGTGACAGAGCGAGACTCTGTCTCAAATAGAATAAAATAAAATGTGACTATTGGATGAGGCAGTTCAGAGCCCGGTCGAAGGACACTGACTGCTGCAGCACGATCTGTGAAGACAGGTCAATCAGAGCAGATGGAGCTGCCTTGGAAAGGAGACTATGAAGCCATCTGAAGGCCAGGGCTATGAATGAACAGCTGCACAGATTCCATGTGCTGTCAGAAAACAGAACTTAGAAGAAAAGGTGTAAGTCTTAAAGAAGCCATCAGCAAATGTCAAGTTGAACAAAGAACTTTCTAAGCATCATAGCTCGAGGGCCCTGTCAGTGGAGAGGTTCTGGGAGCTTGGTGGGGACCTGATGGACAGGGTTCAGGCACTGATTAAGGTTTAAAGAAGGGGGACTCTCCATTGCCCTCCAGCCCTGAGACTCCATGAGGCTGTGATGCTTTGGGGCACACCCACCCCACCCCATGTGTGACAGTAGGGGCAGGGGATGCCGACCTCAGCTCCCCTAAATCACAAGCAACATTGGCAACCACATCACATTTCAATTTATCTGCAAAAAAATAAATGGGTCTTGTGAGTGCTATTTGGCAGTTGCAAACAGGAGAGGGCAAGTAAATTAATGTTTTCTGTGAACCTTGACCCCTGGATCACAAAGCAAGGGTTTACCCCTCATACCAATATTTACTCTTTTTATTCGATATTTCACATCTGGGTTTGTGTCATTGATTTTTTGCATGGGGACATTTATACATGGAATATTGAGATTGGAGATTTAAATTTACACACGCACAACTATTTAGGCTGGGGGAAAACTGACCTCTAGACTCACACACACATTTAAGTGATGGTTTAAATTGCCACATTTCATCCAGTTGGCAGAACTATGTAGAAAGAACTAAACTGACTTTCATGAAAAGATGTGAGCTCAAATAACAACAACAGCAGCAACATAATAGCAGTAGGTATTCGTGTAAGCACCACAGGGGCAGACATTTTTGTCTGTTTTGATAGCTGCTGTAATCCCCAGCATCTAGAACAAACCCTGGTGGGAAGGAGGTTCTCGGTGAAAATATGTTGAAAAAACAGTAATCCTGCTGTACTTCCTTCCCTATTAGTAGAGGATGTTGGAGGAAATTTTCTGTAACCTGCAATGTTTTCTTTCAAGAGGAAAGAACAGGGGAACTCTCCTCAAGTTCCTGGTTATTTTCCTGCTGTGGGTTAAACGCATATGTCTTTAATTTCTATTTTTAAAAATTTACCAACATACCATCAGCAATAAGCATGCCTATTTACTTGGATTGTGGCTTCTAACTATCATTCTCCATAAAAAGGAACTAGGGCACCTCAGAGAAATGACTGATACCTGGGCTGAGGTAGGAAAAGCACAGGAGAGGCTTGAGCATCAGTGTGCATGAGAAAGCAGGGGTGAGCTCGATGGTCGTAAGAACACAGCAGAAGGATGCATGAGAGGCTCGCAATTCTGACCATAATGTAGTAACAGGGGTCAGACTTAATCTGTCCCTTCCCCAGCCTTAAGCAACAAACAGACAAAATATAGGAAGCAGTGGCTTTGAAATGTGGGACAGCAGCCCTGAGGCAGCTCAGGGCTGATTCCTGAGAAAAGTGAAGCAAACAAGTTGAAGGCATGAAAATTGTCCAATCTTCCTTCCTAGAGGTAGTTTTCAGGCTGCAGCACAGGGAGAGGAACTCAGGCAGCCAAGCAGTCTCACTGTATTGAAGACAAAAAGATTAGAGTTCAAGGAGCCCAAAAAGTTAAAGTGTGTGAATCAGAATACCCAAGAGGGGGATGTTGCATTCATGCATGCGTGCGTATGCACGCACACACACACATACATATACACAGAGAGAGAGAGAGAGAGAGAGAGATTGAGAGATTGAGAGAGAGAGAGAGAGAGAGAAATCTGCAGAGAGGTGCCCTTAAGTCTTTGGCTGAGTACTAATCTACATAAGCATGAGAGGAAACTACCCAGGGCTAGGGAAAGAACCACCAGAAGATAGTAGATTCAGCACTTCTGAGGGCTTACAGAGGGCTGGGAATAGCTCATGGTCTCACCAGCTGAGGTGAAAAGATCCACAGGGCATCACTGAGCAGGATTCCCAGAAGAGTATCATCGGGATTCAAGGCTTCTCTGTATCTGCCCTATCAAAGTGTAGGAGCAAACCCTGAATGGATTCGATGGATTCTAAGCAACTTAACTGCATGCTCATACAGATTCTAACACGAATTAAAGAACAAGCAACAAAATCTAGCACTCAACAACATAAAATTTTAATGTCTGGCATTTAATAAAAAATTAGCAGGCAAGCAAAGAAGTGAGAGAATATGACACATAACTAAAAGAAAAAATAATCAATAGAAACAGACCCAGAAATGAGACAAATGATAACACTGGAAGAAAAGAATATTAAAATGATTAAAAGTGTGCTGCATCTGTTCAAAAAAGTAGAGGGAATCATGAACTGATAAGGAAAAGAATGAAAGCTATTTTTGAAAAAATCCAAATGGAACTCCTATGGTTGAAAACTACACAGAATGGGAGTAACAACAGATAGGGTACGGCAGAAGAAAGGATCAACAAAATTGAAGACATAGCAATAGAAACCCTTCAAAATAAAACACAGAGAGAAAAAACACTGGGAAAAATACACAGAACACCATAGATTTGTGGAACAATACCAAGTAGTCCAACATACCTGTGCTAAAAGTCCAAGAAATGGAAGTGGGGTGCAGAAAAAAGTATTTGAAGAAAAAGTGATAAAAAACTTTCCTTTGTTAATGAGAAGTATAAGCCCACAAATCTAAAAAGCTTAATACATTTCAATCAGAAGAAACATGAAGAAAACACACCAAGGCACATTATAATCAAACTGCTGAAAACAAGTAATAAAAAAATATTAAGAGCAGTCAGAGAAAAAGGACATATTATGTAGGGGAAGAAGAGTTTGGCATGCTTCTCATCAAAGTATATGCTAGTCAGAAGACAATGGAACAATATCTTTAAAGCATGAAAGAAACAGAACGCCAACCTAGAATTCTATACTCAGCAAAAATATATTTCAAAAATAAAGGTGAAATAAAGACTTTTACAGAAGAACAAAATCTGAGAAAATTCATTGCTAGCAGACCTATACCACAACAAATGATAAAGGAAGTTATTCAGGCAAAAGGAAAATGATAACAGATGAAATTGGGATATACACAAAAGGATGGATTGTACCAGAATTAGTATATAATAATAAATGTGCATGTTAATATAAAACGTTTTCTCAATTTTAATCTCCTTAAAAGTTAATTAGCTGTTTATACCAAAAATAATAACTGTATTATAGCACTATGACATACATAGAAATAAAATGTAATAGGACAGTAGCACAAAGGAAGGAGAGAAATGGAAGTATATTGTTGAAAGGTTTTTAAACTATATGTGAAGGGGTATAATATTTGAAAATATACCATTATAAGTTTACAACTATGTTGTAAACTCAAAAGCGACCACTAAATAAAAGTAAAATAAAGCAAAAAGTGCTAAGAATCCAACAGTAAAGATAAAATGGAATAACAAACAATATCCATTTAATACAAAAAAAGCACACATGTGCTGTATATATATTATATATCAAAATGGTAGATTTATATGCACGTTTATTAATACGTTAAATGTAAATGGTCTACACACTCCAATTAAAAGGCAGAGATTATAGTTTGAATCAAAAAGCAAAACCCAATTGTATGCTATTTCCCTCAAAGGGACAAAGAAGTCAGCTGGAAGGTGCTACCATGGGCCAGGTATAGAACAAATTATTCATCAAAATAAATAATGATAGTACTTGATTGTAACCCACTGAGTAAAATAGGAATCTATTAGTCCAAATGGAAATAAATAATGAAGAAGGAAAGTTATTATTTACAATAGAATGCCAACTTATAAATATAGAAGGAAACAATCAATAGATTCTAAAGCTAGTACTGATAGTAAATGTTTGATGAGGAACAGGATATTTACATAGTCATGAAGTATCTCCTCATCAATTTCTTATTAATTACAAAGGTCAAAATAGTGGCTGGCATATATTCTTTAAAACTGTTATGATCACAAAGGCTGTTACGATGATAAAGGCTGAAACTGTTCCGGATTAACAGAGACTAAGAAGACATGACAACTCCCTGTAATACTTGATCTTAGATTGAATCCTGGACCTGGAAAAACAAGCTGTTAAAGACATTATTGGAACAGTGCATGAGATTTGAATAAAGACTATAGATTAGATTACAGTATTGCAATGTCTTCAAACATAAAGAAATATTCAGTAAAGTATGTAGTTTTTAAATTACACTCCCATGTTTTAGGGGAAAATGCATAGATATATACAAATATAAAGATAGAACTAGAAATGGGGATATGAGAAGACAGAAACATAAGATAGAAGGCAAGTAAGAAATATAAGGTAGAACAAACTGATAAAGAAAATGTGGCAAAGCATCAACAGCTAGTGAATCCAGGTAAAGGCTAAACAGGCATTCCTTGTGCGATCTTGGCAATTTTTCTATATGTTTGGGATTATATCAATATAAAGAGTTACCAAAAACATACGTGACATACACATTTTTAAAAATCCAATATTTCCTTTTTCATTGGTAGAAGTCCAACTCACAAGTACTCTAGAAGCAAAATTTCTGAAACTGCCATGATGCCCTAGAAGTAAAATCTCTGGAACTGCCAGGATGTTAAGAAGCTCTGCTTATATAGAAAGAAAACAAATCTGAAGAATACGTTTTCTTGAGAGAAAAAATATCATCAATAATCTTCCACTCGGCCCTAAAATTCTATGATTGGTGACATTAAAGAACAACAGCAACAAAATCAGAAAATATTCCAGGCCAGGCCACCAGGGCAAATGCTTGATCTGTTCATCGATGGAGGGTCTAGCTTGTCTGGATGTGAGGCTGGACATGACTCATACAACTGATTTTTTTTTTTCCGTATCATATGGGAAGGGTGTTTAAGGGAAGATCTTCACTTTCCAAGGCTCTCTTCCCACAATATCCACGTGAAAAGATGTTTCAAGATGAGCTCTCCTCAGCAGAGCCAGAACCATACTGGCTTCAGACCAAAAGGAGGACTCCTGTGTTGTGTGAGATGGAATGGACTCATGTTAGAAAAATTGAGAAAGATATGAATGTAAGATGGTGAGGGTTTTGTTCATTTGGGAACTGGACTTTAGAGAACAAGGAATGTGCCTCACCCCTCCATCCAGTCTTTTCTTGCTCTGGACATCTAACTCATGTCAACTTAGACGACTGTTCAAAAACCAAGTGAGGGAGAGGATGGTGGAGCTCAGTCCCCAGATCACTGGGACTCTGTCCTTGAGTCTGGCCATGATTCAAGTTAACATGGGCTGCAGAGGGATGAGCAAAAAGGACTCGATGCATGACAGAGGTGCAGGAATAATTATGAAACAAAGGTTGAGCTCATTGGGTTCAGCAAAAATGCCCAGTGTTAGTCTATGTCATTGTGCCAATTTTCTGATCTTTTTAATAAAAGCTTGTATGGTTCCCTGTAAAATGATTTGCAGGACTCTTGGACTCTTTTTATTTATTCAAGCATTTGCATGCCAGGGCAAGATGGCACACACCATAGCTGGTCATTGACTGCTGTCAATCTAAGACTTCACGCCTGGGGGTGGGAGGCTGTTAACATACCTGCAGCTCTGAGACCCCCGTATTCCAGTGACAGTGGACTTGGGAGACAGCTTAGCAAAACCTACCAGGGCAAAAGAAGAGGCTAAGAGTATCTCAAAAGCAGTAAAGTGTTTGGAAGAAATAAATAAAATGTAGCTTGTTATTTCAAGCTTTTCTAGGAATATGGCCATTTGAGATTCATGAGACTACCCGGCCACTGAGAGAAGTGGCCAATTCCAGGTCCCAGGGCGAGAAAGGACTTAATGATCCTGGAGGATTTTGCTCTTCCAGGTGGCAAAGAACTCCTCAAAGCTGAATGAGTCAGGTCAGAAAGACACAGGGGCTCTTGGAGGGGCTCTTCTTGGCCAAAAATGATGCAATTTGGGCATCAAAAAGAATAATGATGTAAAATGGGATCCTGGAAAGAAAAAGGACATTAAGCTGGGTGTGGTGGTTCACACCCATAATCCCAGCACTTTGGGAGGCTGAGATGGGAGGATCACCTGAGGTCAGGAGTTCAAGACCAGCCTGGCCAACACGGTGAAACCCTGTCTCTACTAAAAATACAAAAAATAAGAATTAGCCAGGCCTGGTTCAGGCACCTGTAATTCCAGCTACTCGGGAGGCTGAGGCAGGAGAATCACTTGAGCCCAGAAGATGGAGGTTGCAGTGAGCCAAGATCACGCCATTGTATTCCAGCCTGGGTGACAAGAGCGAGACTCTGTCTCAAAAAAAAAAAAAAAAAGAAAAAGAAAGAAAGAAAAAGGACATTAAGTAAAAACTAAGAAAATCTGAATGAAGTATGAGACTTTAATAATAATATATTGTGATTGAGTATAAGGCTTTAATAATAATATATCAGGATTGGTTCATTAATTGTAACAAATACATCATCCTAATGTAAGATGTTGACAATAAAGAAAATTGGGTGTTGGGTATGAAGAAGCTCTCTACTATCATCTTATTTTTCTATAAACCCAAAAGTATTCTACAAAAATAATTTTAATTATATGGAGAAATAAGAATTATGGCTACAATAGATTGAAACACATTGGAGATATAACAATCTTTGAATGATGAGAGAGAGAGCTAACATGAGAGGCCAAAGCTCTCATAAACTATGAAGAAGATAGAAAAATTGGCTAAAGAACTCTTTCCCTTCAATGGGGATAGAGAACAAAAGACCAAAGAAAGACTCTTGATCAAGAATAACTTCTGATTATATTTTGGATCTCTAAAGAGTTTCTTCTTAACTGAAAACAGAGACAACATTTTCTGTACAATGGTTTGAATCATAATGATTCTTTTTGCCATTCAGCCTTCTCATGACACTCTAAAATAATTTTGATGATTGCATAATAAAATCATTTTTTAAAGACCCAGAAATATCTCAAAAATGGAGGCATCAGCATCAATTAGAACAGTCCCCATAGGTCCTGCCTTTTTTACCTGAGACAGGGCAAATGACAAAAAGGAAGAATGGTATTTTCTTTGGAGACATTAGGGTTTTACAAGTACTGCAGTTACAGGCAGTTTCTGGCTGGTAGGACACTTTTTGAAATAAATTGTATCGTTGTGGAATGAGAATGTTTTAAATCATAATCAAAGCCCGCTTCCAAATGCTCCAGCTTCCTGGATTCTGCTGAAACCTTCCTTGCAAAAGTTATATTGAATCTAGGTGTCCAAATTTAAAATAAAATGGCTTTTCCAAATATTTTGGTGAAAATAGAAACTTTCCGTTTTATGAGATATTATTTTTGTCTTCCATTTGCACTCAAAGTAAAACAAAATATTAAGGCTTAATTCCATTTTATTTCAACTGTTTAACTTTGCCCCTGAACTTTTAGATAAACATTTACCCAATGGTTGAACTGGTGGATTTGAATTTTTGAAACATAGTAAACATTTTCCTATTTAATAATCTATCTAGTTTCTATAAACTCTATCAGATATTTATCAGATGTTTTAGCTTCTTTTAAGGTTGAATAAAGTTTAAGGTTCACATAGATTTTTTTTTTAACAGATCAGTTTCTATTCTTTTTTTCCCCCAACTTGTTTCAAAAATGGTTATGGAAGTCATCTCTGCTTGCGCTTAATCAAGTTTTTGAGATTAGGCAATGGGGGGGTGGTGTGGTTTATCGATTAGACATAAGATTGAAGTTCAGAAAATCCAAACCTTGAAATAAATTTTGTCCTGGGATGTCTCTGTCTCTCTCTCTTCCTCTCTCTCCCCCACCTCCCTCTCTCTTTTCTACTCTGTCTGTCTCTCTGTCTCAGTTTCTCTCTCTCTGTCTTCCCACACTTCCCGCCCTCCTCCCCTTCTCCCCCTCTCCCCACTCTTCTCCACCCCCCACCGCTGACCACCCCCCAGCCCTGGTTACTGATGCACAGTTACCTTTTCCGGCCACTAGGTGCTGTTTTGTGCGTGCCGGAGACCTCTCCACATTGGTGATTGGTTTCTGCTCCTCAAGAAATTATATCCCTTGGGGGGGCCTACTTGCCTCAGCAGAAAGTGGACAGACAGGATCCTGGACAGTGTGTTTGCCAGTGGAAACAGGTTCTTCTTGAATGTCGAGGGCCACGCCTGGTGTCTTTGGATCTGTGTGTGTGTCCTGTGAACAACTGGGCATACGCTTCCCGGACAAGCAGGATGCGTTTTCTTCCTGAACCACAACTGTTTTTCACAGCAATTGCCAATGATGCTGGCCCCTGATTGCTTTCTGGTGGCTTATGAGAGGAGCTGGCTGTGACATCTCCTAGGTGGAAATCTAAGATGCATAAAGATGCCAAAAGCCCACCTCAGCAGGCTAAACCATGACCCGACATGAAGTGGGAGCTGGAAGCTCAGCTCCCACCACCAGCGCTTCTCAATGCTCCCAAGTCACCCACCGGAAACAGCAGAAGCCCCTGTAGTCATATGGCCAGCCGCTCTGGCTTTGCAGTTGACAGATCAGGTTTCAAAGCCTGACTCTGCTGTTCACAGCCAGGTGACCTTGGACAAGTGACTTTGCCTCTCTATGCCTTGGTTTCCTCATCTGTCAAACGGGGATATGATTGTCCCTGACTCAAAAGTTGTCTTGAAGATGACCAGAACAACCAGCATGAAGTACAATGCCTGCCACATAGCTGGCATGGAATAAGTGGCAGTTGGTTCATTTATTCAGCAGGTCATGCTCTGAGCACCTCCTGTGTTCCAGGAGCTGTTATGGGCAATGGGGATGGAGGATAAATGCTAAAAGGTAATGGTGGGGATAACTATTCCAGGAAGTGAGTGAATGAACGAATAAGTAAGCAATATGTCTACCTAATCTTCTATGAATCTACATGCGGTCTATGTTTTTTTGTTTGTTTGTTTGTTTGTTTGTTTGTTTTGTTTTTGTTTTTTTGAGGTGGAGTCTCACTCTGTTGCGCAGGCTGGAGTACAGTGGCGCAATCTCAGCTCACTGCAACCTCCACCTCCCTGGTTCAAGCGACTCTCCTGCCTCAGCCTCCTGAGTAGCTAGGATTTCAGGTGCCCACCACCACGCCTGGCTAATTTTTGTATTTTTAGTAGAGACAGGGTTTCACCATGTTGGTCAGGCTGGTTTAGAACTCCTGACCTCAGGTGATCCACCCGCCTTGGCCTCCCAAAGCTGGGATTACAGGCGTGAGCCATCACGCCCAGCTGCTGTCTGTGTTTTAAGCAATAGAGATGGCACCCTGGGCTGTTTTAGGAATGACTCTTCCATCCCTGGAGATGACAGACTGCATTCTGGGAAAATCTCTTGAATGTTGCCTGGAGCTTTTCCTCCTGACATGGTCCCTTCACCTGGAAACCCCTGTATCCTATTCGGGGTGCAAGATACATAATGACAAAACTAGCCAAACCCTGAAATCCATGGCAGCTGTGGTAACAGAGCTGTTTAGTACCTGTCACAGGTGAGGTTTGAATTTCGGTGACTATTGACACAGAAGTGCTGGGAACAGGCTGCAGGATTGGAGGGCCAGGTCCTCCGCCCCACAGTACAGGTGCAGGCCACGGCCCACTTACTTAGTACCTGGTCACACCATTGCTCCTGCTGCTTCTCACCCGGAGCCCCCTTCCTCGTTCCCCAGGCAGCTCCCAAGCCCAGCCCTATGGCTCCTCCTCCCTGTAGGCTTTTCCAACTTCCCCGCTCCCTGTGCTTTTCCTTTCCTTGTTGAGCTTGGTCCCACCTCCACCATCCTCAAGGTAACTGCTGCACCACTGTTGGGGGCCCCAACCCTCTCTCCTGCGCTGCCCTCAAGCTTTTCCTCCTAACTTCTATAACATCAGGAACAGTGCTCCCTGAAGGCACCTCACAAATGTTTAGTGCTTATGGTTCTAGTTCCCCTCAGGAGTAGTTAAATTAAAAGGCAGAAGACGTGGTATTTGAAGATAGGACCTGGGTTCAAATCCTACTCTGCTATTCTCTAGCTTTGTGACCTAGGGCAAGTTCACTTACATCTCTGACCTCAATTTCCTCATCTGTCAAATGGGGATACTAACAAGGTTATAGGAAAACTAAGGGAGAGGACATGCTTGGAAATTCTCTTGAGGATGGAAAGCAACGTGATGCATGGCTGACCACCAGTGTCAGCATTTACCTGGGCTTATTTGTGCTTCAAGAAACTACCATTGCCATATGCACTTTTTTATTTCAGAGCAAACAGTTTTTATTGCAGTAGACATTCATGAAAGTGTACAGATCATAATTTTACAGTTTGATGAATTTTTACAACATGAATGTATCTGATGATTACCACCCAGATCAAGCTAAAGAACATTACCAGCTCCCCTGAAGCCTCCTTTATGATGCCCACCCACCCCCAGTCATTACCCTGCACCCATCACTGTGGATTCAACTTGCCTGTTTTTGAATTCAGGTGGAAGCAAGCTTTTGCTCTAACCTCATATGTTAGATTCTTCAACATAGTTACATGTAGAAGTCCTTTATTCTTGTTGTTCTAGAGTATTCTGTTGTATAAACACACCACAGTTTTCCTGTTGATGAGCATTTGGGTTGTTTCCAGTTTGGACTCCTATGTAACAGTGAAATTTCAGGGTCGTAAGACAAGCTTGTTTCCCTTCAGGAGTTGCTGCCAAGTTTTCCAAAGTGGTTGTACCAATGAAAACTTATGTCAGCAGGTGTGTGAGATGTCTAGAAACGCCACATCTTCCCTGCCACTTGACATTGTCAGGTTTTGTTTTGGGGTCTGGTTTTGTTTTGCTTTCAGCCATTCTGGTGTGTGTGTTGTGGTATCTCATTGTGGTTTTACGCTGTGTCTTTTGAGGACTAATGCTGGTGGTCACCAAATCATAGGCATATGGATCATGTGAAGAGCCTCTTTTGAGGAAGTGCTCATGCAAGAATTTTTTTAAATTGGGTTATTTGTCTTTTTCTATTCCTTTGTAAGAGTGGCTTACATATTTTGGAGACAAGTCCTTTGAGATTTATATGTATTTCAAATATCTTCTCCCACTCTGTCTTCCCTTTTCACTTACTTAATGTTGTCTTTTGATCAACAGAGTTTCTAATTTTATTGAAGATTTATCAGTCTTTTCCTTTATGGTTACTGATTTCTGTATTCTGTTTAAGAGATGTTTGTGCATCCTAAGGTCATGAAGGTAGCCTCCTGTGGTATATTCTAGAAGCTTTATGGTTGGCCTTTTTGCATCTGGAATTGGCTTTGTGTATGACATAAGGTCAAGGTCCAGCTTTCTCCCTATGACTCTCCACACCATTTATTGATTCCACACCATTTATTGATTCCACACCACTTATTGATTTCACACCACTTACTGATTACACACTATTTATTGAAAACACAGTCCTTTCCCACACTGCACTACAGCAGCACCTTTGCAGTAAATCAAATTGTGGAATATATGCAGGTCAGTTTCTAGAATCTCTGCTTTGATCCATGTATCCTTGAATACCACACTGTTATAACTATTGTTGGTCGATATGAATATCAGATAATATATGTCCTCTGACTTTTCCCTTGAGGGAGTCTTGAGTCTTGTTGGCCTTTGGCATTTCCACATAAATTTCCATATCAGCTTGTCAACCTCTCTTACACAGACACACACACATACACACATGCCTTCTGACATTTAATTGGGATCATATTGAATCTATAGGTCAAGACCAATTTGGGGAGAATTTCTTTTTCTTTTCTTTTTTTTTTTTTTTTTTTTTTTTTTTTTTTTTTTTTTGAGACAGGGTTTTTTTCTTTTCGCCCAGGCTGGAGTGCAATGGCGCGATCTTGGCTCACTTCAACCTCTGCCTCCCAGGTTCAAGCTATTCTCCTGCCTCAGCTTCCCAAGTAGCTGGGATTATAGGCAGCTGCCACCACACCCAGCCAATTTTTTTGTATTTTTAGTAGAGACAGGGTTTCACCATGTTGGCCAGGCTGGTCTCAAACTTCTGACCTCAGATGATCCACCCATCTTGGCCTCCCAAAGTCCTGGGCTTAAGCCACTGCGCCCGGCCCCAGTTTGGAGAGAATTAATGGTTATACTATATTGAGTCTTCCAATCCATGAACATGGACCATCCTGCCATTCATTCCAGTTTTCTTTTGTCTCTCTTAGTAATGTTTGGTGATTTTTCTTTATTGAAGTCATGCATCTTTTTTGTTTGTTCTTATGCATTTAATTTTTTTAATGTTGTTTAAAAAGGCATGAGTTTTTAGGATTTTGTTTGTTCTTAGTATATAGAAGAACAATTGACTTTTGAGTGTTAATCTTGTATTCAGTGACTTTGCCAAATTTACTTTTTGATTCCAATAGTTCATCTGGTTTGCCAAATTTACTTTTTAATTCCAATAGTTCATCTGGATTTTCTCCTTTCAAAATCATGCTTTTGGGGATAAAGTCAGTTTTATTTTTTCCTTTCCAATCCATAACTTTTTATTTCTTTTTCTTGCCTTATTACATCCCTAGAACATCCAGTGCAATGTTGAATAGGAGTGGACGTGGCAGACATCTGTGTTTCAATTCCAACATCAGGGTACAGCTTTCAATACCTTACTATTTAACATGCCATTTGTTGTAGGTTTAGTCATTTCTCTTTAATTTGCTAAGAGTTCTTATACACAGGTGTTAAATTTTACCAAATGCTTTTTGTAGCACCTACCAAGATGATCATTTGGGTTTTTTTCTCCTTTATTTTGTTAATTTTTGAGTATTAAACCAAACTTACATCCCTGAAATAAGTTCAGTTTGGTCATAATATTTTAACCTTGTTAATGGAATTGGTTTGCTGGTATTTTTGTTTAGGATTTATAAGATATATGTATATTTATAAGAAATATTGTCTCATCTTGTAATATCCTTTTCAGGTTCAAATTCATTGGGAAATGGTCTCTCTCCCTATTCCTGGAAGAGTTTCTGGAAGATTGGTGTTATTTCTTCCTGAAATGTCTAGAAAATTTTACCAATGGAGCTCTATGTGCCTAGAGTTCTCTTTGCAAAAACAATTTTAATTAGAAATCAAATTTATTTGTAGATATAGGACATTGTGATTGTTTACCTCTTCTTAGGCAAGTGTTGGGAAGTGGTGCTTTTCTGGAAAATGGTCCGTTTTCTCTAGATTTTCCAATGTATTTGAATAGTTATTAATAATGTACTGACATTATCTTTTTCCTGTCTGTAGAAACTGTCGTAATGTCTGCTTTCTCTTTCTTGTTATCTATCATTTGTGTCTGTCTTCTCTATTTCATACTCTGTCTCCAGTATGGCCCTCAGACCCAGGCAAGAGGGGCCCCTGCCCTGCTCTGGTCCTCCTCCTCCTCACCCCTCGTCACAGGTGTAAAGTCCATGGAGCTAAGGAAACTGCACACCCAGGGCCCACACACCCCTTCCGAGACCATGCCTAGATATTCAGACCATGCCTAGATGTTAATGGACCCCAGCCTGCTCCCAGAGCCTGCAAGTCATCCCCACTGGGTTTGTCCTTTCAAAGGCAAGCCATGGGAACATGGTGTAGGCCAAGAAGGTAGCTAAGGGGCAGATGTTGTGGGGCTGTGGTCAGACCTTGGAGGCACAGGCTCCTCACAGTGCAGGACGGTGCCAGGGTAGTGAAAGTGGGTGGCAGGCACCAGCTCCCCACCACCTCAGCTGCTGGCACACATCTCCAAGGAGTCTGAGACTCCTAAATTTGAACCTAGCCTTCTCTGTTGTAGGAAGGTATATTTGTCAAAGTAGAAACAGCAAATATGTCATTCAATTGTTTGCTAGCTTGATTTATAACTTAACTATTTAGACATGTGGCATGTGGTCTCCACTCTTGTGAGGGGCAGGCCTGAGTCTTGATTGAGTTTTATCAATTTTATTAGTCTTTTAAATAAGCAATTTTAGTTTTGTTGATTTCTCCATTATAAATTTGATTTCTAAATTGTTGGTTTCTGTTCTTTATTATTTGTGTCCTTCTACTTTGGATTTAATATACAGTCCTTTTTTAGCTTCCCGAGTCATAAATTTAGATCATTAATTTTCAGCCTTCTTTTTAGGCTCAAATGCATTTAGGGCTGTACAATTATTTTCAAACACAGATTTAGCTACATATGATGATACCATAATACGATATGGGATATCATATTTTCATGAAATCCAGTTCAAACTGTTTCTAAATTTTCACTGTGATTTAATTTTGTTTTATAGATAAGTTAGAAGAGTATCACTTAATTTCCAAACGCTGAGTTTTTTTATAGTTGTCCTTTTGTTATTGGTCTTTACTTGTTTCTGTTGTTATCAGAGGACAAGATTTCAGTCCTTTGAACTGTGTTGAGGCTGGCTTTATGGCTTAACATGGTCTATTGTGGTAAATGATTTTTTGTGCACTTAAAAAATATGTATATTCAGTAATTTTTGTTGATTTTGTGTGTGTGTATGAAATTCTATGATTTCCTGAAAGAGTTGTGTTAAATTTTAAGTTAAAATATACAATCACAATTAATGGTTTATTCCTTATTTTAGTTCTGTCAGTTTTGGGTTTATGTATTTTGATATATACATAATTTAAAATTATTATATCTTTCTGTTGAATAGATGTACCACTATAAAGCATCCCTTTTTATCTCTAGTAAAATTTCTTATTTTGAAATATATTTATTTGATATTTCTATAGCTGCAGCAAGTTTCTTTCAAGTGTTTGCATGGAATATTAGTATTTTTCCATCATTTGACTTTTAATCATTCTGGTTCTTTTTATTAAAGTGTGTCTTCTGTATATAGTATATAGTTGAAGTTTTAAAAAATTCAGTCTGATAACTTTGTCATTTAATTGGAATATTTAGACCATTTATATTTATTATAATTACTGATATATGTCTGGGTTTACAACCACTATATTACTATAAGTTTTATAGCTGTACCATTTGTTTTTTGGACTTTTTCACCTCCGACTTTTCGGTTAATCAATTCTTTTTTTTAATTGCCATATCTCTTCTATTATTTCGTTAGTTATACATTTCTTTATTATTGTTCAATTGGTTGCACTAGAATTGCCACATGCATCCCTGGCTTTTTAGAGTCTTTCTTAAAACAATATTTACACCACCTTTGGACAATGTGAAAACCTTAACTTTTAGAAATGCTTTTAACTTCATTTACCTTCCCTCCCACCCCACCTTTTGTTTATTTTTGTCATGTATTAATATTACTTACATTTAATCCCCACAAGACATTGTTATTGCTATTTTAAACAATCAATATTCATTTAGCTTTACTCACATATATATTTTCCTTTCCAATGTTCTTTATTCTCTTCTACCTTATCATACTTTCATATGGGATTATTTTCCCTCTGTCTAAAAATTCCTTTTACTATTTCTTTTAGTGCAGGTCTGCTGGAAATGAATTCTCTTAGTTTCTGTTCATCCAAAAACATATTTATTTTGTTTTCATTTTTGAAAGATATTTTCTCTAGATACAGAACCCTAGATTGGCAGTAATTTTCTTTCAGCAATTTCAATATGTCACTCTATTGTCTTTGGTTTCTATTGCTTCTGTTGAAAAGTCAGCCATTTGCCTTATTATTAATCTTTTGAAAATAGATGTCTTTTTCCTCTGGCTGTTTTGTCATTTTTCCCTTTTTTTTGTTTTCACCAATTTTGCTATGATGGGCTGGGATTATTCTGATAGGGTCTGGGCCATACTTTTCAACATTGTGCTAGATGTCCTAGGAAAAAAAATAACGCAAGAAAAATAAATAAAAAGCTATGGATTGAAAAGGAAAAAATAAAACTGGCATTATGCAAATATACCCTGTTTTGGGTTCATAGAGCATATCATATTCTTAACTAAACATGGCCTGGTGTCTCTCATCAGTTTTGGAAAATTCTTGGTCAGACACTTCAAATATTGCTTCTGCCCCATTTTCTCCCTTCTGTTTTTTTCAGAGTTCCAACTGCACATAGGTTAGGTATGTTCAAAAGACTTGGATGTCTCTCATGGTCTTTTCTGTGTTTTACATCTTTTTTTTTTTTTTTTTCCTGTGCTTCAATTTCAATGCTTTCTGTTAACCATCTTTCAGTTTAACTAATCTCTTATATTCTGTCTAATCTGCAGTTATACCTACCTTTTGAATTCTCATTTTTGGCTTTGGAATTCCCATGGATTCTATCTGTACATTCTCATTCTCAAGTGAAATTGTCCATCTTCCCATTTACTGTATTCATCATATTAACAGATGTGTCTAATTACCCCAATATCTGGATCTGCTGTTGGTCTGTTTCTATTGCCCTTTGGTTTTTGTTTGCTTGTTTTACTTTGTTTTGTTTCTGTGGTTCTTAATCATTTAGCTCTGCTTCCTGGCATGTGTGGTGATTTTTAATTGAATCTTGGATATCACGTGTGGACAATGCGGAGGCTCCAGATGATGTTCTCTTCTTCCGAGAGGATTCTTGTCTTTTTGGCAGGCAGAATGCAGAAAGACCAGCTGGTTTCTCTCAGGGTTGGAGATGATTTGAGATTAGCCTTAAGGACTTATGGAAAGCAGGTCTTTTTCTGAGTTCTTGATTGAAAGCCTGGAGAGTTTACTAGGACTCCACCTCCTTAGAGTACCCTGAACTCCAATTTTGTGTGTGTGTGTGTGTGTGTGTGATGTGTGAGCAATAAAGCTTTTTAATCACCTGGGTGCAGGCGAGGCAGACTGAGTCCGAAAAAGGAGTCAGCAAAGGGAGATGGGGTGGGGCAGTTTTATAGGATTTGGGTAGGCAGTGGAAAATTACAGTTAAAGGGGGTTTTCTCTTGCAGGCAGGTGCAGGGGTCACAAGGTGCTCAGAGGGGAGATCATGAGACTCATTGTCCAGGGGAGGAATGTCACAAGGTCGATTGATTGGTTGGGGCGGGGCAGGAACAAATCACAATGGTGGAAAGTCATCAGTTAAGGCAGGAACTGCCTATTTTCACTTCTTTTGTGGTTCGTCAGTTGCTTCAGGCCATCTAGATGTATACCTGCAGGTCACAGGGGATATGATGGCTTAGCCTGGGCTCAGAGGCCTGACAAAACAAAACAAAACAAAACAAAATAGTGGAAAAACAAAACAAAATAGTGGAGAAGTGTTGGGGCAGCAAAAAATTTTGGCTGTGGTATGGAGAGATAATGGGCGATGTTTCTCAGGGCTGCTTTGAGCAGGATTGTGGTGGCATGGGTAATTAGAGTGGGAGAGATTAAACTGAAGAAAGATTTTGGGGTAAGGGGTGATATTGTGGGGTTGTTGGAAGGAGCATTTGTTGTATAGAATGATTGGTGATGGCCTGGGTGTGGTTTTGTATGAATTGAGAAACTAAACAGAAGACACAAGGTACAAATAAGAGAAGGAGAAAAACAGGTATTAAAGGGCTAAGAATTGGGAGGACCCAGGACATCCAATTAGAGAGTGCCCAAGGGGGTTCAGCATAATTATTTACTTGGATGGCAAGTTTTTGGGCTCTATCCTTGAGTTTTTTTATGTTGTCATATACTAGGCCAGATTGATTTAGGTAAAAACAACACTCTTCATTTAAAAATATACAGAGTCCTCCTTTTTTAGCAGTGAGTAAGTCAAGGCCTTGGCGGTTTTGGAGGACAACCGCAGCTAAAGAGTCAACCTGGGCCTGAAGGATTAATAAAGTTTGTGATATGTCTGCGATGCTAGCAGAGAAGTTATTAGAGAAGCTACGGAAGGTTGTGAGAAGATTAGCAGCCTGGTGAATTTTCTGTCTAGCCTGCTGGAGGACTGGAAGATAGTTGCCCAGAGGGCTGGTGTCTGGAACAAGGTTGGGGCCAAGCAAGAAAGCACATCCATATAAAAGTTCAAAAGGGCTGTACCCTGTAGCATCTCAAGGACAGGCGCTAATTCTGAGAAGGGCAAGAAGTAAAAGTACTGTCCAGTCCTCTTTAAGTTGGAGGCTGAGCTTGGTGAGGTGTGTCTTTAAAAGATCATTAGTCCATTCTACCTTTCCTGAAGATTGAAGACGGTAAGGGGTATGAAGGTTCCACTGAATACCGAGAGCCTGAGAGACGGCTTGGGTGATTTGACTAATAAAAGCTGGACTATTGTCCGCCGAGTGCGGTGGCTCACGCCTGTAATCCCAGCACTTTGGGAGGCTGAGGCGGGCAGATCACGAGGTCAGGAGATCAAGACCATCCTGGCTAACACGGTGAAACCCCGTCTCTACTAAAAAAAAAAAAAACACAAAAAATTAGCTGGGCGTGGTGGCGGGCGCCTGCAGTCCCAGCTACTTAGAAGGCTGAGGCAGGAGAATGGTGTGAACCAGGGAGGCAGAGCTTGCAGTGAGCCGAGATTGTGCCACTGCACTCCAACCTGAGCGACAGAGCCAGACTCTGTTTCAAAAAAAAAACTAGCCAGGTGTGGTGGCAGGCGCCTGTAGTCCCAGCTACTCAGGAGGCTGAGGCAGGAGAATGGCATGAACCTGGGAGGTGGAGCTTGTAGTGAGCTGAGATCATACCACTGCACTCTAGCCTGGGCGACAGAGCGAGACACTGTCAAAAAAAAAAAAAAAAAAAAAGCCGAACCATTGTCAGATTGAATAGAAGTAGGGAGGCCAAGTCGGGGAATTATATCTGTTAGAAGGGAAGGGATGACTGCAGTAGCCTTTTTGGAGCTAGTGGGAAAGGCCTTGACCCATCCGATGAAGGTGTTGATCCAAATCAGGAGATACTCAAATTTACGGACACGGGGCATATGAGTAAAGTCAATCTGCCAATCTTGTGTTGGAGTAAATCCACAAGCCTGATGCGTAGGAAAAGGAGGAGGCCTGAGAAAGCCTTGGGGGCTAGTGGCATGGCAGGCAGAACATTGAGAGGTGATGGTCTTACGGATGGATTTCCATGAAGGGAAGGAGGAGGTGGGTAAGCCAGAGGCTTGTATCCCACGTAGAAGTGATCATGAAGGAAAGAAAGAATGGACTGAGCTTGTGAGGCAAGAAGAATGAATTTTCCATGATCGAAGGACCACTTGCCCTGAGTTGGAAAAGACTGGTAGAGCAGGTTTTCAGAAGAAGAGTAGGTGGGACTGATAAAGGAGAAAGAAAAATACTGGCCTTCTGGAGTGGGGGCTGGGATATTAGCGGGTGTGGAGGCGTTGGCCTTTTTTTTTTTTTTTTTTTTTTTTTGCTGTCCTCTTGGCATAGACATTTTCCTTTGCAATAAGATCAGTAGGTTTCTGGTGTCCTTTATAATGAATGACTCCAGCCTTGGCGGCAGGAGAGCAGTCTTAAGGAGAGCCTTTATTAGGGAGGCATTGACAATGAAAGAGCCTTGTGTGGTAAGGAAGCCTCTTTCGGCCCAGATGGCAAAATGGTTATGGAGGAAGTGGAAAGCATATTTGGAGTCAGTATAAATGTTAATGTGCATTCCTTCAGTGAAAGAGAGCACACGAGTTAAAGCAATCAGTTCGGCTTGTTGGGAAGTGGTGGAGGGAGGAAGTGCAGCAGCTTCCATAATGGAGGTGTGGGACACGACAGCATATCCAGCTTTAGCTGGTGAAAATTGATTGGGTTTAGAAGAACTGCCATCGATAAACCAAGTGTGGTCTGGGTTTGGAATTGGAAGAACAGAACCCTGAAGAAAGGGAGAAGATGCTATATGTATTAGGGAAACACAGTCGTGTGGTTCAGGACTTGTGTTGGGTGCTAAGTGAGAAACTGGGCTGAAATTGGGCCCATGGTAATAGCTACTGTTGGAGTTTCAACAAATAGTGAATAGAGCTGGAGGAGTCGAGAGGCAGACAATAAATGTGAAAGGTGTGAGGAGGATATTAATGCTTGAAGGTTGTGAGAACTGTAAAGGGTAAGTGGAGCATAGCCTGTGATTTTGAAGGCCTCTAGAAGTATTAAAGCGGCAGCTGCCACCACACGCAGACATAAGAGCCAGCCTAGAACTGTGAGGTCAACTTGTTCTGATAGAAAGGCAACAGGTCATGGGCCTGGGTCCTGTGTGAGGGCTCCAGCAGCACAGCCTTGGATTTCAGCTGTGTGTAAGGAAAAAGGATGGGACGAGTCAGGGAGTGCTAGTGTGGGAGTTGTCTCCAGGGCCTTTCTGAGAGAGCAAAAGGAGGAATGGGGAAAAAACTTAGGGTCTATGAGATCAGTTAAGTTACGCTTTGTGAGTTTGTAAAGTGGTTTGGTTAGGATAGCAAAGCCTGGTATCCAGATACAGAGTCGGAAATATCCAACAACGCCTAAGAACTAAAGAAGTTGTTGTTTGGTGGTGGAGATTGGGGTCTGGGACATTAACTGAACGTGCAGGAAGGGTGCATGTATGCTGATGGGGGATTATACCGAGATAGGTAACGCTAGGGGAAGAAATCTGTGCCTTGGAGGGGGATACTCGGTACCCCTTTGAGTAGAGATGTTGAAGAAGCAGGATAGTGTCCTGCTGGGAAGATTGGTAAGAGGGGCTGCAAAGAGGAAGATCATCAAAATATTGAATAAGGTGGGAGGCAGATGGGCGAAAAGAAAGCAGATCATGAGAAAGGGCCTGGCCAAATTAGTGTGGGCTGTCCCTGAAGCCTTGGGCAGAACATTCCAGGTGAGTTGTTGGGATTGGTGGGTGCCAGAACTCCAATTTTTGCCTCCTCTTTTCTCTCTCCTTCTCTCTCTCTCTCTCCCCACCTCCCCCTCCCCCTCTCTCTTTCTCTCTCTCTCCCCTCCTCCCTTTCTCTCTCTCTCCTCCAGAATGTTGAGCTTATTTCTCTGAAGCTCCCTTCTCTTAGCCCTCAAGTCCTGTCTGCCTTGGTTTTCTTCCAATTCCTTCTAGCAGCTACCTATAGCAGCTGAGTTTCTCTGTTTGTTTTTTAATCCAGCCTTTATAGATGTTCTTGACACAGCAGCTACTCTTTTGTGGCCAGAAGCAGAGCTCCCCATGATGCTTCTTAACAGTTGCCTACTGGAGCACCTTATGCCTTAGATGGTTGTACACATAAAGGAGTGACTGTGACAGCTAGAGCTTCAGACCGACAACAGAGGAAAAGTCTGATCTTAGGGTCAACCAATTAGGGGAGGGTCTCTACCTCTGTTGCTTCCAACTGCAAGATCTTGAGTAAACCACAGGAAGTGTCAGGGCCTCAGTTTCCTCATCTGCAAAATGGGTCTAATAATACAAAGGCCATGTAATTCATAGACTTTGTGTGAGGATGAGCAATAGAGTATGCAACCAATGGTACTTTGGAAATAGAGAGGTGATTTTTTTCTCTTTCCTTCTTTCTTTTTTTTTTTTTTTTTTTTTTTTTTGAGATGGAGTTTCACTCTTTTTGCCCAGGCTGGAGTGCAATGGTGCAATCTTGGCTCACTGCAACCTCTGCCTCTGAGGTTCAAGCGATTCTCCTGCCTCAGCCTCCCAAGTAGCTGGAATTACAGACGCGTACCACCACACCTGGCTAATTTTGTATTTTTAGTAGAGATGGGGGTTTCGCTATGTTGGCCAGGCTGGTCTCGAACTCCTGACCTCAGGTGATCCATCCGCTTCGGCCTCCCGCAGTGCTGGGATTACAGGCGTGAGCCACCACGCCCGGCCGAGGTGATTTTTTTAAATGATGAAAATACAATGGACTCCAAATATAGGGACACATTCAGGACAAGAACCATTTGCTGTGTGAGGATCCTGCACCCCCCAGTAGACACAGATGAAGCAGAACAACTGAGAACTTGTGTGCATGGGGGCCGCATGTTTTGAACGGACCATGCTGGGGTGAGCTGGGGGAGGGTTCAGGAGCTGCTTTCCCTCTGGAGCCTTGCCCAGTGTCCCCCTCCCCTGGACTACCATGTGCTCCGTGCCTGTCTCAGCAAGGGGGTTCTGGCATCACCGTCACCTGTGTGCATGTCTCTCCTCCATGAGACTGGGCAGGTTCCCAAACCTGCCTGTCCTCTGGGCCCACTAGGGACTGTTGAAAATCTCTGAGCGGGAAGTACTAGAATGTGGATATTTGAAAGCTCCTTGGGTGAAGCAGTGACTATCTAGACGAGCACTCTGTAAATATTGGGCAAGACGTTGGACTTCCCTGGGGCACGAAACTGCCATAGACCAGAATGTGTCTATTATGTTGTTTTTTTGTTGTTGTTGTTGTTTGTTGTTGTTGTTGTTGTTTGAGACAGAGTCTCACTCTGTCACCCAGGCTGGAGTACAGTGGTGCAATCTCGGCTCACTGCAACCTCTGCCTCCCGGGTTCAAGCGATTCTCCTCCCTCAGCCTCTTGAGTAGCTGGGACTACAGGCACATGCCACCACGCCCAGCTAATTTTTGTATTTTTTAGTAGAGATGGGGTTTCACCATATTGGCCAGGCTGGTTTCAAACTCCTGACCTCGTGATCCACCTCCCAAAGTGCTGGGATTATAGGCGTGAGCCACCGCGCCCAGCCGATAATGATTTTTACTGCATCAATTGATGTTTGTTGAATAAAGAGCAGGGAGGGGAGGAAAGAATGGGATGAGGGTAGAGAAAGGCAAGATCAGGGAGAATTTCAGCTCCTCGGGCCCAGACCTGTCATCTTATCAGAACAATCCCAATCCCCTGACAGTGGTCTGGAGACCAGTGACCCTTCGGCAAGAGCATTTTAGCTGAGGAATTTTTGCCTTTCTTAAAGATAAGATTAAATTAATGTGACTCCAAGTCTTACCACAAGGACATTGCCCTTTGCTGGGAAGCCGAGCATTCCCATGTACCTCACCTATGATGTTCTTGGTGCCTCATTACACATGGTAGCAAAAATGCCAAAAGCCCCTAAGAGGACCACTGTGATCCTCTGAAGATGGGGATTCCTAATCCCGCGAACCCAGTTCTTCAGAACCCCGTTTGTTCTGGAGAAATAAGAACTGGTCATACCTAGTCTTTGTTTCCCTCTCTTTTGATCATTTTTTGGATGAGTCAAAATCAGGTCACCACCAGCACCAGGATGTGACATGAAGGGACACGCCTCAGCCCCACAGGGTACATTCCTGCCCTCTTCCCAGACTCAGGTCTTCCCTGCCTCTGAATCTTGCTCTCTCTTTTCCTTGTTCTCACTTTTCTTTCTTTTATTTTCTGCCCTTCCTTTGTTTTCTTTGATTCCTCTTTCTTTTTTACCTGGGGAAAAAGTCTTCAGACTTCTGGAGTGGATTCATGAGTGTGAATGGGGTGTAGCCCGCCAACATCATTTTTTCCCAAGGCACAGAGGCTGTTTCTGTGGCTGGGCACAGCTGAGAGGACCGTCTCATTGTACTGGGGGATTGATGGCTGATGGAGGGAAGGAACATCAGGCAGAGTTTGTCCTGCTTCCCTCGGGCTCCCTATATCATGTTGATGGGGTTGCAACCCTGGCCTGCAGGAGTAGGTCTGGCCTGATGGAGGCTGGGACATCTGGAAGCCAGTGGCCTCTCAGCCAGCCCCTGGCTCTCACGCACACTCTCCGGGAAGAGCCCCAGGTCTCTTCTTCACCCTTCTTCACTCCCCCTCACCCTCCTGGTGGGGGTTCTCTGACCCCAGCCACACAGATGGGCAGGGAGGCATCTCCAAAGGCCAGACGCTTAGCTGAGAAATCATTTCTCAGTTCCTGTGTGGTCCCTTGCTCTTAGCCTTTTTCTCCTTTGTTCTTAGTCCTGTTTTTGCCCTGATTTTTCAGATGGGCGCCCTGGACTGAGGCAAACTTTAATATTGCCCCTGGGATCAGACACACGCTGGCCCCCTCTCTGGCTATGCTGGCCTCCCTGTTTGGGGCAGCAGGTAAGGAAGAGCTGGCTCAGTCCAGGCCAGATGAGAAGGAAATAAAAGTTTTCCTTGTCCCCCTTCCTCCAAGCCTCTTCCTTCTTCCCTTTCCCCTTGCCGTGGGAAGTTCTCTTCCTCCACTCCTTCCATCCCTCGCCGTCTGTGGGCCTGATGCTGATTGTCCTGTTCACTATCAAAATGATCTGGGAGAAGAAAGTCATTTATACTTTAGTATGAGTTTGATCCATAGTTTGTCTTTCCTTGGGCTATTTGCTCTGTGAGTCTCACTGGCAGATGAAAAGTTGAGGGATGCATTACAGACACTCGGGGCCATCACAGAAGAATGGGGGTGGGGGATGGGGAGGCGCTGACAGTAGAAGGACCCTCCAGAGCTCAAGCAGTCACACACACAAGCTGCCACCCCCAGTCCTCAATTGGTTTCCATGCCGTTCATAGTCTGGGACAAAGGACTTAAAAAATATGTGGTTGAGAGTGGCTCTGAGCCCAGCCAGGTACAGGGAGCAGGGGGACCTGAGGCTGCTTGGCTGGGCAAGGCAAGAATGCAGGGAGCTTTTTAAGACGGCTGACTCTGTAGCTCTGATTTTTTTTTCTTATGAAGGAGCAATCCTGTTTGGCTCCAAGCCTAGGGATGGGGCTGGCTCTGTGGAGCAGGTTGCCTTTGAGCCGGGTGGGGCTGCCCCAGGAGTCATCGGCTGCCTCTGGAGGTGGCGAGGTTTCCATCACAGCGGTTGGGGTCTCCTGGATTCAACCATCATTAGAGGAGGCTTTGCATATTGCCGGGGTTGTGCCAGATACCTGGGGGCCTTGACTAAAATGTGTTTCCTGGGCACTACCCCCAGCTCGCTGAATCCAGGAGCAGCCCCGGGATCATTGTGACCTCACAGTTCAGACAGCATCGGTCCCCTGTGGGGGCCACCTTTCCAGCCCCTCCTCCCAGCAGAGGATCCCAGTGCCCTCCTGGCCTGAAGGCCCTGCAGGCCTGGCCTTCCCAACTTCCTCTCTGCCCTTGTCCCCCGTCGTCCCTCTAGTTGGCCTGGCCCTCCCAACTTCCTCTCTGCCCTTGTCCCCCGTCGTCCCCCTAGTTGGCCTGGCCCTCCCAACCTCCTCTCTGCCCTTGTCCCCCGTCGTCCCCCTAGCTGGAGGGTGCCCCAGCCTGGCTGACCTCAGTTCTTGTCCCCAGCACACACAACTCTTCCCAGCCTCAAGGCCTTCACCTGGCTGTGCCGCTGCCTGCAATGTTCCTCCCCAGTCTTGTCAGGGCTGGCTCCTGGGGAGAAGATCTCTGCTCAGATGTCACTTCCCCGGAAGGGCCTTCCACGGCCACCCACGTCGTGTCTCCCCACGCCTGCCCCCACACTCGCTAGCCCGCCGTCCCCTCTTCCTGCTTCCGTCCTCCACAGCAGTCATCACCATCTGATATTCCTGTGTATGCATCGGTTTGCCTTTCTGGCTCCTGGTTTTGCTCTGCCTCCCCGCTGGAAGGTAAGCTCTGTGGGAGTAGAGCAGGGACTTGTTTGCATTGTTTATTCCGTGACCCAGCCCCGGTTCTGTGTCTGGCACATAGAAGTGTCGCTGAATGAATGAATGAATGAATGTCCATTGTGTGAATGAAAGAGTGACAGGTTTGGAGGTCACTGGAGCAGATGGCCAAGTCTGTGACAGCTGTGATAATAAACAGTGATTACAAGCAGGGGGTCAGATGCCGAGCTGCCCTCGTGGGCACTAAGGGTCCCAGGCCCTGAGCTTGCATTCCCAAGGGACCCCATGCTTGGTGTTTGGGGCCCACTCTTAACATCTCAACAGCCTGTCTTCTTATTGGGACTGAGTTGGAAACAGGGGTCCCAGAGCCCACATGACTTGTCCAAAGACACCCTGCAGGGTTGCAGGGACAGAGGGGGAGGAGGCCTGTGCCTGGCACCCATCATCAGTCTCTAGAAAGTTCCATTCTGATAGATGAGTCAGCCATGCCCAACAGTCTCCTGGGACAATCACCCCCACAAACATTTGCCAAATGTCTGCAATGTGTTGAGGGCACATGGAGTCCTCCTCTCCTTGGTGATTTGGTGGCGGGGGCGGGGTGGGTGGCAGCCCTGACTTTGGCCTCCCTGAATGACGGCACAGCAGAGACGTCTGGTCTCCCGTGGAGATTAGACCCCCTTCAGCGGCAGGGATGCTGCCAGCTCCATCACCGTAACTCCACGGTGGAGCAAAGCACCCCGGAGGCTGTCCTGGCACAACCTGACCACAGTCATAGACCAGTCAGCCCCAGGAGGGACACTCTGCCCCGGCCTGGTTGCTGCCAGCCAGGCCCATGGATGCTGCTAGTCCAGCCAAGGAAGTGCCTGTCCCCACTCCCAGGCCCATGCAAAGGGGCCCAAAACAAACTTGAAAAAGCAGCCCCCCAGCGGGGAGGCCAGTCTGTCCGGGGTGTCCAGGGATCATGACCGGCACTGCTGTTTTCCTAACTCATGTGACCAAAAATCCTTTTATTTGTATAAAAATGGAGCCTGGTTGTCTAAGTCTTCCCAAAGTTTCCTTATATCAAGCAGTCATGAAGGGCCCCCCACAGAGCAAGGTCTGTACTGGCCACCATGAGAAACTGCTGTTCCCACCTTCCAGCCATGTCCAAACCCCTCTACCCCGTGGGGCTTAACCACCTCTGAGCATCCCACCTGCCGTGTCATTTGCTTCTGTTTTGTCGATGGTCTGCCTGCCCCTCCCTCGCTGGACAGCAGCTCCAAGGGGACAAGGAATCGTGGGTGTTTTTTTTTTTTTTTTTTTTTTGAGACGGAGTCTCCCTCTGGTGCCCAGGCTGGAGTGCAGTGGCGCAATCTCCGCTCACTGCAACCTCCACCCCCTAGGTTTAAGCAATTGTCCTGCCTCAGTCTCCCGAATAGCTTGGATTACAGGCGCCTGCCATCATGCCTGGCTAATTTTTGTATTTTTAGTAGAGATGGGGTTTCACCATGTTGGCCAGGCTGGTCTTGAACTCCCGACCTCAAGTGATCCGTCTGCCTCAGCCTCCCAAAGAGTTGGGATTACAGGCATGAGCCGCCGCACCCGGCCTGTGCGTGTTTTGCTGGCTGCTTCTTCCCCAGTGCCCGGCAACCTTGAGAAGATGCTCACAGGCACCCGGTGGATGCACAGGCAGCCCCAAGGCCCTTCCCAGCCTTCCCGTCCCTCCAGACCTCCCGACCCCCTGCCCCGGCTTGGGCAGTCGACCCCTCCTTTTCATCTTCCTAGTTACCAGTGACCGTTTAGGATTCAGCTGAGAAGCCACTCCCTGTGCAAAGTCTTCCGGAATTGACCATGACCTTTCCTCCCCTGGTCCTTCAGCATTTTTCTGTGGCTGTCAGATTTCTGACTTCCTGGCAGACTATCAGCCTCACACCTGCGGGTCTGTGCCCTGGGCTCACAGCTTAACACGTAGAAGGACCTTAATAAATAGGCTGATTGCCCCTGTGGAGGGGACACGCTCCTGCCAGAAAAACCCAGCCCACCTCCTCCCTGGACAGGAGCCCTCGTATTGGAGAAGGCGGGGCTCTCAATGGGGCTTTTGTGGTGGGTGGCAGTGGCCTCAGCAGCTTTCCCCAGCAGCTCCACCAGCTGGAAAATGTTAAGACAACAACTCCATCCTTGCCCCTAGGGAGAACCTGTTTGTTTAGATTCCACAGCCTCCTGTTAAGAGGCAAGTGTCCGTGCAGGGGTTGGTTGAATCGGGTAAAAATTGACCTGTGGGTAAACTCTTCATTGTCCTCCACTAGGCGGGTGCTAGAATCTGTGGACACCGACAAAGGACATTAGCTCATTTGTTCATCCTTTCAAAGGATACTTTGCATACCTACTGTGTGCCAGGCTCCGCTGGGTCCTGAGAATACAGAGAAAACAAAAAACAAAGGTCCCTGCTTTCCTGGTGCAGGGAGAATAATAAGTTGTCAGATAACAGATGCGGGGAAGCAGTGGAAGGGGCTGGGAGTGGGGCCAGGGCAGACCCTGGAAAGGTGGTTTCTTAGCAGAAGGCTTGGAGACGTGAGCCAGGAGGGAAGGAGGGTCACAGCTCCCAGGAAACATGAAGTCCAGCCCAAGAGAATACAATTAACTCCTGGGAGGAGGAGGCCATTAGCCTATGTCTGCTCCATGGTAAGGGGCTCTCTCGCTGGCACGCCCCCTACTCTTTCCCTAGCCCACTCCTCCAACTGTTCTGAAGTGGTGGGAAGGCGGGTAGGGGCAGTCCCAGTGGTCATCTAAGGGAAAACTGTCCCCCTCTGTTTGGTCCCCAAGCTAAACAAGGCTGTGACAGGCAGCAGTAGGGAAGGAAGGCTGTTACCATGCTCTCTGCAAGCTGATGGTCCCCAATGTCACCAGCCGCTGCAGACTCATCCAGCTCCAAGGACCAGGGGGGCCCAGGCCCATGTATTTTCTTAGGTGCATCTACAAAGGCTGGGCTTCATGCCTCAGGACCTCCTTGATGAAAGAATATCCCCCTCCACAGGGTCCCCCTGCCTTGTGAAACAAGCCATATGAATCCACTCACAGAGGGCCCGGGGCCATCTCTGAGCATGGGCTGGGGGTTCTTTGCTTTTACCCTGGTTTCCTTTGGGAAAGAATTGGAAGCCCCACCATCCTCCCTGACCAAGGAAAGGGTCCGCTTTCTCTTCTGAGATGTGGCTTGAAGGAACCAGGGAGTGTGTTCTGCAGAGAGATCCAGAAGGAACCTGTGGCTTTGAAAGAGTCCCTCTAAGGTTGGAGGAAAGACTTCTCCATCAAACTGGAAGGAAACAGGAACAGAGGAGTGGACGGCCAAGCACGTCTCAAGGTGCTTGAGCTGAGAGTCAAATAGTGGAGTGAAAATTGACGAATAAACTCCTTCCGATGGGTTTAAGGGAAAACAGCCCCACTCTGTTTGGTCCCCAAGCTAAACAGATTTGAGATCTGTTTAACACAGAGGATCTGGGCTGTGATGAGCTTAAAGGGGGAGGAGGACACTTGATTTTTCAGAAAGCCTGATTTCAGACGTAATCGTTCATGTTTAAGAAGCAGGGATGCTGACTTGATTTTCCAGAAAGCCTGATTTCAGATGTAATCATTCCTGCTTAAGAGGCAGGGACACTGAGTCTTGGGAACAGCTTTTGGAAAACGATAATCTACGTTAGAGGCGGGGCAGGCAGCCCTGTGGCCCCTGGGCTCTATATGACTATGTGTCTTGGAGGATCTGGGCTGTGATGAGCTTAAAAATCTTAAATATCTGTATTCAGGAAGAGCTTCTGGATGGACACTAGAACCACTGATTATGCATGCCATTGGGGAGGAGATCCCATGTCGGGTCCATTTTTAACCCTTTGGGGATGAGTTGTCGTATGTGTATGCATGCAAGGATGTGCATGCATGTACTTACTAACCCTATATGACACGGATCTTTGGATTTTGTCTACATAAGCGAAGGGATTGAAATGACTTAATTAATTTGCTGTTGGCCATTAATGCATTTTGCAAAGACAGGCAGCCACTGTCTGTCACAGAGGCCACTCTGTCTCATGCTCTCTCTTCCTTATGTTTTAAGAGTCAATGCCTTGGGGCTCAACTTTGTTGGATAGCTGGTTCAATTCTGTGCATTTTTCTAGGTCTCTGTGGCTCACGTCATTTTCAGCATGAAAATGAGCGATCAAATTATGACAAAATCACCTGGAGCCGCCATTCTAGCCAAGGAGGGTGAGGGGAGGCAGAGGGAAAACAAGATGATGAAGCGAACTCCTCTGCAGATAAGGGGTGGCGGATTCTATGGAGAAATACAAAGTCAGGAAGGGATTTGAGGAGGTAGAGGTATAAGAGAATGAGTGAATGAGGCTGGGCACAGTGGCTCACACTAATCCCAGCACTTTGGGAGGCCAAGGTGGGCGGGTCACCTGAGGTCAGGAGTTCAAGACCAGCCTGACCAACATGGTGAAACCCGGTCTCTACTAATAATATAAAAGTTAGTCATGACGGGTGCCTGTAATCCCAGCTACTTGGAAGGCTGAGACAGGAGAATTTCTTGAATCCAGAAGGCAGAGGTTGCAGTGAGCCAAGATCATGCCAATGCGCTCCAGCCTGGGCGACAGAGTGAAACTCCAAGTGAATAAATGAATTGTGAGTGCATGGTGAGTGGGTAAGTAAGTGGGGAATGGGGTGAGCCAATGGGCGAGTGAGCAGGTGGATGAGTGGACAAACACTTGAGCGAATGAATGAGTATGTAGCTGAATGAACCCCTCACTCTACCAGAAAAGCCAGGGGAAGGGGCCTGAGCATCTCCTTCAGGGGTACCTGCCAAGGCGGAGTCCTGGAACCCCTGCCCAGAACTGCTCGTGGAGGGCATCTGCGTTAGTCCCCTGCTCCCCAGCGCTGCCAGCCCCTGCCTCAGATCTCTTACCCAACCGCATCGCTTCCACTTGGCAAGGTAGATGGCCCATGTACTGGGAGTACTACATGGTAGGATCCCTGGGAGGGTGCCCCTGGGTGTCCTCCTGGATCTCTTTCTGGTGTGAAATAGGGCGCTCTCTTGGCTTCTTCAGTTGAACACCTGTGTGACCAGCTCTGTCATCAGATATGTTTTGTAATTAAAGGCTACTCTGTCCTAATATTTCGGGAATGTGCTGTGATTGGCCTTTAGGCAAAGGTGGGTTTCTCTACATGTGTGCTGTACAGAGAAAAAGCTGTTCAACTATTTTTCCTTAAATAGTAAAAGGGTCCAATATGAGCCCACAGGTTACAAAGTGTGTCAGTGCCTTAAATAATATCACCCTTTCCCTACCTATCAACCTATTTCATGTCACTGCAGAAATCTTACAAAACAGAGGAAATGACAAAGCAGAAAATAAAAGCCATCCAATATAATTTTCCTTAAATAATAGGAAAAGGCTCTGTAGCTAAGCAGTCCAGCCTGGTCGCTCCTTCCCACATGTGACTTTGAGCCCTAGAAACGTGGCTTTTCTGAAATAAGATATGCCGTAAAGTAAAATTCACATACCAGATTTCAAATATGTAGTTGGAAAAAAGAGAATGGCCAAGGTCTGATTAATAACTTTTTTTTTTTTAATTTTTTTTGAGACAGGGTCTCGCTCTGTCACCCAGGCTGAAGTGCATTGGTGCAATCATAGCTCGCTGCAGCCTCAAACTTCTGGGCTTAAGCAATCCTCCCACCTGAATTTCCCAAGTAGCTGGGATTATAGGCACGCACCACCATGCCTGGCTAATTTTTTTTTTCTTTTTTAGAAATGGGATCTGACTGTGTTGTCCAGGCTGGTCTCTGACTCCTAGCCTCAAGTGATCCTCCACTTCAGCCTCCCAAAGTGCTGGGATTACAAGTGTGAGCCACCATGCCTGGCCAGGAACTTTTATACTGAGGACATGTTGAGATGATATTCTTTATATAACAGGTCACATAACATAGATTATTGATTTCCCCTGATTATTTTTACTCTTGTTAGCGTGGATAGTAGAATATCTCAATGACACACACTCCGCAGGGCCCAGTAACGCACACCTTTATTGTACAGAAACGTTGCATCAGGAGGACGAGGTCTTCGGCGCCAAACCCAGAGGGCCTTGAAGGTTCTGATTCCCCAGCGCAGGGTTGGGACAATTCCTCCACTGCTGGTGATGCTCCTGGCTCATGTTCCCATTCATTTCTCCCACAGACGTGAGGCCCGGAGTGTACAGCCAATGGTTGTCACACACAGTATCCCCCCAAGAGAAACCTGCAGCCCAGCAGCTCGGCTGCAGTACAGAGACCCCCAACCTGGCAGAGGCCTTGACACAAAACAGTTTTGCACCAAATGATGCATACGTGAAGGCACAATGAAGTGAACAGCAAGCGTTCAAGGAAAAGGCCTTGCATGGCATAACAAAATTCTGGAACATCTTTTATTCCAACCACAGGGTTTTGCAGGAAAGCGTCAGGATTTCCTATAAAGATAACTGAGCCTCACAGTCGGCCCAGGAGGTGTGGCTTCCTTGACTTTGGGGAGGGGAGGGTGTGATGAGGCCCCAGAGGATTCGCCCCAGAGTCAGAGGCTTGCTGCAGCCAGTGCCTGTAACGTTAGGATCCATCTCAGGCATTAGACTTCGGTCTTTAGGGAAATCAGGGGCTTGGGCCGGTCACCAACACCAGGGGAGGGATGCAACTTTGGTGCACTCACGCCCGGCGTACACCCCGTGGAAGGTACAGGGATGAGTCTGTGGCTGAGAGCGGCTCTCATGGGGTTCTTGTACTCTCAACAGTGCAGGGGTGCCAACCTATGTCCCAGCTCCACGGTCTTGGGACCTCAAGTCACCTTCAGCCCCTCAGGCCAGAGGACAGGAGGACCAGGACCTGTCCTTCTCTATCAGAAGCTGTATCATGTCTAGGGAGAAAATACATAATCAGGACAGGGGCTCAGAGGAAGCCATAAGGGTCACCCTTGTCTCCCTGGAGTGGCACAAGCTCAGACTGAAGCCGCCCGCCTCTGCGAGATGGAAGTTCCTTATTCTCAGGAAGTATGCTGGTGAAAGGAAATTGCCAGGCAATCTGGAACTTTTACTCTTTCAAGCCCCAGGAAGAAGAATTGAACCAGTGGCAGGCAGCTAGGTGCTCTGTTTGGCAGAGTGGGCAGGTGCTGTCCCGCTGCGGGGAGTCCGACCCTGTCCCCCTCGGCAGGGTTTCCGATACCAATGCACCCACCATCCTGGGGAGGAAGGCTGAACCTCCTGCAGAGTCACTGGGGAGGAAGCAGCTGTTTAAGATTTCGTCTAAACTTCTTCCCACACCTCATGAGAAAGGACCCAGGAGGGTGCGTCCGTCCGTGTGAATGCACTTGCAGATGGCTGTAATCACCCTAACCGCGCGACTTAACATTTGTAAAGAGCTTAGCACGGTGCTGGCTCATAGTAAGCGCTGCGCAGCTGCTTGTTAAATAAATAAACATAAATGGGGAACATCTATAGTGTGCCAAGGATGGGAAGGAGAGTAAAGAGTGCAGAAATGAAGCCCAAAAAACTGAGGATGGTGGGCAGAAGGGAACGTGAGTGGCTGGAGTCGAGGATGGAAGGAGCAGAGGTGAGGGATGCCGTCTGAGCTGGACCAGAAAGGCTACCAGGAGGAGGTGGCCTAGCCAGGCTCTCAGCTACCCCAGGTGAGCTTTAAAGCTCTTGGGATTCTCAGAAGGCAGGCCTTGTGTTCACAAAACACATTAAGAATCTGAAAACCCTCCTATGGAAACTGGATGTCCATGGATTCTGTTGGAGGAAAAAAAAATCCGCACCCTCCCCCCGCCCCCCACCCCCAAGACAGAACTTCATGCTTTGGCTGCGTTTCTGAGCTTCGGCCGGCAGTTTCCGAGCCCATGGAGTCCCGCCGTCAAGCTGCGGTTGGCCGGCCTCTGCTCGGGCACTGACATCATGCAAGGGAAGGAAATGACAGTGGTCCCGTCTCCCGCCCACCATATCTCAGTTGTAAATTCTCCAGGCACGTCTTCCCCGGGGTAATTATAGCCCAAGTTGCTTTTAGGAGGTGATATCATTTACCTGTTTGGCCTCTGTTTCTGTCCTACGCGGGTTGCCGGGCAGCACGGGGCTGGTGTGGGAGTGGGACGGGTGGCCATTGGCGCTCACAATGGCCTTGAGTCATGACTGCTCACTCCTTCCATGCTCCTTTCCCTCCCCTGGGCTGCTCATGAGTCAACAGCACTTATTAAACCCCTCTGAATGCAGAGATTTGTACTGGGCCAACCGAGGGGCAGGGCAAGCTCAGTGCACCCGGGCTGTGTGGGTGCCACGACCTCTACCAATGGAGGGCAACCCTGGGCACCTGTGTATTTCTATTTTGTAAAAAGAAACCCAATCTCCTTTCTGCCACCTCTCTAATTCTAGATTGTGTGTTGAATTCATGGAGTGAGCTCTGGTTTGAGGGGTGGGGGTCAGGAGAGCTAGACTGAAAGCCTAGTTTGCTCTCCTGCCTGACCTTAAGCCAAGTACATCACCTCTCCAGGTGTGTGCACCTGTGAAATGGGGACTGATAAAGCTGGCCCCCCCAGGTCCAGTTGACATGCAGGTGAGGGCTGCTGAGAAATCTGAGAGCAGTGGTGCTCAACTGGGGCTGGTTTTGTCCCCTGGAGGATATTTGACAACATCAAGAAACATTTTTAGTTGTCACACTGGGGCTGGAGGCAGAGGGTGCTGCTGGCATCTCATGGGTGGGTAGAGGTCACCAGGGTGCCTGCAAAATGTCCCACACTGCACAAGCCAGCTCCCACCACAGAGGATGATCCAGCCCCACACATCCACTGTGCTGAGACATCCACTGTGCCCCACGCTAGAGCTCCTTTATTAGAAGAGACCTTTGCCTCCCTGGCCTGGACTCACCACCGCCAGGCGCTGGGCCTCTTGGTCCTCGCCTACCATCCAAAGGGAGACACTTCAGCCTCACTTTACAAAAGAGGAAATCTAGGCACACCAAGGCCATGCGGTTGGTTAATGGGGAGCGAGGTTCTTGTTCCGGTCCATGGTCTTGGTAACCAGTCCCTGTGTCTCCATAATTTGGGGCACCTCGTTCTTCCTCCCTTTGTAAAGTTTGGTTTGTTCAACTTCCCACTGAGTTGCAGACAGCTTGGCCCGTGCTCTGAGGTATTCTTCCCTGTGGGCAATGCCAACGGGATGGAAATAAAATATCGTTGAAAAGGGCTCCCCTGTGCTGCCTCCTACCAGGAAGCCACCCTCCTGACAGCTTGTTGGTCTGCGCTCCTTGTCACCTGATGCTTGCATCCCCGGTGACTATTAAAATGTCCGCAAAGTGCTCGCTTCGGCAGCACGTATACTAAAATTGGAATGATACAGAGAAGATTAGTATGGCCCCTGCGCAAAGATGACACGCAAATTCATGAAGCATTCCATATTTAAAAAAAAAAAAAAATCAGCAAAGACACCTGTACCTGTATCTGTTGGCACATGCCATCAAATGACACTGAAGAGCAACACTGTGGCCAAACAGGCCAGCTGGGAGGCCCGGAGCTTCCCATAATGAAATGCACCATCTAGACGAATTAGACAAGGGTTTTACTAATTCATGAGCAGGGAATTAATCCTGCCCACAAAATCTGTCCCTGTGGGGTTTTAGTGATAAAAATCACTGAGACAAAAAGAAAACTGGGTGCAACAGTTTATGGAGAGCCCCCACGTATAAGCAGTTAGTGACTGGAGTGGAGAGAGAATCCCAGCAAAGTGACCCATAGGACACAGGCGGGGACAGGGAACCAGAGAAGAGAACCATCTATGGAACAAAAAGGACCCTGTAAACTTGTCCTGGCTTGGGAGATATCTCCAGCTACAGGAATTCTTTTCCCGCTCCTATTTTGGGGGGCTATTGTTTTTACTTTGTGTCGGTCCCTGAAATCCCTAGACCCACGAACCCCCGGCGAAGGCCACGAGAGGCCTGGAGGCAGAACTGGTCCTCTCTGGCCCTTGCTGCACAGAGGCCACGCTGCATTTCCTCTGCCCTTGCTGTGGCATGTCCACACTGTCCACCTGGGAAGACTTGGGGAAGGGGCGAGAGGAAACAGAATGTGGGGATACTGGAGAGAAAAAAAGAAACATAGTGGCAATAGCAAAGAAAGTGGAGTCTTACAGGCAAGCAGATGCCCTGAGCCTGGCTACAGTATAAATCACAGAAACTAGAGGTTAAGCACTGTTTCTTGAGTAAAGCCGCAAGGGGTGCTGTTGGGGAGAAGGTGGGGCCACCTTGCCTAGGAGATGGCCCCCCAGCAGGCAGCCCCCAAGCCCCAGAGCCCTCTCAGGCCAGAAATGTCACTTCCCAAACCTTTGGGAGCACCAGTGTGTCCAGATTTGGCCAAGTATATTTTTACTCTTTTTTTTTTTTCATGCAAACTGCACCTCATAGAGCTCTGGAAGGTCTGTTGGCACTCGAACACAAATTTGAAAAGACAGTACATTAGTATTACACAATGTTGGTTGTTTACCAACAAAGATAAGTGGATGGAGTTACATAATCCTCTGTACATGCGTGTGGGATTCTCCCAGCCCTGGACACTTGAACTTTTAAGGAGCAGAGGCTGTGGAGCACTGTTCCTGGCATGGATTTGGCCAGCCTGGGGCACTTCTCCAAACCCTCTCTCGCTGTCCAAGGTGCAGACAAAGGGTCCTTTAGGGCCACTCAGTGCCCGTTGGCACCACCAGCCTGAGAACCAAATAGCCTTCCTGCACCGCCCCAAGTTCAAGGAAGTCACAGACTTGTGCCTAAATGGGAGAGTCTCACTGAGGCACCAGGAAAGGGTAGGTCATGACAAGATGACATTAGTAGTGACAACAGTCACCATTGCTAAGCCTGGCAGCTTCAGGCACGCTTAAAACTCCCATGAGAAGGCAGAGGCTCTGAGGCCCAGGAGGCTCTGAGGCCAAGGAGGCTGGCACAAGGTCACAAGGCTGGAAGGTGCCAGAGCTGGAGCTAGACCCCACCCCTTCTCTCCAACCCTATCCTAGCTGACTCCAGGTTCCATGCTTGGAACCATGGCACGCTGACGACATCGTGGCCTTTAAAGACAATTTTCTAATCACTTCTGTAGGCCTTGAATGTTCCCCAGTGGCCATTTAACAAGCAATTATTGAGCATCGGCTGTGTGAACCTGGTAGACAACCCACTGTAAAATGAGACGGAATAAATGAAGTGCTAGTTGGGGTTCAGGCAGGTTCTTTGGATAGACAGGAAGGCCTGCATATTTGGGTGGGAAGGGGACAGTAGGGGAGAATCCAGCAGGACTTCCTGCAGGAGGTGCTATCTGATGCACACCGTGAAGAACTCATAGGATGTGAGAGGCAGAGGGACACTTTATTTCCACTGGATGTGGTGGCCAGCATGGCCCCTGGGGCTTAACCTGAGTATGGTCGTCCCCTGGGGACCTGCCTTATTCTCCTTAGGGGAAGAAGACTTGAAGATCTGCAGTGTGCCAGACCCCTGCTAGGTCCGGGGGTAAGAGAGATCAAAGCCACCATCCCCCCCGCTCCGCCCCTCCAGAAAGCAGGACAGCCTTGCCCAGCAGTGGGGAAAGCTCTGCAGGAGCCCCGCCCCACCTCAGAGGATGCGGACTGGTCCTTGGCCCTCCTAAGCCTGAGTGTCCTCTGCAAAATGAGGACCCGCATTCCAACCTTGCAGGTGCGGGGTTAAATGAGATGATACACACTCACGCCCTACATCAGGGACGCTGCACGCACCTGGGCACAGAACACTAAGCACTCCGTAAACTCGGGGGCACCGGTAACATCAGTGGGCTCCAGGGAGATGACTGCCCCGGGAGAGACTCCCCCAGGAGCGCGGGCAGCTGGAGGGGGCGGGTCGGCAGGAACCAGGCAAGCTCCCCGGAGGAGGTGAGTGCTGAGTGACAGCAGGAGTTTGCCAGGGTGGAGGGAAAGGGGCAGAGATCCAGACTCCAATCTCAGAAGCTTCACTCCCCCCGGAGGCGGAGGTGACGCGCCACAGAAGCGCCTGCCACTCGGGGACTTTATTTCAGGTGGGGCTATTGAAAGTTCCCCCCTTTCACACCCGGTATGAAAACCCTCAAAAATCCAAAGGGGCACTTTCCCTGGATAAAAATAAAACTTGGAGGGGCCCGCAGGAATGGAATACTTTTTCTTCCTGTGTTTAAATTTCTACGGAAAATCTGACCGGCGCGGCCACCGCCCCTGCCATAGGCGGGCGGAGAGCGCTTATATCTTTAAGGCAAAGGCGGGCCGGCTGGCGTCCAAGTTCCTGACCAGGCGCGGGCCGGCCCGCGGGACCAGCAGCCGGGTGGCGGCGCGATCGGCCCCGAGAGGCTCAGGCGCCCCCCGCATCGAGCGCGCGGGCCGGGCGGGCCAGGGCGGCGGGCGGAGCGGGAGGCGGCCACGTCCCCGGCGGGCCTGGGCGCGGGGAGGCCCGGCCCCCTGCGAGCGCGCCGCGAACGCTGCGGTCTCCGCCCGCAGAGGCCGCCGGGGCCGTGGATGGGGAGGGCGCGCCGCCCGGCGGTCCCAGCGCACAGGCGGCCACGATGAGGGTCAACGAGAAGTACTCGACGCTCCCGGCCGAGGACCGCAGCGTCCACATCATCAACATCTGCGCCATCGAGGACATCGGCTACCTGCCGTCCGAGGGCACGGTGAGTGCGGGCGGCCGCGACCCGGGCGGGAGGGCCGCGCACCTGCGCCTTGGCGAGGGCGGGAACCGGGCGGCGGCAGGGCCTCCTGGGACCCCAGGGCGGGGGCCGCACCCTCCGCGCAGGGTTCGCGGCGCCCACCCGCGCACGTGCGTGCCGGGAAGGGCGCGCCGGCCCTGGCCAAGTGCGTGCGCCCCGCCTGCGCTCTGAGCGTTCCGAGCGCGGCGCCCACTCCGCCCAGCGCAGCGCCGGGCCCCCAGGCATGGCCCGGCCTCGGAGCTCTGCGGCCCCGAAGCCGCCTCACCCGGGGCTGCAGCTCGGAGCCCAACCAAGAGCTCACGGCTGGCGCCCTGGATGGGACCTTCCCTTCCTGGCTCGCGGCCAGGGGTACCTGTTGGGGCAGCCAGGGTGAGGGTGATGGTGGGGGTCTTGGGTGAAGGCCAAGTTGGTCGCCACTCCACGATGATGGTAACTGCCAGGCCCCACTGCTTCACTATCCTCTGGGGCCAGAGTCCCGAGTCCTCACTTGCCAGAAACGCATATTGTGCCCAGGGCACTGGGCCTGGTACCCTGGCATTGGCACCGAAACTCTCAAAGCCCAGGGTGTCAATCATTGGAGATTGCTTTCTACCCTCGCCCCTGTCTCCCCTGGGCGCCCAGGCCTGGTTCAGGTGGGGGCACTGGTTGGAAGCCAGTCATGTAAGTTGGGGACCCCATCCTGAGGTCCCCAATATCCCCACCACCCTCCCCAGGGCCAGACCCAGAGGTCTAGGTAACCCTATGTTTTAGAGAGGGGGGCAGAATTCTCCCAGGAAGGGTTTGGCTTGAAGGACAAAGTTTGCCGGAAGAGGATAGGACAGGGCTGGGACTGGCTATCTCCTCTTGGGGTGAGGGAAGCTCTCAGCAGCAATTTGTGGGACCTAAGGACAGAAGCTCCCTTCTACCTTCTTCCCATGCAGACCCCATCAAAGCCCCTCCCCAGGCGTCAGGCCCAGCAGGGCTGCTTCAAGCAGGATGAGGATGGCCCTGGCCTGTCCCTCTAGTCTCTGGAGCTCACAGAGAGGCAGGGAATGAAGCGGGAGCAAAGCTCCTGCTTTGAGTCTCTGTTCCAGCGACAGCAGGGACTCTGGCCTTGGTCAGGCCTTGCACCCCTTGGGTCACAGTGGAGGGGGGTGGCCTGGGGGCATCTCTTCAGGAAATGAGATTGCACAGAGCTGCCAGGAGCACTGGGAACAGGTGTAGATGGAGAGGGAGTCTACCTGTGACTCACAGGACTGGCCGGAGGAGCTCAGGGATTGCCATTTGATCAAAGCCATGTGCCAGGCCATGCTGGCCCCTGGGCACCCTCAAAGAATGAGACAGGGAAGGCTCCGCCCATCTGGAGCTTACTTAAGAAATGGTGATGGAACGTTACCCGTTATCCACGGCAGTGACAGGGACTATTCCATAGTGCTGGGCCAGTGCTGTGTCTTAGCTCATTGAACTCTCACAACGTGTGAGGTAGGTGCTATTGCTACAGGCAAGGAGACTGAGGCCCAGAGGGGCAGGTGACCAGCTCCAAGTCACCCATCAGCTGGGAGGACAGTTAGGAAGGGCCCAGGACACAGACCAGGTAGCTGCAGAAAGCCTGCCTGAAGAATAAACATTCTGGAGAAGGAGCTAATTCTACCCATAATGGGTAGGGACTGAGTCTTTCAAAAACATTGCATACTCAAAGTCCCAAAGGTGGGACCATGGAGGTACCAGCCAGGAGCCAGGGGATGGTAGTGGTGGCCAAGGTGATGGAGAAATGGATGCTCTGGGGGTAGACTAGACAAGACCTGATGGTGAACTGAATGTTCAATAAGAAATGGAGCCTGTCATGAATAGCCCCCGGTCTCTAGAGTTTTTGTTCCAGGACCCATTGCTTATCCAGACCCAGAAACTATCTGCCTCCTGCAAACCCAGGTGAAGGCCATAAAGTCTGCAAAGAGGCAGCTGGGCCCAGATGAGACCATCAGCTCCTGGGTTCCACACAACACTTCCGTTACACATACTTTGTTTTGTGAGCTTGGAAGGCTGAATCAGAGGCGCGCGCTGTGGGAGGCAGACCCTGGGAGCAGCATCTGCCGGTAGATGGCCAGACAGGCTGGAGGCTGCAGCCATGGAGCAGGGGCCTGTTGGTGCAGGGCAGGCAGCATGGCAGGGAGAGCCTCCCAGGGCATCCCCGGCACCACTCAAGCCAACAGTTGTTGCTCAGTCATTACCCTGAGTCACCCAACGAAGGCGGCTCTGTACACACGAGGGCCAGAGGGCGTGGGCTGCATTTCAAAAGTTCCTATCCTGTTCTCAGGTGTGAAACTCATACATGCACAAGTCAACCACAAGATAAGTTCATCCAATTCAGGCTGCGGTTCCCAGCCTGTGACTTTTGCCTCTCTTCATTCCCAAGTTCAAGGGTGGAAATGACTTCATTGTTTCTGTGCAGAGATATAAGAAGAAATGACTTGAAAGCCAGAGGCCAGGTTGAATGCAATTTGTTTCCATTTCCCTCTGTTAATCTTTGAGTGTTTCTACTTTCTTCCTTGAAACTGGTGGTTGTCCATGGTCTGGGATCTGTGTGCCCCAAACAAGCCCAGACACTCCAGAGATACCTGATTTGCTGGTATCTGCCCAGTATTTCCTGGCTTATCTGCTGTGGGAGATGATCTGCTTGTAGATTATGGAACGTGCCCCATAATCGTACATTGATATGTAGTGACCTGGTTTTAAAATTTTTTTAGAAGACAAAGGAAGTTTAAAACTGATGTTCCCTTCTTAACTATAATTTGAAGAGTCTCAAAACCAAAAGAAATTTTACAGGCCACTGATTTCATTTAGCCCATTTTCAGAGAAAGTGAACATTGTAGATTCCCTTGAGTGATCAAGATATTTCATATGGATATGAATTCAGTTCCTGGAGTACCAACTCCAGAGACCAGCGGAAGAAACCAGAGCCCAGAGTCCCAGGACAGTATTAAAGGTTAAAGGACATAGGATTGCTTTCCCCCTTCTGCCCTTTTGTTGGAGTTTGAGGAAGGGGTTCATAGAGGCAGGTGTGGACCAGATATAGGCTGCCATTCATGGCGCCTGGGACAGGTCTTCCAGGACACTCCTGCTGTGAAGGGAACCTTTGTCCTTCACATTTTCCCATGTGGCCTCAGGGAAGTATTTCTCTTCCACCATATTCCTATCTTCCTTAGGGAGGCACCTTCCAGGAGTACCTCCCTCAGTTATGCAGAAGGAAGTCTTCAAAATACCTTCAGATCATCGATCACATTTTATCCCCACAAGAATCCTGTGACCTAAGTCCAGATGTCTTTGTCGGCATCTCACAGATGAGAAAACTGAGGCTCCCAGTTGGGGGTTGTGGTGTTTAAGTTGCTGGCCTGCCTGGGTCTCAGCTTCTGTATCCTTGGATCTGATGGCCACAGCCAGCCACAGTATACAAGACCCAGCCTCTGTTGTTCATTCACACATGCCTGCATTCATTCATTCATTCAGCAACCACATATTCAGTGCTAACCATCAAAAAGATGAATAAGAGGGCTGGGTGCCATGGCTCACACCTCTAAATCCAGCACCTTGGGAGGCCGAGGCTGGTGGATCACCTAAGGTCAAGAGTTCAAGACCAGCCTGGCCAACATAGTGAAACCCAAGTCTCTACTAAAATTATGAACATTAACCAGGCATGGTGGTATGCACCTGTAATCCCAGCTACTTGGGAGGCAGAGGCACAAGAATTGCTTGAACCCAAAAGGTGGAGGTTGCAGTGAGCCAAGATCGCACCACTGCGCTCCAGCCTAGGCGACAGAGCAAGAATTCGTCTCAAAAGAAAAGATGAATAAGAAACTCCTTACCCTCAGCAAAGGTGCACCGAGGGGTTGCTTGCCCCTTTCTTAAGAATACAGAAACAGAAATGTTCTGAAGCTTTCCCAGGCCTTCGAATTTGGAAGTTATGCACAAAGTCTCACCCACATCCCTCCCACTGCAATTACATCTTTGCCTTTTTGTCCCGTTCTACACAAGAAAGGCACCCACTCCACTGCTCCGTGGAAGGGCACCATAAAGTCACACGCACTGGTCCTTGCTATGCATTCACCTCCCGACTCTCTCCAAGCCCAGCTCAGGATTGCTCTCCAGACCCTAGGAGCCTCCCAGCCTTTTAGAGTGTAGACGGGAGAGAGCCCACACCTTAAAAACTAATACCTAAACAGACAAAGCAGCTTATCCAGGGTCACACAGCAAATCAGTGACAGAGTCAGGCGCTGGGACTCCCACACCTGTGCTTGGTGCTGCCTCCTGCTGGTCCCAGCATCACATCCAGCTCCTTTTGTAACTTTTTAAAGTCTGGATTTGGCACTGCTACCATCTTTCACTTGTGGTCCACTCTGGCCACAAGATTTTTTTTCCCCTGTCCTCCCCTAGTTCTTTATGTGCGTGTGTCTCAGTTCCCAATTAGAGCAAACTTCTGTTGAAGGTTCACTCTATGCTAGGCCCTGTTGGAAACTCTTTACAAGATATATTAACAGGTTTCATCCTTCCAGCAACCCCATGAGGGAGGTCATATAACATGAGGTAGGTCTTAGGGATATGGAGAGACAAAAACACGAAGCTGTGTGCCTGGGGTCACACAGCTGGTGAGTGGCAGAGCTGGTGTTTGAACACAGGTAGGAGGATGCCCACTCTTGATCAGGCCCCAGTGCTGTCTCTCCCTCCACCATGCATGGGAAGTTAGATGATGTTTCTGCTCTCCCAAAGACTGTAGGCCCCTGAGGGTAGGTGTGTCCCTTGATAGGCCCCCAGTGGACAGATGATGGGGGTTCGTATTGAACCTGGTAGCCTTCCCTGTTTCAACTTGATAGAGGATTTTTGGCCACTCCTTAGTGTAATTTCCCTGCTTTCTGGCTTGGAGGGATCCCTGTGGAATTTCCTCCCTGTCTCTAAGGATTTGTTTGCTATTATCATTATCCCTGCCAACCAGGAGTGTTTATGGAGCCCCAACCAGGTTCTCAGTCCCTGTGTACTGAGGTCAGGTTGGAGCTCTGTCCTAACACATCTCTAGACAGTCCCTGGCCAGGCCTCCGGGGTCCTGCCATCCAGCTTTGGGGCTAATTTGCAAGTTAAGAACTTGTGGGTAGATGGCTCAGAGGCAGTCCCAGCACAGAGAGACCTGCAGAGGCCAGAGGGGCTGGCCACCTTCAGATCCCAGAGGATGCTGGATTTGCCCTGTGCCCTGAAAACCAGGTTGAATTACAAAGGGCTGAGAAGGACAGAAAGGGCGTACAGGGAGGGACACAGTGTCTGCAAAGGCAAGGAGGAGGGACTGGGGAAGGCCTGGGGGAGGGGGAGAGGAGACTGGGGAAGGCAGTATGGGGAGGAGATGAGGAGGAATAGCCGAAGCCCTCAGGCGCACCTGGGACTCAGGCAGGTGTGCCCTCCGACCCCTCGAGACCCTGCATTCACCTGCTGGGCACTGGCACATTCCCTGCACATGGGCTTCTGTCTTCCAAGAGCAGCTTCCGGTCGGGCTCTTTTGCCCCCTCAGCCATGGGGAGAGAAAAGCACCTTTAGTCACCAGCTCCCTGTAACCCTGCCCTTGTTTGACCTCCCTGAGATGTTGAGGGGAAAGCGTATCTGCCATTGGGTGGCCATCAGGGTGACGGGGATGGCTCCCAGGTGCCTGGCCCCAGAATTAGATGGAGCGTCCATCCTGGCACGTTCTGGTCAGTGTGTGCTGAGCTTAGCAGAGACCATCATCCCCTCAGTGAAGCCTCCCGCTGCTCCGCATTTAGCAGAAACCAACCCTGGGGCTCAGAGTGTCCAGAGCCTCCCCCAGGCCTTGCAGCTGGAGAGGGGCCAAGCCTAGATGTAGACCCAGGTCTGGCTGACTACACGGCCTGCCATGAAGCCAGTGCCCTGTCCTGGGCTGGCCTCACCTGCTGCCCCACACTGTCCAGACATACCTGTGGCCTGGTGTTGCCCAAACCTCCCGACTAGCCTGTGCTTATCTGCTGTCTCTACTGGCCCTGCTTAACCACTGCCCCAGGCTGGGACAGAACTGAGGCCTGCTAAATTGCTGCACTCTCCCCATGCCCCTCAGCACCAGAGACAGAGCCCTGCACTGGGGTCAGCCAGCAGGAGTCTGGTACTCAGGGCCACTGAGCTGGGCAGCTCACCCGTGGGAGCCTCAGTTTCCTCCAGGTCAAATGGACCTAACTATAGTAACCCCCTCATAGGGTCAGCTTGTGGGGACTCAGCGAGATGACATACCTGGGCCGAGAAACAGCGTCACCCTTAGTCGCGGCTCCTACTAAGGGGGGCCGCACCTTGGGCGTGCAGATGGGACTTGAGGCTGAGCTCAGCCTCCCGCCTGCGCTGTAACCCGGGCTCTCCTGCCCTGCTGGGCCTCAGTTTCCTCCTTGGCGAATTGAGAAGAATAGCTCTTTCGTGCTTCTCCTGCAGAAGGAATGCAGGCCCCCCGTGCTGGCTACAGACTTGCGATACTGGGGTCTTCCGTGAACCCCGTCCTTCATGGGGCTGGGCATGGGAACCCACTGCCCTCAAAAGCCAGCCCTCCCCCACCCTTCCCCCTGAGCCCTCCCAAGCCACCCACCCACATGGGCGTGGTCGTGGCCCCTAAGCACCCTCAGACTTTGTCACAGAGGGCAAGGTGGGCGGGGCACGCACACTGAGTCCAGGTCCTCCTGAAGGTCACCAGCACAGCGGGGCCCTGTGTTACTGTAGAGAGAAGTCAGTTGCTTAGTTTCAGCCTCCTGCCGGCACCAGATGCTGACCAGGCCCTCCCAGGTGGTGAGCAATGCTGTTTCCAGGAGAGGCATCCTAGGGCCAGAGAGGCCAAGGTGCCAGGGACATGGCCCCAACTGTCCCCTAACCAGGGGTAGAGGAGTCTAGACCCTTGACATCAACACCTATGAAAGGTGGGGCAGCCCCCAACCAGCAGCCCTGGCCCAGAGCCTCCTCTCTCCTTCCCCTACAACTAAAAAGGACAGCCTCCACTCGAGGCCTTCCCTCCCCCTCTCCCCCACTGCAGTGCTGACTGTTTGGGGAGGGGCTCCACCCTCCGGCTTCCCTGATACACTTTGGGTTGTATACAGCCCACCTGCCTCGAATGAGGGATTCTGCCTGCCCCTTTTCCCGACCAGTGCACAGCCATTTAGAGCCATGGTGCAGCCGGAAGCTGCCCAGGGGCTCCAGGCGACCACGTGGGGGGACCCTCCAGGCCAGCGAGGCCCAAGCACAGCTCTGTCCAAAGGCCACAGGTGCTCGGGCCCTGCCTGGCGCAGCATGCCGTCCCTGCACTCCATCAGGGAGGCCCTCTTCTCGGATGATGCCCCTCGGGAACTGATAGTGCCCTAGGGAGCGTCCTCACGTAGCCACAGGAAACTGAGGTGGAAACCAGGCGGCCAGCTCGAGGGATGAGGCACAGCTCTGTGGACCATTAGCAGCTTGGAGTTGCCTGTTAGGTTCTACCCAGCATGGCTTTTTTTATTTTTTCTTATTTCGGAAACCCAGATTGCTGATCGACCTGTCTGTCTTGATAACCGGCCAAACCCCTCGGGAATTCCAGCAATGCAGGCTTGGCTTTAGCAATGGTCCCATCACACTGCCACTGTGGGAATATCTGGTTTTTAAACAAACTGCTCCATACTGCTATCTCCCGTGGCCCCCTAGAGTCCTTCAAACAAATAAGGAAACTGAGGCAGGGCAGGCCCTGTTGGAGCCCTAACCCCGCCCCCTTGGTCACCCCAGGGCACCCACCAGCGGTGCCCATCCATACCAGTGGCTCACTGTCCTCTGCACCCAAAGGTGACTGACCGTGCAGGTGCTGCCGCAGGCCACGTGTGGGGAAGGTGCAAGCGCAGGGTCATTAACACCCCAGGAGTGACCCCCAGCCAAGAAAGGGCCAGAGCGGGTGCATGATCACCCAACTTCCTCACCCTCTGGGTACTGGCAGTGGGATGTGCCCTTCAAGGTCACTCCGAGGGTCCCCAGCAGGACGGACCCCAGCTGCACATAGCGGTGGCCGCTCCTTAACCCACCCCTGTCAGCCTCCCTCCCCTTCACCCTACTCTGGCACCTGAGATCACCTCCCAAGTAAAACGCTTGCACCCCTGGCCTCTGCTCAGGCTCTGTTTGGGGGAGAGCCCTGACTAAGACAGTGAAAGCCTCACCTCTGGACACACAGCTAGTTAGTGGCCCTGTGGCCACCTTGACATGGCACTGCCTCTGACACTGGCCATCAGAGATTGAGATTTGCACGCACAGAACCTGAGCTCAGCTCTGCCTCAGCCCCTATCCATGTGCATGGGGAGCCCTCATTCACTTGGTAGCTTTTGCCATAGCTTTTGTTGCTGGGGGATATTTTGTTTGTTCATTTAATTTTTAATTTGGGTGGGTACATAGTGGGTGTATATATTTATGGGGTACATGAGATATTTTGGTACAGGTAATGCAATACGTAATAATCACCTCATGGAAAACTGGGTATTTTCCCCTCAAGCATTTATCCTGTGTGTTACAAACAACCCAGTTATGCTCCTTTAGTTATTTGTCCATGTACAATTAAATTATTATTGATGATAGTCCCCTGTTGTACTGTCAAATACTAGGTCTTATTCTTTCTCATTATTTTTTGTACCCATTAACCATCCCCTACCATAGCTTTTTGCAAGCAGCCAGGGAGGTTCCTGACATCCAGCCTGCTCTAGTTCCATAGACCAGGAGGGCTTCTGGGGGACCATATGTGGCTTGGCACCTTCATGAATGATTAGCAGTGAATACCTCCTTCTCGAAGTTCAGCTCCCTGAAGGCAGGGTCTTCTGCTGTGTTCCCAGGTGTATCTCAGGCCCTAGGACAGTGCCTGGCCCGTGGAGGGCGCTCAGGGAGTGTTTGTTGAACGAGTGAGTGAGGAGTGAGTGGATGAAGGGAGCAGCGCACCCTCCAAAGGCCCATCACGAGCAGCTCGATGGTGAATGGGTGTCTTTTCTTCCACCCTTAGCTGCTGAACTCCTTATCTGTGGACCCTGATGCCGAGTGCAAGTATGGCCTGTACTTCAGGGACGGCCGGCGCAAGGTGGACTACATCCTGGTGTACCATCACAAGAGGCCCTCGGGCAACCGGACCCTGGTCAGGAGGGTGCAGCACAGCGACACCCCCTCTGGGGCTCGCAGCGTCAAGCAGGACCACCCCCTGCCGGGCAAGGGGGCGTCGCTGGATGCAGGCTCGGGGGAGCCCCCGATGGACTACCACGAGGATGACAAGCGCTTCCGCAGGGAGGAGTACGAGGGCAACCTCCTGGAGGCGGGCCTGGAGCTGGAGCGGGACGAGGACGTAACTATCTCACTGCGCGCTGTTTGTGGGGGGTGGGGGGTGGGCTGCGTGGGGGGCAGTAGGGGGGCAGCTGCTTCCATAGTCAGAGGGTGCGAGGCTGGTATCTTGTTTTAGCTTTAAGCTGTTCTTAAAGAAGGGGCAGACGGGCCAGACGCAGTGGCTCACACCTGTAATCCCAGCACTTCGGGAGGCTGAGGGGGGTGGTTCACGAGGTCAAGAGATCGAGGCCATCCTGGCCAACACGGTGAAACCCCATCTGTACTAAAAATACAAAAATTAGCTGGGCATGGTGGCATGTGTCTGTGGCCCCCCTACTCGGGAGGCTGAGGCAGGAAAATCACTTGAACCCAGGAGGCAGAGGTTGCAGTGAGCGGACATCACGCCACTGCACGCCAGCCTGGCGACAGAGTGAGACTCTGCCTCAAAAAAAAAAAAAAAAAAAAAGAAGAAGAAGACAGGGCAGCAGACAAAAACACTGTTCTTGTTAAGGTGGGGTAGAAATTGCTTTTGAACAGAGTTAGGGAGCCCTGACCTGCTCCTCTGGCCATGTCTGCTCTGGGAGAGGGTCTGGCCTTCACAGCCATGACCTTCAGAGTCAGAGCATCGCCTGCTTCTGGTCAGCTCCTTTCCTGGGAAGATTTGCCAATCGGGGGAGGGAGGACAAAGCTCTCCTGGGAGTCTTCCTGGATGGGGTCGGCCCTTCTCTGGGCCTCAGTTTCTCGTCTGTAGAGTGAGATGTGGGTCCAGCTGAGCCCTGGGAGTCGTTGGTGCTCTGAAGTCCGTGGCTCTGTAACACTGTGCTCTGAAGCCCTGCTCCCTAGCAAAGCCTACGAATCTTCCTAGAAGAAAGATTTCAAAAGAGAACAAAAGGTCGACCCCCCTCGAGTGCCTGGCTGCTGCGGGGCCGAGGGTGCAGCTGTGTGCAGAGAGAATGACTTTAGCAGCCCTAGCACAGCGGTGCTTCCTTCAGCGGCTCTGCTGGCTGCTGTGTGCTCTCTGGCTGTCATCTTAACCTCTCTGTGCACGGGAACCCTTCCTTCCATGAATATTGGGTGAAGGGCCCCAGCCTACAGAGCCATCACTGTGCGGATTACCCAAGAATCGACAAAGTCTCTAAAACACATCGAAAACAGAAAAAGTTGTCGGCAGGTTAACTTAGAAACCATGGAGTCCCCAGTGGATGTTGAAAATGAACGTTGGCTTTGGTTTGAAATTTCATCCACAGGCACCACCATGTCCTTAAATGCTTTTGGTCCAGTGATAAGAATGTCCTCGGAGTATTTAGACCAAAAAGCAGGTTAATTAGGGAACCTGGAGTGGAAACGCCTCTGTTTTGTGACAAGTAGATATGACTTTCCTTGAAATCAATGGAACGTGCTCCATGGGGCCTCCCTGGACCTTGGCCTAGTGAGTCAAAGGGTCTTGTTGAACCTGGGGCATCTGTCTGGGTCTCCTTTCACCTTCCTGAGGTCTGGCCACCCGGCAGGAGATTGTGAGTTCGGCCACCCAGATGGGTCCCTCTGGAGTTTTGAGGGCAGGTGAGGAGCCTTACAAGTTTTGATGATCAGGAAGCAAAGTTTGATCCTGACAAGGATTCAGAGACTTTCTCCCTGCCTTTGGGGGCAGCTGCCAGGGAACAGTGTCCTGCCCGACTTTGTCTTAGACACTTGGAACAGGCGAGCAGTGGATTCCTGATGGGTTTTCGCACGGTCCTGCCCTCCAGCCCTGTGGCTTTCAGAACAATGCGGCTACTATACAGGGTTTGTTTCAGCATGTCAACTTAGAACTGGAGGAAGGAATCGGCTCCATCAGGGAAGCTTGGCGGCCGAGGCCACTCTCTGGGAGCTGAGGCCGAGAGAGCTGGATTTTGAGCTTCATGGTCCTTGTGTCTCATCTGTTCCCCAGGGTTTGTTTGTTTGTTTGTTTGTTTGTTTGTTTGTTTGTTTGTTTGTTTTGAGGCGGAATCTCACTCTGTTGCCCAGGCTGGAGTGCAGTGGCACAATCTCGGCTCACTGCAAGCTCCGCCTCCCGAGTTCACGCCTTCTCCTGCCTCAGCGGGACTACAGGCGCCCGCCGTCACGCCCAGCTAATTTTTTGTATTTTTAGTAGAGACAGGGTTTCACTGTGTTAGCCAGGATGGTCTCGATCTCCTGATCTCGTGGTCCGCCCGCCTTGGCCTCCCAAAGTGCTGGGATTACAGGCGTGAGCCACCGCGCCTGGCCCCTCCCCAGGGGATTTTACACTCCATCCTCATTCTTTCCTGACTACAACTTTGAGATCTTAACGCTCAACAGGAACTTCTGGGGTCTAGTAATTCTGACTGACTTCTGCCAGATCCCAGACCCTCCACTTATCCTGATGGAAAAGCTAGGCCTCAGTTTCCCCATTTGTAAAATGGAGATAGCAAGAGTATTTGCATCACTGAGTTATCATAAGTAACCTTTGCAAAGTGCTTAATTCAGAGTCTGGCCTGTGGCAGATGCTTGGCTGATATTGTGTCATATATTATTGTTCATACTGAAGCGGCAAGAAGGACGAGAAAAGACCCTTTCCAAGTCTCATTAAATACTATCTCATAAATATCTTTTTAAATATTTTATATTCTCTATCATGACTTTGAGCTAAAAAGCAAAACATAAGGACATTGGTTACTGTCACCAAAATGATCTAGTTTTTAACCAGTGAAATGACCCCAACTTTTCACTGGTAACTTGGCTCAAGGGCTAAAAGAGGCTTTTCAGCAGTTGATCTGGCCATGTTTAAGATGAAACCGTGATTGTGGGGTAGAAACGTCCATTCAAGTTTTCAAAGGGCTGAAGTTGAGATGTTCCCACATCCCTGCTGGAGCCTCTCAAATCATAAGCTGTTTTATGAAGGCTTCCTGGAAACCCCAGAGCTCTCATCTGAGCTGCACCAGCCCCTAGGGCTGTTGGAAGGAGCGATGGTTTGGGCGGCCTGTTCTCCTGGAGAGGGGCAGAGCCAGAATCTATTAAAAGGCTGCTTGGGCACACGCAGCGTCTGAAGTGTGTGTGGGCCCCTGCCAGCGTGGTTAGCAGACAGAGCTGCTGCCGTGTTCATTTCAGGGGGAAGAAGCACTCTTGGGAATGAACCTTTCCCGGAGGGGTGCTCAGATTACAACGAGCAAAGGGTTTGCGATTTTGAAAATAAGATCACCTCCAAGAGAGTCCAGTTGCACAATCTTACCCAACTGGAAGCAAAATTCAGGGCTTATGTGAGCTTTCCTGGGGAGAAAAATCCACAGAGTCTATCAGATTCTCACACTGTCTATGACACCCACCCCCAAAATTATGACTGGTTGCTTTGAAGCAGGTGATATTTAACAGCATCCCCGGCCTCTACCTGGCCAGTAGCACCTCCCTCCCCAAGTTGTGAAAGCAAACCAGAAATGTCCCCAGACATTGCCAGTGTACGTGGGGGGCAAAACCACCCCCAGTTGAGAATCCCTGCACTGAAGGCTGGATGAGGAGGCAGAGGGAGAAGAGGACATGGAGGGAGAGAAAGGGGGACAGATGAGCAAGACGGTCCCCTGAGGGGTGCCAGCCACCTCTGGGACCATCTGCTGTGGCCAGGACTGTGCAGCAGTCATGGAGGCCACTGGCTGTGCAGGTGTGACCTGGCCTTTGTTCCTGGGGCGCCGGTGGGTGGGACACACTGTGTCACTCCTGGGCAAAGTGTGCTGCGAGCCCCACACAGGAGTGAGCAACCCCTATGCCCCGTGCGTGCCTCCTCACTGAGTCGGGAGGTTCATTGTGTTGAGACATCTTGTGACAACCTGGCAGATGGGCTTGGCTGAGTGCACAACGGGGCCAGTTCTTGGAGATCGGATAACAGCTATGTCATGCCCTGCACCTGCACAGGCTGGGGGCTTAAAACAACACAGATGGATGCTGTCATAGCTTTGGAGGTGAGAAGTGCACAATCAAGGTGCCAGCAGGGCCGCGCTCCCTCTAAGACTCCAGGGGAGGATCCTTCCTGCCTTTACCAGCTCCTGGGTCTCCAAGTGTTCCTTGGCTAGTGGCCGCATCACTCTAATCTCAGCCTCTGTGGTCACTCGGCCCTCTCTGTTGTGTGTCTCTGTTGTGTGTCTTCTTCTTGTAAGGACACCAGTCATTCTATTTGGGGCCCACCCCTACGACTTTATCTTAACTCGGTTACATCTGCAAAGACCCTGTTTCCAAGTGAGATCACATTGATAAGTGCCAGGAGTTAGGACTTGAACATATCTTTGTAGGGGACACCACTCAGCCCACTCCAGTAGCTGAGATGCTGCACTGGGCAGGTAATCCTGGAGTTGGCTGCCTTGGATGGGGCAGGCTGGAGCACGCGGGTAGCAGCATGGGGCAGGGTCATGGCTGAGGGCCAGGGAAGGTCTGGGGGAGTGACAGCTTCCAGCTTTGGCCTGGTCTGCCTTGCTGCAGGACCCAGGATGCACACAGGAACTCCTGGGGGTCTTGTCAAAATGCAGGCTCTGGCTCAGCTGGTCTGGGGGACCCAGCACCTGGGGTGGCTGAGGCTCTGGTCCTTCCCAGACCATGCTTTGAGATGTGAGGAGTGTGGGAAGGGCCTTTTGCACAAGCCAGGAGAGGCTTCCCCAGAGCAAGACCCCCAGTATCCACATGAGCCCCTGGAGCACTGTGTGGTACCCCAAGGGTGACCCCAGACCAAGACCCCAGGGCCGGCTCCAGAGAGCCAAGAGCCTGTTGAGGTCGGAGCCATGTCCCAAAGAGAGACCCAGGGGTGGGTCAAGAAGGCATGGGCACTCAGATCCACAGGGCGGCCTTCAAAGTGGGTTTACAGGAGGGGCCCAGAGACCTCAGGACAGCACTGCAGGGCAGGAAAGGGCAGGAAAAGAGAAGGGCCCTGAGGCAGGGCCTTCCTTCTCTCTCTCCCTCCTTCTCTCTCTCCCTCTTGATCTCCCTTTCTCTCTGTCCTCCTCCTCACCTCTTATTCACCTCTACCTCTCTATCTCTCTCTCTCACTTCTCTCTGTCTCTCTCCCTCTGTCTCTCTGTCCTTTCTCTTTTCCTCTCTCTGTCTCTCTCTCCCTTCTGTCTCCTCTCCCTCTCTATCATTCCCTTTCTCTCTTCTCTCTCTCCTTTCTTCCCCCTCTCTCTCTCTTCCCACCTCCCTCTTTTTCACTCTACCCCCTCTCACTTTCTCTCTCTCCCCCTCTCTCTCTCCTTCTCCCTCCCTCTCTGTCTCCATCTCTTTCCCTCTCCCTCCCCTTCTCTCTCCCTCCCTTTGACAGCCATGGGGTCAGCTTTCAGGGTTCCCATTAAAGGGACTAAAGAAGATATGGCCAACATGTTTTCTTGCAACTAAGACCCATTAGCCTTTTTGAAGTCCAGCCTCAAAGCCTGCTGGACATTATTTATGTCCATGGGGTCATTGCGGAGAACGCCACACACTAAACTCTTGGCTGTGTGTGCTGGGGGGCGGCTGAGGCCCACACTGCCCTGATGTTGAACCTGACCCAGGCTTTGGTAGATCCTGAGAAGGCCGTGGACATTGGAACCCTATAAAAGTCTGTTTGCTTTCATGTCGCTGCCCAGGGCTCAAGTCTGTACCCCACTGGCTCGCCGCTGGTTCTCCACATGCATCCCCGTAGTGGGTGGGGCTGTCCCCGCAGCAGCATCTGTTCGCCATCTTCATGGATGCTGCTTTTGAAAAGCAAGTGAGGGCGGACTCCATGGGAGAAGGGCTGCTTTCAGACAAAGCCCACGGCTGGATGCATAGGTGGTGGAGACGCAACCTCGGGGCTCCGAGTGCGGGTTCAGACCCCGCCCAGCCCCTCTGAGAGCCCGGTATGCGGATGTGGACCCAGCTCAAACTTCCTGGCTGAGCAACCCTGGGCAAGTGGCTTCACCTCTCTGGGTCTCAACGTCCCCATCTGTAAAATGGAGTTGATAGTGTGACCTTCCTTGTGGAGTGGTGGGTGAGGGTCAAGAGAGTTAATCCTCGAGCCCACAGAGGGACAGAGCTGGCCAGCGTTGGCTGTAAACGCCCCTTACCCACAGGCCTGGGGCAGAGCCCACTCCTCACCACTCCCAGGGCCTGACCCTGCTCCTGCCAGAGGGGAACCGCAAGTCCCCCTTGGAAGAGAAGGGTCTCCCTGCATGTGGAGACCCCGCCCCTGCCCGCCGCCAGGTGACCAGGGAGGGTGGTGGCAGGGTTGCCATGGCCTCAGGACAGGGAAGGGCAGCCATTTCTTGCCATTTCCCATGGAGGCCTTGTGGATGTGGGCAGGTGTGGGAGGCAGTCCTGGGGCTGCATTCATTGTCCACAGGGCCCTGGGCACTGGCAGGGGCTGGGGAGAGGCCCTCACAGATTTGAGAATCGGGGGTGGGGGCCTGGAATTTGAGGAGTCTCGGGCCTAATCCCAGCTCATCAGCACAAATAAAAGCAATAAACATGCTCATGAGACTTGTCAGTTCCCCACTCCGTGTGGGCTTCCTACCAGAACCATGAGTAGGTAGGGCAGAATTTCGATCCTGAGCTGAGAGTGGCACGTCTGGCCTTTGAACCTGGCCCCTAACCTCACCCAGAGACTCTGCACTAAAACTTGCAGTCCCCGTTCTCCCCCAGGGGAGGAAGAATGGGCCTCTTGCACGATGGGATGTTAGGAACCTCTAGTCTATTCATGAAGCTATTTCTCTGCTCTTCATTCCACTGTTACAGACTTCTTTGGTCCCTAAAGATTTTATGCCTCCCCAGTCTTCAGCTGAGGCGCGAAACAGATTGGATGACTTTTATCATGGCCTGATTTTCTTTTGGCTTGTCTTGGTTTCATGGAAACATATTTCTTTTAAAGTGAATTCTGGGCTGGGTGCCATGGCTCATGCCTATAATCCCAGCACTTTGGGAGGCTGAGGCAGGAGGATCACCTGAGGTCAGGAGATCAAGTCCAGCTTGGCCACATAGCGAAACCCCATCTGTACTAAAAATACAAAAATTAGCCGGGCGTGGTGGCTGGCGCCTGTAGTCCGAGCTACTCAGGAGGCTGAGGCAAGAGAATTGCTTGAACCCAGGAGGCGGAGGTTGCATTGAGCCAAGATCGCGCCACCACACTTCAGCCTGGTTGACAAAATGAGACTGTCTCAAAAAAGAAAGAGAGAGAGAGAGAGAGAGGAAAGAAAGAAAAAGAAAGGAAGGAAGGAAGGAAGGAAGGAAGGAAGGAAGGAAGGAAGGAAGGAAGGAAAGAAAGAAAGAAAGAAAGGAAAGAAAGAAAGGAAAGAGAAAGAAAAAGAAAGAAAGAAAGAAAGAAAGAAAGAAAGAAAGAAAGAAAGAAAGAAAGAAAGAAAGAAAGAAAGAAAGAAAGAAAGAAAAGAAAAGAAAGAAAGAGGGAAAGAAAATTCATTCTGGACCTTTTTAAAAATTCATGTTTTTAAAGTGACCCCAAGACCATCATTGCACAGCTCTGCCACAGGGCATCCCAGGCTGCTGGGGTGAAATCTTTGCCATTCTGGCTATAGTTCTGAGGTCCTCATCTGTGTCCAGGCCCATGGTGTGCTGGAGTCATGTCCTTCTGGAATTCTGCAAGCTGGTTGTTACCCGTTGCTGGCTTGAAATAGGCCACGGTGGGGTATTTACACCATGGGAATTGGCAGATGCTGCAAATCAGGGCTTCCCTCGCCCCCGCAGGAGCCCCTCACCCCCGCCGGAGCCCCTCACCAGCATCTTCTTGCACCAGCCCCATGTGCCTTCTTGTCTTTGGAGGGGTTGAGCATTTCCCAACATATCTGTTGAGTTTTTAACTCTTTTTATGATCTTTTTTATTTCTAGGAGTTCTATTTGGTTCTTTTCCAAGTCAGCTATGTCATGTTTTAATAGTTTCCTGTCCTTTGCAGTTCTTTTCTATCTTGAGGTTTATGTCTTTAAACGAGTTAAGCATAGCTGATTTATTACCCAGCTCATCCTTTGCTAATCCCAAGCTGAGTGGGCCGATTTCTATCTCGGTCACTTCAGCTGGTTCTCCTCCCGGGGCTGTCTCTTGCCCTGGTGGGGGCGGGTCTGCTTCGCTTGTCTGCTAGTCATTGACCTTTTATAATCTGTGGGGTTTCCCAAAGCCTCTGATAAAGGTGACCTTGTCCAGAAAGGTTTGCAGCGTTATAGATGAGAGCCACCTTGAACCAAAGCCACAGTCTGAGGTGCCCAGGTCTTCACAGGCGCCATGGCTGTAGGGGCCAGAGCTTCTCAGGGTGGGTTCCAGTCCTCCTTTTCCTTCTCTTTCTCTCCTCCTCCTCTGCTGGGCACCCGTATCGGTCCGTGGCCTTTTAGGAACCAGGCCCCCCAGCAGGAGGTGAGTGGTGGGCCAGCGAGCATTCCTACCTGAGCTCTGCCTCCTGTCAGATCAGCAGTGACATGACATTCTCACTGGGAGCCCAAACCCTGTTATGAACAGTGCATGCGAGGGATCTAGATTGTGTGCTCCTTGTGAGAATCTAATGCCTGATGATCAGAGGTGGAACAGTTTCAGCCGGGAGCGGTGGCTCATGCCTGTAATCCCACCACTTTGGGAGGCTGAGGTGGGAGGATCACCTGAGGTCAGGACTTCCAGACCAGCCTGGCCAACATAGTGAAACCCCGTCTCTACTAAAAATACAAAAATTAGTTGGGCATGGTGGCACATGCCTGTAGTCCCAGCTACTTGGGAGGCTGAGGCGGGAGAATTGCTGGAACCTGGGAGGCGGAGATTGCAGTCAGCCAAGATTACGCCACCGCACTCCAGCCTGGGTGACAGAGTGGGACTCTGTCTCAAAAAATAATAATAATAATAATAATAATCAAGGGGTGTAACAGTTTCATCCTGAAACCCCAGCATTGTCCTGTGGAAAAATTGACTTCCACAATACCAGTCCTCCCTGGTGCTAAAAAGGTTGGGGACCGCTGTTTCAGGTCATTGAATTTCTTGTTTCTTTTCCTGTGGTGCATTCTTTACTATGTATCCTGGGAGGGTTGATCTGAGTAATCTACCACCTTCAACAGAAGCAGGAATGTGAAATGATATTTCTGCTGACTTACCTATCATTTATTTCTTTAACAAGACATCACTGAGCAGGCCTAGGACCAGACCCCATGGCAAGGGCTGGGATTAAAGATGTCCACAGCCCAGTCCCTGCCCCATGCTTGGGGAAGAGCAGTGGCGCCTGATCCACCCACGGCTGCATTCCTTGGGTCCTCAGCTCGCCTGAGACTCGAGTCTGGAGACTGCGTCAGGATAATGGGGGATGTATGCTTGCTCCAGAAGCAATCCCTCAACTGTGCTTCATAGCAGTGTCCCTGCTATGGGGAGCCAGGTCTTCCTATGCAGTGTGGACGTGATCAGCAGTAACTGTGGCGTGGGAAATACCAGGCACCGGCAATGACCTCTCCAGGCAGACCCCTGCCCAGGGACTGAGAGCATCTCCCATCTTGCCCGCGTGCCCTCTGGAGCCGTGCGGGTGGAGGGTAGGAGTGAGCATTGCAGGGTCAAGGTCAGGCTGAGATTCCTCCACATCTACTGTTCATGGGCCTGGGACAAGGGGCTCTGGGCCTTCCCTGCCCCCTCGTCCATATTTACTGAAGTGGACACATCCATAGCTACCAAAAGGTTGGAGAGAAGGCGGATGGTAGTCTGAAAGCCGGGGCTGTCCTAGGCTGGCACAGAGTAGGCGCTTTATAAAGTCGGGTGCCTTCCCTCTGCCTTCTCCCTCACTCAGTGGACATCACTGAGCCTCTGCTCTGTGGCCACTGCTGTTCCCCGTCCTAGGGATACATCAGTCAGCTAAACAGATAAGCCTGGCTTCAGACCCAGTGTGCCAGCTCCTATCCGTGCTGGAAGCTGGTGCCAACGGGGAGAGACAGGCAGATGCCAGGGCTGCTGAAAACTCGCCTGGTCATGAAGGGCTGACCAGGGATGTGGCACTGGGCGTCACATGCCCCAAAAGCCTATTTATGGCAGAGAATGTGAACCCCTTGGGGCACCCGCCAAGGCTCCTGGTGTCTGCCCCCGAGTCCGACGGCAGGAGGATTAGACCACAGCAGCCCCGCGTCCTCGTGGACAGACAGGGTCAGAAGAGTCCTGTGCCTTCCTAATGGGGCCACACGGCTCCCCGCAGGGCTGGGTGTTCTCCTCCTTGGGAGCTGAGGAAGCTGCAAACAGGGAAACGGGGATTTGTCCAGGTGTTCTGTGGGTGCTCGAGGGCCTTCGGGCCCAAACCCCACCAACGATGAGGCTCCTGGGCTTTCCCCTGCACCCAGTGGCCTGGACTGCTGTGCACAGCACACACCCATGGTTCCTGCCCGATATGGGAGGTGCCTGGCCTGCTGTGCACGGCACACACACCCCATGGTTCCTGCCTGACACGGGAGGTGCTGTCTGGGGAGGCCCCTCTCAGTAGCACTCTGACCTTCAGGCTTCAGCCCTCCAGCACCCCGACGCCATGATTGAGGGCCAGACATCCATAGTGAACAATGCCCTCCAGGGTATGAAGCGGCCTGTGAGGACCAGGGTAGGTGAGGAAAGAAGCTCACCCCCTAGGAAGCCAAGGGCAACCCGAAAACCACCCAGGTCTGATCTTTAGGGGTGCAAACCTTCAAATCTTCTAGCAATTTCGAGCCCACGCTCCAGCTGCAGGGAGTCCCATCCGTGGCCAAGACTGGATGATAGAAGCACACAGGGCCACCGCGTGGACTGAGGGTCTAGGCCCTCGGGCCACGGGGGCTGTAGCGGGGACCCTCAGCATCCCTGCCCACTGTGTATCCACCATGGGGACTCACTTCTCCTTTCTGTTTGTGATTTTCTTCTTTCTTCTGAAACGAAAATGTCAGAAGCAATTCCAGGAAGGTCAGAGTTCTTCTGGGCTGGGTTCAGAGGGAGGTTTCCGCCGGCATAGTTAGTCACTGCACTAAGGTCAGCATCTTCTGCCCCCTCTGGTTGGGGGCTGTCTGGGGGGCTGACTCTGTCCCCTTGCAGAGCCCCATGGTCTGGCCAGATGGGGCCTCACCACCCCCACGGCCGTGGCTCTCGACAAAGTAGGTTCATGAACCTCAAAGACCCCAGCTTGAGGGCCAAGAGTCGGGGCAGAATGCACTCCTCAGGGCGCTGGCTGGGGGCGAAGGGGACACGGCTGTCACTCCCAGTGTCTTCCTGCTGGGGACAGGCTGTGGTCAGCCCGGGCACCATGCTTTAAAACATCCCACATGTGTTTTTGCCGAACTGGTCTCATGACCCCTTTCCCGAATCTCACCAGATGTTTCCCTGGGAGAGACCCTGTTGCTCATGTAAACGGGGGTGCATGTTTTCCCAGGGAGGCCAGCAGCAGCCACCGGCTCCTTGACCACCGTGCAGAAATCCTCATGGACTCAGAGGAATATATTTTGGGTCTTTGCATGTGAGTGAGCAGAGCCCAGAAATAAATCTGTGTCTGCAACAAGAAAAGACAGGCTCTCCCACACGTGGGCTGTCTTTTCTCCTGACTCAGAGGTGCCCCATGAAGTCAGTGCTGTTCCTGTGGGTCACCAGGATGGAAGACCTCCACCTCTCCAGCCTCAGTGCCCTCCGTGGCTCCCCAGCACTGAGGAGGTGGCTTCAAGCTTCTTGGCCGAAGGAGTCTGTGCTTGCACAGGCAGGGGCTCAGCTGGACCAGGGCTGCCAAGAGCACCAGAGGCTCCCCTGCTGGGAAACAGGCCTTGTGATACCCAGTTTGCGATGAGGAAATGTAGGCTCAGAGAGATTAAGTCACTCTGTGGAAACCACACAGGGGCAGGGCAGGATTCCAGCCCAGGCCACGCCGTCCCAGGCCTCTAAGCACAGTGCCCACTCAATCTGCCCCTCGAGGGCCACAGAAGGATCTGGGCTCATCTTGCCGGAGCCCCTGGCACTGCCTCCTCCAGTTCACGCTGAGATCATCAGTTCTCAGAGGGAGCCCAAACCCACACCTTATGTCCTTCAGCCCTGGGCTCCCCTACAAGGGTCCCCACGCCGCACATTCTCCAGTCACCGTGCCTGGGGCAGCCTAGTCCTGCTGTCTCCCTGAAGCAGCTTCAGGCCCCCGCTCCTGGGTCCGTGCTCCTGCAAAGCTCCCCTAACCACTGGGACAGGCCCCTGCACAAAGCCCTGCAGGACCGCAACCTGCAGCTTCAGGGTGGGAGCAGAGGCTGAGCGGTGGCCCCCGATCCACATGCTCCTGGAGCCTGCGAACGTGGCCTTGTTTGGAAGAAGGGTCTTCGCAGAGGGAATGAAGTTAAACATCTCTGGATGAGATCATCCTGGATTTAAGGTGGGCCATAAATCCAATAGCAGAGAATGGCAGAGGGAAATTTGAGACCCAGCGAGGAGAGGAGGCCATGCCATCAAGGAGCCAGCAGCTGGAGCGATGTGGCCACAGCCAGGGGACGCCTGGAGCCCCCGGAAGCTGGGAGAGGCAGGAAGGATCCTCTCCTAGGGCCTTCGGAGGGAGCATGGCCCTGGAGACACTTTGACTGTGGACTTCAGGCCTCCAGAGCTGAAGGAGAATGAACACCCACTTTGGGGTCACGTGTTACAGAAGCTGCAGGAGGATCCCGCAATGGCCAGCATGGCACACGCCTCAGGGCCTCAGTTTCCCCAGCTGTGAAATGAGGATGATGACAGGACCTGCCTCACAGGCTTGCAGTGAGGATAAAATGAGTTGATATGCATGGAATGCACGCAGCAGGGACCGGCACGGAACTGACATTGAGTGGATGTCAGCCTCTGTCAACATTACTATTACTATTACTGTATTATTGCCCTTCGTTCGTTCATTCCATAAATATGTGCAAAGCGGCTGCTCTGAGCCTTCCGTGGGCAGCAGGGCAGCACAGAGGAGGCCTGAGCGGTGGTGCTGGGGAGAGGATGGCGTAGGGCAGGCCTCGTGGACGCAGCCGGGGGCCTCACCATCAGCATAAGCGACCACGGTGGGCTTCAGAAGGAGCGATGAGACAGGATTCACCCCATTGCCATTTGCTTTTCTATCGGATCAGGAAGAAGCATGGGATGAAGCTGGGGTGTCAAGGAGGGTCTCCCTTCCTCGGTGGTCACCTGAGGTGCTGGGGCCCCACCTTTAACTCTCTCTGCTGGACCTGGAAGCTTTGCCCAGGTCCCTGGGACCGTCGCGTTCACAGGCTTCCACCGAGGCTCTCGCTGGGTACATTGACTTGACCCACTTCAGATTTTGTTTTCTTAAAACTCATCCCCAAGTACACTTTGGGAGGCCGAGGCAGGCAGATCGCCTGAGGTCAGGAGTTCCAGACCAGCCTGGCCAACATGGTGAAACCCCGTCTCTACTAAAAATACAGAAATTAGCTAGGCGTGGTGGTGCATGCCTGTAATCCCAGCTACTCAGGAGGCTGAGGTAGGAGAATCGCTTGAACTCAGGAGGTGGAGGTTGCAGTGAGCTGAGAACACGCCACTGCATTCCAGCCTGGGAAACAAGAGTGAGACTCCATCTCAAAAAAGAACAAAAAAATGATTAAAAACCAAAAAAAAAAAAAAAAAAAAAACTCATCCCCAAGTGACTTTGGCTTCATTGCTTTTTGTCAACAAGCTACAATGAACCTATGTACTTGTGTCAGACACTCAAGGGGTCCAGAACCCAGGTCAGGCCCTGAGCCTGCACCTGGTCGCTCTGCACCCGGAGGGGATGGATGAGGTCCCGGCCGGCACTCGCTCTTCCTCCCGTCTGCCTTTTTGCCAAGACTTCCCATCCCTTCCTTTAAGGCTCAGAATTGTGGAAAGGAGACGTGGATGGGACCTCAGTCTGGAAGCCTCTGTCTGACCCCCAAGCCCCGGAGGACCAAGGCCCCCACTGCCTTTAGGCAGCTCTGGCTCAGGGAGACTCGGCACTGTTTCCCTTCTCGTTGCGTCAGCACCCTGGGCAGCTGGGTGGTCTCAGGGTGACAGGAAGGCCGACTGATGTGACATGTGTCTTTGATGGGGAAATACGTTGTGGCTGCAAAGATGCTGCTCATTTGCTAAAGGGACTCTATTAAACGCGAAATCCAGAGGGGAGAGGGAAAGCTAGAGACGCTGGGGCCATCTTTGCATCTGATCCCCGATTAAGAGTGGGGAGTCAGGGCAGTGCTGCCTGTGTTTGAGCACAGCTCCACCCTGCTAGCAGCAAGACTGTAGGCTGTGGTGACTTCATCTCCCCCAGCCTCAGTGTTCCCATCTGTAAAGGGGGCCTTTCTCATCAAGCTGGCCATGAAGGTTGATGGAGTCGGTTCTCATGAAGCCCCTAGCTGGTGCCGCATCCTCGCCAGCCAGCGCTCGGTGACTCTCTGCTGTTCACTGTTGCCATTGAGGACCAGAGAGAGGTGACTTGGCCAAGCTGGCAGCTGTTTAGGGAGGGCACTGGACTTGAACTCGGGCCTGCCTTCAAGCCCATGCACCAGGCTGCCATTCTCTTTAGGATGAAGTCAGTGCAGATACAAGGGAACCCGGGCAGTGGACCTGGAGCAGGCAGAGGTGTGGCCCTGACCCACAGGGGAAGATGCCCAGAGGGGGGACCATCTTCAGTCGTCCCCTCCTCGGCACTGCTCAGGGACCCACAGGTCCCTGAGTGATTCCAGGTGGAGGCCGAGGGGCCTGGGCTCTGCATCCTGAAAGGTCCTCTTTTGTGGCCTAGCCTGCTTTGGGGGCCCTTGGCTAAACCCTCCTGAAAACTTCCCTGGTGTTTTGGAGTCTATACCCACCGGGGATCCTCCTCTAGACCCTCCTGGCTCTTAAAGTTTCCCGTATGACCTGGGGGAGCTCCCACAGCCCCCTGCACTTCCTCCCACCTTCTGCTAAAGGGAATTCTAGCTTTGCCTCAAAGTGTTGTCAACGTGGAATGAGGCCGCGGTAAAAGCAGCCATGCACAGTAGCTGCTCGATAAATTGTGGTGGCCTCTGAAGATCAAGGTGGTTTTCCACAGAGATGCACCGCCCCCCCTCAACCCAGAACTTTCCTTCTCTCTCCAGACTAAAATCCACGGAGTCGGGTTTGTGAAAATCCATGCCCCCTGGAACGTGCTGTGCAGAGAGGCCGAGTTTCTGAAACTGAAGATGCCGACGAAGAAGGTTGGTGTTGATGGTCCTGCTCCGAAATGAATCGCCAAGTCTAGAGGTCACTTGGACGCCTGGCAGTGAAACATGCCGACCTCGAGGCCCTGAGTTTTATAAAAAAAAAACCCAGTGGGCTTCACGGCTACCCCTGCAAAGACCATGTGGCTCGATGTGACAAGGCCCCCAGGCTCTGGGGTCCTGACCGTGGTGAATATGACCCAACCCTGGGTGATCTTTAGAGACCCCAGACCAAACCCCACCAAGAGATGGTGCAGGCAGAAAAGCCCACCTCTCGGCCCCCGGGGAATTTACTGTACTTGCAGACACAGTTACAGTTCGGGCCGTGGTGCTTTCGTGTTTGTGGCATCTCAGCTAATTTATCAGATTCATTTTAATTACATTTTCTGGCTTACGGGGATTTTTCTTTTTAATCTGTGAAAACTTTGTATCTAAAAAGCAGTTTGACAGTGTGTTCCCAGAAGCTTAGCTTGGAGTCGGTATTTACTCTGGCAGGCGGACGGGTGAAGCCGGGCTAGGTAGTAAATCAGCCTCCTGCTTCTCGCGTCCTCAGAGACCACTTGGATTACCTCTTTTGAAGCAAAAGTAAAGTTTAGCGGGGAAGTTCTCTGGAATGCATTGTAATTGTGCTTTTGGCTGGGCGCTCCTGAAACTCTGGGCTTTCATGGCGTGGGCGGGGTGGGGCGGTGCATTCTGGCCCACCCAGGTGCTCTGCTCTCAGGACGCCCCGTTGCATGGGGTGGGATGGTTCTCTGACCATCCGAGAACAGATTCCACGGATCATGGTCCAGCAGGGTGACGCAGCTCCCCGGTCCCTTGTCTTATCTGCAGATGTACCACATTAATGAGACCCGTGGCCTCCTGAAAAAAATCAACTCTGTGCTCCAGAAAATCACAGATCCCATCCAGCCCAAAGTGGCTGAGCACAGGCCCCAGACCATGAAGAGACTCTCCTATCCCTTCTCCCGGGAGAAGCAGCATCTGTAAGTGGGGACCCCCAGCCTGCTCCCCAAAGGGTCCTGTGTGTGGGGATTTAACCTTCTAGCATGAGAAATGCAGATTGATTATCTGTCCCCCAAAGAAGAGCGTGTTCTTGTAAGAGCTTTGTGGTTGCTGAGCCCAGAAGAGGCTGTGGAAATGATTTCTAAGATCACCGTTAACTGATGAGTTAGGGGGACACAGCATCTTGTTCTGCTTGGTGACGCAGGAAAAACTTCTTTGGCCTGAGTGAGGACCCCAAAGCAGTGGTCTAGACATGCCTTCCCACCCGCTCCGCACCCCTGCCCCGCCACCCCATCCCCCTCCAGTGTCTGGCCAACCAGGCCTCCTGCAGCCCAGGCAGCCTTGAGCCCCAGTAAGTCTCACTCCTTGTGGCAGAAATTGAAAAGCATCCCCAGGCAGGAGGCCTGAGGCCCCAGGGACTCACCGCCAGCTGGCTTGCCTGGCAGGGCCACGTCTATTCTGGAAACTTCCCTCCTCCCGAGGGGCAGTGGGGCGTAGCCACCTGGGTCAGCAGTGACTGCAAGGCCTCTGCTGGCCTCACTGGGCGGAGCTGGAGTGTGAGCAGAGGTGGGAATAGAAAGCTTGAGTCATGGGAACCCAGAGGGACTTTGGATGGAAGCTCTGGCGGGCAGGAGGGCTCCTGGACAGTGCTGGCCTCACAGGGTCGGGGGCATGGAAAAGCAGACAGGGAGGACGAACAGGTGCCTCAGCTCACAGGGGCCCTTGCTTATAAATGTAGTAGGGGTGGAGCCATGAGCATCACTGGATGCATTTACCAGGTCCTGATTCCTAGAGCGGACAGGACATGCCACCAGAGAGAAGGAAGCAACCCCCAAGCCCAGCCCTCTCCTCCAGATCCAGAACAGGGGCTTGGGGCATTAGAGGAAACCGCCCTCCTTCCAGGACCCCCGCCGACCTCCCTCGTCTCTGCCCTGGGTCGACTCTGTCAGCCCTGCTGCCTGGACAGGGCTAAGCTCACCTCCAGGCTCCGTGGAGGTGGAAACTGGCCCAGCCGCCCTCCCCAGCTCTCCCCGAAGTGCCTTGGAGAGCAGGGAGAGCAGGGAGTGTGTTCCCAAGATGCCCCTCCACCCTCAGGAAGCCTCGGGCCATCCCTATGCAGCCCATCAGGACCCAAACCATTGGAAATACAGGGAGATTGTTTTCAAGGTTGGAGCTGTCTGATGGTGGCGGTGATACTGCCCCTGTCCCCCGCCTTGTTGAAACAGAGACTTTCAAAACTGCCCACTGAGGATGTCATCAAAAGGAAGCAGGGATCTTCTGGGGGGCTGTGGGGGGTGGGGGGCTGGAGGGTGGTCTGACCGTACTCGCCTCCTAGGTCACTTCCCACCTATGTGGGTCTCAGGCCTCGCCCAGGTGCGGGGGCAGTGAAACAGTCTGTTCCAAATGCCCAGGGGCGGACGGGTCATACCTGGCGTGCGGACAGAGTTCTGTCCATTTCACGGTCACGGCTAATGGGGACAGTGTGGTTTCCCAGGGCCTTGAAACCCAGAGAACTGCCAGCTCTGGTGAACTGTGTCTTGTTTCCTTCCCGATATTTCCACAGATTTGACTTGTCTGATAAGGATTCCTTTTTCGACAGCAAAACCCGGAGCACGATTGTAAGTATCGCACGCGCCTGGAAACGGCTCACTGGCAAGATGGCCCTGGGGATCCAGATGATAATTTCATTTTGGTGAAACTCCTCCCGGTGGAAGCCGGCTCTAATTGTCTGTGACAGAAATAATTAGAATAATGAAAGGGAGAGGGCAACGAGGGGCCCAGGGGATGGTCGTGCCCCAGGCAGGGGCAGCTGAGAGGAAGGGAATCAGCACAGAGCTTGGGAAAGCAGGAGGGAAGCCAGACCCCTGGAGTGATTTCAAAGGTCGGTGTTTCTGGATCTGTGCAGCTCCCAGCACATGTCTCAGAGCCGCCTCGTGGTGGGATTGTGCGTGCCTGACCATCAGGCCACGATTCGGGGCTTTCAGGGCAGGCAGGTGTGGGCAGGAGGGAGGGTTGGTGGAGGCAAAGGCGCGTGGGTTGAGATCTCTTTCCAGGCCTTTGCCAGAGGAGCCAACTGAGGTTTGAAATCTGACCAGGCCACCCTGCCCTATTCAAGGCACTGGCTTCATGTTTATCCAACCTGTCCACCAGCCAAGCTGGGGCTGTGCATGGCTCAGGACCCAACTTCTATCTAAACAAGAAATTAACCTGGCAGCCAAACTTTCGCTGTTATTCTCTATTCCCTGCCCAGAAAGCCCAGCCTGGCCGGGCAGAGACAGAGGGCTGGGAGGAGACAGTCAGGGTGACCTTGTCCAGACAACTACTCCTCATGACCACCACCTGAGACTGGCAGGCAGCCAGCAGGAGGTCGGTGCAGGTCGTACCAGCACGGGGGGTTCTGAGCCACTGCTGGGACAGACAGATCTGGGGCAGGGAGGAGGGCATCTCTCTCCCAGAGACCCTGGAGGCCAGTTTCTAAATGGCCAACATGCTCCAAAGAAACTGATAATTCATAGCTTTGGCCTTGGTTAGTCAGGCCTAATAGTCATCAAAATCCAACAGCCTGCAGGGTTGGCTGAGGTTCTAGGCAAAGCCGTGGAGAACTGACAGCCCTTCCCCACTCCTCTCCTCCACACCATTCAATCTGTCCTGGCATTGGGGTGGTCCAGTGTGCAAGTGGATAGGAGTCAGAGAACAGCAGTACTCGATAGGGAGAGGCCCACTGTGCTGGTCTTGGATTTTAGACCTTTGGCCTGTGGGCGCTGGGGAGCCATAGAAGGTTGTGGAGCTAGGTTGAGGATGTGGTGAGATCCGTTCCAGAAGGATCACTGCCAGTGGCCAGCTGTGGGAGGGTAAATGACTGGTGGATGAGGGCTGGTGGCAGTGGTCATAAACATGGGCCATAACTGCATGTGGAAGGGAGGAGGTGGTTACAGGAGAATCAGCAAGGTCAGAACCGATTAGATCTGAGGGATGATGGGGAGGGAGCCATTGAGAACAGCCTAGTGGGCGATTCCTTCCTTCATTCAGCAGGGATGTATTGGGCACCTGCTGGGTGGGAGAAAAGAGGCACTGAGGACATTTATAATCCGGCAGGTGGGGAGAGGCAAGCTGAGCTAGAAGACAGAGCCACCGGGAGGGTGGTGGCCTCAAGGCCTGGTTGTTAAGGGGACCCTGGACCTATTCCAATCTGAAGGGGACAAGTGCTTCTGGGAAAAGGAACAGCCAGGGCGGAGGCCCTGTGGCTGCAGGAGTGAGTTTGGAAAGTGAGAGAGGCAGCCAGGGGGCGGGGTTGTTGGGACAGGTGGGTCCAGTGGAGGCGGCGGGGCGGGGAAGCGGTCAGATGGCCTGGGCCAGGGGGAACTGGAAGGACGCTGGCCTTGCCTGAGAGAGTGGAGGCAGAATTGGCATGCTCTGAAATGCACGTCTGCATAGCACGACCAGTTCTTCTCACCCCAGTTTACAGATGGAAAAACTGAGGCCGGGAGTGGTGATGTCGCTGGTCCAAAATCACACAGCTGCAAATGGCAGAGCTGGCGCCAGGTTCCAGGCAGACAGACTCCCAAGCCGGAGCTGCTGAGGCCACCAAACAAAACACGTCACTAGTCAAGGGGCAGGCAGCCGGGGGGGAATCCCTTCAGCAGGGCTCTGCCCAGGCACCAGGAACCCAGAGCCCGATGATGGCCGCCTCCTGCCACCGTGGGGAATGGATCCCAAGGCCCGCCCCACCACCACCACCCCTGATCCCCCAGAGTCCTAGAACATTCAGGGCTGTGTCCCAGAGTGGTGCTGTTCCAACTCAGCTCTCAGCACGAGGGGACCGTAAATCCACCAGGCAGGGTACGTGGCACAGCTGTGACACAGGACACCAGCACTAGGCCCAGGAGGGCACGGCAGTGCTTTGCTGGGGCCAACTGCCATGACTCCCACGTTGGGAGGTGAAAGATGGGAACTGCAGGTGCACCTGTTTCTCCCTGAGAAGCTCAAGCCTTTGACAGTGTTGAGAATCCGGAGCTGGGTCAACCCTCCCTGAATAAATGCCATTGTCTTTCCTTGGAAGATAGCACCAAGGAGGTCTTCATGCGTAACGTGTGACCAGGTCCTCTCCAGCCACAGCAGACTGTTTCTGCTCGTGGAAGGTGCCTTAAGTAACTGCTCACCCCCCTTCTTGTCTCTGCAATAGGTCTATGAGATCTTGAAGAGAACGACGTGTACAAAGGCCAAGTACAGCATGGGTAAGCACGTTTTTGGGGCTTGAGATCAGCATTGGTTTCCAAGTCGGAATCTCACCTCCGAGTCATCTCTGTGGGAGGCAGGCAGCCGGCTTGGGGTGTTTAAGAGGGTTTTGATTTAAGCCTGTGTAACAGTTCCAGACAAGAGGGCTGGGTTGGGAGCGTGCAGGGCAGTTTTATGGCCCAGCACTTTTAAACACAAATGTATCCTTCACTTTGGCCTGAGGGGTTTGTGAGCGTGTGGACAGGCTCTCCCTGCACGGGTGGTAAATCCAGGCTGGAAACAGACCAGTGTTAGGGATGACCGGGGGATTCCTGGCCCTCTCTTGACCCTCACGGTCCAGTGGGAAGTAATTGGGGTTCCAGCCGGGGCGGCATCTCCATGTGGCTGTTCCGGACCCTTAAAAGCACAGCTGGGCTTGCTGAAAGCAGCGCCCCCTGACCAGGCACCACCAGGTACAGACAGCCTAATTCCGGAAGCTGCCACAAAACCATCCTGACCAGGCTTTCTGGGTACCAGTTTCCAGAACCCCTTAAGCCGTAGATACAAAATCTTCCCAATTAAATTGTGTAGCTGGGAACCACCCCCCACAGTGGGTCCCTTGCCCACAGCTGCAGGCAGTTTGTGAAAGCCAGAACATTGCAGAGCAAAGGAATGCCATTTCCAGCCTTTCCTCCCCTCCTTCTTGAGCTGTCTTATGACCTGCTGAGAGCCGTGCCATAGGGTAGCATCCATCACTCTGTAGAAGCCTCTGAAAGGATGAGGCCATGGCTCCCGGGGGACACAGCAGGTCTGGTGAAAGCTGGAGTCTGTGCATACAGGAGGGACCATCTTGCTGCCTTGGCTTCCCGTGGTGGCAGGAATGCTGTGGGAAGTAAAATGAAGAGCAGTGGGAGTCAAGGGCTCGGAACTGGAATTCCTGAGGTCAGGCCCGGGAGACAGAGAGAAGACGAACCCTCGACAGCTCTGGTGGCTGCTTGGCCCCAGACCATATGGCCTGTGTTCACTCACAGGGATACCCTTGCAGGCCTGAAGTCTCTAAGTCCATGTCCTAAGGCAAGGGGAGTGTGGAGGAGTCCCATCCAGGGTCAAAAGGACTGAGATCCTCTAGAATGGCCAAGCCCTAGTACACACGACTGCAGTGAGGTCAGGCGGAAAGGAAGGTGACGTTGGGAGTTTGGGTTTTTGAAATTGCTCCTCTAGGTCACCGCTGCCAGGGCACAGCCTTGGAAAGGTAACTAGAGGTAAGGAGGAGGCATGGTTCTGGTCCCAGGGCCGGGTCTTGGACCTCGGTTTCCCCCCTGGGTCCCTGCAGCGTTCCTTCCAGTAGAAACGTGTATGGTTGCAATAGAAGTCCAGCGTCTTCAGGCTGCATGGCCCAGGCTGATTCTCTGCTCGGGTGGTCCCTGGGGACACAGGGTCTCTGTGTTCCCACCGGTTTTGTGGCGGGGCTGGTTCCCTGCACCTGGTGACGGGGCAGATAGATGCGGGTCCTCCTCTTCAGCCCTGCTTCACCATGACACCTTGTCTGAGAGTCGACCCACCTCTAAATTCATCCGCAAGTGCTGAGGATTCCCGTCACCTGCCAAGTTGTGTCCCATAGTCTTGCAGGATGAGCAGGGTGGGGCTAGCTGCGGGATTTAGGAACTGTGATGAGAGAAGGCCTTCCAGATGGAGGGAGTGGCACATGCAAAGGCCCTGCGGCAGGCAGCACCAGGTTAGCAGCATTCCAGCAACAGGAAGGAGGCCAGCGAGCCTGGCTGAGGGCCTATGTTCACTTTCTTTTTTTTTTTTTTTTTTTTTAGACAGAGTGTTGCTCTGTCACCCAGGCTATAGTGCAATGGCACAATCTCAACTCACTGCAACCTCTGCCTCCTGGGTTTAAGCAATTCTCCTGCCTCAGCCTCCCGAGTAGCTGGGACTACAGGCGCCCGCCACCACGCCTGGCTAATTGTTTGTATTTTTAGTAGAGACGGGGTTTCACTGTGTTAGCCAGGATAGTCTCGATCTCTTGACCTCGTGATCCACCTGCCTCAACCCCCCAAAGTGCTGGGATTACAGGCGTGAGCCACTGTGCCGGGCCCCCATGTTCACTTTCTATTGCAGACAAACTTTTCACTCACACATGTGGCTTAAGCCCCTTCCTCTGGTTTTGACTTCTAAGCATCCCTTAGTCCCCTGATCATTCCAGGTCATTGACCACAGAGATGGCCCATTTTCAAGGGGATTTCGGGAGGTCATTTTCCCGCCGCTATCAGGTGGAGTCTCAGAGGGTGGTCCGCCCAGGCTGCTGTGAAAAACTTAACGCTCTTACTGCCTAGGAAGCCTCTTCAGCCAAGCAGGGGGTTCCATGAGCAGCAAAGGGCCCCATGGAAACGCCCCCGCCTGGCTGGGCCCCCACGATGTATTTGGAGCAAGATCTGATTTCCAGGAAACCCTTCCCCACACATGGCCCTGGCTTTCCGGTCCTCTCTCGCAGTCTCCTGGGGCTGGGCGCCCGCATGCGCACCTGTTAGGACACACAGGCATGGTGTTTTTATAATGTGCCCAGTGCAGGCCCTGGGGGCCACGTAAAAAGGGGCCCTGCCAGCATTCCACTGCCTCCAGGAGCACTGGACGGCTGTGAGTCCGCCAGAATCACTGGCCACTGACGCTTGCTGCCCCAAATGTAGCTTTGATCCTGTCAGGCCCTTCCACCTCACTAATAGCCAATGTATAAACAGGGCAAGGCGAGGGAAGAAAGAAGGACTCCGCCCTTCTAAGTAAAAGGCGGAAATGTGGGAAGTATGGTAAGTGTGGGCCTCCTCCGGCTTTCCCAATCAACCTAAAATCTAATTCCAAATTGTATGTGTGTTTTCTGACACCATCAATTTTTCCATCCGTATATTTCCTCATGATTCAGCTTCTCTAACCACTTACAATCCACCTTCCCCATCTGCAGGCTTGCCCTCGGACAGGTGGGGGGAGCCGGTGAATCGGAGGCTTGGGGTGACAGTGAAGCCATGGTCCGCTCACACCGCCTGCCTCTGAGACAGAGCCGCCTCTTGGGGTTTTCTCTGTGTCTTCCTAATTCTGCCAATCGAGCATGTGTTTCGTCATCTCCTAGTTGATAGATCAATAACCCAGCTGCACCCTGTCATTCCTGGGGAAGAAACCCCAGAGGTGGCCGGGCTCTGCGTAGTCAGGTTCGTTTCATTTTGAGAAGCTCTTAGTGGCTGAGATGGCCCTGTGACCGCTGTGACTTTACAATGGGAAGCGGGAGACCCGCCTGCCCCATAACCTTCTCTCTGCCTCTGTTTTTAAGGCATCACGAGCCTGCTGGCCAATGGTGTGTACGCGGCTGCATACCCACTGCACGATGTAAGTAACCTTGACACACGATTTATCTCTGCGTCATTTGACTCCCCAAATCCCGCCGGGCCACACCCCCCCGGGAGCTGCAATTATCCTGTGGTCACAGCTTCCTGCTTGGCTCTCGCTGTAAATGTCAACTGTACACAGGCCTTCCCTGTTCCCCGGGTGGGGGCCAAGAAGTTACACACAGGGCCATCTTTTCTTGCAAAACAATCCCACCAAAACGGGGGCACGGGTGGCAGCTGCTCCTGCCTCGACTTCCTCTGAACCTCGTAGCCAGCGGGTCCACAGAATGTCTTTCCTGGCCTGGGCTCCCCTACCCCCAGCTGGCCCGGGGCTCTGGCAGAATGACCAGGGCTCTGTACGTGTCTATTTCTGCAGAGCAAGTGGCCAGCTTCCTGAGCTGAATCTCCAGATCCCACTGGTATCCCTTTGACAAATATAGCCCATGTCAGTGGCTGACTTGGGGTGGAGAGAGAGAGAAGATTGTCTTCTTGTTGTCTCTATGGAAACAGGGACTCAAGTTCAGCAGGGCACTGGGAATGGGCCTCCGGGCCTGAGCAGTGTGGGAATCCCAGACAGAGGAGCTCTGAAACTTTGCAAATGTGCAAAGGCCAGGAGCCAAGAAGCAGGAGAGAAGGGACAGGCCTGGGACTAAGGAGACCCAGATTCCAGTCCCGGCCACTTACCTGCTCCTCCGCCTTGAGTGGTGGAGTCAGCCCCTTGTCTCACTGAGCCTCAGTGTCCCCATCTGTGGGTCAGGAATCATAACTTGTCCTAACTCCTCTTTTCTTTTCTTTTTTTTTTTTTTTTTGAAACAAGACAGAGTCTCGCTCTGTCATCCAGGCTGGAGTGCAATGGCATGATCTCGGCTCACGGCAACCTCCACCTCTTGGGTTCAAGCAATTCTCCAGCCTCAGCCTCCCAAGTAGCTGGGACTTCAGGCGTGCACCGCTACACCCAGCTAATTGTTTGTATTGTTAGTAGAGATGGGGTTTCACCATGTTGGCCAGGCTGGTCTCGAACTCCTGACCTCAAGTGATCCACCCACCTCAGCCTCCCAAAGTGCTGGGATTACAGGCGTGAGCCACCGTGCCCAGCCTAATTCCTCTCTTCTTGAGGAAGAAACAATGGATTAGACAAACTTGAGGTGCAGGGATCCCGCAGGGCAGTTCAGGGGTGTATTCTCCAGACGGTTGACCCCAAGGGAAGGAGTCTAGGCAGATCTGCTGCCCGTCACCTCGTCGCCTCCCTGTCAGGGCCTCCTCCTCACTGTAGGTCCGGGGATTGGGGTGGTTGAGCAGCCCCGCTTCCTCCCTTCGTGCATTCACACATGCTGTTCCTTCTGCTACGGTACTCTTCCCCGCCCCACCCCACCCCAGGCGGACAGAAGCACCCACACCACGCCTGCCTGTTGCCTTCCTCCCCAGGACTAGTGGCTTCTTCCTCCCTTCTCTGGGCCTCAGATGGTCCCTGTCCTGCAAAGACACCACCGTCTGACCACCTTTAGTTATGTGTGTCATCTCAAGGAAGCCCAAGCACTCAGCACTTAATAAGTGCTCAATAAACGTGGTGTTGATTGAGATTGGATTGAGTCGGTTTGCCTCGGCCAGCGACCTGCTGTATGGGGAGGTTTCAAGGGCAGAGTTCAGGCCCCTAGACCAGGGCAGTGGCTCCGGGTTCCTGCCCTGAAGCCCTGAGTCTGGAGGAGCCCACTCCTCCATTCTGTCAGGCTTTCCTCCAGAGGACCCAGCCGGTCTGGTTGTTCTGTCCCACCCTGTGTAGGCTCCGGCTGGGTGCCAGGAAGACAGCCCTGCCTGGCACAGCCCATGATCCCAAGAAGGCAGCCTAGAGCTACATCCATGCTCCTGATTGACCTTTAAGCAGGTAATCCCTGCTGAGAGGCTGAGGCACCGAAGCCAAAATGTTTCCGGCCCTCCCTGCTTGTTTTGAGTTAGCCCTTTAAGTCTTAAAAGGGAAAGGGGAGAAATGAACGTATCTGAGCACCTACTGTGTGCAGAGCCCTCTGTTTAGAAGGAACTGTACCTCATATAACCTGTGCAGACACAGAGACTCAGAAAGGCTTAGTAATTTGCCTGAGGTCACACAGCCCCTTTGGAGGAGCTGGGGCCAAAAGCCGTCCCTAGTGACACTCTGCAACTCCAGTGCCTCGCTGTGTCCCCACCTCATCCCGTCATGGAGGCCAAATGCATCCCTCTTCTTGGCAGCCACTACTGCATTTGTCTTAGGGATTGACTGTCAACAGTTTAAATTGACTGGCGCAAAACTCCCTCATCAGCTGGATCTATTTATTGTCAGAGAGCCAGCCTCACAAGAAGCATCTCCAAGATCCATGCAGACAATCTCCTCTTTCAAAATCTTCATCGTGCCTTATGCAGCCATGTGGGGTCTGTTCCCACCTTAAAGATGGAGAAACAGGCTGGAGGAGCTCAGACCACTTGCCCAGGGGCGCACAGCCCAGAAGGAGTGGAGCTCGGAAGCCCTAGGCTGTGGGTGGCAGGTATCCTTAGGGAATATGGAAGTTTACAGCCACAGATTTTCCATATGACTGAAGGGCGCCCGTGCTGCTAAGTACCAAAGCTGATGTTTAAGCATTTGGGGAGATGACTGGTTCTGGCCTGAGCCGCGTGCACCCATGTCCTTACCCAGAATACTGACTGCAGGGAAGTTCAGGCTGGCCTCGGTGGCCATGGTGAGGCTCTCACTGCATGCAGTGTAGTTCTGGCTTTACATTTTTGCTTCCATCTTCCTCCCCATGAAGCTGTCCTGCATCTTACCCCCTTCCAATCCTGTGCTTACTGCATTCATTCATTCATTCATTCCTCAAGAATATCTGGTCGGTTGGGCACGGTGGCTCACGCCTGCAATCACAGCACTTTGGGAGGCCAAGACGGGTAGATCACCTGAGGTCAGGAGGTTGAAACCAGCCTGACCAACATGGCGAAACCTCATCTCTACTAAAAATACAAAAATTAGCTGGGCATGGTGGCACATGCCTGTAATCCCAGCTACTAGGGAGGCTGAGGCAGGAGAATTGCTTGAACTCGGGAGGCGGATAACAACCTGATAGAGTTGTGTGTGGGTAAGAGTCACATGCTCCAACTGAGACCCTGAGGAAGTCTCCTGGAATCAGAGTGTATCACCCGTACTGAAAGGACTTTGATATTTATGTTGGCTACTTGGCGGCCTTTTGGCTTTCTTCCTGACTAACGAGGTCACCAGCATAAGGACCTCCGTATAAATGAGGTGCTGCTGGGATCGCGTGGCTGTCTCATCCATGGAAAGAAACTGGGAAACACTAAAAGGAGTCAGGCTTGGGTGGGTGAGGATCCCCTGAAGACTTAGGAGGAAATTGGTTAAACTGCTCTCAGAGCGTCTTCGTTCCAAGACCACCTGCATTTGGTTGCTTGCTTGAGTGTGTGGTCAAGTCGTCCCCACCTGGCAGGGGTTAGAAGGGGTCATGGAAGTTGCTGGTGAGGGGAGAGGGCACTGGACAGACCCCCAGGAGCCCCATAGCTTTGTCTGCCTGGATATTCTTAAAACCCATTGGCCAGGCCAGGCGCAGTGGCTCACACCTGTAATCGCAGCACTTTGGGAGGCCGAGGCGAGCGGATCACTTGAGGTCAGGAGTTTGAGACCAGCCTGACCAACGTGGTGAAACCCTGTCTCTACTAAAAATACAAAAATTAGCCGGGTGTGGTGGTGGGCACCCGTAGTCCCGGCTACTTGGGAGGCTGAGGCAGGAGAATCACTTGAACCTGGAAGCGAAGGTTGCAGTGAGCCGAGATCATGCCACTGTACTCCAGCCTGAGCGATAAGAGTGAAACTCCATCTCAAAAACAAAAACAAAATCAAAACAAACAAACAAAAAAAACTATTAGCCAGGCCAGGCCAGCCATGCCCTGAACCTCGACAGGGCCGCTCCCTTGCTGCTCCTCCCCAGTTACTTTTGTCAACTGTAGTTATTTGGGGCTCACTGAATGACAGTTAAGTATCATTTTGAGTGTTTGTGAGGGTAACGTGCACATAGCCATAGGCAGTCTAGACCCATGATGTTCCAAGATGGGCTTTCAACCCTTAGACCCTTCTCTTCCTTTAGGTTTGAAGGTCTGGATCCAAGTCAGGGTCTGACCGAACTTAGGTGTGTGTCCTCAGAAATGTCAGTTTGCTTCTCGGAGCCTCAGTGATTCCATCTGTAGAATGGGAGTTTTGGACTCACTGATTAGATGACAATGACCTTGTCATTTACTGTCCCTCTTGGGATGCTCCACAGTGAGAAGGGAGCAAGACACGGACTGTCCCAGCAGAGTGGGACATATACGCACCCTATTGATACGACTCTTCCTGCCTCCAAAAGCCCCCTTTCATTTGTGTTTCTGGTTCCAAGGACCCGACCGTGGATCCTCTCCTAGAGTCCCCTCTGTGTCGAGGGAAGAGGCGGCTCAGGCCGTCCTGGTGGTGGAGGCCAACAGGGCGGCCAACAGGGACGTGCACGGCCTTTCTATCATAACGGGGGCACACCTGGGCAACCCTCACACTCTGTGTGAAATGTTGCCCCAGGATGATCTTAATTTGTGTCAACGAGAGCTGCTGGGGTTTATGTTTTGAAACATAATGGATGTGAGCGCCTCCAAAGCTCCATTGGATGATAAGAACGTCCCTTTCCTCTTTTTTTAACAGGGAGACTACAACGGTGAAAACGTCGAGTTCAACGACAGAAAAGTAAGTTGATGGAGCGGAGCAGGAGGTGGCTCTGTCAGAGCCTGGAGGCGTTCTGGGGCGGGGTGGGCCTGCAGCTGGACCGAGGACTTACCGGCCTCCAGGGCCTCCCCAGGGCGCTCGCTGCAGGGGGCTGAGAAGCGGGTGTCCCCTCTCACCTTTTCAGGAGAAAAGTCCGTGAGCTTTGTGTGGCTGGTTTGTTTTCCTCTTTCTGATTGTCAAAAATGCCCTTGGCAGGTGACCGTGAGCATGGGAAAGGGAAAGCTGTCCTCCCAGAGCCCACTCCTTGCACGCTGTCCTTCCCTTATCTTCTCGGGACAATCTGAACTGTGCCTGGGCCTCCAGCAGTCCTTGCTGGCATGTGGCCTAATCCCACAGGGCTCCCAGGCAAATAAACTTGGGAACCACTGACACCAGGTGCACAGAGAACAATGGCCCCCAGCAGCGCATTGGGGAAACCTGTTTGATGGTGGTCAATGAAGTGTTTCTCAAATTTACCTGACCTGGAACCCTTTTAATGGAGAAGTTGTTGAGCTAGTGTTCTAGGGAACACACTTTGGGAAACACTGGGTGACCCCTTTATTCTTTTTTCTTTGTTTCTTTCTTTTTTTTTTTTTTTTTTTTTTGAGTTGGAGTCGCACTTTGTCACCCAGGCCCTCTGCCTCCCGGGTTCAAGTGATTCTCCTGACTCAGCCTCCAGAGTAGCTTGGATTACAGGTGCCTGCCAGCAGGCCCAGATGATTTTTGTATTTTTAGTAGAGACGGGCTTTCGCCATGTTGGCCAGGCTGGTCTTGAACTCCTGACCTCAAATGATCCACCCTCCTTAGCCTCCCAAAGTGCTGGGATTACAAGCGTGAGTCACCGCACCCAGCCAGCCCCTTTATTCTTTAGTGGCTGTTGCTAATTTTCCTCACTCCCCAAAGCGTTGGTCCCCACCCTCTACCCCTCACTCTGAGCATGGGAACTCCACCCTTCCCACCCAGGCTCCCCAGGAAGCTCTGCTTCTCTACCATGCCCCCGAAAAGAACATGTCCCCACCACATCCATTTGCTCTTCCCTCCTCTCCCATGGGCCCACACCCGATACCAGCCTTCCCCCCAGGTCTCCACGTCAGCCTCTGTTCCCCAAATGTGCCCAGCTTTCCCTCTCGGGAAGCAGTCCTTCCTGGACCCTGCATGTGCAGCCCTTGCCCTATCTGCTGGTCCTTCCACAGGTGGTGGGTAGAGATGCTTCCCTGACAACCTCACAATAGTGGCCTTGTCCCAATTCCCAGGGGCCAGGACCTCTGTGTATGGAATGTTCTTCATTTCAGCCTCCCCCACAGGCCCCCATACATGTTTTTAAATCTTTGGTACTTGATACAACTTGCCCGCCTGGGAATCCAGATGAAGATGCTATCTAACTTAGCACAAAAATTACATATTTGGTTATTTTTAGTGTAACATCTGGCATCGTCTGGGACCCCATGACTTGCAGAACTCCCGACTCCAATCCTGTTGGAAAAGGACCATCCCCTCCACAGGCCTGTCCTGACCAATTCCAGCCTCAGAGTCCAGCCCCCTTCATCCCTCCGCACCCCTCTGGCACTTGGCAGATGCCTATCCTCCCCCTAAAAATGCTTCTTCCATGGACACCAGTAGTCCCTTTCTAGCCGAATTCAGTTCTCTGGGTCACAGGCCCCTGAACCCTACCCCCTCTTCCCCCTCCTCCCCCTCCTCCATTCTCCAGCCACACTGGCTGCTTTTCTAGTCTCAGGATTGCTTGGCTGATGGTCACGTCAGTGCCAGGACTAGCTCATTCAGTTACTTATTCATTTGAGAAATACCTACTGGGCACTACTCTGTGCCAGGCCCAGCAAACACAATGCGGGTTTGTCCAGGCCCAGCTGTTTACTCTACCTGGAATGATTCCCACTCCCCATGTAATTTTAGGTCCCAGCAGTGGATACAAGGCCTGGCCCATGGGGGTAGTCAAGGAGTAATGAATGACAGTTGGGTGGATGGATGGATTAATGGATGATAGATGGATGGATAGAGATGGAGATGGATAACTGAATGATGGATAATGGATGGATGGATAGATGGATGGATGGATGGATGGATGGATGGATGGATGGATAGATTATGGATGGGTGAATGGGTGGACGGATGAATAGATGATTGATGGGTGGGTGGGTGGGTGGATGGATGGTGGAGAGATGAATGATGGTTGATGGATGAGTGGGTGGATGGATGGGTGAATGAGTGGATGGACAGATGGATGGTTGATGGATGGGTAGGTGTGTGGGTGGATGGATGAATGGATGCTGAAGGGATGAATGGTGGATGATGGGTGGGTGTGTGGATGGGTGGCTGATGGAAGGATGAATGATGGATGATGGGTGGGTGAGCAGGTAGGTGGATGGATGCATGCTGGAGGGATGAATAATCAATGATGGATGGATGGGTGATGGGTGGGTAGGTGGGTGAATGGGTAGATGGATGGATGGATGCTGGAGGAATTAATGATAGATGATGGGTGGGTGGATGGATGATGGAAGGATGAATGATGGATGATGGGTGGGTGAGCGGGTAGGTGAATTGATGGATGCTGGAGGGATGAATAATCAATGATGGATGGATGATGGGTGAGTGGGTGGGTGGATGGATGGATGCTGGAGGAATTAATGATGGATGATGGGTGGGTGGATGGGTGATGGAAGGATGAATGATGGATGATGGGTGGGTGGAGGAATGATGGATGGATGGGTTGATGGATGATGGGGGGGTGGGTGGGTGAGTGGATGGATGCTGGAGGAATTAATGATGGGTGATGGGTGGGTGGATGGATGATGGAAGGATGAATGATGGATGATGGGTGGGTGGATGAATGATGGATGGATGGGTTGATGGATGATGGGTGGGTGGGTAGGTGAATGGATGGATGCCTGAGGGATGAATAATTAATGATGGATGGATGGATGGCCGATGGAAGAATGAATGATGGATGCTGGAGGAATGAATGATGGATGATGGGTGGGTGGATGGATGGATGGATAAATGGATGGATGGGTGCTGGAGGAATGAATGATGGTTGATGGGTAGATGGGTGGCTGATGGAAAGATGAATGATGGATGCTGGAGGAATGAATGATGGATGACGGGTGGATGGGTGGATGATGGAAGGATGAATGATGGATGATGGATGGGTGGAGGGGTGGGTGAATAGATGGATGCCGGAGGGATGAATAGTTAATGATGGTTGATGGTTGGATAGGTGGATGATAGATGGATGGGTGGATGGTTGATGGGTGGACAGGTAGGTGAATAGATGGATGCCAGAGGGATGAATAATTAATGATGGATGATGGATAGATGATGGAGGGATGATGGATAGATGCTGGAGGAATGAATGATGGGTGGGTAGATGGATGATGGAAAGAAGAAAAGGAGGGAAGGAGGGAGGATTAGATGGGTGTTTGGGTCCTAACTCAGAGCTGCAGGGAACTCTGCATTCTGCCACGATGGCTCCACATCACAGCCTGGTGCCAAGTTTTTGCCTTTCCGGTGACAGACTCCATGGCTTCTCCATTATTGTTCTAATCAGTGGCAGGAGCCCCACGTGCCTGACCCTGGATACCTCACAGGGCAGAAATGAAAGTGCAGCCAAGGACATTTCAATGACATTTTCCTGTGCTGAGCTGGAGGGTGGGCAGAAGAGAGTGTAGGGAAGTTTAAGCAGGAGGCAGGTCTGGGCAGGGCAGCCATCACTCTTGGCCTGATCATGGGGCCACAAACATGTAGGAGTACTTGGGAGCCCCTTCCTCCAGGACCGTGGGTGAGTTCACACCTACACAGAACTGAACCCCAGGTGAGCAAGGCACGCCCCCAGAGCTGTCTTTGGATGTGCAGAAGGTGTTCTGGTGGGCAGCTGCTGCCTCCCCCTGCCAGGGCACTGGAAGAGTAGGACCACCTGGGCCCTGTTGGGGAGAGGGGTGGCTTGGGTTGTGGGGGATTGATTCCAGGTGTGGACTGAGGTCTGCTGCATCCCTGGGCTGGACTAGGAGCCACAGAGCCCAACATGTCATTCATCCATCCATTCATCCATTCATTCAACAGTCACTTAGTGAAAACCCACAGGCCCTGTTGGAGGCATGGAGGGTGAGAAGGACCAGACAAACCTGGTCCCTCTGGTGTCTCCATTCTAGAGGGAAGGGCAACGGGCAAGGACATACACCAATTAAAGATTGCATCCATGTCACCAAGGGCCGGTGGCAGCCATGTGAGTCCTGGCAGGGGGTTTCGACAAGAGAGACGCCTGAGGGTTGTTGGGATCCCTCCAGGGTCCGGATGCTGGAAGGCTCCCAGGTCACAGTGACTGGAGCCGCCTGGCTGGCCTTGTTCTCCAGCCCACAGCCCCCATGGCTGGACGCCCCCCTGCCTGCTCACCGGGGCTAAGGTGCCACCTTGGATTCCTTCCAGCACTTCAGTTGGATTTCTTTGCCTTGACAGTGCAGAGTGACTGATGTCGCCTCTTGGCAGAAAGAAAAGTCCACCGAGGTCAAGCGGTATATGTAGAAAGCTGGGAGTAGGCCCCCTCCACACGTCTGTCAGAAGGTGGTGGGAGCCACTGAGGGTGGGTCCCTCCTCCCCCGGTGCAGAGCTTTGTCCTTTCTCACTGTCCCTGTCTCGCTCCCTCCCTCCTTCTCTCCCCGTCTCCCTCCCCCACTTCTCTCTGTCCATCTCTCTATCTCTGTCTCTCCATCTGCCTCTGTCTCTGCCTCTCTCTCCATCTCCCCCATGTCTCTCTGTCTGTCTGTCTGTCTCTCCATCTGCCTCTGTCTCTGCCTCTCTCCCTGTCTTCCTCCCCCACCTCTCTCTGTCTGTCTCTCTGTCTCTGTCTCTCCATCTGCCTCTGTCTCTGTCTCTCTCCCTGTCTCCCCCACCTCTCTGTCAGTCTCTCTGTCTCTGTCTCTCCATCTGCCTCTGTCTCTGTCTCTCTCCATCTCCCCCACCTCTCTGTCTGTCTCTCTATCTCTGTCTCTCCATCTGCCTCTGTCTCTGTCTCTCTCCACCTTCCCACCTCTCTCTATCTGTCTCTCTGTCTCTGTCTCTCCATCTGCCTCTGTCTCTCTCTCCGTCTCCCCCACCTCTCTGTCTGTCTCTCTGTCTCTGTCTCTCCATCTGCCTCTGTCTCTCTCTCCGTCTCCCCCACCTCTCTCTGTCTGTCTCTCTATCTCTGCCTCTCCATCTGCTTCTGTCTCTGTCTCTCTCTCCATCTCCCCCACCTCTCTGTCTGTCTCTCTATCTCTGTCTCTCCATCTGCCTCTGTCTCTGTCTCTCCATCTCCCCCACCTCTCTGTCTGTCTCTCTATCTCTGTCTCTCCATCTGCCTCTGTCTCTGTCTCTCCATCTCCCCCGCCTCTCTGTCTGTCTCTCTATCTCTGTCTCTCCATCTGCCTCTGTCTCTGTCTCTCTCCACCTCCCCACCTCTCTCTGTCTGTCTGTCTCTGTCTCTCCATCTGCCTCTGTCTCTGTCTCTCTCTCCATCTCCCCCGCCTCTCTCTGTCTCTCTGTCTCTGTCTCTCCATCTGCCTCTGTCTCTCTCTCTCTCCGTCTCCCCCACCTCTCTCTGTCTGTCTCTCTATCTCTGTCTCTCCATCTGCCTCTGTCTCTGTCTCTCTCTCCATCTCCCCCACCTCTCTGTCTGTCTTTCTGTCTCTCCATCTGCCTCTGTCTCTGTCTCTCTCTCCATCTCCCCCACCTCTCTGTCTGTCTCTATCTCTGTCTCTCCATCTGCCTCTGTCTCTGTCTCTCTCTCCATCTCCCCCGCCTCTCTCTGTCTCTCTGTCTCTGTCTCTCCATCTGCCTCTGTCTCTCTCTCTCTCCGTCTCCCCCACCTCTCTCTGTCTGTCTCTCTATCTCTGTCTCTCCATCTGCCTCTGTCTCTGTCTCTCTCCACCTCCCCACCTCTCTCTGTCTCTCTGTCTCTGTCTCTCCATCTGCCTCTGTCTCTGTCTCTCTCTCCGTCTCCCTCACCTCTCTCTGTCTGTCTCTCTATCTCTGTCTCTCCATCTGCCTCTGTCTCTGTCTCTCTCTCCACCTCCCCACCTCTCTCTGTCTCTGTCTCAGTCTCTCTCCCTCTTTCCCTCCCTCCCCCTTCTCTCTCTCTGTCTCTGTCTCTCCATCTGTCTCTGTCTCTCTCTCCCTCTCCCCTACCTCTCTCTGTCTCTCTCGCTGCCTCTCTCCTTCTCTGTCTCTCCATCTGTCTCTGTCTCCCCCCTTCCTCCCTCTGTCTCTCTGTCTCCTCCTTCCCTCCTCCTCACTCTCTGCCGCATCTTCCACCTGTCTATGGCATAAATCAGCAGCTTGACTCTAGGTGAGAGGAGGAAGCTGCCCAGGTTAGCGATGGCTGCTTTGCTTTTGCAGAGGTGTGGCTCCGCTTCATCAAGGTTTGCTGGCCGAGGCTTCCCTATGTACACAGTAAAACTGTGGCCTTTTCATCGTTATCTGCCTAAGGAAACGCACTGATGCAGAAACACCCTGTACCTTTCGCACATCACTAACTCGCATGAGCCCATCTGCCTTCTCTCCATGCCCTGGGAGGAGAGATCGCATCCTTCAGTGTAAAGGAGGAGACAGGGATGGGGGAAGGGGTCTGCCCAGGACTCTCGATTCGGGGGTGGGGGAACCTTCCCAGGGCCGCAGACAAGTCACAAGCCCCTCCAACCATGGCCATGCTTAGCTGCAGGTGAGGCTGGTGGTTTCGGGGGGCTGTGCAGCAGCAGGCGGCCCCTCTATGGATCTCAGGAATACGCCCTCCACCTGTGAGTTTGGGTGGGGGCAGCCGTGGGTACACCTGCACTGTTTCCCCTCCCTGTTTGTCAGTGGGGGGTCTCTATAGTGCACAGCCCGTGTTACCCCAGAGGAGACGCTCAGGCACGCGAGGCTATGTCAGCTGTGGAGATGGCTCACACTCACTTCCTGCCCTCCAGGCACTGGAGGAGTTATGGAGGCTCCAAGGGGTTCCCTCGTCCCCCAGCCATGACCTTGACTCTGAGTTTGGGAGGCAGCTTGGCCCCAGAATGGGCTCTGAGCTGAGGAGGAGGGCAGCTGCCCCACCTCTGGCTCCTGGTGGGCAGCTGCTCTGTCCCAGGACAGCCTCTGGGCCCCTCAAGGTACCTGAATCCTGCCTTCCCTGAGTGTGGCCCTGTAGCCCTGGGCGGGCATGATGTATGAGCCTGGGCTTTGAGTTGAGGTCTGTAAAGCATTAACCACCCACATGCGCGGGTTTATTTTTTTATTTTTTTACTAGCAGTCCTAACCCAGCATCTTCATCAGGACACCCTTTACATGTTCACACAAGGCTTCCAATCCACCAAACTCATTACTGTCCCTGCCCAAAGCCTGGGGGGGTAACAGGGTGTGTGTCAATTTCACTTATTTCATGAAGAGCTGTTTTAATCAGACAGCCCATCTCAGGAGATAAACCTCGAGTATCTTTGCATCCCGTGAGAGTTTTTAAAATTTCACCACTGGTATTTCTCTGCTCAAAACCCTGGTGACTTTGTGACCTTTATAAAGAATGGTTTGGTGTCTGATGGGGATGACCAAAAACCCTAAAGGTAAGAAGCCGTACAGCGTCTGGCCCATTTAGATCAATTCCAGGTCAAATCACAAAGAGCTCACATTCCATAACCTGCCAGAAGCTTCTTTCCCATCCCCACGTTCACAGCCCACACAGCCCACTCTCAAGAAGTGTTTATGGGATGAATGAATGATGTCACGGAGGCTCAGTCCCCGCAGCTCTGCGTTCCGGGGAGCAACCTCGGAGTGCCACATTGTCACCAACCCCACTGCTTCCTCCCCCTCAGCTCCTGTACGAAGAGTGGGCACGCTATGGAGTTTTCTATAAGTACCAGCCCATCGACCTGGTCAGGTAAGAACGCGCCACAGCCTGCGGGAATCAAGTCCCTACTCCGATGGCAGTCGGATAACATCCCTGTGGGTTTCAACCGCTCTGAATGTTCAGTACCCGGGAACGTGTTTGAACTCAAAGAGCTTGTGTAGGAAGACCCAAAATGTCCCTGCAGGGCTGAGAGCCTGGGCCAGCATTAGATGAAGCAGTTTATTCAAATTCCCTGGAGGTCGGGCCCTTTTCAGTCACATTTACCATCTCCTAAATTCACTGCCTGGCCTGGCCTCACTGGGCGGCGGGAGGGTTTTCCGGATTTGAGACGTGGAGGGGAAGGAAAGAGCTGCCTCAAATGTGGAAGGATTTCTTCTCTCCCAAGAGGATCTCTGTCCTCACAGGGCAGGAAGGAGGGGCCGACCAGGTTAGGCAACTTGCCCGCCAGAGCTCGACTGGTAGAAATCCATTCAAGCCATCAAACTGCCAACCACGCTTAATATGAGGAGCAATTGGTTTTCTTGGCACCTCCCGGCCAAGGTTCTTTCCAGTCCTTATGCTGAACAGGGCTTGGAATGGAGCCCACAGCCTCAGGGGAAGTAGGCCCACAGCCATCAGCATGGGCCATCGCACACGGAAAAGCGCCCACCTTCCCAAGGCACCACAGAGAAGTGGGGACCGGGCGCGGTGGCTCACGCCTGTAATCGCAGCACTTTGGGAGGCTGAGGCAGGTGGATTACTTGAGGTCAGGAGTTCGAGACCAGCCTGGCCAACATGGTGAAACCCCGTCTCTACCCAAAATACAAAAGTTAGCTGGCAGTGATGGTGCATGCCTATAGTCCCAGCTACTAGGGAGGCTGAGGCAGGAGAATCGCTTGAACCCGAGAGGCGGAGGTTGCAGTGAGCCGAGATCGCGCCACTGCACTGCAGCCTGGGCGACAGAGCAAGACTCCATCTCAAAATAAATAAATAAATAAATAAATGCAATGGGCGTGGTGGCAAGCATCTGTAGTCCCAGCTACTCAGGAGGCTGAGGCAGGAGAATCGCTTGAACCTGAGAGGCGGAGGTTGCAGTGAGCCGAGATTGTGCCACTGCGCTCCAGCCTGGGCAACAGGAGCAAAACTCTATCTCAAAAAAAAAAAAAAAGAAAGAAAGGAAAAGAAAAAGAAAGAGAAGAGGCTGGGCACGGTGGCTCACGCCTGTAATCCCAGCACTTTGGGAGGCCGAAGGGGGCGGATCACGAGGTCAGGACATTGAGACCATCCTGGCTAACACGGCGAAACTCCATCTCTACTAAAAATACAAAAAATTAGCCGGGCGTGGTGGCGGGCTCCTGTAGTCCCAGCTACTCGGGAGGCTGAGGCAGGAGAATGGCGTGAACGCGGGAGGTGGAGCTTGCAGTGAGCCGAGATAGCGCCACTGCACTCCAGCCTGGGCAACAGAGCGAGACTCCATCTCAAAAAAAAACAAAAAAAGAGAGAAGAGGGGAGGGCTTCAGAAAAGCAGAGAGCACCCCCAACCTGATGGGGCGGCCCAGGACCCCACTCTCTGCTTCTGGGATGAGGGAACCAGTGCCCCTGGTTTGAGTTGCTCTTGCTGGGGAGGGCCTGTGACATGTTTCCCTGCTAGTATTGAATGACAGTGGGCTTGACTCTGCTCTGCTCCCCTGGTGTAGGAAGTATTTTGGGGAGAAGATCGGCCTGTACTTCGCCTGGCTGGGCGTGTACACCCAGATGCTCATCCCTGCCTCCATCGTGGGAATCATTGTCTTCCTGTACGGATGCGCCACCATGGATGAAAACATCCCCAGGTAGGCGGCAGCCCACCCCCACCACCCCGCAGTACACAGAGGAGCCCTCTCCTGCCATCCCAGCTGCACAATTCATTGGGACACTGGCCTCTCACACCAATTCCTGTACACATGAAACCTCACGCCAAGCCACGAGCCGTCAGGAGGAAAGGACATGGTTCGAAGCCATCTAGGAGTCTGGGAGTCCTTCTCAGGCCCATCTGTGCTAGGCTATGTTTTATTGTTAAGAGAAAGGCATAAAAGAAACATCTGACCATTTTCATTCTTTAAAAGTTGTTATGGTTGGCTTGTTCTTTTTCACTGTTGGTCATTAGTGACAAGAAAGTTTTCTGTTTCCTTGTGTGGCCGGGAGGTGAGGCATGAATGCTAGGGGCTTCAGTGTAGGCTGGTACTTGCGGGAGGTGAGACATGGATGCCAGAGGCCTCAGTGCTGGCTGGTGTTCGCGGGAGGTGAGCATGAATGCTAGGCTTCGGTGCAGGCTGGTACTTGCGGGAGGTGAGACATGGATGCCAGAGGCCTCGGTGCAGGCTGGTGCTTGCGGGAGGTGAGCGTGAATGCCAGACTTCGGTGCAGGCTGGCACTTGCGGGAGGTGAGACGTGAATGCTAGAGGCCTCGGTACAGGCTGGTGCTCCCAGGAGGTGAGACGTGAACGCTAGAGGCCTCGGTGCAGGCTGGCACTTGCGGGAGGTGAGACATGAATGCTAGAGGCCTCGGTACAGGCTGGTGCTCCCAGGAGGTGAGACGTGAACGCTAGAGGCCTCGGTGCAGGCTGGCACTTGCGGGAGGTGAGACATGAATGCTAGAGGCCTCGGTACAGGCTGGTGCTCCCAGGAGGTGAGACGTGAACACTAGAGGCCTCGGTGCAGGCTGGTGCTTGCGGGAAGTGAGACATGAACGCTAGAGGCCTCGGTGCAGTCTGGTGCTCCCAGGAGGTGAGACGTGAACGCTAGAGGCTTCGGTGCAGGCTGGTGCTTGCAGGAAGTGAGACATGAATGCTAGAGGCCTCGGTGCAGGCTGGTGCTCCCGGGAGGTGAGATGCGAATGCTAGTGGCCTCAGTGCAGGCTGGCGCTCGTGGGCTGTACAGTAGGTTCCACCTGCCCAGCTTCCTAAGGCTGCCTGCTTCCCTTATCTGCACGGCCCCGAGAAATTCTGCAGGAACTGTTCCATAAGGGAGGATTGCATCCCACAGCATAGGCAGGCATCTGAATGTAGATCCGATGTGCCTTCTGCTGTTCACCAAGGGTATGTCAGACGTCAGGGAGCTCGGAAAAGAAGGCCCAGACCTGAGACAGCCTCGCCTCGCTCAGGGGCCCAGTTCCCCCACATGACTTCAGAACAAGAGTCCAGTTTTGCCTGGTGCGATGGCGCATGCCTGTAATGCCAACACATTGGGAGGCTAAGGTTGGAGGATCCCTTGAGCCCGGGAGGTCGAGGCCACAGTGAGCCATGGTCTCACCACTGCACTCCAGCCTGGGGGAACAGAGTGGGGCCCTGTAGCCAAAAAAAAAAAGAGTCAAGTTTTGAGAAGCTCAGCCTCAGTGTGCAGAGTCCCTCTGGTGCTTGCTTTTGTAGCTGTTTCTTAGATTTCCTGACATGAACCTAAGGATAATTCCAGGCTCCCAACCTCTGGCAGGGTTTCTATGCCGACAGGCAGTGCCTTCAGCGTGCAAATCGCTCTGCCAGGGAATTGACTATAAAGGGGAATTTGGGCTGACCCTGCCCTGCAAGGGCTCCAAGTCTCAGAAAAGCCCTAAAATGTTAGTTTGGTTATTTTTCGAACCACTCCTGCCAAGTATCTCTAAAGCAGAGGTATAGTTTAGAAAATGTATCCACTGAGCCTGTCTGTAAAGACCCAATCAGTCTTAGGAAAGAAACTGACTCTTTGCAGCACAAAAAGACCATATCTGGTCAATTTTTGTTTAAGTGATGTTTTGATACATGAATAACACCTAAAATATTCCACCCCACCCCCACCCCCGAATCAAAGCTCTGAGGAATCTGGCTTATCTCCCTTTTGGTGTTAATTTGGTCCTAGGCAGGAGAAAGGTTTCCCTTTGTTTGCTAATATGGTATGAGGTCCTGGGCACTTGGGTTTGGTTGTGGTAAAGATCAAGGTAGTCCAGACTTGGTGGGGATTGTAAGGCTGGCTTTAGGCTAGGAGCTCAAAGCCGGAGGAAAATGGTGAGTGTAAGGTGAGGATTCTCCCCATGAGCCCTGGAGGAAGCCTGGGGGACCTCCATCTTCCTTCCTTCCTTCCCTTGGAGGGTGGCCCCAGCAGGGAGGCTCTGCCAGCCCAGGGGTTGGCCATGCCAGCTCGGCCCTTCCACCACATGGTCAGAAATGCAAACAGCAGTTACTCAGGATTCAGCCGCTGTGGGCGGAGATGAGGCCAAAGCCAAGGCCTCTGCCCAGCAGGCGACCTGGAGCGAAGCGGGAGGTGCGTGCTCCCTGCAGCTTCCGCCCCATCCCCACCAAGCTTGCAGGGAAGCCCCAGCATGGAGCCGCCTGCTGCCCTTGTACCTCCGGTCCTCTCTGAAGAAGAGAGCTTCCTGCTCTTTGTATTTTGGCTAAAGGCGGTGAAGTGAGAGGCGGAGGGGGATTTAAAACCAGCAGAAAAAGGCTTCTTGTTGGGCTGATGGTGTTTGTGCGAGAAGCTGAGGTGGGCAGGGAGGAGAGCCTAGGAGAGCGGTAGGGCTCATGGGCAGGCCGTTGGTGTACGCCTTGGCCCTGCCTGTCCCCAGTCCCACCACTGTGGACTCCAGGCCATCCTCAGTCCAGGTGGTCACTGTGGCCTGGGCCACATGCTGGCGATGATGGGGATGGCCTTCCACATGCCTGTTCTCTGGAAGAGGGGCTCGCGTTGTGCCCAACTGGGGACGTCCTGCCCCCAACCCCCCAAAACGCTGCTTTCTTCTGCCCTCAAGAGGCCCTCAGAAGAGAGGAGGCTGAGTGAGGGGCATGAGATAAACCCCGAAAGGCCGGCTCCTGGCTCGTGTTTAAAACTCACTGCTGCTGCAAAGTGCTTGGCTATTGCATAATAATGACAACAGCGTTGGTGACCACGTGATGGCCGAGGGGTGCCAGGCACTGTTCCAAGGGCCACACTCGTGTTGGTTGTTGGTTGTTTAATCCTCCTGACAACCTATTAACACGGCTTCTCTTCACTATCAGCAACCCCATTCTGCAGCCGGGAAAACTAAGGCCACACGGATCACAAAATGCAAGAGCTGAGATACAAACCCAGAGCTAGCTGACCGTAGAGTGCAGGTTCTCCCAACGGCTGTGTGTGCCTACTCACCCTGCCCGACCCCTGCTCCCATGCACACACACACACTTCCTCCATGCTCCAGGCTGTGGCTGCAATGAATTCTTCTTAACCTATCCATCTTTTGTGCCAGATACATGCAGTACCTACACCCCACCCCCCGCCTTTTTTTTTTTTTGACACAGAGTCTCACTCTGTCGCCCAGGCTGGAGTACAGTGGTGTGATCTCGACTCAATGCAACCTCCACCTCCCAGGTTCAAGCAATTCTCCTGCCTCAGCCTCCCGAGTAGCTGGGATTACAGGCTGGGATTACATGCCAGGCTAATGTTTGTATTTTTAGTAGAGACGGGGTTTCACCATGTTGGCCAGGCTGGTCTCAAACTCCTGACCTCGAGTGATCTGCCTGCCTCGGCCTCCCAGTGCTGGGATTACAGGCATGAGCCACCGTGCCTGGCCCTACACCACTTTTTAATAAATGTTTAGGGACTGTACCTGAAGGAAGAGAATTGAACCAGAATGCCCATGATGCTGGGCACAGAGGAGGCCCTTCAGAGCCTTGCAAGGGACGTTTATTAAGCACCAGCTGCTGTGGACCAGGCATGGTTCTGCGCATAAGTTCAGCATATCCAGAAAGTCAAAAAACAAACACCCACTTCAGCATCCCCCCACATCACCCTCCGACCCAACCAGCCAGGGTGTGTACTTAGAGCCCAGAGCCTTGTCCAAGGCAGCAGAAAGGAGAAAGTTCAAAGCAGGCCAGAGCAGGAAGGGACCTTATTCTGACCCCTCCTCATTTTCCAGAACGAAAAACTGAATCTGAGGCTAAAGGACTTGGCCAGGGCCACGGAGGGTATGAGTAGTCAGTTGAGGGCCCAGTTCAGGCCACCCAACTTCCACAAGGAGCCCCCCATGGCCCTTGAGCAGTAGATGAGAGCCGGCAGTGCTTGGGCTTTGAAGATACACACAGACCAGGATTCCATTCCCACTCTGCTGCGTGGCCCTGAACAAGTTACTTCCCCTCTCTGGGCTCTGGGATTGCAACAGTCCCCAGTGCTGGTCCAAGTGAGGTGGAACATCTGTGCCTGCCAGTAATGAGGCTCCTGCTCTCGCCGCCGATAGCCTGGAAGTATTAGTATTTTCTAATATTAGTGGGAGTAAGTCAGTGCTGGGGAGGAGGCACAGAGATGAGTCTCAGGCATCATGAAGATCCTCTCTCCTGGCCACAGTAGTTGGGATCTGGCCCCAGGCTCACCTGTGCTCAGCAAAGCAGAAGCCTGCACTGAGCGGGACCCATCATCCCTGGCAGGCCCCCCCGGCTTCCCGAGTGAGCCTACAGGGTGGGCCTCCGCTGCACCGGGCAGCTGGGGACCTATTCCTTCCGGCCCAGCCCCCGTTCTCCCAGAGAAGAGTCCTGGGATCCCCGTTTCTCCACCTCCTGTGTCCAGAGCACCCAGGCCACGTCCAAGGCAGCCGCCCCACCAGGCGGATGGAGATGCTGTGTGAACCGCTCATAGACGGCGCCTGGCACAGAGCAAGGGCCCTCATCATCTCACTGTTTTCCAAGGCCTTATAACATAAAGACCTGGCTAGCATTTGCTATTGGCACAAGCCTTGACCGTGCCTGCCGATTATATGGGGGCAGGCTGGGAACTCTGCCTCTCCTAGAAGTGGCTCAAGGATAGGCTGCAGAGGCTGCTGCCTCAGGGTCACCCCAGAGGTGAATGTTCCAGGGCCCATCTACCACAAAGCAGGTCTGGGTGAGTCCACCTCCAAGGCCGGCAACAGAGGTTGCAGGGCCCCATGCAAGAAGAAAATGCAGGTCTTTAGTTCAAAAATCAATGTGTGTGTGTGTGTGTGTGTGTGTGTGTGCGCGTCTGTGTTGAGATGGAGTCTCGCTCTGTCACCCAGGCTGGAGTGCAGTGACGTGATCTGGGCTCCCTGCAACCTCTGCCTCCAGGGTTCAAGCGATTCTTCTGCCTCAGCCTCCCGAGTAGCTGGGATCACAGGCGCGTGCCACCATGCCCGGCTAATTTTTGTGTTTTTAGTAGAGACAGGGTTTCACCATTTTGGCCAGGCTGGTCTTGAACCCCTGACCTCAGGTGATCCGCCCGCCTTGGCCTCCCAAAGTACTGGGATTACAGGCGTGAGTCACCACGCCCGTCCCATTGTGTGTTTTAAGGCAGCAACAGGGGAGCATTAAACCAAGCATGAGGCCCTGCTGAGCTCAGGGCTGGTGCAACAGCATGGGTCACACGCCTGTGAAGCTGCCCTGGATGGCAAGGAGGGACAGGGCATGGCTAAGCACCCGGCTTATGTCCACTATGGCATGGACCTGAGGGACCCTCGCCAACCCCCAGCTTGGGCCCAGCGCTTTCTCCCAGGCCAGCTCGGCACCCAGGAGGTGCTCCATCATGGCCCAACAAGGTGACTCCAGGGCTGCCCCCTCTCTTGCAGCATGGAGATGTGTGACCAGAGACACAATATCACCATGTGCCCGCTTTGCGACAAGACCTGCAGCTACTGGAAGATGAGCTCAGCCTGCGCCACGGCCCGCGCCAGCCACCTCTTCGACAACCCCGCCACGGTCTTCTTCTCTGTCTTCATGGCCCTCTGGGGTAAGCAGGGCTCCAGAGCACTGGGTTTTTGGGCAGTGGTGAGTCTGAGTGGTACCTAGGCTGCTTCTGTCTGTCTTTGCGAAATCATCCTCAGGCAGGGGTTGTCGGGAAAAAACATAGGGGAAGGGGGCTGGTGGAAACGACCCCTGTTTTGTGTTCAGGTTACTGGGGTGCGCAGTGCATCAGGAGAGACACGGGTTCTCCTGACCCAGCAAAGAGTCCCTTAGGAAAAGCCTAGGAGGGACGTTTTGCTCTGAGAAATCCTGACACCAGGGTATGCTGGCCTGTGAAGGGCAGCTGATTTAGAGCAGGGAGGCCCGAGGGTCCTGCCTCCATCCCTGCTGCAGCTGGCGACCACCACAGCCTGAAGGAAAGCTGACCTGGGCCAGGTCCCGGAGGCACCGTGTCTCACTAGAGCCCTCAGCATCCCTGCAGGCTTCATGTGCCCATTTTCGGATAAGGAGGCGAAGGCCTAAGAGAGTTGGGAATCGCCTGGGGTCACTCAGCTCCTGATTGCCACTGGGCTCCACTGCCATGCAAACCTAAGGCACTGGCCTCCTCCTCCAGGAAGATTCCCTAACCCCAGTCCTACCCGACTCCCAACTCCAGCTTTCGGGGCTTGGGAGGTTGGTAAGTGGTGGCTGAATGCATTTCTACAGAGGTTCTGGGTGAGCAAGCAGGCCCATTCTGTCCTCTGCAGCCCCGTGTCTCAGCCTGTGCCAGCTTTGAGATGCCCACAGTGGGCAGCCTGTGCTGAGCCATCTCCCAGGCCTGGCCCCACGCCGGGCACTTAAGCCCCCATCCTTACCTGTGAGCTCCCACCTTGTAGGAGATGGGGCCAGGCACAGAGACAGCGCTGGAGGGAGTTCAGGAGGGCTTTCTGGAAGAGGTGTGAGGCCCTTCAGATGAGTTGACATGGGTGTGGGGGAGGCAGCATTTGTGGCAGAGAGACCAGGTGTAGAGACAGAGGGGCCTCTCCGTCCCACCTCGTACCCCTGCTTGGGGCAGGCTCCCGGGGCCAGAATAGCGCCACCTCACCTGCAGCTGTACCCGCTTGGCACTGCCCTGTGTGCTCTGTGGGTAGGCAAGGGGCAAATGTGGACTGAAAAGGCAATTGTTTGACCAGTGAGGACAGAGGCCAGCCAGGTTGCGGGGCTCTGTGTGGCCCTTACCCGCCAGCGTGCTGATCCTGAAGATCAGACCTAGGATTCAGTACCGTGCCCCATCAGTAAGCAGAGCATTGGCTGGCATTGCCAAAGCCTTGCCAGCATCCTCCATGGAGAGCACCTCGAAGTATGGCCTGTGATTCCGGCTCAGGCACCTCCTGACCAAGGAGCAGCTGCTCGGGGGAGGCTGGAAACCTAGAGGAGGTTCAGAGGATGAAGGTAGAGCCGGGTCTCTGGCCTGCACAGAAGCACCCAGCAGGTTGGGCAGAGAGGGACTGAAGCACCAGCACCCAGCTCTGGGGTCTGCATGCTCCTCCCCTCTTCATCCTTATGGCGCCTCCGTCCTCTCCAGGCCCGAGCCCTGTCCCTACACAGCTCGGCAGCCTCCTCCCCTGCTCCGGAGGCTGCATTCGGGGCTGGTGTTCTCTCCAACAGTGCATAAGAGAATTCCCCATGAAGCCGAGGAAGCCGACAGGCTCAGGTTATCCTCCTGCTTGGCGCAGATATCCTGCAGCTGGGACTCAGGGTTTGGCTGAGCCTGTGTGGTTTGCGGGTGGGTGTGCACAGCAGAGCCGAGGTATGTATCAGGTGAGGTGAGGGAGGGGAGGCCTGGCCCACCCTCTGCAGCTCCTGCTCCAGCCTGGGCAGCTGGGCCGGGTCCTCTTGCCTCGGCTCACCAACACTGTATCTCATTCCTACCCTTCCGGAGACCCGGGACAGAGGCCGCCAGCTCTGAGCATGGGTGCCGGCAATGGTGAGAGTTGGAGCTTCTCCATTTAGATGCTTTGTGGACGGCCACCTCCCTCAAGACCCTCCTCACCCTGGAATCTTATTGGGCAGCTCCGTGTCCTTAGCAGAGTTCCCTCCACAGAGGCCTCAGCCCCGAGGCACCTCGCTGCAGCCCCACCCGCTGTGTGCGCAGCTGGAAGGGCCTGGCTCTCATGAGCGCTTCCTCCACATGGTCGCCAGCAGCTCTGTTTCCTCATTTGGGACCCCTGGGCCTGTGCAGCCACTGAGACAGTATTTCAGGTGGTCCATAGCATGACCCACAAGTAAGTGTGACCCCTGTAGCACTGAGCCCCCTGAGCCACTAGAAGATTGTTCAGTGCCGCCTGCTGTGGTCAGCCCTGCTGCCCCGTGTACATTTCTATAGCGCCCCCGGGGCTCAGACTCCCGCTCTGCCAGTTCCCACCTCACTGCTCTAAACCTCAGCTTCCTCATCTGCAGAATGAGGCTGCATGAGGATCAGAGGCGACGGACATGAACTCTCAGCCGAGGCTTAGCACATAGCTTACTCTAAATAGGTGGTCACTGCCGTCTTACCACATTGGAGCATGTGAGAACCAAAGAAAACCTATACGAGAGTGTGCGTGCGCCTGGTGTGTGGGAGGTACTCATCAGCCACGTGTACTGAGCACATGTGTCCCACCTGCATGAGGATGTGCACGTGCCTGGTGTGTGGGAGCTACTCATCGGCCCATGTGTACTGAGCACAATGTGTATCCCACACTGTGCCGGGCCCCAGGGGAACCAAGGGAAGCAAACCTGATGTATCCGCTGCTCTAAAAGCTGCAGCGTAGGTTTCAAGAGAAGGCCCCATGGGAAGGGTGCGGGGCTGTGGCAGGAGCTCCAGGTGCAGGGACCAGGTGAGAGGGGTGTCAGAGCATCCGGAGAGGTCAGCAAGGACACGCTGAGAAGAACTTAGTGTGCTGGCTCAGAGGAATCAGAACCCAGTGCCATCAGCTGCTGTGTCAAAGATGCTTTCCTGTCTTATGCTCGAGTCGGAGACCGCAAGTCTAAGAGGGAGCTTGTGCAGTGATTAAGAGAGGGGTGACACAGTGGGGGCCCAGCTCCAGGAAGGGCACCTATGGGAAGGTGTGAGAGAAGCGATTGGGAGCCTCATGGCACCCTCCCTCCCTGGCCCTGGGGACCCTGATTTCATCCGTCTGTTTCCTCTTTCCCTGCTGAAATCCCTGGGAGGAATTCAGCCCTTAGACTCCCTGTAGCCACTTCTCCAAAGAAAAGGCCTCCGATGGAAAAGAGAGACTTTAGATTATTCCAAAGGACTCCACACTTTGTTTTAGCTCTCATGCTATTCCCATGAGTTAAGGAGACGCTGGCGGGCTTGGCCGAGCTGGTCTCATCTGACACACAGGGTTATGAATTACAGCTCCCACATTTAACCATGAATAAAAGGCTTTTAAGGGCCCTGGAGAAAGCAGCCACCACGTCCTTCCACCCCACGCTCTGCCCATCCCTGGCATCACCTTAGGATCTGGGAGGGCACAGCCGTCTGAGAACCCCTGGCTGGTGTTCTTCTCTACAGCGGACTCCAAAGGCACCCACTTTTGTGGGACTCTCCAAACGTCCAGTAATTCCTGGGTCCACAGAACTGGGCCTCCCTCCTCTGCAGAGAAAGAAGGACGTGGTGTTTCATTTTCTCCTTCTCCAATTACAGGCATGCCCAGTAAGAGCACATTCCCAGGGGAAGGGAGGAGAGAGGCTGAAGGAGCCCGGATGAAGAAAGAAGCCGTCTTGGGCTGTAATGATCCCATTTCGAGCTTAACACGCCGGGCGATAAGAGGTCTCTGTGATAAGCGCCTGTTGCGGCTCTTGTTTTGGGAGCCCAAAGCGCTACGTGGCATTCTGGTCACTGCAAATTCCTTCTTCTGAGTGCCAGAGCATCACCCAGTCACGCCTTCCAGGTCACCTGTGGGAGTGCCTACTGGGCAGGCATGGGTGCCGCAGCCACAGAACGAGCCCCTCCCCCCAGACCTCCCTCCTTCTGGGAGTTCCTGCTGCAAGGTCGTCCTTTGAGAGGATGCAGGCAGCGCAGATTGGTCAACACCCTGGTTGTTTGGGGAGAAACCCTCAAGGGTCTGGTCCCTCATGCGTTGGGCTGGCTAGCAGCCCTGTGGCCCCCAGGCCTGTGGACCCTCCAAGACTAGAGCGTCCAGGGCTGGCTGACCCTGCTGGAGGCTCTAGACCTGGGCCTGATTCCCAGGGGGCAGCAGCTCTGGGCTTGTCGGTCCCCTGTGGTTCTCAAACTCGGTCCCACAGGCCTCTGCAGGAACCCGCACCAGTCAAGAGGTTTAAGTGCAAGGGAGGGATGCCTGGGTACAGCATGGATGTTGGCATCTCGTCTTAGGTGCCCATGACCCTGAGAGTGAGTGTCGTGGGACCTGCAGCACCAGCACCTCCCTCGCCTCACCCTGGCCTCAGTCCTGATTTAAATGAACATCGTCCTTTGGCCGATTTCATGTTTGGGGCTTCTGCCTGGAGTTTGTTAGGGGAAGATGGGAGTTCCTCTGCTGAGGTTCGAAGGCTCAGCCAGGGCCTGCAAGCCTCTGTGAGCAAGTGAGGGCCCAGGGAGAGTCAGGAGAGGCCTTTCCTGGTGAGGTCAGGTGCCTGTCGTCGGCGTCTGCACTTGCCTGGAAGCCGCCCTCAGACACGCTCAGCTCCACCACACGAGGGTGTGGGCAGAGCAGTGTGAGGGACAGGTCTTGCTTTCCCGGGATTCCAGTCACAGGTGGGGACAGACACGCACAGAAATCAGCATAGCCTCGAGATAAATGCAGTTGTTTCTCTTCGTGGACAAAGGCGTTCGATTTTCCAGAGGAGGCCAAGAATGGGAGCCGTGGGTCCGTAGCTTGGTGTAGGGCGTGAGTTCCAGTGGTGAGCAGTGAGACACGCTGAGCTGGGCTGGCCAGGGAGGGGGTGAGCGCCCCGTGCTGGGAAGCATTCAAGCTGAGGTTGGAGGACTTCTTGCTGGGGCAACTGCAGAGCATTGGGAGGTGATGTCTATGTGTGATCCAAGGCCACGTGGCTTATTGGGAAGATTCCCAGGCCTACAACCCAGCTCTGGTTTTTAATTTGGGGATCAAAATGTATCGTAAATTTAGAATTATAAATGTAGGGTCAGCAGCAGTCTGTCACCGCTGAAGCACACGTGCCAGAGCTCCCGTTGTTTATCACACTGTATCCGAACAGCGGAGAACCTGTCCCCATTTCACAGAGGAGGAAAGTGAGGCTCCATTGGCACAGCCGGGAACTGAAGCCACATCTCTCTGAGCCTGTCCTCTCTCCCCTGCCTGCCCCTGCCTGCCCCTGCCTGCCCCTGCCTGCCTCCCTGGACGCTGCGTCCATCTGGAACTATCTCCACAAACCCCCCACCCCCCCACCCGCCATCACCGCTGTCTGCTGCTCCTTCCCTCCCTCGCCTTCCTAGAGACCTCAGCACCGGTCAGATCCCTCCCTGTCTCCCTCTCTCTGATCATGACCCAGGAGGCTGTGACTCCCCAGCCTCCTGGTGCCCCAGCTCCAGGCTGGGAAGATCCACCCAGCGGGGCCCGGCCTGCCCTGGCAGCCCACTTGACGGTCACTGGATTACTCAGGCTGACTTGGCTGCGTAGTAGGACGGTTAGATACAGTCAAGGGGTTCACAGTGCCAGCTCCGGGGCCCGGCTCAGGTTCAAATCCCAGCTCTGTCACCTGCCAGCCCTGTGACCTGAGAACTTGCTTCTACTCTCTGGGTCCCAGGTTCGCATCTGTAGAACGGAGACACAGTCCCACCCCACAGGGTTGCTGGGAACATGGAAGGAGTCACTGCATGCAAAGTTCTTAGGGCCATGCCTGGCTTGTGCCTGGTGCCAGTTGCTACGTTGCACTGGCTGTTAAAAGTGAGCTGTTGCTTTTTGAAATTTTGAAAACGTAGCCTTGGGTCCTAGGAGATTGAGCTTAAACCTAACCTCTCACCTTGTGCTTGGTGGCCTCTGTCCATTCAGTGACTTCTTCTCCTTCAGAAAAGAATAACAGCTGGCTGGGCGCGGTGGTTCACGCCTGTAATCCCAGCACTTTGGGAGGCCAAGGCGGGCAGATCACCTGAGGTCAGAAGCTCAAGACCAGTCAGGCCAACATGGTGAAACCCCGTCTCTACTAAAAATACAAAGATTAGCTGGCCGTAGTGGCACGCGCCTGTAGTCCCAGCTACTTGGGAGTCTGAGGCAGGAGAATCACTTGAACCCGGGAGGCAGAGGTTGCAGTGAGCCAAGATCACGCCACTGCACTCCAGCCTGGGCAAAAAGAGTGAAATTCCATCTCAGAAAAAAAAAAAAAAAAAAAGGCTGGGCGCAGTGGCTCACGCCTGTAATCTCAGGAGACTAAGGCAGGAGAATCGCTTGAACCCAGGAGGCAGAGGTCGCAGTGAGCCAAGATCACGCCATTGCACTCCAGCCTGGGCAAAAAGAGTGAAAGTCCGTCTCAAAAAAAAAAAAAAGAAAAGAAAAGAATCACAGCTGAAGGTAGGTGAGCCTTATTTTGTGCCAGGCACTGTCATGAGCATCTCCCGCGTGCTGACTCACTAACTCCCCCCGAAGGAGGTAAATAGCTCTATGACCCCATCTGGCAGATGAACAAACTAGGGCAACCTTCCCAAACTTACACCCGCTCGTAAGCAGGGCTTGAACCCCAGAATTCTGGTTTCTGAGCCCCAAATACTTTTTCATAACTTTTTTTTTTAGTTGCAGTTTTTTTTTCTTTCCAACTTTTATTTTAGGCTCAGAGGTGACATGTGCTGATCTGTTACATGGGTAAACTGCGTGCCGTTGGTTTGGTGTACAGGTTATTTTGTCACCCAGATAACCAGCACAGTACCCGACAGATAGTTTTTCCATCCTCACCCTCCTCCCACCCTCCACCCTCGAGTAGGCCTCGGTGTCTCCTGTCCCCTGCTTTGTGTCCCTGTGTACTCAATGTTTAGCTCCCACTTAAAGGTGAGAACATGTGGCATTTGGTTTTCTGTTCCTGCATTCGTTTAGTCCGCTTAGGATAATGGTCTCTAGCTCCATCCATGTTGCTGCAAAGGCCTTCTTTTTATGACTGCGTAGTGTTCCCTGGTGTATACGGACCACATATTCTTTTTTATTTTTTATCTTGAGACAGAGTGTCTGTCGCCCAGGCTGGAGTGCAGTGGCACAATCTCGGCTCACTGCAAACTCCGCCTCCCATGTTCAAGTGATTCTCCTGCCTCAGCCTCCCGAGTAGCTGGCATTACAGGCACCTGCCACCATGCCCGGCTAATTTTTCTATTTTTAGTAGAGACGGTGTCTCACTCTTGTTGTCCAGGCTGGAGTGCAGTGGCGCGATCTCAGCTCACTACATCCTCTGCCTCCCATGTTCAAGCGATTCTCCTGCCTCAGCCTCCCGAGTAGCTGGGATTATAGCCGCCCGCCACCACGCCCAGCTAATTTTTGTATTTTCAGGAGAGACGGAGTTTCACCATGTTGGCCAGGCTGGTCTTGAACTCCTGACCTCAGGTGATCTGCCTACCTCAGCCTCCCAAAGTGCTGGGATTACAGGTGTAAGCCACCACGCCCGGCCTGCACCAAATATTCTTTACCCAGTTAACCATTGATGGGCATCTTTGTTGATTCCATGTCTTTGCTCTCATAAGTAATGCTGCAGTAAACATATGCATACATGTGTCTATGGTAGAACAATTGATATTCCTTTGGGCATATACCCAGTAATGGCATTGCTGAGTTAAATGGTACTTCTGTTTCAAGTTATTTAAGAAGTCTCCATCTTGAGCCCCAAATACCTGACTCTAGGCCCTACTCCGCGGGCATTACTAACTGGCTCCGGCTGGCGTGTGTGCTGAACACGTGCCTTGCTTGTTCCTGACTGGATTACCTCCAAGTTTTTCTCTCACCTAGAGTAGTTTCCCCGTCTGACTCCACAAAAATACACCTCCTTCCCTTTGGGAGCTGCGCTGAGGACTGCCTCCGTGCCAGGCCCCGGGCTAAGGGCTCTACACCGGCTCTCTCTGTAACCCCACAGCAGACCAAGGCTCTGTTCTTTTCTCTGTTGAAGACGCTAAAGTGTTCCCAGAAAGGGGTCTTGAGCCACACCCCAGGAGAGGGTTTTTGGATCTCACACAAGAAAGAATTCAGGGTGAGTCCACAGTCTAAAGTGAAAGCAAGTTTATTAAGAAAGTAAAGGAGTGGCCGGGCTCAGTGACTCACATCTGTAATCTCAGCACTTTGGGAGGCCAAGGTGTGTGGATCACCTGAGGTCACGAGTACAAGACCAGCCTGGCCAACATGGTGAAACCCCCTCTCTACTAAAAATACAAAAAATTAGCCGAGCGTGGTGGCAGGTACCTGTAATCCCAGCTACTCAGGAGGCTGAGGCAGGATAATCGTTTGAACCCAGGAGGCGGAGGTTGCAGTGAGCCGAGATCATACCATTGCACTCCAGCCTGGGTGACAAGAGCAAGACTCTGTCTCAAGGAAAAAAAAAAGAAGAAGAAGAAGAAAGAAAGAAAGTAAAGGAGTGAAAGAATGGCTACAGAATAGGGCATTCCCAAAGTAAGAGGAGGACCGTGCCTACCCTAGGTACAGTGCTTGTTTATGTAGAGGATAACAAAGAAAATCATGGGGAGATATACTCTGCTACAAGGGTTTGTGATAAAGGATTAATTGTCTTAATTACTATATTTTGTGAGAATCAATATTATTATCTCTAAAGCGAAATTAGGAATGCTTTTGTTCTCAACATCTCGGGATATCAGGACATTCCTGAGTCTGGGTCTGCTTAGTAAACATTATCAATCTGTCCCTTAATGTAAACATCTAGAGGCTGGGAATGCCTCACTTTCTGGGAATACAGCCCGGCAAGCCCCGGCCTCATTTTTCCTAGTCCTCACTCAAGATGGAGTCTCTCTGGTTGGAATGCCTCTGATAGAAGCACAGAGAGGGTAAGCGACTTGCCCAAAATCACACAGCTAACAGGTCCCTAACAGACGTCTCAGATGCGCACCCCGGCCCATCTGCCTCCAAGGTTTCAGCACGTGCCCTGGTCCCACCTCTCTGTCCAAACGTTCCCTCATGCAGGGCCCTCTTGGGGTAGCAGGAATGTACCGTAAGCCAGTAGCAGGGGACATGTAGGCGTAGTGCTACTGAGCGCGCCGTCCCCCATGGGCTGTGGCCGTTCATTTGGTGGCCCTGTTTCGAGAAGCCAGCTTGCCTGTTTTGCAGTTCTTCACTGCACACCTAGTGCCTTGCGCCCCAAGAGCTGCGGGCCAGCCCCTTCGTAGCAGATGGCTACATTCCCCCGACTCTGGGAGTGGGGGACTCTGTGCCTGCTGACCCCGCGGGAGGCTTTGCTGCTTGTCTCACCCCTCCCTAGCTCCACTTCAGCCCTGGGAGACAACAAATGTGCCCCGACTGTCAAATACAGTCAAGTACAAGTTCCGTCTGCACGCTCCCATTTTGAGCGGGGGCGGGGGGAATTCACAAAAAAGCCAGGCCACTCCCACGAAGCATTTGCTTTAGAGAAAAGGAGCTTATTCTAAATCAAGACAGGAGCAACAGGAAAGAACCTACTGCGGCTGAGAGGTGTGAGCGGAGAGGGGAGGGACAAAGCCCCCATCCCGGGCCCTTTTCACACTGGCTGTCAAGGGTAATTACCAGGGATCTCTCCTTGTGTGTTTTTTAATCCCTTATTCAATTATTTGTTCTTTACCCTCTAAGGGATTATTTTTCCTCTGGTGTTTCTTCTCCGCTTGTGTCCTTTCTTTTCCGGCCTCCAGCTGTTCACATTTCTGCTCCTACAATGGCAAAGAGACAGAAACCTGTTACTGCCTGGCAGCCGGGAGCCTGGTCGTGGCCACCCGCCCGCCGGGGTGTGGGGGTCCGTATTCACGGTGGATGAATCACCTCCAGCCTGCTGTTTTAATCTTTGCTTCCACTGCACCGTGGGGTCCAGCTTTCCTGGAGCTGACACGTTGGTCCCAGAGACTTCAGCTTGCTGCTGTCTGGAATTTCTGACATTTGAAAGCCTCAAATAAGATGTCTCATTAAGCAGCCTTGAGCCCTATTTAGCTATTCACTTGGATCCATTTTCTGAAATTATAGCATAATAATGGGGTTTTAACTGCTTGTCAGTTCCACGAAGAACAAAGGAGTTTATCTGATTTGAGCCTGGCTGCAAAAAGCCGGAGAAAGATGGTCCCAACTTTAATGAAATGCCAGAGATGGAACTGGAACCCCTCCCAGGGGCTGGGCCTGAGATTTTACATGGAGTTGACAAGTCACCCAGCTGAGTCACTCCCAGCTAGGTGGGGACGAAGGGGATGCACTGTGATCGTCTGCGGGAACTAAACTTGTTCCAGGGATAAATAGGTAGGGTGCCCGGTGACTCAGAGCGAAAGAGAAGGCTGGAGGCCTTTGTGTCCCACCCATCTCTGCCGAGCACTCTCGTGCAGGACCAGAGCCCTGCCCCCGCCCCGCCACTCCCCAGGAGACCCCTCTCTAACCTCTAGTTCATGGAAATGGAGTCTGCACTAAGCAAACATTGCACTTCTCGGGAACTGGAGGTTAGCAAAGGGTGGTTTCTATTCCCAGGGGGTGGGTGTCTTAGTCTGCTCCAGCTGCCATAACCAAATACCACGGACAGGTGCCTGCAACAACAGGCATGCATTTCCCACAGTTCTGAGTATGGAGAAGTCCAAGATCAAGGTGCCAGCTGATTTGGCCCACGCCTTGGCTTTCAGACAGCCACCTTCTCCCTGTGTCCTCAGGTGGCAAAGGGAGAGACAGGAAGCCCGTTCTCTGTTGTCTCCTCTTCCAAGGGTACGAATCCCATCACGAGGACCCCACCCTCATGACCTCAGCTAAACCCGATCAACCCCCAAAGGCCCCATCTTCAAATACCATCACCTGGGGGGTCAGGGCTTCCATGTGAATTTGAGAGGATGCAAGTCAGGCCAGAGCAGGGGGTCACATTTCAAGAAGGGAAATGGATAGGGACCCCACATGCACAGTCCAAGCAGGATGCACCCCTGCTCTGTGGTCATGTGTGACTGTGCCCTGCCTGCTTCCCAGAGCTGGTGGGCTCAGGGGTGGAGGGCAGAGGCTTGGAAGACGCGACCCCTGCCCGTGAGGAGCATGGATCTCACTGGGGAGATGGGGCTGTCCACTGGGCAGCTACAGAGCGGGTTGCAGCTCGCTCAGGGGAACCAAGAGAGTGTCAGATGAAGCACCTGAGATTGTGCCCTGGTTTGGGCAACAGCATCTCAGGGGAGAGAGAGCTCAGAAAGGGAGTCCGCCAGCCAGCTAAGGAGGTGCCGCGAAATTAGGGAAATTGGAGTGAAGCCTGAGTAGTAGAGACATTGGCATAAGTTGAGGCGGGGTGGGATGCAGCCTGGGAGGAGAGGCAGCTAACCTGATGGATGGAGGGATGGTTGGAGAAGGACGGCAGAAAGACGGAGGGGTCGGTACTTCCAGATGCCTGCTGGCAGCCTACGGAGCTTGTTCAGAATGCAGATTCCGGGGACCCTGGGTGACTCTGTAGGTCAGAGATCTGCATTTTAACAAGCTCCCTGGGGAGATTCAGAAACACCCCAGATTCCCAGACCCACACTGAGAAATCCCGGATGAAATGGACAGATTGCCCCCCGCCACAGGTAACCACACATGTGTGTGTCCCTCCGGCCCATTCTCCTGTGATTCCTCCAAGATGTGGCAGGTGCACATTAACACATAAGGGGAATCTACGCTCATCATTCTATCACTAGCTTTTTGTAAATTGCAGTGAAATTCACACAACATAAAATTAACCATTTTAGGTGCACAATTCAGTGGCATTTAGCACATGTTATGCATCCACGCCTCTGTCTAATTCCAGAACATTTTCATGACCTCAAAGGGAAACCCTATCCCCATGAAGCAGTCGGTCCCCCTTTCCCCCAACCCCAGCCCCTGGCAACTACCAATCTGCTTTCTGTCTCTCTGGATTTACCTGAATCAATGGATTCAGATTTCAGGGGGGCTGGGCTCCTCCACTGCTCCAGAGCAGCTACATAAAAATTTACCATAAATATTTATATTTATTTATATATATTTACCATAAATATTCTGGGTATTTTATACAAACGGGGTGGTACAAAATGTAGCCTCTGTCCTGTGCTGAGCCTCTCAAGGGGACACGTGGAGATCCCTGCGACCGAGCTGGGCCGTAAGAGCAGTCCTCTGTCAAGCCCTTAGAGATGCGGGCCCTGCCCTGAGCACCGCTTGTGGATGAAGTCAGGGACACCCTGTGATATGCGGGCCCTGCCCTGAGCACCGCTTGTGGATGAAGTCAGGGACACCCTGTGATAGACCCTCTCAGGCAGGCACTGGTAACAAGCCCATTTCTCAGATGTGGAGACTGAGGTTGGCAGCAGTGTGGTCAGCTGCCCATGCTCACCCTGATGAGATCCCATGTAGACCTAGAGTCTTTCGCTCAACTGCTGCCTCTGGACGCCTCTATGAGGAGTTTGTGTGACTCTGTGCTGTGAAAATCAATGTGGGAAGGGACCATAGCCCAACTATCCGCTCCCGCCAGGCCTGGCTTCTCGCTCGCTGCCACCCTCTGTGCTGTGTGCTGTGGTGACTCCTGGACTCCAGATTTCAGGGGGATGGGCTTGTCCCTTTGGCCACCTCGTAAGGCTGCTGCACTCAAGGCTGTTTCTTCATTGTACACTCATGTGGGTGGGAAGCCCCGTCCCTAATGCCAGCCTATCTGGGCATCAGAAGGCCTGGGTCCAGGTTTCTGCCCTTACTTGATGAGTCCCCTGACGTCTCAGAACCTCAGCTATGTGTCTATAAAATGGAGTGCGTCGTCCCTGCGTGGAGGGGGCCGGGGCAGGATCCGAGGGGATCAGGCGTGGGAAAGCACCGTGTCCAGCGCCTGGCAGCAGCTGGGTATTATACAACATTTGTATGAGGTGGTTGGCACATTGGCAAGGAGGACCAGGATTGGGACCCTCGGAGGGCAGGAATCGGAACTCGTGTGGGTGAGGAGGGAGGGCTCAGGAGCAGGAGAATTACTTGAGGAGGATGGAGCTCAGGGTTCTTCCTGCCTTCGCTCACTCCACTAGAAGGTGGTTCTTCACACTGCTCACAATGCCAGCTTTGAGGACTGGCCACCAGGCGCAGCACGAGCCTTCACATTCCTTTCCTGCTGGTGAAGCCTGGACTCCACAGCTCCACCCCCACGCTCACTGCCCACAAAAGCCAGACAATAGGGCATGGTGGGGTCTGTGGCCAAGTGGAAAGGTATGCCCAAGTTTTGACAAAGGGATGATCATTGCTTAGCTCCAGCCTTCCGCTGCCAATGCTTCTGGCTTTTAAAGGAGAAGCAGGAAATGCATAATTTTTATGTCAAATGTCTTTATTTTTTAAACGTGTCTGAGCCAAACAAGCCACATCTTTGTAACATCTTCACCCTCCACCCCACCCCCAGCCGCCAGGTTACATTCTAGGCTCCAGTCTGGGTCCTGGCCAATCTACAGACACCTCCAGGACAGGGCCTTTGCTTCTACCTGAAGACACAGTACAAATTTTAGAGCAAGAATACCACGGTTCAATGCCAGGTGCAGTGGCTCATAACTGTAATCCCAGCACTTTGGGAGGCTGAGGCAGGCAGATCACGTGAGGCCAGGAGTTCAAGACCAGCCTGGCCAATACGATGAAACCCTGTCTCTACTAAAACTACAAAAATTAGCCGGGCGTGGTGGCATGCACCTGTAGTCCCAGCTACTTGGGGGACTGAGGCCAGAGAATTACTTGAACTCAGGAGGCAGACGTTGCAGTGAGCTGAGATCACACCACTGCACTCCAGCCTGGGTGACGGAGAGAGACTCCTTCTCAAAAAACAAAAAAAAAAAAAAAAAAAAAAGAAAGAAAGAATACCAAGGTTCAATACCAGCCACCAAGCTCTGTGACCTTAGGCAAGTTACTTAACCTCTCTGTGCCCCCATTTCCTCATCCATAAGATGGTATGCTTTAATAATCAGATTTGTGACGCTACAGCTATTATTTTCTTAAGGAAAGTTAAATATCTGCACAGAGAGTTGGTCCAGTATCGTGGTTCTGTGAAGACTCTGGAGTCAAAGAGAATGAGGTTCAAATCCAATGGCTGCTGCTCCCCTGCAGCTGACCTTGGGCACAGCACTCAGGCCTCTGAATCTCAGTTTTGTAAATGGTCTCCAGTTTGTAAATCTATGAACGGGAATCCTCCTTCCTGCCTGCGGTCGTTGTGAGGATGAGATTGACTGATATGTGTAAAATGCTAGTGCACGGATACCTCCTCGTGAACTGGTGACTGTTGTTATGCTGCAAGCTGGCCAGTGCAGAGAGGGCGAGCCGGAGCGGTAGTGGGGTGAGTGTCATAATGGAGGCCAAGTCTGGGAAAGAGGAGGAGCTGGGGAGGCCGGGACAGGGAAGGTGCGTGAGTCAGGGTTCTCTGGAAAGACAGAACTAATAGGATATTGTACATATGAAAGGGAGTTTATTCAGGAGAATCGACTACTCACATGATCACAAGGTCAAGCCCCACAATAGGCTGTCTGCAAGTGGAGGAGAAGGGAAATCAGTAGTGGATCAGTCTGAGTCCCAAAACCCCAAAAGTAGGAAAGCCGACAGTGCAGCCTTCAGTCTATGGTTGAAGGCGTGAGAGCCCCCAACAAACCACCAGTGTAAGTCCAAGAGTCCAAAAGCCGAGGAACTCAGAGTCTGATGTTCAAGGGCAGGAAGCATCCAACATGGGAGAAAGATGAAGGCCGGAAGACTCAGCAAGTGTGCTCTTCCACCTTCCCCTGCCTGCTTTTTCTAGCCACACTGGCAGCAGAGGGGATGGTGCCCACCCAGATGAAGGGTGGGTCTGCCTCTCCCCCTCCACTGACTCAAATGTTAATCTCCTGTAGCAACACCTTCACAGACACACCCAGAAACAACACTTTGCATCCTTCAATCCAATCAAGTTGACACTCAATACAAACCATCACAGCGGGTAAACAGGCCAACTCTGCAGGTGTGCGTGGAGCAGCCCTCCCGGGCAGTGCTCGGCCCCAGAAAGCGTCGTAAAAGGGCGTTGTTGGCCTGGGCGGGCAGAGGAGGACAGAAAGAGGCAGCTCTCACAGCACAGTGGAGGAGACATCGGGGGCCTTGCAGACCAGGCAGAGACCAGGGAATGGATGGCCTCCTCCACTGCTCCAGAGCAGCTACAGGGGCCAAAGGACATCTTCAAGGAGGCAGAGACCTCCCCGCATTGCCTCCTGGGGAGGGTGCCCACCGCAGACAGGCTGCTCCCACCGTCTGCCTCCTGAGGGTCAGGGGCCCTGGGGGTTGGGGGCCTCCTGCTGGGCCCCCTGTGGCCCTCCTCACCAGCCATGGTGCTCAGTGCGTGTCTGCTGAGTGGCTGGGTTTCCAGCAGGTGTTTCAGCGATAGCCATTCCCTCACCTGCTCAGCTCTGCATCATGGGGAGGCGCGTTCCCCAGGCTCCTGGCTCTCCCTCTTCCCAGTAGGTTCAGCCAGTGGGAAGCCCTTTTGGGAAATCAGAAGGTGGGAGGAAGGGAGCAGCAGAGATATTGCTCCCCATCTCCCTCCACTTCCTGGGACATCCCCAGCAATGACTGTGTCTTCTCCAGACTCTGACTTCCCCTGGGAAGCCCTTCCTCCGTGATCCCAGCTTCTTCTGGGCAGCTCCAATTTCTGGCTCCAGCATTGGCGCTGAGCACCTCCTACTGTCCTGCCATCCTGAAACGGATGCCAGCTCCTGCTGTGGGTCATCTCTGGGTGGTCCCACCATCCCCCGTGTGGCTTCTCAGCTTTTCCATTGCCTGTGCGAGCAAGTCTCAGGATTAAGTTACTCCGCTATGAAAAGACCTGGGGTCGGCGGGGGGTTCCTATTTCCAGGCTGGGCCGGCCGATACAGTAGCCATCCTAGACAAACCCGTGCATCCTTGGAAGCCCTATTCGCACCTCGCCTTAAAGGGAATGGGATGTGTTATGCATAGACTCACGACCTCTGAACCAGGTTCACACCCATGACTTTCGTTCTTTCCTGCCACACGCTGCCTTCAGTTAAGGGCCACATTTGTGAATTCACTCTGCACGGTCACCGTCGCACAGCCCATTTTATTTGCACGTCAGTGCTGCTGCTTCTCGGAGAAGCCATTTGATCCCTCTGAGCCTCAGTTTCCCCCTCTGTAAAATGGAGGGGATGGGAATAGCGCCTACCTCCTATGATCACCGTGAGGCTTAAATCACACTGATACTTCCTCACTGATACTCCCAGTCTGATTATTAGAGGGCACCATTTTATGGATGAGGAAACAGAGGCACAGAGAGGCTAAATAACTTGCCCAAGGTCACAGAGCTCAGTGGCTGGTATTGAACTCTGGTATTATTGCCCTAAAATTTGTACTAAGCATCTTCAGACAGAGGCAACGGCCCTGTCCTGGAGGGGTCTGTAGATTGACCAGCTCCCAACAGTGCCTGGCAAGGAACAGCTCGAGAATCGTGAGCTCTGAGAAACTCTGTGGCCTTCCTATTCCTCTGCCCCTCAGCCTCTGCTGATTTTCTTCTGCAGGGAGAAGCGTTCAGGATAAACAGTTCAGCCAAGGGCATCTCCTTTTGCAAGCTGTGTGCTCACAAAAGTTGCTCATTCGGTGCCCACTCGAGCACCTGTCTGTCCCAGGCACCTCTGGGAACTGGGGGCCCAGGGGAACGAGGCCCCATCCCTGCCTCACATACAAGTCACGGGACGGGGATCCTGATGGAAGGCAGCACTGACACCGTGGGCAAGACAGATGCAGGCTGAAGAAGGTCCCGAGAGGAGCTGGGTTTTTCTCACATTGAGGGGGATGATCTGTGGCTTCCTGAAGGAGGCGGCATTTGAACCATGCTCTGTCTGTTGGGAATATGAAGCTGAATGCAGCAGCTGCCAGTGCGATTCAGCAGGCAGACCCCTGGGGTGGTTTGAAGCCCGAGTGAGTGAGTGGCCTGGGCTCAACCCTCGTTCCTCCTGACCTCCGAACCGGGGCCCCCGAGAGCAATGGGGGAGGATGGTTGAGGCACGGGCTCTCAGACCATGCTGCCCATCCCTCACTGACTAGCTGGGTAACCTCGGTCGGGACTTGAGTGTCCTATGCCTCAGTTTCCTCATCTGTAAAATGGGAGAATGACGGCTCTTGCCTCACAGGATTGGCGGGAGGGCTGAACACGTGAATTCACATGAAGTTCTCAGCCCAGGATGTCACCCTCTCTCACCAAACACTGATAAAGAAAAGAATGCCTTGGCTGGGCGTGGTGGCTCACGCCTGTAGTCCCCACACTTTGGGAGGCCAAGGCAGGTGGATCACCTGAGGTCAGGAGTTCGAGACCAGCCTGGCCAACATGGTGAAACCCTGTCTCTACTAAAAATACAAAGATTAGCTGGGTGTGGTGGCGCATGCCTGTAATCCCAGCTACTCGGGAGGCTGAGGAAGGAGAATCGCTTGAACCCAGGAGGCGAGATTGCAGTGGGTGGAGATTGCGCCATTGCACTACAGCCTGGGCAACAAGAGCAAAACTCTGTCTAAAAAAAAAAAAAAAATGCCTTTATGTCATCAGAGACTCTGGTTTTGCCCCTGCCCGCAGCTGCCACCTTCATGGAGCACTGGAAGCGGAAACAGATGCGACTCAACTACCGCTGGGACCTCACGGGCTTTGAAGAGGAAGAGGTCAGTGGGTTTGCCGCCGTGCATATCACGCCCTTCCCCCACGTTCCCCCTACCCCAGGACCTCCTTGGGACTTACACGGAGGCCCGAGGTCAGAAAGCACTTCTGGTCCAAGCTGAGGCAAGGCCGCCCCCCATCCCCCACCCCCTGCCTGCCTCGCCACTCAACACCCTGGCGTTCCGAACACCCTCCATGGCCAAAGTGACCACTCCCTGTCTGCTGAAGTGTTTTCATCCCCATGCTCACATGGACACCCAGCCACCAGCGTGGTCTCAGGCACATGCCAGGGCTCACCACACTGACCTCATCGCGTCTGGGGGCTGCCTGGGCTGTCGGCACCACCCGTGGGGGTGGAGAGGAAATGGACACTGCCCATGGGTCTCCAAAAGTGGCCGTGAGCATCTGCCTCCCCGGGTGCCAAACCCACGTTCCCTGGAGCCAGCTCTGTGCCTGCAGCTGGGCGTGGCTGACAAGAGGGAACGGATCCTTTACTAACATAGAGGGAAAGCCAGTGTTGGGCATCTTCATACTCCAGAGAGAGGGACATTCAATATTACGTAGCCCCTGGGATGCCAGGTGAACCATACTCCCAGGGATCCCAAGTCCAGCAGGAATTCCCTTCAGGGTAGGTGGGAATGAAAAGGAGTAACAGTCCCCACAATTAGCCTTGGTGCACAACAGAGGCGACCTCATGCACGCGCTGTAAGGTGCAACCACACTGACCACTATTTAATTTTATAAAACATGCTCCCCACTTTTTGGGAGACAGGGTCTCCCTCTGTCACCTAAGCTGCGGTGCAATGGCATGATCATAGCTCACTGCAGCCTTGACCTCCCGGGCTCAAGCCCTCCTCCCATTTCAGCCTCCCAAGTAGCTGGGGCTACAGACACACACAACCATGCCTGGCGAATTGTTTAATTTTTTTGTAAGAGTCAGGTTCTTGTTATGTTGCCCAGGCTACACATGCTCCCTTTTAAAAAAAAAAGAACTTTTTCATGCATTTTTATTGTAATGTAGACATTTCTTTCTAAAGATATTTTTCTTTTAAAGGCCTTTTTTCTTTAAAAAAAATTTTTTTTAACTTTTCTATTGTCTTTTCTCACACAATCTGCTCCCTCTCAGACTGAACCCAAGGGTCACTCTTCAGCCAAATGTGCCAGCTTTGGGTTGACAATATTGTCAACAGACAAGGGGATTAGAGTTTTCTGGGAGAGGCACAGCAGCTCACAGGGTATAAGACGGGCCTCTGGGGCCAGGCTGCCAGAGTTCCATCCAGATTCGGCACCAGCCTTGCTGTGTGACCCCAGGCAAATTGCTTAACATCCCTGTACCTCAGTGTCCTCACTTGATGGCATTTGTAGGGTCTCAATGGATCAATAGATATAAAGCACTTAGAACCTGACCTAGCACACAGTCAGTGCCCCATAAACGGCTGCCCGGCTAGTGGCCACTGGGCGACACCTTTATCTGCCCAGACAACAGCCTCCACCCTCTTCCTCAGCCGATCTCATTATCCTGTCCACAAATGACCAGACAGAGATCAATGCAACCTGTCCACAGCACACAGCTCTGCAGGGCAGAGCGGGGGCAGAGCCCAGAGCCCTGTCCATGGAGGGAGCTCTCTGGGTGGTCTCTTCCCTTGCCGTTTCAATTAGAAAGATTCAAATAGAAAAAAAAAAGCAGTCACCATCTTGTTCAGAAGTCAATTTCAAATGTCCCTTCTGTGATGTCCCTGTGGCTGGGGAAAGTTGGCGGTGAGGCCCAGTCCCCTTTGTTCAACCCCTTGGGATCCCATTCCCTGATCTCCTGACCCTGATGGCTTGGGATCTTGATTTTGGGGGTGATAACCGAAGTCACTGGGCACACACAGTGCCAAGGAGCCCGAATGAATTTCCCAAAGTGAGCCACTCGCACCCCCAGCGGCTGGTCAGGGACTCCTTTGGGAGTAATAACCTCAGGCGACAGGGGCCGCCCCTCCACATAGCCTGAACCCCAGACTTTGGTAATGAAGCAGAAGGACACTTGTCTCCTATCATGTGACCCATGTGTGCCTTAGCTGAATCTGAGATGTTTCAGTCCAGCACTGAAATTTGGAAATTTGGGGAATTTCCAAAACCATGGGAAAGGCCACAGCTACAAAGGCCACAGTCCACAGTCACCCTCAAGCAGCAGTAAACCTTAAAGGAACCCAGGGTCACCCACCCATCCCGGCTCACCTGTATCCATTTACCTTCATCCTAATTCTTAAGAAAGTTGTCTTTAGGACCGGGCGCGGTGGCTCACGCCTGTAACCCCAGCACTTTGGGAGGCCGAGGAGGGCGGATCACGAGGTCAGGAGATCAAGACCATCCTGGCTAACAGGGTGAAACCCTGTCTCTACTAAAAATACAAAAAATTAGCCGGGCGTGGTGGCGGGCGCCTGTATCCCAGCTACTCAGGAGGCTGAGGCAGGAGAATCACTTGAACCCGGGAGGCAGAGCTTGCAGTGAGCTGAGACCGCGCCATTGCACTCCAGCCTGCTCAATAGAGCAAGACTCCATCTCAAAAAAAAAAAAAAAAAAAAAAAGTTGTCCTTAGTGGACAGGTCCTATTTCTAAAATAACAACCTAAGTAATGACATCTTTGTGTTTTTGTTTTTACTTTTCTGGTTCCCTGAAGGAGGCTGTCAAGGTTTGGAACTTTTTGTCGCTCCTCTATCTTCCCACAGCCTATCTCCCTGGGAGAGGGACCTTCTCTTGCACCTAATCTCTTTCTACCACGCAGTTCCCGCAGTTCCTCCACGCGGGTGGGGTCTCTGCTTTCTCCCCACCTCCGGTCTCTCCTAACCTGTTCTTTCCTTCCAGCACCCTTCGCTGACCTGCGCTGAGCTCCCCAAGGCCTGGCACCTCTGGGCTTCCTGCGCTTGCCGACAGTTACTGCGTCTCTTCTGACTCCCACAGCTCCCCCGTAGAATGTTCTCAGGGCCAGTTCATGGCTGGGTGTTCACTGCAGCCTGGTACAGGCTTCTCCACCTCCAGGAGGACACAGAGGCCAGATTCGGTGGCCCTCCCAATGGGCTGGGGTTCCCCACAAGCGGGATGATCCTGGGTCACTATCCAGACCACAGATGGGGTGATTACACTGGAAATATTCAGCAGCCAACTATGAACTGGACCCAAAGGGTGCCCGAGGCTAATACATGGACTGATTTGCCAAGTATGCTCACGCTGAGGAGCTCAGACTCAAAATTAACAAGGACTCTGTCTTGACTTGGTTTCATTCACAGGATCATCCTAGAGCTGAATACGAAGCCAGAGTCTTGGAGAAGTCTCTGAAGAAAGAGTCCAGAAACAAAGAGGTATGGTGGCCACTGTGGGTTAACTTTCCCAGCAATAAAACACTGTGTTCATCAACCATGTAGACCTGGGATCAGCCCAGAGAACAAATATTGTAGGCTGTGTAACCCCGTGTTGCGGCTGCTCAACTCTGCCATGGTAGCGGCAAAAGGAGCCATAGACAGTAGGTAAACACATGGGCCTGTGTTCCACACACTGTGTTCCAATAAAACTTTATTTGCAAAAACAGACAGGGGGCCAGATTTGGCCAAAGGGCTATAGTTTGTCAAACTTCCTCTAGATCTCTTGTCATGATGTATCCTGAGGGTGATCTCAAGTTTTAGCCAGCATTTCAACCACAGGAACCACGTGGCTTTGAAGCTTCAAAGCTTTTTCACAGTACACCCCTCCTGTTCTATGCCGAGCAATGAAACAGAAGCCTTTGCCAAACCAGCACCCCTGAGCAAATGGCCAGTTCCTTGTTTCACTCAGACTGTGAGAATGAGGGTGAGACATGTTTTGCAATGTTCTTGAGGTCATCGTCTTTTTATAATAATTGCTTTTCTTTTTCCCCAAATGTCTCATTCAAATTAAGTCATATGTGCAGCCAGGACTCTCGAAGACCTCCAGAGGTGCTTGCCGGCTTTGTTTGTTTGTATGTTTGTTTGTTTGTTTTTTGAGACAGAGTCTCTCTCTGTCGCTCAGGATGGACTGCAATGGCATGATCTCGGCTCACTGCAACCCCCGCCTCCCGGGTTCAAGCAATTCTCATGCCTCAGCCTCCCGGGTACCTGGGACTACAGGCGCGTACCACCGTGTCCAGCTAATTTTTTGTATTTTAGTAGAGACGGGGTTTCACTATGTTGCCCAGGCTGGTCTCGAACTCCTGACCCCAAGAAATCCACCCGCCTTGGCCTCCCAAAGTGCTGGGATTACAGATGTGAGCCACCGTGCCCAGCAAAGTTTATTTAATGGTGTTTTTCACATGATGTGGGACAAGCAGGCATGGAGCTCCTGGCCTTGTCAGCCTCTAAAGGAGGCTGGAGATGCCCGCACTGACCCTTGGAGGGATGAGGGCAGTCGAGGGAGCTCTCACAGGTCCTGACCTTGTGTCATATCTGCACTTTCAGCCTTGGGGACTGATCAGGACAAACCCCTGGGTTTGTCTTTCCTTGTCAATGTGTCAGGGGACAGTGCTCACAGGTCCAAAGTGGCCGGGGGTTACAGTTGCCAAAATCCCATCTGGAGGGTAAAGTGGGTGCTCTAGAAAGCCTCCTCTCAAGGCCCAGCTCTTCAAATACAATGAGAATCTGGGGTACAGCTCGGTCCTCCTATAGCCAGGAAGGAAGTATGTCTTTTTTTTTTTTTTTTTTTTTTTTGAGAGGGAGTCTCGCTTTGTAGCCCAGGCTGGAGTGCAGTGGCGCGATCTCAGCTCACTGCAAGCTCTGCCTCCCAGGTTCACGCCATTCTCCTGCCTCAGCCTTCCGAGTAGCTGGGACTACAGGTGCCCACCACCACACCCAGCTAATTTTTTGTATTTTTAGTAGAGACGGGGTTTCACCGTGTTAGCCAGGATGGTCTCAATCTCCTGACCTCAGGTGATCCACCCGCCTCAGTCTCCCAAAGTGCTGGGATTACAGGTGCGAGCCACTGTGCCCAGCCAGAAGTATGTATTTTTAAACACCCCTGAGGGTCTGAGCAGGACTCAACAGAATACAACTATAAAAGCAGGAGTTATCGCCCTAAAATAAAGAGACTGTCTGTCTGACTTAACACATCGGATGTGCACGCCCGGGTGCCAGCTGCCCTCTGCCCCGGCCCTTCAGGCCCTCTGCGCCCCTCATTCCCTCCTGGGAAAGCAAAAGGCCTGGATGCCATCATCTCTAAGGCCCTACAAGCATCCGGCGTGTTTTCAGGGCGGCATCCCGGCCCCCAAGCCTGGGTGAAGATGTCTCAGGAGTCAGTGTATGGCCTCCAAGACAGCCCACCCTGTAGTTGTGTGGTCGCACCTCTTGCAGTGAGCATAGGTGGGTATTTAATTCCTTCCTAAGGGGCAGAAAAGGGCTTTTGTGACACACACTATGTCCATTTAAGGCAAGGGACCTAACCAAGCCACAACAGCGAATCTGGGCAACAGGTGCCGGAAGGAAGCCACCTCTTGGATACAGGGTCCCTCCGCCTCTGTGGCCCGTGGCTTGGTTTCAGCCCAGGCTCTCTGATCACATGAAAGCAACAGAGGCATGGGGGTTTACTTTTGCAGAGCTCAGAGGCACCCCCAGGCCCTGTCTGCTTCTGACGGGCCGTACCCTTTATTTCCTCCTCTGTTTCATTTGGCTCCCAGTGGCTGCTCTGCGGTTTTGATTTCCCTCCAGCTATGGCACTGAATTCATTTATGGAAAGAGACCCACCACCTAATTGGCGGATGTGCTTGGGCTTCTGGGTGTGGCTTCCTTCTTGCTGTCATAAGATGCTGGTGGTGACCTGCACATTTGGCCACTACCTCCCGCTGGAATCCAGCCACCATCTGTGAGATGGGGCATGACGCGGTCCAGTGGAGGGTGCGTGCTGGAGTCTCTCCCGTCTCCACCACCTTTGTTACAGATGTTCTTTCCGAACGTAGGTCTCTGCCGTCTCTTACTTGTTTAAAACGCCCAGAACCCGAGTCAGCCTTGGCAGTGAGCTTACGGCCCGCACCAGGAGGGGCCAGCCTGCTGCCAAGATGGGGACGGTTCCCTGGGCCCCGCGGTCTGCGGTGCCGCCTCCCACTTCACCGCACGGTGCTCTCTTTCCCCCACCCCCCCTCAGAAGCGCCGGCATATTCCAGAGGAGTCAACAAACAAATGGAAGCAGAGGGTTAAGACAGCCATGGCGGGGGTGAAATTGGTACTTTTCTATTTTGCGGGCAGCGCGCGTCTTGACTGTTTGCAGGCAATCAAAGTCGATTGTGTTTTTCCTCAACAAACTGTTGTATATATTTTTTTTTAACATTCACATCCGTGTTTCTCTGTCTTCCTTCGGCACCCAGTGAGCCCAGCATGTTGCGATGGCACTGCATGGCTATGGTGGGTCTGCGGTGGCGGGGACGGGGGTGGGGCTCTGGCTTGACTTGGAGCTCGTGAAACGTGCTTGTCACAACTGCCTGCAAGTGTTTCTTGGTCTCCTCGTTAACATGCATGCCACCCACCCCAGAACGAGTGGCCTCCGGTGTCATGCCCGTCTGCATTCTGTGACCTAATACATGCATTTTCCCATGGAAAAATCCACCCCCATTTGAAACATCCCGGATTAGTGATGAGCTTCTACCTAGGGTTTCTCCAGACCAAGCCAACCCTGGGTTCTGAGAGCCTTCAGGACATGTGTCACCGCAGACGACGTTTTAACTTGTAGTGCTAGCTGCTTGTTTCAACTTGCTCCACAAAGGAAAAATAACTATTATGGTCTGGGTGGCACTGGGAAAACATCTTCCATCTTCTAGACCTAGAAGTGAGACTTTTAGCTGAAGAAATGGACTCCAAGTCCAGGTTTCTCCCAGACGTGGGTCCAACAGTCTTTAGAAAGGCAGCTGGCATTACAATGTCCTACACACAGAGGAATCACAGTGTTAAACGGTTCTTGCTCCCGTTATCCTGTGACATAGGTGATAAACCCCGAAATGCTTCTTGGAACCCTATGCGTTTGCACTGGCTCATCACCTGTGGGCATTTTTGAGGTTTTTCTGAGTATTTCTGTTGTTCAAGTTGTCCCTGGGCCCATGCACGCACGCACATGCACCCACGCTGACACACAGAGATGTCTCATCGTGATGGTTCCAGACAGTGACCGGCATTGTTTTGTGTTGTAGACTGACAAAGTGAAGCTGACATGGAGAGATCGGTTCCCAGCCTACCTCACTAACTTGGTCTCCATCATCTTCATGGTAAGTTCCAGAAGGTTAAGGCCAGACGAAGTCAGGGGAAACCGCAAGGAAGTGATTGGCTTCAGCCGGGCGTGGTGGTTCACGACTGTAATCCCAGCACTTTGGGAGGCCGAGGCGGGCAGATCACTTGAGGTCAGGAGTTCGAGACCAGCCTGGCCAATATGGTGAAACCCCGTCTCTTACTAAAAATGCAAAAATTAGCTGGTGTGGTGGTGCATGCCTGTAGTCCCAGCTACTCAGGAGGCTGAGGCAGGACAATTGCTTGAACCCGGGAGGCAGAGGTTGCGGGGAGCCAAGATCACACCACTGCACTCCAGCCTGGGTGACAGAGCAAGACTCTGTCTCAAAAAAAAAAAAAAAAAAGGATGCGATTGGTGTCCTCCAAGACCTGATTCAGCCTTTCACACGGTGGTGCCACTGGTCCCAGGGTGCGCCGGCCCCATCTCCTCAGGGCAGTGGGTGGGGAAGACTCACCACTACCCCTAAAATGGGAAGAGACCAGGGTTCCAAAGTGACCCCCAGTGGGGGCTTCACACGCCAGGGAGTACATGAGATGATTTCTGTGGTCCCTGATACACAGCTTTCATTTTGAGAGACACAATTATTTGAGTATCTAGTAATTCAAGCCTGGGATTCAAAGATATCATTTAAGATGAAACTGAAGACTTTTTAAGAAAACCATTAAATGGGCCGGGTGCAGTGGCTCACACCTGTATTCCCAGCACTTTGGGAGGCCGAGGCAGGAAGATTGCTTGAGCTTAAGAGTTTGAGACTAGCCTGGGCCACATGGCAAAACCAAAAATACAAAAATTAGCTGGCGTGGTCGTGCGCGCCTGTGGTCCCAGCTATTCGGGAGGCTGTAGTGGGAGAATTGCTGGAGACTGAGAAGTCGAGGCTGCAGTGAGCTGTGGTCACGCCACTGCACTCCAGTATGGGTGACAGAGCGAGACCCTGTCTCAAAAAAAAAAAAAAAAAAAAAAACCTGTTTATGTTTATTTTGTGACCAAAACATGACTTGAGCCCTGATACAGGCATCAGCATTAAATTAAGTAAAAACAAATTTTTAAAAATTTTAAAAAAGAAAACTATTAAATAAATAACATGCAGACAGGACACGATAGTGCTACTCAGGGACCACAAGTCTGTGACGTGGCTTGTGGGCAAACATCTTGTGGCTTTTAGGGGATTTCAATCCCAGGGACTTCAACCCCCAATGGATTCGGCCTTGGCCGCCTGCTAGCTGTGTTTCCATCACCCCCCAAGTACTCGGAGCCAGCCGTGGTCATGTTACAAATGACCCTGCCCTCGTCCAGCCCAACAGCTTGAAGGCAGCGCCTCCTGTGGCCACCTAGCCCCGAGTCCTGGTACTGGAGCCCAGGTTGGCAGCTGTGCACTGAGGGCCTCACCAGAGCGTCTCATCACTGGCCAGTCCTGGTACCATCCCCCTCCTGCTGATACAGAAACTAAAGCCAGAAGGCTGCACTTCTCCTCCAGTGCCAGCCAGAGGTGGTGGCTGTGGTCACCATGTAGTCACTGGCATATGCCTGCAGAAGCTGGTGCCAGTCAGGCTGTCTGCTCCAAGATCCATGCCATTCTGTAGGAACTTGGAGAGACAGAGGCGGGGGGCTGTCTTTGTTTTCTGGGTTGAGTGAGGGGCCAAGGGCCCCCTGACCAAGTCATGGAAGAAGTGGGAAGATCCAGTGTCCCCTCATGCTCTTAGGTACAGTAAGAGGGACGCTGGCCGACATAAAGAAGTCCAGAGGAGGGTGGCCTCAGTGGTGGGGCCTGCTCATCCCCCTTACCTGGAGAAGGGGACCCCCTCGGTGGGGGCTGGGGGCTGGGGGCTGTTGTGCTCTCGGTGACTTGGTGGGAGGGCACCCGGCCTCGTGCTGAGGGGATGTGTCCCCTCTGGCCAGGTGCCAGGCTAGGGGGTTGGGAGATAACCGGAGCCTCCCCATCCCTCACCCAGGGGAGGCTAGCCTGAGGTTCAGCCACTCCCACTGCAGAAGCAGCAGCATTGTCGCAGAAGGGCCAGTGCGGGGCCGGGAAGGAGGTGGCCGTCTAGGGCTGGTCTGGTGGCCCCACGATGCCATCAGAGTCACTGGCTTCTCTGACCTTCTGCTAGCCTGTCCTAGGAGTGGGTCCCCTCTTGGTCACAACATGGCTGCTGCACCTCCAGCATCACTTCCACTCTCCAGGCTGGAAGAAGGGGAAGGGTGGGGGAAGAGATGGGCCAGGGGTGGCAGCCCCTGTCTGAAGGTGCTTTCGCAGAAGACCCACCACACCTCTGCTTGCATCTCATTGGTCAGAACTGTTTCACGTGGCCACCTCCTCTGCAGGGAGGCTCAGGAATGAGCACACACTGCCATCTCAGCAAGGCGGGATGGTAGAGGAAAGACAGAGGATATTGGATAGGGAAGTAGCCGGCTCTTTTCCCAGCCTTGACGTACTGGTAAACCCCTGTCACAAGGGCTTCATAGGGTTGAAGAGGACACAGCTTTGTCTTCAACTTGGGAGTTTCATTCAGCGAACAAACGTTGGTTGAGCACCTAGGATGTGCCCCACACGCCCCTGGTCCTGGGGATGCGGGGGAGATGGACCAGGGAGACTGGAAGGGAGCCTGCTGCAGGGCGTGCCTGTTGTGGGCCCGACTGCCCCATGGCAGGGCAGGGGACGCGCCCGCTGGGGTGGAGGGCCTCCCTCGCTGAGTCACCCACAGGCCTGGCGCTCCAGCTGCACCTCCGCATGCTGGCACGGGGACAGACATCCTGGAGGCCTCTTGGCAGGACCGAGGGGTTTTCCAAGGAAAGCCCTTGTTCCCCGGAGCTGGCCAGGGAGTGGTCCCCACGCCTCGCAGCAGGGCTTCTCCTTAGTCAGGGTGTGGTGAGGGCTGCAGGCATTTTCCTGGGCAGGGTGCAGTCACCATGTGTCACTGGCAGATGCCTGCAGAAGCCGGTGGTAACGGCCCAGAACATGAAATAAGAGCTTTTCTAGGTTTCTGAAAGCTGCAGACACCCTCTGGGGCAAACAGACCCATCCCAGGCTGCAACTGGGAGACACACAGGGCAGCCCCAGGCCTCCTGGGCCTGCCTGTCCTGGGAGCCACCTGTGACTGTGCCAGCAGGGACCGGACCTGCCCTCTGCACCCTTGCATGGGAGCAAATATGCGATTTCCTGGAACACGGGGACACAGGGTGACAAGACAGCCTGTGTCCTGCGGGTGGTTTCACGCCTGGGTGAGGAGCCTGGCTTTGCTGTGTGCTTCTCCTGCCCAGCCCTCGGTCCATCCATCCTCAATGAGGGCTCAGAATGGGGCATCCACACCCCTGGGCAGGGCGGGGCAGGGCAGGGTGAGGGAGCCCAGACAGACAGACAGACAGAGGTGTGTGGAACAATCTTGTCATTGTAGCCAACTCCCACCACGGTTTCTCAGGCAACCACCAACCCAAGTTTTATGGAATGTTCTGGTCCCACGGTATGTTTGGCAAGAGGAGGGGCTCACTCTGGTGGGAGAGCTAGAAGGGTGCTGCTGGCTGGGAGAAGGGACCCAAAGCATCTCCAGCCAGACCCAAAGCCCTGCCCCATCCCAGGCCACACCTGCCTCCTTTACCAGGGGAGTCCCTGGGAGGTGGCTGTGAGAGAGGCACACCTCAGCCCTGCACCACCTGAGGATGTCCCTGAGCTCACCATGGGTTGGGGGAGAAGCCCCATCCCGCAGTCAGTCTGCTCTGGGACAAGCCACTGGCATGGCGGCCATACTGTGTCCTGGGCTGTGCTTGGGGATGGTGCCTGGGCTCCGGGAAGATGGTAGCACAAAGATCTTGTGAACTGCAGGCTTGGGCAGACCGCCTGGTAAATCCCAGCTCCTGAGCTGGGTGACCTGGCCTGTCTACGTAACCTCTCTGAACCTCAGTGTCCTTGTCCATGGAACAGAAACTAGCCCCTCATCCATCTGTCTCTGGTGGGTTAATGCACAGAAAGCCCCTGGCATTTGGCAGGTGCCCAAGAAATGTCAGTGCTTGTTTTGAAGCAGAAGAGCGGGAAGGTTGGGGGACAGCTGGACTGAGGGAGCAGATGGGGCAGGCCCAGGAAGGTCCTGGGTGGGCCCCCAACCAAGAGTGCCCCTTTCCCCCCTGCAGATTGCAGTGACGTTTGCCATCGTCCTCGGCGTCATCATCTACAGAATCTCCATGGCCGCCGCCTTGGCCATGAACTCCTCCCCCTCCGTGCGGTCCAACATCCGGGTCACAGTCACAGCCACCGCAGTCATCATCAACCTAGTGGTCATCATCCTCCTGGACGAGGTGTATGGCTGCATAGCCCGATGGCTCACCAAGATCGGTGAGTGCCCATGTTCCAGGTACTGTGGCCTGGACTCAGGCAGCTGGAGTCGCCTGCCTCTTGCTGTGCATCCTTGAGTTTGTTGCTTAACTTCTCTGGGCCCCAGCTCCCTGGTTCTCAATGGGTATCCTGAGCACAGGCCATGGTGCGCCTATGAGAGCCGACTGAGTGACTGTGCCAGTGGCCAGCCAGAAGCTGGACCAGGCTGTTGGGGGCCATCCCAGCCACAGCCTCAGTATCATCCTACCCCTCCCTCTAGAGGTCCCAAAGACGGAGAAAAGCTTTGAGGAGAGGCTGATCTTCAAGGCTTTCCTGCTGAAGTTTGTGAATTCCTACACCCCCATCTTTTACGTGGCGTTCTTCAAAGGCCGGTAGGGACATCTTCAGCCTTTCCCCAACCTCGCTTCTCCCAGGTCCAGGAGAGGGCTCTCCCTCCCCACAGGTTGGGGGCACCTGGAGCCCAGGGCAGGGCAGACACCGTGGCACCCGCAGCCAAAGAGGGTCAGGGAGAAGGCCTGGGCCCTGCTGAGGCTCCAGAGCAGCGGGACCCTGGGCAGCAGGGAGTCCAGGTGGCAGGGAACCCAGGCAGTGGGGACCCCAGGCAGTGAGGACCGGGGAGTGAGGACCCGGGAGTGAGGGCCCTGGGCAGTGAGGACCCTGGGCCGTGGGGACCCCAGGCAGTGAGGACCGGGGAGTGAGGACCCGGCAGTGAGGGCCCCGGGCAGTGAGGACCCGGGAGTGAGGGCCCCGGGCAGTGAGGACTCTGGGCAGAGAGGACCTCGGGCAGTGAGGACCCGGGAGTGAGGGCCTTGGGCAGTGGGGACCCCAGACAGTGCAGACCCCGGGCAGTGGGGACCCCAGGCAGTGAGGACCGGGGAGTGAGGACCCGGGAGTGAGGGCCCCGGACAGTGGGGACCCCGGGCAGTGGGGACCCCAGGCAGTGAGGACCCTGGGCAGAGGGGACCCCAGGGACTCCAGGCAGTGGGAAGCTCCAGCAGCAGGAAGTCCAGGCAGAGAACCCCAGAAGCCAGCTCCAGGTGCTCCCACGGCAGGTAGGGAGGAGTCCACGTAGGGAGGAGTCCACAAAGTGGGGACAAGGAGAGAGGAGGGTGTGGAAATGCGGCTGCTGGCCACTTGAGCCCTCTTCACAGCTCCTGGAGGAGTGAAACCTTCCACGCCTGGGCCCTCTGGAGCCATCCCAGGCTGCGGTGGGGCCTGCGGCCCACCCACAATGATGCCCCCCACCCCCACCACCACTCCTGCAAGGGACTGGCTGGTCTGATCTCAGAGCCCCCAAAAAGGCTGCCTCCTCCACATCATGTGATTCACCAGTGCCATGCCCGCCCTCCTGGCCCAGGGTCCCAGGGCCCCGCCAAGGGGTCCAGTGCCCCCTGAGCGCATCCAGGATGGAGCAAGCTCTTGGAAGCCTACACGCCCCACACCAGCCCCTAGAAAGCCGAGAGGTTGTCTATCCCCACCCAGGGTGGCCTTTGGCCACCACCTGCCCCAGCTGCCCAAGGTCCCCAGAGTGCTTCTGTGCCAGCTGTCCATGGACCCCACCGTGCCAGCGGCACATCCTGAGTCCCAGGCAGCTAGCGCAGCAGCTTGCAGTCTTCAGGCCGGGTGGTCTTTGCCTTAATCCCCTCCTGGGCCCCTTCCCGCTGCCTCTCAGTCTCGTGGCCTCTCATTGAAGAAGTTCCTTTTTCTGACCCCTCTCTGGGTTTGGGAATCCAACCTTTGACCAATGAAAACCACTGTGGTCATCTTTTAGCAGATGCACCAGGCAGGGAGAGCCGCCTGTAGATACCCTCGAGGCTCAGCCTGCAGGACTCACACGCTGCACAGTCCCCACTTGGGGGTCTCTCCCCGAGCTGAGCCAGGGGCTCATCTTTTCTCTAACGACCTCCCCCATCGTTTCAGGTTTGTTGGACGCCCGGGCGACTACGTGTACATTTTCCGTTCCTTCCGAATGGAAGAGGTAACCGAAATTTTATTCATCTCTGGCAGCCCCTTCTGTCTTGCTTACGATTTGTCTACACCATGCACTTGGGAGAAGCAGCTGCAGCACATTTGTTCAGCAAAGAGCAGCAGGTTTCTTTCCTTCTTGCTGGAAACTTTTCTGTTCCCCTGATGTGGTGGGGTGGGCTTTAATCTTATCTGGTGTGTTCATATAGAATCACCTAGAAGGATAAAGTCGCTGTAGAGTTAATGAAAGAAAAACACAACATCTGGTTTTCTTTTCTTTTTTTGTGAGACTGAATATTTCTCTTCTGGTTAAGATGAATTAATGAGGGACGGGTGCAGTGGCTCATGCCTGTAATCCCAGCACTTTGGGAGGCCGAGACTCGTGGATCACCTGAGGTCAGGAGTTCGAGAGCAGCCTGGCCAACATGGTGAAACCCCATCTCTACTAAAAACGCAAAAAATTAGCCGGGTGTGGTGGTGCATGCCTGTAATCCCACCTACTCGGGAGGCTGAGGCATGAGAATCGCTTGAACCTGGAAGATGGAGGTTGCAGTGAGCTGAGATTTCGCCACTGCACTTCATCCTGGGTGACAGAGCAAGGAACCATTTCAAAAAAAAAAAAAAGAAGATGAATTAATGAGGACAAAACAGAACTTGGCTAACTTTTTTTTTTACTCGACATTGAAATGCTTGTCTCTTTACCCTCAAACACCATGCTGGTGGCATGTGCTTTCTGCCCAGCGATCCTGGCCATAGAAGGTCTGGTTGTGCCAGCCTGGTTCAGCCTCTGTCACGGCCCATGGACTTGCTCCACTGTTTGTCCCACAACCAGGGGCTCCATCAGACCAAGCCGGGGCTTCAGAGCCTATCAGTGGTTCTGGTCTCAGCATTTCCAACCCACAGAGTAATTCAGCTGATCAGAAAATAAGAGGGTGAGTCTTCTTGAAAAAGACCCTGTGGAATAAGATATCGAGGATGGGGTGGACATCAGGTACAGGATTATCTGGCTGTCTGGAGTGCAGCCTAGAGGTTCCACTACCTGAATGCAGGCCCCTGGGCAGCCCAAGACACGGGCCTCCTCCACAGTAATGGGCATCTGCGCCAAGCTTCTGAAATGCTCTTTCCTTTTTACATGATGATCCCCTGTCACACTCGTCCCGGGTCAGAAAGTCATATAATAAAGCAGATGGTGTAATTGCTTTTTCCAAAAGCATGGCTCTCCAAGACAAGTGTAGGGTTTGTTAGGTTTTATTTGGAATGCAGAACAAGTTTACTGTGCCTCAGGGGTCACCATGCATCACTGGTGTTCCCTTTGCTTGGACAAGTTAAACTTCCAGCCCACATAGGTTTCTGACTGTCACCTGCTTGCCGGGTCCCAGGCCTAAGGTGGCAAAGGCCCACTGAGTCAGGGACATTAGGCCTCAGAGGGGTGGCTGCTGCCTCCTGTGGGGCTCAGCCTGCCATGGTGGTGCAGAGCCAGTGGATGCTGACTGGTGCATGGGACCGGCCAGTGGCCCTGGAAAAAAGGAGGCGCCCTGAGGCCCTGCCCCACCCCTGCTTACTCCCTCCCAGTGCGCTCCCCGCTCCCATCCACAGCCCCAAGCACAGCAGCCTGTAGGCGGAGTGTGTCCGTTTCCTGGGGCTGCCGCAACTCGATCCCACAGACTTAAAGTAACAGAGATGGGGGTCTCACAGTTCTGAAGGTCGGAAGTGCAACATCCAGGTGTTAGCCGGGCTGTGTTCCCTTCAAGGGTTCTAGGGGAGGACCTGCCTTGCCTCTCCCAGCTTCTGGGGACTACGGAAGCCCTCATGGTTCCTTTACTTGCCTCTCCACCCTCTGCCGCCATGTTCACGCTGCCTCTTCCCTCTGTGCCCGCGCCTTCTCTTTTTCTGAGGACATCAGTCCTCAGATGGGCGCCCCATCTGAAAACACCCCAGCATGAAAACACCCTGACTTGACTACATTTGCAAAGACCCTTTTTGCAAATAAGGCCACGTTCCCAGGTGGCGGGGATTAGAACCTGAGCGTCTTTTTTTGGAGGACGCAGGTCAACCCACAGCATGAGGGTGGGCCTCCCTGCAGGGCTGGGGTCCCTCTCTCGGTGTCCCTGTAGCGTGGCTGATGCTGCTCTCTGTCCACAGTGTGCGCCAGGGGGCTGCCTGATGGAGCTATGCATCCAGCTCAGCATCATCATGCTGGGGAAACAGCTGATCCAGAACAACCTGTTCGAGATCGGCATCCCGTGAGTGTGCTGCAGCGGGTTAGAGCGGCAGGGGCGGGGCCAGGCGGAGGGGTGTGTGGGTGGCTCCTGCGGGGGTCTGGGTGGACGCGGGGCCTCAACCAAGATGGGGGCACTAGAAGCAGGGAGAGAAGGAGGACACAGAGGGAAGGTGGGGCAAAAGCCACCCCAGGCCAGGCATGGTGGCTGACGCCTGTAATCCCAGCACTTTGGGAAGCTGAGGCAGAAGGACCATTTGAGCCTAGGAAATCAAGACCAGCCTAAGCACAAAGCGAGACTGCACCTCTACAAAAAAATAAAAAGTTAGCCAGGTGTGCTGGTGCGTGCCTGTAGTCCCAGCTACTCAGGAGGCTGAGGCGGGAGGATCGCTGGAGCCCAGGAGTTGCAAGCTGCAGTGAGCTATGATTGTACCACTGCACTCTAGCATGGGCCACAGAGTGAGACCCTGTTTTAAAAAATAAAAACAGGGCCGCGCACAGTGGCTCATAAACTGTAATCCCAGCACTTTGGGAGGCTGAGGCAGGCGGATCACTTGAGGTCAATAATTCGAGACCAGCCTGGCCAACATGGTGAAACCCCACCTCTACTAAAAATACAAAAATTAGCCGGGCGTGGTGGCGGGCGCCTGTAGTCCCAGCTACCTGGGAGGCTGAGGCAGGAGAACCCCTTGAACCCAGGAGGTGGAGGTTGCAGTGAGCCGAGATCGCACCACTGCACTCCAGCCTGGGCGACAGACCGAGACTCCGTCTCAAAAAAATAAATAAATAATAAAAAACATTAAAAAATAAAGCCACCCCATTTTGGACGAAGGAGGGAGAGGAAGTCAGAATGACACCCCACTCCCCATGCTGGCTGAGGATGGGGGGGTACCACCAGGTGCCCCCAAGCCCGATGCTGGCTCCCCAGGGTTTCCAGATGGAGGCTGGGGGACTTGGCCTCGTTGTTACCTTGTACCCTTCGGAAATCCATGTCCCATTCCCACCTCCCCAGTGGCTGCTGGGTCTCTGGAGTCAAGAACTTGTCGGGCCATTTTCCATGATCTGTGTCCTTCCCCAAGAGTCCACTTGGGCATGACCAGCCTCCACTGTTCTTGTGTCCCTGATGCCTGCTGGGCCCTCCTGTGGTTCACAAGTGGTCGTTTGCCCTCCCTGCACCTCCGTTTCCTTCTGTAGCCAGCAAAGCCATGACACTTGCCCCCTGCCTTTTGGGGAAAGGGCAGAAGAGATCATCGACAAAGAAATGATGGCAAACAAGTAAATTCTGGATTTAAAGCAGAAACTTAGAAATATCACTGGAGGCCAGGCGCGGTGGCTCATGCCTATAATCCTAGTACTTTGGGAGGCACAGATGGGCGGATTGCCTGAGCTCAGGAGTTCAAGACCGGCCTGGGCAACACTGTGAAACCCCATCTCTACTTAAAATACAAAAAATTAGCCAGGCGTGGCAGCATGTGCCTATAGTCCCAGCTACTCGGGAGGCTGAGGCAAGAGAATTGCTTGAACCAAGGAGGCAGAGGTTGCAGTGAGCTGAGACAGGGCCACTGCACTCCAGCCTGAGCAAAAAGAGTGAAACTCTGTCTCAAAAAGAAAAAAAGACACATCACTAGAGGTGCCAGACCCAAGCCCCCAAATTCACCCTCCTGCAAACCTAACTGCATGATGTCTCATCTCTCAGGAAGATGAAGAAGCTCATCCGCTACCTGAAGCTGAAGCAGCAGAGCCCCCCTGACCACGAGGAGTGTGTGAAGAGGAAACAGCGGTACGAGGTGGATTACAACCTGGAGCCCTTCGCGGGCCTCACCCCAGAGTACATGGAAATGAGTGAGTGATGGCCGGGGCAGGCAGGTGACATCAGGATAGAAACAGGCCAGCATGCCACCTGGAGTGGGGAAGGGCTGCAGGGGCATGATGCCCCCAACCCTGCGGTGCCCAGCGTCCCTCCATAAGCATCAGGCAGGGAGAAGAGAGATGCAGACCCTGGGATCCTAGTGCTGCCACCCCCTTGGGTCGGTGAGCATGGCTGCTCTGGATGGAGTCCTGTGTTCCAGAGGCCCAGGTCAAGCAGCCACCGTCCCTAGGCACGGTCCCCAAGCATGGTCCCCAGCCACAGTCCCCAGGTATGGTCCCCAGCCACAGTCCCCAGGCACGGTCCCCAGGCACGGTCTCCATCAGCGCAGCCCGACACAGCCTGGGTTGTGCAGCTCTTCCTCCTCCCTTAGTCTCCTCACCAGCCGAGGGCCCGGCCCTGCTAAGCTGCAAGATCGTCCTTACTTGAAACCCCCCACAATCCAAGGTCCCTCCTCTCAGCTCCAAGGCCCTTCAAGCATCCTACTTTGGTTCCATGACTCATCTCCCCTTCCTGGTGGTGAGCTCCTGAGTTGCAGGAGCCACGACTTGCTCACCTGTGGGCTGGCGACAGCTGCCCCCAGCACAGAGCAGGCGTCTCAAAGGAGACCCAGGGATCGAGCCTTACCCCCCTCAATCACGTGGCTGGCCAGGAGGATGCCGAGAGGTGGCACATACCTTTTGGGGGTGGCCAAAGAGAACTGGGAAGAGGCCAGGTGTGGTCCGCACAGCTCTGGACTCTCCCTGACCTGGTCACTTACCTCTCCCTCCTGCCTCCTGCACTCTGCACATGCTGGCCTCCTTGCTGCTCCCCAGCCCCGTGGAGCTCAGGCCGCCCCAGGGCCTTTGCACGAGATGTGCCCTGCTGGAATGCCCTCTCCCAAATACCTGCATGGCTCACTCTCTCCCTGCCTCCCAGGCTCTACTCAGAATGTCCCCCAACAGAGGGGTCTTCCCTGATCACTGTGTTTGAAAGGGGCAGCCCCTCCCCGACACGGCCACGACCCCCACCCCTCCTCTGCTTGGTGTTTCTGCTCCCCAGCAGACAGCCTCACCCCGTCATCCCTCTTCTGTCTCCCCCCGGTAGGACGGCAGCCTCACCCTCTCTTGTTCCTCATCCCATAGCCCTACCCCTAGAGCAGGTCCAGGTATACAGTGGGTGCTCAATGTGTGTTTGCTGACTGAATGGATGAACAAAGGCAGTCAGGAAGACTCCTGCAGAGGGGGGGTCCCAGCATGCAGTGCCCTGGCCACCAAGGTCAACTTCTCTAAAATGCCCGTTCCCAGGCTTGTTCCTGGTCTGCTGGAGGTGAGACCTGGCAGGCTGCATTTTTAAAAAGGGCCTGGGGGTAAGGGCACCTTAGAGGGTGGGGAGCGTTTCTGTTTAATTTCACCACAAGTGCTGCCGTCTGCCCCTCCTGTTAGCCGAATTGTCCACATATGTCGCTCCTGGCTCCCCAGACAATCGTGCAAGGAGCACCTTGCCATTGACTCAGGAGGAGAGGAATCTTCAGTGTGGCGTTCTGTGGCTCCTCTCTGTTTTCTCCTGGAATAAAGTCCAAGCTGAACCAGGGTCAGGCCGGTAGGCAGAAAATGGCTCCCAGCTGTTTAAACTCAGCATTGGCCATGTGGCCAGGAGGGACGGGGTCTGGGAGGTGGCTTCCCCTGCCTGCAGGGTCGCTCCTTCCACAGGAAACCCTAGGGAGAATAGAGCCCAAGACACGAGCACAGCCTGCAGTGGGCCGCGAGAGTGGCAGCCCCTTCCCTGGATTTATTTTCCTAGTGGCTGGACATCACGTCCCGAGTTCCTGACGGGTTTGGACAAAGGGGACTTCTGGAGCAGGCGCCTCCTGCCCACATACACGGGGAGTGGCTCACCCGTTCCCCACACTGCCCCCACTGACCAAGGCACATTTCCACACCCACTGACTTTCTCCCCACCCCATGGGCTGCCAGTCTGCTCCTCCCAGGAAGTCTCAAGCCACAGATGTGGATAGATGGGGAGAACAAGCTCATCTGGAAATGCCCCACCTCCCCGCCCCCCTGCACCCTCCCTCCCAGGCCCCAGCCCTGGCAGCGCCTCCAGCTCCCTGGTCATACCCTTAGTGCCAGAGTAGGCAGCGCCTCTCGGAAGTGAGGAAGCCCACCCTGCTGAGTGACCCACAGCCTCAGGCCTCAGCAGCCCCTGGCCCTCATGCACAGCACACACCGCCCCACATAAGCAATGCCTCATCCCCTCCAGGGGCCTCAGGCAGGACCAGAGGCCTCCCACTCAGCCCACCTTGCCAGGGCTAGCAAGACAGCCCAGGGAGAGAACTTGCAGGCCATTCCCCGCCATGGCCCATCCTACCTGCTAACAGTGCTCACACTCAGGGCACCCCGCACGGCCCACCCCACATGCTAACAATGCCCACACTCAGCCCGCCAGGCACACGGTGACATTCTGCTGGCTTCCTTGTTTACCGCCTGGCACCAAACGCCCTTGGACTGGGTCCTGCTGTGCAGTTCCCGAACCAGCTTTCCTGCTCAGTTCCACTCAGAAACCTTTTCCTGACCTTCTCCTAGAGCCTAGCCCCATGCTGGATGCAGCATCCAAAGCCAGAGAAGCCCCAGAGGCAGCTCCCGGGTGGGATGATCCCCAGGGGGAGGGCCGCAGGGGCAGAGGCGAGGGACTGTCCTGGGCAGTGGGTCCCCACCCGGATCCAGGAGTCCTGATGCAAGGGGAAGTTTGGGCTCTGGAAGATTCAGCCATGCAGGCAGGTCCCCCAGGTCCCAGGGAGCCCCCATGATGGAAGCAGCAGGGCCACTGCCACGTCCCTTCCCAGCATGGGCAGGGGGATGACCACAGGCTGGGCCTTTGAGCTCACGATGGTCCTTTTCCTTTTGGCGATGATTTTTTAAAATTTGACATGGGCTGGCGAGGTGGCTCATGCCTGGAATCCCAGCACTTTGGGTGGATGACTTGAGCTCAGGAGTTTGAGACCAGCCCAGGCAACATAGCAAAATCCCAGCTCTACAAAAAATACAAAAATTAAGCAGTCATAGTGGTGCATGCCTGTGGTCCCAGCTACCCGGGAGGCTGAAGTGGGAGGATTCATTGAGCCTGGGAGGTCAAGGCTGCAGTGAGCCATGGTTGTGCCACTGTACTCCAGCGTGGTGACAGATCGAGACTATCTCACAAAAGATTAGCCATAGATAAGGGAGCATTCCCGTTACTCAAGAGTCAAACACTGAGATTCAGAGCAAAATTTGGAATTCTGCCTTCAGCCCACTCCTGGCCTGGAGGTCACCCAGGGTCATGGAGGGTCCATCCCAAGAGCTCATCTAATGCATCTGCAGGTGGGGTCCATGCAGGTGGGCTCGTTGGAGGTGGGGCGGCAGCCAGACCTGTGCGGCTCGGCACACGGGGTGGTGGAGTCCCCCCTTATGGGCTGTGGCTCACGGGGTGCTGACTAGCACTGGGCTCTCTCTGCAGTCATCCAGTTTGGCTTCGTCACCCTGTTTGTCGCCTCCTTCCCCCTGGCCCCACTGTTTGCGCTGCTGAACAACATCATCGAGATCCGCCTGGACGCCAAAAAGTTTGTCACTGAGCTCCGAAGGCCGGTAGCTGTCAGAGCCAAAGACATCGGTGAGTGACCCCACGGGCCGGCAGAACCGGTTCCGAGTGCGTGCTGGGTTTGGGGAGGGGGTTGCTCCTCTCCAGAAGCTAGAGCCAGAGCTGGCCAGGTGTCCCTCCTGGGGCTCTTCACTCAGCCTTTGCCGGGTGGAGCCTGGGGGCAGGTGACACAAGATGTGGAGGCTCGCTTAGCCCTGTCCCCACCCTTCCCCTCCCAAGATGCCTTGGTCACAGAGGATGTTTGGAAAGAGTGGGTCCCAGACATCTGAATGTCTCAACAACCTGCTGCTTTAGGAGGTACAAGAGACTACATTTCCTCTCTGATGGCTGGCGACACCCACCTGTAGCAATTGTGTGACCCCCAGAGCCAGGGCAAGACCAACGGGAAAGGAGTGTTGGCTGTTCAGCAAGTGCCCTCCTACATGGCATGTCATGGCATCATTTAATGTTCACAAAAGAGAAAAGGAAGGAAGGAGCCCCCATCTGTAGACAGGGAAGAACAGTCCCAGTCATTGCATGGCTTGCCTGTAGGGATCAAAGCCAAGATGCAACTCAACTCCAGCTTTTTCACCCCGTCACTAAGACACCTTGACCATGTGGAGAAGGGGTGTGAGTTTGGGAGAATGTATATTTAAGGTCAGCGTAAAGAATAACTTGGGCTGAGCACCGTGGCTCACTCCTGTAATCCCAGTGCTTTGGGAGGCCCAGGAGGATACATAGCTTGAGCTCAGGAGTTCAAGACCAGCCTAGGCAACATGACGAAACCCTGTCTCTACAAAAAAACACAAAAATGAGCTGGGCGTGATGGTGCGTTCCTGTAGTCCCAGCTACTCAGGAGGCTGAGGTGGGAGGATGAGTGAGCCCACATAGGTTGTGGCTGCAGTGAGCCATGCCCATGCCTGGGCAACAGAGTGAGACCCTGTCTCAAAAAAACAAGTAAAATTTAGCTGGATGTGGTGGCACAGACCTGTGGTCCCAGCTACTTGGGAGGCTGAGGCAGGAGGATCATGTCAGCCCAGGAGGTCAAGGCTGCAGTGAGACGTGATCATGCCACTACACTCCAGCCTGGGCAACAGAGAGAGAACCTGTCTTAAAAAAAAAAAAAAAAAGAAAAGAAAAGAAAAGAAAAAGAGTAACTTTAATAGTCAGAGGTGTCAAAAACAGAGCAGACTTCCTTGTGGATTAGTGAGCTCCCTGTTACCAGAGGCATTTAAGCAGAGACAGGGTGACGATCTGTCCAGGAGGGTGAGGGGTATGGGAGCCCCACGCAGGCTTCCACCGGAGCCAGCCATCACAGGAAGGGTGATCCCATCTTGTCTTATAGTAGGACCAATTTTCAGGGTGAAAACAAAATTACAAAAATACATTGATTTTATCTCAAATTTAACACAATTTTAGTTAAAATAGCACCTGCGTACTAATTATTGGAATAAACAAAAGGTTGAATTACATATTGGGGATATCACCTTGCTGAAATAAAGATTCCATACCAGCTTGATAAGATAGCTTTGGGTTGAGCTTTTGTAGGCCAAACATAATCTTAAGAAAATGTGGGAAATTGACCAGGCGCAGTGGCTCATGCCTGTAATCCCAGCACTTTGGGAGGCGGAAGCAGGTGGATCACCTGAGGTCAGGAGTTCGAGACCAGCCTGACCAACATGGTGAAACCCTGTCTCTACTAAAAATACAAAATTAGCCAGGTGTGGTGGGAGCCTGTAATCCCAGCTACTCAGGAGGCTGAGGCAGGAGAATTCCTTGATTCCAGGAGGCAGAGGTTGCAGTGAGCCGAGATCATGCGATTGCACTTCAGCCTGGGTGACAGAGTGAGACTCCATCTCAAAAAAAAAAAAATGTGGGAAGCTTTATCAATTGTTCCAAGGGCTTCTCCAGTCCTTGGTATTTGTGTCATTCTCGTTGGAAACACCCTTCAGATCATCTCACCCCAGTACGTGTTTTCTCCTTAAGTTGTTAGCGGTTCTGGCTGGAAGCTCCTTGATCCACACCTTGGCCCCTAGTGGCAAGCCCAGCATCCACTGGTGACCAAATTCACCAATCCTCCACTGTCTGGTTCCAAGATAACTTCAACTCTGGCTTCTCTTACGCTTGGCTGTCTTGTAGACTAAAAGAGATGAAATCGTCATTTTCACAGGTCAAAGACCATCAGATAGCAGTGATTCACCCGGCAGCTTCACATTTGCACTGCGTAAGGCCCTGGCTTTGAAAGGGGCCTGGAAACATTGGTGCTTTGTAGGGAGGGACATCCCAGGGCTCCTGGGTAAGAGGTCATGGCACTGTGTTTGGACACTTTTGCTTCCCTACATCACCTCTTCTCTGGGTGACCCAGGTAATGAAGACTCAGAACACAGACACTCTATACTAAACTGCCCTGTGAGATTTTGTTTAAAAATTTCAAAGGCTTTAAAAGCCATGAGCTAACCAACCCTCCGAAGACCCTGCTAACCACCAGCATCCCTGTTTTGCGTCTGCTGAGGCCACGGGTGAGCCCCTTGCCCCTCATACCACAGCCCTCCATGGCCAGAGGTGGAGCAAGGGTAGAGTGCTGATTTGCTGGTGCTCTAGGTCAGAGGTTTGCACTTGTTTTCTGTTAAGAGCCAGAGAGTGAACGTTTTAGGCTTCCTGGACCCAGAGACAATGTCCTCAAGTCTTAGGCAATGGTTCTTACCCAAAGGCTACGCTTTTCATACATTTTTCATTTCACACTTTAAAGTGAAAAAGGCCAGGGCCGGGCGCAGTGGCTCACGCCTGTAATCCCAGCACTTTGGGAGGCCGACGCAGGTGGATCACCTGAGGTCAGGAGTTTGAGACCAGCCTGGCCAATATGGTGAAACTGCGTCTCTACTAAAAATACAAAAATTAGCTGGGCATGCAAATTTTTGTTGTGGCAGTTTTAATTTTTTTTTTTTTTGAGATGGGGTCTCACTCTGTTGCCCAGGCTGGAGTGCAGTGGCACAATCTCGGCTCACTGCAAACTCCGCCTCCCGGGTTCACGCCATTCTCCTGCCTCAGCCTCCTGAGTAGCTGGGACTACAGGTGCCCGCCACCACGCTTGGCTGATTTTTTTGTATTTTTTTAGTAGAGACGGGGTTTCACCATGTTAGCCAGGATGGTCTCGATCTCCTGACCTCATGATCCACCCATCTCGGCCTCCCAAAGTGCTGGGATTACAGGCGTGAGCCACCGTGCCTGGCCAAGCCATTTTTAATTTTTAATGTTGGCATGCACCTGTAGTCCCAGCTACTCAGGAGGCTGAGGCAGGAGAATCGCATGAACCCGGGAGGCGGAGGTTGCAGTGAGCCGAGATCGCACCACTGCACTCCAGCCTGGGCAACACAGCGAGACTCCACCTAAAAAATAAATTTAAAAAGCCATTTTTAGCTTTTAGGGACAAGTGAGAAAGAGGCTGTCGAAAAACAGGCCACCATGGCCGTCTTTGCACACCCGCTCTCAAGAGCAAGGCGAGATTGCACCCCAAGCTGTGCCTCAGCATAGCGCTGCTTTGAAAATTGGCATCACAGAGCTGCCTCCAACATGAACTTTCCTCAGAACCTCAGCCTGTTGTGTCCTCCAGGGAACCCCGGGAGGAAGCCTGGGTGAATCCTCCCTCAGTCCCACTTTCCAGATAGGAGGCCGAGGCCCAGGCGGTAACAGTGCCGAGCAGGAACCAGAGAGCTCAAGCCCTGGGCCTCCTGCATGCGTAGAGGGTTTGCCTCTGAAAACCTCACCCTGTATACCGAAGACCCCAAAAGGGGACCCTGGGTCTGCTCACCAGGTTCTCCCTGCAGTCCTCGGAAATTCTGGAGCTCCCTGTCCCATGGCAGTAAAGAAAAGAGTGCCATCCCATTCCAGCAGGTACAGCTAAAAAAAGAAAAGAAAAAAGAAAAGAAAAGAAAAGAAAAGAAGAGTGCAGCCCACACTGAGTCCTCACAAAGGCCTGATGCTCAGGCAGCCGACAGTACCCCACCCCCGCCCGCCACCTGCCACATCACAGTGCGCGTGTGTTTGCTCTGGCACCCTCTGCTTCGAGAAGCTCTGGCTGTCCCCAGACAGTGGCTGAATGAAGCTTGCAAACCCACCAGGGTGAAAGGGAGCAGCAGCTCAGTGGCCCTGGCTTCCCGCAGTCCCTCTGCAGGCATTGGCGTCCCCACCAGCAGCAGGCCTTCCGCGTGCCTCTTTGGACTCTTTGCACCTGGCTGGTTTTTGCTCAGTTCTTACGGATCAGCTACTCACTTCCTGGTTCCTGTCCGGTTGGCTGAAGGCATAATCTGCCCTCCTTTCACGAGTTTGTTTATGGGTTCCTTAACCGTAACCTTTCCTTGAAGAGGCTTTTGTATTCCTTCTGTGATCCGTGCAGGGCCCCCAGGCGAGCTCCTTGAGAGGACAGAGAGGGCCCCTGTGGCCCCTGTGACCTGCGCCCCTGAGGCCCTGGGTGGCTGGGGGAAGCTGTGCCACAAAGCGCAGGTGCCTTGATCACCCTGTCGTCCAGCGGGTCACAGCAGGGACCCAGCCGTGCGTGGGAATCTGCTCCAGGTCCCTAGCCCTGGTTTCGACTTCCTGTTTTCTTCCTGGTTCTTCAGAGCCTGCTGGTGGGAAAGTGCAGCCTCCATTCAGCTCCCGGGCACTGCATGTGGGCAGGAGTGGTGGCCTCGCCAAGTACCTGGCTTTATCCAAATACCTCCCTGTTCTGTTCCAGAAAATGGCGCTTAGCATCCCCTAGAGTGGGAAAAATTCCTTGGGAAAGAAACCAAGGAATTTACTTGGGGAAGTAAAAATGAGGCAATTTTCCCCAACAGGGCTTTCATAAAAGAAGCCCACCCAAAGAATATTCTAAAAGCACAGCATCCCCTTTTACTTAGAGATGTCAATGAAAAGAGTCAAACTCTGTCAAATATTTGAAGAGATTTATTCTGAGCCATGAGTGACCATGGCCCATGACACAGCCCTCAGGAGGTCCTGAGAACATGGGCCCAAGGTGGCCGTGGTACAGCTTGGTTTTATACATTTTAGGGAGACATGAAACATCAATCAGATACATCTAAGGTATACATTGGTTTGGTCCAGAAAGGCGGGACAGGGCGACTTCCAGATTATGGGTATATATATATATACACTTTTTTTTTTTTTTTTTGGAGACAAGAGTTTCACTCTTGACACCCAGGCTGAAGTGCAATGGCATGATGCAACCTCCACCTCCTGGGTTCAAGCGATTCTCCTGCCTCAGCATCCTGAGTAGCTGGGATTGCAGGTGTGCGCCACCAGATTTGGCTAATTTTGTATTTTTAGTAGATACAAGGTTTCACCATGTTGGCCAGGCTGGTCTCCAACTTCTGACCTCAGGTGATCTGCCCGCCTCTGCCTACCAAAGTGCTGGGATTACAGGCATGAGCCACCACACCCGGCCTATTTTTAAAATTTCTGATTGTCAATTGGTTGAGTTATTATCAATAGAAAGGAAAGTCTGGGTTATGATAAGGGGTTTTGGAAACCAAGGTTTTATTGTGCAGATGAAGCCTCCCGGTAACAGGCTTCAGAGAGAATAGACTGTAAATGTTTATCAGACTCAAGGTCTGTGTTGATGTTCATGCTGGTCGACTTTTGTTGAATTCCAAAAGGGAGGAGGGCATGAGGAGGCCTGTCCGACCCTCCTCCCGCCCCCTGCTTCCTGTCATGGCCTGAACCAGTCTTTCAGGTTAATTTGGGGGTGCCCTGGCCGAGACGATGAACCCCATTCAAATGGTTCGGGGGACCCTTAGAATTTTATTTTTGGTTTACAGAGATCCTTAGAGCAGTGAGTGTCACCCTGGAATGTGCGTCAGAATAACTCGGGGCTCCCAGCCCCACCCCAGGAGAGGCGGATCCCGTGGGCTGGGGCTGGGGTGCCGGTTCAGCATTTCTCTAACACACCCCGCGGATGTGCAGGGCCACACGGAGAGCCATCCGCCTGGACGTAGATATCCTGCAGACCTGTCAGGACAGGCTCCATCGGGGCCCGGAAGCGAGGAAGACCCCGCTCCCGGCTCCATCTCATCCCCGCCTCATCCCTCCCATTTCCTGTTGTCTCTCTGGGCCGGTTGGGCGATCACCTGGGCGGACCCCCTTGCCTGCCTGAGTCCTGCACTTCGACGGCCCTGAACTCAGGAGCCACGTCCCTCGGGAGCCCCAAAGACTTCAACCTCCACCCCAGGCCCACCGCACCTCAGCACCCCACTTCGGAGGTCTCAAACTCAGCGCCCCAAGGGCCAGGTGGGCCACACGCGCAAGTGAGACTAAGTCCTGGGAGTGTTCTTCATGGCCACAGAGCAGTGTGCCTGTTCCCACATTTCTTGAAACGTTCAACTCTCTAGTGGGGGTCTGGGTTTAGATGCTAAGGCGGCCATAATGGAGGTCGGAGGTCGCCGGGAGGCCTCAGCACAGACAGCAGAGCTGCGGTGCACAGCCCAGCCTGCAGGGGGCGCCCCCGGGCACCACAGCCAGCTGTTGCCAAGGAGACGCACCAGCCAGCCAGGACCAGAGCCGAGGAGTCTCGATTTTTCTTTTCTTTTTTTTTTCTTTTTTTTTTTTTTTTTTTTTTTGAGACAGAGCCTCGTTCATTCTCCCAGGCTGGAGTGAAGTGGCGCGATCTCGGCTCACTGCAACCTCCGCCCCCCGGGTTCAAGCGATTCTCCTGCCTCAGCCTCCTGAGTAGCTGGGATTACAGGCGCCCGCCACCACACTCGGCTAATTTTTGTATTTTTAATAGAGCGGGGCTTCGCCATGTTGGCCAGGCTGATCTCGAACTCCCGACCTCAGGTGATCCACCAACCTCAGCCTCCCAAAGTGCTAGGATTACAGGCGTGAGCCAATGCGCCCGGTCTTGATTTTTTAAAATACATTTTCCTGGTTTTTAAGCATCCGTCTGCATTTTTAAGCAGTAGACAAGCACAACAAGATGGCCATGCTGCCTGGATGGGGCCTGCCTGCCACCGCTTTGCAGCCTCTGCTCCGGCACCAGAATCTGGTTGGAAAGGGCTTTCTGCACTCGTGCAGTCACTCAGCAAACATTTACCCAGCAGCACCCACCTTATGTGCCAGACACCAAGCTAGACCCAGAATCTACAGGGATGTGCAATTAGCACCCTGCCTTAGGAGCTCGGAGTCCACGGAGGGCCCTCAGCCCTGACACCCAGCCAGGAGAAGCCGGGTCGGAAGTGTTTCCACTCCTAAGGGAGTGCTTCAGTGCTGACTTTGTAGGGCTGTGCCATCCAACCCTCACCTGCATTCCCAGGTGCTTTATTCAGCATGGGGTGGCCTTAGGGCTGCTAGTGTGCAGAGCCCATGTGACTGCCCCACCACCTGCTCCAGCAGAAAAATAAACTGAGGACCACTGCACTCGTGCAAAAGATCAAACGGAGCTACAATAAACTCCTCATCTGGGATAAGGCGATAGTCCCCATGGCCCGAGGACTGGAGACAGGGGTCAGGGAAGTGTGACTGTCACTTCTCAAATTGCCTACCAGCAATGGGTTGCAGTGGGTATTTCTCTTTTTTTTTTTTTTTGAGACAGAACCTTTCTCTGTTGCCCATGCTGGAATGCAGTGGCGTGATCTCGGCTCCCCATAACCTCCGCCTCCCTGGCTCAATCTATTCTCGTGCCTCAGCCTTCTGAGTAGCTGGGATTACAGGCATGTGCCACGACGCCTGGCTAATTTTTGTATTTTTAGTAGAGATGGGGTTTTGCCATATTGGCGAGGCTGCTCTCGAACTCCTGGCTTCAAGTCATCTGCCCACCTCAGCCTCCCAAAATGCTGGGATTATAGGCGTGAGCCACCACACCCAGCCCGCAGTGGGCATTTCTGATTGATGATGATTGTGACTGTGATCTATCATTGAATTGACACTGGCTGGGGCCAGGGAGCAAGAGATCTTGGTCTCAGAGGTTTCATCTGAGCCTGTGGTTTCTAGCTCGGGGCCACACAGGGGCCTGAGCTCTTGCTGCCTTTGCAGACCACCAGCATGCACCCCAAAAACGGGGACTGGGAGGCTCCCCTCAGCTACTAGGGCAGAAGCGCTATGTACAGCTCTCCCTGTAGCCTCCTGCACAGGTAGGATGTCCACTTGCTCCATCCTGGCCGTTTCTGACGAGTGCTGGTTATCACCCATCTCAGAGCTGGCTCAGGGCACAGAGAGCAGGCCCCAGGATTGGGCTCCCAGCCGAACCGCTGCACACAACATTGCTGGGCATGATAGGGTGCAGTTAGGGTGAGGCGGGGGTCAGCCCGGGACACTGGACCATTTCTAGGAATTGCAACACTGAGGCCCTGCTTCCTGGGCCATTGAGGGCCTCCTTCCTGGGCCCTGCTAGTTCTCATGGCCACTGGGAAGACGAATGGAGAGACCAGCATGGCCCTGGGCGCTGTGTTGTGATCCTCTTGTTCATCTGTGATTTGGTGCACCCCTGGGTCTTGGAGTAAAGGGAACAAGGGTGTGTCTAGATAGGGAACGGTTCAACCTTCACTGCTGTGGACTCAGTGCCTCCAGCCAGGGGCCCTGGCACTGTTCCTCAACAGCAAAGCCATGTCTGGCCTATCCCTAAATACAGGTATCCTCCGCCAGAGCTTTAGGAGCTGCACCCCAATTGAATCTTGGTCAGTTTAGGAATTAAAAAAGGTTTCATCTAAGCGAACTAGCATTTAAACAGGTGCATGGGGAGATTGTGCAGAACCACTGAGGGAGCAGCTGTCTTTAAGCACCTCTTTTAGAAGCTGGTGAGCTTGTCAGAAAGGGCTGGTACACACCAGGCCCTGGCACTGGCCTGGCTTCCTCAGGACCTGAACAAATGACTCTTGGTTGCCATAAGCCTCTGACTGCTGTGAGAAAGCCTGGCCCCTGCAAGGGTGGTACCCGCTCAGACTGCTGCCTGGTAGCTGGAATGACTGAGAGTGTAGGGCTCTTTAAAACTGTGACTTCTTCTTCCCCCAGGAATCTGGTACAATATCCTCAGAGGCATTGGGAAGCTTGCTGTCATCATCAATGTAAGTGACATCAGGGACCTTGGCAGAATGGAAGTCCCGGCTGAACTGCCAGGTGGCCGGGGCCCTGTGGAGAAGGAGCTGGGCATGGGTCTTCTGCCTCTAGCCATGGTGCAGCCCCAGGCTGCCCGGATTCTCTAGTTATAAATGTCCCTTGACCGCATGGCATGGGGAGGGTGCACTCTGGGGAGGCATAACAAATTCTCTTCAACCTTTTTCTGCAAGTTTTTTTTTTTTGAATCTGAGTTTCACTCTGTGGTCCAGGCTGCAGTACAGTGGCACGATCTCAGCTCCCTACAACCTCCGCCTCCCAGGTTCAAGCTATTCTCGTGCCTCAGTCTCCCAAGTAGCCGGGATTACAGGCACCCACCACCACACCTGGCTAACTTTTATATTTTTAGTAGAGACGGGGTTTTGACATGTTGACCAGGCTGGTCTCAAACTCCTGACCTCAGGTGATTCGCCCTCCTCGGCCTCCCAAAGTGCTGGGATTACATTCACGAGCCACTGCGCCCAGCCTTTCTGCAAGCTTTGAGCAAAATTCTCCACCATGCCCACCTTCGCCCCTAAGTCCACTGAGAATAAACAAGAGACAGAGATAGGTGGGAAGACAGAGACAGAGATAGGAGGGAAGACAGAGACAGAGATAGGAGGGAAGACAGAGACAGAGGGAGAGAAACACAGAGATTCCTTATTGGCAATCTTTCTGTTCTCTTATTTAAAGAAAAAAGTTGATTTTTCTCCTTAATCTGAAACGTATGGCTGCTCTGTAGAGAAGGTTTGGGAGATGCTGAAATGGGGCGAGAAGGGAGCACTCATCAGCCTTACACACGGCTCTGCTAAGGATCAGGGCTCCAGGCCCCTCAGCCTCCTCCCCAGCATGGCAGCCCCTTCCAGCCTCTCCTATCCCCAGGCCTGCAGGCTAGGATGGCCCGGCCCTCAGCCTTCCCCATCGGGGTCTGTCTGACTCTGCCCATGGCCTGGATCTCCCCGGGTTTAGCTGTGCCCAGCTGTCCCCAGTACATACTTCAAGCCCAAGGCTGCATCCTAGACATGAAAACCCGAGGCAGCCATGGGGAGTCTGCTGTGCCAGGGGCCCATGGCTCTCGTCCCTTCCACCCTCTGGCTGAGCCCAATCCTCCCCGCCAAAAGTTGACACCATGCACATGAGGGACACGGGGTGGCTCCCCAAAGCTGACGGTCGACGCCCCTGCAGGGCCGTGATGCCAAGTCAGGGTCTCAGCAGGCCCTGGGACTCAGTCCCCACAGAGGGCAGGGGGTGACACTCAGCCCCGGAGAAGGGCCCCTCAGAGCCCTCTGACAGTGCCCTTTCCCGGTGGGCAACGCTTTCTGCCAGGCATGCGCTCCCACCAGATTACAGGAAGGCTGCAGGCAGAGTGTGCACACCGGGATGGCCCCTTATCCCGCCCAGACAAAGGCGCGCAGGGCCCTGAGGCAGGGCCCATGCTGTGCTGGAGTGGGTGGAGCTGGGAACAGAGGTACGTCCTGCCTGCAACAAGCGGCGCTGTGAGCAGCTGCGGAGCACAGTGGGCATCTCCTGAGGACAACAGCAGCAACAACAATAACAGCAGGCTGGGCCCGGTGGCTCACACCTGTAATCCCAGCACTTTGGGAGGCCAAGGCAGGAGGATCGCTTGAGGCGAGGAATTCAAGACCAGCCTGGCCAACATAATGAAACACAGTGAGACCATGTCTCTCTCTCTGAAAAAAAAAAAAAAAGTAGTAGCAGGAAACATTCACGAGGCACCTAGAATGTTCTAGAACCTTCTAAGCTCTTTCCACACACTAGCCCACTGGTCTGCAGACAGCCCTTGAAGGCGAGGACTGCCATGGCCCCATCTTACAGGTAAGACACCAGAGGCACAGAGAGGTTAGGTGATTTGCCCAAGGCCACACAGCCATGTGAGAGGCAGCCGTTGGGCCTTGGTTTCCTCTCTTGTAAGGGCACCAGCCAGAGCCGGTGCTATAATAGAATGAGCCGGGTGAGGACTTGAGAGCTTGCAAAGCACTTTCCCTTCCTGCCTCATTCCCTTCTCCAACAAGCCCAGAGGCACAGTGCATACATGGTGTGGGTGTTGTTAGCCCTGTTTTGACAAGAAGAAAATGGAGGCACAGAGAGGTTGGGTGATTTGCCCAAGGCCACACAGCCAGCAAGAGGCTGCCAGCGTCTGCCTGGTGCCTTCTCTCCTAGAAGTGCACTGTTCTGGCCACCAGGCACTCTCCTTCAGCTGCCAGGGGGCTGAGAGGAACACCCGCGACCCTGCATCCATTCACTCAGCATGCCGAGGCTGTGCGGCTATGGTCCCCGCCAGAGGCAGTGGCATATGGCCAGGGTCCAGTGTAACTGTGGATGGGTCACCCCCTGTTGCGGCCGGCCCTTCTGCGCCCAGGCTGGGGGTCCCCCTCACTGCCATGTCCCCTGCACAGGCCTTCGTGATCTCCTTCACGTCTGACTTCATCCCGCGCCTGGTGTACCTCTACATGTACAGTAAGAACGGGACCATGCACGGCTTCGTCAACCACACCCTCTCCTCCTTCAACGTCAGTGACTTCCAGAACGGCACGGCCCCCAATGACCCCCTGGACCTGGGCTACGAGGTGCAGATCTGCAGGTACTGCTCTCTGCTCCCCTCTTTGAAAAGCCACGTTTATTGGGTTTCTGGGAGAGCCTGGGTTTGGACGGGGCTCAAATCAGGAGCAAGTCATGAAACAACGCAAACTTGCTTAAAAAGAAGAAGAAGGAAAAAAAAAAAGGCTGGTGCAGTGGCTCACACCCGTCATCCCAGCACTTTGGGAGGGCCAGGCAGGAGGATCACTTGAGCTCAGGAGTTAGAGACCAGCCTGAGCCACATAGTGAGACCTCATCTCTACAAAAAATTTTTTAAATAGCCGGGCGTTGTGGCACTCACCTGTAGTTCTAGCTACTCGGGAGGCTGAGGTGGGAGGATCAATTGAGCCTAGGAATTTGAGGCTGCAGTGAGCTATGATCGCACCACTGCACTCCAGCCTGGGCAACAGAGTGAGACCCTATCTATAAAGAAATAAACAAATGCCTAAGGGGAGGAAATTAGAGGTGATTTACCAGTTCCTGTAACTAAGAAGCCCAGGATAGCTTCAGGCATGGCTGGATCCAGGAGCTACAGTTTGCCATCAGGCTCCACTCTGGCACTGCCTCTCCACTTTGATTTCCTCTGTGTTGCATTGTTCTCTTGCTGATGAAAAGGATCCCTAGCAGCTCCTGGCTTCAATCCTTTCTGCTCTGCAGCCCCTGTGGGAAGACCTTCTGTTTCCCAATAGTCAGTGAAAATCCAGGGACTGAGTCTTACTGCCCCATCTTGGGTCAGATGTCCATTCTTGAACCAACCACTATTGCCATGAGGAGGGGGGCTCTCCTTGGCTTGGCCTGGGTCATGTGCCAGGGTGTGAGGTCACAGAGAATGGGGGGGTCCTAGGGAAAACTGGGGTGCTATGACTTGAAGAAGAGGAGACAGATGCTAGCAGGCAAAGCCTTGAGCACAGAATAAAGAGGAACGAGCTGGTGCGTGTGGCTTCTGACACTGGGAGGACAGGGCTGCTTGTTCCCATGGGAAAGCAGGTTGTGCAACTTCTGCCTGGCCCAGCAGCTGGCACCAGAGCCGTGGCCCAGCCTGATCCTATCTCAGGAGTTGGCAGCTCAGTGCTGAATAGGCCCTCGGAGACTCCCATCCAGCTCCCTCCAGAAATCAAGCTCCGTAGGCAAGGGCCCTATCTGTTGTGCACCGCCCCCCACCCCGGAATTCTCCATCCCTGGGGTGGGGTCTGGCACATAGTAGTTGGTCAATAAATGCTTGTGACATAAGTAAGTGAGGGAATGCCCAGACTGAGGCCCAGAGAGGTCAAGTGATTGCCCAGGGGACACACAGCAAGGTGGTAGTCGGAGTGGGCGAGCACCAGGGATGTGGGTCCAGGCCAGGGCTGTGCCTGCAAATCCAGGTGGCCCTTCTCCTAGCCTCCCCGACTGACCTCAGGTTTTAGTGACCAACAGGGGCACAAACGGCCCCTGAGCCCCTGGAAATCCTGCCCCTCATGGGGGCATTTTCTGTCCAGCTTTGGGAAGCTTTTCCAATGCAGGGTGGGGACGTCAGCTCCATTCAAGCTATGTTCCAGCTGATGTGTGGCATCCCCCAGATTCAGGGAGCTGTGGAGGGAGGGAGGCCCTAGGCAGAGACCTCACCCTGCCCCCACAGACCCTGGGCATCTCTGGGTCTCTGTGAAAAGAGGAAGGGGCTGGGGAGAACTGGAGCACGGGCAGTGGTCATGAATGGGGCAAGCCTCCTTCCTGAGGCTCCAATCATATCCACGAAGAGCCAAGGTCAGTGGCAGGACCTTGGGGAGAGGGGTGTGAGTGAGCTTGACTCTCCAAGCAGGAGATCAGTCAGCTACATCTAAAGCTGGTAATGAGAACCAGGGGCAGTTCCTTCAAGATAAGGAGGTGAGGACCAAGCAGCAACCCTGGAGGAGGAAAAGCAGCCCCAGACCCGGGTAGGGCAGGGCGGGCCAGGCCGGCTGCCTGACACGCCTCTGCCTGCACCAGCGGAATGCTTAGCTTCGTTCTTTCGCAAATGTTTGATAAACTGCTTAAGTTACTTTGATAAAATGTTCAGGGTATTGTTTTGCTGTGTTTTTTGGTTGTTGTTTGGTTTGCTTTTTTTAGAGACGGTCTCACTTTGTGGCCCAGGCTGAAGAGCAGTGGCGTGATCAAAGCTCACTGCAACCTCAACCTCCCGGGCTCAGGTGATCCTCCCACCTCAGCCTCCCGAGTAGCTGGGAATACAGGCGTGCACTGCCAGGCCCGGCTAATTTTTGTATTTTTTGCAGAGACAGGGTTTTACTGTGTGGCCCAGACTGATCTCTAACTCCTCAGCCTGAGATTACAGTGCTGAGGTTACAGGCACGAGCCACCACACCTGGCTAATAAAGTGCTCAGAGGTTTTTCTTTGGTAGATTCCCTCAAAGAGGGGATGGACTGGAGGGGTGTTTCATGGAACCCATTCTGAAGTTCTGTGGAGCATGGGCGTTGGGTTGAGGTTCAGGAGGTTCAAGCTTAGGGAACCCCCCCGACTTCAACCAAGTAGGCTCTGCACTCTTGGGGCCTATTGGAGTTTCCAGTGAGACCTTTTGGGAACAAAGGCTCCACTGCTTTTAAAAGTTTGCAACCTCCTGGACCACATGGTCCCCACCCTTGATTCTGTGAGCCCACGGCTGGGCCTGGGGATACTTCCTGCCACATGTGTTTTACATGAAGCCCGTCAGGTCCTGCCTGGCCCATGGGGGATCCTGACCAACCCCCTCCACTGTGGAGAGAGACTCCGTGGGTGCGGGGCCATGGGCTGCTCGCCCAAGAGAGGGCTGCCCTCCCGGAGGCAGCCGCACACCAAGCTGAGCCTCTCCCAGGCGTCCCTCGAGCTGCCTGACTCCAGCCAGAGCCTGAGCCCCACCGAAGTCCCACCCTCGACTCCACCACGGTCTTTTGCAGGTATAAAGACTACCGAGAGCCGCCGTGGTCGGAAAACAAGTACGACATCTCCAAGGACTTCTGGGCCGTCCTGGCAGCCCGGCTGGCGTTTGTCATCGTCTTCCAGGTGCGGTGGGTCCCTCTTTGTTTCCGGTTTGAAGATGGGAGCATTTAGGGACCATCCTGTGCCTACAGTCTGGAAGTCAGGAGCTGCTAAAGCCAGGGGTTCAGAGACTCCTCCAGAGGCTTGGAGAACTTGCTCTGGGACACCCGAGGAGGGGACTTGGCCGACCCCAGGCCCCCTGCACTGACAGGGCCCAAGACAACCTCATGAGAGAGGAAGGCCAATAGAGGGGCCGGATGAGCACCGGCAGAAGGGTTCTGACTCGCTGGTGGGTTTAATCCAGTAGAAGTGTCTTTATTGAAAGAGACAGGGGCCAGGCACAGTGGCTCACACCTGTAATCCCAGCACTTTGGGAGACCGAGGCAGGTGGATCACCTGAGGTCAGGAGTTCAAGACCAGCCTGGCCAACATGGTGAAACCCTGTCTCTACTAAAAATATCAAAAATTAGCCGGGTGTGGTGGTGCACACCTGTAATCCCAGCTACTCAGGAGGCTGAGGCAAGAGAATCACTTGAACCCAGGAGGCAGAGGTTGCAGTGAGCCGAGATCGTGCCACTACACTCCAGCTTGAGCAACAAGAGTGAAACTCCATCTCAAAAAAGAGAGAGAGAGAAAAGAAGGAGAAGGAGAGGAGGAGGAGGAGGACGAGGAGGGGGAGGGAGGAAGGAAGGAAGGAAGGAAGGAAGGAAGGAAGGAAGGAAGGAAGAAAGACATGGAGAAAGGGGACCCCACCTCTGTCCCTCTCATTCTCACACCATGTCTGTGGTAGCAGGCAGAGTCAGGACAGACAGGAGGGCAGTGGGCTGTCAGATGACCCCAGCTGCAGCCAGCAGCCAGGGGACCCAGCCCCAGCTGGCCCAGTCTCTAGGGAGGGGTCTGGGCCAACTCTCTGAGGCCAGAGGGACTCCCAGTGGAGCGGGACCCCAGGCTAGGGTGCCAGCTGTGCACCGGCAGCTGAGGTCCCAGAGAGGCAGTATCCTGGGCTGTGGGCACCGCCAAGATTCTGCTCGCAGGTGTCCCTCTAGTCTCGATTAAGTCGATGCTAGGAAGGCAGTGGGCCAAGGGCTCTGATTCTGGAATCCCCAAGACTGGGTTCAAGTCCCAGTTCTGTCACAGGGCAGGCCCTTCCACTCCTCTAAGCTCAGTGGCCCCATCCATCAGCTTTTCACAGCAAGCAGTGCAAAAGGTGTGTGGGGCTGGGTTCCGCAGACCAGAGCCTGAGAGCCCAGCAAGGAGGGGTCTCGGCCAGAGACAGCCCAGCCTTATCCCAAGGGAGCCCCGGAGCAGGCATGGCACCCCAGACCTGGCCTCACCTGGAGGCAAGGCAGCCCCTAGATGGACCAGTCACTGCTTTGGGCTGACCAGGCTGGGAAGAGGGAGATGGGATGGGGCATAAGTTCTGCAGCTGCGAGCGTGAGCAGCCAACCCCAGCCCCAGCTGGGGACTGGGAGCACCAACCAGGAGAAGACACCAATCCAGGGGGCACCAGCACCGCCCGTGGCGGGAACCTGCTCAGCCGGGGGTGCTCACACGTGCTTGCTGGACAGATGTTCAGCAAACAAGAAGATTCCGTTTTTCCATAAAAACTGACTTATGTTGCCTTCTATCCACCAGAAATGTCTCCGTGGAGGTGGTAGATGTTCAGGGAGACCCTGGGACGCTTTGCAAACTGTAAAAGTTTGATCCATTTGTGGCTATTTCCAGTTTCATGTTTTTCCCCAAAGGCTCGATGCTCGTTAGATTTGGCGATGTGTGATCCATCAGGTCACTTCCTGAGTCTCCTGATCAAAGAATTCAGAATGACTCAGATGATTTTCCCAATTACTGAGTTCAGATTTGTTCGAGAAAGTCGGCCAACATTTCCCAGAGGCCTGCCGGGTGGTTCTATGCCTCCTTTATAGCTTCTGGAAAACTGAGGCCCAGGGAGGTCAATGGGCCAGGAGGTGGTGGGGTGGCACTCCACCAGATGGGGGCCAGGCAGAGAGGTCAGGAGCACTTCCCCAGGCGCCATCCTCCCTTCTGCCACGCGTTGCCTCTCCTTCCAGAACCTGGTCATGTTCATGAGCGACTTTGTGGACTGGGTCATCCCGGACATCCCCAAGGACATCAGCCAGCAGATCCACAAGGAGAAGGTGCTCATGGTGGAGCTGTTCATGCGGGAGGAGCAAGACAAGCAGCAGCTGCTGGAAACCTGGATGGAGAAGGAGCGGCAGAAGGACGAGCCGCCGTGCAACCACCACAACACCAAAGCCTGCCCAGACAGCCTCGGCAGCCCAGCCCCCAGCCATGCCTACCACGGGGGCGTCCTGTAGCTATGCCAGCGGGGCTGGGCAGGCCAGCCGGGCATCCTGACCGATGGGCACCCTCTCCCAGGGCAGGCGGCTTCCCGCTCCCACCAGGGCCCGGTGGGTCCTGGGTTTTCTGCAAACATGGAGGACCACTTTCTGATAGGACATTTTCCTTTCTTCTTTCTGTTTTCTTTCCCTTGTTTTTGCACAAAGCCATTATGCAGGGAATATTTTTTAATCTGTAGTATTCAAGATGAATCAAAATGATGGCTGGTAATACGGCAATAAGGTAGCAAAGGCAGGTGCTTTGCAGAAAGAATGCTTGGAAACTTGAGTCTCCCTAGAGGTGAAAAGTGAGCAGAGGCCCGTAGAAACCCTCCTCTGAATCCTCCTAATTCCTTAAGATAGATGCAAAATGGTAAGCCGAGGCATCGCGCAAAAGCTGGTGCGATGCTTCAGGGAAAATGGAAAACCCACGCAAGAATAATGATTGATTCCGGTTCCAAAAGGTGTCACCTACCTGTTTCAGAAAAGTTAGACTTTCCATCGCCTTTTCCTTCCATCAGTTGAGTGGCTGAGAGAGAAGTGCCTCATCCCTGAGCCACACAGGGGGCGTGGGAGCATCCCAGTTATCCCTGGAAAGCTAGAAGGGGACAGAGGTGTCCCTGATTAAGCAGGAAACAGCACCCTTGGCGTCCCCAGCAGGCTCCCCACTGTCAGCCACACACCTGCCCCCATCACACCAAGCCGACCTCAGAGTTGTTCATCTTCCTTATGGGACAAAACCGGTTGACCAGAAAATGGGCAGAGAGAGATGACCTCGGAAGCATTTCCACAGATGGTGTCAGGGTTTCAAGAAGTCTTAGGGCTTCCAGGGGTCCCCTGGAAGCTTTAGAATATTTATGGGTTTTTTTTCAAATATCAATTATATGGTAGATTGAGGATTTTTTTTCTGTAGCTCAAAGGTGGAGGGAGTTTATTAGTTAACCAAATATCGTTGAGAGGAATTTAAAATACTGTTACTACCAAAGATTTTTATTAATAAAGGCTTATATTTTGGTAACACTTCTCTATATTTTTACTCACAGGAATGTCACTGTTGGACAATTATTTTAAAAGTGTATAAAACCAAGTCTCATAAATGATATGAGTGATCTAAATTTGCAGCAATGATACTAAACAACTCTCTGAAATTTCTCAAGCACCAAGAGAAACATCATTTTAGCAAAGGCCAGGAGGAAAAATAGAAATAAATTTGTCTTGAAGATCTCATTGATGTGATGTTACATTCCCTTTAATCTGCCAACTGTGGTCAAAGTTCATAGGTGTCGTACATTTCCATTATTTGCTAAAATCATGCAATCTGATGCTTCTCTTTTCTCTTGTACAGTAAGTAGTTTGAAGTGGGTTTTGTATATAAATACTGTATTAAAAATTAGGCAATTACCAAAAATCCTTTTATGGAAACCATTTTTTTAAAAAGTGAATGTACACAAATCCACAGAGGACTGTGGCTGGACATTCATCTAAATAAATTTGAATATACGACACTTTTCTCACTTGAATGCTGTCTGCCTGACGTCTGCCTGGGAAACTCACAGGCCGTCCCCAGAGTCCAGTGACCCTGCAAACTCAGCACTGACGGACAGGCATCTCTTTCCTTTGGTGCCGGCCTGCGCATGGCTCTAAATGTTCTTGGGACTTCATCTTTCTGTACGTGTGTGCATTTGTGCATGCACATGTGTGTGCCTATTCATTTGCATGTGTTTTGCATGCATCATGTGCACGCATGTTCGCATTTGCTTGTGTGCATGTGCCTGTGTCTTTACATGTTTGTGTACATCACGTGTGTATGTATGCATTTGTATTTGCTTGTATTTGCATATGGGTGCAGGTGTGTGTGCATGTGGACACGTGTGCATATATGCATGTGTGTGTATATGTCTATGTGTGCATGCACGTGTGTATACAGTGCGTGTGTGTACTTGTGAATGCCTGTGTTTATGTGTTTGCATGGTTTATGTATGTATTATCCGTTCTCACACTGCTATAAAGAACTACCTGAGCCCAGGTGTGGTGGCTCACACCTGTAATCCCAGCACTTTGGGAGGACAAGGCGGGTGGATTGCTGGAGGTGAGGAGTTCAAGACCAGCCTGGCCAACATGGCAAAATCCCATCTCTCCAAAAAAAAAAGTTACATAAAAATTAGTCGAGCATGGTGGCGCACACCTGTCATCTCAGCTACTGGGGAGGCTGAGGCAGGAGAATCACTTGAACCTGGGAAGCAAAGGCTGCAGTGAACCGAGATCATGCCATAGCACACCAATCTGGGTGACAGAGTTAGACCCCATCTCAAAAAATATATAAATAAATAGAACTACCTGAGACTGGATAATTTACGAAGAAAAGAGGTTTAATTGACTCACACTTTTGCATGCTTAACAGGAGGCATGACTGAGAGGTCTCAGGAAACTTAACGATCGTAGCAGAAAGCAAAGGGGAAGCAAGCACGTCTTCACAATGGTGGAGCAGGAGAGAGCGAGCAAAGGGGACAAGTGCCACATTTTCAAACCATCAGATGTTGTGAGAACTCACCCACTATCACAAGAACAGCATGGCGGAAATGCGCCTCATGATTCAACCACCTCCCACCAGGTCCCGCCCTCGACACGTGGGGATTACAATTTAACATGAGATTCAGGTGGGGACAGAGCCAAACCATGTCAGTGTGCATCACCCCAGGGTTCACACACGTGTTTGCCTTTGCCTGTGTTTGTATATGCATATGTGCTGTGTGTGTGCATATGTGCCGGTGTGTGTGCATATGTGCTGGTGTGTGTGCATATGTGCTGTGTGTGCATATGTGCTGTGTGTGTGTGCATATGTGCTGGTGTGTGTGCATATATGCTGTGTGTGCGCATATGTGCTGGTGTGTGTGTGCATGTGTGCTGTGTGTATGCATATGTGCTGTGTGTGCATGTGTGCTGGCGTGTGTGTGTGCATGTGTGCTGGTGTGTGTGTGCATATGTGCTGGTGTGTGTGTGCATGTGTGCTGGTGTGTGTGTATATGTGCTGATATGTGTGCATATATGCTAGTGTGTGTGCATATGTGCTGGTGTGTGTGTGTGCATGTGTGCTGGTGTCTGCATATATGCTAGTGTGTGTATGCATGTGTGCTTGTGTGTGTGCATATGTGCTGGTGTGTGTGTGCATATGTGCTGGTGTGTGTGCATATATGCTAGTGTGTGTGTGCATGTGTGCTGGTGTGTGTGCATATGTACTGGTGTCTGAGTGTGCTTGTGTGTATGCACAGATGTACCACATATTCCTCTGTGTTTGTGTGTGTGTGTGTGTGTGTGTGTGTGTGTATGTTGGGATGGGGGATTGTGGTCACACTTTCTAGCAGGCTCTTCCAAGAATCCCATATCTCGACCTCTGATCCCACAACCCAACAGACTAGTATTTAGGGTTTCATGGACCCCAAATTTCTTCAAAACGTTTTGGGACTGACCTTGGGTTGTCAATGTTTTCATTTGGGCAAGTGGGGACATTTTTTTAGAACCGTCACCTATAATCACTATCACTTCATAAAAGAACGTATATTTTTAACAGCGTCAGCAAAGCAGTATGGCGCTTCGGGCTGGGGACAGTGTCCTTGTGCGGCCCTCGGCGTCGGCCACCTTCCCTTCACCGCCAGGACAAGGCAGGGCCTCTTTCGACCTGTGGCAGGCCTCGGGCGCCCCCTTGTGCTGGCTCTCCTCAGCACAGCGCCTTGCCACCTTGGTCAGGCGCATCCTCCTAAAGCTTGGGCCCCACATTCTCGATCCTGTAGGGAGGGCCCAAGGAGAACGGCACCCACTTTCTCAATCCTGTAGGGAGGGCTCAGGGAGAACGGCACCCAGGATTGGCATCGCGGGAACCCCTTCCCTCTGCCCTCCTGTCTCCATGGGTCCTCCCAGAGCCTGGGAGGGCACAGGTGGGGACCTTCAGCCACATCTGATAGATGAGGAAACAGGCTCTTGACCAAGATCTCAGGGCGCTTTAATGCCAAGTCTGAAGGCCAGACCTCATAAACATGTATGGAACATTCAAGAAACATTTATTGAACTCCTACTGTAGGCCAAGTGCAGCGGCTCATGCTGGTAATCCCACATGAGGGATTACTGCATTGAGAGGCCCAGACAGAAGGATTGCTTGAGCCCAGGAGTTCGAGACCAGCCTGGGCAACATAGCAAGACCCTGTCTCTACAAGAAATAAAAAAATTAGCTGGGCATGGTGGCGGGCACCTGTGGCCCCAGCTACTCGAGAGAGTGAGGTAGGAGAATCACTTGAGCCCAGGAGGTCAAGGCTGCAGTGAGCTATGATTGCATCACTGCACTGCAGCCTGGGCAACAGAGCAAAACCCTGTCTCAAAAAATAAATAAAAATTAGACCAGGTGCAGTGGCTCACGTCTGTAATTCTAGCACTTTGGGAGGCCGAGGTGGATGACTTGAGGCCAGGAGTTCAAGACCAGCCTGGCCAACAGAGTGAAACCCAGTCTCTAAGTAAAAAAAAAATATATATATATATATATATATATATATATATATATATACACACACACACCAAAAAAAAATGAACTCCCACTGTGTGTCAGGCACTAGGACGAGAAGGGTGAAGAACAAGGACACAGCCCCTTCCCTCCCACATGACATTCTCACAAAGGAAGTCCAATGCTGAACCAGAAAATCAACCGTGGAACCAGACAACTTCAGAAAAGGGAGCGCTGATGAAAATCCAGCAGGGAGTGTGACTGACTGAGGGTGAGTGACTACACTGCGCAGGGAGGCCCCTTGGGACTTGAGCAACAAGGAGCCAGAAACACACAACAGTCGGTGCACAGGCCAAGGCAGCAGCTGCTGGACGAGCTCCAGGAGCAGAGGGGCAGGGAGGTGACAGGAGACGCAGGAGAGGTGGCTAGAGACGACTCATGCAGGGCTCCGGCTGAGTGAAGACTTTGAACTTGGTGGTAGGTGCCATGGGCAGGGCTGGGCAGTGTCTATGAGGGCAGTGATGGGATCTGACTTATGTTTGGGGTCATGGCTGCTGTAGGGTGGAAACTGCAGCCAGTGCCGCTATTATACAGATGGGCACAGGAGGCTCAGAGAGGCTCAGGGCTCCACTGCAGCCATCCACAAGCTGGCAGCACATCACCCCTTGGACCCAGGAGCCTGGCACAAAAAGTCTTCTACTACTGGTCCCTAGAGTAGTGTGGCTGGGGGCAGGGTTGGGGGCGAGCCCAGCGGGCCCTGAGGTCTGAGGGCACCGGCTGCACCACCAGGCCTGGCAATGACACACTGGTGGCCGGCCATGCAGGTTCCGCTGCTCTCCTCTGAGGGTGGAGGTGGACCATGAATAGCATCAAGCCCAAGACAACCTCTGTTCGGTAGGTTCAGCACATGTTAACTTTTGAAGTTAATTTAATATATGAAAACCAGGCATTTAAAGTCCACGTTTGCATGTTCTGCTGAGAAATCACACCTTCTGCTGCACAGCCCCACGTTCGCCAGGTCTCATGCTCACATTCGACTGCAGCCCGGTGGGGCCTGCCCTTCCTGAGTCTCCTCACCCTCCCAAACATGCCTGCCCACTGGCTATGGGGGCAGCTGAGGCTGGGGCCTCCCTAGACAAGCCTCAGACCAAGGTCCCTGTCTGTGGATCTGGAACCAGCAGTGGGATTGAGAGCTTGGCCAAAGTGTGTGCTTGAAGCAGGGCTGTCTCCACCCCAAGGCTGGACTCAGAGCCCTGCCCAAAGCACTCACATCACCAAATCCTACACACTCATCTTCAGGCCCCCAGGAGTCATTTGTGTGCCCCTGACCCCAGGTGATATGTGTCCTCACATGTCAGGCAACATTTACCTGCCCATGTTTTGTAAGAGCCACAGCAAAGAACATAAATGCTAACACTTACCAGAAAACAGGCCAGAAGGAAGTACTGGCACAGTGCCAGGCACAGAGGAGGCACCAGAAAGTGCTGAATTAATGAATAAGCAAGCAAGGATTAGATGGATAGATGGATGGGGGATAGACGGATGAACGTTTGGGTGGTGGACAGATGGATGGATGGATGGAAGCATGGATGGATGGATAGATTGATGGATGGATGTGTGGGTGGATGGATGGATGGATGGATGGATGGATGGTGGATGGGTGGATGGATAAATGTGTGGATGGATGGATGGATATGTGGATGGATGGATGGTGGATGAATGGATGGATGGATGGATGGATGGATGGATGGATGGATTGGGTGAATGAATGGATGTGTGGATGGATGGATGGATTGGGTGAATGAATGGATGTGTGGATGGATGGATGGATGGATGGATGGATGGATGGATGGATGGATGGATTGGGTGAATGAATGGATGTGTGGATGGATGGATGGATTGGGTGAATGAATGGATGTGTGGATGGATGGATGGATGGATGGTGGATGAATGGATGGATGGTAGATGAATGGATGGATGGATGGATGAATGGATGGATGGATGGATGAGTGGATGGATGGATGGATGGATGGATTGGGTGAATGAATGGATGTGTGGATGGATGGATGGATTGGGTGAATGAATGGATGTGTGGATGGATGGATGGATGGATGGATGGATGGATGGATGGTGGATGGTTGGATGGATGTGTGGATGGATTGGGTGGATGGATGTGTAAGTGGATGGATGGATTGGGTGGACGGATGGATGGACTGGGTGAATGGATGGATGGATGGTGGATGAGTGAATGTGTGGGTGAATGGATGCATTGATTGAATGGATGTGTGAATGGATGAAGGGATCGAGTGGATGGATGTGTGAATGGATGGATGGATGGTGGATGAGTGAGTGGATGTGTGGGTGAATGGATGCATTGATTGGGTGGATGGATGGATGGATGTGTGGATGGATGGTAGATGGGTGGGTAGATGGTAGATGGATGGTGGATGGATAGATGAATGGATAGAAGGATGGATGGATGTGTGGATGGATGGATAGATGGATGGATGGATGCTGGATGAATGGATGGATGGATGGTGGATGGGTGGATGGATGTGTGGACGGATGAATGGGTGAAAGGATGGATGTATGGATGGATGTGTGGATGGATGGATAGATGTGTGGATGGATGGGTGGAAGGATGAATGGATGGGTAGATGGGTGAGTAGATGGATGGATGGATAGGTGGATGGACGGATGGATAGATAGATAGGTGGATGGATGGATGGATGGGTGGGTGGATGGATGGATGGATGGGTGGATGGATGGATGGATAGATGCATGTATGGGTGGATGGATGGAAAATAGACTGACAATTGGGTCTTTTTGCCTTTGAGATGAATGGGCCTCAGGATCAAGTTAGCAGGAGTGTTGGTGGAGGAGGTAAGGGGGTAGTGGAAGGTAAATCTGATGCCTTCTGACCTGAAGACATGCTCACAGCAAGCAGTTCACCCCCACTCACTCACACAGCCTTGGCAGAAGAGCAAAAGGCAAAGAGACAGCTTATGCCTGGAGACATGGGACCAGCCCAGGCATTTTCATCTGGCTTCCTCAGATGGGATGGTGTCTGCTGCCCCTGCCAGAGCCTGCCCAGAATGCAGCCATGGGGCAAAGGCTCAGCAAACACCTCATTTCCTCAGCCCTGCCAAGTCATGTATTTACTATTGTCCATTTCCCTTCCCTTCTCCCCCTCTTCCTCACACAATTTTCATTAAAGTAAAACATAGAGAAAATTGCACAAAAGTGTACAGTCAAGCAACTTCCACAAAAAAATACACACTTTTGGGGCTGGGCACAGTGGCTCACGCCTGTAACCCCAGCACTTTGGGAGGCTGAGGTGAGAGGAGTGCAGTGGTGCAACCTTGAGTTCAAGAGTTTGAGACCAACCTGGGCAACATGGCAAGACCCTGTCTCTACAAAAAATAAATTTTTTTTAAAAAAAAGCTAAAAATTAGTCAGGTGTTGTGGCATGCACCTGTAGTCCCAGCTACTTGGGAGGCTGAGGTGGGAGGATGGCTTGAGCCTGAGAGATCAAGGCTGCAGTGAGCCGTGATTATGTCACTGTACCCCAACCTGGGCAACAGAGAATTTGTCTCCAAAAACAAAAACAAAATCCCACTTCTGTAGCCAGGACTCAGACACTGAATGAGCACGTCCTAAATATTCCCTCAAACTCCCTTCTCACAGTGGCTGTAGCCACTACCCGGACCTGGTTCCAACCTCGGCAGCAGAAATTCTTTCTCCTGCTTTTGCTTGTTGGTGGCTGCTGCCCTCTTCTGGCTGCCTGCAGGAGCTGCACTCAGGGAAGGGAAAGGCCCCGCACCTGGCACCTACCTTAGTGTTGTTGTGTAGTGTTGTGTTGTGTTGTGTTGTGTTGTGTTGTGTTGTGTTGTGTTGTGTTGTGTTGTGTTGCGTTGTGTTTTTTTGAGATGGAGTCTCGCTCTGTTGCCCAGGCTGGAGTGCAGTGGTGCGATCTTGGCTCACTGCAACCTCCGCCTCCCTGGTTCAAGTGATTCTCCTGCCTCAGCCTCCCGAGTAGCTGGGACTACAGGCACCCGCCACCATGCCTGGCTAATTTTTGCATTTTTAGTAGAGACAGGGTTTCACCATATTGGCCCAGCTGGCCTGGAACTTCTGACCCTGTGATCCGCCCGCCTCGGCCTCCCAAAGTGCCGGGATTACAGGCGTGAGCCACTGCACCCGGCCTTAGTTTTCTATTAGGTTGGTGCAAAACCACGATTAGTTTGCACCAACCTAAAATATTTGCTGTGGTGGCAAATGACCACCAACTCTGCGGCCCAAAACAACACGAATTTATTCTGTTACTACAGGTCAGGTTTCTGGCACAGGCCTCACTAGGCTAAAATCGACGTGCCTGCACAGCTGGCTCCCTCTGGAAGCTCCGGGGGAGGTCCGTGCCTTCTCCAGCATCCAGAGGCCCTTGTCTTCCCGTCTGTGACCCCTTCCTGGCCACGTCTTCGTGCTGCCTCTTCTCTGGTTCTTCTTTTATGAGGCCTCATGATTAGACTGGGTCTGCAGGGTTAAACCAAGAAAACCAAGACGATCTCCCCATCTCAAAGTTCTTAATCTTCATGGCTTTTTTTTTTTTTTTTTGAGACGGGGTTTCACTCTTGTCACCTAGGCTGGAGTGCAATGGCACAGTCTCGGCTCACTGCAACCTCTACCTCTCAGGTTCAAGGGATTCTCCTGCCTCAGCCTCCCAAGTAGCTGGGATTTTTGTATTTTAGTAGAGATGGGGTTTCATCACATTGGCCAGGCTGATCTTGAACTCCTGACCTCAGGTGATCCGCCCACCTCGGCCTCCCAAATTGCTGAGATTACAGGTGTGAGCCACTGTGCCCGGCCTCTTCATGGCATCTTAAAGTCTCTTTTGCCATGCTGACGAACATAGCTGCAGGTCTGCGCATCAGGGTGAGGGCCGGCAGGGATGTGGACATTTGGGGTATTCTGCCTACCACAGAGCCCTGCCCCTCAGGAAGCAGTCTCTTTTTTTGGAAAAAACACTACCCCCAAGGAGAGCCAAGGATGCCCACATATTTAGAATAGCCTTGGACATTAATGACATTATTCTAAATATGCCCACATATTTAGAATAGCCTTGGACATTAATGACAAAGACCAAAATGGGCCAGGTGCAGTGGCTCACGCCTGTAATCCCAACACTTTGGGAGGCTGAGGCGGGTGGATCACGAGGTCAGGAGATCAAGACCATTCTGGCTAACAAGGTGAAACCCCATCTCTACTAAAAAATACAAAAAAAACAAAAAATAGCCGGGCGTGATGGCAGGCTCCTGTAGTCCCTGCTACTCGGGAGGCTGAGGCAGGAGAATGGTGTGAACCGGGGAGGCGGAGCCTGCAGTGAGCTGAGTTCGCACCTCTGCACTCCAGCCTGGGTGACAGAGCGAGACTCCGTCTCAAAAAAAAATAAAATAAAATAAAAAAAGGCCAGGCGTGGTGGCTCACGCCTGTAATCCCAGCATTTGGGAGGCCAAGGCGGGCGGATCACCTGAGGTCAGGAGTTAGAGACCAGCCCAGCCAACATGGTGAAACCCCATCTATACTAAAAATACAAAAATTAGCTGGGCATGGTGGCACACACCTGTAGTCCCAGCTACTCAGGAGGCTGAGGCAGGAGAATTGCTTGAACCCGGGAGACAGAGGTTGCAGTGAACCGAGATCACGCCACTGCACTTCAGCCTGGGCAACAGAGCGAGACTCCATCTCAAAAAAAATAAAAAAGAAAAAAAATATATATATATATATAAAATAATAAATAAAATAAAATTCATATAGCAAGACAGAGGCCCTCGAATAGCTAAAAGAATCTTGACAAAGCAAAATACAATGGGAGAAATTGCTGTAGCCAGTATTAAGGTTTACTATATAGCTACACTAATCAAGAAAAGGTCATATGGTGCTTTTTCAGCCTCCCTCACTGGCTTCCCCACATCTCCCAGCCCCTTAAAGGTGGACACCCCTAGGCTCATCTGTTGGTCATCTTTATTCTTTTTCTTTTTTCTGAGACGTGGTCTCACTCTGTCACCCAGGCTGGAGTGCAGCGGCATGATCACAGCTCACTGCAGCCTCAACCTACTGGGCTCAAGCGATCCTCCCACCTCAGCCTCCCCAGTAGTTGAGACTACAGGCGTGTGGCACCACGCCCAGCTAATTTTTTAAATTTTTTGTAGAGATGAAGTCTTACTGCATTGCCCAGGCTGGTCTCAAACTCCTGAGCTCAAGTGATCCTCCCATCTTGGCATCCCAAAGTGCTGAGATTACAGGGGTGAGCCATTGAGCCCAGTTGGTCATCCAGTCACCTTTTCTATCCCTCTTCATAGGTGACTGCACTCTTTTGGTTTTTTCAACACAATCTATCTGCAGGCAACTCTCAAATTCACCTCTTCTCCCTGTCATCTCATGCCCCTCACTGACCAGTCAACATCTCCACCAAAACATCTAATAGGTATCTGTATTAGCTTTCTGTTGCTTATAGCAGAATACATGAAACTGAATAATTTACAAAGAAAAGAAATTTCTTTCTTTTTTTTTTTTTTTTTTTTTTGAGACAGGTTCTCACTCTGTCACCCAGCCTGGAGTGCAGTGGCTCGATCTCAGCTCACTGCAACCTCTGCCTCCCAGACTCAAATGATCATCCCACCTCAGCCTCCAGAGTATCTGTGACTACAGGTGCATACGCGGCTAATTTTTTTCTGTATTTTTTTGTAGAGATGGGGTTTCACCATGTCGCCTGAGCTGGACTTGAACTCCTTAGCTCAAGCTATCCACCCTCCTTGGCCTCCCAAAGTGCTGGGATTACAGGTGTGAGTCCCTGCACCTGGCCCAGAAATTTCTTTCTTATAGTTATGGAGTCAGAGAAGTCCAAGGTCAAGGGTCCACTTTCGGGGAGGGTCTTCCTGCTGGCGGGGGCTCTCTGTGGAGTCTGCAGAGTTTTGAGGCGATGCAGGGTATCACGTGATGAGGGAGCTTAGTGTGATCCTCCCCCATAATAACTCATCAGTCCATTAACCCATTAATGGAGGAGACAAACATTCAAACCATAGCAGCATCTCACACACACATCCCAAGCCAATCTCGGTCCTCCCTCAAGCCCACCCCACCCGCACCTTCCCGGTTTCCATCAATGGATGGACCAGCCTTCAAAGTTTACAGGGTATCCTGCATTCTCTAGTTTATGCGCATCCCCAATCTAAAGAAGGCTGCCCTCTCTCACCACCTCCACTGCTACCTGCCCTCTGGTCTGAGTGCACTGCCTTTCATTCGGATTATTGTAGTCCCCTGGCTTCTAACCAGCAACCAGCGTGATCTTTAAAAATGTAACTCGAGGTATGAGAATCGCTTGAACCTGGGAGGCGGAGGTTGCAGTGAACTGAGATCTCGCCACTGCGCTCCAGCCTGGGTGACAGAATGAGACTCCATCTCAGAAAAAAAAAAAAAAAAAGAAAAAAAGAAAAAAAGCTGGGCACGCTGGCTCATACCTGTAATCCCAGAACTTTGGGAGATCAAGGCAGGCAGATCACCTGAGGTCAGGAGTTCCAGACCAGCCTGGCCAATATGGTGAAACCGTGTCTCTGCTAAACATACACAATGCAGGAGATTGGTCAAGGTGGTAGGAGAAATTATAAAGATAAAGTTATAGGAAATAGACACAAACTTTCTTGGAAGGCCGGAAGGTTTGCATAGCTTCAGTAAAAGATTTGGCTGAAGGTAGCTGAATTCTCTTAAAAGTTTAGGGCGTAGATACATAGGAATGTAGAGGAGTTTATCTAAATAGCTTGTTCACTCATGTTGTCCTAAAACAGACCTTTGATCATTCACGGGCAGGACTACTCTCTCTGAGGGAGGGCAACCAGATTAATTACCCACAAATGTGTTGACTCAAAGCCTTTGTCATTAAGTCTGTGCTGAATAAATGCCTGCAGGACCAGCTAGTCAGGCCGCGGGGCTGGAACAACTCTTTTTGTGAAAGGTCCAGCCCCCTAGCCAGCTCTTTCACTGAATACTGGTGTCTGAGTACATTATTCATCTGTAGTGCAGCCCAGGTCTGTGGGTCAGACCCTGGCAAGTTAGCCGGATGTGGTGACACATGCCTGTGATCCCAGCTACTCGGGAGGCTGAGGCACGAGAATCTCCTGAACCCAGGAGGCAGAGGTTGCAGTGAGCCAAGATCGTGCCACTGCACTCCAGTCTGGGGCAACACAGTGAGACCCCATCTCAAAAAAAAAATGTAACTCAAGACCAGACACGGTGGTCACACCTGAAATTCCAGCACTTTGAGAGGCTGAGGCTAGTGGATCACTTGAGCCCAGGAGCTCAAGACCAGCCTGGGGAATATGGCAAAATCCTGTTTCTACAAAAAAAAAAAAAAAAAATGAAAATTAGCCAGGGGTGGTGGTATGTACCTGTAATCCCAACTACTCAGGAGGCTGAAATGGGAGGATCGCTTGAGCCCAGGAGGCTGCAGTGAGCTATGACTGTGCCACTGCACTCTAGCCTGGGTGACAAAGCAAGACCCTGTCTCAATAAATAAATAAACAAAATAAAACTGTAACTCAGTGTTCATAGCAGCATTATTCACAACAGCCAAAAAGTGGAAGCAAAGGCAATGTCCATCCTCCGATGAATGGATAGACACACTGTGGCACCCAAACACCCAGACAGTGGAATAGTATGCATCCATAAAAAGGAAGGAGGCTGGGCACAGTGGCTCACGCCTGTAATCCCAACACTTTGGGAGGGTGAGGCAAGAGGATCACTTGAGGCCAGGAGTTTGAGACCAGGCTGGCCAACATGGCAAAGCCCTGTCTCTACTAAAAATACAAAAATTAGCCTGGCATAGTGGCACACACCTACAATCCCAGCTAGTCAGGAGGCTAAGGCACAAGAAACGAGAGTCGCTTGAGCCCGGGAGGCAGAGGCTGCAATGAGCCGAGATTGTGCCACTGCACTCCAGCCTGGACAAAAGAGTGACACTCTGTCTCAAAGAAAAAAAAGGAATGAAGTACTCATATGTTCTACATCATGGATGAACCTTGAAAATGATGCTGAAAACAGCCAGACACAAAATGCCACATACTGTATGGTTCTGTACACATGGAATGTCCAGAATTGGCAAATCCATAGATTTTAAAAAGTAGATTCGGCAGGGCACAGTGGCTCACGCCTGTAATCCCAGCACTTTGGGAGGCTGAGGCTCACTTGAGGTCAGGAGTTCAAGACCAGCCTGGCCAACATGGTGAAACCCTGTCTCTACTAAAATACAAAAATTAGCTAGGCATGGTGGCAGGCACCTGTAATCCCAGCTACTCAGGAGACTGAAGCAGGAGAATTGTTTGAACCCGGGAGGTAAAGGTTGCAGTGAGCCCAGATCGCACCACTGCACTCCAGCCTGGCCATAGAGCGAGACTCTGTCTCAAAACAGCAAAAAAAAAAAAAAAAAGAAAGAAAGAAAAAAAAAGTAGATTCGTGGTTGGTGGGGGAGGGGAGGAGTACATGCTAATGGGTTTCTTCTTGGGGTGATGAAAATGTCCTAAAGTTAGACAGCAGTAAGGGTTGCACAACCTTGTGACTACACTAAAAACCACTGAAGTATAACTTTAAAAGGGTGAATTGAATGGTATGTGAATTATATCTCAAGAAAACAAACTCAGCTGGCATCAGCCCCTGCCCCACCCTGTGGTAAAGCTGGGTCCTTGTTGGCTGGTGAGGGCTCTCCTAATCTGCACCCCCTCCTCACCTCCAGACCCACGGCATTGCTGCTCCTGGAACCCCAGCCGTCCCCTGTGCTCTGCTCTTCTGTTCTCCGTGTGCCCAGCTCTTCCCCCCACACCTAGGTACCCGGCCCCTCCCAGCCTTCACCTGCGCCTTTACAGAGGCCCCATCAGACCACCGGGCCCCCCACCCTCCACACGCCCACCCCGTGAAGAGACTCCCTTTCCCCTGGCTCTTCTGAATTTCTGGCATACTATACGATTTCCTTATTTTTCCTTATTTTTATTTTTTAATAGAGACGGGGTCTCACTATGTTACCCAGGCTGGTCTCGAACCCCTTGTCTCAATCAATCCTGCCTCAGCCTCCCAAAGTGCGGGCATTGCAGGCTGAGCCACCACGGCCGCCACGACCTTCTCTTCTGGAGCGTGTCGCTTTTGTAATTATGATGTAAACTCCGGGCACGCGGGGACCCTCGCGCTTCGCTCACTAATTTGTCCCCAGACCCTACTACCTGGCACAGTAGGCGCTCAATACTGTTGATTGAATAAACGACTGCTACTTTGGAAATCATGTATTATTTAAATCACATGTTTAAACGCACATAAACTTCTGAGTAGTGTTTTCTGCACACACAAGATGTCTCCAGGGGCACCAAAGAATGCATTTTCCACGTTTGTCCCTAAACGTTAATGCATAAGTAACCTTGGTCACCAACAGATGTGAGGGCACGTGACGTTCGGGCTGCGCCCTCCCCGCCCCGGCCCTGCACACAGTAGGGCCGCACCGCGCTTTGCAAACAGGTGGACTCGGCAGAGGCGCGACCGCCCTCACCGCAGAGAGCTGGGCCACCTGCAGGCTCTCAGGACACCCAAGGCCCCACCTCCCACCCGGAAAAGAGACGATACGCCGGGCGCAGGCGCAGAAGCCGCGCCCGTCCGCGGCGCCGCCAGCCAGGGCGGAAACGGCTGCGGCTTCGCTAGGGACGCATGCGCGGGTCCCTTAGTTTTCGCGAGATAACGGTCGAAAACGCGCTCTTGTCGATTTCCTGTAGTGAATCAGGCACCGGAGTGCAGGTTCGGGGGTGGAATCCTTGGGCCGCTGGGCAAGCGGCGAGACCTGGCCAGGGCCAGCGAGCCGAGGACAGAGGGCGCACGGAGGGCCGGGCCGCAGCCCCGGCCGCTTGCAGACCCCGCCATGGACCCGTTCCTGGTGCTGCTGCACTCGGTGTCGTCCAGCCTGTCGAGCAGCGAGCTGACCGAGCTCAAGTTCCTATGCCTCGGGCGCGTGGGCAAGCGCAAGCTGGAGCGCGTGCAGAGCGGCCTAGACCTCTTCTCCATGCTGCTGGAGCAGAACGACCTGGAGCCCGGGCACACCGAGCTCCTGCGCGAGCTGCTCGCCTCCCTGCGGCGCCACGACCTGCTGCGGCGCGTCGACGACTTCGAGGCGGGGGCGGCGGCCGGGGCCGCGCCTGGGGAAGAAGGTGGGCGCGGGGCCGGGCCGGGGGAGCCAGGGCCTGGTCGCCCGGCTGTAGGTGCTGCGAGGCTCCTCCGGTTGGCCTCCAGGCGCCTCCCCTTTGCCGGGTTTGATTTGCGTGGGTTTTCTCCGTACAGCCCTGGTTTTGCAGATGGGAGAGCCAGAAACGCAGAAAAGTTAACTTATTCGAGGTTGCAGGGCGTGGACACGCACAGTCCTTTTTCCTCCACCCACTTCTGCCCGGGTAAATTAGAAAACTCACTGAAGAAAAGATGAGTCAGAGAAGGTGTGGGGGAGGGGCAGAGGTTGGGTGAGCCTGCCTCGCATCATTTCCTTTCTGTCTCGGAATATGCTTTTCACGGCTGTCTGAGAGTAATACTAGCATTCAGTAACTCCTACCCAGGGGCTTACAGTGTGCCGCTTACCCTTGTAACTGCCAAATACAATTTTCGCAGTAGCCCTGTGGCTTAGATACTGTTAGCTATCACTGTTCCCATTTTACAGAGGACAGGACTGTGGCTCACAGGTTAAGTGGCTTTGTCGAAATGCGCAGCCGATAACTGACGGAGCTAGGCTTGAGCCAAGCAGTCCGGCCTCCGGATGGGTAGTGTTAGCCACTACACTGCCTCTCTGGTCAAGTTCATTGTGGAGTGGCTTCCTGTCCTGCTCTCGGTCACTCCCTCTCCACCCTCGCCTGTGGATTGCAGCAGCTTCCAGGATAAAAAAGAAACCCTGAGTACAGCAGAGTTTCTCAGCCCTACCCCCCTTGTTCTCAGAGTCGGGAGAGGCTTGGGAGTGCTCTGGGGACGCCTCTCAGAGGCTTCAAGCTGTAGCTTGGAATCAGCCATTCAGTCACCAATCAGATAGGGCCTAAATGTGTCACCATGGGTTTCACTCTGTAAAGACTGGTGCCTGTTGGGGACAGGATGGACAGAACAGCTCTCTGCCTGAGAGCAGTCAAGTCCAGATTTTAAAAAAAATCAGTACTGAACAAACAAAACAGGACGTAGAAAAATCGGGTTTTATGGATATTTAATGTCTGGAAAAACACTGATAAATTGCATTTTAAAGGCGGTCTACGAAACATAGCTGACATTTGAGATGTATGTGTGCTTGGTTTTATTTATATCGTCATGTAGTTACTGTGTGCTGGGAAAAGTACACCAGAAGGTGAGCGGTGGGTATGGACAGGTTGGTAGCGGGCGACTCTGCCTTCCTCCCCAGAAGTTCAGCATAGCGGTTAAGGGTCGACTCTGGCACCACACTCTTAGGGTTTCAGAACATGGCTCTGCCATCGTCTAGCTACACGATCTCAGGAATGTCCATTAGCTTCCCTGTGCCTCAATTTCCTCATCTGTACAGTCATGGTAACACAGTGCCCAGCCCACAGGGCTGTCAGAGCTGCGGGAGCTGGTACACCTGCCAACGGTGTCTCAGAATTGCCAGTAGTCCAAGCAGCACCCTGTCCTGCCTCTCCTTTCCTCTCTTCACATTCCAGAAGCGGCCTTTTATGGTCTTGTGACCAGCTCCCTGATCTCAGTGGTGACGTCAGCAGATGAGGAGTATGGTAGCCAGGGACTGAAGACTGGTGGTCACTCGGGGCAGCTTTCTAAATAACAATTGGAGTGCCTACTAGTTTCCTGTGATTGCCATAACAAATGATCACAAATCTGGTGGCCTGAAGCAATAGAAATCTACCCCCTCAATCTGGAGGCCAGAAATCTGAATAAGCAGGGTGCCACAGACCGGCACACCCTCGGAATGCTGTTGGGGAGGCTCCTTCCGGGTCTCGTCCGCTTTGTGGTGGCTCCAGGCATTCTTTGACTTGTGGCCGCTTCACTCCAGGCTCACACGGCCTTCCCTGTGTGTCTCCTGCAAGGATACCTATCATTGGTGCATCCAGGTCATCCAGGATGATCTCCTCTCAAGACCCTCAGCTTACCTTTGCAAAGATGCTTTTTCCAAAGAACATTCATGGTTTCAGCAATTTCACGTGAACATACCTTGGGGTGACATCGTTCAGCCTGCTGTAGGGCAGGATGTGGGATCAACCCTATTTTCTTCCCTCCCACAACTCCCCAGCCCCTCCCTCAGTGTCTCCTGCTCTAAGTAGGTAGCTCCACTACAACTTCCTTTGGCACTTGAGTCTTCAGTGGGCCACGCCTCCTAGGACAGTATTAGAGAGCAGGGGGTTTGGCTGAGGTGGAATCAGGCCACTCTTGGGCATTTGGTGCAGCCCCTTTGCTGCCAGGCGACTCTAGCCTCTACAGAGGACCTCGTGTAGGCACCTCTGTCCACTCAGCACTTGGCGTCTGTGCTGAAAAGCCCTAGGGAGGATTGTGGGGTCGCTTGTCTCCAAACCTATGGTAAACCGTTCTGTTCTTTCCTTCCCAGACCTGTGTGCAGCATTTAACGTCATATGTGATAATGTGGGGAAAGATTGGAGAAGGCTGGCTCGTCAGCTCAAAGTCTCAGACACCAAGATCGACAGCATCGAGGACAGATACCCCCGCAACCTGACAGAGCGTGTGCGGGAGTCACTGAGAATCTGGAAGAACACAGAGAAGGAGAACGCAACAGTGGCCCACCTGGTGGGGGCTCTCAGGTCCTGCCAGATGAACCTGGTGGCTGACCTGGTACAAGAGGTTCAGCAGGCCCGTGACCTCCAGAACAGGAGTGGGGCCATGTCCCCGATGTCATGGAACTCAGACGCATCTACCTCCGAAGCGTCCTGATGGGCCGCTGCTTTGCGCTGGTGGACCACAGGCATCTACACAGCCTGGACTTTGGTTCTCTCCAGGAAGGTAGCCCAGCACTGTGAAGACCCAGCAGGAAGCCAGGCTGAGTGAGCCACAGACCACCTGCTTCTGAACTCAAGCTGCGTTTATTAATGCCTCTCCCGCACCAGGCCGGGCTTGGGCCCTGCACAGATATTTCCATTTCTTCCTCACTATGACACTGAGCAAGATCTTGTCTCCACTAAATGAGCTCCTGCGGGAGTAGTTGGAAAGTTGGAACCGTGTCCAGCACAGAAGGAATCTGTGCAGATGAGCAGTCACACTGTTACTCCACAGCGGAGGAGACCAGCTCAGAGGCCCAGGAATCGGAGCGAAGCAGAGAGGTGGAGAACTGGGATTTGAACCCCCGCCATCCTTCACCAGAGCCCATGCTCAACCACTGTGGCGTTCTGCTGCCCCTGCAGTTGGCAGAAAGGATGTTTTGTCCCATTTCCTTGGAGGCCACCGGGACAGACCTGGACACTAGGGTCAGGCGGGGTGCTGTGGTGGGGAGAGGCATGGCTGGGGTGGGGGTGGGGAGACCTGGTTGGCCGTGGTCCAGCTCTTGGCCCCTGTGTGAGTTGAGTCTCCTCTCTGAGACTGCTAAGTAGGGGCAGTGATGGTTGCCAGGACGAATTGAGATAATATCTGTGAGGTGCTGATGAGTGATTGACACACAGCACTCTCTAAATCTTCCTTGTGAGGATTATGGGTCCTGCAATTCTACAGTTTCTTACTGTTTTGTATCAAAATCACTATCTTTCTGATAACAGAATTGCCAAGGCAGCGGGATCTCGTATCTTTAAAAAGCAGTCCTCTTATTCCTAAGGTAATCCTATTAAAACACAGCTTTACAACTTCCATACTACAAAAAATTTTCTATTCCTGTTGGTGGTTCTTTCATTTTGGATATGCTGGATATTCCCAGTACAGCCAGTTTGAGGATCCCTGTCAAGGGCTCCAACCTGGGAGGGGTGGCTGGATTTCCTGACAGCTCGCTAGCTGCTCATGAGCAGTGTCTGCCCTTAGCAAACAGTGGTCTGCTAGGGTAGCTTTTGCCGCTCTTAGAATTTGCCTGCACCACCAACAGTATCAGAATCAAAGCCAAGTGGCTATTCTCTGTCCCAGTTCACCAGCTATGACCTTGGGAAAGTCCAGTGTGCCGTCCCATAGGTGGGATCTTAGCCAAGGCCGCAGGACACTGTCCCCAGTAAGCCGTGGACCCCGGCCTTTAAGCCCCTCCACACCTTCACCTGACGCTTCCAGGTGCCAGACTCCTTGCTAGGAGCAAAGGCCATAGGAGTGAATGGGACAGAAGTGTAGCCCTGCCCTGTTGGCCTCAGAAACCTAGCAGAAACAAGCTTTAACCAGTTCATCACTAGCTTGGGGTGCTGCCGTGGCGCTGAGCTGGTTGCTATCCCAAAACAGCGTGGCCTGACCTACACACTGTACACCCCCGACCCGGCGCATGCCTGCTCTCAAGGCGCAGGTCAGGGTGAGTTCTATAGAGAATAGACACATCGCCCCTCACTGTCCCTAAGTGTGAGCAGCTTGGCTTTGGGGAAGAGATTTTCTTGGGGTGCGTGGGAAAGTATTCTTTTTTTTTTTTTTTTTTGAGATGGAGTCTCACTCTGTTGCCCAGGCTGGAGTACAGTGGCATGATCTCGGCTCACTGCGACTTCCACCTCCCAGGTTGAAAGGATTCTCCTGCCTCAGCCTCCCAAGTAGCTGCGACTACAGATGTGCACTACCAAGCCTGGCTAGTTTTTTGTAGTTTTAGTAGAGACAGGGTTTTACCATCTTGGCCCGGCTGATCTGGAACTCCTGACCTCAGGTGATCCACCTGCCTCGGCCTCCCAAAGTGCTGGGATTACATAGGCGTGAGCCACCGCGCCCGGCCTTGGACATGGATTTCTTAAAGCAACTTGAAAAAACAAATTCTATGTTCATTTTTTTTACAATCAGGTAGAATTTGTGTTTCTGGAAAAGGTACGCACAAATCTTGGGCTTACTTGAAAGCTGGAGGTAACAGCCGTCTCTTGCTCTCTGACTCCTTTTTCCCCTAAGACAGAAGAGGGAAGACAAGTCCAAACGTCTGTGCTTTGCGGGAGACTTCAGGGGAATTTGATCAAGCGTTTCCTGGAACAAAGGGTCAACCCTCTGGTCTTCAGGTTCCCGCAGCCTCCCAGCTGCCTGCCCTTCTGCCTTCTGTTACACAGTGCCCCCTCCACGCCACACTCACACTCGCTCCCAGATTCTCACAGCCACCCCTCTCCAGGACTCACTCCCTGGTGCTCCTGAGACCACACCCCACACAAACTATTCTTGCTGAAGTCACAGGCTGCTGCAGCATTTTTGTTCTACCTGAATCTCTAGGGCCTCTGACACCTTCCGTGACCATTCTCTCCAGGAGCTCTTCTCCCTCTCCGCTGTCCTCCTCTCAGGTCCCTCACACCCTCCCCCAGCCTCAGCCTCACCCCTCCTCTAGGGAGCACAGCCCTTTCTTAGCCTCACCCATCCTAGGTCCCTGGTACCTGCCAGGTATCTCTAGCCCAGATCTTTCTCTTGCCCCAGACCCCAACTGCCTAGGGGCAGCCTCACAGTGGCTGCTATAGCAAACTACCACGTACTTACCGCCTTAAGCGGCACAAGTTTATCTTATGGTTCTGGAGGTCAGAGGTCCAAAATGTCTCTCCCTGGTCTACAAATCAGGTGTCAGCAAGCTGGTTCCTCCCGGAAGACCTAGAAGAGAATCCGTGTCTTGCCTTTTGCATCTTCTAGAGGCTGCCTGCATTCTTTAACTCATGGCCCCTCCCTCCATCTTCAGGCCCACAGATGAGCATCTTCCCATCTCTCTGACTGATTCTCCTGCCTCCCTCTTACAAAAACTCTAGTGACTACACTGGGCCACCTGGATAACCCAGGATCCTCTTCCCATCTCAACATCAATTTAAACACATCTGCAGAATTTCTTTGCCAGGTAGGGGAACATATTCACAGATCCCAGGGATTAGCACATGGGCACTGTCAGAGTCATGCAAGCCACACCCCAAATTCAGCCTCCCTGCAACCTGCGCCCCGTTCCGTGCCTGACACCACCATCTAGTCAGTAGCCCAAGCCACAAACCCTCCTTCCTCTCCCCACTGTCACTCTTCCCTCAATTAAAACTGGGCGCTAGGCCAGGTGCAGTGGCTCTCATCTGTAATCCCTGCACTTTGGGAGGCTGAGGTGGGAGGATTACTTGAACCCAGGAGTTTGAGGCCAGCCTCGCCAACATAGGGAAACCTCATCTCTAAAAAAAATAAAAATAAAAAAAATGTAGCTGGATGTGGTTGTGTACACCTGTGCTCCCAGCTACTCGGGAGACTGAGGCAAGAGGATTGCTTGAGCCCAGGAGGATGAGGCTGCGGTGAGCCATGATCACACCACTGCAATCCAGCCTGGGTAACAGAGCAAGACCCTGTCTCAAAAAAAAATAAAAGTAAGCACCAGGTCCTATACTTTGTAACTCACAAGTGTCTCTCCCATCCACCTCTTCTGCTACCTGCCGCCACCCCCACTCCCAGTGGGGCCTCAGCCCTTTCCACTGGACAACCACAGTGAGTGACCTCGCAATTCATCTTCCGCCTCTGCCCCGCCTTCCACCCATCCAGCCCATCTCCCATCAGCAGCCAGAAATAAACTGAGTCATAACACAGTCCCCTGACTCTTCTTAGAAGCCACGAACTCTGTCCATATTTTTTTGTTTTATATTTTTATTCCCGTGATAATTAATCTGAGTCATCTTGCTGACTGCTTTCTAGCCACACAAATCCTGTGTGAATTGCATTTGGAATCAGACAGGCAAACATGACGTGGGGTAGCATGTGCTCATGCCAGAGTGACCCGTCCCCCAGTGTCTGCTGAGATAAAGGCAAGACTTCTCTTTTACAGGGAAATTTGCAATTGAAAGATACTTCCATCAAAGAAGCTCTTAGTTTCTTGAATCATTTACTAAGTTGAGACCCCGTGGCAAGAATCATGGATGCCAACCCCAGTAATGGTCACCAAGGAACAGAGGCCAATTCAATGCATGAATGGGGTCCTCATGGAAAGCCAAATGACATATGATTTAAGTTTTTGAGGTGTGGCTCAAATAGAAAAAGAATATCGTGGACCATTTGAGTCACCCCCAGGCACATGGCAAGTACAAGGCCTTCCAAACTCCCACGCCTCCTTGATGACAGTCTGTAGACATGAAGCTACAATTTTGTTTCAGCAAAACAGCATCATACATACTGTTTAATGATTAAACAGAATGCACTTCTGTTTGGAATGAATTAAAAATGCTGAGCCCGGCACAGTCGTTCACGCCTGTAATCTCAGCACTTTGGGAGGCTGAGGTGGGAGATCTCTTGAAGCCAAGAGTTCAAAAGCCTGGGCTGCAAAGCAAGACTCCATCTCTAAAATATAATAATAATAATAAATAAATTAGGCCGGTGTGGTGGCTCATGCCTGTAATCTGAGCATTTTGGGAGGCCAAGGCGTGCAGATCACATGAGGTCACTAGTTCAAGAACAGCCTGGCCAACATGGTGAAATCCCATCTCTACTAAAAATACAAAATTAGCTAGGTGTGTTGGTACATGCCTGTAGACCCAGCTAATCAGGAGGTTGGGGCAGAAGAATTGCTTGAACCTGGGATGGGGAGGTTGCAGTGAGCTGAGAACACGCCACTGCACTCCAGCCTGGGCAACAGAACAAAACTCTTTCTCAAAATAAAATTTAAAAAAAATAAAATAAATTAGCTGGCCACAGTGGTATATTCCTGTAGTTCCAGCTACTTGGGAGGCAGGAGGATCACTAGAGCCCAGGAGTTCAGGGCTATAGTGAGCCATCGTTGCGCCACTGCACTCCAGCCTGGGCAGCAGAGCAAGACCCTGTCTCAAAAAACAGAGGAAAGAAAAGAAAGGAAAAAATAGTAATCATACCTGACGTTAAATATGTTATTAATCTGAATTCTACGAGTTTTGTAGGCTTCTCTCTCCCCAATTTGCAATTTTATTGGCGATTTATAGTTTCCAAGGGCTAGACACATGGGCTTCTATTCCACATCTGGCTATATATTTGTGCCTATTGATGTTTCATTATTGAAATGAAAACCTGGTCATCATGGGAGTCTGGGCAATGTTTTACTACTTCCAAATCAGTTTCTGGCTGGAGAACCCCAGCTACAATGTCCCCATGTCCCTCAGGATGAAATCTTTTTTTTTTTTGAGGTGGAGTCTCGCTCAGTCGCCCAGGCTGGAGTGCAGTGGCGTGATCTCAGCTCACTACAAGCTCCGCCTCCCGGGTTCACAGCATTCTCCTGCCTCAGCCTCCCGAGTAGCTGGGACTACAGGCATCCGCCACCACACCCGGCTAATTTTTTGTATTTTTAGTAGAGACGGGTTTTCACCATGTTAGCCAGGATGGTCTCGATCTCCTGACCTCATGATCCACCCACCTCGGCCTCCCAAAGTGCTGGGATTACAGGAGTGAGCCACCGCGCCTGCCCAGGATGAAATCTTAATCCATGCATCATCATGCATGGGACGGGGTACACAACTGTGCAGAGCCCAGCCCAGTGCCATGTTCCCTCCACAGCAAGACTGTCACCTCACCCCCTCCCACCCTCCCCCGCAGCCCTTGCCCCTGCTGTTTCCTCTCCCTGCAGCCTTCCTCACTATCCACCCCAAGCCCCCCAGCTCAGAAGACATCCTTCTGATGCAGGCTTGCCCATGCACCCACTCACAGTGGGATCCCTGCAGCCCCCACTCCTGCCCGGGTCCTGCTTCCTCTAGCGCGACTCCCTGAGGGCTGCTTCCAGCACTTTCCAGCGGCTTCTGAGTGAAGGCTTATTTTGTGTTTGCTGAGTGAATGAGTAAACAGCAGCGATCAAAGGCCCACTAGCGTCTCTCAGGGGCCTGAGTTCCTTGCAAGCAGGAAAGCAAAAGATGCCTCCGCCCCAGGGTTTCAGATTCCTGGATTCCCCTTCAGCTTTCACTTTTGGTTGGGCTTCCCAGCCCAGTCAGTCGGACTGTGAAAGCACCTGCCCCGCAGTAGGCACGGGCAGGGCAAGAGGGCATCTTCTCAGGGGAGCCAGGTATGCCCCTTGGTCTGCCACCCATGCATCATATGCCCCTGTTCCCTGAGCCTCTGCTCCCCGCCCCTGGTCCACATACCCCCGCCCCGGTGCCCTTCACTCTGACCAGGCCCAGTGAGCTCCAGCCAGGAACCCCAGGGAGGAGTCCCCACCACCTGAGTCACTGCAGGCCATCCCAGGGGTCCTACTCGCCAGGAAGGGTTGACGCCCACGTACACATACACCTCTGGGCTCCTGGCACTCTGAGCTGTATGTTTCATTCTGGTTCATTCACCATTCATTCATTTACTCGGTAGATTCTTAGCAAAGGGCTACCAGCTCAGACCGGGAGTGGCCAGCTCTTCTCCCTCACCAATGCTCCCTCTCCCAGCAATGTTGTAAGGTTCAATGAGATGTGGTGTGGCGAGGTCTGGGGGTGACAGCCCAGGATAAACGTCACTAAATGTCATCATTGTTACTATTCTTAAGGAACTGCCTGTTTTAAAACAAGCAGCCTTAAAATTAAAGTGTAGGTATGGGGCCAGGCACAGTGGCTTACACCTGTAATCCCAGTACTTTGAGATGCCAAGGTCGGCATTTCACCTGAGGTCAGGAATTCAAGACCAGCCTGACCAACATGGTGAAACCCTATCTCTACTAAAAATACAAAAAATGAGCCAAGTGTGGTGGCGGGTACCTGTAATCCCAGCTACTTGGGAGGCTGAGGCAGGAGAATCACTTGAACTTGGGAGGCAGAGGTTGCAGTGAGGCAAGATTATACCACTGCACTCCAGCCAGGGCAATAGAACGAGACTCGGTCTCAAAAAAAAAAAAGGCCAGGCACAGTGGCTCACACCTGTAATCTCAACACTTTGGGAGGCCGAGGCAGGCCAACCACTTGAGGTCAGGAGTTCGAGACTAGCCCAGCCAACATGGTGAAACCCTGTCTCTACTAAAAATACAAAAACTAGCTGGGCATACTGGTGGACACCTGTAATCCCAGCTACTCAGGAGGCTGAGGAAGGAGAATCACTTGAACCTGGGAGGCGGAGGTTGCAGTGAGCCAAGATTGTGCCACTGCACCCCAGCCTGGGTGACACAGCAAGACTCTGTCTCAAAAATAAATAAATAAATAAATAAATAAATAAATAAAAGTGTTGTTATGGTAAATAAATAAATAAATAATAAAACAAACCCTGTGGCGGCAAGAAATACCAGATTTAATAAGGTAGATCTAATAGACTGAACTCTACTACTAAGAGGCATTGCGTGGCCAGGAGGCTGGCCTCAAGCCGCCACCTGGTTTTGAGTCTCAGCTCTTCTACTTAGTTTCACTTGCGTCCATGTAAAGAGACCACTAAACAGGCTTTGTGTGAGCAATAAAGCTGTTTATTTCACCTGGGTGCAGGCGAGCTGAGTCCGAAAAGAGAGTCAGCGAAGGGAGATAGGAGTGGGGCCTTTTTATAAGATTTGGGTAGGTAAAGGAAAATTACAGTCAAAGGGGGGTTGTTCTCTGGCGGGCAGGAGTGGGGGTCACAAGGTACTCAGTGGGGGAGCTTTTGAGCCAGGATGAGCCAGGAGAAGGAATTTCACAAGACAATGTCATCAGTTAAGGCAGGAACAGGCCATTTTCACTTCTTTTGTGGTGGAATGTCATCAGTTAAGGCAGGAACCGGCCATCTGGATGTGTACGTGCAGGTCACAGGGGATATGATGGCTTAGCTGGGGCTTAGAGGCCTGACATTCCTGTCTTTTTTTTTTTTTTTTTTTTGAGACGGAGTCTCGCTCTTTCGCCCAGGCTGGAGTGCAGTGGCGCTATCTTGGCTCACTGCAAGCTCCGCCTCCCGGGTTCACGCCATTCTCCTGCCTCAGCCTCCCAAGTAGCTGGGACTATAGGCGCCCGCCACGGCGCCCAGCTAATTTTTTGTATTTTCAGTAGAAACGGGGTTTCACCGTGTTAGCCAGGATGGTCTCGATCTCCGGACCTCGTGATCCGCCCGCCTCGGCCTCCCAGAGTGCTGGGATTACAGGCGTGAGCCACCGTGCCCGGCCTCTGTCTTCTTATATTAATAAGAAAAATAAAACGAAAGAGTGGTAAAGTGTTGGGATGGTGAAAATTTTTTGGGGATGGCATGGAGAGATAATGGGTGATGTTTCTTAGGGCTGCTTCAAGTGGGATTAGGGGCAGCGTGGGAACCTAGAATGGGAGAAATTAAGCTGAAGGAAGATTTTGTGGTAAGGGGTGATATTGTGGGGTTGTTAGAAGAAACATTTGTCGTGTAGAATTATTGGTGACGGCCTGGATATGGTTTTGTATGAATTGAAAAACTAAATGGAATAAGAGAAGGAGAAAAACGGGTATAAAAGGTCTAAGAATTGGGAGGACCTAGGACATCTGATTAGAGAGTGCCTAAGGAGATTCAGCATAGTCCGGTCAGCAAAGATTCTTTATTTACTTCAAGAGTTAAGAGTGGCAGTTTGGGGATAGCACCAGGAGATATCAGCTGTGATGGCTTGGAGAAACAGTGTAAACCGGCAGTGTAAACAAGAGCAGGGCATGTATGAGTAGTTGAGAACGGTGAATAGGAGTATGACTAGACAGAAGATAGTAGGGATGACAAGTTTTTTGGGGGCACGGTCTAAGTTGGTCTGGTGTCTGGAATAAGACTGGGGCCTAATAAAAAGGAGTGTCTCTACAGGAGCTCAAATGGGCTGCACCTTGTAGTATTCTGAGGACAGGTCTGACTTCTGAGAAGGGAAAGTGGTAAAAGTATTGTCCAGTCCTTTTTAAGTTGGTGGCTGAGCTTGGTGAGGTGTGTTTTTAAGACTATTAGTCTGTTCTACTTTTTCTGAAGACTGAGGACTGTAAGGGATATAAAGGTTTCACTGAATACTAAGAGCCTGAAAAAATGCTTGGCTGATTTGGCTAATAAAGGTGGGTCTGCTATCGGACTGTATAGAGGTGGGAAGTCCAAACTGAGGAATTATGTCTGACAGAAGGGAAGAAATGACCGCAGTGGCTTTCTCAGACCTTGTAGGAAAGGCCTTTACTTATTCAGTGAAAGTGTCTACTTAGACTAAGAGGTATTTTAGTTTCTTGACTCGGGGCATGTTGAGTAAAGCTAATTTGTCAGTCCTGGGTGGGGGCAAATCCTTGAGCTTGATGTGTAGGGAAGGGAGGGGGCCTGAATAATCCTTGAGGAGTAGTAGACTAGCAGATGGAACGCTGAGAAGTTATTTCCTTGAGGATAGATTTCTACGATGGAAAGGAAATGAGAGGTTCTAAAAGGCAGGCTAGTGGCTTGTACTATAGCATAGCCTGTCTTTGCTGGTGTGTGGCGAGTAGGCCTGGTGGAACTGCCATCAATAAACTAAGTGTGATCAGGGTGAGAAACAGGGAAGAAGGAAATGTGGGGAAATGAGGTGAACATCAGCTGGATCAGAGAGATGAAGGAGCCGGGGAGCAGAAAGTATATGCATCAGGTGTGAGGAAGAAAATAGATTTTGGAAATTATGAGAGCTGTAGAGAGTGAGTTGAGCATAGTTTGTGATTTTAAGGGCCTCTGAAAGTATTAGGGTCAGTAGCCACTGCACAGAGACATGATGGCCAGCCTAAAACAGTAAGGTCAAGTTGTTTGGGCAAAAAGGCTACAGGACGCGATCCTGGTCCTTGTGTAAGAATTCCAACTGCACAGCCCTGCACTTTGGCTGTGTGTAATGCAAAGGGTTGGGATGAGTCAGGGAGAGCTCAGGTGGGGGCAGTCTCTAAAGCTGTCTTCAAGGAACAGAAAAAGGAGTGGGGAAAGGATTTAGGATCTGTGGGGTCAGCTAGGTTTCTTTTTGTGAGTTTATATAATGATTTTGTTAGGATGGCAAAACCAGGTATCTAAAGTTGAAAGTATCTAACCATGCCTAGGTTGTAGAAGGTGTTGGGGTTTGAGAGATCAGTCAGACACGATCGGCAGGGAGAGCGCGTGTGTTTTTATAAGAATTACGCCAAGACAGATAACAGATGAGGAAGAAATTTGGGCTTGACTGAAGTAATGGGGGCTGTCTGTGAAGCCTTGCAGCAGTACAGCCCAGGTAATTTGCTGAGCCTAATGGGTGTCAGGGTCAGTCTAAGTGAAAGCAAAGGGAGGCTGGGATGAAGGGTGCAAAGGAATAGTAAAGAAAGCATGTTTGAGATCCAGAACAGAATAATGGGTTGTAGAGGGAGGTATTGAGGATAGGAGAGTATATGGGTTTGGCACCACGGGGTGGATAGGCAAAACAATTTGGTTGATAAGGCGCAGATTCTGAACTAACCTGTAAGGCTTGTCTGGTTTTAGGACAGGTAAAATGGGGGAATGGTAAGAAGAGTTTATAGGCTTTAAAAGGCCATGCTCTAACAGGCAAGTGATAATAGGCTTTAATCCTTTCAAAGCGTGCTGTGGGATAGGATATTGGCATTGAGCGGGGTAAGAGTGATTAGGTTTTAATGGGATGGTAAGGGGTGCATGATCGGTCGCCAAGGAGGGAGTAGAGGTGTCTTATACTTGTGGGTTACGGTGGGGAGATACAAGGGGAGGATGTGAAGGAGGCTTTGAACTGGGGGAAAAGGTGGCAATGAGGTGTGGATGTAGCCTAGGAATAGTCAGGGAAGCAGATAATTTAGTTAAAGTGTCTCCGCCTAATAAGGGAACTGGGCAGGTGGGGATAACTAAAAAGGAGTGCTTAAAAGAGTATTGTCTAAGTTGGCACCAGAGTTGGGGAGTTTTAAGAGGTTTAGAACCTGGCTGTCAATATTTACAACAGTTATGGAGGCAAGGGAAACAGGCCCTTGAAAAGAAGGTAATGTGGAGTGGGTAGCCTCCGTATTGACTAAGAAGGGGATGGACTTACTTTCCACTGTGAGAGTTACTTAGAGTGTCTGTGATGGTCCTGTAGGCTTCCAAGGCGATCGGCAGTGCCAGTCTTCAGCTGCTAAGCCAAGAAGATCTGGGAAGGAGTCAGACGGCCTTGGGCCAGAGTTCCAGGGGCTCTGGAAGTGGCTGCCAGGTGAGTTGAACAGTCCAATTTTCAGTGGGGTCCTGTACAGATGGGACATGGCTCAGGAGGAATCCTGGGCTGTGGGCACTTGTAGCAAGCTCCTGGGGGAGGAGGTTCTGGAGGAACCCCTGGCAGCTGCGGTTCAGGCGTTTGGAGTTCTTGTGTGCTGGAGATGTGGCTGGGGTTTGTCTCACAGTGGAGGCAAAGAGTTGCAACTCAGAAATATGTTGCTACTTGGCTGCCTCCACTCTATTATTGTACACCTTGAAGGTGAAGTTAATTAAGTCCTGCTGTGGGGTTTGAGGGCCAGAATTTAACTTTTGGAGTTTTATTTAATGTCGGGAGCAGACTGGGTAATAAAATGTATATTGAGAATAAGACGGCTTTTTGACTTTTTAGGGTCTAGGGCTGTAAAGCGTCTCAGGGTTGCCGCCAAACGAGCCATGAACTGGGCTGGGTTTTTCATATTTGATGAAAGAGCCTAAACGCTCACTGATTTGGGAGAGGTCTGATAAAGAAAAATGAGTATTAACCTTGACTATGCGTTTGGCTTCAGCCACCTTTTTAAGAGGAAATAGCTAGGCAGGTGGGGGAGGGCTAGTCATGGAATGAAACTGTAAGCCGGACTGGGTGTGAGGAGGGGAGGTGATAAAAGGATTATACGGTGGAGGAGCAGAGGCTGAGGAAGAATTGGGACCTAGCTCGGCCTAGTGAGGAGGGGAGAGGTCAGATGGGTCTGTAGAAAAGGAAGATTAGAAAAACTCAGCGACACTTGGGGTTGGGACTGAGGAGACAGGCAGGAGGGAAAGAAGGAAGATTTGGGACTAGTTGCACTGGGCAGAGAGACTAGGGAGGGACAGATGTGTAAAAGAATGCCTGGACGTCAGGCACCTCAGACCATTTGCCTATTTTTCGACAAAAATTATTTAGGTCTTGTAGGATGGAGAAATCGAAAGTGCCGTTTTCTGACCATTTAGAGCCATTGTCAAGTTTGTATTGGGGTCAAGCGGCATTGTAGAAGAAAGTAAGGCATTTAGGTTTTAGGTCAGGCAAGAGTTGAAGAGGTTTTATGTTCTTAAGAACACAGGCTAAGGGAGAAGAAGGAGGAATGGAGGGTGGAAGGTTGCCTATAGTGAAGGAGGCAAGTTTAAAGAAAAGGGAGAGTAGAGACATGGAGGGAAGCGGTTCGGGGGTTCTTACCTTCCAGAAAAGCAGGAAAGGGGTCGGGGCACAGAGATACGAGGTTGGGGCACGGAAATAAGGGAGCAGGGTGCAGAGATATAAGAGGTTGGGGCACAGAAATAAGGGATTGGGGCACAGAGATATAAGAGGTCGGAGCGTGGAAATAAGGGATCGGGGCGCAGAGATACAAGGTTGGGGTACATGCCCCTCCCCCAGAAAAATGGGACTTGCTGCTAAGGGTGAAGGAGAAGGGGCTGGGGGTTTCTTGCCTTACAGAAAGGTGGAGAAGGGGTAGAGACATGAAGAGAAGGGGTTGGGGTACTTGCCCCTCCCCTAGAAAAGTGGGACTTGCTGCTAAGAGTGAAGAAGAAGGGGTTGGGGATTTCTTGCCCTCCAGAAAGGTGGAGAAGGGGTAGAGACACAGAGAGAAGGGGTTGGGGTACTTGCCCCTCCCCCAGAAAAGCGGGACTTGCCGCTATGGGTGAAGGACCAAGGCAGGCGTCCTTGCGTGGTCTGACACCTCTGAAACATGGGTGAATAATCAGAGAGGTGTCCTTGCAATGATTAAACACCAAGGGAAGGCTGCCTTCCTAGTCCGTGACCAGTGCTGGAGTTTTGGGTCCACGGATAAAACGTGTCTCCTTTGTCTCTACCAGAAAATGAAAGGAATTGAAATTAAAAGAAGGGAGAGATTGAAGTGTGGCGCCAAGATTGAAAGGAGAAACAGGTTGAGGGATAGTGAGGGAGGTTGGAGAAGAGAGTAAAAAGAGGCTGCTTACCGGATTTGAAATTGGTGAGATGTTTCTTGGGCTGGTTGGTCTGAGGACCTGAGGTCATAGGTGGATCTTTCTCACAGAGCAAAGAGCAGGAGGACAGGGGATTGATCTCCCAAGGGAGGTCCCCCGATCCGAGTCACGGCACCAAATTTCACTCACGTCCGTGTGAAGAGACCACCAAACAGGCTTTGTGTGAACAATAAAGCTGTTTATTTCACCAGGGTGCAGGTAGGCTGAGTCCGAAAAGAGAGTCAGTGAAGGGAGATAAGGGTGGGGCCGTTTTATAGGATTTGGGTAGATAAAGGAAAATTACAGTCCAAGGGGGGTTGTTCTCTGGCAGGCAGAGTAGGGGTCACAAGGTGCTCAGTAGGGGAGATTTTGAGCCAGGAGAAGGAATTTCACAAGACAATGTCATCAGTTAAGGCAGGAACAGGCCATTTTCACTTCTTTTGTGGGAGAATGTCATCAGTTAAGGCAGGAACCGGCCATCTGGATGTGTACATGCAGGTCACAGGGGATATGATGGCTTAGCTAGGGCTTAGAGGCCTGACACTTAGCATCTGTGTAAACTTAGACAAGTAAACCCATCCACAAAATGGATGATTACAGTAGCTACCTAGAAGGGATGTTGTGAGGATTCTGTGACTTGTTTGTAAACTACAGAGTAAGTACACCAGTAAAGATGTGTTCAGCCTCTCTTGTTACAGGTGTGATCACACCATCATGATGTGATTTTGTAACAGGATGATTTTGTAACACGATGACATTTTGTAACAGACACAGAGCCAGGGACAATACCACTGAGCTGCTGAAGCAACCCGCCCTGCTTCTGGCCTCCAAGTCACATGAGCTAATACTTTAAAAAAAAAAAAAAAAGCATTATACGGGCCAGGCACAGTGGCTCACACCTGTAATCCCAGCACTTTGGGAGGCCGAGGTGGGCAGATCACTTGAGGTCAGGAGTTCCAGACCAGCCTGGCCAACGTGGTGAAACCCTGTCTCTACTAAAAACACAAAAATTAGCCAGGCATGGTGGCAGATGCCTGTAATTCAACCTGGGAGGCTGAGGCAAGAGAATCACTTGAACCCAGGAGGCAGAGGTTGCAGTGAGCCAAAATTGAGACACTGCACTCCAGCCTGGGTGACAAAACAAGACTCTCAAAAAAAAAAAAAGTATTATACAAGACAACAGATTCACCAAGGTCAACGTGAAAGAAAAAAAATATCAAAGGCAGCTAGAGAGAAGTGTCAGGTCACTTACAAAGGGAACCCCATCAGGCTAGAAATGGACCTCTCAGCAGAAACTTTACACACCAGAAGAGATCAGGGGCTGTTTTCAGCATCCAAAGAAAAGAAATTCCAATCATTTCAAGAATTCCAAGAATTTCATATCCCACCCAACTAAGTATCATAAGCAAAGGATAAATAAAATCTGTCTCAGAAAGCAAATGCTAAGGGAATTCATTACCACTAGACCAGCCTTATAAGAGGTCCTTAAGGGAGTGCTAAACACAGAAACTAAAGAAGGATACCAGCCAAGCATGGTGACTCATGCTCTCCATCCCTCCACTTTGGGAATCTCTGAAGCCCAGGAGTTGGAGTCCAGCCTGGGCAACATAGTGAGACCCCGTCACTACAAAAAATAAAAAAATTATCCAGTCATGGTGATGTGTGCCTGTGGTCCCAGCTACTAGGGAGGCAGAGGCAGGAGTATTGCTTGAACCCAGGAGGTGGAGGCTGCAGTGAGCTGTGTGTGATCATGCCATTGCACTCCAGCTTGGCGACAGAGAGAGACCTTGTCTCTTAAAAAAAAAATGCACATGTACCCTAAAACTTAAAGTATTAAAAAAAAAAAAAAGGCTGGGCAAGGTGGCTCACACTTGTAATCCCAGCACTTTGGGAGGCCGAGGCAGGTGGATCACGAGGTCAGGAGATCAAGACCATCCTGGCTAAGATGGTAAAACCTCGTCTCTACTAAAAATACAAAAAATTAGCCAGGCACAGTGGCGGGCGCCTATAATCCCAGCTACTCGGGAGGCTGAGGAAGGAGAATCACTTGAACTCGGAGGGCAGAGGTTGCAGTGAGCTGAGGTCATGCCACTGCACTCCAGCCTGGGTGACAGAGTGAGACTCCATCTCAAAAAAAAAAAAAAAAAAAAAAGAACAATATCTGCTACCACAAAAACACACTTAAGCACATAGCCCTCAGACACTATACAATCATGTCTACAAAACAGCCAACTAACAACACAATGACAGAATCAAAATCTCACACATCTAGCCGGGTGTGGTGGCACGTGCTTGCAATCCCAACTGCTTGGGAGGCTGAGGCAGGGGAACTGCTTGAACCCAGGAGGTGAAGGTTGCAGTGAGCTGAGATTGCACCACTGCACTCCAGCCTGGTGACAGTGCAAGACTCTGTCTCAAAAAAAAAAAACAAAAAAAACTCACATATCAATACTAACCCTGAATGTCAACAGGCTAACTGACCCCACTTAAAAAGGCATAGAGTGGGCCGGACACGGTGCCTCACGCCTGTAATCCCAGCACTTTGGGAGGCTGAGGCGGGCGGAACACAAGGTCAGGAGATCGAGACTATCCTGGCTAACACGGTGAAACCCTGTCTCTACTAAAAATACATAAAATTAGCTGGGCGTGGTGGTGGGTGCCTGTAGTCCTAGCTACTCGGGAGGCTGAGGCAGGAGAATCACTTGAACTCGGAGGGCAGAGGTTGCAGTGAGCTGAGGTCGTGCCACTGCACTTCCAGCCTGGGTGACAGAGTGAGATTCTGTCTCAAAAAAAAAAAAAAAAAAAGAATAATATCTGCTACCACAAAAACACACTTCAGCACATAGGCCTCAGACACTATACAATCATGTCTACAAAACAGCCAGCTAACAACACAGTGACAGAATCAAAATCTCACACATCTAGCCGGGCATGGTGGCGCATGCTGGCAATCCCAACTGCTTGGGAGGCTGAGGCAGGGGAATCGCTTGAACCCGGGAGGCGGAGGTTGCAGTGACCTAAGATTGCGCCACTGCACTCCAGCCTGGTGACAGTGCAAGACTCTGTCTCAAAAAAAAAAAAAAAGAACTAACATATCAATACTAACCCTGAATGTCAACAGGCTAACTGACCCCACTTAAAAGGCATAGAGTGGGCCGGACACGGTGCCTCACGCCTGTAATCCCAGCACTTTGGGAGGCTGAGGTGGGCAGATCACAAGGTCAGGAGATCGAGACCATCCTGGCTAACATGGTGAAACCCCGTCTCTACTAAAAATACATAAAATTAGCTAGGCATGGTGGCTGGTGCCTATAGTCCCGGCTACTCAGGAGGCTGAGGCAGGAGAATGGCGTGAACCTGGGAGGCAGAGCTTGCAGTGAGCCGAGATCACGCCACTGCACTCCAGCCTGGGTGACAGAGCAAGACTCCGTCTCAAAAAAAAAAAAGAAAAGAAAAAAAAAGGCATAGAGTGACAAGCTGGATAAAAAGACAAGACCCAACTGTTTGCTATCTTTCAGAGACCCATCTCCCATGTAACTACACCCACAGGTTCAAAGTAAAGAGGATAGAGAACCCAGAAATAAAGCCACACACTTATAACCATCTGATCTTCAACAAAGTCAACAAAAACAAGCAAGGAGGGGAAAGAAGCTCCTATTCAATAAATGATACTTGGATAACTGGCTAGGCATATGCAGAAGAATGAAACTGGACCCTTGCCTTTCACCACATACAAAAATTAAAACAGACTAAAGATTTAAATGTAAGCCCTCAAACTACAAAAATCCTAAGAAACTCTAAGAAATATCCTTCTCAACACCAGCCATGGCAAATAATTTATGGCTAAGTCCTCAAAAGCAATTGCAACAAAAACAAAAATGATAAGTGGGACCTAACTAAACTAAAGAGCTTCTGCACAGCAAAGAAACTATCAACAGAATGAACAGACAACCTACAGAATGGGAGAAAATATTTGCAAACTAGGCATCCAACAAAGGTCTAATATCCAGAATCTATAAGGAACTTAACTCAACAAGCAAAAACAAATAATCCCATTGAAAAATGGGCAAAATACATGAACAAATACTTCTCAAAAGAAGACATATAAGCAGCCAACAAACACATGAAAAAATGCTTATCATCACTAATGATCAGAGAAATGCAAATCAAAAGCACAATGTCGCATCTGTAGTCCTAGTTACTAAGGAGGCTGAGGCAAAAGGATCACTGGAGCCCAGGAGGCAGAGGTTGCAGTGAGCCAAGATCACACCACTCCACTCCAGCCTGGGTGACAGCAAGACCCTTTCTAAAAATAAAAAAATAAAATAACCTACAATGAGATACCATCTCATACTAGCCAGAATGGCTATTATTAAAAAGTCAAAAAACAACAGACGGTGGCAAGGTTGTGGAGAAAAGGGAACACTAACTTATACACTGTTAATGGGAATGGGAATATGTACATTAGTTCAGCCACTCTGGAAAGCAATTTGGAGATTTGTCAAAGGACTTAAAACAGAACTACCATTTGACCCAGCAATTCGATTACTGGGTGTATACCTAAAAGAAAATAAATTATTCTACAAAAAAGACACAAGCACTTGTATGTTCATCGCAGCATTATTCACAATAGCAAAGACATGGAATCAATCTAGGTGTGCATCAGTGGTGGACTGGATAAAGAAAATATTGTATGCCAGACACGGTGGCTCGTGCCTGTAATCCCAGCACTTTGGGAGTCCAAGGTAGGTGGATCACCTGAGGTCGGGAGTTCAAGAGCAGTCTGGCCAACATGGAGAAAACCCTTCTCTACTAAGAAGGCTAAGGCAGAAGAATCACTTGAACTTGAGAGGCAGAGTTTGCAGTGAGCCAAGATCACACCACTGCACTCCAGCCTGGGCGACAGAGTGAGACTCTCTCTAAAAAAAAAAGGCTGGGCGCTGTGGCTCACACCCGTAATGCCAGCATTTTGGGAGGCCAAGGTGGGTGGATCACCTGACACCAGCCTGGCCCAATGGTGAAACCACGTCTCTGCTAAAAATACAAAATAGAAAAATAAAAATACGAAAATTATCTGGGCTTGGTGGCGCATGTCTGTAATCTCAGCTACTTGGGAAGCTGAGGCGGTAGAATCACTTGAACCCAGGAGGCAGAGGTTGCAATGAGCCGAGATCACACCACTGCACTCCAGCCTGGGAGACAGAGTGAAACTCCGTCTGAGAAAACAAACAAACAAACAAACAAACAAACAATTGAAGCCAGTTTGAGTTGAGCTTTCTGATATTTGCAGTGAATGGCATCATAGTGCTACATATGGAAATTTAGAATATGGTAAAATGCTGTTTCAAATGTATAAGAACAAATCATTAATGGGATTGGCACAGTGGGAAAAATTGTAGCATTCCTACCTCACTCCTTCTACCAAAATAAATCCCAAATGGATACAAGATATGAATGGAAAAAAGAAAAAGAAGCTGCAAACCTGGGGGAATTTCCTTATAATTGTGAACAGGAAGGAGAGGGCCATGAAATAAAACCCTGACCAATTTGATTGCTTAAAAAAACTAAAAATGGGCCAGGCGCAGTGGTTCACGCCTGTAATCCCAGCACTTTGGGAAGCCAAGGCGGGTGGACCACCTGAGGTCAGGAGTTCAAGACGAGCCTGGCCAACATGGTGAAACCCTGTCTCTACTAAAAATACAAAAATCAGGTAGGCATGGTGGCAGATATTGCAGTGAGCGGAGATCGTGCCATTGCATTCCATCCTGAGTGACAAGAGCAAAACTCTGTCTCAAAAAAACAAAAAATTGTAAACAAATTTAAGAGGCAGACAATCACTTGTGTTCCCATTTTATAGTGAAAGAAACGAAATGTAGGTTACATAGCTTCCCCAAATCATTCGTTCATTCACTTTTTGACAAGTATTTATTGAGCACCTACTAAGTGATAAACATGGCCAGGACCAGAGGGATGTCCCTGCCTTCATGGAGTTCCCATTCGAGCAGGAGAGACAGGCTTAAGTCCACTAATCACACGAACAGAAGTGATTACACTTGGGCTATATGGGGCCTGGCCAAGGATGGGCGAACAAAGCCAGCTTCTCTGAGGAAAGATGGTGGCAGTCAGCCAGTTGAAAAGGGCTGGGATAAAATGCCTTCCTGGCAGGGGTCCAGCCTGTATGGGGGACAGCCTGTACACAGCCTGGAACCAGGAGGGAACAGGACTCCTAGAAGGAACTGAAGAGCCAAAGTGGCCAAGCTGAGGGCTGGGGCGAGGCTTGGGTGGGGTGGCATAGCAGCGGAGGTTGGAGGGCAAAGGTCCCTCTGTCATTCTAAGATTCAAGGAAGGAGGGGCCTACCCATCCGTTGCGATGCCCTGCCCGTGTCTAAGAAATGAGCCAGGCTCCAGGTCAACCTTGTGTGCCAGCCTCCTTTGCAGCTTGAGCTGGCAGGAGGCCCCAGGACCCAGACAGGGCTGGTGACACAAGCAAGCTCATTTCCCAGGCCGGCAGCAGAGATGTCAGGGTTTTGAATATGCAAAGGCGCTGTGTTGGCATTTGGTGGCTGGCCTCCGTGGCAGAGGCAGCTCACTTTTCCTTCCGACCAGCTGCCTACTGTCCTTTGACCACTTGCTTTTCTGCTTAAACAGATTCCAGCCCTGTTCTATTTTGTCTTCTGGTTTTGTTTTGCAGTTAGAGCCTGCATGAGCTTGGTTTTGTCCCAAGGGCCAGGGCAGGGCCCTAAAGAAGTCCAGGCAGGGAGGTCAGATTTGCATTTTTCAAGCCTCAGCCACAGGGTAGGCTGCAGGGAGCAAGGGAGGATATGGGAAGCCAGGTTAGGAGGCCGCTGGAATGGCTGGGGGGTGGGGGATGGTGGCAGAAGGAGGGTCATGGGGCAGTTTGTAGTGAGGGCATGCATTTGAGGGGTGTTGGGGGCTTGGCATGGGTGTGGGACATGAGAGGGTGGGGGTGGCATGAAGGAGGCTGACAGGAGGGGACACAGAGACCATGTTCAGGGTGACAACAGAGCCACAAAGGTGATGGCCTGGTTTTGATCAACCCTGAATATGAGGTTCCCCAGGAGGTGTCTGGGGGCAAGGAGGTGTGTCCTAGGGCCTGGAGAATTTCCTGAGAGTGGGAATGGCTGGCCAGGGAGAGCTGGGCAGACCCCATGAGGGCCTTTCAGGACAAGGACAGGGGGATGAGGTGTTGAGGGCTGGGCAGTGACAGCTCAGGAATCAAGCCCTGTACCCACTCCACGCACACATGCAGCTTCAGTTTCAAAACATGCGTGGAAGGATCTTTTGGAAACACGCCCAGACTGCAGACACCCAGGTCCCTCTACCAGGGAGTCTGACTCTGTCCCAGGTGGGGCTCAGGAATGACTGCAGCACTGCCCCAGGCAGAGGGACGTTTTCACCTTCAGCTGTTAAGCACTACTAATTGCTCTATCTCATCTTCCCAACCAAATTGTTCAGGATAGACGTTGTAACTCCTCTTTGATCTCAGACTGCTGGTGAAAAGCAGGTTTTACAGACCAGGGCCATGTGGGGGCGTCCTGCAGAGACTCCAAGTGGCGCCCAGGCTCCCAGATGACCATCCTCACCCTTTAACCCCCAGACTTGGATCCCCGAGGGCACACAGTGTGTTTCCCGGGGAAGTGGGTGGTCTGCTGGTGAACTGAATGCCCAGAAGAGGTGAGCCGCAGATTTAAAACCTGCCTAGTGGCCGGGCGCAGTGGCTCAGGCCTGGAATCCCAGCACTTTGAGAGGCCAAGGCAGGCGGAACACTTGAGGCCAGGAGTTGGAGACCAGCCTGGCCAACATGGCGAAACCTCGTCTCTACTAAAAATACAAAAAGTAGCCAGATGTGGTGGTGGGTGCCTGTCATCCCAGCCTCTCAGGAGGCTGAGGCAGAAGAATGGCCAAGATTGCGCCACTGAACTCCAGCCTGGGCGACAGAGTGAGACTCTGTCTCAAAAAATAAAGTAAAACCTGCCCCACCCCTCCATACACCGTGGAATATGACCCAGTCATAAAAAGAAGGAAATCCTGCCTTTGCAGCACCATGGAGGGAGCTGAAGGCCATTATCCTAAGTGAAATGATGCAGAACCAGAAAGCCAAAGCCGCCTGTTCTTACTTATAAGCGGGTGTTAAGCATTGGGTACATGTGGACACGCAGACATACACTGGAGAAGGTGAAAGGGTCGGACATGCCTCGTTACTCCCCTCCAGCATCAACAGCAACACAGACCTCAAGTCTAATAAGAAACATTTAAGCGGCCAGGCACAGGTGGCTCACGCCTGTAATCCCAACACTTTGGGAGGCCTCAAGTGGATCACTTGAGGCCAGGAGTTCAAGACGAGCCTGGTCAACATCGGGAAATCCTGTGTCTACTAAAAATTCAAAAAAATTAGCCAGGCATGGTAGCATATGCCTGTAATTCCAGCTACTCGGGAGACTGCAGCACGAGAATCGCTTGAACCCAGGAGGTGGTGGTTGCGGTGAGCCGAGATCACGCCACTGCACTCCAGCCTGGGTGACTGAGTGACATTCTGTCAAAAAAAAAAAAAAGAGAGAGAGAGAGAGAGAGAAAGGAAGGAAGGAAGGAAGGAAGATTGACAGGAGGGTGTCCGGTCTTTCAGCTTCTCTAAGCCACATTGGAAGAAGAATTGTCTTGGGCCACACAAAATACACTAACAATAGCTGATGAGCTAAAAATAAAAATCACAAAAAAATATCATAATGTTAGCTGGGCACGGTGGCTCACGCCTGTAATCCCAGCACTTTGGGAGGCTGAGGTGGACAAATCACGAGCTCAGGAGTTCAAGACCAGCCTGGCCAACATAGTGAAACCCCATCTCTACTAAAATACGAAAAAATCAGCTGGGCATGGTGGCGGCCGCCTGTAATCCCAGCTACTCAGGAGGCTGAGGCAGGAGACTTGCTTGAACCCGGGAGGCAGAGGTTGCAGTGAGCCGTGATCGCACCACTGCACTCCAGCCCAGGACAGTGCGAGACTCCATCTCAAACAAACAAACAAAAAACAACTCATAATGTTTTGAGAATGTTTACGAATTTGTGTTGAGCTGTGTTCAAATTTGTCCTGGGCCACATGTGGCCCGCAGGCCACCAGTTGGACAAGCTTCATTTACAGTCTATTCTCTCTGAAGCCTACTACTTGAAGCCTTCATCTGTATGATACAACTTTGGTCTCGCCTGTAATCCAAGCACTTTGGGAGGCCGAGGCGGGCGGATCACCTGAGGTCGAGAGTTCGAGACCAGCCTGACCAACGTGGAGAAACCCCGTCTCTATTAAAAATACAAAAAATTAGCAGGGCGTGGTAATCCCAGCTGCTTGGGAGGCTGAGGCAGGAGAATCACTTGAACTGGGGAGGTGGAGGTTGCAGTTAGCTGAGATGGCGCCACTGCACTCCAGCCTGGGCAACAAGAGTGAAACTCTGACTCAAAAAAAATGAAATAAATAAAATAAAATAAAACACTTTGGTCTCCACGACCCGTTGTCATAACCCAGCCATTCCTTTCTATTGAAAATAACTCTTTCAACCAATTGCCAGTCAGAATATGTTTAAATCTACCTATGACCTGGAAGCCCCTGCCCCTTTGAGTTGTCCCGCCCTTCTAGATCCAACCAATGTAAATCTCACATGTATTGATTGATGCCTTATGTCTCCCTAAAATGTATAAATGCAAACTATACCTTGACCACCTTGGGCCCATGTTGTCAGGACCTCCTGAGGCTGTCACGGGCACGTCCTTATCCTTGGCAAAATAAACTTTCTAAACCGATCCAGACCTGCTCAGATGCTTTTTGGTTTACAGGTGCTACTTGGTGATTTGAGTTCTTATTTATCCTGAGATAGTAACGCAATATCCCCATGCTTTTTGGGACTGGGAGGAAGGAGAGGACCCCAGGATGAATACAATGCAGTTCCAGACCTTAAGGAGTTCCTATTGGGAGAGACAAACAGGGAAATAATCCCACGTGAAAAAAAACTGAGTCCTGAGAGCTGAAGTGATTTATCAAGTCCCAAGGTGCAGCTAGGACTTCAACCCAAGGCTCCTGACTCCAAGGCCCATAGAGTTTCCAGCACACCAAACCGCCTTTCCAGAGAGGGGGCCCTTTGAGTTGGCTTCCTAGGACAAGGAGGAGTTCATCAGGCGGCAAGCAGCTCAGACACAGGGAACAGCAAGTGCAAAGGCCAGGGGCACGGAATCAGAGGTGCCTCCCAGAGGCGGCAAGCTCTAAGCAAGCCGGTTCCAGAAAGACTTAGGAGAGGGCTTGGAGCCTGGAGGTAGAGTGAGGGCCGGAATTTTATCTTTTAAACACCAAGGAGCCGGCAGGCCGGGCGTGGTGGCTCAAGCCTGTAATCCCAACACTTTGAGAGGCCGAGACAAGAGGATTGCTGGATCCCAGGAATTTGAGACCAGCCTGGGCAACATGGTGATGCCCTATCTCTACTAAAAATTTTAAAATTAGCTGGGCGTGGTGATGTGCATCTGTAGTCCCAGCTACTCAGGAGGCTGAGGCAGGAGGATCACTTGACCCAGGAGGTCAAGCCGTGATCGCATCACTGCACTCCAGCCTGGTGACAGAGAGAGACCCAGTTTCTTTTTTTTCTTTCTTTTTTGCTTCTTCAGGACATTTATTCCATTACAGTATACCGATGCCACAGAGAACCTCAAATTTGACCTCGCTTTCTCTTTTGATCTGCCAACACAGGTCCTAAGTCCAATCAAGAGCTGCTTTTGATAGGAAAAAGAGTTAATAGAGTGCTATTTCTGCCTTTTATAAATCCTCCAAGGGGGTTTAGGCAATACTGAGTTCCAGGCTTTGAAGGTACAAACTTAGGAGCTGAATGAGAAACTCAGTTCCTTAAAAATAAAAATAAAAATAAAGGAGCCAGCAAAATCCTTTACGCAGGACAATGACATGATGAAAGAGTGTCCCACTTTATTAGAGATCCAAAGCACGTGGTTGTTCACTGGAAAATGAGAAAAGAAAACAACTAGATTCCTAAAGGTTGTAGTCAACTTTCTGGCTGTTATGGGGAACGCGTAATCATATATTATCACTTAGGAAGAATGGCCTGTGTTAATTAAGGCTGCCTAGTAACTTTGTTTTTTCCCCAAAGTTCTTTGAGGGCTAGCATCTCATTTTAGTCTCAGGGGAATCTTGAGCTGTTATTAAGGAAGGTTCTGCTTGTCCCATTTGACAGGTTTGGTGATTAGCATGGGGGTTGCCCCCTAGGAAGTGGAGGAGTGTGGGTTGGGACCCAGACCACCTGGATGTTCTGCAGGCTGCCCTGCCCTGCACAAGCTTCTAGCTCCCAGACAGGCACGGCAGGCCCAGACAGTGGCCCAGCTTGGGGCAGGGGCAAAGCCCATCGCAGTCCACAGTCCTTGGCGGTTTTCCGTCCCTTTCTGGGGACTCCCAGGGAAGACTGACCAGCCACTGTCCCTGTCTTACAGCAGGCAGTCACCAGGAGCATGAGGGACCAGGTGACTTCACAGCAGCATGAGAATAGCCATGAAAACTAAAACAAGGCTTGTGGACACTCCAAAAATACTCCACTGAAAGCGCCAGCCAGCATCGAAAATAAACCTGTCTGCTGGCTGCCTGCACAGAGGAGCCAGGGAGGGGCCACTGAGCCACACTTCCGGCCCCACACCCTTTTATTTTGGGAAAATCAAACCCTTCCCACCATGAGCTTGCCTGTGGGAGGGAAGCTGAGGCTGCCGTTGTCCTGTGAGATTTCGCTGGACGATGCTCAGGTGCAGAAGCGAGAGCTGACCCTTCCATTCATTCTTTCGTCCACCCGCAGGCACGTGCGCCTCCCTCTGTGTGCCAAGCGCTGTCCGTGGCATCAGGGCAGATGGAGCAGGGGCCGCCAGACTCGGCTTGAATCTGCTGTGCTGTGGACAGGCCTAGAGAGCTCGGCAGCACTTTCCCTCTAGGAGATGGGAGTGGGCTTATTGTGCTGTGAGGGGGTAAGGAGGCAGGGGAGATCTTGTCTGTGCCAGGCACGTCCTGGGCCCCATGCAGATGACCAGCCTCATTAGTTCGTTATCTGCACTCGCTCATGCAGCCTCACCTCTGTGTGTGGCAGAGGACCCTGGCCTTTAACATTCCTGCCGTCTTACAGCCCCACCTGCTTCAAAGCTTCCGCACGCTTCTTAACCCCTGGACAGACCTGCAACCCCCGCCTGTGGCCTTGGCTCCCACTTCCAAGACCCTGATGAGTTTTGCTGGGAGGGCCTGGTCGCTGCTTTCTTCTCAGAGGAAAGTGGCCCCTTCCCACCTCACTCAGCCTCCTGCTCCCCTGCCCTGGCCCTGGCCGGCTCACTTCTGGAACAAACTCCTTCCTCCCAGCCTTCCCATCTCTGGTCTCTTCCTGATCTGGATCCTTCTCTCTCTCTCTCTCTTTTTTTTTTTTTTTTTTTTGAGATAGGGGCTCACTCTGTTGCCCAGGCTAGAGTACACTGGTGCAATCACAGCTCATGGCATCCCTGACTTTCCAGGCTCCAGTAATCCTTCCATCTCAGCCTCCCAAGTAGCTGGGGCTACAGGCCCGACTAATATTTGTATTTTTGGTAGAGATGGGGTTTTGCCATGTTGCCAAGGTTGGTCTCCAACTCCTGAGCTCACACTTGAGCTCCACCTGCCTTGGCCTCCCAAAGTGCTGGGATTACAGGCATTAGCCACAGTGCCTGGCGACCCAGATCCCTTTCTACCTGGGGCCAGAGATTTCCTCCTAAATAGAAAACCTGACCCCACCCTGGTCTTTGGGCGAGACACCTCTTTTGCTTTTTCGTAGTTCACAGCTCCTTTCCCAAAGCTCAGTGACTCAAGGGTCAGCTTGGCAATTTTTGCCTTAGCCATGTACCCTCTGTCGTTTTTTTGTTTTTTGTTTTGAGACGGAGTCTCAGTCTGTCACTCAGGCTGGAGTGCAATGGCGTGACCTCAGCTCACTGCAACCTCTGCCTCCCGGGTTCCAGCGATTCTCCTGACTCAGCCTCCCGAGTAGTTGGGATTACAGGCACCCACCACCATGCCCGGCTAATTTTTGTATTTTTAGTAGAGATGGGGTTTTGCCATGTTGGTCAGGCTGCTCTCGAGCTCCTGACCTCAGGTGATCCACGCCCCCCTCGGCCTCCCAAAGTGCTGGGATTATAGGCGTGAGCCACCACGCCTGACCTCCCCCTCTCGTTTTATCTACTTAGCTTTTTCTTGAAAGCCTTGTCCTTTTATCTACTTAGCTGTATCTTGAAAGCGACTCTCTTAAAAATTTAAAATTTAAAAATTTTTAATTTTTTGTGTCTCTGTTACAAAAAGAAAACAGTCTATGGCAAAGATTGCTGGTGTCACCCAGTATCTTTTCATCCCTTCTCACTTTACACAAGATCCCCAATTTTTAGCTAAGCAGACAGTCAAGGCTGCATTTCCCAACCTCCCCTGCAGCCAGGTGTGGCCCTTTGACTAAGTTCTGCATATGTGCAGAAATGGAGTGTGGAACTTCCTAAAAACAGCCTTAAAGGAGGGAGAGGATTGTGCCCTTCAGCATCCCTTTATTCCTTCCTTCTGCCTGGAATGCAAGCATGATAGCTGGAGCACAGGCAGCTATATTGGGTCATGAGGAAGCAATGCAGCAGGATAGAAGGATCCTGGGTTCTTAAAGATTACAGAGCCTCCCTGCTAGCCCTAGAAAGCTTACATCAGGGTTGCCTTTGTATGAGAAAAATAAACCCTCATTGAAGTCACTGTGATTTGGAGACTTCAGACACTTACACAAAGCTAACCTTGATTGAAACACAGTATCACTTGGAATAATCAGGAGGTGGCTATGAAAAGGAATGCAATAAAAAAGTGACATTCTGAAACTCGTCATACACTCCACTGCCTTCCAGGCTCTGAAACTGAGGGCTACTCACTTTGTTTAAGAAGACATTAGTCATCACTAGCCCGAGATGAAATCTCACTTTGTTCAGAGGGACTGACCGATTGTTGAAAAGGGAAAGACGTTCTCACCGTGTGACTCAACACTGTTCAGTGCCAAGTTCCTCACCTCACCATTAACTGGAGTCATTGACTGTCTACACCTGCAGGCTGAACGCACCGCCCCAGGATGAAGTGTGAGTCCTCGGCATCCCAGGGAGGTTAGTGTCCTCCTGCGAAGCTCCAGCCTTGGGGAGTGCCTCCACGTCCAGGCTGGAGCCACCTCCCTACTCCCTCTCCCCAGGGCCTGGCACGGTCAGCCATCATGAGTGTCCCAGCTAGAGTCAACCAGCAGATGATGTTTAGTGCCTCTCTGTGCCTTCAGAAATGCTTCCCACCCTCAGGAATTCCAATGCCTGCTTCTCTCTCCTGCTACACTCCTACTCATTGCCCATCTCTGCGTAGATGCCCCAGCGGATCACCGTTCAGTCGACATTTACCAGGCACTCCCTGTTCGGGGGTGAGTGTTGGCTATGGAGTTAGCCGCCAGGAGCCTGCCTCCTGCTGACTGGGCGATCTGGGCAAGTTATTTAGCTTCTCCGCCTCAGTCCTTCCTATCTGTAAAATGGGGATAGGAATGGCACCTTCCTCAAGGGTGTTGGTGAGGGTTAGACCAGTCGATATGCTAAGTGCTTAGAACACATTAACCCCCTGGGACATCTCAGGTGCTGCTGTTGTCTGTCAGGCTAGGAGGCTAAGGGATCTGCTTTCATGGGGGGGATGGAGTGACCTTCTAGAACCTGCTGCAGATAGAGCTTCAGCTTCACCCTCTGTATTAAGCATGCCCCATGGGGGTATGGGTTGGATGGTGGTCGACTTACTTTTTTACTGGCCCTTCTTCCTTATAGCCTGGGGACCTGGGATGTCAGGGAAGCCCATATCCTACTCACCTTTGACTTTTTTTTTTTTTTTTTTTTTTTTTTTTTGCAGTGGGGTCCTGCTCTGTCGCCCAGGCTGGAGTGCAGTGGCGCGATCTCAGCTCACTGCAGCTTTCACCTCCTGGGTTCAAGCGATTCTTCTGCCTCAGCCTCCCAAGTAGCAGGGATTACAAGTGCCTGCCACCACACCCAGCTAATTTTGATGGGTTTTTGTTTGTTTTTGTTTTTTTGAGACAGTCTTGCTCTGCCTCCCAGGCTGGAGTGTAGTGGCGCAATCTCAGCTCACTGCAACCTCTGCCTCCCAGGTTCAAGAGATTCTCCTGCCTCAGCCTCCTGAGTAACTGGGATTACAGGTGCCCGCCACCATGCCCGGCTAATTTTTGTGTTTTTAGTAGAGATGGGATTTCACCATGTTGACCAGGCTGGTCTCGAACTCCTGACCTCTGGTGATCCACTCACCTCGGCCTCCCAAAGTGCTGGAATTACAGGCATGAGCCACCACGCCCAGCTAATTTTTGTATTTTTAGTAGAAACGGGGTTTCACCATGTTGGCCAGGCTGGTCTCAAACTCCTGACCTCAGGCGATCCGCCCACCTCAGCCTCCCAAAGTGCTGGGATTACAGGCATGAGCTACTGTGCCCGGCTGCCTTTGACTTTTATGTACCCACCAGCAGCCTGGGCACACCAGGTACTTAGGAAACAATACTAATAAAGGAATCCCTGTGAGATACAGGCTGGGTGAAGGGACTAAGGCTGAGACGCTAAGGAGGCCCAGCTCCCAGAATAGCAGAATAGTCAGCATACAAGGCCTGGCCTTCCCATCCAAGCCTGGCTGTGTCCCGACTGCTTTCATATGAAACGACTTCAAGGGGCTTTCTTACTGGTATAGACAAAGTCACTGACATGCATTCGTGCATAAGTTCAGGTGCAAAGTGGAGCCCAGACCTTGAAGTCACAGACTGGGGTTAGGTCTAGACTCTCCTATGTATTTGCCAGGTGATCTTGGACAAATGTACTCCAAAGGTACACTCTGAGCCTCATTTTCCTCACCTGAGAAATGGACTGATGTTCCAATGATCTGTTTCTGCATGACAAATCACCCCAAAACTGAGTGGCTTAAAACCCCAGTAAGTCTCTTGTGTCTCAGGGCTTCTGTGGGTCAGGAATTCAGGAAGGGCCCCACTGGGTGGTTCTGCCTGACGCTCCGGTATGGGCTTCCTCCCAACATGACAGCCTGAGGACAGCTAAATTGCCCACTTGGTGGCCTGTGAGTCACAAACTCACCCAGGTTCAAAATCAGGAGAATTAGACTCCAGACTTTTTGTTTTTGTTTTTGAGACAGGGTCTCGCTCTGTTGTCCAGGCTGGACTGCAGTGCTGCCATCTCGGCTTGTTGCAACCTCCACCTCCCCACATCTGGCTAATTTTTGTATTTTTTGGTAGAGACAGGGTTTCACTATGTTGTCCAGGCTGTAAACTCTAGACTTTGATGGGGCAGTGGAAAGGTGGAAAATTGGAAAGGTGGAAAAGTGGAAGAGTATATGGGACAGGAGACACTGCTGCAATAACCTTTTGGGAGATACAGTCTGCCACAGATGATAGCTCTCACGTCCACTGGGAGGGTTACGGATGTAAAGCAACTGGAATATCTTTTTTTTTTTTTTAAGAGATGGAGTCTTACTCTGTCACCCAGCCTGGAGTGCAGTGGCGCAATCCTGGCTCACTGCAGCCTCGATCTCCTGGGGTCAAGCAATCCTCCTTCCTCAGCCTCCCAGATAGCTGGGACTACAGGCTTGAGCCACCACATCTGGTGCCTGGAATATCTTACCTGCCCATAAGGGATCTCTGTGGTGACCACAGCTGTCATTGCAGGTTGGCTGTCCACATCTGTCCCTTCTCTTCCTATCCCTCCTCGGTGCAAGTCGCACCCTGTTTATGGCCCATAGGAATCAGCTCACAGGAGACAGTTGGACAAGCCAAGAATCCATTGGTCCACTTGGAGTGGCCAACCATTAGGCCAACCATTAGGCAGAGGGCAGTGAATGGGGCACTGAGCCCAGGCCAGGTGAATGGGGGGAGGCACCTGGGACCAGCAGAGGATGTTACATGGGAGCTGGGCATTCAGAAGAGGCCTCTCCATCAAGCCGAGTGAGCCCGTGGGGCCACGCGCCCCCACCTCCTCCAGGAGAGAGGGATCCATCATCAGCATGGGGCCTGGGAACCCTAGCAGCCTATTCCAGATCCTGGCAGAGACCGACCACTTGATTTCATCCCCCTTCCAAAGTAGTGGCACTTAATTAAGAATTTCTAGGTCAGGCATGGTGGCTCACATCCACCATCCCAGCACTCTGGGAAGCTGAGACAGAAGAAAAACTGGAGGCCGGGAGTTCAAGACCAGCCTGGGCAACATAGTGAGACCTGCCCCTGTCTCTACCAAAAAAAAAAAAAAAAAAAAAAAAAAATTTTTTTTTCATGAGCAGAATGTGGTGGCGTGCACCTGTGGTCCCAGTTACTCAGAGGCTGAGGCGAGAGGATCACCTGAGCCCAGAAGTTGGAGGCTGCAGTAAGTTATGATTGTGCCACTCACTGCACTCCAGCTGGGTGACAGAGCACTACTCTGTCTCTAAAAAATAAAATAAAATAAAATAAAATAAAATAAAATAATAAATAAATAATTTGGGAAAAGACTTACTACCTAAGAAATCTTTCTCCTGCACCCCCAGGCCCCTGGTTTACTTTCACATCTCAGGAAATAAGAATCATAAAAAAGTCACTTTCCTTGACTGGAGGGAAGAAGGGAAGGCAGGCTGGACCCCAGGCCTCTGTCTCCTCCCTCCGTCTCAGCCATCTGGACAGAAGGGGCCTTTATTTAACCGGATGCTTCTCCATAGTCCTGTCACCCAGAGCTGCAAACTTGTCCTGTGGTCTCTTGTGGCCTCTGACATGTGAATCAGGATCAGCAGTTCTGAAGCTGATGGTCCCCTTCTTTAAAATGGTGGTAAACACATGTAACATACACATGTAACATACAAATTACCATCTTAACCTTTTCAAGTGTATAGTTCAAGGGCCTTAAGAACATTCACAGCTGGGCACAGTGGCTCACGCCTGTAATCCCAGCACTTTGGGAGGCCGAGGTGGGCAGATCACCTGAGGTTAGGAGTTCAAGACCAGCCTGGCTAACATGGTGAAACCCCGTTTCTACTGAAAACACAAAAATTAGCCGGACATGGTGAAGTGCGTCTGTAATCCCAGCTACTCGGGAGGCTGAGGCAGGAGAATCACTTGAACCCAGTGGGTGGAGGTTGTACTGAGCCAAGATGGTGCCACTGCACTCCAGTCTGGGCGATAGAGTGAGACTCCCTCTCAAAAAAAAAAAAAGAAAAAAAGAAAGAAAAGAAAAGAAAAGAAAAAAAAAAAGGAACATTCACACATTCACACTGTGGCACAACCATCACCACCATCCATCTCCAGAATTCTGTTCCATCTTCCCAAACGGAAACTCTGTCTGCATTAAACACTAACTCCCCATTCCCCTCTCCCTGAAACTCGCGACAATCAGCAGCTTCTTTCTGTCTCTGTGAATCTGACTACGCTAGACACCTGGTGTAGGCTGAATCTTACATTACAGTCAGACTCCCATGTCCATGTGTCCCAAATCCATGGATTCAAGCACCCACAGATTACAAATATTCTCAGGCCAGCCGCGGTGGTATACACCTATAATCCCAGCATTTTCGGAGGCTGAGGTGGGAGGGTCACTTGACCCCATCTCTACAAAAAAAAAAAAAAAAATTATTATTATTATTATTGAGACGGAATCTTGCTCTGTCTCCCAGGCTGGAGTGCAGTGGTGCGATCTTGGCTCACTGCAACCTCTGTCTTCTGGGTTCAAGCAATTATCCTGCTTCAGCCTCCTGAATAGCTGGAATTACAGGCACCTGGCCACCACACCCAGCTAATTTTTGATTTTTAGTAGAGATGGGGCTTCACCGTGTTGCCCAGGCTGGCCTTGAACTCCTGACCTCAAGTAATCCACCTGCCTCAGTCTCCCAAAGTGCTGGGATTACAGGCAGGTGCATCCATAGTCCTAGCTACTTGGGAGGCTGAGGTTGGAGGATTGCTTGAGCCTGAGAGATCAAGACTGTAGTGAGCCATGATCGTAGCACTGCACTCCAGCCTGGGTGACAGACCACATCCCTAGCTAAAAAAAAAAAAAAAAAAGAAAAGAAAAAGAAAAAAAATGCACAAAAACTTTTTACAAAGTTCCAAAAAGCAAAACTTGAATTTATCATTGCATTAAATCCATGCAAATGAAGTGATGCGTAGACATTTTATTAGGTGTTATGAGTCACCTAGAGATGATTTAGAGTCTACAGGGGGATATATGTAGGTTATATGCAAACACTACTCCATTTTATATAAGTGACTTGAGCATCTGAGGATTTTGGTATCCACAGGAGGTCCTGGAATCAACCCTCTGTGGACATGGAGTTGTATTTGTCTCTTTGTGTCTGGCTTATTTCACTGAGCATGATATTCTCAAGGTTCATCCATGGAGTAGAATGTGTCAGAATTCTGATGCCCCTTTTTATAACCCACATCTTGTACAGTTCTCTTTACTCTCTCTCTCTTTTTTTTTTGGAGACAGGGTCTTACTCTGTCTTGCAGGTTGGAGGTGTTCAGTGGCACAGTCTTGGCTCACTGCAGCCTTGACCTACCAGGCTCAGGTGATCCTCCCACCTCAGCCTCCCGAGTAGCTGGGACTACAGGTGTGTGCCACCAAGCCCACCTAATTTTTGTATTTTTTGTAGAGATGGGCATCTCACTATGTTGTCCAGGCAAGTCTCAAACTCCTGGCCTCAAGTGATCCTCCTGCCTCAGCCTCCCAAAGTGCTAGGGATTACAGATGTGAGCCAGCACGTCTGGACCCTCTTCGCTCTCCTGAAATGAAATGTCTAGAATGATCCAGAATGCTGCCCTCCCTTCTGCCAGTAGATGTCTAGTAGAACCCACCATGATAAGCAAGCCCCCATTCCACATTTCCAAAACGTTCTTTAACTGTCATGCAGTGTGACCCCCAGACTACACTGAAAACCACTCTCCCAAATGAAGTTTTTTCCTAAGGAGCCCAGAGCACTTTGTTCCTCATTACCTTCCCCAAGTCTTAGGCCCCTGACATCCCTATAAAGAGTCTTCCTTGCCGGCAAATAGCATGTGCAAAAAGGTTCCATGGGCGGCCCACCAGCCCTACAACCAACCTTGGCTTTGGCTTGGCTGAGAACCCACCCACAATTTCCCCACTATCATCAGTGACCACTCTCATTTCAAAGACGTGGAAAGTAAAGTTCAGAGACAGATGAAGACGTCGGGACTGACATTTCCTACACGCCTTCTAGGTGTGCACGCAGTGTCTTACTGCTCCCAGCATCCTGGGTAGAGAAGACATCATCCCATTTTACAGGGCTAAAAATTGAGGCTGGGTGTGGTGGCTCACACCTGTAGTCCCAGCACTTTGGGAGGTTGGGGCAGGCGGATCACCTGAGGTCAGGAGTTCGAGACCAGCCTGGCCAACATGGTGAAACCCCGTCTCTAGGAAAACTACAAAAATTAGCCAGGTGTATTGGCTGATGCCTGTAATCCCAGCTACTTGGGAAGCTGAGGCAGGAGAATCGCTTGAACCTGGGAGGCAGAGGTTGCAGTGAGCCGAGACCACACCACCGCACTCCAGCCTGGATGACAGAGTGAGACTCCATCTCAAAAAAAAAAAAAAAAAATTGAGTAGCAGGGCACCAAGGACCTTTTCTCTGGGTCACAAAGCTATTGGTTGACAAAATGAGAACTGGGAGGTAGGACCTGTAATTCCAAGCCACTGCACCCTCCTGCCTCTATGACAAAGGATAGAGGGGCTGGGACCCACTCTTCCCCACAGCAGCTGCAATCGAATCAGAAAGCAGGCAGCGCATCTGGATGCTGTGAGTCAGTGCTCAGAGGAGGAGGCCGTGGCACACAGGGCAGTCACCGCAGTCCTGGCACAGCCGGGTCTCTGCCGTACACTGCCACAGCCCACCTGGCTCTGTGCGTGGGCAGGAAGTCATGTTCCTTCCATGAGCAGGAGGTGATTAACGAACACCGGGTGAGGACGAGCGGGTAGAACAAGGTCAGAATCTCAACTAAGCCTTCGAGATCGTGTCGGGCTCATTTCCCTGCGATGTCTGGTCTCCGTCCCACTCTGGGGTGTCAGCTTCCCGGAGACTCGCCCAGGTCTCCTGCCTTCCGAGCTCTTGCCTTGCTGCTGCTTTTAGCCCTGCCTTTCACAGCTGCTAGTTGCCCACTCCTTAGCCTGGCATTCAAGGCTGCAATGCCAGCTTCAGCTTCACCCCCATTTCCTGCCACAAACCCTCCACTCTGGCCAAATTCCTCCCATGCCATGACTTTCCTGCCTCTGAGCCTCTGCCTATGATCCCCCCCACCACCCCCCAGGCCTGCCCTCTTCACCCATTTCACCTGTTAGGCTGACAGGTCAGGTTTGAGTCCAGTGAACCTGATTCCAATCCCTGACTTTGCCAACTTATCAACCTGTGAAGCATCGGGCAACCTCCTGAATCTCTCTGAGCTTCTTCTTCTTCTTCTTCTTTTTTTTTGGGGGGGGACGGAATCTCATTCTGTCACCAGGCTGGAGTGTAGAGGTGTGATCTCGGCTCAATGCAGCCTCCGCCTCCCAGGTTCAAGCGGTTCTTGTGCCTCAGCCTCCCGAGTAGCTGGATTACAGGTGCCTGCCAACACACTGGCTAATTTTTGTCTTTTTAGTAGAGACGGGGTTTCGACATGTTGGCCAGGGTGGTCTCGAACTCCTGACCTCAGGTGATCCACCCGCCTCAGCCTCCCAAAGTGCTGGGATTACAGGTGTGAGCCACCGCGCCTGGCCTATCTCTCTGAGCTTCTGTGTCTGCACATAAAATGCCACTGGATTCAACTCATTTTTATTGAGCTCCTACTGTGTCTACAACAGTCTGAGGATTTAGCAGTGAAGAAAGGTGATTTTTTTTTTACTGCTTATCCTTGTGTACTTTTAAAATGCTGTACCACGTGCAGGTAAAATTTATTTTTAAATTTTATTAAAATGAAAATTATCAAGGTAATGAGACTTAGGAAGAGGGAAAATATTAATATCTTACTCCGGTGGTTTCTACGAGGATGAAGGGAGGCAACCCAGTCCAGTGCAGGGTCTGGGGCCCAGCAAAGAAGTGCTCACTAAATTGCAGCCATCGTCAAAATGCTGCCTTCTCCAAGCCTCTAAGGAGCCTCCTGCAGTTAAACCTGGCCTCACCCCCACTGGAGTGTGATGGCGCCTTTGTTTGTACTATGTCATTTACTCACCTACCCATCCACCCACCTGTCCTCCATCCATCCACTTACCCACCCAGCCATCACTCATACTTTCACCCACTCATTGATTACTTATTGCAAACCACCTTAGCCCATTTTATGCTGCTATAACAGAATAGCATAGACTGGGTAATTAATTAATTACTTTATTTATTTTTATTTTTATTTATTGATATATTTTTTGAAACAGAGTCTCGCTCTGTTGCCCAGGCTGGACTGCAGTGGCATGATCTCAGCCAACCGCAACCTCTGCCTCCCGGGTTCAAGTGGTTCTCCTGCCTCAGTCTCCCGAGTAGCCAGAATTATAGGCACACACCCCCACACCCGGCTAATTTTTGCATTTTTAATAGAAACAAGGTTCCACCATGTTGGCCAGGCTTTTCTTGAACTCCTGACCTCAAGTGATCCGCCCGCCTCGGCCTCCCAAAGTGCTGGGATTATAGATGTGAGCCACTGTAATTTATAATTACAAGGTAATTTATAATGAACAGAAATGTATTGGCTCACAGTTGTGGAGGCTGAGAAGTCAAGGGGCCACATCTGGCAAAGGCTTTCTTGCTGTGTCATCCCATGGGAGAAGGCCCAAAAGAGGGTACGGAGTGGGGCAAGAGGGAGCTAAACTAGTCCTTTTATAAGGAACCCAGTCCCCAGTAATGGCATTAATTTATTCAGGAAGGCAGTACCCCCATGACCCAAATACTACCTCCCATTAGGCCCACCTCCCAACACTGTCACATTGGGGATGGAGTTTCCAACACATGAACTTTGGGGGACACATTGAAACTATGGCACACACCAGCCATGTGCCAGGTCTTCTGCCAGGTGGGTAGGAGTGAATGATAAAACAGTTCCAATCTTTCCCCTCATACAAGTTTCTGCTGGGTAAGGGAGAGATGACCCACCATGGAAAGTATTTGCTACACAACGTACAAGCTTTGTAGATTATATGCAGAGTACATGTGCTCCATAGAGCAGGTGGCAGGGGCAAAGGACTTGCAGAGAAGGGATATCAAGTTGAGACCTGAAGATGGTCCCGGCAGATGAAGGCAGAGGAGAGGACATTCCATGGGCAAGGCAGGAGGTAAGAAGGTGTGTAGAGAAGATAAGAACAGCCGGAATGTTGAGTTTCATGTTGAGAGCAGCAAGGGGCTGGAGAAGTGACCAAGGGCCTCACAGATTATGTAAGGAATGTGATCCTTGTCCCAGGAACAGGCTTCAGAGGGCTTCCAGCAAGGGAGGGACATGAGAAAGTTCTGGCGTTGGAGAGAGAACTCTGACTGCACTGTGGTCACCAGGTTGGAGTGGACAGGATTGGGTTTGGCAGTGACGGTGTGTAGAAGCCAGCTGGCAAAGCTGGAGCAGAGATTCCCCAGGCAGGAGGGGTGCTGGGGGTCTGCAGCAGAGCAGGGAAGTGGGAGCAGAGAATGAGGAAGGTCAGAAGATTACCCCAGTCTTTTTTTTTTTTTTTTTTTTTTTGAGATGGAGTCTTGCTCTGTCACCTAGGCTGGAGTGCAGTGGTGCAATCATGGCTAACTGCAACCTCTGCCTCCTGGGTTCAAGCAATTCTCCTGCCTCAGCCTCCCGAATAGCTGGGATTACAGCCACCACCACGCCCAGCTAATTTTTGTATTTTTAGTAGAGACAGGGTTTCACTGTGTTGGCCAGGCTGGTCTCGAACTCCTGACTTTGTGATTCACCCGCCTTGGCCTCCCAAAGTGCTGGGATTACAGGTGTGAGCCACCGCGCCTGGCCTCCCCCCAAATTTCTACCAGAAAAATTCTTACCTTCCTGAAAAGTTGAAAGACCAGTACCACAAACACATTTTCTTCTACCTAGAGTCAACAATCATTGATATCTCCAGCTTTGCTCTCTCAAGACACAGCAAAGTGGGTGGATTTTCTTTTTCTGTACCATTTGAAAGTCAGTTTCAGACATGGTGATGCTTCACCCTGAGCTGCATCTCCTGAGAATGAAGGCATTTTTCTCCTGAATCGCAGAACCAGTATCGCACCTCGGAAACACAACAGGAGTGACGTCTGCTGCCCAGTTTGTGTCCAGATGGATGGCCTTTCATGGTTGGGTTTTTGTTTTGAGAGCCGGGGTCCCATCAAGATGCCAGCGTCGCATTTGGTTGTCTCTTTAGTCTCCAAGAAAGACTCTGGAGGTGGAATGTGTAGGGCTTGATGAGTCACTGGGTTTCAGGGGTGGAGGGCAGGGAGGATCCGGGCGATGACCGGGTTCTGGTTTGGGCAGCCAGTGGTGCAATCCTTGGCATGAGGAATTCTGGAGAGGGAACAGATCTCAGGGGAGAGTGGGTTTTGGAAGGGCCGAGTGTGAGGAATTGTCTGGCTGTCAGGTGGGAAGCTCAGGAGATGGTAGCGAGATACAGTGAGGGCTGTGTTAGCTTCCTGGGGCTGCCAAACAAATGACCAGAGATGGGGTGGCTTAAAGCAACAGAAATGTGCTTTCTCTTAGCTCTGGAGGCTGGAAGTCCAAAATCAATGTGTCAGCAGAATCCTGCTTTTCCCAAGGGCTCAAGGGAAGAATCCTTCCTTGTCTCTTCTAGCTCCTCGTGGTTTTCGGCAGTCATTGGCGACGCTGCGCTCCAATCTCTGCCTCCGTTTTGGCACATGGCCACCTTTCCTCTTGTAGTTCACATGGCCCTCTTATAAGGACACCAGTCATTAGGTTTAGGGCATACCTTCCTGCACTGTGACCTCATCTTAATTTAACTAATTACATCAGCAAAGACCCTGTTTCCAAATAAGCTCACGTTCTGAGGTTCCTGGTGGACACCAAATTTGGGGGGCACATTATCCAACTCAGTATACGGTCAGCAGCATCTAAATGGTGACTGAGACAGCAGGAATGGCTGCAACTAGCCAGGGAGAGCAGATGGAGGAGGAGGAGAGGGAAGGAGGGGAAGGGGCCCTAGAAAAGAACCAGGGGGCTTAGTCACAGTCTGGAAGGGAGGAGGGCGTGGCTCTACAGGGTCAAGTGCTGTGGGGTGTCAAGTAGAGAAGGGCTGAGCCGCATGCAGCCTCTGGATTCCACGATGAGCTGGCCGGAGACTTTGGCAAGAGCAGTGTCAGGAGACCGCTTGGGGAAAACCCAGACTGCATGGAATTTTGTTTTTACATTTCAGACCCTGGCCTCATAGACCTCTTTTTTATTTGTTTGTTTTTTGAGACAGAATCTCGCTCTGTCACCCAGACTGGAGTGCAGTGGTGCCATCTTGGCTCACTGCAACCTCTGCCTTTTGGGTTTAAGCAATTCTTATGCCCCAGCCTCCTGGGTAGCTGGGACTACAGGGGTGCACCACCACACCCGGCTAATTTTTGTATTTTCACTAGAGACAGGGTTTCATTATGTTGGCCAGGCTGGTCTCAAACTCCTGGCCTCAAGTGATCCACCCGCCTCAGCCTCCCAAAGTGTTGGGATTACAGATGTGAGCCACGGTGCCCTGCCCTCATAGGCCGCCTGAAGGCAAGTGGAATAAGTGGCTCTTCTTACATATTTATCTTGCTGTTGTCAGTTCTTCCGTCGGGCTGTAAGCCCCTCCAGATTAGGGGCTAGATTAGATTTTGTTCCCTGTAACTCTCCCAGACCCCTGCGGGACCCATGGCCTCCTGTGAGCATCAGCACTCACAGCCCCAGCACGTCTGCCCCAGGGCGGCCACCACCTGTGCTGAGAGAGGGTTCCTTATAGGATAGGAAGGTGCCAATTTCAGCTGCAACTATTGACCCTTTTTGCATGACTTCACATGCATGGATTTGCTCATTGAACCCTAACCCTAACCTCTAGTAGTAGGAGAGTACTATAGTACTAAAATACTACAAGAGTACTATTGTTACTCAACATAGCAGATGAGGAAACCAAGGCACAGAGAGGTCAAGTGGCACAGGAAGTGAGGGAGCCAGGATCCAGACTCGGTGATTTGGCTCCGGAGAGCGCAGTGCCTTGCAGAGCGCATGGCTTCACACTGACCATTGAATGGGCTCCAAGGTCATCAGCAGATCTCAGGTGAACCTGTGGATGTGCTCCTGGAGCTCCCTGGAGTTCTTCTGGGTCTGACCTCACTTGGGGCCTGGCTACACGCGCTGTTCTTTACTTCCTGGGATAAAGAGCAGACATTGGCCCTGAGCACTGTGTGTCATCAGAAGGGCAGGTGCAGGCCCAGAGCAGGGGGCTTCCAACCTAAGCGTGACCATTCTCCTCACAGAGCCCCTGCAGACTGGAGACTTTGACCCCACAGGTCACTTGCAGCTGCCCACCACTTTCTCACCTCACCTTTCATGTCTCAGGTGTGTTTCTTTCAGCTGAAAGCCCCAGAGGGACCACGCCTGGCCCTTCCTGGCTCAGCTGCCCCATAGTGGTGAGGTTTTCTGGTTTATTTTTTCAGTTGTTATTAGAGGTCGTCGTTATCTTTCTCATGAGTGACTAAAGCCTATTATCCCTAGGCAAGTTCCTGCCTGGCCAGTGGGTGGGAGCCTCCAGTGTCTGCATCTTCCCCCACACCACCCCCGGAGCCTGAGCTCACACAGCTGGGGTGGGGAAGAACCTGCCTGCGGCCCGTGGGAAAGCTGGGGAAGGAGGGGAGCCTTCTGTCCATGCTGAGGGGGCAGCTGCCGTGCAAGCCCGGCCAGGGGGCTCTTCTCTGCTGTTCTCTGGGTGTCCTGGAGACCACAGGCTGCTCCCAAAGAGAAAGGGATGGGACCAAAGAGAAAGGGATGGGACAAAGGGATGTCCTTACTCCCTCTTGCAAAACTTCTTGCACCTGAGGTAGAGTAAATCTGAGCGCTTCTCCACCCCAGATCTTTGGGAAGAAGGTAAGGGACCCATGCCAGGTGCAGTGGCTCACACCTGTAATCCTAGCACTTTGGGAGGCTGAGGGGGGTGGATCACTTGAGGTCAGGAGTTTGAGACCAGCCTGGCCAAAATGGTGAAACCTCATCTCTACAAAAAATACAAAAATGAGCTGGATGTGGTGGTGCATGTCTGTAATCCCAGCTACTAGGGAGGCTGAGGGAGGAGAACTGCTTGAACCAGGAGGCGGAGGTTGCAGTGAGCTGCGATTGCACCATGGCACTCCAGCCTGGCAATAGAGCAAGACCCCATCTCAAAAAAAAAAGAAAAAAAAAAAAAGAAGAAGAAGGGAAGGGACCCTGTATTAGGCCGATCTCACACTGCTGTAAACAACTACCTGAGACTGGGTAATTTATGAAGGAAAGAGGTTTAAATGACTCACAGTTCCACAGGCTTAACAGGAAGCATGACTGAGAGGCCTCAGGAAACTTACAGTCATGGTGGAAGGTGAAGGGGAAGCAGGCACATCTTTGCAAGGTGGCAGGAGAGAGAGAGGGCAAAGGGGGAAGTGCCACACACTTGCAAACCATCAGATCTCGTGAGAACTCATGCACTATCATGAGAACAGCAAGGGGGAAATCCACCCCATGATCCAATCACTTCCCACCAGGTCCCTCCCTTGACCCATGGGGATTACAATTTGACACGAGATTTTGGTAGGGACCCAGAGCCAAATTGTATGAGACCCCAGCCTCAGTGGACACCGTGTGCCTGCCGGCTTTCATGCTTGCTTGTCCTCTGCCAGGGGCCCTCTCCCCACTCTGCTCACATGACAAGCTCTTACTCATCCTTGCTGTTTCACCTTCAAAGTCGCTGCTTCCAAGAAAACCTCCCTACTTCCCCCATGCTGCCAGAACACCGTGCCCCCTGCCTTCTGTTTTTTTCACCATGGAATTTAGCTTCCTGCAGGGCAGAACCTGTGTCTCGTTGCCCACCCTGTGTCCTCAGCACCTGGTATTACAAAACAGCACAGGTTTGCCACGGTTGAATCGGCAGGTGGCCTGGTCATTTTCCTCTCCTTCCCCTCCCAGAGCCAGGCTCATCTCCTCATGCCTGAGGCTCCTGGCTTCCCTCCCCAAGAGGGACCGAGGCCAGCAGTGAGCAAACAGTGCAGGGAGCAGAAACAGTGCCAAGCCAGAGGACAGGGCTCCTTGGCAGGATGACCTCCTGGAAGAGGTGACTTCATGGCCCAAGAGCTGAGTGGCTGCAGGATGTCAGCCTCGTGAAGGGCTGGCTCAGAGTGTCCTGGGCAGGGAGAGAAATGAGTACAAGGGCCCTGGGGCAGGAACCAGTGTGGCAGATCTGAGGGCCACAGAGAAGGCCAGTAAGAGTGGAGTGAACTGTAGACTTTACCCCAGGTGTGTTGGAAGTTGGGGAGCAGTGCCGTAGGGAGGTGTTCTTGATGCCGGGGTGGCTTGATGAACTAAGGCTGAGGGCCTCCTCACAGCTGCCTCTGCCATCCTGCAGACGCTGGCCAATTATTTGGAAATATTCACAGAAAACACAGCAAGAAAAGCATCCAGTGTCTGGGAGCAGTGAGAGCACTTCTCACCTATCAGTTCCTGGTGTTCATATTAGAGTGAGAAATAGGCCAGGGGCAAAGAAACAGGCCAGGGGCTAAGAGAATCTGTTTTTCAGCCACCCACAGGGATGGAGACAGCAGCATTATGAGGATTCCAGCCCCTTCTGGGTTTAAGTTATTTACACAAAGGTATAAGCCATGTCATAAGAAGGTATCAGGTTATATGGCCAAAAGAGCCATTCTTCTCTCTTAATGGAAAGGAACTGAGCTGCTATAGAGACCAGCTACGTGCTTGGATGCTCACGGACTGATCACATGTGCCCACCTGCCTGGGTACTGATTTCTCCAGTGCTGAAAGGAGGCACCATCACGGGCCCTGCTTGCTCATTGAGGAAACTGAGGCTTGGAGAACTTTGGAGACCTGCCTCAGCCATAGGCCAGCACAGGCAGACAGTGAGCTCAATGCCTGGACTCAAATCTTGTGCCCTTTTTAAAAACCTTTTATTATGAACGATTTCATTCATTTGCCAACAACAGAGGTGGTGTTTTGCAAGATGAAAATAATGATCACATAACGTGGACACCCACGCACCACCGTCCACTTAAGAAATAAAACATGCTGGGACCAACCATCCTCCTGTTGCTCCTGATGGCTGCGTCACCACCATTCGGCCCCTAGGTACCCAGGACAACTCTGAAGTTTACTTGTATCTTCCCCTTGCCCCATGCACCTCTTGCTTTCTGCCAACTGCTTTGTGGTTTCATAGTGTACATAGGATATTACCATGGACTACTCAATGTAGAAATGCATAAATTTGTATGAGAGTGTGTTCATTTCCTGGCCAGGCACGGTGGTTCACGCCTGTAATCCCAGCACTATGGGAGGCTAAGGTGGGAGGATTGCTTGAGCTCAGGAGTTCAAGACCAGCCTGGGCAACATGGTGAGACATCGTCTCTACAAAAAAATGCAAAAACAAGCCAGGCATGGTGGTGCACGCCTGTAGTCTCAGCTACTTGGAAGGCTGAGGTGGGAGGATCGCTGGAGCCTGGAAAGTCGAGGCTGCAGTGAGCCATGATTGTGCCACCGCACCCAACCTGGGCAACAGAGCAAGACATTGTCTAAAAAACAAACAAACAAACAAATAAACAAACAGTGTGTTCATTCCCTGGGGCTGCCGTAATAAATGACCACAGACTGAGTAGCTTAAACAACAGAGATTTATCCTCCCAGTTCTGGAGGCTGGAAGTCTGAAGTCAAGGTGTCCGCAGGGTGGGTTCCTTCCGGAGGCTCTGAGGGCATATCTTTTCCAGGCTTCTCCCAGCTTCTAGGGGCTGCTGGCACCCCTCAGTGTGCCCCGGTGCATGGCCGCACCCCTACAGTCTCTGCTTCTGTCTCTCATGGCCTCGTCCCTGTGTGTCTCTGTGTCTGTGTCTCTTCTTCTCCTTCTTTTTTTTTCCTTTTTGAGATGGAGTCTCACTCTGTTGCCCAGGCTGGAGTGTAGTGTCATGATCTCGGCTCACTGCAACCTCCATCTCCTCGGTTCAACCAATTCTCCTGTCTCAGCCTCTCGAGTAACTGGGATTACAGGCACATGTCATTATGCCCAGCTAATTTTTGTATTTTTGGTAGAGATGGGGTTTCACCATATTGGTCAGGCTTGTCTCAAACTCCTGATCTCAGGTGATCCACCCGCCTCAGCCTCCCAAGGTGCTGGGATTACAGGTGTGAGCCACTGCACCTGGCCTCTGCGTCCTTTCTTCTTCTGATAAGGACACAGTCATTGTATTTAGGGTCACCCTAAATCCAGGATGCTTTCATCTTGAGATCTCTAAGTCAATTACCTTTGTAAAGACCCTTATTTTTGTTTGTTTGTTTGTTTGTTTTTGAAACGGAGTCTCGCTCTGTCACCCAAGCTGGAGTGCGGTGGTGCAATCTCGGCTCACTGCAACCTCCAACTCCCAGGTTCAAGCAATTCTCCTGTCTCAGCCTTCCTAGTAGCTGAGACTGCAGGTGCATGCCACCATGCCTGGCTAATTTTTTTGTATTTTTAGTAGAGACAGGGTTTCACCATATTGATCAGGCTGGTCTCAAACTCCTGACTTCAGGTGATCCACCCACCTCGGCCTCTCAAAGTGCTGGGATTACAGGTGTGAGCCACCGTGCCCGGCCAAAGACCCTTATTGTACACAAGGTTGTATTCACAGGTACCAAAGGTTGGGACATGAACATATCTTTTTGAGGGCCACTATTCACCTACTACTTACAGGAAGGCACTCAAAATTTACTTAGTGGTCAAAGTGCTTGATCAAAAATTTAGGGCCCCCTGTGGTGTGAAGATGTTTGTGTTATTGTCTCTGTCTTGGGGCAGGGGCCACATCTCATGCCCCCTCCAACCCCACTGGCTGCTCAGTAGGATGGAGGAAAGGGGCCTCTGGACTATGGCCTGAGTTTGCCAGGATGCAGCTAAGAATGAGAGTGGGGGCCGGGTCTTCCCTCTTGCGCTGCCATCACAGAGCCCACTTGCCCACCGCCCTCCCCCATCAGACTAGCTCAGTGCTTGCAGTGTGGTTCGCCCCAGTTGTCAGCTCTCCTTGCACCCTGTCCTTGTTCTGTGGGGCACGTCTCACCTAGTAATGAAGGAAATCATGGGTGTCGTTTGTGTTTAAGGCTCACGTTCTCCCCAGATACTGCCTTCCCAGTTCTTCCTTTGTAGACCCTCAAGAGATCATTGTCACCTAAATGAACAAGGTCCTGTGCGGTGATCTGGACCCTTCTTTGCCTAGTCCAAAGGAGACCGCAGGGTGTGCTGTGTCACAGTGAGGTGTCCAGCCAGCACAGGAGGAAGGAATTACTGTAGTTCAAGTGGATTTAGCCTGCTTGGCCTATAGAGCCGAGAGCACAAAGCAAACAGCTGCTCAGACACCTTGGCTGGGAACCTAGGAGGCCCCCATGGGCAGTAGTTTCCCCAAAATGATGGCCAAGCACCTGCTTCGTGCTGGAGACCGAGACAGGAGTACACACAGATGGAGGCACGTGGATAGACTGCCTCTCTGGCCCTGCTTGCAGTACGATGAAAGTCCTGCCTCCTGACCCCAAGGCCACCCCTGCCCTTGGGCCCTTCTCCCACTCTACTTCGGCCCTGAGCTACTTTTTTTCTTTCTTTTTTCTTTTTTTTCTTTCTTTCTTTTTTTTTTTTTTGAGATGGAATCTCCCTCTGCTGCCCGGGCTGGAGTGCAGTGGCATGATCTCGGCTCACTGCAATCTCCACCTCCCAGGTTCAAGCGATTCTCCTGCCTGGTCTCCTGGGACTACAGGCGCCCCCCCCCCCCCCCCACCACGTGGCCCTGGGCTATTTCTAACCATCTGTGTGCTCAGGCTTGGGTGAGGAACGCCTTTGTCTGCAGTGGGAATGTTCTACCCTACAACTTTACCATGTTGGGAAGCGGCTTGGGAATCCTCGTCATGATTCCCACACGTGTTCATTCCATTCCGCCCATGTGAAAAGCCTGGAGCCATCGAGTGCAACGAGCTAACAGGGTCCGGCTTCCCCGGGGAGGCTGTGGCGCTCAGGGGTTTAGGAGCCCCCAGTCTGTGCGTTCCCAGAGCCAGGGCTGGGAGCCCTGCCTGGCTTCTCTTTGAGAATCAGTTCTTGGAAATCTGCTGTGGCAACACTTCCCGGCACAACCATGGGTTCCTTTTGTGTCCCAGCTGGAGCCATCTCGGGGGTGGTGTTGGCTGCTGGCTTGAGACGACGCGGGCCCCACTCTCCCAGGAGCTCCGTGGCTCCTTTCTGCAGCTCCGCCTCTCCCAGCGGCTCCTAAACCCCAGGCTCAGGCCTTCTGGGCTCCATCCTTGTGCACAGGTGCCGCCTTCTCTGGCACAAGCCAACCATTACTCACAGCTAAAAACTTCAATCCAAATTAAAAAGAAAAAAAAATCCCCACCTCCACTGCCCAAGAAACAGGCCTCATTTCTCCTTTATTCTGAATCACAGCCAGCGGGTTCTCAGAATACTGGGCTAGAGGAACAATATGATGTCCTCCATCCATCCTGGCCACATTGTGAGCAGTCATTTCGCCATCCCAGGACCAGGAGAAGGTGTGGCGGGAGAGGCTTCCAGGCCCTGAGGCATCAGTGGGGTCCTAGGCCGTTGGGTTGAGGGGAGATGAGGAGGGCGGGCTGGGGGCCAGGGGACTCATGCAGCATGAAAGAGCAGGCTCTTAAGGCCCCATTCATGGGACACGTTTCCTTGATATGTGGTGACTTTTTCTGTTTTTTTTTTTTTTTTTGAGACATAGTTTCACTGTGTCGCCCAGGCTGGAGTACAATGGCACAATCTCCGCTCACTGCAATCTCTGCCTCCGGCGTTCAAGCGATTCCCCAACCTCAGCCTCCCGAGTAGGTGGGATTACAGGTGCCCGCCAGCAAGCCCAGCTAATTTTTGTATTTTTAGTAGAGATGGAGTTTCACCATATTAGCCAGGCTGATCTCAAACTCTTCACCTCAGGTGATCTGCCTGCCTCAGCCTCCCAAAATGCTGGAATTACAGGTGTGAGCCCCTGTGCCTGGCTGATATGTGGGGACTTTTCACATTTGAAGAGACCCAACCAACCTAAACCTACTGACCTCCTGCAACATAAAGCACAGATCCGTGAAGATCTGTAAGGCGCACATAAAGCACTGATGTGTGAAGACCTGTAAGACCACAGCTTCCTTTCCGAACACAGTGTGAACACAAGGCCGTGGAAAGACAACAGCCAGGATCAAGAACCCGATACCCGCTACATGTGAAAGCAAACTGTGGCTAACAACCTACAACTCCAGCCGGGCGCAGTGGCTCACGCCTGTAACCCCAGCACTTTGGGAGGCCGAGACAGGTGCATCGCTTGAGCCCAGGAGTTTGAGACCAGCCTGGGCAACAGGGTGAAACCCCGTTTCCACTAAAAATACAAAAATTAGCTGGGTGCGGTGGCATGTGCCCCTGGTCCCAGCTACTTGGGAGGCTGAGATGGGAGGATTGCTTGAGCCCAGGAGTTCAAGGCTGCAGTGAGCCATCATTGCACCACTGCACACCAGCCCGGGTGACAGAGCAAGACTCTGCCTCAAAACAACAACAAAAATGACACATATGGCGTAAGGGAATGACTCTCCAGTAATCTTTAAGGCATGACAGTGAAAAATATCATGTGAAAATAGGGATTTACCCTGACAGATAACACTGCGATTGCTCGGTCTCTCGGGAAATATGGCATCATCTGCAGAGAATCTGATTCGTGAGATCTATATCATTGGAAAACGCTTCAAGGAAGCAAATAAAGGCTGGGCGCAGTGGCTCATGCCTGTAATCCCAGCACTCTGGGAGGCTGAGGTGGGTGGATCACCTGAGGTCAGGAGTTCAAGACCAGCTTGGCCAACATGATGAAACCCCATCTCTACAAAAAATACAAAAATTAGCCAGGTGTGGTGGTGGGTGCCTGTAATCCCAGCTACTCGAGAGGCTGAGGCAGGAGAATCACTTGAACCTGGGAGGCGGAAGTTGCAGTGAGCTGAGATCGCACTACTGCACTCCAGACTGGGTGACAGAGCAAGGCTCCATCTCAAAAAACAAACAAAAAAAACCAAAAAGGAGCAAGTAATCTCCCATCATGGCCCTTCAAATTATCCTTTTCACGAGGTGGATGAAGAAAAAGCCCATCCATGTTACAGAAGGTGGAGCTGCTGTCAACAGGGAAGGCCAGATCAGCAGGCTTATCAGACGGGTGAATTAAAGTGTCTGCCATGATTATTATTGTTATTATTTTTGAGACGAAGTCTCGCTCTTGTCCCCCAGGCTGGAGTGGGATGGTGCAATCTCAGCTCACTGCAACCTCTGCCTCTGGATTCAAGCGATTCTCCTGCCTCACCCTCCCGAGTAGCTGGGATTATAGGCATCTGCCACCACGCCCGGCTGATTTTTGTATTTTTAGTAGAGACAGGTTTGCCATGATTATTTTTGTAATCTGGTCATTTAATAAACAGTGACTGCTCTCAAACTGAAAAAGTGTGTGTGGGGGGATCATTTAGCCCAAGAAACTACTCCCAACTGGGGTGTTCTCGGTTTTATTTTTATTATTATTATTTTTTTGAGATAGAATCTTGCTCTGTCGCCCAGGCAAGAGTGCAGTGGTGTGATCTCGGCTCACTGCAACCTCTGCCTCCCAGATTCCAGCAATTCTCTTGCCTCAGTCTCCCGAGTAGCTGGGACTACAGGCGTGTGCTACCATGCCTGGCTAATTTTTTGTATTTTTAGTAGAGATGGGCTTCCACCATGTTGGCCAGGCTGGTCTTGAATTCCTGACCTCAGGTGATCCACCCACCTCGGCCTCTGGAAGAGTTGGGATTACAGGCGTTGAGCCCCTGCACCCGGCCTCCTCAGTGTCTTTCTTTTTTTTTTCTTTTTTTTTGAGACGGAGTCTGGCTCCTCACCCAGGTTGGAGTGCAGTGGCACAATCTCAGCTCACTGCAAGCTCTGCCTCCTGGGTTCACGCCATTCTCCTGTCTCAGCCTCTTGAGTAGCTGGGACTACAGGTGCCCGCCACCACACTCGGCTAATTTTTTGTATTTCTAGTAGAGACAGGGTTTCACCGTGTTAGCCAGGATGGTCTCAATCTCCTGATCTTGTGATCCGCCCACCTCGGCCTCCCAAAGTGCTGGGATTACAGGCGTGAGCCACCGTGCCCGGCCTCAGTTTCATTTTTAAAATGAGGGTCTCGATAGGGTAAAATGTATTCTGGGATCTTTGAGTCTCATCCCTGGCGGTTCTGCTTTACCCTTGTCAGCTGTCTCGCCTGGAAAATGGAAATGTGGTATCCAGGCGCTGATGCTGAAGGTGGGGGAGGAGTCCCATGAGTCTCACCAGAGATGGCCAAGGACGCCGTCGAGGTGGGCTGTTACGGCCTGAACTGTGCCCCCACTTTCTCCAATTCCGATGTTGACGTTCTAACCCCCAGTACCCCGGAAATCAACTGTATTTAGAAATGGGGTCTTTACAGAGGTGATTAAATTCAAATGAGCCTGTTAGGGTGGGTCCTAATCCCATATCCCATATGACTGGTGTCCTTATCAGAAGAGGAGATTAGGACACAGACATGCACAGAGGGACAGTCATGTGAGGACACAAGGAAAAGTCGGCCATCCAGGGAGAGAGAAACCAACCTTTCCACGCCATGATCTCGGACTTCAGCTTCCAGAATGTGTGAGGATAATCGTCTGTTGAAGCCACCCCATCTGTAGTTAGTCCCCTGTGAGTTTGTCTGCCTCTCTGATTTCTTTTGGGAGCAGCTCATCGTGTTTCCCATGTGATGGGAGGAGCTGGAGGGCCCTCCCTTCTTAGGAAGACTGATCGGAGCTCACAGCCGCAGGGCAAGCTCAACTCTGTGGCCTCCATTTCGCAGATCCAATTAACATGCACCCCTTTAAAGAGCTGTCACTACCTGCAGCACACACCACTTTTCAAACCAGATTACACATTTTTTGCTTCTTCATCTGTTTAGCCACCGAGACTATGCGTTCTGATGTCTTGATTTACATATTTTTTACTTCTTCATCTGTTTAGCCGTCAAGACTGTGTGTTATGATGTCTTGATTTATTGATGTACTCTCAGCACCTGGCCCGGTGCCTGGCATAAAGTGGCTCCACACCAGAATGTCTGTTGGATGAATGAATGAATAAAATTACAACATCTAACAGTTGTCACATCCTCTCTATACATACTAAAAAAAAAAAAAAAAGTAATTTTAAGAAGTGTCATTGGCCAGGTGTGGTGGCTCACGCCTATAATCCCAGCACTTAGGGAGGTTGAAGTAGGAAGATCCCTTGAGCCCAGGAGTTCAAAACCAGCCTGGGCCACATAGGGAGACCCCATCTCTACAAAAAATAAAAAAAAATAAGCCCAGCCCAGTGGCACATGCCGTTAGTCCTAGCTACTCGGGAGGTTGAGGAGGGAGGATCCCTTGAGTCCAGGAGGCCAAGGCTGCAGTGAGTTGTGATCATGCCATTGCACTCCAGCCTGTACAACAGAGTGAGCCATCTCAAAAAAAAAAAATATATAAAAAAACATTTAAAAAAGAAAAAAGAAGACAGGAACTGTGGCTCACGCCTGTAATCCTCGCAATTTGGGATGCTGAGGTGGGTGGATCACCTGAGGTCAGGAGTTCGAGACCAGCGTGGTCAACATGGCGAAACCCCATCTCTACTAAAAATACAAAAATTAGCTGGGTGTGGTGGTGGACGCCTCTAATCCCAGCTACTTGGGAGGCTGAGGCAGGAGAATCACTTGAACCCAGGAGTGTGGGGGTGGGGGGTGCGGAGGTTGCAGTGAGCCGAGATCGCGCCGCTTCACTCCAGCCTGGGTGAAAGAGCAAAACTCCGTCTCAAAAAAAAAAAAAGGTATTTTAAGAAGTGTCTCATCTGTCAAGTTAGCTGGTATTAAATAAATAAAAAGAAAAAGCATCACTTGTTGGGCACAATGGCTCATACCTGTAATCTCAGCACTTTGGGAGGCTAAGGTGGGAGGATCGCTTGAGTTCGAGATCAGTCTGGGCAACATAGTGAGGCCCCCACCACCACCACTCTCCCTGTTCCTTGTCCCCACTCCCAATCTCTCTCTACCAAAAAAAAAAAAGAAAGAAAGAAAGAAACTGCTAGGAAGAAAGGAAAGAGCTTTTGTGGTTGTACTGCTATGCTATTGCCTACAGCATCAAACACTCAACTAACAGAAGGTGCCCAACACAGACACAGGTGTTTACTATTCACTTAACAAGCCTGCTAGGGGGCAGCTCCCAGTGGGCACAAGCCTTCCAGTAGTCTTTCCTTAGCACATTAGCAGACACGGTTTCCAAATTCCCAACAGATATTAATCTTCAAGACTCGAGAATGTCATTCAAAAACAAGGACACAGCCTGAATTCTAAATGCCAGGTTGTACTAAGGGAACACCTTGATCTTTGAGTCTTGACTGTGTTGTTGGGTTTTTTGTTGTTGTTTTTTTGTTTGTTTGTTTGTTTGTTTTTGAGACGGAGTTTTGCTCTGAGATGGAGTTTTGCTCTGTTGCTGGGCTGGAGTGCAGTGGCGCAATCTTGGCTCACTGCAATCTCTGCCTCCCGGGTTCAAGTGATTCTCCTGCCTCAGCCTCCCAAGTAGCTGGGACCAGGCGCGCTCCACCATGCCTGGCTAAGTTTTGTGTTTTTAGTAGAGATGGGGTTTCACCATGTTGGCCAGGATGGTCTCGATCTCTTGATCTAGTGATCCGCCTGCCTCAGCCTCCCAAAGTGCTGGGATTACAGGCATGAGCCACCGCACCCAGCCCCTTGACTGTGTTTTGTTCAGGGCATTCTTCGTACTAGTTGGTTGTGGTTATAAAACAATTAGTGGGCCAGGCACGGTGGCTCATGCCTGTAATCCCAGCACCTTGGGAGGCCGAGGCGGGCAGATCACAAGGTCAAAAGATTGAGACCATCCTGGCCAACATGGTGAAACCCAATCTCTACTAAAGATACAAAAATTAGCCGGGCGTGGTGGCGTGCACCTGTAGTCCCAGCTACTCTGGAGACTGAGGCAGGAGAATCACTTGAACCCAGGAGGCGGAGGTTGCAGTGAGCTGAGATCGCGCCACTGACTCCAGCCTGGGTGACAGAGCAAGACTCTGTGTCAAAAAACAAAACAAAAAAAAAAACACACAAAAAAATTAGCGAAACAGCTTACATTCATATTTATTTTATTTTATTTTATTTATTTATTTATTTATTTATTTATTTTTGAGATGAAGTCTCACTCTGTTCCCCAAGCTGGAGTGCAGTGGCATGATCTTGGCTCACTGCAACCTCTGCCTCCTGGGTTCAAGCAATTCTCCTGCCTCAGACTCCCGAGTAGCTGGGATTACAGGCACGCGCCACCACGCCTGGGTAATTTTTGTATTTTTAGTAGAGATAGGTTTCACCATGTTGGCCAGGCTGGTCTCAAGCTCCTGACCTCAGGTGATCCACCCGCCTTGGCCTCCCAAAGTGGTGGGATTATAGGCGTGAGCAACCGTGCCCAGCCCAATTTTCGATTCCATACTTCTGCCCCATGTTGTTTTGTCTCAGAATCCATTTCTTTAAAAAATAAATCTTTTGCAGATGTGGAAAAAAAAAAAGATATGGGCATGAGATATCAGAATTCCCCAAACCCTAAGTTATTTTGTATTTATTAAAAACATTGTGTTTACTTGCTTGTAAAGAATGGGTGACCATAATAAGCAGGTTCAGAGGTTTTCTGTAAAAAAATTTTTAAAAATCTGAAGTGCATGGTTCTTATTATAAACCAATATATTTTGACAATATTGTTTTTTTTTTTTTTTGAGACAGAGTCTCCAGGCTGGAATGTAGTGGCATGTTCTCGGCTCACTGCAACCTCTGCCTCCTGAGTTCAAATGATTCTCCTGCCTCAGCCTCTGAAATAGCTGGGACTACAGTAATGCACCACCACTCCTGGCTAATTTTTGTATTTTTAGTAAAGTCAGGTTTTCACTATGTTGGCCAGGCTGGTGTTCAACTCCCGGCCTCAAGAGATCTGCCCGCCTTGGCCTCCCAAAGTGCTGGGATTACAGGCATGAGCCACTGCGCCCAGCCAGTATTACATATTTTAATAACATAAAAAACCTCCATCTGATACAGATATTTGATAATAAAAAAATTAAAAGAAAAGAATATTAGTAAACAATAAATGTCAAATTAATTTTTAAAATCTTAGAATAATTCCACAAATATCCAACATTTAAAAGCTTAATTGTCCTATCTCATAATCTTGATCTTTGTTTCATCATAAATATTCCAGTTGTGGAAAAATTTCTTAGGACTGTGCCCAAAAGCATCCTCAAGTTGGGCAACAGGAAGAGTATAGGGTTGTTTGTTTGAGACAAGGTCTTGCTTTGTCACCCAGGCTGGAGGGCAGTGGTGCAATCACAGGTCACTGCAACCTCAGGCTCCTAGGCTCAAGTGATCCTCCCACCTCAGTCTCTAGAGTGGCTGGGACTATAGGCTCATGCCACCATGCTCAGCTCATTTTTTTTTTTTTTTTTTTTTTGAGATGAAGTCTCGTTCTGTCACCCAGGCTGGAGTGCAGTGGTGCAATCTCGGCTTGCTGCAACCTCCACCTCCTGGGTTCAAGCAATTTTCCTGCCTCAGGCTCCCTAATAGCTGGGATCACAGACACTTGTCACCATGCCTGGCTGATTTTTGTATTTTTAGTAGAGATGGGGTTTTGCCATATATTAGCCGGGCTGGTCTTGAACTCCTGACCTCAGGTGATCTGCCCACCTTGGCCTCCCAAAGTGCTGGGATTACAGGTGTAAGCCACCACACCTGGCCTCATTTTTTATTATTTTTATTTATTTATTTATTTATTTTGAGACAGAGTCTTGCTCTGTCGCCCAGGCTGGAGTGCAGTGGCGCCATCTCGGCTCACTGCAAGCTCTGCCTCCTGGGTGCACGCCATTCTCCTGCCTCAACCTCCCGAGTAGCTGGAATTATAGGTGTGCACCACCACACCCAGCTAATTTTTGTATTTATAGTAGAGAAGGAGTTTGGCCATGTTGGCCAGGCTGGTCTTGAACTCCTGACCTCAAGTAATCCACTCACTTCGGCCTCCATTAGTGCTGGGATTATAAGCGTGAGCCACCACACCTGGCCTTCGTTTTTAAATTTTTTTGTAAAACAGGGTCTCACTATGTTGCCCTCACCGATAGAGATTTTTTGTTTGTTTTTTGTTTTTTAATTTTGTGGTAAAATACACATAACACAAAATTTACCATCTTAACCACTTCTGAGTGCACAGTGCAGTGGCATTAAGTACTTTCTCAGTGTTTCACTGCGTGCAACCATCACCACCATCCATCTCCAGGATTTTTCTTTTCTTTTCTTTTCTTTTTTTTTTTTGAGATGGAGTTTCACTCTGTCACCTAGGCTGGAGTGCAATGGTAAGACTCGGGTCACCGCAACCTCTGCCTTCTGGGTTCAAGCGATTCTCTTGCCTCAGCCTCCCGGGTAGCTGGGATTACAGGCATGCGCCACCACGCCTGGCTAATTTTGTATTTTTAGGAGAGACAGGGTTTCTTTATGTTGGTCAGGCTGGTCTCGAACTCCTGACCTCAGGTGATCCACCCGCCTAGGCCTCCCAAAGTGCTGGGATCACAGGCATGAGCCACTGCGCCCGGCAGTCTCCAGAATTTTTCATCTTGCAAAACTGGAACTCTGTGCCCATTAAATAGTATCTCCCCATTTCCCTTCCCCCAGCCCCTGGCATGCACCATTCTACTGTCTGTCTTTATGGATTTGACTACTCTGGGACCTCAGGTAAGTGGAATCACACGGTGTTTACCCTTTGTGCTTGACTTAGTTCACTGGGCATAATGCCTTTGATACTCATCCGTAAGGTTACTTTTTATTTTTTTTTTAATTTTATTTTTTCTGAGACAGGATCTCACTCTGTCAGCCAGGCTGGAGTGCAGTGGCACGATCACCACTCACTGCAGGCACAACCTCCTGGGCTCAGGTGATCCTCCCACCTCGGCCTCCTGAGTAGCTGGGACTACAAGCGTGCACCCACCACACCCAGCTATGTTTTTGTATTTTTAGTAGAGATGGGGTTTCACCATGTTGCTCAGGCTGGTCTCAAACTCCTGGGCTCAAGCCATCCGCCCGCCTTGGCCTCCCAAAGTGCTGGAATTACAAGCATGAGCCACTGCACCTGGCCCAGATTACTTTTTTAATGGTGAAACTATTTCATCTGCTTCACAAAAAAACTATAGCCCACAGTGAATACTCAGACTCTGGAATGCCAGCAAATACACTGGGTAGGATTCAAATAACACGAACATTGAGATCTGTTAGCAAGGTTCACAGTGCTAATATTCAAAATCACACGTTGAAGTTGCCGGTTTGAGGACTTAGCTGCTTATTTCTTAGAATACCACTCATAGGATTTGGATAAAATACACTATGTGTGTAAACTCAACAACATTTATTTTCAAGAATAACTCACCATTTGGCAGAGGCAGGGGCCAGGGCAGGCATACACAACAGGGCACAGCCACAGGCAAGATGGACTGGTTCTCTCCCACATACTTCTGTCCCAGTTCTAGGAATGTTGGAATGTTGACCTTAACCTTCAGCTCCACGTGTCAGCGCTTCCTACTCTAGCTTTTTTTTTTTTGGAGACGGGGTCTCACTCTATTGCCCAGACCAGAGTGCAGTGGCATGATTACTTCTTCTGTTTTTTTTTTTTTTTTTTTTTTTTTTTTTTTTTTTTTTTTTTTTTTTTTTTTTGAGACAGAGTCTTGCTCTGTTGCCCAGGCTGGAGCGCAGTGGTGTGATTTCAGTTCGCTGCAATCTCTGCCTTCTGGGTTCAAGTGATTCTCCTGCCTCAGCCTCCCAAGTAGCTGGGATTACAGGCATGTGCCATCACACCAGGCTATTTTTTGTATTTTTTGTAGAGACGGGGCATGTTGACCAGGCTGATCTCGAACTCCTGACCTCAGGTGATCCACCCGTCTCAGCCTCCCAAAGTACTGAGATAATAAGCATGAGCCACTGTGCCCAGCCTGCCCTAGCTTTTTTTTTTGAGACGGAGTCTTGCAGTGTCGCCCGGGCTGGAGTGCAATGGCGCTATCTCGGCTCACTGCAACCTCCGCCTCCTGGGTTCAAGTGATTCTCCTGCCTCAGCCTCCTGAGTAGCTGGGATTATAGGTGCCTGCCACCACACCTGGTTAATTTTTTGTATTTTTAGTAGAAACGGGGTTTCACCATGTTGGCCAGGCTGGTCTCAAACTGCTGACCTCCTTATCCGCCTGCCTCGGCCTCCCAAAGTGCTGGGATTACAGGCATAAGCCACCATGCCCAGCCCTGCCCTAGCTTTTGGCTTGACATCAGTGCATTCCTTAGAGCTGGTAACCTCCCTCTATGTTAAGTTTGTTTCTCCTGTGGGAATCCTACTCTTCCCTTTTTTTCCCATCTATCAACTGATTTTTTTTTTTTTTTTTTTTGAGACCGAGTCTCACTCTGTCGCCCAGGCTGGAGTGCAGTGGTGCGATCTCGGCTCACTGCAGGCTCCACCCCCCGGGGTTCACGCCATTCTCCTGCCTTGGCCTCCTGAGTAGCTGGGACTACAGGCACCTGCCACCTTGCCCGGCTAATTTTTTGTATTTTTAGTAGAGACAGGGTTTCACCGTGTTAGCCAGGATGGTCTCGATCTCCTGACCTCGTGATCCGCCCGCCTCGGCCTCCCAAAGTGCTGGGATTACAGGCGTGAGCCACCGCGCCCGGGCTTGCTTTTTTTTTTTTTTTTTTTTTTTTTTTTTGAGATGAAGTTTTGCTTTTGTTGCCTGGCTACAGTGCAATGGCGTGATCTCGGCTCACTGCAACCTCTGCCTCCCAGGTTCAAGGGATTCTCCTGCCTCAGCCTCCTGAGTAGTGGGGACTACTGGTGACTGCCACCACGCCTGGCTAATTTTTTGTATTTTTAGTAGAGACGGGGTTTCACCATGTTGGCCAGGCCTGACCTCAGGTGATCCGCTCACCTTGGCCTCCCAAAGTGCTGGGATTACAGGCATGAGCCACTGTACTCAGCCTTATTGACTGATTTTTCTTGTTATTCAGGATTGGGAAAGGGACCGATTTCCTGTGAGATGGTGGGAAGGAATTTCCTGGAAGCACAGTGGGCAGAATCTTTCCTTATGGTCTCACAGCAGCTGCCACAGTCCCCAGTCCCAGTCCTCAAGGACAGAGGCCATGGGGCTTTCTTCTGCTCTCTCTTTCTTCAGAGAGGGAAGTCCCAGGAGTCTCCGCACACTTTCCCTTATGTGTCACAGATGAGAACAGGACTCTAGCTTGTCAGGGGCAAAGGGGAAGAAGATGCTAGCAGAGTTGGTCCAAGCCTGATTCATGCTGTGGGGACGGGCATGGCGCAAATATAAAAGACTTCCACCAGTGATAATACTGTTCATATGGCGCTTCCCAACTCAACCCTCACGGCAATCCTATGAGGTGGTGCTACCATCTTTGCTTTACAAATGAGGACATTTGGCCCAGAGAGGCCAAGCAGCTTACCTAGGAGTACACAGCTACGGCAAAGAAGCAGAGCCAAATCTGACACAAGCTACCTGTCTCCAGGGTCGGCATCCACACCCACTGTGCAGAGTGTCTTCAAAGAGGGCACGGTGACCAGGCAGGGGACCAGCTGGGGGGGGCTGCTGCAGTCAACTCTCATTTCCAGCCGTAAGAGTTCCTCAGCGAATATCGCAGGGTGGTCTGTGGGTGTTATTATCCCCATTTGACAGATGAGGAGAGTGAGGCTTAGTAGAGGTTAGTGCCTTGCCCCAGGGCAAGGTAAAGAGCTGGGAGTGCAGCTGAGACCTCTGAGAGTTGGACTACCTCTGTCTGGGCTCTTCTCCCTATAACAGCGGGACATTTTTATTAGGTGGCTCTGTTTGATGAACACAATGAGGTTGTCAAGAGAAGCAAGGTGCAAAATGCTTGACTTCCCTTTGAAATATAATTATACACATACATTATATTATGAATGAGACTAAAGTCTTCATGTCCAAGCAGGCAGCCAGGAGATGCCCAAAGGATTGGGAACCTCCCTATACCTGGCGTTGGGATAGGGGCAATGGAGACGATTTCAGACAAGATGGATCAGGAAGACAGATACAGAGACCAGGGCTCAGTACCTTGGTGTCCCACCCCTGGTGGAAGGGTTTGACTCCTGCTTTGGGGGCCTGGAGATAACTTTTGATGTAGCAGCAGGAACATTGGCTTTGGAGCCAGAGAGTTTTGAGCTCAAGTCACTGTTTTTACCAAATCATAAACTGTGGGGTGTGGGGTATGTTATCTAATCCTTCTAGGTCTCAGTATTTTCAACTGTAAAAGGATGCAGGATATACTTGTGAGGATTTGGGGAGTTAGATGGGTTAAAGATTTTTTGTAAAATGCTCTGGAAATTGTAAAATGCTCTGTAATTTTCTTATTATCACTTCATCCAGAGGTGTCCGTGTCCGTGCTCTTCGGACTGACCTGAACAAACCAAGTCATAGTCACTGATGGACCAATTTTCTTTCTTTTTTTTTTTTAGAGATGAAGTCTCACTCTGTCGCCCAGGCTGGAGTGCAGTAGCACAATCTCGGTTCACTGCAACCTCCGCGTCCCGGGTTCAAGCGATTCTTGTGCCTCTCAGCCTCCCAAGTACTGGGATTACAGGCGAGTGTTACCACGCTTGATTAATTTTTGTATTTTTTTTGTAGAGACCGTGTTATGCCATGTTGGCCAGTCTGGTCTCAAAATCCTGACCTCAAGTGATCCACCCGCCTCAGCCTCCCGAAGTGCTAGGATTACAGGCGTGAGCCACCGCGCCTGGCCAATGGACCAATTTTTAATTAATCGGTTTACCATGAGGCATCGAACTGCCATGGAAACCAGAACACTCAGGCCAATGATCTCCCCAGCTTATGGCCACTAGGGGCTCAGTTTTCTCATCTGCAAAATGGAAAGAATACAGGCATAGCCATGGGGAGAACTATTTTTTTTTTTTTTTTGAGATGGAGTCTCACTCTGTCGCCCAGGCTGGAGTGCAGTGGCACCATCTTGGCTCATTGCAACCTCCGCCTCCCAGCCCTGGAGAACTATTTTAAGAATGAAATGGTGGCCAGGGGCGGTGGCTCACACCTGTAATCCCAGCACTTTGGGAGGCCGAGGTGGGTGGATCATCTGAGGTCAGGAGTTTGAGAGCAGCCTGACCAATATGGTGAAACCTTGTCTCTACTAAAGATACAAAAATTAGCTGGGCGTGGTGGCGCATGCCTGTAATCCCAGCTACTCAGGAGGCTGAGGCAGGAGAATCATTTGAACCTGGGAGGCAGAGGTTGCAGTGAGCTGAGATCGTGCCACTGCATTCCATCCTGGGCGACAGAGTGAGACTTCATCTCGGAAAAAAAAAAGAATGAAATGAGATGAATAAGTAAAATGGTAGCTCTTGGCCCTGGGAATTGAATTATTTCGGCTGCACTGCAGACCAACTGGTAAAATGTTTTCTCTTCAGTTGTTCCTTAAAGAGGCCACTCCTTGATCACAACGACGTGGGGACAGGACGGGGAATTGAGAGCCCTGGGTTCACTCAAGGCTCCACCTCCAGCTCTGCCCCAAACTCTCTGAGTGTCTACAGGGAAATCTGTTTTGCATCTCTGGGTTTCAGCTCCCTTCTCTTAAAGGAACGACCACATCCTCCACCATCTACTGCCCTAGGGCTCCTCCAGCTCAGACCTCCCCCTGAACTGTGTTGTCACAGCACTCATTCATTAGGTGGCTTTACATGTTCTGGGTAGATTTGGGCACATCCTGATCTCTATGATTGAGGTCAGACCACAACGATCCCCGCAGGAACCTCCTTCTTAAGCCGCTTACATCTCTGGAGTGGAGAGGTGTCCTGAGTGATGCTCATGGTTGACAACTAACTGCATCATCCAGGCACCTTCTAGAGAGCAGAGGCTGGCTGACCTCCACCGCAGCCACATTTGCAAACATGAAACCCCAGGAGTAGTGATAAATTCTCTGCTCCCTCCTCACTCCTTCTATCATAATTTCTTTATCAAGTCTTTTACAGAAGAACTGGAGTGAAAACATTTTCCATCTTCACTGTTTTCCTGACAGAGCCTTGGGTGACAGCATGTCACCCAAGCTCTGAGAAATGTTTTCCAGATAAATACTTCTGGGAAGTAGTTTAGCTGGGTGGTATGAGTAAATCCATCTGAAAGTCATGTTAGCTTCCTGAAAGCAGTTCTCCATGGTTCTCACTTGTCCAGATTGAATTTTAATGAACATTTATTGGAGGTTTTCCTATTGATTATAATAATGACGCACATTCATGATAAAGTATCTAGAAAATAAAGACTAGCAAAATGAAAGAAATGCAGCTTCCAACCACAATCCCACTTAAAGATAACCACCGCGAACATTCTGATGGATCTCCTTCCAAGAATATATACATATATATATGCGGGAAGTGGGGAAAGATAAAGAACTAATTGACTACAGTAACAATATTTTCTTATGTAGACATATGTTTTTCTTTCATAATTTGAAACTTAAAATTTAATTTCTCATTTCAAGAATAGTTCATGTCATATAAAACTCATTTTATTAAAAATGTATCACCTTAACATTCTAGAGTTATTCATCTACAAGGTAAATTTTACATAATACATTCTTAATCTAAACACAGACTGTTTTCTTTTTCAAATTGGGGTTCACACTCTGTATACTTGTTTGAATTTGCTTTTTTAAAAAAGTTTTTGTTTATGTATAAAAATTAAGGCATACTCTACATATTAATGTACAGTTATTTGACAAACGTATATAGTAATGTAACTACCACCACAATCATGATATATGTAGTTATCTAAAATATGACTGTGGGCCAGGTGCGGTGGCTCACACCTGTAATCCTAGCACTTTGGGAGGCTGAGGTGGATGGATCACCTGAGGTCAGGAGTTCGAAACCAGCCTGTCCAACATGGTGAAACCCAGTCTCTACTAAAAATACAAAAATTAGCCAGGTGTGCCTGTAATCCCAGCTACCCAGGAAGCTGAGGCAGGAGAATCTCTGGAACCCCAGGAGGCGGAGGCTGCAGTGAGCCGAGATCACCCCACTGCACTCCAGCCTGGGCGACGGGGCAAGATTCAGTCTCAAAAAAAATGACTGTGAATGTCACCAAGTTTTCTGTCATTTGGAAGTGCAATAATTTAACCAATCTTGTTTTCTTGGCCATTTAGGTTGTTTACGATTTCCCCCTTACTGATTTTGCGATCTGGGGGAATGAAATAATAAATGAATTAAAATGAATGAGGGCCATGAGTGGTGGCTCATGCCTGTAATTCCAGCACTTTGGGAGGGTGAGGTGGGAGGATTGCTTGGGCTCAGGAGTTTGAGACCATCCTGGGCAACATGGTGAAACCTCTTTTCTACCAAAAATACAAAAAAGTTAGCCAGGCATGGTGGTCTGCGCTGGTAGTCCCAGCTACTTGTTGGGGAGCTGAGGTGAGATGACTGATGGGCCTGGGAGGTAGAGGCTGCAGTAAACTGTGTTCGAACCACTATATCCCAGCCTAGGTGACTACATGAGACCCTGTCTCAAAAAAAAAAAAAAAAAGAGAGAGAAAAAGAACAAAGGAAGGGTAAGGGGAGGGGAGGGAGGGAGAGAGAGAGAGGAAGGAAGGAAGGAAGGAAGGAAGGAAGGGAGGAAGGAAGGAAGGAAGGAAGGAAGGAAGCAAGGAAGGAAGGAAAAAGAAAGAAAAGAAAGAAATAAAATGAAATTCAGAATTCTCATTTTCCTGGAGCTATACCAACTGGGTGTCTCCCTTCTCCGCTGGAAAAATCCCACATCATTCAAGACCCAGCTCAGATATTGCCTCCTCTATGAAGCCCCCATGATGCCAGCTGGAGAGCGGGTTCCTCCCTTCCCTGTGATTCCACAGCACCAAGTCACACACTGTTTACGGGACAGACATTGCAATAGTCTGTTTTTCTTCTCTTTCTCCAGACTGTGAACTCATACTAGAAGTGATGTCTTAGCTCTGCGTTCCCAAGACCTAAGCCATGCTTGGCTCATACATGCTGCACAAATATTCATGAAATGAATGAACATTCTACCCTGCCGAACTAAATTTTGATCTTGAGCCGATTTTTCTTTTTTTTTTTTTTTTTGAGATGGAGTCTCGCTTTGTTGCCCAGGCTGGAGTGCAGTGGCGCGATCTCGGCTCGCTGCAAGCTCCGTCTCCCGGGTTCACGCCATTCTCCTGCCTCAGCCTCCCGAGTAGCTGGGACTACAGGCGCCTGCCACCACGCCCGGCTAATTTTTTGTATTTTTAGTAGAGACAGGGTTTCACTGTGTTAGCCAGGATGGTCTCGATCTCCTGAACTCGTGATCCGCCTACCTCGGCCTCCCAGAGTGCTGGGATTACAGGCGTGAGCCACTGCGCCCGGCCTTGAGCCGATTTCTTAGAAAACAGACACTTTATGAGCATGGTGCAAACATAAGCTGGCTGCATTAAGCAGGTACCCCTAAGGAGAGCTGGAAATTTGCTGGTTTCAGACAGTGGTTCAGGGGAACTTGGGAGTTGTGCAGAATTGCTGGGGTGTGGAGAGGTACAGGGTACTTGCAGAACACCTCATCTAAGCGATCAACTTTACAATTTTATTATTTTTGAGACAGAGTCTCGCTTTGGCACCCAGGCTGGAATGCAGTGGCACAATCACAGCTCACTGCAGCCTCGACCTCTCAGGCTCAAGCGATCCTCCCACCTCAATCCCCCAAGTACCTGGGACTACAGGTGTGGCCCACCTTGCTGGACTAATTTTTAATTTTTTGTATAGACATGGGTCTCGATATATTGCCCAGGCTCAAGCAATCCTCCCACGTTGGCCCCCCAGCGTGCTGGGATTACAGACGTGAGCCACTGCACCTGGCCAATGTTTTTTTTTTTTTTTTTTTTCTGAGACAGAGCCTCGCTTTGTCTCCCAGCCTGGAGCGCAGTGGCATGATCTCCTCATTGCAACCTCCACCTCCCAGGTTCAAGCTATTCTTCCACCTCAGCCTCCTGAGTAGCTGGGATTACAGATGCCCGCCACCACACCCGGCTAATTTTTGTATTTTTAGTAGGGATAGGGTTTCACCATGTTGGCCAGGCTGGTTTTGAACTCCTGACCTCAAGTGATCTGCCCACCTGGGTCTCCCAAAGTGCTGGGATTACAGGCTTGAGCCACCGCACCCGGCCTCACCTGGCCATTTTTACACTTTTAAAATAGCAAGAAACTAGGGGCAAAAAGTACATATTCATATCTATGTGTAGTCAGTCAATAAATATTTATTGAATGAACGAATAAATTAATGGAAGGTGTTCCAGATCCTGGTAGGCGAGAGTCAGTCGGAGGGAGTGCTTGTTCTTGGTGCACTCACAATGGAGAATCAAGGAATTCACCTTGGACGGGCTCATTTCTCCCTCTCCTAGGCCCCGTGCAGCCTCTTCTCAGACTTACTAGTTCTGAGGGGCTCCTGGCTGCCTCACACCAACAGCAGTGGCCAGTGGACACTGGCGATGGTGTCCTGACATTTTGGTTTGTGAAGAGTTTGTGCTCCGAGTCAAATCCTGGGAGGAGTGGGGAGGGCATCCGCTTTAATTAATTAGAGGTGTCTCTATTCATCTCCGTATCTGCAACATCTAGCACAAGACTTGGCCCATAGTAGATGTTTAAAAATTCTTGCTGAGGCCGGGCGCAGTGGCTCACGCCTGTAATCCCAACACTTTGGGAGGCTGAGGCGGGCAGACCACCTGAGGTCAGGAGTTCGAGACCAGCTCGACCAACATGTAGAAATCCCGTCTCTACTAAAAATACAAAATTATCTGGACTTGGTGGCGTGCGCCTGTAATCCCAGCTACACGGGAGGTTGAGGCAGGAGAATCACTTGAACCCGGGAGGCAGAGGTTGCAGTGAGCCGAGATGGCGCCATTGCACTCCAGCCTGGGTGACAAGAGTGAAACAACGTCTGGAAAAAAAAAAAAACTTGCGGAAAAGATGAAATGACCAAGACTCGCGCAGTGCTGCCCGTCAGGCTCTCAACTAGTCGCTCTTCACATCTGATTCATGTCTTAAAGCAGCCTCGCAGGTAGGTCTGCATCATTTTCCCATCCTACATCGGAGGCGCTGAAGCCCAGGCGGGTTTCCCGAGTCGCCCGGGCCCACGCTGCAGAGTGAAAGCCACAGCGGCAAAGCCTGCACTCTGGACGCTGCGCCGGGACGTCCCCAGGTGCGGCAGGCAGCGCTCCGTAAGTGGGTCCTGGCGGGAACTCCGTCCTTCTGAACCCAGATCAGGCCCAGGGAGACCGTAGGGGCGCCGCGGCGGGCGGGGTCTGGGTCCTCGGTGGTGACTGAAGCCTCGGTTCGCTCTTCTGCAAGGTGCGAATCCAGAGCCTCCAGCTCGGGAGGGACCTGACGTGCCGGACGCGTCCAGCTCAGAACTCGAGGCGCGGTAGACACTCAGCAAAGGCCTCCGGCGTCCCTGCAGCCGTGGGGGGAAACTGGGGACGCCCGGAGGAAGACGCTGACCCGGCGAGCACCTGAGCGCCCACCTGTGGCTCATCCCGGAGACCGCCCCCTCCCCCGCGACCCGGGCGGGGCCTGGGGGGCGTGGCTCCCGTCTCGCTCAGCCAATCAGTGCCCCGGGGCCGCCTCCCGCCCCCTCCTGAGGAGACAGCGCTTGCGTACTCGGGCCAAGGTGCTCCTCGGGCCCCGCCCCCGGGGCGGTGCTGACGCTCGCGCCGACGCGCTCGACGTCGGGCACGTAGACGCCGGCGCCGCGCAGCCGGGCCCGCTCCTCCTCCGCTCCGCCAGTGTCCGGCCGCGGGCCGGCCTTAGTGACTGGGGCGGCGGGCCCCGGGGCCGCGGCGTGGGGCGGGCAGGCGGACGCCGGCCGCGGGCTGCTTTCGTCGGCTCCCAAGCTCTCCCGGAGCGAGCAGCCGCCCGCGAGCCGCCGCGGAGCCTCCTCGCCCGCTCCCGCCGGCGAGCAAGGTAAGGGAGCGGGACACTGAGGCAGGCTCGGGGCCCAGGCGTCACCGGCGCGTCCCGGTCTCCGCGGCGGCCACGCAGCCGATTAGATGTCTCCGCGGGGAAGGGTGCGCTCCGGGACGGGTGGGGGCGAGGCCGCGGCGCCGGGTCGCGCTGGGAGAGCTCCGGCGGGACACCCGCGCCCCAAGGGACGGCTCCGGGGACTGCGCGCTGCCCCTCCCCGAGCCCCGCGCCCCGTGACCCGGGCGCTGGGGCGAGGGGCGGGGACCTGTGGCCGCTGAAAGCCCTGGCCCGAGCGGGCTCCGTTGTCAACGGTCCTCACCCCCCGGGGTTCGGGGCTTCCGCCGCACCTGATACAGGAGGGGAGGAGTGCGGCTCGAGCAGGCTGGAGGTCACCATCCCCATCAGGTGCGCCGTCTGGGGCATCCCCCTCTCAGGGGTCCACCGCGCCCCCAGTACTGCCCGAAAGGCTCAGAAGCGACTTCCCCTTTCCCTGGCGCTGTCTTTATATCCCAGACACTTAATAGACTCTCGTAATCTCACCTTTCACTTTTCCCTCTTTCCTAGCCGCCCCCGGCTGTATCGACCTGCTATATTTCCATTGTGGATTTTTTTTTTCGGTTGTAAACTTACGTAAGTTAGGTTGACCAACCGTTGCAGCCATTGGAAAACACTTCTACCAGCGTTTAACGAATCCGGTTCCTTTTAGTGCTCACCAAATCCAGCCCAAGAATTCAGGGAGCCGTCAGTTCTTCCCGGGAGCTGACTGCACACATTCCTGCAAGATGCCTGATGGATTTTGTACTTGTCAGTTTTGCTGGTTGTATGCTCCTTCTGTGCTTTTCCTGAAAAATGATTGGGTGACATGTGTTTTGACTTTCTCCCCCCCTACCCCCCCACCCTCCCCACCCCACTGGGAAGTAAAAAAAATAGGTAACAGAAGCACACTTGTTTTCAGCAAAAACAAGTACAGCTTTGCAAACAGACTACCCCAGGGCTTGCCCTTTTTTGTGAGGGTAGTCCTTTGGGATCTTGACCCCTTCCCTGGATTTTTGTCTGTGTTAATGTCTTCATGTTGTGTATTTTTGCACTTAATATTTGCCCTGTGTATGTTTTCCCAGCTTATTTACACACAAAGCATAACAGATCTGAGCATAATGAGACTGCCCATCTTTTTAGCTACAGATACCTGTAAAGTTGCATATTTGTGGGAACCTGTATTCTGAGCTTAATTACTGTAGCCTGGGTCTTTCATTTCAAGATGATGTGCGAGGTGATGCCGACCATCAGCGAAGCAGAAGGCCCCCCTGGAGGAGGTGGAGGCCATGGTTCCGGCTCCCCTTCACAGCCAGATGCAGATTCACATTTTGAACAGTTGATGGTCTCCATGCTAGAAGAAAGGGACCGCCTTCTTGATACACTGAGAGAGACTCAAGAAACGCTGGCCTTAACCCAGGGGAAGTTACACGAGGTTGGTCATGAAAGAGATTCCTTGCAGAGACAGCTCAACACGGCACTTCCACAGGTATGAGTGCTTTTAACCTGAAACTATAGATTTTTCTCCACTAAATGTTTTTTTATTAGTGTCATCTTTTGTTAATGTTTCAGATGAGTATTTTCCGTAACGATTTGTGAAATGATAGTTTCTGGTGTTTGTAAGTCAAATACAAAGTTCCTAGGGATTAAACTTCTTAGGGAGAACAAATCGTTGTACTCTAAAGTCATGTGAAAATACCTCATTATTTTCATTCCTATCTTTGGGAACTGCCTAGGTTCAGGAAGTTCTCCAGAGTTTTTGAAAAAGGGCTCTGAAGCAACCAATCTATTTGGTGCCTCCATTCTGTTGTCTTAAGCCTTTTCTGGCTAAACTTGTACTTCCCATGGATTATCTCATGTATTTCTAATTTCCTAATGTAATTTAATAGACAAATAGGATTGATTTCACGGAAAAAAAAAATTATTTTGATAGCCCACCTTTATCAGAACATCTAGGTTTTGTAAGTCACATTTGTTTTAGGGGATAGAAGACTCGAGATTGATTCCTTAGGAACTTTTTCCTTGGCAGATGAGAATTTTAAAGCTTAGGCCGGGTGTGGTGGCTCATGCCTGTAATCCCAGCACTCTGGGAGGCTGAGGCAGGCGGATCACCTGAGGTCAGGAGTTTGAGACCAGCCTGGCCAACATGGCAAAACCCTGTCTCTACCAAAAATACAAAAATTAGCAGAGCGTGGTAGCGCGCATCTGTAGTCCCAGCTACTCAGAGGCTGAGGCATGAGAATCACTTGAACCCGGGAGGTGGAGGTTGCAGTGAGCCAAGATTGCACCACTGCTCTCCAGCCTGTCTCAAAAAAAAAAAAGATTTTTAAAGCTTAGAACAACTGAAATTGTTTCTCTGAGTATGTTACATTTGGACCAGTGTTTGAAAGACTTTGCTCATGGAGTTGAATGAGGATTTACTTAATGGTAGGTAAAGGGAGAAAGTAAAAACTAGAAGAGTGTAAGGTGAGTGGCACGGGGCATAGTGGGAGAGAAGTGGGTTATTTATGTGTTTCAGAGCTGTCTAGGCGCCACGTTACTCATCATAAGTGCCTTTGGGGTGCATTCAGGTAGACCCGCATAAGCACACATTTATACTCGCATGATGGGTCTGCAGTGATAAATTAGTAAATGAATAAGTACTAGCCTTAATGTGTTTCTTGGCTGTAGTCAGTTCTCCTGAAAGATTGATAAGCCAAACGTGGGTTTCCTTTTTAGCAACAATAATTTGACGTTAGCGCTCTATGTTCCTTTTTTGTTGGATTAAAGAATCATTAAGATTTTTCTTATTTCAATCTTATAAATTACCAAGTTTATTTATGTTGAATTTTATTACTACAATTTTAAAAGAAGTAGCCAATTTATGTTTTACCAGGATTTTATTGTATTTGTAATTTAAGGTACACGTATTGAAGTGTATATCAAATACTAATATACTTAATAAGGTAGGTTTTGGAAAGAATGGGCACACAAGACATGTCAGGGAAGTGACAGGAGTTTTGTACAGTTAGTCGCAGGCTGTGGAGGTTGTCACACACACTGGTGACATGGTTGCTCAGTGATTTGTTTCTGGCACTGCTCAGTGTAGCAGCCTGGGAATGCCTAGTTCAGTGGATAACATGATGATGCCAACGGTTCACGTTACCACCTGAGCACCTGATTCCAGCCTTTCAAAAATGGAAACTATTAAGTAAACTTGTTTTGGACCCTTCCCTTTCCTGGCATCTGGTTCATCTTTGGTGGCTGGTAGTGTGACCAGATAATGAGTCCAGGAAGTGCATTTGTGCTCCTGGCACATTGTGGAGGCAAGTTAGAGTGTACTTAAAAATATACATAACTATAGCATACAGCAGAAAAATTCACAAATCGTAAGTATACATCTCAGTGGACTTTTCACAAAGTTAACACACTTGCATACCACCACCCAGATCAAGAAATGGAACATTATCAGGCTTCCTAGAAGTCCCCTCCTAACTATTCCCAGTAGTTGTCCCCCAGAGCTAACCAAGGTCTTGACCTTTCACCATTGATTACTTTTGCCTGTTCTTGACTTTGTTTAAGTGAAGTAAAATAATCTGTATGTTTTGCTTCTTCATTCTGTCGTCAGCATCATGTTTGTGAGATGCAGCTTGCTCATTCTCACCTGCTCTCTGGTCATCCCGTGCACGAACAGACAGAACTTATTCTTTCTACTGCTCACAGACATTTGGGGTTGTTTCCAGTTTTTACACGTGCTCCCCTAATATTGTTTGTTTTTTGGTGCAGATGTCTATAAACTTTTTTTTTTTTGAGATAGGGTCTCACTCTGTTGCCCAGGCTGGAGTGCAGTGGCATGATCTCGGCTCACTGTAGCCTCCACCTCCCAGGTTGAAGCGATTCTCCTGCCTCAGCCTCCCAAGTAGCTGGGAATACAGGCACGCATCACCACCCTCCGCTAATTTTTGTATTTTTTGTAGAGGTGGGGTTTTACCATGTTGCCCAGGCCGGAGGATATGTGTACACTTCTGTTGGATTTCTACAAAGAAGTGGAATGCAAATGATGGTGTGTGCATTTGTTCAGCCTCAGTAGAGAGTGCCAAAAGTGGTGGTTGTGACAGTTTGTACTACCCCAGCAATGTATGAGAAGTCAGTTGCTCCTATGCTCTTCAGCACTTGGTATTGTTGGGTCTTTACATTTTAGCTGTTCTGGTGGCTGTTAGCTGGTAGGTGGCTCAGTATGGTCTGAATTTGCTGCTCCCTGATGGCCAGGAACATGCAGAGGTAAAGCATCTCTACCTGTGTTCACTGGCCACCTGGATGTCTTTTGTGAAACGGTTATCTTTTGCCCATCTGTTGATTGGGTTGTCTGTTTTGTTTTTTACTGATTTGAAGGAGTTTTCTCTATATTCTGAGTACATATGTGCATGACAGATTGTTTTTAGACTCTTGTGTTTGCCTTTTCACTCTCTCAGTTGTATCTTTTGATACATAGAAGTGTAAAATTTTTAATGTAGCCCAGTTGATCCATCTTTTCAGTAATGTTTAATGCTCTTTGTGTCCTGTTTAAGAAATTTGCTTGGTCAAGTTCATGAGATATTCTACATTGTCTTCTAAAAACTATTTTTTAATCTTCCATCTGAAATTGACTTTGTTTATGGTATGCGATGGGGCCAAGAGTCTCTCTTTCTTTTTTTAAATGGATATCTAGTTGACCTTGCATAATTTCTTAAAAGACTATTCTTTCCCCAGTGTACTACATGCAGTGTCATCTCAGTCCAGTGACTGTAAGTGTGTGGGTCTGTTTCTGGACTCTCTTCTGCTCCTTTGATCTTTTTGTCATCTTTGCACAAATAGCACAATGTCTAAATTCCCATAGATATAGTCTGTCTTGAGATCTGGTAATTTAAGAAAAGGGTACTCACTCGGTTGCCCAGACTAGTCTCCAACTCCTGGTGTCAAGCGATCCTCTCACCTTGGTCTCCCAAAGTGCTGGGATTACCACTGTGAGCCACCACACCTGGCCCTGTAGATATTCTTTATCAAAATGTAAAAATTCTCCTCTTCTTAGTTTGCCAAGAGTTTTTTAAAAACCATGAGCAGGTATTAAATTTCTTAACATGGATTTTCTGCATCTTTTGAGACAGTCATGTGATTTTTCTGTTATGTGGGAATTTAACTGTTTTTGTTTGTTTATTTTTGAGATGGGGTCTTGCTCCATTACCCAGCCCGGAGTGCAGTGGCACCATCATAGCTCGCTGTAGCCTTGAACTCCTGGGCTAAAGTGATCTTCCCACCTCAGCCTCTCAAGTAGTTGGAATTATAGACGCACGCCACTGCGCCTTGCTTTTTTTTTTTTTTTTAATTGCATATTGTTTGTAGCCTGGGGAAGCAACTTCAGGAGCTCCTGAGAAAGAGCACCTCCCTTTTAAAAAAAATTTACAATTGTAGAATAATTCCAACCTGATCTTGATGTATTCTCCTTTTACTGGATTATATTTGGTAGTATTTTGTTTAGGATTATTGCATTTATATTCACGAGAAAGATTGACTTATAATTTCAGTTTCCTTCAGTACCCTTGTTGGGATTTGGTATCAAGGTTATGCTGGTTTCTTAAAACAAGGTGGAATGTATTCCTTCTTTTTCTACTCCCTAGAAGAGTTCCTACGAAATTTGTGTTTTCTTCCTTAAATGTTTGAAATAATTCTTTGGCAAAACCAGCTGGTACAGGGTTTTCCTTGTGAGAAGGAAAAATTTTAGAATTAATTTTATAGGTAGATGTAGGATTTTGAATATTTCTTCATGTGTCTATTTAGATAAAGCATTTTTCCCCGCTAGAGATTTGTTCAGGCCACCCAGACTTTCCAATTTGTAAGTTTAAAGTGGTTTGTAATCCTTATTATCTGCAAGATCTGTAGTGATGTTCCCTTTTAATAATTCTTGATATCAGTAATTCATATATTATCTCTTAATCAGTCTTGTTGGGGGTTTGTCAATTTTGTAAGTTCTTTTAAGGGACCAACTTTCGGCTTTACATTTTTTTCTACTTACATTTGTTTTCTATTGCATTAATTTCTACTTTTTTTTTTTTGCTTTTTTTTTGTTTGATTGAGATATATATATATATATATATATATTTTTTTTTTTCCAGGCACAGTCTCATTGTGTCTCCCAGGGTCAAGTCCTTAGATACTTGAACTGGATTTAACTCCCTCCTACCTTTTGTGTCATTGTTTTATATATTTCAGTTTAATTTATATTTATTTTTAAAAATAGAGACAGCGTCTTGCTGTATTGCCCCAGCTGGTCTTCAACTCCTGGCCTCAGGTGATCCTCCCCCCTTAGCCTCCCAAAACAATGGGATCCAGGCGTGAGCCACTACACGCTTTTAGCTGCATCTTACAAGTTTATGTACTTTAATTTTAGATATACTTTTGCAGTATCATAATTATTTTGTACAGTTAATGTTTATTTAGATTTATCCTCTTAGTTACCATTTTTGTTGCTCTTCATTCTTTATTGTTGTTTCATGTTTCTGCCGGGGATTATATTTCTTGTTTTTTTTTTTTCTTTTTTTCTTTTTTGAGACAGAGTCTCGCTCTGTTGCCCAGGCTGAAGTGCAGTGGCACGATCTTGGCGCACTGCAACCTCCATCTCCCATGTTTGAGCGATTTTCTTGCCTCAGCCTTCTGAGTAGCTGGGACTATAGGCATATGCCACCACATCCGGCTAATTGTTGTATTTTTAGTAGAGACTGGGTTTCACCATGTTGGCCAGGCTGGTCTCAAGCTCCTGACCTCAAGTGATCTGCCTGCTTCAGCCTCCAAAGTGCTGGGATTACAGATGTGAGCCACTGCGCCCAGCCTATATTTCTTTTCCCTGAAGAACTTTCTACGGTATTTCTTTGAGTTCATATCTGTGGATAATGAATTGTCATTTTTGTTTGCCTGAAAATTTTCTATTTTGCCTTTAGTTTTTGTTTTGTTTTGTTTTGTTTTGTTTTTTAAGATGGAGTCTCGCTCTGTCGCCGGTCTGGAGTGCAGTGATGTGATCTTGGCTCACTGCAACCACCGCCTCCCGGGTTCAAGCAATTCTCCTGCCTCAGCCGCCCGAGTAGCTGGAACTACAAGCACGTGCCACCACGCCCAGCTAATTTTTGTATTTTTAGTAGAGAAGGTGTTTCACCATGTTGGCCAGGATGGTCTCTATCTGTTGACCTGGTGATCTGCCCTCGTCAGCCTCCCAAAGTGCTGGGATTACAGGCGTGAGCCACCATGCCTGGCCTTTTTTTTTTTAAATGTGATGTTTCACCATGTTTGCCAGGCTGGGGTCAAACTCATTGGCTCAAGCAGCTGCCTGCCTCAGCCTCCCAAACTGCTGGGATTACAGGTGTGAGCCACTGTGCCCAATTTGCCTTCAGTTTTGAAGGATGATTTTGCTGGGTATAGAATACTGGGATCGTGGTCATTTCCTTGCACCATTTTGTAGCAGCGAATTCATTGTTTTTTTAGCTCGCTTCCTTTTTCTTGACAAGTCAGCTTTTGGTGTTATTGTTGTCCCATTTGAAGTAATACTTCTTTTTATTTTCCCCTCTGGTTGCTTTTTATTTTTATTTTTTGGAGAGGATATGACTTTTACTGAGTTTATCCACCAGAGTGGAAATAATGTTTGTGCAAAACCAAATGTTTGTTACTATAACTCTCCATCACAATTAAAATCCAAACAGTTTTTTGAAAACAGTCAACTCAATCAAAACCCACTACTTCAGAATCAATAGCTTCTTTGAAGCCACAGTAACAAATATGGTTAAGACTTGAATGTAGAAATTTGTTGGTTGGAAAGCTAATTAAACTTCCAACTTGCTCAAGTAGAATTACAGAAAGGCAGAATTGTGTTTTTCACAGAGATATAGTTCACTGGAATCAGCCACACTGGACAGCTGGTAGAGTGTTTAGGGTCCTGAGATAATAAGGAATCCAGGCAGCCTTTAGACAGTCTGCTGTTGTCCTTTCTTCCCAATTAGAGATTTGTGGATGTGTGGAATGACACCTTTACCAGCAATTGTAGACTTGAAGAGAGAGCCCAATTCTTTATCTCCACGAATGGCAAGTTGCAAGTAATGAGGGGTAGTATGCTTTACTGTGAAGTCTTTTGACGCATTTCTTGCCAGTTCAAGTACCTCTGCGGTGAGGTACTCCAGGATGGCTGTGCTATTCACAGCGGCAGTCGCGCCCACACGTCCAGGACTGATTGTCCTAGATTTCAGGTGTCAGTGAATACGGCCCACCAGGAACTGCAAATTGGCTCTCTTGTGAGTGGGAAGCTGCCTTTGTTGGCCTTTCTGGAGTCCTTCCCAGCCTTACTGCCAGCCATTTTCAATTCTGCTGAAGCTCAAACAGGCAAGGCAGAGAAAGGACTAATCAGACACACAGCAAGATCTCACCATCTACTCATTCCTCACACCAGGATTTGAAGCTGCCTCTGGTGGCTTGTAACATTTTCTTTGCTTCAGGCATTAGCAAAACTTGGTATTTGTTGTATTGGTGGCCTGGTTCCTAATCAATTTTGGAAGTTTTGGCTCTTCTCTCTATAAATATTCCTATTTTCCACTCATCTTCACTCAGAGGGCCTCCATTTTTGTGTACATTAGGCATTTTTTTTTTTTTTGAGATGGAGTTTCGCTATTGTTGCCCAAGTTGGAGTGCAATGGTGTGATATACATTAGGCTTTTATCATGTCCTATGTGTCTCTTGTGCTCCTTTCCGTATTTTCTAGACCTTTTCTGTGTATGTGTCTAGGTGTGTGTGTGTGTGTGTGTGTGTGTGTGTGTGTGTGTGTATTTAGTTTTTAGAGACTGGGTCTCTCTGTTGCCCAGGGTGGTCTTGAACTCTTGGGCTCAAGCAGTCTTCCTGCCTTGGCCTCCTAAACTGTTGGGACTACAGGCGTGAGCCACCGTGTCCGGCCTGTGTGTGTGTGGGGGATGTGTGTGTGTGTATATTTTTGGGACAGGGTCTCGCTCTGTTGCCCAGGCTGTAGTGTAGTGGTGCAGTCTCAGCTCACTGCAGCATCTGCCTTCTGGGCTCAAGCGATCCTCCCACCTCAGCTCCTGAGTAGCAGGGACTACAGGTGCGTGCCACCACACCTGGCTAATTTCTGTATTTTCAGTGGAGGTGGGGTTTTGCCATGTTGCACAGACTGGTCTCAAACTCCTGGACTTAAGTGATCCACTTGCCTCAGTCTCCGAAAGTGTTGGGATTACAGGCATGAGCTAGCATGTGTGTATATATGTGTGTATATATATATACGTACATACATATATATATATAAATATATATGTATATAAAAATTTTTAAGAGACAGGTGGCTGGGTGCAGTGGCTCACGCCTGTAATCCCAGCACTTTGGGAGGCCAAGGTGGGTGAATCACTTGAAGTCAGGAGTTCGAGACCAGCCTGGCCAACATGGTGAAACCCTGTCTCTACTAAAAATACAAAAAATAGCCGGGCATGGTGGCACATGCCTGTAATCCCAGCTACTTGGGAGGCTGAGGCAGGAGACTCACTTGAACCTGGGAGACGGAGGTTGCAGTGAGCCAAGATCACGCCATTGCACTCCAGCCTGGGTGGCAAGAGCGAAACTCCGTCTCGGGGAAAAAGAAAAAGACAGGCACCCTGTTGTTGCCGAGGCTGCAGTGCAGTGGCGCGCGTGATCACTGTTCACTGCAGCCTCAAACTCCAGGGCTCAAGCAATCCTTCTGCCTCAGCCTTCTGAGTAGCTGGGACTATAGGTATGTGCCACTGTGCCCAGCTAATTTTTAAATTTTTTGTAGAGGCAGGGTCTTGCTATTTTGCCCAAGCTGTTCTTAAACTCCTGACCTCAAGTGAGCCTCCTACCTTGACATGTCAAAGCACTGGGATTACAGGTGTGAGCTATTGTGCCCAAAATCTAAAGTCCAGATTTTTTTTACTGACCCATCTTCCACCTCACTCATCCCCTCTTCATTTGTGTCCAATCTGCTGTTTAGCCCATAGATTGAGTTCTTAATTTCAGTTATAATTTTCAGTTCTAGAGTCTGCTTAATTCCTTTTACTATTCTAGTTCTCTAGTGAAATTTTTTCCTTTTGTCAAGTATATTTTTGAATAGTTGACATTTGCATCTGATAACTCTATTATATGGGTCACCTCCGGATCCATTTCTGTTTTTCTTTTTTCTCTAGGTTCATTTGTTGATAACGCCCATTTTTGTTTTTTTAATTGAGTCAGACATTATGTATGAAAAACTGTAGAAAGCGCTGGGTGATGCTGTCTTCCTTCAGAAAGTTTCCCTCTGTCATCTGGCACATGCCCAGAGTAGGGACAGATCATCTCAGCTCAGTCAGGGCCTGGGTGACCAGAGGCTGGGATTCAGTCAGTAAGCGTCAGTTGAAGCTGCCTTCCCCCAACCTCCTGCTCCTGGTGTAACCATCCGGGGGTTCCATCTGAAACCCTGGAGTGTTTCCCAGGGCCCCTCTTTCTTGGCGTGTCCTGGAGCCCAAGTTTTGTCTCCTTAACGCCATGAGACTACTGAAAGCCCAGCTTCTCGGCCAGGTTTGCAGAGTGTTGGGCTCATTTCCTGTGTCTCCCTTTTCTCTGGGATCTTGGCCCCTTAAGTCCTGGCTGACTGTCAGGCCTGTACTTCTTTTTGTCTCCCCAGACCCTTGGGGCTTTCTAGAGCTCTGTAGCCTCTACTTTCTGCTGAGTTTTCTTCCCAGTTATCAGTGTACTGCCCCCAAATCCTTCCAAATTGTCAAATGCACTGACAGAAAGAGTGGGGGCTCTGAATAGTGGACTCACCTCAGTGGGCCTCTCTTTGGTTTGGAATGTTGGTCCCTTCATTTGTGGCTGCCTTGGCATCTCTTTGATGCCTGCAGACTTTCAAGTCATACTCACCTTTTCTAGTTTTTGGTGGGTTGCCGGGCTACAGGCCACCCCGCGTATCACTGAAACTGGAGCTGAAGCGGGCGTGCTCTCTCTGTCTGCAGCATATGCGGAGTCTGGAGACATTGGTTATCATTACTTGATAGGGAGCATACAGAACCCACTCACCTCGCTTAGGCTACCTTGTCCAGTTTCTTTTTTTTTTTTCCAGTCTGCTTCTCATGACATTGTCCAGTTTCTAATCAGAATCCCCCATTTGCCCCTGCCCAGTCACTTAACCACTTAAAGACAGTAGAGCAAGTGGCCTGCCCAGCGGGAGACACAGCCCTTGGCCTCCAATTCCCGTCTTGGCCACTGTGTGGGCTGTTCCACCCTGCTGTAGTCTCTACTCTTCCCCATGCCCTGTGTCAGACCGAGGGAGGGTTTGTGATGACATATCTGGCAGTGGCAAAGAAGGAGGCTAGGGAGGTAGGAGAGGTTGTGTGCGTGGTGTTTAGTCTTACTTTGGAGATGGGGTCTTGCTGTGTTGCCTAGGCTGATCTCCAACTCCAGGGCTCAAGCCATCCTTCTGCCTTGGCTTCCTGAGTAGCTACCACTACAGGCATGAACCAGTGTGCCCAGCTACCTAATGTTTATTCTATGACTTGATCCCATGTATGTTTCCTTTTTGAGTGCTGATTTTTTTTTTTTTTTTTTTTTTTTTTTTGAGATGGAGTCTTGCTCTGTCACCCAGGCTGGAGTGCAGTGGCGTGATCTCGGCTCACTGCAAGCTCCACCCCCTGGGTTCACACCATTCTTCTGCCTCAGCCTCCCCAGTAGCTGGGACTACAGGTGCCCGCCACTACATCCAGCTAGTTTTTGTTTTGTATTTTTAGTAGAGACAGGGTTTCACCATGTTAGCCAGAATGGTCGCGATCTCCTGACCTCATGATCCACTGCATGCCTTGGCCTCCCAAAGTGCTGGGATTACAGGCGTGAGCCACCGTGCCTGGCTTTTTTTTTTTTTTTTTTTTTTTAAGAAGGAATTTTGCTCTTGTCGCCCAGGCTGGAGTGCAATGGTGCGATCTCAGCTCACTGCAACCTCCATGTCCCAGGTTCAAGCGATTCTCTTGCCTCAGCCTCCTGAGTAGCTGGGACCATAGGCGTGCATCACCATGCCCGGCTGATTTTTGTATTTTTAGTAGAGACGGGGTTTCACCATGTTGGTCAGGCTAGTCTTGAACTTCTGACCTCAGGTGATCTGCCCGCCTCAGCCTCCCACAGTGCTGGGATTACAGGCATGAGCCATCATGCCTGACCGACTGACCGAGTGCTTTTTTTTTTTTTTAAAGCAAATATTGCCTTTGGGCTTCTCTCTAATTTCATTTTAAAGTTTCAGTTGCATTTTCAAATGGAGATTTTATTTTAAACTGGAGTGCAGTGATTTTTACAGTCTTTTTGAAAGCAACAAATGAGATTTTTAGAAGACCTCTTGCTTGAAGAACTCTTTTGTGTGAAACCTAGAAGAGAGACTGTTCACCTTTCATTGCAGGTGAGGTCCCAAATTTTGCCAGTCTCTCTCCCAATCTGCCAATCCCTGAAGCAGGGGGTACAAAACTCAGAAGATTCTAAGGAATGAGGTCTTCAAATCAAATCCAAACTTAGTGAAAAAGAAGTCTACCTGTGTCAGGGGTGTTCCCTGTCAAAGTGATGGGTGAGCTTCAGCTGGTTGCAGTGGAAGGTGTGCTGGATGGATTGAGGAGGCGAGAGGGTGCAAGACAGCCCATTTAGGAGGCAGTTCCTGCAATGTGGGCATGAAGTGTTACAGCCCAAACTAGGATGCTAGAATCCGAGGGCAGAGGGCAGTAGAAAAGAACAACCTGGCGGAATTGTGTAGGACTAGAGGATGACAGCCGAGTGGCAGATACCAGGGTCAAGCTTGCGGGGAGAAGGGGGACGGGGGTGGGGGAGAGTAAAGAGGAGACGCTGGTGTTTGGTGGTGTTGAGAGGTATTTGTGGTTGTCACAGCTAGGGCAGGGATGCTCCTAAACATTCTGCAGTGGAGCCCCCTCAACAAAGAATTATCTGGCCCCAAATGTTGGAAGTGTCCAGGTTTAGGTATAAAGAATCAGAAGCTTTTCTCAAGTATTGCTGTTAGGTTGGTGCAAAAGTACTTGCGGATTTTGCTTTACTTTTAATGGCAAAAACCGCAATTATTTTTGCTTCAACCTAATATGATGCAAAATTGGCTACAACTGTAATTTGTTGAGTGCTGCAAACAAGGTACTTGCTAAGCTTAACTTTAGTGAACAAATTAGGAAGAATTGGAATAAGGTAAAACTAGCTAAATGACTCTTCCCTGAGAATAAATACTAATGACTGCCCCTTCAGATGGTGCCCCCTCATCTGCTTTACTGACTGTTTCTTAGTAGTAGTTGGCAAAACACCTCTTAAAATACCATACTTGTTTTCATCGTCTTTGGTGTATGAAATAGTTGAATATATCCTTTCAGAATAATATTTGGCCATTTACATCTCTCTTTTGCACACACTGAATTTGCCATCTTGTCTTCCTGTTCCTACACCTTTAATTGTCAGCAAGGAGACAGAGTCCTTCCTCCTATTTTGTTGAGCCCTGTGTGAATATTACCGTTCTAGGCTCCTGCAGTCAGTGGTAGAGACAGGGTCTCTGCCTGCAGAAGACTTTCACAATATACCCATGCTCAAAGCAGGTGCAGGTTGCGAGACACATCCAGATAGAATGAAGTGGTTCAGAAGAAATCCATGATCTCGACTGAGTGGGGTGGGCTGCCAGGCACACTGTGGTCCAGAAAGGTGAGGCTTTCGAGGGGATTGGCTTAGAGCTGAGGGATGAAGGCTAAGAGGAACCAGGTATGAGAGCTTTCTTGGCGGTGGGGCTACTTGAGCAAAGGCCAGAGCAAGGGAGAGCTTAGCATTTAGCTGAGTCAAAGCTGGGGTCTGTGGCCATGGTTACTTGGCCTGGAGGGAAGGGAAGAGTGAACATGGTAAGGTTGGCTAGGTAGGTTGGGATGGGATCAGACAGAGGTGAAGACTTGCTTGTTTTTGTTTTAAGTACCTTAGGGCTTCAGTACTTTGCGTGCATCGTGGCCTCAGGGGAGGGAATGATGTGATTTAGCTGCGTTGTTATTTATTTATTTTTATTTATTTATGTATTTCTTTATTTAAGATGGAGTCTTACACTGTTGCCCAAGCTGTAGTGCACTGGCATGATCTCGGCTCACTGCAACCTCTGCCTCACAGGTTCAAGCGATTCTCCTGCCTCAGCCTCCCAAGTAGCTGGGATTACAGGCGCCCGCCACCGTGCCCGGCTAATCTTTAGTAGAGACGGGAGTTTCACCACGTTGCCCAGGCTGGTCTTGAACTCCTGACCTCAGGTGATCCTCCCTCCTTGGCCTCCCAAGTTTTTAAAAGATCATGCTATGTGGATAATGAGCTGGGGATGGAGGGAAGAATGGACCTAGGGTGGAAACCACTGGTTAGAGTAGAGCCACTTCAAGTGCATGGGTTTGGGCTATAAAGTTAGTGCTGTGAGCAAAAATTAAAAACTCTTGCCGGGTGCGGTGGCTCATGCCTGTAATGGGAGGCCGAGATGGGCAGATCACGAGGTCAGGAGTTCGAGACCAGCCTGGCCAACATGGTGAAACCCTGTCTCTACTAAAAATACAAAAATTAGCTGGGCGTGGTGGTGCGCAGCTGTAATCCCAGCTACTCGGGAGTCTGAGGCAGGAGAATCGCTTGAACCTGGGAGGTGGAGGTTGCAATGAGCTGTGATCGCACCACTGCACTCCAGCCTGGGGGACAGAGTGAGACTCTGTCTCAAAAAAAAAAAAAAAACCTCTTAACATCACCCATCACATAAGGCACAGAACAATGTGTACTTTTTAATTATCATATACATAAATGCATACTGTTTTCATGCAGTATACATAATGTTTATGTATATAGTGTATACATGAATGTATTCAGGTATTTTGAGTGTCTGTATGTGGCATGCACCGTTCTAGGTGCTGAATATTCCATAGGTAAAAAGGGTTATTTAGCCCACATTTTTTTCGTTGTATGAAGAGAAATGGAAAAAACCAAACTTACATAGTTCGGTTTGAGCAAGTTAAATGCATGGATGATGTAATGTGGGAGCACTTTCCACTTTTCGTTGATGTTTGTGTAGGCAGAACTAGGGAGGTGGTTTTCCTTGGGAGTTTCAGCTGCCCACTGTACTCCTCCACTCTTGGCCACTGTGCCTCGCAGGTGCCTTACCTGACTGCCATGCTGTGTACTTTCATTTGGGCAGGCTTTGGGCTCCTTAAATTCAATATTGGCTCAAACCATCTTTCCCCCGCATCCGTACCCCATCCTGTGAACGGTAGTTTTCTACGTAGTCAGGTGGCTATGTCTCTTCTTTTCTTTTGAGATGGAGTCTCGTCCTGTTGCCCAGGCTGGAGTACAAGGGCACAATCTCAGCTCGCTGCAATCTCTGCCTCCCGGGTTCAAGCGATTCTCCTCCCTCAGCGTCCCAAGTAGCTGGGACTACAGGCACATGCCACCGCGCCCTGCTAATTTTTGTATTTTTGTAGAGACGGGGTTTCACCATGTTGGCCAGGCTGGTCTTGAACTCCTGACCTCTGATGATCTGCCCTTCTTGGCCTCCCAAAGTGCTGGGATTACAGGCGTGAGCCACTGCTCCCGGCCCTATCTCTTTTCTGCGCTAACCTTATCCTTCTAGTCTCCAGGACCTGTGGGATGGACCTTTCCATCTCTTGGAGGTTACCCCTGAGGCCCACTGACTCTCAGACCCGAACCCTTTGTCTTCACCGGGTTGACTCCCATGGCCCCTGTTCTGGAGCCTCTCTGCAGTATCTTATCCCTTTTTGCAGCAAGATCTTTCTTTCTTTCTTTTTTTTTTTTTTTTTTTTTGAGACAGGGTCTCACTTTATCACCCAGGTGGAGTGCAGTGGTGTGATCGGGCTCAAGCAATGCTCCTACCTCAGCCTTCTAAGAAGCTGGGACTACAGGTGTGCGCCACTATGGTTGGCTAATGTTTTTTCTGTGTGTGTATACACACATATATATACACATATATATACACATATACTATATATATACATATACACATATATGCACATACACACACACACACACACACACATACATATATGTAATTATTATTATTTTGTAGAGCAGGGGTCTTGCTATGTTGTCTAGGCTGGTCTCGAACTCTTGAGCTCAAGTGATTCGCCCACCTCAGCCTCCCAGAGTGCTGGGATTACAGGCGTGAGCCACCACGCCGGGCCAAGATCTTTCTAAAATGCATGTACAGCTGCCTTTCCTTTGCTCAGAACACTTGAGCTCTCCATTCCTCCTCGGGCTGAAGACTCCTGTGTCATCACATCCTGGCCCAGCGCCTCCCTGCTCTCCCAGTTGTGGATAGTTCCTCACTTGCAGACTCCTTTTTTTTGTACAACTTTGTAAATAAGCCGTTGTCTGAGATTAGGCCTTTCTTATCTTCTACTTGCCAACTTCATTCTAGCTACAACCAAGTAATTTGGTGCAGCTCTTTCAGCGATCCGGTTTTGCCCTGTGTATACTGATTCTCAAAAATGCCCATATTCTGATGCAGTGGTTTGACTTCAGCTAAGTTTTTTTTTTTTTAGTAGATACAGGAGTCTTTATGTTACCCAGGCTGGTCTCCAATCCTGGTCTCAAGTAATCCTCCTGCCTCAGCCTCCCAAAGTGTTGAGATTACAGGCATCAGCCACTACACCCGGCCTTTTTTTTTTGTTTTTTAAAAAATTTGTTTTTAGAGATGGGGTTTCACTCTGTTTCCTAGGCTGGAGCGCAGTGACACAATCACAGCTCACCGTATTCTCAGCCTCCCTAGCTCAGGCAGTCCTCCCACTTCAGCCTGTTGAGCAGCTGGGACCACGTGCATGTACCGCCACACCTGGCTAATTTTTTGTTTTATTTTTGTAAAGATGAGGTCTCCCTATGTGCCCCAGGCTGGTCTTGAACTCCTGGGCTCAAGTGATCCTCCTACTTGGCCTCCCAGAGTGCTGGGATTACATAATGATGTTGGCCCTAACAACTTGTATGGTTAGATTTTTAAATTCAGGCGTTTATAAGAGTTAAAGTCTAAGTGTGTATAGGTCCCACTGCGCTGGGGCTCAACATCTCTCACTTGCTCTCCAGCCATGCCTCATCTCACCTCTGCTTTTTTTTTTTTTTTTCTTTTTTGAGACGGAGTCTTGCTCTGTCGCCCAGGCTGGAGTGCAGTGGCACAATCTGGCTCACTGCAACCTCTGCCTCCTGGGTTCAAGCAGTTCTCTGCCTCAGCCTCCCAAGTAGCTAGGCTTACAGGTGCCGCCACCATGCCCGGCTAATTTTTGCATTTTTAGTAGAGATGGGGTTTCACCATCTTGGCCAGTCTGGTCTTGAACTCCTGGTGTTGTGATCTGCCCGCCTTGGCCTCCCAAAGTGCTGGGATTACAGGCATCAGCCACCGCGCCCGGCCTCCCCTCTGCTTTTTGTATCCCTTCGAGGCTCACAATTCCCAGAGCTCTCCTTCTTGGTGATAGAAAGTGGGGCCACTGCCTGAGGTGTGATTGCAGACCTCTCCTTTGACTCTTTCTCTGCAATTACTTGTTCCTGGGAGACCGTCAACCTCATGGTTTTAGTGTCCATGGTGTTCCCTGCTCAAATCACTTCTTCCTGGAAGTTGCAAAGAGGTGATTTTTCCAGCTGTCCGTCCGTGTACAGTGATGAACAGATATTCCTGTGTGAAGAAGAGTGTTCTCCTTTGTTCACTTTCCAGCTCTCTCAGTCACTGAGGACACTGCATATTAGAGTCAGGCGTCGTCATTACTCCTTGGATGCTCATATTGTCCCTTTCAGATTGGCTCCTGTGTCTTTTTGCCAAGACCCCATTAGTTCTTGAGTGCTTCATTGCTTTCTGGCACAGAAATTTGTCCCAGGCCTACTTTGTACTTTTCCTGCCTCAGATCTGAAATCATTCCTCTCAGGAGCCCTGGTTCCCTTTAGTGGGAAGTGGCATTTAGAAATCAGCATTTGGGGCTGGGTGTGGCCACTGTCACGGGGGTAGCATCTGGTTGTTTTTTTTTTTTTTTTTGGGGACGGAGTCTTGCTCTGTCGCCCAGGCTGGGGTGCAATGGCGCCATCTCAGCTCACTGCAAGCTCCGCCTCCCGGGTTCAAGCAATTCTCCTGCCTCACTCTCCCAAGTAGCTGGGATTACAGGCCCACACCACCATGCTTGGCTAATTTTTTTTTGTATTTTTAGTATTGATGGGGTTTCACCATGTTGGCCAGACTGGTTTTGAACTCCTGACCTCAGAACTCCACCTGTCTTGGCCTCCCAAAGTGCTGGGATTGCAGGCATGAGCCCCTGTGCCTGGCTGAAGGTAGCATCTTTTATGTCCTTTCATTGGACAGAGCTAGAAAAAAATGTTCATTAAAAAACCTCCAATTTCATACTGATTCTTTAAAATAAAAGTTTTTTCCCCTTATTTTATATTTACACAGCTTAAACTGATGATTTTGATTTCTAATAATATTAACATTGTTTTCCTTATCTATGATATTCATAAAATGGGTTCAGCATTTTAATACATTGTTCTTACAAACAACCCTTCGAATGAAGTTTAGGATTCCTTAGCAATTCTTTTGGCTTTAGAAATAAATACATCTTAAGAATATATAGTTAGAGTAATGGGTTTAAAACAATTTGTTGTAACATAACCAAAGTAATTACCAATTTGATAAACAGGTTCATTTGTTCCTATTTATTCTTAATTCAGAGTTTGCATTTTATAAACTTTTTAAGTAGCTGGGACTACAGGCATGCGCCACCACGCCCCAGCTTTTTAAGTGTTGGCATTACAGGCGTGGCTCACTGTGCCCAGCCAAGTTTATTCTTTTTCAAACCAGGTGTGGTGGCACACACCTGCAGTCCAAGCTACTTGAGAGGCTGAGGTGGGAGGATCGCTTGAGACCAGGAGTTGGAGGCCAGCCTGGTTAACATAGCAAGACCCTGTCTCTCAAAAACACATTTTTTTAAAAAGTTTATTATTTTTCAGCCAGGTGCAGTGGCTCACACTTGTAATCCCACACTTCGGGAGGCTGAGGCAGGTGCATCACTTGAGCCCAGGTGTTCAAGAGCAGCCTGGGCAACATGGTGAAACCCCATCTCTACAAAAAATAAAAAAAATTAGCCAGGCTTGGTGGTGCACATCTGTAGTCCCAGCTACTCAGGAGGCTGAGGCACGAGAATCGCTTGGGCCTGAGAGATGGAGGTTGCAGTGATCCAAGATCATACCACTGCACTCCAGCCTGGGTGATAGAGCAAAACCTTGTGTAAAAAAAAAAAGTTTATTATTTTTCAAACACACAAAACATTTACATGGTTCAAAAGACCAGAACTTTGTAAAAATGTAAACTCAGAAGTCTTGCACCTAGCCCTGTCGCACCCACCTCCGATAGGTGGGGTGAGGACGTGTCTGGTTTGCATGGAATAGTCCCGGTTTTTGCCTGTTATCCTGGAGCAATTAGTGACAGTGCCTTCTTTCACTCTCAGAAATGAAGCATAGCTAAGGCTTTGTTGGCGCCTGCTAATGCTAATTTAGAGATGTGGACAAAATGTTTCCACTTTGTGGATTTTTTTCCCCTGTAGCTAAAAGTAAGGGCTTGGCTGAATCCTGTAGACTTGGATTGAGGTTCTCTTGGCAGGGGAGGTCCAACCATGGAGTTCATACTCTTTTCACAGAGTCTCATTCTTATTCGGAGGAGGAAATTTCATTTTACTCTGAAAATTTGGGAGCTTGAAGCATATTGTACATTTCCAAGTTTTTCTGCTTTGCAAAGGGCCAATTATTCCTCCTGCCTATGTAGTTTTAAACCTTTGCCAGTACTAATATAAAAATTGATTTCAAGTAGTGACATGCTGAAGTTGTTGAATCATATAGAAAAGTTAAAGTTCTACTTGAGATGAATCAGTGTTTCTGAGCGATTGATCTCTTGAAATCTCTTTTTTTTGAGACAGTTTCACTCTTGTTGCCCAGGCTGGAATGTAGTGGCACAATCTTGGCTTACTGCAACCTCTGCCTACCAGGTTCAAATGGCTCTCCTGCTTCAGCCTCCCGAGTAGCTGGGATTACAGGCATATGCCACCACGCCTGGCTAATTTTGTATTTTTAGTAGAGACGGGGTTTCTCCTTGTTGGTCAGCCTGGTCTTGAACTCCCGACCTCAGGTTATCCACCAGCTCCCGGCCTCCCAAAGTGCTGGGATTACAGGCGTGAGCCACCACGCCCAGCCGATCTCTTGAAATCTTAAGGTGCTGTGAGGAAGCTAGTGCAGTCTCTTCCACCTTAAAAATAATTTGTGGGGGAAACATGAATGACAGCCGAGGTCATGGTATCCTACATACCCTTAAAGAGAGATGTGGCAGGATGAGATGATTTCGAATAGCCTGAGTATTAATTTGAATAGTGTGACGTGGTATTTCTTTTCATACAAATTAAAATCTAAAGAACTTCACTTGTGATTAAGTGTGAGATCCCATTGATGCAGAAAGGCTTAAAGAAATTCCAAGTAAAATTTTACTTAGCAGCCCTGTGGCTCAGCTCATTTTCCTCCACCATAGATGCTGAGGCGTTCACACTGGAGGGCGATCTCAGCAGACAGGCATTGTGCTCTTTGTGTTACCTGAAGGCACTTTACAAACAGGAATTCAGTGCATTGCCCTTCCTCTGTTTCTTTTTGTGATTGATGGAGATCTGCTGACTTAAATGAATAGTTTACTTATTTATTTATTTTTGAGACAGGGTCTCACTCTGTCATCCAGTCTGGAGTGCGGTGGCATGGTCACAGCTCACCACAGCCTCCACCTCTCTGGGCTCAGGTGATCCTCCCACCTCAGCCTCCCCAGTAGCTGGAACCACAGGCATGTGTCACCACGCCTGGCTAATTTTTTTTTTTTTTTTTTTTGAGACAGTCTTGCTCTGTCGCCCAGGCTGGAGTGTAGTGGTGCGATCTCGGCTCACGGCAACCTCCGCCTCCCATGTTCAAGCGATTCTCCTGCCTCAGCCTCCCGAGTAGCTGGGACTACAGGTGCGTGCCACCACACCTGGCTAATTTTTTGTATTTTTAGTAGAGACGGGGTTTCACCATGTTAGCCAGGATGGTCTGGATCTCCTGACCTTGTGATCCACCCACCTCTGCCTCCCAAAGTGCTAGGATTACAGGCGTGAGCCACCGCGCTTGGCCAGTCGCCTGGCTAATTTTTGTATTTTTTTGTAGAGACAGGGTTTCCCATGTTTCCCAGGCTGTTCTTGAACTCCTGGGCTCAAGTGACCCCCCTGCCTAGGCCTCCCAAAGTGCTGGAATCACACATGTGAGCCACCACACTCGGCCAGTGAATAGTTTAGAAGCAGGCCATGTGCGTCCTTTCTGCCTGCCTCTGTAGGTAGATTCCACTCCGCCTCCCCTGTGTGGATTCCCACATTGGAGCGCGGGCTGGGTGGGTGGCAAGGAGAGCAGTAGGTTTGTGTGGAGCATGGGCTTGGAGCCAGCTGGACTCGCATGTCCCCTTTCCCTTGTTACCTTTGTCACGTTCCCTCATCACTGAGCCTTCTGTTTCCTCACAGTAAATTAGAGATAATAATCATTTGGGTATTTTTTAGCAAATTCGTATTGTCTACTGTGTGTAAGGTACCGTCCAGGGGCTGGGTATATGGATGTTTGGGAGATAGAATGAGATCATAGTGAATGTTTATTGCCTCTAAGCCTCTTTATAGGAATGAGCCCCCACTGAAGCCTCGTGACAGTGCTATAAAGCAGGACACTGTTATGACCCCATTTTCTAGATGAAGAAATTGGAAACTCACTCAGGATCCCATAGATATTACATGGTAGAGGCTGTATTTGAATCCAAGCAGTCTGACTCCAGAGTTCTTCAACTGCATGAAAAAGTGGGCACAACAGTATCCTTCAGACCCCTCTGCCCCCTTATAGTATTACTGGAGTGCACACACTTATGGTTCTTTAACGGAGGGACTTGTCTCTCAGTTAGATCCCCTTCCACTCCTTGCACCTACTCCACCTTTGAGCATCCGGGGCAGCTGCTTGGGCTTCCCCTGCCTGGGATGGGAGCCTAGTCTGAGCAAGGTGCCTGCCCATGTGGCCTGCTGCCTGGTGCTATTCTGTCCCCAGTGTTGAGCGTAGCCTCTGGCACACAGTAGACACACACACAGTGATGCATCCTAGAATGATGAAATAATTTCCTAAACGGGATCTTTTAACGGTTACCTACCTGTTCTTCAGTGGCTCATCTAATTCTGTTCCTAGCTCTTCCACGTGGTTAATCCAAGGCATTCAAAGTTTCAGTTTTTTTCCCCTTCTTCATTGCTTTTTCCAGAAACTTTTTCACAGTGCAGAACAAGGGGATTTAAGTGTGCTATATGTTGGCTTCATAGCAAGTGTGTGACACTATTGTTTGGTTTCCCATCAATCAACTCTTGGCCCATCATAACGTTAAAATTTGCTAACCTGCAATTTCGTTGGTATTTTGATGATTACTTGAAACAAATCACTGGAACAATAGAGAAGCAAATAAAACCAATGGCTTTGAAACATAATAGAGTCGCGGTGGCAAGGCCAGTCCCCTACCCCACTGCCTTTGGCACGTGGTAGCTGCTGATTAGCAAAGTGTGAGAGCAGGTGGCTCAGGAGCCAGTGGCGTCTTCTGGTCTGCCATCACTTAATCTGCTGGAGCCTTGTGTTACTTCTCCACATATATAAACTGGGTGGACTGGGCCCTGTAGTTTAAAGCTTTCTGGAAGAAGCCAGTCTCCGAAGGGTCTTTTTCCATAGGTAAAACCATGCAGAGTGGCTCAGGGCAAAGTCAGCTGCCCTGGGGAGCCATTTGCTGAGACCCTCAGCCTCTGCTTTACCCTGCCCTCGAAGGGGTCCTAGGAAGACAGTTGGAAAGCCCTAGGACTAGCGATTGGATCCCTTTCAGCTCTCTGATTCTTTAAATACTCTGTAGTTCCTGCACAGTTCTCTCTCTCTCTCTTTTTTTTTTTTTTTTTGACAGGGTCTTCCTGTGTCGCCCAGGCTGGAGTGCAGTGAGATCAAGGCTCACTGCAGCCTCGACTTCCTGGGCTCGAGCAATCCTCCCATCTCAGCCTCTCGAGTAGCTGGGACCATTGGTGTGCAGTGCACCACCATGCCCAGCTGAGTTTTGTATTTTTTGTAGACACAGGGTTTCGCCATGTTTCCCAGGCTGGTCTCAAACTCTTGGCCTCAAGTGATCCTTCTACCTCGGCCTCCCAAAGTGCTGGGATGACAGGTGCGAGCCACTGCACCTGGCCTGCACAGTTCTTTTGTTGCAAATTGTAGAGAAAGGTAAACTTTGATTCCAGTATTCACCTGCAGAAGACCTGAGTGAACGTTTGGAGATGGCGAGGTGATGGAAGTTGGCGAGGGTCAAAGGAGAGGAACACTGGGAAGGAAATCCAGTGTTTCTGCTGAAGGGATATGCCCACGTCCTTTAGACATGGGACAGAAAGCAGGATTTTGGTGTCTTTGAATGGGGGATGTAAATCCTACCTTGAGTGTAACGAGGCTTTGTGACAAAGGCAAAAAGTCAAAAGGGAAATGGTGAGAATTTTCTTTCTTTTTTTTTTTTTAATTTTTATTTTTATTGATCATTCTTGGGTGTTTCTCACAGAGAGGGATTTGGCAGGGTCATAGGACAATAGTGGAAGGAAGGTCAGCAGATAAACAAGTGAACAAAGGTCTCTGGTTTTCCTAGGCAGAGGTCCCTGTGGCCTTCCGCAGTGTTTGTGTCCCTGGGTACTTGAGATTAGGGAGTGGTGATGACTCTTAACGAGCATGCTGCCTTCAAGCATCTGTTTAACAAAGCACATCTTGCACTGCCCTTAATCCATTTAACCCTGAGTGGACACAGCACATGTTTCAGAGAGCACAGGGTTGGGGGGTAAGGTCACAGATCAACAGGATCCCAAGGCAGAAGAATTTTTCTTAGTACAGAACAAAATGACAAGTCTCCCATGTCTACTTCTTTCCACACAGACATGGCAACCATCCGATTTCTCAATCTTTTCCCCGCCTTTCCCCGCTTTCTATTCCACAAAACCGCCATTGTCATCCTGGCCCGTTCTCAATGAGCTGTTGGGTACACCTCCCAGACGGGGTGGTGGCCGGGCAGAGGGGCTCCTTACTTCCCAGTAGGGGCGGCCGGGCAGAGGCGCTCCTCACCTCCTGGGTGGGGCGGCTGGCCGGGCGGGGGGCTGACCCCCCCACCTCCCTCCCGGACGGGGTGGCTGGCCGGGCGAGGGGCTGACCCCCCCACCTCCCTCCCGGACGGGGTGGCTGGCCGGGCGAGGGGCTGACCCCCCCACCTCCCTCCCGGATGGGGCGGCTGGCTGGGCGGGGGGCTGACCCCCCCCACCTCCCTCCCGGATGGGGCGGCTGGCCGGGCGGGGGGCTGACCCCCCCATCTCCCTCCCGGATGAGGTGGCTGGCCGGGCACAGGGGCTCCTCACTTCCCAGTAGGGGCAGCCGGGCAGAGGCGCCCCTCACCTCCTGGACGGGGCGGCTGGCCGGGTGGGGGGGCTGACCCCCCCCACCTCCCTCCCGGACGGGGCGGCTGGCCGGGCGGGGGGCTGACCCCCCCACCTCCCTCCCGGATGGAGCGGCTGGCTGGGCAGAGGGGCTCCTCACTTCCCAGTAGGGGCGGCCGGGCAGAGGTGCCCCTCACCTCCCGGACGGGGCGGCTGGCCGGGCCGGGGGCTGACCCCCCCCACCTCCCTCCCGGACGGGGCGGCTGGCCGGGCAGGGGGCTGACCCCCCCACCTCCCTCCCAGACGGGACGGCTGGCCTGGCGGGCTGACCCCCACCTCCCTCCTGGACGGGGCGGCTGCTGGGCGGAGACGCTCCTCACTTCCCAGACGGGGTGGCTGCTGGGCGGAGGGGCTCCTCACTTCTCAGACGGGGCGGCTGCCGGGCGGAGGGTCTCCTCACTTCTCAGACGGGGCGGTTGCCAGGCGGAGGGTCTCCTCCCTTCTCAGATGGGGCGGCTGGGCAGAGACGCTCCTCACCTCCCAGACGGGGTCGCGACCGGGCAGAGGCGCTCCTCACATCCCAGACGGGGCGTCGGGGCAAAGGCACTCCCCACATCTCAGACGATGGGCGGCTGGGCAGAGACGCTCCTCACTTCCTAGATGGGATGGCAGCCGGGAAGAGGTGCTCCTCACTTCCTAGATGGGATGGCGGCCAGGCAGAGACGCTCCTCACTTTCCAGACTCGGCAGCCAGGCAGAGGGGCTCCTAACATCCCAGACGATGGGCGGCCAGGCAGAGACGCTCCTCACTTCCTAGACGGGGTGGCGGCCGGGCAGAGGCTGCACTCTGGGCACTTTGGGAGGCCAAGGCAGGCAGCTGGGAGGTGGAGGTTGTAGCGAGCCGAGATCACGCCACTGCACTCCAGCCTGGGCACCATTGAGCACTGAGTGAACCAGACACTGTCTGCAATCCCAGCACCTCTGGAGGCCGAGGCTGGCGGACCACTCGCGGTTAGGAGCTGGAGGCCAGCCCGGCCAACACAGCGAAACCCCGTCTCCACCAAAAAAATACGAAAACCAGTCAGGCGTGGCGGTGCGCGCCTGCAATCGCAGGCACTCGGCAGGCTGAGGCAGGAGAATCAGGCAGGGAGGTTGCAGTGAGCCGAGATGGCAGCAGTACAGTCCAGCTTCGGCTCAGCATCAGAGGGAGACCGTGGAAAGAGAGGGAGAGGGAGACCGTGGGGAGCGGGAGACCATGGGGAGAGGGAGAGGAGGGAGAGGGAGAGGGAGAGAGGGAGGGAGGGAGGGGGAGGGAGGGAGAGGGAGAGGAGAATTTTCTTTATCACATTTGTTTCTTTGCTTATGGAGAGGATTGCTTGTTAATGTGGTGTGATATTGAGGTTGTGTGTAAGAGCATGGCCTCTGGGTCTGCGCTGTCCCCTTAGCTCTCCGCTGCTCACTGTGAGACGTGCCTCACAGACTCGTGGTGAAGATAGTTAATTCATGACGCTCTCAGAAGAGAGCCTGGTATTTAATAAGCATTCAATAAATGTTAGTCATTCTTCTGATAGTCATTATTGAATGGGCTAAAGAAGTTTGGTTTTGGCAAAGAATGCTTTTCCCTGTAATTCCCAAAGTTAATTGTGATCAATAGAAAACAAAACCAGAGAGGCCGGGCACGGTGGCTCACGCTTCAGGCTCCCAGCACTTTGGGAGGCTGAGGTGGAAGGATCACTTGAGGCCAGGAGTTCGAGACCAGCCTGAGCAACATAGCAGGACCCTACTTTTACAAAAAATCAAAAAGTTATTTGGGCGTGGTGGTGCGTGCTTGTAGTCCCAGCTACTCAGGAGGCTGAGGCGAGCGGATCGCCTGAACCTAGCAGGTTAAGACTGCAGTGAGCTATGATCATACCACTGTACTCCAGCCTGGGTGACAGCAAGACTTGTCTCTAAAATGAAAAAAAAAGAAAAAATGAAAAAAGATGTAAACAATATGGAAACATATGGTGTCCACAGTAACAGTCTCTCCTTGTACTCAGTGTGTCCACAGTGGGTGTATTGTCTGAAGGGTGCATTCATGTGTGAGAAGAATGGATGAAATTCAAAATTACTCATATTCAAAATATGAGTAATGGGTAAAATAAGCCTGCTAAGTCAAAGGGCTTGTTACACACTACCTGTGTGATCTGCACAGAAAAATTATTGTAAGGATTCTGACTGGGTCACAGTGTCTCTGGGAAGGTGGAGAACCAGGTTTGGAGGACACTGGTTAGCCAGGCCCTGCTAGCCGGGCCCCATTTCCCCGTAATGTCTGTGCTCCGAGGTTGTCACCAGCAGATGCAGGAGAGGCTGGGAGAGCAAGTTTCTGGTGCTTTCAGCCCCTCGTCTGGGCCACTTGCTTTTCCTCAAGAGTGGACCATTTCCCATCCATAGGAAGAGGCTCAGATGCTGGGTGGCCAGCATGCCTGACAAATGGCAACAGCATGATAAAACCCTTGACAGCTGTGCCTCGAGATCTGAAGAGAGCAGTTTCGCATTCGCTTACATGGTGGTGGTAATGCTCCTTCCCTCTAGAATTATCAGGAAAAAATGCCATGTGATTCTCTCCTCTCTGCTCTGACTTTCCTCTAGAAAGAAAAAAGAACACATATTGAATGAAAATCCAAATCAGATGTTTGGGTTTCCTTCCTTCCGTCAACTTTTCTGTTATATCACTGCCCATGTTACTTTTATTCCTGTTCCTGATTATTCCATTTCAAGGAGAAAGGTTCATAAACAAGAAATATTGCCTTTTTGGTTGTGTGTAGTGGGGTGCTGAGCTGAGTGGTAGAAGGCCTATGCAGGAGGCAGTAGTGGGTGGGTAGAATAAAGGTTTTACATCGGAAAGAATCTACATTCCAAGGTTGTTTTCTTGTGCAAACCATAGAAATACTTGTTCCTGAAACAGTTTGATGATGAATTAGGAGACTGCTTAAAAGCACATTCCTGTAGATAGGGTCTGGGTGCTTTTCACAAACCCATGAATGCCTGGCACTTTCTTTTTTGTGTTCCCCAAACTATTTTTACTATAAATGGTTGTTATTAAAAGGCCCAGGTGCTGCCAGGAAGTGACATTTTCTAGAGTGTACCTAGAAGTGTTCATCCCAGAACCTGTTCATTAAAAGACTTCCAGGCTGATCTGTCCCACGGTGCTGGCCTGAAAACATCAGCTGCTGCTCAGAGGGCTTCCCTGGGCTCGGGGAAGAGCTTCCCTGCCTCCCCACCTTAGAGTGCTGGTTCTCCTGTGCTGTGACTCACTATGGGGATTGCTGTTACATTCATCTTTACGATTCTCTTAGAAGTTTACAGTGATACTGCATAAAGAGATACGGACACTTACCATAGTAAGTTACAGTCACTTTTTAAACTGTCAGTAATTTAGAGGGTAAGTGTCTAGATACAGTTATTCTGTCATCATTGAACAATTTTACCATGCCTTTTTATTTAAAGGAACATGTTCTGGGCCGGGCACAGTGGCTCACACCTGTAATCCCAGCACTTTGGGAGGCTGAGGCAGGCGGATCACTTGAGCTCAGGAGTTTGAGACCAGCCTGGGCAACATGGCAAAACCCCGTCTCTACTAAAAACACAAAAATTAGCCAAGCGTGGTGGTGCACACCTGTAGTTCCAGCTATTTGGGAGGCTGAGACAAGAGGATCACTTGAGCCTGGTAGGTTGAGGCTGCAGTGAGCCAAGATTGCACCACTGCACTCCAGCCTGGGCAACAGAGTGAGTCTCCGTCTCAAAAGAAAAGAAAGAAACAGGTTCTGGGTAGGCCTTTTGTTAGCTGCAGCTTTAGAATAAAATGGTTTTCTTTTTCTTACAGGGGTCAGACACCATAGGATAAAATGTTAATACCGTGCTTCTGCTGACATCTCTCTGTTTACTACTCAACACTGGCAGGCATTAGGGATTTCTTTTCATGTTAGGTAAACCCCTGTGAAAAGAATCAAGGGAAAGGTAGCACTTGCTATCCACAAAGATACTGTTCTCGGACAGTTACTTTCATCTGAACAAACCCTCTCCTCGGCCCCTCCAGCAGCCTTTATCGTGGGGTCTTCTTCCCTTCTGGATGCTCCGGGGACCTCAGCCCTGTGTTTTGTGATTGTTTCAGACGTGTCCATTGGGTGTCCTGCTGTCTCTCCTGCCAGAACTGTGCTCTCCTTCCCTTCCAAGTCAGCATTGCCCTCTGCCTCTCATCCAAGCTTCGCTCTTGGCCCCTCTGCTCCCCTGCTGCCACTCAGAGGCTCTGTCAGGGGTTTCTTTCCTGATCCCCCTGATACACACTCGCCTTTGATGTTCTCGTCTCAGAGCCGGGACCTCGGTGCCTGTGGTCCAGGCTGTGCTTCTGCACTCTCCCTTTGGAGTCCACCCAGCACACTTGCCACAGCCACCAGCCTAACCTCAGCCATCGCTTTGGGAGGGTTTGTTCAGTGTCTGTCTAGGCGCAGGAACAGAATCTCGACTTGCTTAGCCCGGCTACCGACTCCGTGTTTTGGCTCCCTCCACCTACCCCACAGATCTCCCTCCATCAGTGCCAGCCATGCCCTCTGCCCCTTCCACCCGCCCCACAGATCTCCCTCCATCAGTGCCAGCCATGCCCTCTGCCCCTTCCACCCGCCCCACAGATCTCCCTCCATCACTGCCAGCCATGCCCTCTGCCCCTTCCCATAGGCCTGGACTCCCTTCTCCTGAGATGTCCCGCAGACTCCTCTTCATTACCATGCGCCCCTCAAAGCCAAAGTCAAGCCTGCATGGTTTCTTCTCACTCCTCATAGGTGCTTTTTCTCCGCCAGTTCCTACTGGGATTCAGGGGCTTGGGGCTGATTTTACTATTTATTCCTTTTATGTTTACTCAAGCTTTTATTTTTTTAATTTTTATTTATTTATTTTGAGACGGAGTCTTTCTCCATCATGCAGGCTGGAGTACAGTGGCCCGATCTGGGCTCACTGCAGCCTCCGTCTCCTGGGTTCAAGCACTTCTCCTGCCTCAGCCTCTCAGTATCTGGGACTATAAGCATGTGCCACCATGCCCACCTAATTTTTTTTTTTTTTTTTGAGATGGAGTCTCGCTCTGTCGCCCAGGCTGGAGTGCAGTGGCGTGATCTCGGCCCTCTGCCAGCTCCCCTCCTGGTTTCATGCCATTCTCCTGCCTCAGCCTCCCAAGTAGCTGGGACTACAGGCGCCCGCCACCACGCCCAGCTAATTTTATGTATTTTTAGTAGAGACAGGGTTTCACCATGTTGGCCAGGATGGTCTCGATCTCCTGATCTTGTGATCCGCCCGCCTTGGCCTCCCAAAGTGCTGGGATTACAGGCATGAGCCACCGCGCCCGGCCTACTCCAACTTTTAAAATGCTACCGGCTTTAAGAAAAACACAGATGAAATATTAGGATCAAGATAAGCCATGAGGGGGCAAAAGAAACCACCAAAAGATACCCTGGGAGGTGAGGCCAGCATGATTCTCTCCATTTAAGGTCATGGGTTTACTGTGTAAACAGGCCCTTCATTTTTACTAACTGCTGCAATGGCAGTCTGTTGTTTTCTGCCCAGTCACTCCTTGTTCCCTCTCGCCTACATACCTGTTAGAAGTTTTGGGTCCTCTGCGTACCAATTTTCTGATCTTGGCCAAGATAGTTCACCTCTAAGACTGTTTTGCCATCTATAAAATCTGTAAAATAGAGATACTACTTATTACCCAATAAGTAGACTTGATGAGAACTAACATAAAGTATCTACCATGCTAGCCTGCACAAAGTAGACATTCATTTGATGTGAGGCATGTCTCTGCAAACCACTCAACACAGCCCCCAACACAGGGAAGATGGAGAGAACTCAGCTTCCCTGCGCACTTGGTTTTGGTCCTCACCATGGTATCTTCCCCTGAAGATAACATCTGCATTGGGCTGCGAGTCCCAAGCCACTTACTAGCTGAGTGACCTTTGTACCTCTCTAATCTGCCTGGGTCTGTATTCTAATTTGTAAAATAAGGTAATTATGAGTGCCTTACTGGGTTGCTGAGAGTAAAATGTGATAAAATATATGAAAGTATTTTGAAAATCATAAGGCATTAGACAAATATAGTTATTGCAGTTTACATCTTTTGAGTACCTAGCATATAGCACCTTAGAAATATTTTTTTGTTCAGGAAAGTGCTTGAATTAATAGGGGTACTTGTTCTTAAGCTTATATGTCTATTTAGTAAGCTTAATAGAACCACAGAGAGGAAATTCTTAATAAAGGACCTTCGTTTACAGTTGTGTATCTGAATCTTTGGCTCATTTTGAGATGCCTTCTTGTTAAAGTAGAGGGTGAAACCATTCATAGAGCTCTCGTCAGACTGCTTTGCCAGACGCAGTACGCAGCACATGAATGTTTCACGGGACCACCGTGCAGTAATGTGAGCTGTCAGTATTACTCAGTTAATTCCATATGCAGTGACCGTGTGAACATGGCTGCTTTGCTCGGTTCCTTGTTGTGGCTTGGGGTTTTAACAGTGATGGGCACAGCCTTTCAGCTGGGAAGCATGGAGTCTAAGTGGACTCACGAAAGTGCAGTGAAGCGGTGGCTGTGCAGTGGCACAGTAGACAGAATCCAGCATAGCACAGGAAAGGAGCTGGCCAGGTTGCCCTCAGGGGCCAGAAGAGCCTTCCCAGAGGAGGGGGAATGGTTGAACTGAGGGTTGTGAGGTCCCATTCAGCATCAAGGGGATCGTGGGGATGGCAGCAGTGGGAAGAGAGGCTCGATTGGAGGAGGGAGCAGCCAGCAGCTTCGTAGGGTGGGGCAGCCACACTGGTCCTTAGAGGGGATGCTTCCCCAGGGAGCAGTGGGAGAAGGGTGGCTGACCAGGAAACAGGAAAGGCATGGAGGGCTGTGAGCTCACAGGAAGGTGGCTATCCAGGGCTGGAGTGCATTCTCTGAGAGCCTCGTGGGAGGATGGAGATGGGCAGTGGAGTCTGGGCGGGCAGAGGGAGCACACTGCGGCAACAGAGCTGTGAGCTGGAGACAGGGCACTTGAGACGCTTCCTTGGTTGACAATAAACCCTTTCTTTTTATCATTTCTGCCAGTCAGTTATGTCGTTTTCTGGTAGGCAATGTCATGCTTGTTAAGAAAACTGCATGAGACAGAATCAAAAGCTTTAACAAGTCCATTTATATTTATACATTCAGCCTTAGCTGTATGGTCTCGAACACTAGAGTGTTGTGTTTTCTTGACTCATCAGCAGAATATCAGGAATGTAAATGTAAATGTAGCCGTAGATACTCTCAACACCATTTTTTTTTTTTTTTTTTTTAAAGACATGTGATCCCAGTATGTTGCCCAGGCTGATCTTGAACTCCTGGGCTCAAGCAATCCTCCTGCCTCGGTGTCCCAAGTAGCTGGGACTACATTTGTGCCACCACACCACAGGAAGAAATCCCTAATAAGGCGTCTTTCAGTTACAGCTTTATACGTAGACCTTTGATTCCTCTGAGATACCTGTTTATTAAATTAGCAAACTTCCCAATTTTGACCTGACATCTCTAAGACCATGTCACAGGCTGAAAGGAAAGTGGCAGCCCAGTTTTCCTTGGTCTTGCGTATGCTGAGGCTTGAGTTTTCAGTTGTGGTCTCCCATGTCTGTTAAAACACTGGCCAGCGTTCTCAGTTGGCGTACCTTGCATTCTTTCAGCATTGCACTGTGGTTCTAGACCCCGGTCTGACGCAGTGTCGGGCAGCCCTACCGCGTGTTCGAGTGCTGCTCTTCGGTAGCACTTGGTCTAGCAGAATATACCGAGTCCTGTCTGCAGAACCTTGACAAGTCTTGGAAAGCGGTCTCAGAATGCTTACTCACACACATCTGGGACATTTCCAATTTAATAAATGTCACGGAAAAAGTTTGGCAGATTGTTTAATTACATGTAAAAGCTGCTTGTGGCTTTCCTTGCTAATATGAGCCTGAAAAATGCTAACTACAATTGTTATGAAATCAGGGAAAGCTTGTGCATACCCTAAGGTTTTTCTGGAGAATTGCTTACCTGTGAACTCTAAAGCCATTCCTGAGCGGTGCCAAGTGTGATATTGTAGCATAAGAAGAGATGTACATTTGGTCTGTGCCCTGGCCCCTGGCACAGAGCTTCTCAAGCTCCTGGACTCTCTGGAGTACTGAGAGTGTCCTTATGTGCTGATCAGGTGACTGGTGACTGGCTACCCCCTAGGTAGCCTCAAGGTAAGGACTGGTAACTGGAGGCCTGGCACGGTGGCTCATGCCTATAATCCCAGCACTCTGGGAGGCTGAGGCAGGCGGATCACTTGAGGTCAGGAGTTCAGGAGCAGCCTGGCCAACATGGTGAAACCCCGTCTCTACTAAAAATACAAAAATTAGCCAGGCGTGGTGGTGTGTGCCTGTAATCCCAGCTACTCCGGAGGCTGAGGCAGGAGAATCACTTGAACCCAGGAGGCGGAGGTTGCGGTGAGCTGAGATCGCGCCACTGCACTCCAGCCTGGGAGATAGCGAGACTTCGTCTCAAAAAAAGAAAAGACAAAAAAAAAAGAAAAAAGGAGTGGTCACTGGAAAGACCTAGGCAGGATTAGAGGGTTAGGACTTTGAGCTCCATGCCCTAGCTTCTGTTTGAAGGTTGGGTTATCCAGTGGCCAATGATGTTAATCAGTCATGCCTATGTAACAAAGCCTAAAACCCTAAAAGGATAGGATTCTGGGGGCTCTGGGTTCCTGAACATGTAGCAGTTTCTGGAGGGTAGTGCCCTCAGAGGGCATGGAAGCTCTGCACCCCTTCCCACATACTTTGCCCTGTGCATCTCTCCTTCTGCTGTTCACCTGGGTCCTTTGTGATAGCCTTTAAAAAAAAAAAAATTAGAGATGGGATCTCACTATGTTGCCCAGGCTGGTCTCAAATTCCTGGCCTTAAGCAGCCCTCCCGTCTTAGCCTCCCAAAGTGCTGGGATTACAGATGTGAGCCAACATGCTCAGCCTGTGATATCCTTTATAATACATGGGTAAATGTAAGTAAAGTGCTCCTCTGAGTTCTGTGAGCTGCTGCAGCAAATTTAATTGAACCCGAGAAGGGTATCATGGGAACCCTGATTCATAGCTGGTTGGTCAGAAGCACAGGTCACAACCTGGGACTTGTACTTGGCACCTGCAAAGGACTGGGGGAGTGGTCTTGTGGGACTGAGCCTTACCCTGTGGGATTGATACACTCTCCAGCTGGACAGTGCAGAATTGCATGGAATTAGAGGCACACAGCTGCAGAACTGCATGGAATTAGAGGCACACAGCGGCAGAATTGCTTTACACCCCCGACATCTGGTGTCAGCAGTGGTGGTGTGTGTGGAAGTAGGGAAAACACTTTGATTTTTCCTATCCTCATTAGCCAGGGAGGTCAGCACCCCCTCATTTTACTAGAGAAGTGGGGATGTTAATCAAGTGCCCTGCCCTTCTCAAGTTCAAGGTGCCTGAGACACTGGCACCCCTCCTGTCACCTGCATATATTTACTTCATGTTTTGATTGTCCCATCACTGCCAGCATCACCAGGCATGACCACCGTGTTCCAGAGCATGGTGGCAGTTTGTGAGTGACAGAGTGGCAGCCAGTGGCCTAGTGTCCCGCAGGCAGAGCAGACTCTTTGTTTCTCCAAGGCAAGGATGTGGCAGTGCCACCAAATGGTCGTGTCAATTGATGCCCAAATGGCTCACCAAAAGCTGAGTGACAGTTGCCACAGCAAAAAAAGGGGAGAAAACATAGGTTCAGAATTTCTTGGAAATGTTTGAAATGCATGTGATAGAACTCTAGGTGGGAAATTGGCTTGTTAGATACAGTAACTTAGCATGCAACTAGAGTAAACAGTTTGACCTACCAACCCACCGACTCATCTGTTTATTTTACTTCTTTTTTTTTGAGACAAGGTCTCACTCTGGCCAAGCTGGAGTGCAATGGCATGATCACGGCTCCTGCAGCCTCGACCTCCTGGGCTTAAGCGATCCTCTCACCACAGCCTCCTAAGTAACTGGGACTGCAGAGGCACACCACCACGCCTGGCTATTTTTTTAATTTTTGTAGAGATGGGTTTTCACCCTGCTGCCTGGGCTGGTCTCGAACTCCTGAGGTCAAGCAGTCTGCCTGCCTCAGCTCCCAAAGTGTTGGGATTGCAGACGTGAGCCCCTGAGGCTGGCCCCATTTGTTTGTTCTAATAAAAATGTAGGACTGAATTTGACTCACAGTTGACTAATTTACATTCTAAAGTGGCCAGAAAACTTCTATTGGTAGTTTCCTTCATAGGAAAATTGGGAGGTTCTCACTCAAAATTGGCTTATATTTGGGCATATGTTAGGATACATGTAATGTTTAAGTAAAAGTAATACTTTGAATATCAAGCTAACTAGTGATAAGTTTATGGTTATTTATACTGTTAGGTAATAGGGTATTTTAATCTACCCCTTATTGCCATGGGGAGGTTTAAAAAAGCAAAATTCAAAACGGAGAAATTGTGCTGACATTTGAACAAAATAAATGGATTATTTTTCAAGTAATGTTTTGTTTTTAGAAATAGTAAGGCAGCCCTCATTTTGCATGGTGGTACTGTGGGACTAGAAAAATGGCCTTTTGGGGCAAACTGGTGCAAAGTGACCTTTTTCTTTTGGAGTAAAACATGCACGCACACATGCACGCTTACTTGCGAAGCAATCTTAATCGTCAATGGAGAAATGGATTGCTTGTGATCTTTAATTTTTTTTTTTGTTAAGGCACAAAAATCTCTTACTGTAAATTGTAAACGTATAGGGGAGTGACAAGCAGTAAAACATTGATTAAATACACTGTAATTTATAACATTAAAAACATTGATAGTTAAAGTACGTAACCCTTTGACGCAGCAGGTTCATTTCTAAGTGGATAGCTTAGAGCAATCTGGTGTCTCCTTTTAATAGTATTTTAAATTATAATTTTTATCATAAAATGACATTCATAAAAAAACCCTACCTAAACACATAATTTTAGAAAAATCAATACAATGCCTCAATTGTGATGTAAAATAAATAAGGGGAAATTAGTTTACAGTAAAATGTTTTGTTGTATAAATGCTTGGGCATGACAACCCTAGAAGGCATAAGGCCCGATGTGTGTACTTTCTGATAACGAATGTTTGGCTTTAAGAGAAGATTGTCAGAAGCTATTACAAAGAAGAATATAGCAACACAAAAGAAGAGGTGACTCTGCTGGATAAAAATGTGTTAGGATAGGTAAAAGCAGACCAGTCATTTATACGTAATAAGAGAAAAGGTAAATAATGAAGTTAGAGATAACATGCCATTCATATTATAGATTGTCACCTGGAGAAAATGAGGAAGTATTATAATCTCACAAAAAAACCCCTGAGCCTTCTTTGTTTCCAGTGAAACGTCAGAATCCTTCCCTGGGTCATGACAGACTCAGAGGAGCAACAGGGTATCACAGAAAACATATTGCTTCCCACCTCTCCCAGCAGATGGCCAGACATGCACCCAGTTGAGTACATGAAGAGATTTTGGAGATTCCTGTATGATAGGCAATGGCGAATGGAGAATGGATCTGAAAAAAGGGAAAATTAACCTCAAGGTTTAATAACACACCAGGGTGGTAAGCCACAAGGAAACAAGCATTTTATTATGTTGCTGGCCTACTGGGGATAATTTCGCAGTATCTTTTAAATTACAAATTCCCTTTGACCCAGAAATTCTAAGGTTTTATCTTACTGGTATAGATGCACAGGTATAGAATGATGTATTTACAAGGTTATTCATTGCCATATTATTTGTAATCGCAAAAGATTGGAAGCAGGAACATAAACCTCATCAGTAGTTGAACAGTTAAATTATGATTCATATTCTTTGTATGCCAGGAAGCTGTAAAAAGGGAGGAGGATGTTATGCACCGATATGGAAATATCCTTAACTGAAGAAAAGCAAGGGCGAAAGAATAGATTTGCTCATATATGCATTAAAAAATCTCTAGATAAACAGGAAAGGCACAACTTTAGTTACCTACTGTGTGGAAGAGTGAACAGGGCTGAAAGGGAGATTTCTCTATATACACCTTTATTACTGATCCAAAAAAATTAAGTACTTTTTCTAAAGGTGTGTGTAAAAAAAAAGAAAGAAAAAGGTCTGTTAGGCTGGGTGTGATCGCCCCTGTAGTCCTAGCACTTTGGGAAGCCATGGCAGGAGGATCCCTTGAGCCAGGAGTTCAAGACCAACCTGGGCAACATAGACAGACCTTACCTCTACAAAAAAAATTTTTTTTTAAATTAGCTGGGCATGATGGTGTGCACCTGTGGTCCCAGCTACTTAGGAGGCTGAAGTGGGAGGATTGGTTGAGTATGGGTGTTCAGGGCTCCAGTGAGCCATGGTTACAGCACGGCACTCCAGCCTGGGAAACAGAACAAGACTTTGTCTCCAAAAGCAAAGAAAAAAGCTCTGTCCTAATCCCCTTTCCTTTGCTGCTGCTACCACTGTTTTTAAACCTTGTTAGGGCCAAAATGTATTTAGAAATATGGGTTATACACTGACCTTAGTGATGGCTTATTTATTTATTTTGAGATGGAGTTTTGCTCTTGTTGCCTAGGCTGGAGTGCAATGGTGCGATCTCGGCTCACCGCAACCTTCGCCTCCTGGGATCAAGCGATTCTCCTCTGTCAGCCTCCTGAGTAGCTGGGATTACAGGCATGTGCCGCCACGGCCAGCTAATTTTGTATTTTTAGCAGAGACGGGGTTTCTCCATGTTGGTCAGGCTGGTCTCAAACTCCCGACCTCAAGTGATCTGCCTACCTTAGCCTCCCAAAGTGCTGGGATTACAGGTGTGAGCCACCACGCCTGGCCAGTGATGGCTTTAGACTGTCAAGTTCAAACAGGCATTTTCTGATTTCATGCTTTGAAGACAGTTTATGATTCATTGATTTTTTGGCACATGCATAGGTCTATTAAATATTTGAAATTGAAAAATATTTTATATTCCTGTAAGCATGATCAATGCCAAAAGTCACATACTTGCTCTATTGGGAACTTTGAAAAATACTATAAATATAAACTGGATGTCATATGTTTGTATTTTGTTATTTTCTAGTGTTTTAAATGTATCCGAAACTCTTAAGTGAATATTCTTTTAAAAAATTGATCGCAGAGGCTGGGCGCAGTGGCTCATGCCTGTAATCCCAGCATTTTGGGAGGTCAAGGTGGGAGGTTTGCTTGAGGCCAGGAGTTCAAGACCAGTCTGGGCAACATAACATCTCTTAAAAAAACAAAACAAAACAAAACAAAAAAACCCAACTTGAACATTGTGGTGCACGTCTGTAGTCCTAGCTACTTGGGAGGCTGAACCTAGGAGTTGGAGGCTGCAGTGAGCTATGATTGTGCCACTTCACTTCAGTCTGGGTGACAGGGCGAGACTCTCTCGAAGAGATAAACAAATGTAAGAATAAAAAGGTGATTGTAGAAGGCTTTCATTTCTGTTGGAATCAAGGGTTTCTGCCCTTTATTTATTTTTATTTTGTTGGTTTGATTCTGCCCCTCCCCTCAGGCTGTTTAAACATGTTAATTAGAATGTATTTTCTTTGGGTTTTTTTTTACTAATATATACTTGAATTCTGAAGTATATGAAATATACATTCTCAGTAATATTTCAGGTTGTTTTGAAACATACATGCTAACTTTTTTTTTTTTGAAATGGAGTCTTGCTCTGTCACCCAGGCTGGAGTGCAGTGGCGCGATCTCTGCCGACCGCAACCTCCGCCTCTCGGGTTCAAGCGATTCTCCTGCCTCAGCCTCCCGAGTAGCTGGGATTACAGGCATGTGCCACCACACCTGGCTAATTTGTATTTTTAGTAGAGACGGGGGTTTCTCCATGTCAGTCAAGCTGGTCTCGAACTTGCGACCTCAGGTGATCTGCCCGCCTTGGCCTCCCAAAGTGCTGGGTTTACAGGCATGAGCCACCATGCCTGGCTGCTAATATTTTTAATTGTCTTGCTTGCTTATTCTATGCAATTATATGTGTTTAAGTATTGAAATGCTAACAACAACCAAAGATAGTTTGGTTTGCTCTTAGCAGAATGATAAAAGTACAGGAAGCAAAACTTAGAAACTCCCATGAAAAAATCCCAGTTTTGCCTAAAAAAAAAAAAGTTTTCCAAAAAATAAAAAGGAATAAAAAGGAGTGGAGCTACCATATGCTACAACATGTCCGACCCTTGAAAATACTATGCCAAGTGAAAGAAGCCAGGCACAAAAAGCCACATAGTGTATGATTCCATTCCTGTGAAATGTCCGAAACAGGCAGATACACAGAGACAGAAAGCAGATTGGTGGGTGCCTAGGGCGGAGAGGGGAGGGAGGGTCGGTGGTGATTGCTGATAGGTATGGGGTTTTTTTGGGGGGTGACGAAAATGTTTTGAATTAGATAGTGGTAATGGTAACACAGCATTGTGAATATACTAAAAACCACTGAATTGTACACTTAAAATGGTTAGGATGGAGAATTTTATGTGACCTTTATCTTGACAAAAATTTTAAAACATAAAAGCAGTATGGTCATAAATTTTTTGAATGTATATTCACATCAGTATTTCAGTTACTATGAAGTAATGCAACTCCCTTCAGAGTCAAAACAAAAAACAAGTTAAATCATTAAGGATAATATAGTTTCAGAGCTGACGGACCAGATGGATTATAAATTGTGTTTATTATAAAGTGGCTGGCAATGCCACTGTAGCTGGTGAAGAGACCACGTCTTGAATTAAGGTTTCTCAGGTTTGACCTTCAGTGATACTGATTTGACATTTAGAAACACACAAATGCACCCTCCTTAGTTGCTAAGCCAGAAGTTAAGAGAGAGGCACAGTGCATTTTTATTTCATCCATGTACTTTTTTTTTTTTTTTTTTTGAGACGGAGTCTTGCTCTGTCGACAGGCTGGAGGGCAGTGGGGCAATCTTGGCTCACTGCAACCTCTGCCTCCTGGGTTCAAGCGATTCTCTTGCCTCAGCCTCCCGAGTAGCTGGGACTACAGGTGCGCGCCACCACGCCCAGTTAATTTTGGTATTTTTAGTAGAGATGGGGTTTCACCATGTTGGCCAGAATGATGTCCATCTCTTGACCCCGTGATCCGCCTGCCTCAGCTTCCCAAGGTTCTGGGATTACAGGCGTGAGCCACCACACCCGGCCCCATGTACTTTTCTAAAAGCACTAAGGGCTTTTTTCCTCTTTTTCTCTTCCAAATGAAAACCCCACTCTGTTTTTGTTAAGTTCAAGCTGCGGTTGGTAGTGGTGAGCTCCTTGTCATTTAACGGAGACTGAACGAGTTCTGGAAGACAGGACCAGGTTTGAGGGCTAAGTGCTGTTTGCCGTCCATCCACAGGCCAAGGACCCAGTATCGGGAGAGCAGAGAGGCCGAGGACACACTGGTTCTTAGGAGCGCTCAAGGTTGTTCACCCTTGGGAGCAGTTTGTGAGCAGTGAAGGCAGGAAGGCAGGCCGTGAGCACCCAGGAAGCAAAGGCAGAGAATGCAGACATTCTTGGAGGATTTTTGTTAGCAAAGATAAAGGCTTCGGGAGGCCGAGGTGGGCGGATCACCTGAGGTCGGGAGTTCGAGACCAGCCTGACCAACATGGAAAAACCCCGTCTCTACTAAAAATACAAAATTAGCCAGGCGTGGTGGTGCATGCCTGTAATCCCAGGTACTCCGGAGGCTGAGGCAGGAGAATCGCTGAACCTGGAAGGTGGAGGTTGTGGTGAGCCGAGATTGGGCCATTGCACCCCAGCCTGGACAGCAAGAGTGAAACTCCATCTCAAAAAAAAAAAAAAGATAAAGGCAGGTGCAGGGTAGGCTAGAAATCCAGAAAGTTGTCCATAGACTGACAGTGATGAGGGCGTGTGTGATCATTTTCCACTTCATGCGTCGGAATGCACACAACTGCTTTCTTCAAACTGTTAACAGTACTGCTAAGAACTGAATTAACAGTTGAGATATTAAGTAACTTTATTTTAGCCATGTGGCAAAAATCAACCAGTCCATCACAGGCCAAGGATTTGCATTTGAGGAGCAGACAGAGAGGAGGTGTTAATGTGGAAGGGGCTGCGGGACACCTGTCGAGCTGCTCTCCTGGGTTAGAGGGCTGGTGGCGATACTGCCTTTCAGTTGAATGGCACTTTTGATGGTTTTCCCATTTGATTGTTACGGTTGTGGACCATGGGTAGAGTGTAGCTGTCTTTGCACACATTTTGTGGATACATAAACCAAGAGGAATAATAACTTAAGTGACATGTTTGAGGTTGGAAGGGTCAGTTTGTTTCAAACATGGAAGGACAGTGAGTCAGCTTTTTTTTTTTTTTTTTTTTTTTTTTGAGGCAGGGTTCACCTTGTCACCCAGGCTGGAATAGAGTGGTGTAGACACAGCTCACTGCAGCTTCAACCTCCTGGACTCAAGCAGTCCTCACACCTAACCTCCCGAGCAGCAGGGACTACAGGCATGCACCACCACGCCTGGCTATTTTCTATATTTCTATTTTAGAGATGGGGTTTCACCATGTTGCCCAGGCTGCTCGAACTCCTGGGCTCAAGTGATCCTGCCTGCCTCAGCTTCTCAAAGTGCAGGGATTACAAGCGTGAGCCACCACTCCTGGCCGTGAATTAGCATTTTGTTGTCTTTTTTTATTTGTTTTGAGACAGGGTCTCAAAACAGCCTTGAGCACTGTTGCCCTGGGCACTGTTGCCCAGGCTGGAGTGCAGTAGTGTGATCATAGCTCACTGCAGCCTTGACTTCCTGGGCTCAAGTGAGGCTCCCACGTCAGCCCGCAAAGTAGCTGGGAATACAGGTGCGCACCACCACACCTGGATCATTTTTGTATTTTTGGGAGGGACCAGGTTTCACCATGTTGCTTGGGTTGGTCTCAAACTCCTGGCCTCAAATGATCCTCCCACCCGAGCCCCCCAAAGTGCTGGGATTACAGGCAGGAGCCGCTATGCCTAGCTAGCGAATTAGCATTTAAAAAATATATACTTCCTGGTTCCCCCTACAGGAGTGTTGATTCAGCAAGGTGAGGCCCAGGAGTCTGCATTTGAATCAGCTCCACAGGTGGTTACTGTGCAGCCAGTCTGTACTTCCCGTCTTGCCTGTGCCGCCTCAACATCGTGGAGCCTGCGTGTTTTGCTAACTCGAGAGCCCAGGTGTGCAGTGCATTATTTTTCCTGATAGGCAGCATTCTGGTTTTGTGAATGGGTGTGCCTTTGGTTCCATTGCCATCATCTGGGCTGCGGACATTGACTGGGTTCCCCCTGGGTGCCCAGCACTTTGTCACAGGTCTGGGCTTCTGCTTTTCAGAGTAGAGTGGGGAAGACAGCTGGACATGCAGCCGGGAAGTGAGGAATGCCGGGGCTGGGGGCGGGTGTGACCACCTAGCAAGGGGACCTGTCCATGCCCACGTGGGAAGTAGAGGAGGCCTCTGCAGGAAATGGCCTCAAGCTGTGAACATCAGGTAAGTGGGAGCTGGTCAGGGAAAAGTGGCAGCTTCAGAGGTCAGAGGGAACAACCGTGGTGTGGAGGGCCAGCAGAGGAACAGACGGCATGTTGAGCGAGCTGTAGATTGCTGTGACCGATGTGCTGTGAGGCATGAGGTGAGGAGGGAGACGCTGGAGTCAGAATGGGCGGAGCTGACTTCTAGAGCGGCCACTCTGACCTCTCTTCTGTGTGCTCATGGTGTCACCTGATAGAGTATCAAGGTCTGGATGAGACAATCCATGTTAAGTGCTTAGAACAATGTCTGGCAGATAATGCAACAGAAGTGTGTGTTATGACTTCTCATTTGGGTTAGAAGTTATTAGGGGGGCTTTGGGCTTGACCTTAAGGGCAATGGGAAGTTACTGAAGGATTTTAAGCAGGAAAGTCAGAGTCTGATTTGTTTCGGAAAACATAGAGAATGGATCCGAGCGGGGAAAGATTGAAGGCAGGGATGAGTTAGGCAGCTTTTTTAGTAGACCAAGGAGACACAGTGGCTTGGATAAAGGAAGCTGGGGCGAGGAGGTAGAGGAGTGGGCAGTTCTAGAAGATATGTGTGTGAGGGCGAATGAGGGGTCCTCAGCCAGTGGTTACTGTGGAGGAGGAGGCGATGTGATGTCTCAGTGTCTGACTTGGACAACTGGATGCTGATGTCCACTGCGTGAGAGCTTATGAGGAGTTGGGAGCTTGGGCAGGAAGATGATGATGAGCTCAGTGTGGACAAAGGTTTTTGAACCTCCAAGATATCTTGCCTGTAATCCCAGCACTTTGGGAGGTGGAGGCAGGAGGATCACTTGAGCCCAGGAGTTTGAGGCCAGCCTGGACAACATGACAAACCCCCATCTCTCCAGAAAATTAGCTGGGCATGGTGGCGCATGCCTGTGGTCCCAGATACTTGGGAGACTGAGGCAGGAGAATCACCTGAGCCTAGGAAGTCAAGGTTTCAGTGAGCCGTGATTGCCCCACTGCACTCCAGCCTGGATGAGAGATTGAGGTCGTGTCTCAAATAGAAATTTTAAAAAGTGCGGTTGGGCATTTGCCTAGGGTAGGTGATTGAAGCCACGGACACCGGCCGGATCAGGCAGGCACACTGCATAGGGTGAGCAGCAGACCGGAAATGTGGAACCCCAGGAGCACCAGCATTCTGTGAATAGACAGACAGGAAACAGGGTGAGGTGAAGAGATGGGGGTGAACAGTCAGAGGCTACCCAGTAGATGAGGACTGGAGCTGGCCTTTGGGTTTAGCAGAGGAGAGGTGGTGAGTGCCATGAAAGCAGCAGGCGCTGGAGACAATTGCAGTGGTGAGTAAGGGGCCAGGAAACAGAACTGAAGACCGAGACAACCCAGGCTGGGGAAAAGTTTCTGAACAAGTTACGTGTCCATGTGGACACCGTGTATTCTGGTCATGTCCTTGGGTTTAGCATTGTTTAGAAAGACAGAAAGGAGGACTGATCTTTTTTGTTTTTAATACTAAGCAATACAGACTTAAAAATTAAAACAAAAAAAAATTATCTTACTTCCAACTCTCATTCCCAACTGTAGTGGGTAACCAGCATCAGCAGCTTGGTGTGTATCTTTCTATATTTTATCTTATATATACTTGAAAAATACATAAAAGCGTGTGTTTGCTTTTAACCAAATAGGATCATATGGAAATGCGGTTCTGTACTATGTTTTTTTAACTCAATATTTATGTGGTCCCTAAATACTAGGTTTGGGCATACATTTTTTCAGCATGTATTTCTTAAAGAGAAACTGACAGGGAAAATAAATAAGATATTGTATTAGTCCGTTCTCACACCGCTATGAAAAAATACCAAGACTGGGTAATTCATAAAGGAAAGGTTTAATTGACTCACAGTTCCGCATGGCTGGGGAGGCCTCAGGAAAGTTACAGTCACAGGGGAAGGCAAAGGAGAAGCAGGCACCTTTTTCACTGGGCGGCAGGACGGAGTGCATGCAAGCAGGGGAAATGCCAGACACTTATAAAATCATCAGATCTCGTGAGACTCACTCACTATCACGAGAACGGCATGGGGTAACCGCCCTCATGATCCAGTTACCTCCACCTGGTCCTGCCCTCAACACATGGGAATTAGGGGATTATAATTCGAGATTTTGGGTGGCTTCACAGCCGTATCAGATATATTGGAACTTTAAAAATGTTTATGTAATCTGTTATACGCAAATATTGTCCAGTGATTGAAAAGCCAGTGCTACTTCAGTCACAGTGGCTTTGAACATGTTTAGAATTCAGTGAGATGATGAGACCAAATTTTTATAAAATTTATAAAAATGTGAAGTTTGTGGTCTTCTTTTCTAGTGTCCTCCTGTCCCCCTTTTATCATTAGGAGTGGTGCACCCTGCCATCTATCTATGGACTGACGGGCAGATAGATATAGATGTTTATTAGCATACTTTTAATCGTGGCACCAGGGTTTCAAAACATGATTTGCTCATTCATTTTAATATATAAACTTCTAATTTTCTTTATTTCAAATTTGACATGCTTTTAAACCTAGACTGAGGCGAGTAGCTTCTACTGCCTGAAGATCACAGTGTGAGCTCTGCATGCCGGTTTCTCATGTCCTTGTGTCCATTTATTAGACGTCTTTTTGACTGAGAAGACACAAGACTTTGCCTTCTGTGAAGTTCTTTTTTTCTGTTTTTTTTTTTTTTTTTTTTTTTTTGGTGGTAAAATACATGTAAGATAAAAATACCATCATAACCATTTTTAAGCACCCAGTTCACGGCATTAAGTATATTCACATTGTTGTGCAACCATTACTGCCACACATTTCCAGAACTTCCTCATCTTCCCAAACCGAAACTCCATCCCCATTAAACACCAACTCCCTATCTCACCCTCCCCACCCAGCGTTGTCCAGACACCTACCATTCTATTTTCTATCTCTATGAGTTTGACTGCTCTAGAGACCTCATATAAGTGGAATTCTACAGTGTTTTGTCTTTTCGTGACTGGCTTATTTCACTCAGCCCAACATCCTCAAGGTTCACCCATATTGTATTATGTGTCAGAATTTCCTTCCTTTTTTTTTAAATTTTTTTTTCTTTGAGACAGAGTTTGGCTCTCATTGCCCAGGCTGGAGTGCAGTGGCGCAGTCTCGGCTCACTGCAGCCTCTGCCTCCCAGGTTCAAGTGATTCTCATGCCTCAGCCTCCCAAATAGTTGGGATTACAGGCATGCACCACCACGCCTGGCTAATTTTTGTATTTTTAGTAGAGACGAGGTTTTGCCATTTTGGACAGGCTGGTCTTGAACTCCTTGCCTCAAGTAATCTGCCTACCTTGGCCTCCCAATGTGCTGGGATTACAGGCATGTGCCACCATGCCCTGCCAATTTCCCTTCCTTTTTATGGCTGAATAATATTCCACTGAGTGAAGTTTTATTTCATTTTCAGCAAAAGGTTAGTGAAATGTTGAAAAGCAGTTAAAAAGCAAAACAGAGCTATTGAAGGAGATTATAGAGAGTAAGAGATGTGGAATTGTAACATGGCCAAGTAAAGAAAACGGGAAGAGGAAAGGGTAAGGGGTGGGGCCCAGGCACCCACGTGAGGTTGGGGACCATGAGGCTCTGTTGCCCCTTTCCCACTGGCGATGGGGCTACTTCGAGGCATTGGGATGATGGGAAGAGGGCCCAGGCACCCACGTGAGGGTGGGGACCATGAGGCTCTGCTGCCCCTTTTCCACTGGCGATAGGGCTACTTCAAGCCATCGGAATGACGGGAAAAGATGGATCACTTTTGGCAATAAATGTCACATCTGATCTTAACTTGAAATTGACCTGATTGTGGCTTTTGAGTAATAATGTCTGGTCTATATAATATGAACCTGTTAGCCAGATCTAAACCTTTCGTTCAGAAGTGATAAACATCAGCATTATCAGGCATTATGTGAAACCAAGTTCTTTAGCTGATTTTAGTGTTACTTTCTGTTGTCTCAATCCTAGATAATGTCAAATAGAAATACATATTTGCATTCTTCAGATTTATATTTTAAATGAAAATATTCCGGTAATTATTGCATCTATTCTATTTCAGAAAATACTTGACACTTTAATTATTAAATAGAATGTCACTTTAAACTAGTGATATATTTGACTTACAGTATTTTTAAACTTAACATTTTTTTTTCCTAAATAGGAAAAAATGTACACTGACAATTAGATTCCTCTGATGTAATAAGGTAGATCATTTATTGCACATATTTGGGGTTCCTACTATTTTTTTTTCTGCAATAATAATGCAAGCAGTACATACAGGAACATGCTTTTGGGATCTTAAACTTTGGAATGTCCCGTCTAATGTTTACCTAAACTGCTAAGTTTAAATTTGCTTTGATATATTTTCAGTTGTTGGATTCTTCTGAGCAGAGAGAAAGGTTTTTTTCTTTAAGTGGAGTAATCATGAACGTCTATGAATTCGTTTTCTACTGTAGCCACAGCAGTATACCATAGAATAGTTTTGGTAGTTGAATATATTGGGAATACTTACATTTAACCAAAATAATAGAAATTCCCTGTATTCTCTTTGGTTTTAGAGGCAAATCTAAAATCTGGAAGTTGAAATGAGGATAGTTTGGGGTTCTTAGGAAAACCTTAGGGAAACTGTATGAAACAGAAAAAGGCTTGCTGCTGGTGCCGGAAGAGTGACAGCGTGCTGGGGGGTTTGTGCATGAGTGAAGGTGGGGCCAGGTGGGAGCCTTCCTGTTTCTGGATGGATGGTCTGTGCAGTAGTAACTCAGGCTGCATGGTTCTTGCATCATCCGAGTTGTGAAGTGCTCTTCCTCCACTTCCAGGTCCTCCTTGTTATGAGGACTTAGGCTTTGACTAGGGCTTTCATTTAAAGGTGACGAAATTTGTTCATAATAGACTTTTAAAAATAAAACACCGATATTCCACCTTCCTGGGACCGACAGTCCTAGGACCCTGCCACCTTGTCAGGATTCTTCATCTCCCCTACTGGTCCATTATTACCCTCCCAGCCCTGCCAGCCTTTCAGCTCCCTTGCCTCTTCCACTTCATTGCGCTTACCTGGCAGAAACCACCCCATTCAGTCCGTTCTCCATGCCCATTCACCTCCACTGACCCGCAGAGGCCCTAAGTGCCGCCAGCATCTCTGTTAGTGCATCCCGCCCTCTTTCTTCTACGCGGCATGCTGCCTACCCGTCCTCTCTTCTAGATGCCATTTCATACCTTCTCCTCTCCTATCTTCCCCAAATGTAAATGCAGAATGATGACATTGTGTTTGTTTTTTTCTGTGTGAAATTGGAAGAAATCAGAAAAGAAGTTCCACCAACTCCCACCACACCTCTGGATCTGCACCCCGCACCCCATGTCGTCTGCCCTCTTTCCCTTTACTGCGGGTGATCTGTGTGCCCCAGAAAAGGTCAGCCTCTCCTCTTAGTCACTTGACTTACCTGCTTTCAGCTGGACTCATCAGTTCCCACCTCCCCACTGGATTCTTGCCCTCACTATGCAAATGTCTGTCTCATCCTGCAAAGGTCTTTCTTGACCTCATATCTTCTCCAGCCACTGCACTGTTTTTCTTCCCCTTTACTGCAGAGTTCCTTGGAAGAATTTTCTGTACTCCCTGCTTTACTTCCACTCTTCCCATTCTCTTTGAACTCAGTCCAGTGAGGGTTTTGACCCGCCACTGCAGCATGCTGCAGATGTCACAGTCACCATCGATCTCCATTCCAGCAAGTCCGACCAACAAGCATCAGTCAGCTCATTTGATCCACTGGCATCAGTGAATACAGTTGATCATCCTCCTGGAAATAAGGATCTTCAAAGATCTTGAAGGGTTTCCTGGTTTTCCTCCTCATCCCTGATTGCTCCTAGCCTCTTTTGCTGATGCCCCTCAATGAGACTGTTGGGGGCTTGATCCCCATCTCTTCTCACCCTCCACCCAGGGCCTCACTGACTTGCATGGAACAAAATGATTATCCCCATTTGCAGTCTCTACAACACACCCAAAAACTCCAGACTGTGAATTGCGCTCAACTGTCTAATAACCATTTCAAATTTAGCACGTCCAAACCCAAACTTTTACACCTTCCCTTCAAAACATACTCTTCCCGTAGTCACTCCCTTCTCAGGAACCAATGACTCCATCCTTCACTTGCTTCCGCCAGAATCCTTGGAGGCATCCTCGTGCCTTTCTTTCTCTGCGATCTTTGACCTGTCAGGAGCTCCTGCTGGCTCTGTGGTGAACAGGTCCAGAGTCCCTGCTTCTCACCACCTGCGGTGAGCCCACCCTGGTCTGCTGCATAATTGCAGTCATTTCTTACCCATCTCCCCACTTCTGGCCTCACCTTCTCACAGGCTGTTCTGAAGACAGCATCCAGGGGAATCCTTTGAAAACGGGTGAAGGGCACGGCTCATGAGAATCCTTACTTAGGCTCTTTCTTTTCTCTAATATTGATTTTAGTTCAGATCCTCATTAATCCCTGGGATTATTGCAGTGAACTCACTGCTGATTTCCCAGTCTTAATCTCCTCCAGCCCGGGGGTAGCAGTGCTTCCAGCGACCTTTCATTGCTCCAACACACCCATTTTGAGCACATCCCTTATGCTAATGACTGACTGAGACTTTACCAGTTTTGCCCCATTTTCTGTTCAGAGTCCTCAAAGCCTGTAGATAAGGTGATTTCTATAGCCTTCAACATTAAATCCAGGTTTCATGCTGTGTGCTGTTGTTCTCTGAATGGCTGCCCACTTATGACCTCACCGGCTTCCTCCATACACGCTGCCCATGCCCCAGCCCTGCTGAAGCCCTTGCTTATCAGATACCTTCTGCTTTTGTGAAAGAGGCTCTCACTGGCTATACAGCATGTTCAGAATTCAGCTCAATTCAAGTGCTGTGTCCTTCAGCAAACCTTCCGAGAAGCACTCCCACTTCCCATCATGGATGGCTTCAACTCAGCTCCCGCAGTATCCTGGTCACCTCTCACCCAGAGCACGTACTGCTCTGAGGTTCCTGCCAGCTCGTCTGTCTGTTCTTTAAAGCATCCTGAGGAGTGGACAGGCCCTGTTTCTGTGTTGCTGCAGCGGCCAGCATAGACGAGATATGCACTATTTCTTGAAAGAACTGTAACGTCCGATCGAGGTGGAAGCACTCACTTGTGCTTTGATGCATCTCCCCTCCAAACACAACAGTGAAAAGGTACAATTTAAGTAGAGAAACAAACCAAAAAGCATAGCCAGCCCACCAAGCAAGAGAAATACCCTTCAGTACACAAACAGACTAGAAACCTAGCATGGTAAGCCTGAATTGACTGGATTTCACTGGCCACTGAGCCGCAGGCTCCAAGCAGGCAGTGTCAGTAGGAAAGTGGGTTCTTACAGGGGTAAGGGTAACAGGGACTAAAGTGTTCAGTGGAGTTAGAACTAGATGTAGCTACTTTTTTTTTTTTTTTTTTTTGAGACGCTCTCGTCACCCGGCCTGGAGTGCAGTGGTGTGATCACGGCTCAACCTGCTGGGCTCAAGCAGTCCTCCTGTCTCAGCTTCCTGAGTAGCCGGGTCTATGCTACTGGGTCTACGCATGGTGTGTGCCACCATGCCCGGCTAATTTTTTATGTTTTGTAGAGATGGGGTCTCACTATGTTGCCCAAGCTGGTCTTGAACTCCTGGGCTCAAGCAGTCCTCCAACCTTGGCCTCCCAAAGTGCTGAGATTACAGGCAAGAGCCACCATGCCTGGCCTTAGATGGTTTTTGGAGCTGGAGTTAGATAAGGTTTCCCCATCTAAGGCAATTCTCTGCTATACAGATTGGGGCTCTACTGGCAGTTGTGGTCCTAGGGAGGTAGAATGCAAGGCCTGGGATGAGCCATGCTATTCCATGGTTCTCTACCAGGGTCTGCACTGTTGGTGACATAACCACGCAACAGAATCCTGCATCACCATGGAAAACCTAGTTCTGGACGGAGGCCTTGGAAGGCTTGGAGGGCAACAACCACAGAACACTAGTGCTATGGGCTGAATACTTTTGTGTTCCCTGCTCTGCCAAAGTCATATGCTCAAATCCCACTCCCTGGTTTCACTGTATTAGAAGGTAGAGCCCTTGGGAGGGGATTAGGTCATGAGGGTGGACTCCTTGTGAATGGAATAATGTGCTTAGAAGAGACCCCATAGAGATCCCTGGTCCCTTCCATCATGTGAGGACATAGAAGCTGGCAGTTGGGCCCTCACCAGACACCAAATCTGCTGATGTCTTGCTTCTGAACTTCCAGCCTCGAGAACTGTGAAGAATGAATTTCTGTTGTTTAAAAGGTAATGGGAGTTAGTTACAGCAGCCTGAATGGACTGAGCCACTAGACAGGGAGGAGAGCACCAGCAACAGAAAACCTTCTGTCGCGATGAGCCCGAGACCCCAATTCCTCTATGCTCAAAGACCTCTAATACACATCCTCACAGAGCTGATGCCTTACAGAGCTGTGCATTTACTGCATCGGAAATTTAAGGACAGTCTGGCAAAAACTGTCAAAATAAGTATGTTTAAGATGCTTAAAAAGATAAATTAGCATCCATGAAAACAAACAAGAAATTGCCCAAAAGGAAACAAGAGTAAGAAGATATGACCCAAAAAAGAAAAAGAAAAAGGAAGAAGAACTTGAAATCTAGTAAATGAAAAGGATATTAGCCAGGATGATAGACTCTGGACCAGACATAGTCAAAGACAAAATTAGTGGATTGGCAGTTACTTCACAAAATTGACCCAGATGACAGGGACAAGATGGAGGGGCACAATGATAAAATTCAAGGTCCTGAATTCAGGCAGGCCTGTAGCCGACTCTGTACTTTGACTTGACAGTTATGTGCCATATTATGGCTATTTATTAATTATTATTTTTTGAGATGGAGTTTCGCTCTTGTTGCCCAGGCTGGAATGCAGTGGTGCAATCTCGGCCCACCGGAACCTCCACCTCCCGGGTTCAAGCGATTCTCCTGTCTCAGCGTCCTGAGTAGCTGGGATTACAGGCATGCACCACCATGCACCACCATGTCCAGCTAATTTTGTATTTTTAGTAGAGATGGTGTTTCTCCATGTTGGTCAGGCTGGACTCGAACTCCCGACCTCAGGTGATCTGCCTGCCTCGGCCTCCCAAACTGTTGGGATTACAGGTGTGAGCCACCATGCCTGGCCTAATAATGGCTTTTTAACTGAAGCTAGTTTGAGTCTGTTTGCTTTTTGCCTGCAAGAGAAATAATCTTTCCTCATGTACGAACCCCTTCATGAGATGACAGTGTTTCGTTAAAGTTAGCCATTAGATGATCTGACAGTCAGCTAGAGTTAATTATCAGAGATGTAAATCGGTATTTGATATGATTAATATTGGCACATAAGAAATCTCTGAAACTTAGGAAGGAAAACAAACTTGGTGGGAGGACATGGACAGAAGACCGGTCTACTTGGCGGCCTCTCCCTACCCTCCTCCCGCACGCTGCCCAGCCCAGGAGCCCGCTTCTGAATGCTGCGTTCGATCTCTGAAGAGGTTTCAGCACTTACAGATCCTTACCAGGTTTTAAGCCACATTTGGGTGATCTTCATTAGTATTGTTGGCATTTCTTTGTGTTTGCAAGTATGCACTGAAATACTGAATTGAAGAGCTATTCATGTTCTTTAGCTAATTTTATGGTCTCAGGAGCAGCCTTGTCTCCAAAACTCACTGTATAATATGTTTATAATGTCTATATATATTTAATTGCAATAAAATATACTAAGATAAAACTTGCCAGCTTAAGCAGTTCAGTGAATGCTAGATTCATGTAGTGGAATGTGCTTGTGTCCCCTCCCCACCCCCGCTGTGTTCAGCCTCTGCTGTTACTCCCCAGCCAGGCGCAGCTTTGGATGTGTCCACAGTCACCCTGCTGCTGTCTTCCACTCTCTCTGACCACACTCAGTTCTGAGCCCCACATATGTTTCTGTTGTCTTCAGCAGTGCCCTGGGATAATTAGAAACCAATTCAGTGAAATTGTGGCTAATTCTAAGAAACAGTTTCTGAAGTCATTTTAGGAGATTTGTTCCTACTCTGGAGGGCTCCTGCAGCAAGAATTCTCCAGCTCTCCCTGCTGACTAGCCAGCCGCAGTCCAGGCTGTGCCTCCATTAAACCCACACCTCCAGTTGCCTTCACTAGGACCTCCACTGCTCCTAGGTTTAAAGAGAGTGCCCAGGGTTTAAATGTTAGTGCCCTAACATTTAAAGAGGTTTAAATGTCACCAAACTCGTTTCTCCCTGAATGACGCCCCTGGTCTTATGGCGGCAGCCAGGGCCCTCTCAGCTTGTCACTCCAGCCCTGCAGCTACCGTCTTACAGAGCCAGGGCACAGCTGATCAGGACCCCCAGTATTCTCAGCCTGCCACACTCAAAGTTGAGCCTCCATTCCAGAATGGAGGCTGGACAGAGGTAGGAAGGCCCACTTTGCCCATGACTCCACTAGCCAGGATGCAGCATCAGCACCACGTAGCTGGGGTGGGGTGGAACTGGGGGAGAGGGCACTACATTATCAGCTGCAGCAGTCTGGAACAGAGTCGCTGCCTCACTGACCTGGAAAGGGGAGGCAGGGAGCAGTCTTGGTTCAAATACAACAGACTCTGGCCTTTCTTACTGAATTTTCAGTTGTTTGCTGTGAACCCTTAGAACGATCTCCAGAGTCTCAGAACAGTTGTTTTCTTACAATGTTCACCTGTTTTCCTTGGGAGCAAGCAGGTCAGTGGAGCTTCTTGTGCTGTCATGCTAGAAGTTGATTACCCACAGTAGGGATTCTTGCAGAAGAAATATTACTTTAGAAGAGAGGCTGGGCACGGTGGCTCAAGCCTGTGGTCTCAGCTACTTGGGAGGGTCACTTGAGCTCTGGAGGTCAAAACTGCAGTGAGCCATGGTCACACCATTGCACTCTAGCCTGGGTGACACAATGAGACCCTGTCTCAGAAAGAAAAAGGAAGAAAAGGAGGCTAGGACAGGGGTGGTGGCCTTCTAGGCCATCTTTCCTCTCTCTCCAGCAACTCTAGATCACATGTCTGTGAGTCATTTAAAATGTCTTCATTCAGTTCATGTCAGGATCCTGTTCAGGAAAATGTTTTGGACTTCTCTGGCTGCTGAGAAGGTGGACTTGGATTCCCCTTCTTTCCCTGCTGTCCTTGTCCCAGGGTGCAGGGATAGAGGGAAGTCAGATGGTCTGTCAGTGTTGTGATTTGTTAGGGAATCTGTGTGGTCCATTGATGCCCTCTTTCTCTGGAGGATCACTGAGATCCCTTCCCCATAACTTGTAATGAGGTTGCCTTTGTGTGAAGACTGTGGAGCCTTGATGAAAGGCTTTCTTTAGGGGGTCTTTCTTATTTATTTAATTTTGTTTTGTGATTTTCTAGGAGTTCGCAGCACTTACTAAAGAACTCAATGTATGCAGGGAACAGCTCCTTGAAAGGGAAGAAGAAATTGCTGAACTGAAAGCAGAAAGGAATAACACCAGGGTGAGTGTGACCTTTCTGTTCACTGCCTGCCCCTGGAGCCACTGTCAGGAGGAGGGGCGGTGTGTCAAAACGAAAGGACGACCCACTCTGTCTGGCCTGAAATACTTTTCATACCTTTTCCCACTGAGCAGACTGTGATTAGTCAGCATGATCACACATTAATGGCTTGAAATTTGTGATGAGAATTTATGATATTTTAATACAATTGAGAGGAATTTGTTTTTCTGCGGAATTGAAGGGACTTCATTTTAGTATGAGACTGTAAAGGAGTTATTTGCCCCAGATTCAATCATGAAATTAAAAATGCTGTTTAACAAGTCTTTATTTTGGCCTTTTATTTCAGCTGCTGTTAGAGCATTTGGAATGCCTTGTCTCCAGGCATGAGCGGTCTCTTAGGATGACCGTGGTGAAGAGACAAGCGCAGTCTCCAGCAGGCGTGTCCAGCGAAGTGGAAGTGCTGAAAGCACTGAAGTCCTTATTTGAACACCACAAAGCTCTGGATGAAAAGGTGCCATCAGCCACATAAGTCTTGGTTTGTGCACATGCTGTGTATTAGGCCAGCTTCACAAGTGTTGGTGTAACTTTTGTTTTTTGAAGCTTCTTGAATTCTTGGAAATAACTTCTCTAAGAAGACAGGGTTTTGTAGGTTTAAAAAGTACTAATTGGCTTAAATGTCTTAAAATTACTAATGTATATTGATTTGCTGTTACAAATTGGGTAGTATTAGGTTGTTGCAAAAGTAATTGTGGGCAAAACCTGCAATTACTTTTGCAACAACCTGATATTTCGGGGGAAGATTTATTTTTCTGAAACTTAATTTAGAGCCATTAACAAGTTTTCTTGACAGTAAGATCAATGACAGACATTAATGGTATTTTATTATGTTATATTACACTAATATATACATTAAGTGTATATATTACACTTAACTATATATTAAGAATAAAATAAACAGTATACACACACACACACAAACTCAACCCCTTTTATTTTCAGGTGAGAGAGCGATTACGAGTAGCACTTGAAAGATGTAGTTTGTTAGAAGAGGAATTAGGTGCCACACACAAAGAGGTAAGCTTGAGACTTCATCATGAGTTGAATTGGGGGGGGGTTATTTTTATCCTTTAATTATTAAAAGCAGCATAAGGCCAGACGTGGTGGCTCACACCTGTCATCCCAGCACTTTGGGAGACCGAGGCGGGCGGATCACCTGAGGTCAGGAGTTCCAAGACCAGCCTGACCAACATGGTGAAACCCCATTTCTACTAAAAATACAAAAATTAGCCAGGAGTTGTGGCATGTTCCTTTAGTCCCAGCTGCTCGGGAGGCTGAGACATGAGAATTGCTTGAGCCCAGGAGGTGGAGGTTGCAATGAGCTGAGATTGCACCATTGCACTCCAGCCTGGGTGACAGAGCAAGACTCTGTCTCCAAAAAAAAAAAAAAAAAGTAAAAGAAGTATAAGGACTGTAGTTGTACATATCACATGTTACTTATCTTCCCAATTGAGGACCAGCCTATCTGAGTCATTTTAAGGACTACAAAATGATGGTTACCTAAGGACTCGTCTGGCCAGTGGATAATAAATTCCATCTTCAATGATCTGGTTATTTTCGGATTGGGTAGCATTGCCATATGCTTTCTCTTTTATACTATGTTAAGCAGTTTTTAGTTGTGTTTTTCCAAAAGGAGTTTTGCTATCTTTACTTATTTCTCTTATGTAAGGTATTTTACACTCATATTCAATTTTTTGCTTTCAGCTAATGATTCTTAAAGAACAGAATAATCAGAAAAAAACTCTAACAGATGGAGTGCTGGACATAAACCATGAACAAGAAAATACACCAAGCACGAGTGGAAAGGCAAGTCTGTAGGCTTTGTCTTTATTCTGTTTGATTTCATTTGTTCACAGTATGTGTCGGGTTATGTGGAAAACAGTTGCTAAAGTACCGGCTTAGAGCTGAAGTGGTCATGAAAGTTGTGTAATCCAACAGATTGCATAAGTCAGTTTTGATTTTAGCTATTTCCTGGAAGTATTTTTATTTTATAGCTCACCAAACAAGGGTATTTAAGGATTTTTTTTTCCCCCTATCAGAGATCTTCTGATGGTTCTTTAAGCCACGAGGAAGACCTTGCTAAAGTAATTGAGCTCCAAGAAATCATAAGTAAGCAGTCAAGGGAACAGAGCCAAATGAAAGAACGCCTGGCTTCCCTTTCCAGTCATGTGACAGAACTGGAAGAGGATCTGGACACGGCTAGAAAAGATCTCATCAAATCTGAAGAAATGAACACAAAATTGCAACGAGATGTCCGTGAAGTGAGCAATAACAAAAACTACAGTCTTGTCATGAAGTTGTATGTTTGGGACGTTTTAGTTAAATGATTTTTTTTCTCTGTTTGTCTCTTACTCTCCCAATTACTTTCAACCTTTGGATTATTGTATAAGTTATATTGAAAAAGAGAGAGTGCTGTGAAACTGCCATAAGCTACCTCCCCATTTTTGTTGTGAAATCTCCTGTCCCTGAGCTCTTCAAAGTAGAGAACTAGTCCCACTGACTGACATGGCCATGAAGTGGACGCCACACTGGCCTCTCCTACCTGTGCTGCTTTAATATTCTTTAATGTCCTTGTTTGTAGATTCTTCATCTGTGCAATTTCTAGGCTGTCTTAATTTGTTCTTATGTTCAGATTGCCTTCTGTTGCACACATACTTAGCAAGCAGATATTGATACTGGCTGTGCTAGCTCACGTAGGGCAATGTGAGTATAGTCTCTTAACTGTGGGAGGGGGCGTTGCTGGCGGTCTTCTCATTTTCTGACCTGCTCCTTCAAGGAATTTGTGGCGTTGAATATTAATGGTCAAACAATCAAGAGTGGAATTTGCTTCTACATGGGTCATCAGGATCGTATAGCAAAAATATGTCACAATATACTCATTGCTGACAAATATTTCTGCCATTATAACTGTGAGAAACTATTTGATCATGAATGCCGGGCGTGGTGGCTCACGCCTGTAATCCCAGCACTTTGGGAGGCTTAGGCGGGCGGATCACGAGGTCAGGAGATCGAGACCATCCTGGCTAACACGGTGAAACCCCGTCTCTACTAAAAAATACAAAAAAATTAGCCAGGCGTGGTGGCGGGCGCCTGTAGTCCCAGCTACTCGGGAGGCTGAGGCAGGAGAATGGCGTGAGCCCAGGAGGCAGAGCTTTCAGTAAGCCGAGATCGGGACACTGCACTCCAGCCTGGGCGGCAGAGCGAGACTCCGTCTCAAAAAAAAAAAAGAGAGAAACTATTTGATCATGAAACAGTGAGGCTGAGTGCTTTCTCAGGTGCCCTTCCTGTCACTTTCTAACCTGCGCTTTGTCCCTTGTCAGGCGCCTCAACCGTTGAATGTCTGCTTTTCAGTTTGGTAGTTTGACGTTGAGTAATTTCATGTAGGAATTCACCACAGGAAGAACATTTGCATGTAGTATGTCACCTAAGGTTCTATTCTTTGGCTACAGCAGGAGATTATGTGGCAGAGATTAATATGCAGAGAATTTTGAAATTCTTTTAAGACCTATCACTTTTATTTTTTAATTTTTTATTTTAACTTTTAAGTTTGGGGTACACGTGTAGGTCTGTTACATAAGTAAACTTGTGTCCTGGCGGTTTGTTTTACAAATTATTTCATCACCCAGGTACCAAGCCTAGTTATTTTTCCTGATCCTCTTCTTCCTCCTATCCTCCACCCTCCACCCTTTGATAGGCCCCAGTGTGTGTTGTTCCCCTCTGTCTGTCCCTGTGTTCTCATCAGTTAGCTCCCACTTATAAGTGAGAACATGAGGTATTTTGTTTTTCTGTTTCTGTGTTTGCTAAAGATAATGGCCGCCAGCTCCATCCATGTCTCTGCAAAGGACATGATCTCATTCTGTTTTATGGCTGCATAGTATTCCATGGTGTATACGTACCACATTTTCTTTATGGAGTCTATCATTGATGGGCATTTAGGTTGATTCCTTGTCTTTGCTGTTGTGAATAGTGCTGCAGTGAACATACGTGTGCGTGTGTCTTTATAATACAACGATTTATATTCCTTTGGGTATATACCCCGTAATGGGATTTCTGGGTTGGTATTTCCATCTTTAGGTCTTTGAGGAATCTCCACACTGTCTTCCACGATGGTTGAACTAATTTACCCTCCCACCAAGAGCAGGAAAACATTCCTTTTTCTCCACAACCTCACCAGCATCTGTTACTGATTGACTTTTCCACAATAGCCATTCTGACTGGTGTGAGATGCTGTCTCATTGTGGTTTTGATTGGCATTTGTCTAATCGGTGATGTTGAGCTTTTTTCCCCTATCACTTGTAATATTTAGACTTTGCTAACTTTAGTCATTTTATAAATAGGGAACAACTTGAAAATAGTGAATTCTGGGGGTGGAGGACAGGTATTTCTCAAGCAAAAAGTTCTGGTCCTAGCCTTAAGTGTTTGAAACTGTATAGTAATCATCTTGTAGACTTCAGGTAGTTGCATCCAATTAAATTAAACTGGTACTTCTGTTTCCATTTGTCAATATGCTTGAGTCTTGTAATTGTATGAGAGTTCATCCAACCCTTATCCTAGAAAGTGAGACTTGTATCTCACTACTGTGTCCACTGAGAGAGGCCGCACCCTGTCCTGTGTGAGACCATTTGTAGCGTGAGGCAGACGTAGACTGCGTCTTCTTTGAGGACACTTTCACCTCCTTGAAAAATATTTAGATATTTGAGTGTATATATTTTTATAATATTATGTAGAAACAGGAAAGCTTGGTCAACTGAGTGGCCAGACATAGTATTAAGAGAGACAAGTCTTTGTTAATCGTATAGGTGAATATTTATGGTATTTGAGGTAGTTACATTTTCATTCACATTTGAGAAAATTGACATCTTCATCAATTTAATTTTGAGGACATTATTATTTATTTATTTATTTTTGAGACAGGATCTCTCTCTGTTACCCAGGCTGGAGTGCAGTGGCGCCATCATAGCTCACTGCAGCCTTGAACTGCTGGACTCGAGCAATCCTCCTGTCTCAGACTCCCAAGTACCTGGGACTACAGGGGCGTGCCACCATGCGTGGCTAATTTTTGTTTCTTTAAAATGTTTTTGGCCAGGGACACTGGCTCACGCCTGTAATCCTAACACTTTGGGAGGCCAAAGGAAGGCCAAGGAGGATCTCTTGAGCCCAGGAAACTCAAGACCAGCCTGGGCGATATAGTAAGACCTCTATTTCTACAAAAAATTAAAAATTAGTTGGATATAGGAGTGTGCGCTTGTAGTCCCAGCTACTGGGAAGATTGAGGTGGAAGGATCCCTTGAGCCTGGGAAGTCAAGGCTGTGGTGAGCCTTGATTGCACCACAGCATTCCATCCTAGGTGATAGAGGGAGACTCTGACTCAAAAAACAAAATAAAATATTTTTGTAGAGACAAGGTCTTGAACTCCTTGCCTGAAGCCATCCTCCCGCCTTAGCCTCCCAAAGTGCTGTGATTATAGGAGTGAGCTGCTGTATCTGGCCTGAGGATGCTAATTTTTAATTTGATTGGAAATTTGGGATTTACTTCAGTTTTTTTCTCTCTTAAGTATCTTAATGTGTAATCGTTAATTACCTACTTTTTTGTCCCCTCTGAAATACCTAATTTAGGCCATGGCCCAAAAGGAAGATATGGAAGAGAGAATCACTACTCTTGAAAAACGCTACCTCGCTGCACAGCGTGAAGCCACATCTGTGCATGACCTCAATGATAAACTTGAAAATGAAATTGCAAATAAAGATTCTATGCATCGACAGGTAATGGATTTTATCGACCTTTGTCTGGCTTTAGTTAATTATTAATGAAGTTAAAGACCCTTTTTCTCTCACTTTCATGTTGGAAATCAAGTCCAAATATCAAGTTTTTATGACCTTAGAATATTATGTTCAAGACATGTGGGAGTTCCTTCAGTTTAGAGGTTTTGATTACGTAGGATTTGATTTAACCAATTTTGTCCTCAGTTTTTTCTTTTGTTGTAATTGAAAGTTAATCTATTGCTTGTTAGCATTTTTACCAAAGGAGCAGAGAGTGGCAAAGAACTTCAAGGCAATTGGCTATTTGTAACTAAGTGGGAGCACTATGATACATGAATAGTATGACAAATGAAGTCTTGGTCGGATGCGGTGGCTCATGCCTGTCATTCTAACACTTCGGGAGGCTGAGGTGGGAAGATCGCTTGAGCCCAGGAATGTGAGAACAGCCTGTCTCTACAGAAAATTAATAAATTAGCCGGGCATGGTGGCATGTGCCTTTAGCCCTAGCTACTCAGGAGGCTAAGGAGGGAGGATGACTTGAGCCCTGGAGTTCAAGGCTTCATTGTGCTATGATTGTGCCACTGGACTCCAGCCTGGGCCACAGAACGAGACCCCGTCTCTAAAATAAAAAATGCGGCCAGGCGCGGTGGCTCACACCTGTAATCCCAGCACTTTGGGAGGCCGAGGCAGGTGGATCATGAGGTCAGGCATTTGAGACCAGCCTGACCAACATGGTGAAACTGCGTCTCTACTAAAAATACAAAAATTAGCTGGGCTTGGTGGCGCGCATCTGTAATCCCAGCTGCTACTCAGGAGGCTGAGGCAGGAGAATCGCTTGAACCCAAGAGGCGGAGGTTGCAGTGAGCCGAGATTGTGCCACTGCACTCCAGCCTGGGTGACACAGCTAGACTCCGTCTCAAAAAAAAAAAAAAGGCAGTGAAGTCTGTAGTAAGAAATTGGGTCTCCTGTGGTTTCGTAAACCATACTTATTCTTGTAATTACGAGTATCACTGTATTCCAGCCTGGGTGACAGAGCAAGACTCTGTCTTTAAACAAACAAAAAAAAAGCTTCTTAAAAGTTATTTAGGAAAAGCAAACACTTTGACAAGAGGTGTTTTGCACATTGAAACCAAGACCAGGAAAGTGGGCATGTACTCCTGGCAGCAAGAAAACCTTACCCAGGCCGGGCACAGTGGCGCACACCTGTAATCCCACCACTTTGGGAGGCTGAGGCGGGTGGATCACTTGAGGTTAGGAGTTCAAGACCAGCCTGGCCAACATGCCGAAGTCCTGTCTCTACTAAAAATACAAAAATTAGCCAGACCTGGTGGCACATGCCTGTAATTGCAGCTACTCAGGAGGCTGAGGCAGGAGAATTGCTTGAACTCAGGAGGTGGAGGTTGCAGTGAGCCAAGATTGTGCCACTGCACTCCAGCCTGGGTGACAAAGCGAGACTATGTCTCAAAAACAAAAACAAAAACAAAAACAAAAACAAAAACCTGACCCAGAAGCAACTCCCATCACTGTAGCTCTTCCATCATGACTCTCTTAGTCTGTATCTGCATTTCAGTTTGTTTCAATCTGTTAAAAACTGATCAGCTAGAAGATTTGTTGCATTTTGATGCTTTGCTCTCATTTTATAGACTGAAGATAAAAACCGCCAGTTACAGGAGCGCTTGGAATTGGCAGAGCAAAAGCTGCAACAGACACTGAGGAAGGCAGAGACGCTCCCGGAGGTGGAGGCGGAGCTGGCCCAGAGGGTGGCAGCGCTTTCCAAGGTAGTGCCATGAGCTTCATTCTGGTTCGGCTGCCAGGCCTGTGACTGTGCCTTGCCTGTGTACCTTGTTTGTCACTGTTCTTATTACATCAGCACCTAAATCCGTGGAAGAGCACGGATTTGGTTTGAGTGCTCTTTCATCTGAGATTGGAACACTTTGTAAATGCCAGACATGATCCTTTTATCCCGAAGTCTACCTTGGTTTTGTGAGCTGTATACTATTTGTCCACGGCATGTGTGATCTGAGAGTTACTGCTTCTTAGAATTGTTTTGGTCACCAGCTTAAGCATAGGATAGAAGTCTCTGTAAAAGAAGGGTAGTTTTTCTCAGAAATAGGAAGATGCCGTTCTTTTAAAAACACCATCAAGATAAATTCTTCATAAACACATTTTTAAGTAATTTTATTATTTTGAAATTACTTAAAAATGTATTTTTAAGTAATATTTATTATTTTGAAATTACTTAAAAATGTGTTTTTAAGTAATATTTATTCATTTGTCCAACAACTGTTGACTAGGCATGTGCAAGACACAGTCCCTCCAAGTTCTCCCCATTCATGAGGGAAGCAGCTAAAGAGGCAAATGCTGTCATAGGTCCTGGGATCGGCGAGTACCCAGGGAGCGCATCACCGGGCACAAACCCAGCCTCTGGGGCGTGGGGAGCCCAGCACTGCAGTGCCAGGCAGGCGAGCAGCAGGAGCTGAGGCCCCTGTCTGTCGTCCTGAGTCTTCTTGCTCAAGCTTTTCAAGCTGCTGGGGAGGGCATCCTTCTGGACCATTCAGATGGTTTTAGGGCTCACACACCTGTTCCTTCTAGCAAGTTTGTTGCTAACAGCTGTAAGAACCTATCCTCCCACTCCATGATCTGCTTTTAAAGTCTCGATTTCTTTTCTCCCCTGTTATCTTTCCTGTCCCTTGTCGGCTTTGTAGTCTGACCTTTTGTCTTCTGGGAGCTCTGCTGCTAAGGAAGCTAAACTGTTGGAACTTACTTCCAAGCTTAGGAAGGTAGAATGGGTGCACTGCTCCTTGCTTGTGCTTGCCGCTGCTTTCTGCTTTCCATGCTTACTAACCAGAAGCAGTCCAAGGATGGGAGAATCACGACTCCATTGAGATTGGGCATAGGGGTTGGGGGGAAAACACCCAGTCAGTCGCCAGCAGCAGCCATGCTTCAGAATCACCAACACAAGAGGGCTAGCCACCTCATGGCCCAGCACGTGAAGCCCCGTAGGCTGTGTTGATGGATGAGTACATGCTTTCCATTTAGTATGGCGGAGCAGCCCACGCAGAGCATGTTGTGCCTGTTGCCACTGCAGTGGTATGCAGCATGTCGTTAATGAAGTGTAAGGATGACGTCAGCGTACGCTGTTTCTGCTGACAGGCTGAAGAGAGACACGGCAACATTGAAGAAAGGTTACGACAGATGGAAGCACAGTTGGAGGAGAAGAATCAAGAACTGCAGCGGGTGAGCATGCAGCCCTGAGGGTGGGGGCGCTGAGTGGGTGCTGCAAGGTCATTGCTCGGCTGTGGGGAGCTCAGGGCCTCCCACCCCTGACTGAGATGTTGGTCCTCCAGCTCAGTTCTGGTCGCGTGCATTTGTTTTGCACCCTCATCTGTGAGTCGCCTGCTAATGCGTACATCCCACACAGTAGTTGTTTTCAGTCAGTATTGGGAGCTGCGGAAGAAATTTGAGATCCTAGGCAGTACTTCAGGTGTCCAAAAATGCTTCTTGCTTGTCTAGCGGCCTATCAGGGGAACTGTTCTAGGTAGCTGTGGTACCGGCGTGGCCCCCCTACCCCCTGCAAATGTAGAGGCAGGTCCATTGTCCTGAATGACTAGTCCACTTTTCTAGGATATGGCACTGAATTCCCACATGCAGGTCAGAGGCCTGACCTCTGTCCCAGGTTAAAATACTCCAAACATAATGGCGTGTTGGAATGAATGTTTCTAAGCAAGAGCAACACCGTAATTGAGCTACAATAAAAAGCACTAGGAAGGAGTGTGGCAGTGGAGACTTCTGTCCATTGAATCCTAAGATTGTTTTCCTGAAAGAGTTGGGTGGATGTCAATATGGAACATCCAGGAAAAAGATATAGCAAGAGCAGTCCCAGGGCCAGCTGGTACCAGGCCTGGGGTTTGGGGTAGATTTCTCTTTAACAAGTAGGTGGAGAAAGGAAGCATGCAGCGTCTAATTTTAGAACTCTTGCACCGTCACATCAGCCCACTTTATAACATTAATTTAAGGCTACTAGATTTTGTTTTCACCAGAAATCTGTATTCTTGGCCATGCCCTGCAGAGAATCAAAGGAGCTTCTGGGAAACGACGATTCCGACTCCCAGTGAGAGGGTGCATTTTAGGCAGTCCCCACCTCCCCTTCCAAAATGCACACTCATGCTCACAGACACAACAGTGAACTTTAAGCTGTGTTCTTTAAAAATTATTTAAATGCTGACGGAAAATAAGCACAAAGAAGGATATTGTTTCTTTCCCAAGAGGAAGTATGCGATACTCCGTATGGCACATGATGTGCTGGACCCTTTCAGGTAATGATAGTTGCTACATGTTAGACCTTATGAGAAAAGGAGAGGTCACTACCCATGTTTTCCCAGTGCAGAAATTGGGCGCACGGGGTTCGAATGCACTGCTGATGGCGCGGTCTCATGGCTGTCTCCTCCTGCCTGGGCAGCATGACTCGGGTGCACGTCGTAACCCCGTGCCATTGCCTCCTGCCTGGGAGGAGCCCCCTGAGCACTGCAAGGGCACTTGGGCGATGAGGGCATGGAGGTGCCACCTGGACAGGTGCCACCTACTGACACTTCCTGTCCCTTTCTGCCTGTCATTTGAGAAACAAAGGTTTTAAACCATGAATTTGATTATGGTTTTATAAAATAATAGACATGTCAGTTTTGTTACTACATATTAAAATTACTTAAGGTAATTATTTATAATTTTTGAATGTAAATTTCCATTACGAGAAATTTAAGCAACATAAAGATATAAAGAAAAAATATGAAGGTCTCTCTAGCACAATTTTTTTTTCCAAAACAAACTTTTTAACTTTTTTGCTTTGTAAATTAAGTTCACCCTTCCTCCCCAAATCCAGACCCAAGCTTTTAGTTACACAAGGGGAAATTCCTCTACCAGCGTGGAGACAGGCTCATCCTCTAAATATCTGCTATAAATCTGCTCCTTAAGTCCCTCTGACAGTTAACAACTAGTGACATTCCTGAGGAGTCCTGTGGCAGGAGCAGTGGGACCTTCTAGTTAATGACCTTTCCAAGACTTGTCCCGTGCTCCCTGTGTCCATGAGTTGGTTCTGGTCACCATGCAAAAGTCCACTCAAGATGGCAGTGTGGGGAGCAACTGGGGGAGGGGAGGGCACACATGGGGCTCACCCTGTTGGTCCTTGTGCTTTTAAAATAATGATCGAGGATTTACGTGAGGTTTATAAGACTTTGTTTCTCCTGCTTTAGGCAAGGCAAAGAGAAAAAATGAACGAAGAACATAATAAACGTTTATCAGACACTGTTGACAAGCTGCTTTCAGAATCTAATGAGAGGCTTCAACTTCATCTTAAAGAGAGAATGGCTGCTTTGGAAGATAAGGTAAGTTAGATAACACGGACATGCTGGAGCTTTCCCACCCTCTGCCAAAAGATTGCTCATCTGCCCCTGAGCAGGCGTGTGTAACAGTGGTTAGCAGCTGTTACCGAAAATGGGAATTATTCTTTAAAGTGGAAAAGGTATGCACAGTTATCCAGTCACTGAATTAACTTATTGTTTGCTAAGTCCATGCCCCATTTGTGTGTATGGGAAATTGTTTATCATTCTTATTCTCTAGAATGAGAGTAGGTAAGTGGTTTTTATAAAGGGCCAGATTGTAAATATTTTAGGCTTTTAGTAGTTATGAGTAATTAAATAATTTTATGCCAATCAAGTCATTAGCACAAAAGCAGCCATAAATAACGTGTAAATGAATGAGTCTGGCTATGTTCCAATAAAATTCATTTGTAGAAACAAGCAGTGGGCTGGTTTTGGCCGTCAGGTTCTAGTTTGCCAGCCCCTGCACTAGGATCATTTTTTGGGCCCAACCCTCACCCCTTTATTATTCATGCATTGGAAGTTAATTTCTGGCTGGGCGTGGTGGCTCACGTCTGTAATCCCAGCACTTTGGGAGGCTGAGGCAGGCAGATCACTTCAGCCAGGAGTTCAAGACCAGCCTGGCCAACATGGCCAAACGCCATCTCTACTAAAAATATAAAAATTAGCCAGGCCTGGGGGCACCCGCCTGTAGTCCCAGCTACTTGAGAAGCTAAGGCATGAAAATCGCTTGAACCCAGGAGGTGGAGGTTGTAGTGAGCCAAGATTGCGCCACTGTACTTCATTCAGCCTGTGTGACAGAGCAAGATCCTGTTTCAAAAAAAAAAAAAAAAAGTTAATTTCTGTCTCATTTATAAATAGGTCACTTAGGTTGTATCGTGTACTAGAAAGGGTTCAGTCAGCTGAAACCAAATAAATATTCCAACCTCTACCTTCGTTCTTTTTCATTTGATTTGGAAAAAGTTTAAGCCTGGACTCTGAGTACTGTCATCATGGAAACATGTTAGCTGTCACCAGAGCGAAGGGATATCCTAGAATCTGTGTCGGAGAAGCTCTAATGGGCAGCAGCTGGATTCCCGTTTGATAAAGCCTGTCCTGACTGTGCAGTGTCCCTAGCGATGGGACTCAGAAACTGCCCTGAGATTGGTTGTTAGGATTGGGGTCTGCTCATCTGAGAGACTAATGATTCCCGCTCATTGCATGACACGTTTATTTACACGGTGCTGACCATGGAGGGCATTTCCAGAGACCATACAGAGTCATTATCCCACTCACCTCCTTGATCAGTGGGTCAGCCTTAATGGAGCAGTGTTTTTATCTTTGATTTTAATTATGCATTTGAAACTTAAATTCAGGTTTCCCAAGTGACCAAGAAATTGTAAAGCCTAAAAGTTAGTATAAGCCAGTTTAACTGATTAAAATGAACTTGCACCATGAACTTGACATACCTACCTTTAGGAAGTTCAGTTGGTGAGGAGTAGATATATTAGTAAGAGATATAAGAGAAGGTGTCGCCGCCTCACGGTCTAACCCTGGGACTACAGCAGTGCTTGCTGGTGTGCTCTTTTACTCCGTTCCCTTTGTGTGGTCCTTTTTTTTTTTAAACGAATACAGCCATGCTATATTTAAATGGGACATTTTAAAGAAACACTAAAGGACTATCTGTCTTTTTTCAGAACTCTCTTTTAAGAGAAGTTGAAAGTGCAAAAAAGCAGTTAGAAGAAACACAACACGATAAGGTACTGAAATCTTCTCTAAATCCATGAAGAGCCAAGTTGAACTGAGTTGATGATGATGATAGTTACTGCAGATGTCTGACAGTGGAGAGCAGCTTGGTTTGTGGCTCTCATAGTCCACTGCCATAAGTTTCTAGCACTCTCAGGCTTGTATGTTGAATGCCTTTGTATTTCAGGTGATTTTGAGTCTGGCTATGCATATGGTTCAGAATTCGGAGTCCTTTCTGGGTTTATTTGAAGCTAAAATATTAGCATCAATGACAGTGCTGTCCAACAGAAATATAATATGAGCTGCATATGTAATGTTTAATTTTCTAATAGTCATATTTTAGAAAGTAATAGGTAAAATCTATTTTATTTAATTCAGTATATGCAAAATGTTATTATTTCATAATGTATTAATAGAAACAAGTGAGCTACTTTGCGTTCTTTTTCCACTGTGTATTTCCTAGTCATAGCACATCTCCATTTAGACTAACCCATTACAGGGCTCAGTAGCCACGTCTGGCCAGTGTTGGACAGCACAGCTCTAGAAATGAGATCAAGTATACCCATGACACAGGGATGGGTGCATACTTGATGTAAGACAATTAAACACAATACAGAGATGCACAGGACGTGAATATTGTTCCCCTTCTCCTCTAAAAGAGTCTGCTTCTCTACGAAACTAATAATTGTTAATCATTTGGTGTTTATCTTCTGAAAAGCTTTTCTATGACTAAGACACAGCTTTTCATTCATTAGGGCTTACAAAGTTAATATAGTAGTCTGAGTGTTTATGTTTATTGCAGTACTCTTGGAGAAAATTTTCCCAGAATTAAAATGTTTGGTATTTGTAACTGCTGATTTAACCTGTTAGGGTTATGCCCAACATCTGAGCACATTTGAAGTAAGTGGTTTTAAAATCTAAAAGAGATAGCAGTAATGTAAGTCTTTTGCTTTTCTGTAGGATCAGCTTGTCCTAAACATTGAAGCACTGAGGGCTGAACTAGACCACATGAGACTAAGAGGTGCTTCACTTCATCATGGGTATGGTATTAACCAGTGAGCAGCCATATTGTCAGCACCTGTGGCAGGCCAGTTCTTGGCTATGTGGGCAGCCTAACTGGATGTGGCTAATGGTGTGACCTCAAGGAGCCTGTAGCTTAGTAGGAAGCGAGAGAGAAAAGTAACTCAAAGGTTAGAGCTTGGTACTGAGGAGACACATCATTGGCGAAACTCCAAAACACAGGAGGAGTTTTGATCAGTTAATATTTGGATATCTTAATTTAGGTGCCCAGCAGAGTGTGACACTGATGATGTAAGAGCAGAATGACAGATCCCAAGATCTCACACCACAGATGCTGGCACGGGTGGGACAATTGCAGAGCAGTTGAAGGCCAGCAGTGGCGTGTGGCTGTGTTTTTCGTCAGCCCTGGGAAAGTGGAGCAGAAATGCAGAGCCAGACACCTGGACCCAGAGGAGGGGTCTCTCTCATCCTAGACAGCTGGGCTCCTTGTGGCTCATCACCTTGGCTGTCTGCACAGCTTTTCCTGGAGAGCTTTCTACCTGGTAGGGCTGAGAGACTAAAACTGTTGGCCTGGAGCAGGCAACATGTAGCTCTTGGGGCAGATGAGAGCAGTGCCCTCCCTGGAGACCCTTTCCTGTGTGGAATAACTTTTCCAAATTGATAGATTCTGCCTTAACTAAAAGAGAGTTTATTTTCTTTTCTTCTAATAATGATCATTCTTATTTTTCATGTTTCAGCCGACCCCACTTGGGCAGTGTCCCAGATTTCAGGTTCCCCATGGCAGACGGCCACACAGACTCCTACAGCACCAGTGCAGTGCTGCGGCGCCCACAGAAAGGCCGGCTGGCAGCCCTGCGAGATGAGCCTTCCAAGGCAAGGTCTTTGTGTGAAATACCTCTGCTTACGTGAAAGTTACCTACTTATCCCGTGGCTTTCAGACTACTTTGGGATAAAAATGTTGATAGGTCATTGCTTTCTTGCCCTCCTCTCATTTTCTATTTTCTGACTAAGAGTTTAGCTTTTAGAGCATTTTTTAAAATAGGGTTTTGTTTTTGTTTTTGTTTTTGTTTTAAAGAGGTAGGGTCTGTGTTGCCCAAGCTGGTCTTGAACTCCTGGCCTCACACAGTCCTCTTGCCTCGGCCTCACAAAGTGCTGGGACTACAGGTGTGAGCCACCGTGCCTGGCCTCTGTAGTTTTTTTTTTTTTTTCCTTTTAATAGGAATTCTTATAAAAATACAGTCACTTTTAAATACAATGATAATCATGGATTTAAAGTAGTGATTAAAAATAAATGAGTAGGCCAGGTGCAGGTAGCTCACGCCTATAATCCCAGAACTTTGGGAGGCCAAGGCGGGTGGATCACCTGAGGTCAGGAGTTTGAGATCAGCCTGGTCAACATGGTGAAACCCCGTCTCTACTAAAAATACAAAAAATTAGCTCGGCACAGTGGCAGGTGCCTATAATCCCAGCTACTCAGAAGGCTGAGGCAGAAGAATCGCTTGAACCCGGGAGGCGTTGCAGCGAGCTGAGAAAGCACCATTGCACTCCAGCCTGGGCTACAAGAGTGAAACTCCATCTTAAAAAATAAAATAAAAAGCCGAGTGCAGTGCCTCACACCTGTAATCCCAGTGCTTTGGGAGGATCGCTTGAAGCCAGGAGCTTGAGACCAGCTTTGGCAACACAGGGAGACCCCTGTCTCTATTAAAAAAAAAAAAAAGAAAAAATTAGTTGGGTGTGGTAGTGTGTGCCTATAGTCCCAGCTACTCAGGAGGCTGAGGCAGAAGGATCCTTTGAGCCCAGGAGATTGAGACCAGCCTGGGCATCATAGTAGGACCCTGTCTCTACAAATAAAGAAATTAGCTGGGCATGGTGGCATGTCCCTGCAGTCCCAGCTATTCTTGGGGCTGGGGTAGAAGGATCCCTTTGAGCCCCGGGAGGTCAACGCTATGGTGAGCTCTATGATTGCACCACTGCGCTCCAGCTTGGTCAACAGAGTAAGACCCTGTTTCTACAAAATAAAAGAAGTAATTGAATACATATATTCGTCATTTAGTGAAAAGAATTCACCTTTGAACGTTTACCTTCTTTCTTTGGTCTGTTCAGCAGCATTTGTTTCAATACACGCAAGTATAATTTTAGCCCCCATCGTCACTCAACAGCTAGTTTGGGCCAGGCCGCATTACAGACCTGTAGAGTCCTAGGCCTGCAGCAGTGTGTAATAAAACAGGAAGAATGCCTGCATCCCAGAGGACACAAACAGTCGACAGATAGAGTCTGGTAGTGTGTGTGTGTTGACTATTGGTGTGGAACAAATTACTACGGAGCTCAGTGGCTTAAAACAGTGAACATTTCGTAGTTCACAGCTCCTGTGAGCACAGGAGCAGCAGAGCAGGATAGTCCCGGCTCAATCTGGCAAGGCTGGAGCCACAGAAAGACCCAACTGGGGCAGGAGGCCTCGGGGCCATCAGCCACCACTTGGAACTGGCCACCGGGGCTGCTCTAGGGTCCTTGCATTGTGATGCAAGCAGCCCGTACTCTAGGAGAGGGCGAGGAGAAAGTCCCACAGCCTTTCCAGTCCTGGTCTTGGAAGCCACAGCCTTCACTTCCTCTCTATTCTGTTCATTTGAGTGAGGTGCTGAGTCCTGCCCACACTCAGCGTTTGGGGTGAGAATCACCCTCCACCTCTTAAAGGGACGAGTGTTAAAAGTGTTTGTGGACATATTTTTAAACGATCCCTGTACGTCAGATGGTAATAAGCATGGAAGTGGGACTCAGGGCGGCCCTGAGTTGTGGAGTGAGCAGGGAAATAAGAATTTTAAGAAGGGAGGCCAGGGAGTCAGTATAGTGAGGGTGACGTCTGAGCAGGGGCGTGAAGGAGGAAGGAGAAGGAGCACATGGAGCGTGTTCAGTGTATTGTTATGGAGTGCCAACAAGATTTGCTGAGGGATTGGATCCAGGGTGAGAAGGAAAGAGAGGAAGTCAAAGATGACTCCAAGCCTTTGGGCTTGAACAGCCGGAAGGATGGAGTCTGTTTTTTGAGATGAGGAAGACACTGGCTTAGAGGAGACTAGGAATTGAGCCAGGGCCATGTTCAGGTTGATGGGACTGTCAGCTGTCCAGGGGAGGTGGCAGGTTGGCTGTTGAATATCACAGTCTGGAACCCAAGAGACATCTAGAACTAGAGATGAAAATTGGGGCATTTTGCGCATATGGATGGTATTAAGAAACATGAGACAAGATGACACCACCTCATGGGTGCCTGGATGGAGACAAGGTCTAAGAATGGAGCTCTGGGGTGCTCCAAGGCCATCGGTGGGGAGACTGGGAAGGAATGAGACAGAGGCATGACCAGCGAGGGGTAGGGTCCTGGGACCAACTGGGTAGAGTGCTCAGGGAAGAGAGGAGAGCAGCGGAGCCCACCCTGCTGATGGGCCAGGTCAGGTGGGAGACGGGACAAAGGGACAGCTGGTGGCCTTAGTAACGGGGAGCACGTTGGAACTGCCATAGAATAGTCCCGCTGGCAGGGAAGTAAGCGCTGAAAGCTGGCCTGCAGCAAGGTCTAGAGAAGTGGGGAGAGGAAGACAGAATGGAGGTGGCTCACCAGGATCTTTTACTCTGGTTGGGAGCAAAACAGTGGAGGCGTGGGTGAAAGGAGACCCGCCCGGGCAGGGACTGGGGAAGGGCCTTGGTTTCTGCCGTGGTGTTTTAAGGTGAGATGGGGGAGAAGATGTCCTTATGCTAATGGGACGAGCTAGTGGAACTTGCTTATCCAGAGAGGGAGCTGTGATGGCCGGAGATCCGGGTGTGAGCCAGGGCTTGAGGCTGCTGCCCAGCAGGTGGGGCTGACCTCAGAGAGGAGGAAGGCCGAGTGCAGGCCTTGGTTTTGTCTCCATGAAATGGGAAGGTCGCCAGTTGGGAGTGAGAATGGGAGAGGAGGTGTTGGGGGCTTGAAGAGTGAGGTGGCATGAAAGAATCACCCCTGGGGGGATTGCGTAGGTCCCGGCACACACACTTTTCCCTCTGCATTCTGATGACATACATAATGCCTCAGTCAGACACGGCCACTCAGCACTGAGCTGCCCATGCCGCATACACTGCCATTCTTGAGGTTGCCCTTGATTCTCTCAGTTGCTGCTGCCCTCCTTTTCCTCGTTCGAGCTTGGTAGTGCCAGCCTCAGGTAGGGCGGGATGTGGACACGCAGGTTGGTTAGAGGGAACTTGAAAACACTTATGAAATTTACGGCAACTGAGTGAACTCAGTTGATATGGATTTAAATCTTTTTTATTTCTGTAACTTTCCAGTAGCATGTATAATTGGAGTAAGGTGTATTTTTTTATTGATCCATATTAAGTATACATATTTTGGGGATATATGTGATAATTTGATACATTCGTATAATTAAATCAGGGTAATTGGGATATCCATCACCTTACGTATTTCTCTTTTCTTTACACTAGGAACATTCAAGTTATTCCCTTGCAGCTATTTTGAAATGTACCACCTTTTTTTTTTTTTTTTTTTTTTTTTTTTTGAGGCAGAGTCTCTTTCTGTCGCCCAGGCTGGAGTGCAGTGGCGCGACCTGGACTCATTGCAACTTCCACCTCCCAGGTTCAAGCAATTCTCCTGCCTCAGCCTCTCCAGTAGCTGGGATTACAGGCATGAGCCACTACACCTGGCTAATTTTTGTATTTTTAGTAGAGATGGGGTTTCGCCATGCTGGCCAGGTTGGTCTCGAACTCCTGACCTCAGGTGATCACCCACCTCAGCCTCCCAAAATGCTGGGTTTACAGGTATGTGCCACCACGCCTGGCGTGTATCACCTAGTAATGTTAACTTTAGTCACCCTGCTGATCTGTCCAACACCAGGTCTTATTTCTTCTAAGGCTATATTTGCAGCCATTGATCAGCCTCTCTTCATCCTCCCCCTGCCCACCCTTCCCGGCTGATTTTCGGTTTTTGTTTCTGACTCTGCCATCTCCCAGTTGTGTATTTCGCCATGGAAATGCCACATGTCCATGTTAGGGCGTTAATATCACAAGGGTCCAAGGAATGGATTGTTGCCCTCCCCAATTTCTTAAATACTGCCTGCTTCATGTCAGTACCTTATAAGCATGGCCCATCTTTCTAAAATCTTTTGGGCTTTCATTAAAGAATTCCTAAATTTCCGATAGATTTATGTTTCTACAACTAATGTTGTTACTTTATCTACTGAGATTTGGTTTTCTTGTTTATAGGTACAAACTCTTAATGAGCAGGATTGGGAACGTGCCCAGCAAGCTAGTGTCTTGGCAAATGTAGCACAAGCATTCGAGAGTGATGCTGACGTGTCTGATGGTGAAGATGACAGGGACACTCTCCTCAGCTCAGTTGACCTGCTATCGCCCAGCGGGCAGGCCGACGCGCACACACTAGCCATGATGCTTCAGGAGCAGCTGGACGCCATCAACAAAGAGATCAGGTGTGTGCAACCGTGCATGACACTCACCACACGCATGGGTGTCTCTGAGGAATCTCATCTTGCCTGGAAAAGTCTGGATGAAATACTATTAACATTTTCTAAGTATTACATAATAATAGAACTTACTTAACTTCTGTTTTAAGAATTTTAAGGTCTGAAATTGCCCTTGAATATAAAATTCAGGTAACCAGGGCACTCTCCCCACAGTTACGGCACTAGTACCTTTCTGTAGGACATTGTGGGACCTGAGAGGTCCTTCCCCTGAGAAGCTCGCCACATAGCTGGAGGGTGCTGAAGGGGCTCAGCCCAGCTCCCACTGCCGTCCTGAAAGCTGCACCTGGAAGGCCACATGAGCTGAGCACATCTGGAGGAGGCTGATCGGCCTACCTTCCTGATCCAGAGTGCAGATGAAAGGTGTGCACGGTGGTGGGCTGGGAAGAGATGACGGACTGAAGCCTGCCTTGAATGAATAGCAGTGGCTGCCTCCACAGGCCAGTGCCACTCACCAGAGAGACCAGCACTCAGAACACATGCACACCGGAGCGGGCGCATATGGTGGGAAGCGGGAGGAAGGGTTGCTTATCAACCCTCTTCTGGTCTTAGTGTCCCTCCTTGACCCTGAACCCTGAAAGGAGCGCGTTGCTATCACCTGCCGCATGTGCAGCCTCCTGCACAGAAGAGGCTGTGTGTAGTGACGTTTAAAAGTGTAGAACGTTTACCTTCTTACTTTGGTCTGTTCAGCAGCGTTTGTTTCAATACACGCAAGTATAATTTTAGCCCCCATCGTCACTCAACAGCTAGTTTGGGCCAGGCCCCATTACAGACCTGTAGAGTCCTAGGCCTGCAGCAGTGTGTAATAAAACAGGAAGAATGCCTGCATCCCAGAGGACACAAACAGTCGACAGATAGAGTCTGGTAGTGTGTGTGTGTTGACTGTTGGTGTAGAACAAATTACTACGGAGCTCAGTGGCTTAAAACAGTGAACATTTCGTAGTTCACAGCTCCTGTGAGCACAGGAGCAGCAGAGCAGGACAGTCCCGGCTCAATCTGGCAAGGCTGGAGCCACAGAAAGACCCAACTGGGGCAGGAGGCCTCGGGGCCATCAGCCACCACTTGGAACTGGCCACCGGGGCTGCTCTAGGGTCCTTGCATTGTGATGCAAGCAGCCCGTACTCTAGGAGAGGGCGAGGAGAAAGTCCCACAGCCTTTCCAGTCCTGGTCTTGGAAGCCACAGCCTTCACTTCCTCTCTATTCTGTTCATTTGAGTGAGGTGCTGAGTCCTGCCCACACTCAGCGTTTGGGGTGAGAATCACCCTCCACCTCTTAAAGGGACGAGTGTTAAAAGTGTTTGTGGACATATTTTTAAACGATCCCTGTACGTCAGATGGTAATAAGCATGGAAGTGGGACTCAGGGCGGCCCTGAGTTGTGGAGTGAGCAGGGAAATAAGAATTTTAAGAAGGGAGGCCAGGGAGTCAGTATAGTGAGGGTGACGTCTGAGCAGGGGCGTGAAGGAGGAAGGAGAAGGAGCACATGGAGCATGTTCAGTGTATTGTTATGGAGTGCCAACAAGATTTGCTGAGGGATTGGATCCAGGGTGAGAAGGAAAGACAGGAGTCAGAGATGACTCCAAGCCTTTGGGCTGAACAGCTGGAAGGATGGAGTCTGTTTGTTGAGATGAGGAAGACACTGGTTTAGAGGAGACTAGGAATTGAGCCAGGGCTGTGTTCAGACCAGCCTTGGCAACATAGGAAGACCTCATCTCTACAAAAAAAATTAAAAAAAATGAGCCAGGTATGGTAGTGCATACCTGTCACACCAGCTACTTGGGAGGCTGAGGCGGGAGGATCCCTTGAGCCCAGGAGTTCGAGGCTGCAGCGAGCTGTGATCATGCTGCTGCCCTCCAGCCAGGATGACAGAGTGAGATCTGTCTCAAAAAATATAAAAATTAGGCCAGGCACTGTGATGAGTGTGCGTACATCAGAGCCTCACATGTTCAGGTCCCGTCACACAGTGGCCTGGTACAGAACACTGGAGCTCTTCAGGAGTGCACGGCTCCACTCCAGTGTTCCTTTCCCTGTGTGAAGTTAACATGGACAGTGAGTGCTCAGATTGCAGGTTTGAATCTTTCTTGTCTCGTCAGTATTTTAAAGGGTTTTTCTTTAGCAACTTTAGCAGTTATAATGCAGAACTTACAAAACGGGCCAACTGTAGAATGGAATCCAAGAATTGCTTTTATATTTATGAAGAGACCGGTAAACCCTGCCCACGCTGGCTTGGCCTAGGGACACAGCAGTGTGACCAGGGGGTGCCTGGGATCTACCCTCGGGCCCTGGCCTGACGTGCTGCTTGGCTAGCCTGAATCCAAGGGAGGAGCAGGTGTGTGTGTGGAGTCCTGCAGCAGGTCTGGGTGGGGTGCTGCCACGACTTGCTTGTGAAGTTTACGTGGGTGGAGGTGCCAGTCCTGGTCAGAGAGAACAGGAGGTAAAGAAGAGAAGGTTGAGAGAAACATCAACAAGAGCTGTGTTACTCCAGCTTTTTTTTTTTATTAAAAAGAAAAAAATAGGGCTGTACATTCTGAAGTAAGAAGTTGGTGTGCTGCCTGTGTTTTTGACTTTATAACTCCCATTTCATGTGCCACCTTGAAAACTGGCGAAGAGACCTCTGCAGCATCTGTTGCCAGGCATGGGGGCCCTTTGAAGGAGGAGGTGCAAAATAATTAGTGTGATGAAGCGTTCAGAAAGATCGTCTTTCCTCATCATTATGGGAGCTGGGAAAGGATTATATACCTTTTGTTTTTATTTCTTATGATGTATAGCTAGATAAAAGTGTTTCCTCTTTATGCAGAAAGTTGACCTGATGTAAGTGTTCTGTCCACTGACTTGTGGATTTTCTTCTATTAATAATGATCAAAAAGCACTTTTCTTAGAAATGTAAGTAGAACTTTAATTGGAAGGGTTATTGCAAGGTTTCTATATTTTAATACTAGAATAATTATTATTGGCACAGTCAAATATTAAAACTGCTGTCTAGTGATCCATGACACTCTAGGAGAGAGGAGCGTTAATCTTGAATTCCAAATTAATGTAGCATGGTTGGCATGAATCCAGAAATTTACATGAGGATGGTAGAGAATCCCATCAGATAACGCTCTGGTTCAAATTTAAACTAAAAAAAAGAACCAACTCAATATTTTCGTTTAGTCTAAACAGTTAAGTGTTGGGAAACTCCTAATTGTTTTGTGCATCTGTTCTTTATATTAGAGTTCCTGATTTCCAGTTGAAGAAATCTGTAGATTTCTTCAGCTTTGCTCTAAGAATAGGGGAGATAAGGGTCATAAAATTTTAAAATATCACTTAGTAAGGAAATTATTAATTGCAACCATAGGAAAAATTGCCATCCAGCCTTCTCCAGAATTTTTGTGTAAATAAGTAAAATCAAATGTTAATGATATCCAGAACCAACAAGACTCAATGGAAGGTTTACTTTTTGTTGTTGTAAGATGTAGTATATTAAAAAAGATTGAGGCCAGTGTGGTGGCTCATGCCAGTAATCCCACCACTTTGGGAGGAGGCTGAGGTTGGAGGATGTCTTGAAGTCAGGAGTTTGAGACCAGCCTTGGCAACATAGGAAGACCTTGTCTCTACAAAAAAAATTTTAAAAGATGAGCCAGGCGTGGTAGTGCATACCTGTTGCCCCAGCTACTTGGGAGGCTGAGGCAGGAGGATCCCTTGAGTCCAGGAGTTCGAGGCTGCAGTGAGCTGTGATCATGCTACTGCACTCCAGCCGGGATGACAGTGTGAGACCCTGTCTGAAAAAATAAAAAATTTGGCCAGGAGCTGTGGCTCGCGCCTGTAATCCCACTACTTTGGGAGGCCGAGGCAGGCGGATCACGAGGTTGGAAGTTCGAGACCAGCCTGGCCAACATGGTGAAACCCCGTGTCTACTAAAAATACGAAAAATTAGCCGGGCATGGTGGCACGCGCCTGTAATCCCAGCTACTCAGGAGGCTGAGGCAGGAGAATTATTTGAACCCAGGAGGCAGAGGTTGCAGTGAGCCGAGATCGCGCCACTGCACTCTAGCCTGGGCAACAGAGCGAGACTCCATCTCAAAAGAAAAATAAATAAATAAAAATTTAAAAAGAGTAGAACATTTTTGCTGAAGTGTTCATTGTTTGAGCAGCTTATTACTGGAGTTTACTCATAGTAATACAGAGTATAAGCATGGTTTTTCTCATGCAAACACATTAATCTGTTTGCCGAAACAGGAGGACTGACTGCTTTTGTTTTATTTTAGGTTGATTCAGGAAGAAAAAGAAAATACAGAGCAGCGGGCAGAGGAGATTGAAAGTCGAGTTGGCAGTGGAAGTCTAGACAATCTTGGTCGTTTTAGATCAATGAGCTCCATTCCCCCCTACCCTGCTTCCTCGCTTGCTAGCTCCTCCCCTCCGGGCAGTGGGCGCTCCACCCCACGAAGGATCCCTCACAGCCCAGCTCGGGAAGTGGACAGACTGGGCGTCATGACCCTTGTACGTATCCGCCCTTTCCCTGCTGTGGCTGCCCTCAGCATACCTGTATGAAATCTTGGACACTACAAATCTACCCACAAGAAAATCAAGTACATTCGTTATTCTAAGAGGTTCAAGATTATAAAAACTAGTTACTATTTAATCATTCAGTTATGACAAACTAATTTTAATATCTGGGGCCGGGCGTGGTGGCTCATGCCTGTGATTCCTCACACTTTGGGAGACTGAGGTGGGCAGATCACTTGAGCCCAGGAGGTCAAAACCAGCTGGGCAACATGGCAAAACCCCATCTTTACAAAAAGTAGCTGGGCCTGGTGGTGTGTGCCTGTAGTCCCAGCTACTCTGGAGGTTGAGGTGGGAGGATCACCTGAGCCCAGGAGGTCGAGGCTACAGTGAGCCATGATTGCATCACTGCCCTCCAGCCTGGGCAGCAGAGTGAGACCCTGTCTCAAAACAAATCCCAAAAAATATAAAAAAAAATTTTAATATTTGGATGACCAGGCTAGCATTACACCATTTGTTTGTGTGACATTAGGCATGACATCTGTGCAAAGTACAGCAGCCAGAAGGGGAAATATTTTCTGTTTTATAGGAAAAACCACTTAGCAAAAGTAAATAAAGGCAGACATCAGAGCATATGGGAAAATGCACAAAGTGGGTCAGTGCATTTCTTTCCTTTCGGAGTGCCCAACCAGCTTCCTGGGCATCTACTACCAAAAAAAAAAAAAAAAAAAAAAGGAAAAACATGAAATGGGTTCTGCATTTGAAGCCGTGAACAAGCCAGCTGCTTCGTGGCTCCCTAAGGAAGCAGATGGGCTTCTTCCCTTCACAGCTTAGGGTCACCTCTCACCTGGAAATGCAATGACCTTCTGGTGTTTGGTGTTTGCAAAGTGTGCAGATCTGAGGAATGTTTAAAACTTTCCTTTGGGCCTGGCATGGTATTTCACGCCTGTAATCCCAGCACTTTGGAGAGGCCAAGGTGGGAGGATTGCTTGAGCTAGGAGTTAAGAGACCAACCTGGGCAACATAGTGAGAACCCCATCTTTATCTAAAAAAAAACCAAACTATCTTGTATATTTAGAATTTGTCAGTGTGTTGTCAATGAAATATTTCATATTTACACCATTTGCTTTTTAACTGTGCTTCTATCATATTTTTTCCCGTTACCATCTATTTTCGTTTTTAGTTGTGTTGTTAGCCAGCATGCAATTAAATCGACGGTGAATCATTTTAGTGGCATATGAGGTGGTAACTAGTCTATTTTGCAGTGTTTTGAAATACTGTTTTTATAATTTACATCATCTACTAATTAGGTAACATTTTAAACTCTTTGACTGTTTTATTTGTGGGCTTGTGCTTATTTCTGTCCAGAGAATTCGTAAAAACAGTTGTGTATGTATATATATTTTTTCTGGTTTTGTAATTCTGTATGCTGGCTGACAGTCTCTATGCTTCCGTCATTGGTTTTGATTTCCTGTCATCCTTTTGTTTTATTATTTTAGCCATCTCCAGATTCATTTTTAATCCAGACCTCAGGTCCCCATCAGTCAGTAGTTTACTCATCCACCTCCCCTCCCAGTTCCACCCCATGCTATAGCGATTCTTCACAGCATGCTCAGGTAACCACGCAACTGTGTGTGTTCGATCATGTTTGTGAGTTTGTGCTGTGATGACTTTATTAATGGGTTGTTTTTTTCTCAGTTAAAAGTATCTTTTTCTCAATGGTAATTTAAATTAGTGTATTACTATATAGTAAGTATGGATACAGGCAAGACATAGGTGTTTAAGAGTTTTTTTACTCAAATTATGTAGGATTTGTGTAATTCATAAGTGTTTCCTACATAACTAATCTAAGCGTAGAATTAATGGAAGCTGTTTACACAAACAGTATGCTTTCTGGTTCTGATGATTGTGTTCAAGACTGTAAATCTCATCAGCCTGTTGAGTCTCATCAACTATCTCTAATAGGTTATTTTTAAATTAAAATATCTTATGTGAATCATAGGATGGATGTAAAGATTCTACCTAATATTATGCTAGCTTTTGTTCTTATATATTTTCACAGGATACCTTGCTTTAAGCAATAAATTTATTTTTGAAAAGTGGTAAATCAAATTCTAGGTAAGGATTTTACATTAATGTCCAACAGGTGATTAACTAAAAGTAGGTTTGTTCAGTTTTATAATTGGTATTGCAGTAACTTCCTCATCCGTTGGAATATTTTTAATTATAACATGGATTTTATTAAAGAAAACTAAGTTATAGAGAGGTTTGGCTTAGAATAGATGATTGTTAGGGCCTTTTATTATATAGAATGCCATATTTTAATAAAACACATGAAATAGAATTTTATCTAAGTAATAATTTATAGTGTTTCTCTAATAAACCTTTAATAACTTATATTTAAATTTTTTGGTGAAAAAATGGTTCTGTATCCAGTTACATTTTCTCTAAATCCTGTCTCCTGTCATTTCTATTTTAATATATTTGCTTATACTGATCCTTGAATTTTTAACTTCAAAGTGTATATAGTAAATCTGGTTTCTCTTCATTTCTTTGCATGCATCTATCAGCCTAGTGATTTAAGGAAACATCGTAGAAAGGTAAATTGTTTAGTAATTTAACATATCTTTGTATCTCCATAATGTATTGAAGAGTACCTATCATATTTTCCATAAATGTAGCATTATGTAGTTGTATAATAATGAATGGTTGGCGTTTTAATGGAAGTGTTTAAAGTGACCTAGCACCTTACTGACAATTGTTCTATTGGAAATTGGTCATTAGCGGTTTTCACAGAACACTGGGACAAATGTAACAGCTTGCCATTCTCTCACCTTTTCAGCCTTCTGATCATTACATGCTTATTCATAGATGTAGTAGTTTTAAAAATAAGAAATTACTAGTGCAAAGCTATAGAATGTAGATGCGGGGGGACCCATTTTCATAATAATCACAGCTAGCATTGGGCTCTTGCTGTATGCCAGGCACTGTGCTGAGTGCTTTCCCAGTCTGGTATAGGCTGAGTGTCCCTGATCTGAGATGCTTAGGGCCAGAGGTATTTCAGATTTCAGATTTGTTTAAATTTTGAAATATTTGCATTACACTTACTAGTTGAGCCTCTCAAATCTGAAAATCCAAAATCTGAAATGCTCCATTGACCATTTCCTTCAAGCATCATGTCAGCACTCAAATTATAGATTTTGGAGCATTTTGAATATCAGATTTTTGGGTTTGGGATGCTCAACCCGTATTTAATCCCCATACACATCCCTGTGAGGTTACTGTTGTTATCCCCATTTTACAGATGTGGAAACTAAAGCTTAGAGAGGCCCCACAGTGCACAGTGCAGATTTGAGTTCAGATTTGTCTGATTTCAAAACCTGACAGTTGACCACTTCACCATCTAGCCTTACTTGTCTCAGATACTCTGACCTCCCTGGCAGCGTTCCTACAGAAGGAGGTCCAAGGCCACTTCTCTTTAGAGATAACTGTGGATTGGGCCTTCCTGTTCTCGAAGGAAGTAGAGTACATTAGGAGGAGATCTGCTCAGCAGCTGTTCTTTATGTTGACCCCAAATCTCTCCCTCATAACTTTCATGCTCTGGTCTGTATTCTGTGCCCCTGTTTGAAACCCGCCTGATGGTGCAGTGACTGGACAGCTCTTCAGAGATACCTAAAGGCAGCTGTCCTCTGACAAAAGTGTGGGACCTGGTCAGCAGCTGTCTGTGAGCTGCTCTGTTGAGTGATTTAGTGAAACTGCTTGGGTTCAGATCCTAGTTCAGTCACTGATGAGTTTGTGACCTGGAGTCTGTTTGTACCTTGGTTTACTCTCCTGAGAAGTGAAGATAATGATAGAACAGTGCCACTTAAAGTGGCATTGGACCTGTGGCTGTCTGTGGTGAGATAAGGAGCTTACACCAGCAGCAACAAGACACAGAGCACGGCCTTCAGTTCAGCTGACTTCTGTTGGATTGTTTTTTCTTTATTTTTTGATAGCAAGATTTTCTCAGTGAAGGAAGTAGCATGTTGATTGACACTTAGGCATGATAACCTGGCCCTGTTGGTCACTGGTAACTTCAGCGTGCTACTTGGTGTCTTTGAGGAGCCTAGGCCTCGGGTGGTTGTGAGGTTAAACCAGGGGTGCGTGCAGAGTGCCAGGCCTTGTCTACAAGAGACTGTCGCCTTCCTTCTCTGTGTCAGTGGTGTTGGTGTAGACCAAGAGGACTTCCCTGCTTTCTAGTAGGCCTGAGCTGGGATGGAGGCAGAAGTCTGGCACGTGACAGCACTACAGCGTGTGGAGGGGTGCGGAGGGCGGCGTGTGGAGGGGTGGGAGGGCGGCGTGTGGAGGTGTCGGAGGGCGGCGTGTGGAGGGGTGGGAGGGCGGCGTGTGGAGGTGTCGGAGGGCGGCGTGTGGAGGGATGAGGAGGGCAGCGCTGGCCAGGCTCACGGGGCTTTCCCCAGACCCTGTTACCAGCTTATAGCTGGCTGCGTGTCAGCTTTCTCTGTACTCTGTTTTTGGTTTTGTTTTTTTAAAACAGATGATTGTTTTAACCTGAATTTTGAAACTTAAGCTTCATATTGATAATTTCTAGCTTTGAAAGCCTTTCATTGTTTTGTGATTGCAACTGGAAATTAGGAAAGGATGCAGGATTCATTTGCATTTTAACTGTTAGTTGAGATTCTGTCCTAAATGAGCACAGCTCCATTTTGCATTGAATGCACTTGGTCCTCCCTGAGCCACAGTGGGGCTACAGTAGGATTGATACACTTTACACAATCCCATTTAAGAAGCAGAAATTCAAACTGAGCCCAGTGGTACGTGCTTGTAGTCCCACCTACTTTGGAGGCCGAGGCAAGAATCAGTTGAGCACAGGAGTTTGAGGCTGCACCGCACCATGATCACACCTGCAAATAGCCACTGCAGTCCAGCCTGGAATCACAGCAAGAACCTGGCTCTTAAAATTTATTTTTAATAAAATAAAGTTCACTGTTCAAGTCTTGCTGTTTATAGTAATGCTTGCTGAACATGTTTTATGAAATCCAGTCCCACTCAAAACCAGAAAACACAAATGTATAAGCAGGATCTGCCTAGACCCTGCAGGGGTGAGTCTGTTCACTGTTGTTAACCACCATCCTGCTCCCTCAGCACATGGGCGTATTCACGTTCCACTGCAAAAACAAAAAAACCCTGGGAGTCTGACAAAGATCATCTTGTAATGATAAGCCTAGAAGTATTTTCTTTTAAGCTATATTGAACAAAAATGTTTAAACTGCATAAAAGTGCTTGAATTTATAGTGTCCATCCAAACATTGAGAAATATGAGCCATACACATGTGTATGGGGGTCATGGGCTGTTCCTTGTTTATTTTTACCCCGTTCAGACAAAAAAGGTATTTGACAATTTTGCCCAAGTGGTTTCTTGCCCTCTCTAGTGTTTCTTTTGAAGGACATCAGGAGATAAACGTATTTGTTACTGGCTCTTCATTAGTGCAAGTTAATGCTGTCTCACATTTGTAACGATGTGGTTTATCGGTGTTGTTCAGATCTCTGCTGCCCCTTCAGAGACTGTCCTCATGATGTGCCTAGGATTCCGGGGAGGGCAGAACCTTGGGCTGCATGGAGGAGGCTGAGGATGAGGGGCATACCTGTGTCCTGTTGGGCCCCAGCGCACGCTCGTGGGGAGGCAGACCAGGAGTCTGACAACTCTGTGGTGCTGTGCTGCGTGGCCCTTCAGAATGGTGCCAGACTGAAACAAGACTTTCTGTGCTGGCAGAAAGCACAGCAAATCGATTTTCAAAGAAGTTTATGGCTATAATTTAAGGCCTGAGTTTTTCACAGTCTGCTGTTAACTAACTTTGCACTTCTCTCACCCCTCAGTTGCCACCTTCCAGAGAAGAGGTACGAGATGACAAGACAACCATAAAGTGTGAAACCTCCCCGCCTTCCTCCCCGAGAGCCCTTCGGTTAGACCGGCTGCACAAAGGGGCGCTGCACACCGTCAGCCACGAGGACATCAGGGACATAAGGAAGTAAGGAGCCTGCAGCAGCCCCATGCAGAGCGCACCTGTCTTTTCGTTTCTGGTGTTGAGAAATCGACAAATCTTTCCTTGAGTAAAACAGTGATTTTGTAGAATTACCCATTAATTCAGTTGAGTGTATTTACATGTTACACTTAGAATGCTTACCACTGCTCTGGGCTATAGTGAAATCCAGCAGAAGATGCATATCTGTTTGGGCAAGCTTAGTTTGGAAAGAAAGGAGTTAAATGATATCAGCAAGTTTTGGAAAAACTTCATGTCTTCAGAGTCTATAAATTGACTACTTTCTATTCTTGATGGAGAGTTTGGCAAGCAGATGACAGGCTTGGTATTGGAACCGCTCTCTAGGACAACCCGTGCCTTTCTTGTGCCTTTTGTAAACTGTGGAGAGTTCCAAGTTGTACTTACCAATTTAGTGAGTGTCCCCTCTCAGGAAACCAATCAGCTGTTTTGTTACTAGTATGCTATCTATGCTATCTTTTTTTTTCTTTTTGAGATAGAGTCTTGCTCTGTTGCCCAGGCTGGAGTACAGTGGCATGATCTTGGCTCACCACAACCTTCACCTCCCGAGTAGCTGGAACTACAGGCGCACACCACCATGCCCGGCTAATTTTTGTATTTTTAGTAAAGATGGGGTTTCACCATGCTGGCCAGGCTGGTCTCGAACTCCTGAGCTCATAATCTGCCCGCCTCGGCCTCCCAAAATGCTGGGATTACAGGCGTGAGCCACCGCGCCCGGCCCCTCTTTTTTTAAATTCCATTGGATTTCGGTTCTGTGCCAGGCAATATGCAGGGGAGGCATGTATATTAATTTTTGCAGTAACCCCTCAGGCAGTTAACATTGCCACGGTTCTCAGCTGAGTAGAGTAATGCTCAGGGCGGTTGTGGGAGCTGCTGGAGGGGAAGCAGGCAGACCATTGGGCTTTGGCACCTGATGGCGCGGAGTCAGGGCCTCCCCTGAAGGGGAGGGGAGCTCCATGTCAGAGAGAGTCTCAGCTGCCCAGAATGGGTCTCCGCGCTGGCCTCGCCGGGAGTCTGCCTTTATCATGCATGATGCACTTGGTGAGGAAGATGTGTGTGAAAGAGACTGGAAGTGCTTGTAGGGAAGTTTGCGACTGTTAATATGTGAAGTATCCTACAAGGGCACATAGTAAAGATCCGTTTTCTTTCCTCGAAGCTCCACAGGCTCCCAGGATGGTCCCGTGAGCAACCCCAGCAGTAGCAACAGTAGCCAGGACTCGCTCCACAAAGCCCCAAAGAAGAAAGGCATTAAGTCCTCCATTGGCCGCTTGTTTGGCAAGAAAGAAAAGGGCCGACCTGGACAAACTGGCAAAGAAGCATTAGGACAAGGTTGGTTGGTTTTCCGCACCCTTCTCAGCACCCAGGGGTCGGGGAGGAAGGCACTGCCTTCGGTGCCATCAGTTCCCACGCGGTGCTCCAGGAGCCGTGTGCTCTCCAGGGAGCAGCAGCTGTGAAGGCATGGGAGCTAGAGAGCAGCAGTTTATGCTCACTTGCCACTCAGGTACAACACATTTCCTGTCTTGAGCATTTCCGTCTTGGGCATTTGGTTGTCTAGTCAGAAACTTAGCCTTAAGAAATGATTTAAATCTGAACCTGCAAATATTCATCTGCCTATTTATGAAAACATAGAGCTTTGTCATGCTGATTTTTACTTCTGGGCTGTTCTGCTTCCTCACAGCTGGTGTTTCCGAGACGGATAACTCATCTCAGGATGCCTTGGGACTTAGCAAATTGGGGGGACAGGCTGAAAAAAATCGTAAACTTCAAAAAAAGTAAGCTTTGTGTTATTTCTTCATCTCATTGAATGGTTTTCAGTTGTGCCTAAGCTCTAACTAGTGTTTGTTAATTATAATAGCTAGCTATGTATATATACATTATATTCTGAAAGCTTTACCTACAGCCTTAATTAAGCCGTACTTTCTGGAAGATTTAGTGTTTGTGAAATTTCGAAGAAACTCACACTGGTATCCCTATCATCTTGGAAAGCTGTCCAACCAGGAGATAGGGTGGGTGAGAGTTGGACTCAGCTGCCTGAGCACTGGAGTCGGCCCTGGCGCCTGCCCAGGTTCACTTTGTGACGTTGAGGAAGTGGCCTAGCATCTCTGTGCTTCAGTTTTCTCATCTGTAAAGTGGGGATCCTAGTAGTACATACCTTGTATGGCTTTTATGAGAATTAAATGGGATAATGTGCATACAGTTCTTTAAACAGTACCAGCAAGTCATAAACAAGTTGTAGCTGTGGCCAGTGCAGCGACTGTTGCTTGCCAGCATTCAGGATTTGCTCTTCATACTGCTGGTCTGTCCGAAACAGTCGCCATGCTGCATTTTTCTCTCTTCCGTAGATCGGGTAGTTTTATCTCAAATAGACTCCTGATTTTATAGCCCGTTTATTCAGCTTTAATTCTAAACTAAGTCTGCTTCTGACAATAAGCTCTAATATTTGGGATGGCTTTGAACAAAGGAGAACAGGCATTGTGATGCCCCAGGGTGAGGACGTGGAGGAATCGGGTTTCTGTCCCTGGGCCTTCTGGGATGCGGGGTGAGTTGCGTGTTGGCTGACTGTAGATGAAGTAGATAGGCTGAGACAGTGCCCAAGTGAGCCAACAAATGTAGAACAAAACTAAACCCAGTTCTGCAATAAAATAGGCAGTTTGTGTAGTCCATGGGATAAGGGCTGAGCTTGAGCAATGTGGAAGATGGTAATGCCAGGCTTACAGGGTGAAACTTGACGGGCTGTATGATGACTGTGACTGTGGGAAAAATCATCTGGCCACTTTTAAGTGCCCTGAGAAACCAGTGCTCATCTGGAAATTGGGGCCCAAAGATGCACCAGAGCCTATGGGGACCCTCTCCCCTAGAGGCCCCTTTGCCTTTAGCCCCTAGAGTTGCCAGCTGATTTTTTTCTGTTGTGAAATCTATCTCATTTTAGTTTTCTTTTCAAAGCCTTTATAAATGCTGTATTGATTATATTTTAGGTAAAATGCTTTTATGTTAACAGTACCATAGGAATACTCAGTTTTTTGGTTCCCTGTAAATGGAAATTTATAGAAACCACGTAACAGCAAAATCTGATTTGAACATTGCTATGCTTGAACTGTGTAAGAATTTTTTTTTTTTTTTTTGAGATGGAGTCTCGCTCTGTCACCCACGCTGGAGTGCAGTGGCGCAATCTCAGTTCACTGCAAGCTCTGCCTCCTGGGTTCACACCATTCTCCTGCCTCAGCTTCCCGAGTAGCTGGGACTTACAGGCGCCCGCCACCACACCCGGCTAATTTTTTGTATTTTTAGTAGAGACGGGGTTTCACCATGTTAGCCAGGATGGTCTTGATCTCCTGACCTCGTGATCTGCCCGCCTCAGCCTCCCAAAGTGCTGGGATTACAGGCGTGAGCCACCGCGCCCAGCCAAGAATGTTTTCAAATAACTTGGGTAATTGCCATTTGGCCCTGTGAAACTTAATGTTAGAGCTAAACTTTCTGCCTCCTGGAAACATGCTAGGAAAATTTCATTCCTTAGATTTTGCTAATGTTACTGTTTTTATGATAGTAAGTATGAGGAAGTGAAATAAAACTTCTCTGTCCTTTATGTTGTGCTTGGGATCCATGTGGAAGTTCTGAAATGTACCAGCTCCTTAGTGGGGAAAATTTCCAAGTACAAAGATTATTTGTCTGACTATAGAGGGCAGTTTCGTTTCTTTCACTTAAACTGAGATAAAACTGATTTTAGAAAAAGTGCTTTATTTATTGATTGATTGATTGAGACGAAGTCCCTCACTCTGTCGCCCAGGCTGGAGTGCAATGGCACGATCCTGGCTCACTGCAACTTCCGCCTCCTGGGTTCAAGTGATTCTCCTGCCTCAGCCTCCCAGCAGCTGGAATTACAAGCGTGTGCCACCGTGCCCAGCTAATTTTTTTGAATTTTTAGTAGAGATGGGGTTTCACCATGTTGGCCAGGCTTGTTTCGAATTCCTGACCTGAAGCGATCTGTCCACCTCGGCCTCCCAAAGTGTTGGGATTACAGGCGTGAGCCACCACGCCTGGCCTAAAATGTCTACATATAAATGTGAAAAAAAGTTTGCGTTTTCCAGAAAAAGTATTGTGTGAATACAGTTTAATATTTATGCCATCTTAAGAACGAACGTATATTTCTCAGAATTATTTTCTTCTTATTAACCCCTGATTTAACTCAAAGGTGTGTTTTAACTGCAAAATTTACACAGCCAGATGCTTTCACTTACAGAGAACTTAAGGAATCTGGTGAGTTTGGTGGCAAGCTGATTTCAAGTTTTGTAAGACACAGCATGGTGGGCGCGTTTGGTGCCTGGGATACGTAGTAATGAACCCGCAAGTCGGGGCTGGCTGTCCTAGAGCCATTCGTCAGCTTTGATAGCGCATAGTGCCTCCACAGCACTTTTAGAATTCCCCAGCGTTCTTGAAACACCATCTCTTGAAGTAACCTTGCTTTTAAAGTGTTCCCTTTTCATGTTCTCCTTTTTGTCTTCGTAGTGCTTTCTCAGGGTAAGCAGACTCGGGAGATTTGCTGGGCTGAGTGTGGGCAGTCACCAGCCACAGGCTCTATGCTGAGCTTCCTGAGAGGATCTTTTTATTTTTTTATTTTTGCCCTTGCAAAATAAAAGAAGGCCCTTGCACCGTTGCCCAGGCTGAAGTGCAGTGGCGCGTTCACCACTCACTGCAGCCTTGACCTTTATTTTTAGTAGAGACAGAGGTCTCAATATGTTGACCAGGCTGGTCTTGAACTCCTGGCCTCAAGTGATCTTCCTGCCTCTGCCTCTCAAAGTGTTGGGATTACAGGCATGAGCCACCACACCTGGCCCAAGGATCTTTTTAGTTTTGCATGAGAAATGCTGACTCCATCCATTTCTCATCAGGGCGACCCTACATCTTTCCTCAGGACTCTGCCAGTGTGCCATGGCAATGGAGCATGGGAGGGGCTATGCCTGGGTCACAGAACTGTACTTGTGGTGGTGGTGTTTTTTTATGGGTTTTGGAGAGGGTCCTGCTCTGTCACCCAGGTAGCAACTGTACCTGTGAAAGCAAGTCTTGTTCACTCTATGCAGGGTGCCAGAGGATTGAAAAGCTTCAGTCTTAAGAAAGTAAGGCAATATATTTAGTTTCGATAGTTGAGAGAAAGTACTTCCTCCCATCCCTTACATACTGTTTGATCAGCAAAAACTCACACAAGCTTCTCATTATGAAAGACAACTTTACCGTTATGCTATGTCTTAATTATAAAATGCACAACATTATTCACAAATTATATGACCTTTTTGCATTATAGCATTCTCAGTAGCAAGTGAAAGAGCCAAGTCTGAGATCAAGCAATAAAGGAGGAATGTAGTTGTTCATGTAAATGAACGGCCCAGAGGGCCAGGGTGGAGTGGCTTCAGCCATCTCCAGGCTCTGGACTCTGCATCCCCTCGACACAGGGGCCTTCTTCCCGTGATTGGAACAGTCCCCCCAGAGAAAACAGGGGCTCTGGTGTTCCCACCTGGAGTGCCAGCCCAGGGGCATGGTCCCATGTTTGGTCTTACAGATCATGGACTGGTCTGATAGGGGAGGGGAGCCAGGACACACACCGAGGCCTGGGCCCGCCACCCAGATGGGGTCTCCTCTGCCTTCTCCCTAACTTCCTGTGACTCTTAGACACATCCGTCTACCTCCACTGTCTTAACACTGTTTCCACTGTTGCCTCTGGACCCAGAAGCATCTCCATTCTGGAAAAGACTTTTTATAAAAGCTAGTGATCATTGCCAGGAAGAGGGTACTGGTGAAGTCTAGGACAGTGTACACCAGTCTCCAAGTAATAGAAGTAAAGAATTATTTTTTGACAATTATTTTTATTTACAGTGAGTATCTATTACATGTTAAAAAACGAAGTCTCTGGCAGAGTGCCAAGGCTGAGCGTAAGTTGGGAACCCTCCTGACTTGGCAGCAGTCAGATCCTCCCTGCGCCTTGGCCAGGCCCCGGACGCTCAAAGCCTTAGCAGTTAACCAGATTGTTAGCGTTCAGAGCTTTTTCTGGGATTGATGTGGCAGGAATTACCTGTACTACTTCCTAGACCCACTGGTGTGTGAAGGAAGCTCTACTGGCTGTCTTTGAGTGGCATTTGTCCCAAGGGAACGGAAGGCAGGGTTTCAGCCACCACCTGGTGATTGGCGCCATGCAGCGCGCCCTTCCTCCCAACCTCTTCATTTCGCATCTTGCGATACCACTTCATACTCCTAAGAAAAGTCTGCTGCTATTGAAATGTATTGAAGAGCCAATATCAAATTTTTAAAAATAAGAGATTCTATGGTATATGTCTTATGAAATTATTATAGAAAAAATGGACTAAAAGCAGCCTAGGGATGTTTGAATGACTTGGGGATATCTGTACTTGCAAACCAAATGTATGTGTCCTCTCCATTACAATGACACCTTCTCTCTGAGACTTTTTATTTTTTAAAACAATTAGCCTCTTTGAAAGCCTTGTAGGTAAACACTTGAGAAATAAGATGAGATTCACCAAGCTTATAGTGTTATTTCTGAAATACCTATGTTAGAGAGCATTATGTTAACCTCTGATTCTGTAAGGAGACGGGGATTCTGTAGAGAGTCAGAGGGAGTCATTCAGTATTTTCTCACTCAGGCATTCTTTGTAGTATGCACAGAACTAGTGTGAAATGGATGGTGTTGATACTGTTAAAGCTGTAGAAGATGAAAGGAAAATGATGAGCATGTATAGTCGTCTCTCAGAGTCTATGGGGGATTGGTTCCAGGACCCCTCCTGAATACCAAAATCCATGGAAGCTTAAGTCTCCTGTATGAAATGGCATGGTATTTCCGTATCACGTAGGCATAATCTCCTGTAGACTTCAAATCATCTCTAGGTTCTTTACAATACCCAACGGAATGTAAGTGCTATGTAAATAGCTGTTGTACTGTATTGGTTTTTTTTGTTTTTTCCCACTGAATATTTTTGATCTGCAGTTGGTTGACTGTGTGGATGTGGAAGCCGCAGATACAGAGGGCAGACTGTATACTGCTAGACTTTTGCAAATGCTCAGAACACTTCGTTAACTAATTTTATATATGTGTATAATAGTGGTTCCTTGATTTTGTTTTTGCTGGTTGTAATTTTTTTTTTTTTTTAGAGATAGGGTCTCACTCTGTTGCCTAGGCTGGAGTGCAGTGGCACAGTCATGGCCTACTGTAGCCTTGACCTCCTGGGCTCAGGCAATCCTTCCACCTCAGCCTCCCAAGTAGCTGAGACTACAGGCATGCGTCACCATACCTGGCTGATTTTTTTTTTTTTTTTTAATTTTTGTAGAGATGCATCTCATTATATTGCCCAGGCTGCTCTTGAACTACTGGCCTCAAGCAGTCTTCCTGCCTCAGTCTCCCGAGTAGCTGGGACTACAGGGGTGTGTCACTACACCTTGCAAATTTTTAAAATTTTTTGTAGAGTTGGGGTCTCGCTGTGTTGTCTAGGCTGGTCTTGAACTCCTGGGCTCAAGTGGTCCTCCTGCCTTGGCCTCCCAGAGAGCTGGGATTACAGGTGTGAGCTACCATGCCTGGCTGATTCTTTAATTTTCAATATCTTCTCCTTTATAGGCATGAATTGCTGGAGGAAGCCCGGAGACAAGGTTTACCTTTTGCCCAATGGGACGGGCCAACGGTTGTGGTCTGGCTAGAGGTACATCCTTCATTTAACATGCAGTTGCGTGGGTTACAGTATGTGAACTTACTGTTCTACTTTGTAGACTGTACCTCACTGTGCTGCCTTCCTTCCGCTTTCCGCCTCCAGCTCTGGGTTGGGATGCCAGCCTGGTATGTGGCTGCCTGCCGAGCAAACGTGAAAAGCGGGGCCATCATGTCGGCCCTGTCCGACACAGAGATCCAGCGTGAGATTGGCATCAGCAACCCCCTGCACAGGCTGAAGCTGAGGCTGGCCATCCAGGAGATCATGTCGCTGACCAGCCCGTCTGCCCCGCCCACATCTAGAACGGTACGTTCAGAGACAACCCCTGCATTCTTTGGAAACAGGGAATGCCTCTCTGAAGGTATCACTGCCCTGTTTACATTGCTTCTCCAGTTCCTTAACAGCATATGAAGTATAGTTCTAATTCAAAATTTTAGCATCACATACATTAGAACTTTTAATTTTGGGGAATTGGATGGTCAAAAGAAACTTTATTAAATGCTTTTATGAAAGATTGGCTAGAATGGCTTCATAGTATAAAAATATGAGCTTTTTTAAACATAGAAAAGCAATTACAAATTTAAATATGGAAATATGAAATACGAAAATACCAAAAAAAATTGGTAGAGATGGGGGTCTCGCTGTGTTGCCCAGGCTGGTCTTGCACTCCTGGGCTCCAAGCAGTCCTCCCACCTCAGCCTTCCAATGTGCTGGGATTACAGGCGTGAGCCACCACACCCAGCTGAGTTTATCAAAATTGAATCAGTCTAAGGGCCTCTTGAAGGAAAAAGTTAATATTTTAAGGACACATTTTATAATTAAATGTTTTGAATTTCATTTTTCAGTTTTCATGATTCAAACTGAGTAATTAACATTTGTACTATATATAAAGATATTTGCTAAGCCAATTATAGTGTATTTTTAAATGTTACTGGAATATAATATACATATAGAGAAATGCACGTATGAGTGAACAGTTAAATGAATCTGTAAAGTCAGCATCCCCTGTGTGGTCCACACCTACATTGAAAAATGGGATCTGACCAGGGCTCTGGAGGCCTCCTGCTCCTTCTGAGGCACTGCCCCTTCCCTAGGGATGAGTGCCTGGCTCCTGGTGCCATAGACTGCTCTGTTAGTTTCGTTCTTCATGTGTATAAACAAGATCATGTAGTATTCACTCTCTTGTGTCTGGCTTCTTTCACTTAATGTTATGTCTGTGAATTCATCCGTATCATTCCATGTGTAAGTAGCATCTTGAGTAAAATTTTTCTGTCTAGTTCAGAGGACTGGCTCTTCCAGGCTTCTTAGAAGCACCCATTTATTTATTTATTTAAGTTTTTTATTTTTTGGAGGCAAGGTCTTACTCTGTCACCCAGGCTGGAGTGCAGTGGCTCAATCGTAGCTCACTGCAGCCTCAACCTCTTGGGCTCAAGCGATCCTCCCACCTCAGCCTCCCAAGTAGTTGGGACTACAGGTGTGCACCACCACACCCAGCTAATTTCTAAAAACTTCTTAGAGACAGGGTCTTGCTGTGTTGACCAGGCTGGTCTGGAACTCCTGGCCTCCAGTAGTCCTCCTGCCTCAGAGTCCCTGAGTGCTGAAATTACAGGTGTGAGCCACCATGCCCAGCCAGAAGCATCCATTGAAATATAGGTGACATACTAGTAAGAGATACTTGTTATCCCACCGTCAAAACTGATCCCTAAGGAATTTTTGTATTTTTTGTAGAGATGGGTCTCACTTTGTTGCCTAGGCTGGTCTGGAACTCCTGGGCTCAAGCGATCCTCCTGCCTCAGACTCCCAAGTAGCTGTGACTACAGGCATGCACAGCCATGCTTGGAAAAGGTCCCTAAAGAATTCTAATCCTCCCTTCCCCATCATTCCAGTTTGCGGACATTTTTTAAAATAAAAACTAAAGGGGAAAATAAAGATGAGATCACTGGTTGCCTTGTAACCAGTGTTTTACTGTATTTGATTTATTTGGCCTGTAGGTGTTTTCCATTTGGGGAGCTAAAGACCCTGGGAGCTCAGGATTTCAAGCAGTTCACAAATCTGCAAATGTTCATCCAACATGAGCTGTACTTATACAGTTTCTCTCCATGTGGGAAGTCCCTCAAAGTCCTTAAGAAGGGTTATCCTACTTGAAAAAGAAGAACTATGTTAATAAAAACAAGAATGGTTATTGGGAGATAAGGGCAGGCCAACTCCAGATTTATAAAGTTGAGACTTTTTACACTGGCTGGATTCCCAGTCTCTGCTTTTAGTCTCCTCAGGAGAAAACAAATTCTTGTTGCAATGAAGAGCCTCACACATTTCTCCAAGGAGCACGTCAGCGCTGGATTTAGGGCTCCCAGTTACCTTACAAAAAAAGTTTTGAGGGGTTTTACTTGTTTTATTTATTTTTTTCTTCTTAATGAACAAATTATGGTGATGAACAATAAGCTTTGTCCTCCCCTGTTGCTCCAAGAGCTCCTTTCCCACAGCCTGCCTCAGGAGCAGTGTCTGAGCTCTTCCCTGGTTGTTTCACATGACAGTGGCCTTGCTGAAAATGAAGGTGCTGAGTGGTTTCTCCCATGTTTATCCACTGTCTTCAGTAATGATGGAGAACACCTCACATAAGGCAGACTCTTCACACCATGTCAAAATGCAAGGAAAAAATCTCCCTCAAGTAGACACACAGGCCACTGTCTGTCTCGTGTCTGGTTCTGATGGCTGCACAGAGCCATCGACACTGCTTAGCAGTGACCCCCTCTGCCCTGTGGCCTGCCTTCAGCCTTTCAGGCCGTCACGGAACATCTGCGAGAAAGCCCTCCAATAGCCAAAGCAAGAGTTTCATGCTGGGTTCTTTGTTGTTAATCTGCTTTAAATATATTGAATCAATAGTTACTTGAGAATTACTCAAAGTTTCCAGAAGTACACAACGTGTTTTCTTCTCTTGATATTTCACATACCTCGGGTAAGCATGGCATCTAAAGCTCTCGTCATCGTGTGCTCTTCTCCTGATGGTGTTGACGACCCAGTGTTAACAGGGAATGGTTATTCTGTACGGGCATCTGAACTGAAAAGTGAGAAGAGCGAACTTTGCCTCCTCGGCCCCTTCTCTGTGCCTGTGGCTTATGCGTGTGCCCCTCTCCTCTTTGTCACTGCTTCCCTTGCCCTGGATGTGGTTGGTGCACTGGGGTCACCTTAGACCACAGGAAATGTCTGGTTAACACACGAAGAGATGGAAACGCTCGCAGCCACGCCGCAAACGGTTAGTCACGCCCCACAGCCTGCACTCCTCCCAGCGCGTTTTCCACTTAAGACCGTCTGGGTTCTTTGCCTTTTTGTTGAAAACAAAATGTTGTTTTCCATTCAGTCGTTCCAGATAAGTATTTCCTTTAGTTATTAGTTGAAATGTGTAAGTAGAATTTGTATTTTATTTTAGATTTTTTCCAGGAACTTCAAGTTGGTAGACTCTGTCTTTTAGAATAGCTTTAATCTAGCTCTCCTTTTGGAGAGATCTCAGTTGAGCCTCCATGTGACTGACTGTGTGGCCCTTTCTCCTTCCATGAATATGCTTGGCACGGAGAGAGTCTGCTCCTTGCATGAGAAGTTGAAATTGTTGGTTTTGCATGAGTTTTGCATGATGCTTTGATAGTCTGAACTTTTTCACTCAGTGAAGCTGCATCTTCCCTGCAGAGTTGCGTTGCCTGCATTACCGAGCTCACCAATACTAATAGTTATGTTCTTTTGCATTCCTAACCACGTAACCCCAGGAAGATGAGGAGGGAAGCTGGGCTCAGGTTGGAGTCTTTCTCTAATATATTCTTCACTACATGTACAGCAGCAAAAAGCAATTGGAGTATGAAAACTTGTGTAATCTACTTTTTTTGATGTTTATAGCATCTTAGTTTATTCGGAGTACAGGATTGTTAATGATTTGAAAGCACTGGTCAAGCAAAACATAGCATCAAAGAGTACGTCTCATGGACAATTTTGAACATTTCTCATATGGTGCCATGGCAGTTATTTTTAATTAATATAGATTGCTTTGTTTAACATATGATCTTGTATACAAAGTCTTGTGGCTTAGGCAGCTTCTGAGATTATGTATGTAATTTCCTGGTAGGGTAATGTTATTACAAGATATACTGATAGGGAAATTGTGCTCTAATAAATTTCCAAACACAAAAATTGGCATAATGACTTTTCCTCTGTGCCTTTGTGTTGATTTTTTACTAAATACTATCCTAATACTATGTCCACTTAAAGATTTTCTTACTAATGGAATCCTAAGGAATTAAGCCTCTTCTTGAGTACTGTATATTTGAATTTTCAGCTTCTCAATTCTTTAACTCACCAAAAACTCTATCCCAACTGTTTTGCATTCTGTATGTTCAGACAGCTTGCCGAAATGTCGTGCGACGCCACTGGCCTTCTGTGGTCAGGGTGTATGTCTCAGTGGCACATTGCAGCCATGAGGCGTGGACAGGCAGTTCTAGAGGCTTTCCCGAATGGACTGTATTTGAGGGCTTCAGAATAATCATTATATATCTGAAAAGAATCAAAAGGATTTTAAATCATAATTTTCCTGATTACGAGGTGATGGTTGAAGCAGCTGTTTCCTTCTCTTGGTACTCCTAAAATCTAGCTCATTAGACTGTCCCCCCACCTTTTTTTATTTTTATTTTTTATTTGTATTTTTTAACAAAATAGAGTAGCTATAATGTGATTCTGTGGGCTTTTTTCTCTCTTGATTTAAGCATTCTGTGCCTCTCCTCCAGATAAATAACCTCATTGTTTAACTTGTTAGATATCCCTTTATAGGACCAATAATGACCATAAATGAATTATACAGGGTACATTTCATAATTACTTAAATTTCAGTATATTTTCCACCAAGGAGCAGAATTTGGTTAATACTTCAGTATGAAATTGCCTGAGTCAGGGACAGGAAGTGTAAATTAAATAAGCTTAACCTTGCTCTTTGCGGTGGAAATATAAACAAGACTGAGCTGTGGTGATGACTCCAGAACTAGCCGACATGCAGTCTAGTGGAAGCTCGTATCACTTTTCCCTCCTTCCTGTCTTCCAGATGGGACTGCCACCTGCTGCCAAGGGCAGTACACAGTGGCCAGCTCTTAAACCAGGGAGAACTTTGAGCTGCGCCGAGAGACTAGGGGAGGAAGACATCAAGGCGTGGTCAAAACCATTTATACCTCATTTAACAAAATTAGTAAGAGTGCTGGCTGCGTGGAGCATCTATGAGCAGGACACCCATGGTCCCCCCGTCATGGAGCTCCCATTTTATGGAGTTCATAAGACTGGGTTGTACTTGTGGCTGTTTCAGTGCTGGGAGTAAACACTGTGCAGTGGGTGTCTCTTCTAGTTCAGATGTTCTCTGGACTGACATCACCTGGTATGTTTTTTTTCCAGAAGGCTGCTAAGGCAGCCCAGGAGAAGAGGTGGGTCTCCCTGGGATGGAGCCTGATCCTTCTGGGAGTTCATGTTATAGGCCACTTCAGGAGTCTGAGCAGAGCATATAATGAGGAAACAGAAACAAGTAGGGTTCTGCTTCCATGCAGTTTTCTATTTAGACAATTCCTTTGTTTAATTTCCCCATTTAAGAATACATAATCAGCAAGCAAGAGAATAATACCAGATATCCCTGCTACATGTATCAGGCCTAGGCCAGGTGTAGTGGCTCACACCTGTAATCCCAGCACTTTGGGAGGCTGAGGCAGGTGGATCGCTTTCAGCCCAGGAGTTCAAGACCAGCCTGGGCAACGTGGGGAAACCCTGTCTCTACAAAAAATATAAAAATTAGCCAGGTATTGTTGGCTTGAGACTGTAGTCCCAGCTGTTTGGGAGGCTTAGGCTGGAAAATCGCTTGAGCCCGGAAAGTGGACGTTACAGTGAGCCGAGATCATGCCACTACACTCCAGCCTGGGTGACAGAGCGAGACCCTGTCTCTAAATAAATAAATAAATATCAGGCCTGTAAGGGTAAGGTTTAGAAGAGTGAATCAAGCATGGTGATGCTGTTAGATAGCTGATAATTACCCAAAAATGTTTGGCATATTTCTCTCTTTTTAGAGAAGGTAGTGAAGCATTTTTTTCTAGTAGAATTTAAACATTCTTTGTTTAAATTAGAGAATTTGAGTTATTGCTTAACTTAAATTTAGAATTTGAGTTATTGCTTCTAGTTTGGACCAAATAACAAATGATACTGGAAGCCATAGTTTCAAGACCAACATGGTGTTAGTTGAGAGTCACTACAAAGATACCATAAGGTAGCTATGACTGGTGACCATAACTTAGTCTTCCTCAGCTGCAGACTTCAGGTACCTCGGGTACCTTCCTTCGATATGTGTGTGTATAGAATGTGTTAGTTCTTTTTCATTGTACACATTTTGCATGCATTCTGTTAGATTTATCCCTGAGGATTTTGCAGGTTTTGATGCCACTGTAAATGATACTTTTTAAATTTCAATTTTCAGTTCATTGCTAGTATTTAGAAATATAGTTCATTTTTATAAATTGGCCTTGCATCCTGCAACTTTGCTTAAACCCACTTATTCTGATAGCTATTTTGTAGATTCCTTTTCTACACTGATAATTTTGTCATCTTCAAATAAAGACAATTTTATTTCTTTTGCAATTTATGTGCTTTTTATTTCTCTTTCTTGACCTCTTACAGTGACTGGGATTTCCAGTACAGTGTAGAATAAAGTGGTGAGAGTGGACATCCTTCGTTTGTTCCTTATCTTAGGAGAAACACAGTCAGTCTTTTTTTTTTTTTTTTTTAAAGAGACAGGGTCTCACCATGTTGCCCAGGCTGTTCTCAAACTCCTGACCTCAAGTGACCCGCCCACCTCTGCCTCCCATAGTGCTGGGATTATAGGCATGAGCCACCATGCCCAGCTGAGCAGTCTTTTACATTAAGTATGATGTTCACTGTAGGGTTTTTGTAAATGCCTTTTATCCAGTTGAGGCACTTTTCTTACATTTCCGGAATGCTTGGAGTTCCATAAATGATGACAAATCTTGTCAAATGCTTTTTCTGCATCTTTTGAGATGATATGGTTTTTTTTCAATCTCTTCATATGGTGAGTTTCATTGATTTTTCTTTTCAAATGTTGAATCAACTTATGTTTCTAGAATAATAAGCCATACTTGTCATGATATCTTATTGTTTTAATATGTTGTTGACTTGGCAATATTTTGTTACATATTTTTGGATCTGCCTGAGGGCTACTGATCTATAGTTTTGTTACATCTTTGGTTTTGCTCTCAGGATGATGCTGGCCTCATAGAATGAGATAAGGTGTTTCAAACTTTTTTGGAACACTTCGTGTAGAATCGTGGTTATTTATTTATTTATTTATGTTGATAAATGTTTGGTAGAATTCACCAGTGAAGCTATCTTGGGTAGAGATTTTCTTTTTTGTATGTTAGAAGATTTATGATTACAACTTCAGGTTCTAATAGAGATACGTGTTACCTGTTTCTGAGAAGCTTTGGTAGTTTATCTTTTAAGAAATTTGTCCATTTCATCTAAGTTGCTTAAAATTGTTCACAGTATTCCCTTATTCTTTCAATGTCTATTGAATCTATATTGATGTCCCCTCTTTGTTGTCATTTTGTGTTTGTTTTTGAGACAAGGTCTCGCTGTGTTGCCCAGGCTGGTCTCAGACACCTGGACTCAAGCCATCCTCCTGCTTCAGCCTCCTGAGTAGCTGAAGTTACCGACATGGCCACCATGCCTGGCTGCCCTCTTTTACTCTTTTTTTTTTTTTCTTTTTTTGAGATGGGGCCTCGCTCTGCTGCCCAGGCTGGAGTGCAGTGGCTCAATCTCAGCTCACTGCACCTCCGCCTCCTGGTTCAAGCAATTTTCATGCCTCAGCCTCCCAAGTAGCTGGGATTACAGGCATGTGCCACCATGCCTAGCTAATTTTTGTACTTTTAGTAGAGAAGAGGTTTCGCCATGTTGGCCAGGCTGGTCCCCTCTTTCATTCTTGATAGTGGTGATTTATATCTTCTGTTTTGTCTTATCTAGTCCGGCTAGGGTTTGTTAATTTGATTGATATTTATGAAGTACTAGATTTTCATTTCACTGGTTTATTTGCTGTTATTTTTCTGTTTTCTGTTTCATTGATTTCTGCTTTTTTACCTTGTTCCTTCTGCTTGCCGTGGATTTCATTCGTTCTTCTAGTTTAAGTTTTAATTTTTTTTAATTTTGAGACAGAGTCTCGCTCTATCTCCCAGGCTGGAGTGCAGTGGCATGATCTTGGCTCACTGCAACCTCCACCTCCTGGGTTCAAGCCATTCTCCTGCCTCAGCCTCCTGAGTAGCTGGAACTGCAGGCATGTACCACCATGCCCAGCTAATTTTTGTATCTTTAGTAGAGATGGGATTTCACTATGTTGGCGAGGCTGGTGTCGGAACTCCTGACCAAAGGTGATCCGCCTGCCTCGGCCTCCCAGAGTGCTAGGATTACAGGTGTGAGCCACTGCACCAGGCTAGTTTAAGTTTTTAAAAGCAGACTCTTGGATCACTGATTTTCGAGGTCTTTCTCATTGATAATCCTTTGTCGTGATTTTTGCTCTCACGGTATTGTTTTAACTGTTTCCCACAATTTTTGAATTTTTTAAAAATTTTCTTTAAATTAAAAATATTTTCTGGTGGGGCAGCAGTGGCTCACGCCTGTAATCCTAGCGGTTTGGGAGGCCAAGGTGGGTGGTGGATCACTTGAGGTCAGGAGTTTGAGACCAGTCTGCCCAACATGTTGAAACCCCGTCTGTACTAAAAATACAAAAATTAGTCAGGTGTGGTGGCTTGTGCTTGTAATCCCAGATACTCGGGAGGCTGAGGCCGGAGAATGACTTGAACCCTGGAGGCGAGGTTGCAGTGATCCGAGGTCGCGCTACTGCACTCCAGCCTGGGCGACAGAGGGAGCAATTTCCCCTTGTAATTTCTTGCTGTGAATTATTTAGAAGTATGCTAATTTTTAAATATTTAGTAGGGGGTTCTAGATAGCTTTTTATTATTGATTTCTAATTTCTGTTGAAGTCAAGAGAATGTACCTTGATTTCAGTCTCTTTAAGTATGTTGAGATTTGTCTGTCTTTGAGAATATACTATACAGACATTAAAAGCATATATATTCTGTTGTTGGGTGGCATGTTCTATATTCTGTTGTTGGGTAGAGTGTTCTATATTCTGTTGTTTGGTGGATTGTTCTATATTCTGTTGTTGAGTGGCGTGTTCTATGTTCTCTTGTTGGGTGGCGTGTTCTGTATTCTCTTGTTGGGTGGCGTGTTCTATCTTCTGTTGTTGGGTGGCGTGTTCTACATTCCATTGTTGGGTGGAGTGTTCTATATTCTGTTGTTGGGTGGTGTGTTCTATGAAACGTCAGGTCAAGTTTGTTAAGGGTTGTTAGTTTAGGTTTTCTATATTCTTAATTTTTTTCTTTTTTTGCTTCTTTCATCAGTTGCTATGAGAAAGAAGTGTTGAATTTTTTCAACTATAATTGTGAATTTGCCTGTTTCCCCATTTAGTCCTGTTGGTTGTTGCTTTATCTCTTCTCTAAAACTATATTTTAACTGACTTTTACTGATTTTGAAATGGATTTTTTCTTTAGGAAAACAAAGTGTTAAAATGTAAACCAACCAGAGATAATTTTAGTGAGCAGTGTTGAATTGAGCCTTCAAACTTGTTCATGAGTCGTGATCAATCTTTGTCACATTATTATACTAAAAACTATCTCAGAGAGGAAATTTATAGCCAGTTACAGTTTTTTTGTAGTTTGATTTAAAAGTTAAATTTATCACAACGAATCATATATTTTTCATGTTACTATTCCTGTTGTATAAAAATTTTACTAACAAATTTAAAAGGTGAGAAGAGATCAAATTATTTTGCAATTATAAAATTATCATTAGTTTAGCCTTTGAGAATATAGGTAATAGATTAAAAATTCATTTTAAAAATGATATAAACTACTTTTGAGACTTCCTCTGTAACTGACCTTTTCCATTTATGAAAAGCAGACACTCGCCTATGGGGACATGAACCACGAGTGGATCGGCAACGAGTGGCTCCCCAGCCTGGGCCTCCCCCAGTACCGCAGCTACTTCATGGAGTGCCTTGTAGACGCCAGGATGCTGGACCACTTGACCAAGAAAGACCTTCGAGGGCAGCTGAAAATGGTCGACAGTTTTCACAGGTAACTTAATGGAGATAGTTCTTAATAATTGGCTAAGATTTTTCACTGTTACCATCTCTAAATCATCTCTCTTTTCTTCCAAATAGAAACAGTTTCCAGTGTGGAATTATGTGCCTGAGAAGGTTAAATTATGACCGGAAAGAACTGGAAAGAAAAAGAGAAGAAAGTCAGAGTGAAATAAAAGGTTAGTACATGACATTTAATTGATTCGGTTTACTCCTACTTGCTGGTGTGTTTGGAGCCTCAGTGACTTCCTATTTTTCAAAAAATCAAGAAAGGCTAAATTTAAGTGGAGAAAACTAACTAGTCTAGTGTCATTGCAGAGGAGGGCTGGATGAAGTTGAGTGCTTTTGAGATTCTCTTCCACAGCTAGAGAACTGTTCCCTGTGTTCTCACACATCAGTCTGGAGGTTAAATGTCTCCGGCTAGTCGTTTCCTGTGAGTTGAGAGTTTTCCTTTGGTCATGCCCTGTGTACTCCTTCACTCCGAAATGCTGTTCCACACTGTTAGATAACAACAGAGCAAAGCTCACTTGATGATTCAAGTGTGAGAAATATGACTGGGGGCTTATCCAAGGGGTTCAGGAGAACAGGAGAGCACCGTGCAGTTCTGCTCCCGGAGGGGAAGGAGAGGCAGCGTCTGCATTTCAGCTGGTCCTTGAAGAAGGAGGAGGAGCTGCTTAGGGTAAGGAAAAGGCATTTCAGTTGGAAAACACAGGCCAGGGAGGCGTTAGAGGATGTGAGACATTCATCCAGAAGACGTGGAGTTGGTTCTCTTCTCCGTTGGGGAGTCCCTCACTCGTACTCAAATTTATTTGTTTGTTTGTTTATTTATTTATTTAATTTATTTTGAGACAGGGTCTTGCTCTGTAGCCCAGGCTAGGCTGGAGTGCAGTGGTGTGATCACAGCTCACTACAGCCTTGAACTCCTGGGCTCAAGTGCTCTTCCTGCCTTAGCCTCCCTAGTAGCTCCTGGGAGTACAGGTGTGCTCCACCATGCCTGGAATTTTTTTTTTTTTTGTAGAGACAGGGTCTCGCTATGTTGCCTAGGCTGATCTCGAACTTTTGGGCTCAGGGGATCCTCCCACCTTGGCCTTCCAAAGTGTTGGGATTACAGGTGTGAGCCACCACACCCAGTCAGAATTTGCTTTTAAAATTAGACAGTAAACATTAAGCTCAGAGTAATGACTCCCAGAATTCCTGGAATGCAAGGAAGTCACCAATAACAATAATGATAAGAAGAGGCCAGTCTTACTAACAGTGAGTAGGTGCCAGGTGGTGTTCTAAGTACTCAGGGGTTGCTTTCTTTCATCTTTACCTTAGCCCTGTCAGTCTAAGTGCTGTTTTCATCCCCACTTTATACTAAGAAAGAAACTAAGGATAAAAATATGGTTGGGAGATGGCCCAGTTGAAGGGAAGTCTACTTGTGATTGAGTTAATGTGAATCAGGAGAAAAGTCGTAAGTCGACATTTATACAGTGTGTGTATATGTATGGACTTTTATCCAGAAAAGGGCATTGGCAATGAAATATGTCCATCTGTTTTGTTTTCTGTATCTATTTTACATCTTTTTCCAATAGACAAAGATCTTTGGAAGTGTCTTTGGAAGTGATTGGTGATCATCTGCATATATTTTTAGAGTGGCTATTTTTAGATCTAATAGAGCAAATTGAATAATTTGTTAATTTGCATAAGATATTGTGGCTGGGCATGGTAGCTCATGCCTGTAATCTCAGCACTTTGGGAGGCCAAGGCAGGAGTATTGTCTGAGCCCATGAGTTCAAGACCAGCCTGGGGAACATAGTGAGACCCTGTCAGTACAAAAAAATTAGCTGAGCTTCGTGACACACGCCTGTAGTTCCAGCTCCTCAGGAGGCTGAGGTGGGAAAAATCACTTGAGCCCAGGAGGTTGAGGCTGCAGTGAGCTATGATGGTACCAGGCTGTATCCAGCCTGGGTGACAGAGCAGGACATTGTCAAGAAAAAGAGAGGAAAAAAAAAGATTTTCTGCAAAGTCTCTAATGTGCTGGATGATATTGTTAAGTTTCTCTCATTTTAAAATGAGACAAAGACTTCGAGATTAGAAATGAGAGGTTTCTGTTGAATTGAGCAAAGTGTTCATATTATTATGGAGCCAGCTCCATCCGTGATGAAGTATTTCAGAAGACTCTCCAGTCTGTGTGTGAAGCATGTTTATACATGTTAGGTATTCAAGTTCTTGCAGTCCTCTGGCTTCTGATCCCTGGATCCTCATCATCTTCTTTTCTCTAGAAATAATAACTTCATTCCTCTCGTGCTCACTGGAAGGATGAGTTCTAATGGGAGAGTCTCCCTGAGAGTGGAGCAGGGCCAGGACACCATTGTCTCAGTGCAGCAAATGGTTGTCTATTTAGCAGTGTCTCCCAGCACTTTTCTCAGGAGCCGAAGGATTAGGAACCATGGTAGGAATCTTTCTCCTGCATTACAGGGTACATGTGATAAAGATGGCTTTCTGAAGCCACTTTTATAATTGTCTTTATTCTTTTGCAGACGTGCTTGTTTGGAGCAATGATCGAGTGATTCGCTGGATCCTGTCAATTGGCCTTAAAGAATATGCAAACAATCTTATAGAGAGTGGTGTTCACGGAGCACTTCTGGCCTTAGATGAAACCTTCGACTTCAGTGCACTGGCACTGCTGTTACAGATCCCGACGCAGAACACACAGGTGACGCCAAACCTGTCTGTGTCTGCACTCATTGTTCAGTTGGCACCCTGATTATAGACAGCTAGTTATTCGAATAGAAAGAAACTTTAAAAAAAAAAAAAAAAAAAAACTTCAGACAACTAGTTTTTGGTTTTTTTTTTTTTTTTTGGTCTATTGGCTTTCCCTTTTCTGTTGGAAGCATGAGAGTCCTGCAATAAACCAGATAAGGACGATCTTTCATTCCAGCCCATGTGCCTGATCAGAAGAGTGACATATATTTAGTTCTTACATGGAAAGAGAAGTGTTTTTAGGTGTGCCACATGAAGATTTTATTAATTTTGTTTTTATGGGTAATTGCCTTATGCCATTCTTTTTGACTCATGGGCTCATTTGAAAAACAGGGAACTTTTATTCCTCTACAGAACATTGAATATGCCAGGCAAGGTGGCTCATGCCCACAATCCCAACACTTTGGGAGGCCCAGGTAGGCAGATTGCTTGAGTCCAGGAGTTCGAGACCAGCCTGGCCATCATGGTGAAGCTCTGTCTCTACAAAAAAATACAAAAAAATTAGCCAGGTGTGGTGGCACATGCCTGTAGTCCCAGCTACTTGGGAGGCCAAGGCAGGGAGATTGCTTGGCCCGGGAAGTGGAGGTTGTGATGAGCTCTGATTGCGCCACTGCACTCCAGCCTGAGTGACAGAGTGAGACCCCCATCCCAAAGAAAAAGGAAAAAAAAAAAAAAAAATTGAATATCTTTGGCCAATACCCCTGACCAACCCACACAACACACCCTTGTTAATATGACTCCAAGGATCATGGATCCCTTTCTGCAAAAGCCCATCCATTGACTCCACATTAGATGCCCTGATTTAAAATATTATTATGGTTCAATGTAGTCATAGCAGTGAGGGAGTTGTTTTTTTGTTTGTTTTGAGATGGAGTTTCGCTCTTGTTGCCCAGGCTGGAGTGCAATGGTGCAATCTTGGCTCACTGCACCCTCTGTCTCCCAGGTTCAAGTGATTTTCCTGCCTCATCCTCCCAAGTAGCTGAGATTACCGGCACACGCCACCGTGCCCGGCTTATTTTTGTATTTTTAGTATAGATGGGATTTCACCATGTTGGCCAAGCTGGTCTCAAACTCCTGATCTCAAGTGATCTGCCTGTCTCGGCCTCCCAAAGTACTGGGATTACAGGCATGAGCCACCACACCCAGGCCCTAATTTTTGTATTTTTAGTAGAGACGGGGTTTTACCATGTTGCCCAGGCTGGTCTTGAACTCCTGACCTCAGGTGGTCTGTCCGCCTTGGCGTCCGAAAGTGTTGGAATTACAGGCGTGAGCCACCAGACCCAGCCAGCAGTGAGGGAGTTTAAGTCTTGGTTTAAAAAACAATTACGATGCTAACACCCTTCAAATTAGATTTGATGAAAGTTTTATTTGTTTTTCTTTGGTTATTTCAGGCTCGTGCTGTCTTGGAAAGAGAATTTAACAACCTTTTGGTCATGGGGACTGATAGAAGGTTTGATGAAGTAAGTTTTTGGCCTAATGTTCTTTAAATGTCTGAAATGTGTGTAAATGTTTAAATGTGTGTGAAATGTAAGCTGTTATTATTATTATACTTGGGACATCATGTAGCTAGGCAGTCTCTCTGGATGTTAGAAGTCAGGCTTTGCTCTTATACATTTATTCACAAATGAGCCTTTAAAAACTAATACCTGGGCCGGGCACGGCGGCTCGCACCTGTAATCCCAGCACTTTCGGAGGCTGAGGCGGGCGGATCACCAGAGGTCAGGAGTTTAAGACCAGCCCGGCCAACATGGTGAAACCCCATCTCTACTAAAAAACACAAAAATTAGCCGGGCGTTGTGGTAGGTGCCTATAATCGCAGCTACTTGGGAGGCTGAGGCTGGAGAATCGCTTAAACCTGGGAGGTGGAGGTTGCAGTGAGCTGAGATCGCACCACTGCCCTCCAGCCTGGGCGACAGAGAGAAACTCCATCTCAAAAAGAAACCCCCTCCCCGCAAAAAAAAAACCCACAAAAGTAATACCTTCAAGAAGGTAGTTTTGTTTTTATTTTTGCTATTTAATTTTTGACATCCCTCAAAAATGGTTTTCACATCATAAAACATTGGTTGCAGCTTAGGAACAGAGTCTGTAAGTTGGGTTTTGGGGACCAGTAGTTATCCTACCCCAGTCCAGAGTGTACCCCCATACTCCTGTGCATGGGTGGGGTGGCATGTTTCAGAAGTATATTAAAAACACAAAATGTTAATTTCCCCTTAAAACCATGACTCATTTGTTCCACACGATTAGGAGTCTCTTAATTGGACCTTAAGAAAAGTTGAGTTTGACAGAGAGAATAGAAGACCACCTCTAAAGATGAAGCACTTGTTGCTATATCCTGGCATAAGATAAAATTGTTTCTAGTTAAAAATTGTTTGTAGAGCTGCGTGTGGTAGGGGCACACCTGTAGTTCCAGCTACTTAGGAGGCTGCGGTGGGAGGATGGCTTGAGCCCAGGAGTTTGAGGTTACAGTGAGCTATAATCACACCACTGCATTCCAGCTCGGGCAACAGATCTAGACTCTGTCTGTAAAAACATAAATAAAAATGAAAAATAAACTATTTTTAAGATAAATAAAAACGTATTACGTTGCAAGAAAGTGATTCCTGCAAGGTGTAAGAAGTAGAACATGATGCTGTGGAGAAGGAGCACATCCTCATGGCCCAGCACCGACCTCATTTCGCCAGCTGAGGCCCAGCCGGACCATCACCATGCCCCGTTTCACGCTGAAGTTCCAGGTTGGGCAATATATTGTGTGGTCATCAAGAAGGGATTAAATACATGTGGACAAGAATACATTCTCGAGATCAGCAGTCATTTTAAAGGACATGTAACTTTACATCTCTGACCTTTATTTTTTAAATGAATCTTGTTTTTTGTTCCTTAATTTACCAGGATGATGATAAAAGCTTTAGGAGAGCACCTTCATGGAGAAAAAAGTTTAGACCAAAGGACATTCGTGGCTTAGCTGCTGGGTCAGCAGAGACTCTCCCTGCAAACTTCCGGGTGACTTCTTCTATGTCTTCCCCCTCTATGCAGCCAAAGAAGATGCAGATGGACGGTATGTGATGGGTCACACTAACCTGTCACTTGTTGGGAGCATGAGCAGCTTTCTGTCTGGAACATTAATAATGATCTAAAACGGCCTATTTAATATGTTACAAGGCACTTGAGTATGGTTGCATGTCCAAATATAAATGTTTTTAAATTAACTCTAACATTTGTTTATAAAAGTTTAACCATAATAATAGAATTTTTAAAACACGCTTGTCTGGTTGAATCTTAGCATATTTTTCCAACTAATAAAGCTCAGTATTCGTCTGTGTTCTCAGAGAGAGACTGAGGCATACTTGTAAATTTGTGTCTGTGACAGGCCGTGCTAGAAAGCTCTTTCAGGAAATAGTAGTGTAGTAGTAGCTTCCAAACCACATAATTTACTGCTCTCCACACCAGAGAAAATAACTGAGTACATTTTTAAGAACACACAGTTTCCAGCTTGTGTGAGCTCTGCCTATGCTTTCTGCCCTCCCTGCTGCTGCTGTTCCGTGCAGTCACATGTCTACCCATTAGAGGGCAGGGAAGGGAGGAAGGTGAACCTCCAAGAAGTCCCCAGTGGAGCGAGGCAGCTATTGACTATACCAGCCAGAGAGAGAGCATCACTGCCATGATTTCACATGCAGTTTGGGATTTTCCCTTAGACGGCCACTTTGATTTGAGGTTAACAGTTGACCATGGCTTCCTTACAGGTCTCTCAACTCTGCCCTTGTACTCATCTAATGAAAGGCAGTGCACAGGTTGAAGAGCCAGGCTGCCTAGGTTTGACTCCAGCTCTGCCACTAGGAGGTGCATGACCCTGAACAAGTCATTTAACTACCCTGGCCTCGGTCTCCCCATCTGTAAAATGGTCGTCATGGTAGTGTCTTCCTCATAGAGTAGTTGCGATGATTGAATGCCTCATTCATTAAGCTGGTGAAGTTCTGAGCCCGTGTCAGTCGGGGCTGTTTGGCAGCCCCTGTGCTACACACAGGTCACTCATGCTCACTTCTGAGGCCAGTGAGCAGACTGGAGGAAAGGAAGTGGCATTAAAAACTGTGCTAATCCTTGAGGCCAGGAGTTTGAGACCAGCCTGACCAACATGGCGAAACCCCGTCTCTACAAAAAAAAAATACAAAAATTAGCCAGGTGTGGTGGCACATGCTTGTAATCCCAGCTACTTGGGAGGCTAAGGCACAAGAATCATTTGGACCTGGGAGGCAGAGGGTGCAGTGAGCCGAGATTGTGCCGCTGCACTCTAGCCTTGATGACAGACTGAGACTCTGTCTCAAAAAAAAAAAAAATTTTTTTTTAAGTGCTAATTAGGGGCCAAGCATGGTGGCTTATACCAGTAATCCTAGCACTTTGATAGGCTGAGAGGCAGGAGAATCACTTGAGCTGAAGTTTGAGACTAGCCTGGGCAACACAGTGAGACCCCATCTCTAAAAAAAAAAAAATAATAATTGAAAACTGTGCGAATGGGGTTTTTGCCAATTTTTTTTGTCATCAGTCCCTCCCGTACGTAGGTTCATAAATTTTGTTCTCTATCACCTGTATAAAAATAAAAAGAAAAGTACATTTAAATAAAACCTTAGTTAAGCTGGACGCTTTGGGTGAGAATAGCTTACTTTGTGGCATTTTTAGTAAAAAGCTGTATTATTTATTTATTGTTTGCCAGAATTTGATAATATACTCAAGGGGGAAAACCCAGTATATCTTTTAACTAGGAACTTTTTACAAATTAGCATTTTTCTTCCAAGAGTCATGCATATAATTCTTAGAAAGCAGAACTGTGACTTGGCCTTCAGCTCAAGCTCTGTCACCTGGAGTCCACGAGTGCTTTCTTGTTTTACTTGTGGCTTCAATTTCAGTTTTCCTTCTGATAAATCACATCTCCCTTGTTAAATGTTAACAGGAATATTAAGAATGAGAGTTTGGATGGATGAAAAGTAAACCTAGGCCGGGCGCGGTGGCTCACGCCTGTAATCCCAGCACTTTGGGAGGCTGAGGTGGGTGGATCAGCTGAGGTCAGGAGTTCGAGACCAGCCTGGCCAACGTGGTGAGACCAGCCTGGCCAACGTGGTGAAACCCTGTCTCTAGTAAAAATACAAAAAAATCGGCCGGGCTCGGTGGCTCACGCCTGTAATCCCAGCACTTTGGGAGGCCAAGGCGGGAGGATCACGAGGTCAGGAGATCAAGACCATCCTGGCTAACACGGTGAAACTCCATCTCTACTAAAAATACAAAAAAAAAAAAAAAATTAGCTGGGCACGGTGGCAGGCGCCTGTAGTACCAGCTACTCGGGAGGCTGGGGCAGGAGAATGGCATGAACCCAGGAGGCGGAGCTTGTGGTGAGCCAAGATCACACCACTGCACTCCAGCCTGGGCGACAGAGCAGGACTGTCTCAAAAGAAAAAATTTGCCAGGCATGGTGACACATGCCAATAATCCCAGCTACTTAGGAGGCTGAGGCAGGAGAATGGCTTGAACCTGGGAGGCAGAGGTTGCAGTGAGCCGAAATCATGCCACTGTACTCCAGCCTGGGCGACAAGAGCAAAACTCTGTCTCAAAAAAAAAAAAAAAGTAAACCTAAAAGGTATAGGGAATTTATTATAAAGAAGACTTTTTACCCTTACATTAAATAACTCAGGCACAAGCCTGCTAAAGGGATTATTATTATTATTGAGACAGGGTCTCACTCTGTTGCCCAGGTTGGAGTGCAGTGGCTCAGTCTCGGCTTACTGCAACCTCAGCCTCCCAAGTAGCTGGGACCACAGGTGTGGTCCCATGCCTTGCTAATTTTTTGAATTTTTTGTAGAGATGGGCTCTCACCATGTTGCCCAGGCTGGTCTTAACTCTTGGGCTCAAGCAATCCTCCTGCCTTGACCTCCCAAATTGCTGGAATTACAGACGCGAGCCACCGTGCCCAGCAAAGTTGACTATTTTAATGGCTTTTTAATTAAGGGAATGTGGGGTAAACTCCAGCAGGTCTCCCAGGTTCTTAAGAGTCAGAGGGTTTGTGAAGATCATCTGTCCTCACCAACAGTCCCAACTGTCTTAATGTCTTTGCTGGAACCATGCAGGATGTTGATTAAGTGTTCCTGGTATACCTGTGGGAAAACAAAAAACATAACCGGGAGCAGCCAGTACCTGCTTCCGATTTGCAAAAACTTAAAATCCCAGTTGTTAATGGAAATCGGGCTTACTTATGGCCACACTGTGTTTCTTGAACAAGAACCAAAATCTGTGGTCTCTATGATTAATATTTCTGGTAGGAACTGAGACTGGGCTTCAGTTTTTAGATCAGCTTTCACCCCACTCCCTGGCCAACGCCCCACCCCTGCAGCCAGATCTCTGCACCTGCTCTGCTCCTCCCCAGGAGAAAAGGGCACCGGCTTCCCAGACACCCAGCTAGTGCTGGGTAGCAAGGTTCTCTCCCTCCTCTTAGACTGGTCTTGTACCCGACGTCGTTGGCCTCTGCGCTCAGTGGGGCTGGGCAGCATCAGCAGTGCCGCTTGGTGTTTCCTTCATACCAGTGTTAGAGATGGAGCACTTAGGGCAGGGAGAAAGCCCCATTGGTCTATGAATGCAGAGTTTAGTAAGAGATAAAGGGATCACTCTAAGTAGGGGTCATTTATGCAGATGTACATTTTGAAATTGTTACTGTACCATTTGGTGCTTGGTATTTCGGAGTAGTGTTCCAGAGTCTCCCGGGGCTCTTTGGGAGCTGGGGAGAGCCACCACTGGGTGACACTTGGATCTCTCTGGCTCCATCCCGCCCACTCAGGCAGCTCCCCTCAGGTCCCTCCGTAGGCACTGCTGTAGGTGTGAAGATGTGTGTCTACTTGTGCCCTCATGTGATGTTCTAAGACTAACTGCACGCTGTGTTTGCACGCTTCCTCTCGTGGCTGTTGAAACAGGCAATGTATCAGGAACACAGAGGTTGGATTCTGCTACAGTCAGGACTTACTCCTGCTAAAGTCTCCTGTTGGTGAGTAGAGAGCACCACAACCCCTAGAGATGGCTCAGAGGCACAGCAGGAGTCATCGGAGCTGCAGTGCCAGACTAGGGGTGTGGACCATGAAAGCCAGTGCAGTTTTTGGGGAATTTAAAATATATATAGACACAAGCTCTCCGTACCCATTAAGATCATTTTGTTGTTACAATTGATCATAAAGAGGTTAGTGTGTCCTCTTTTTTTAAGGAAAAAAATGTATTTTCACCTTTTCCTTAAACCTGAAAATGCTGACTCATTTTAATTGTCTGTGGATGTCATGGGGGTGGAGTGGGGAGGAGAGCAGAGCATGGCAGAGAGCGTCAGGGGAGAGTCTCTCCTCCTGACGTCGTTATGCACATTGCTGTGATTCCTAAGCTTGCTTTGTTTTAAATACACATTCTTGAATGAAACAAGCCCAAAGTTTTGTGGTTAATTATATATTATACTAAGTGTGACACTAATAGCCTTTCAGTTTGGAGAGACTGGTTCTTAAAACTGCGGACTCTGGCTGGTGAGTGGCCCGCCCTCTCCTTGCTGTTCTAAGCAATTTTAAGGTCTCCGTTGGAATATTTGACTGGTTTGTTCATCTTTTATTTGTAATTGGTAACATGGAGACGTAAGCCAAAATGAAGTCAGCCAAGGAGCTGTCTCATTGATGTGCATAGCCCTTGATGTTCTAGCCAGTGATTCTCAGAGCAGCTACGGCACAGAAAGTGAGGGGTCCTGGAGGGGAGGGGTCAGTGTCGGGGGGACGTTTGGGCCCCAGCATCAGAAGTTCCCGTTCGTCAGTATGGCCCGGCCTGTACTGAGTGGTTTTTTGTTTGTGTTTATTTTCCAGTTTACCCACACTACTTCTACAGATGATTATGCAGCATTTGAATCCAACAAAGACTACATTTTGGAATCCAGTGGAATCTTTAATCTTGTTAATACTTGTTATATGGACCCTAAGATATTTTATTACAGAGTTTTTAATTAGTGAAAAATTCATGAATACCATAGAGAAAATATTTTAGAATTTAATGTTTCTTATATTTATGTAAACTTATGACTCTTCATTTATATAGTTACTTACTTTTTCATGTATATCCAGGCTATAAATATCCTTTCAAATCATGTTCTTATACCTAATTTTAGTCTTTCAAATGAATGTACTGTAATGCTTGTATGTATAAATCCTATGAATAGAGGGCTTTTGTAAATTATGCATTTATTGTAATTATCATTAATTTTTTAATGATAAACCATGACAAAGGATTTTACGTTTATAAAATTATGACAGAAGCCATGTGCATTATCCTTTACGGACGCAGCCTAGCTCTACAGCAATCATCCTGAAATAAGCATACCTAATTTCAAGCAATTGTTGTATTTTCATGACTGACCTTAACTGTACTTTTTCTAGCAAGAGATGCTTTATTCTGCAGCATGAACAGATTTAAAATGGCTGGTGTTAAATATCAGCTCCTAATAAGATGTGGACTGAAAACACTATCACAACACTATGAGAAGCCCCTAGCACTGGTTAACGCTTTCCTAGCCTAGTCTCTGGATTTGGGGAGCTTGTCTTCAGTGGCTGAGACTGTGAGCTGGGAGCAGTTCTCTCAGCTGGAGAGACTCGGGATGGGGTAACCTGGGGACCAGTCTAGCCCCTGCACCCTCTTCCCTGCCTCTGCTCCTTGGGAGCGGGTGGAGAGACACCCATGTGGCTCCCCTTAGGGCCAGCACCAAGCACCACGCTCTCATCCTGCAAGTCGGCGCACACAGTGGATGAAGGCAGGAGACCCAGAAAGCAGTGCAGTGCAGCTCTAATAAAGGCCTTATTTTTCTTATGTAAATCATCTTTTTACATTTGTTTGTAAACATGTTTAAAGAACGAACCTAGTGGGACATTTTTAGACTTTGATGCTCTAGCCATTTTGGATTGTGTAAGTTGCAGATGTGGCTTTTACTTTTTAAATGGCATATTAACAAGCCAGCAAAGTGTGTCAGACCATGGCGTGGTATTTATTGTGCAGCAGATCCAGAGACAGAGGCAGCCTGTCTTTTCAGTTGGTTTCTGCTTTTAATTTACTTGTACAATTCATTGTTACTGTTCTGTTTTTCTATTAATCTTTTGTCAACTTCCTGATTATGTAACAAAGTATGTACAGTCTACTTTTGAACTATTTTTATCACAGTATTATTTATTGCTTTCTTTCAATAAAGTACTGAAGCATTTTCCACTGCCAATGAAGAATACTGAGAATAAGCTCTAACTGTTTTGGAAGGCAGTGTCACCATATGGAAATTGTATTACAGAAGTCAATTGACAGAATAAAGCAGCCAGGAGATGAAGTGCAGGTTCAGGGCGTCATCCTGCCCGCTGCTCTGGAGGTCCCGAGCCTGCATCACTGCAGGAGACAGGTGCCTGGTGTTAAATTGTTAAATGCAAATGTGGGGGCTCACATACACAGTCGGTGGGTAGGGCCCAAAGGCAGAGCCTAGGCCGTGGACCGCGCGCATGCACGCATGTCCCTTAACACCGTTTCCCAGCTCTGCTTCCTTCCTCGGTGCTGGCTTCACACTCCCACCTGCTCTCCCTGCCTGCTCACAAAGGTGGCTCCCAGGCCTGCACCCTTCCACACTGATGGCCTCTGGAAATCAGGAAGCCTGGTTCCCTAATAGCTCACATCCGGTCCTGAGTTGTGAAGCAGCCCAGGGTGGCAGAGGGGAGGCGACACGCTGACAGGCTGGGGGAGTCAAGCAGGGCCCACCCATGGAAGTTGGTGAGCTGAGGCTGAAGGGCTGGAAGCTGATGCCCAAGAGGAAAGCCAGACACCAGCAAGTGTCCCTTCCCCTCCTCCCACCTCAGTGTTGCCATTGAGCCTGGGATTCGCAGAGCCCATGGCCACCACCACCCCACCTGGAGCAGGCATCAGCGGCCACTGCCGACGTCACCTTGGTCTCCGTTTCCTCATTCTGTCTCCGTTGCTGACACCTCGTCTGAGTGGCACGTGCTGTCACGTGGGTCAGTGTGTCCTGGGACGTTTCTCTCAGGCAGCCATCGGGTGTTCAGTGCTTTCCTGTTTCGAACCTGTGTTTGCTGATCTTCCTGCTTAATGTAGGGAAAGCCTTGTTTTCTGTACTTTCTAGTTCTTGAGGTTAACTTCAGTGTGAGCTTTAAAACATAATGTAGTGCCTCCCTGCTTTTTTCCATTTAATAGTCCCTTTTGGCTGAACAAAGCCAAAGGCATGCGTCGAGTATCTTAAAACTTCCAGAAAAAAAGAGACTGGGCAGGGTGTGGTGGCTCACGTCTGTAATCCAGCACTTTGGGGGGCCGAGGTGGGCGGATCACGAGGTCAAGAGATCGAGACCATCCTTCCCAACATGGTGAAACCCAGTCGCTACTAAAAATACAAAAATTAGCTGGCCTGTAGTCCCAGCTACTCGGGAGGCTAAGGCAGGAGAAACGCTTGGACCCAGGAGGTAGAGGTTGCAGTGAGCCAAGATCGCACCACTGCACTCCAGCCTGGCAACAGAGCAAGACTCCATCTCAAAAAAAAAAAAAAAAAAAAAAAAAAAGGGACTGGGGGCAGTGGCTCATGCCTGTAATCCCAGCACTTTGGGAGGCCAAGCTGGGAAGATCACTTGAGGCCAGGAGTTCAAGACCAGCCTGGGCAACGTAGTAAGACCCCCTTCTCTACCAAAAAAAAAAAAAGTGAAGACATTTTAAAATAAAACGACACTTGGCATGCAAATAGGTTTGACGTCTAGGACCGTTAATCTTCAAACTTGAGTGTGCGAAGCATCACCTGGCAAAAGATGCAGTTGTGGGCATCCCCTCTCCATTCAGAGCGATTCAGCACTCATTCATTGAGTATCTATCTACTCTGTACCAGGCTCTTTTTGGTGCTGGAGAGACCGTGGTAAGAACATTATTTCACCCTTCCAGGAAAAAGAAACGTTTCTAAGCCTGTACATCCAAGAGACAGCCCAGGAGTACAAGTTGCGCCATGACATTGGCATGGAGGGAGGGAGAAGTCCTCTGGGGAGGCCTGCATCACACAACATCAAATGCTGAGAACCATTTCATGTTCACGCTACATATTTACTGTCTCCTATGAATAAAACTCCAGACAGGGTTTCAGAGAACACCAATGCAAATGGACCTGTATTAGGTAATATGCCACCTTTCTTCATGTGACCTGTCATGCACCAGCTCTTGTGAGGTGGTTTTTTTTTTTGAGATGGAGTTTCACTCTTGTTGCCCAGACTGGAGTGCAATGACACAATCTTGGCTCACTGCAACCTCTGCCTCTTGGGTTCAAGTGATTCTTCTGCCTCAGCCTCCCAAGTCACTAGGATTACAGGTGCACGCCACCACACCTGGTTAATTTTTTGTTATTTTTAGTGGAGACGGCGTTTCGCCATTTTGGCCAGGCTGGTCTCGAACTCCTGACCTCAGGTGATCCACCCACCTCTGCCTCCCAAAGTGCTGGGATTACAGGCGTGAGCCACGGCGCCCGGTTGTGAATTTTTTTTTTTTTTTTTTTTTGAGACGTCTCACTCTGTCACCAAGGCTGGAGTGCAGCGGCGCGATTTCGGCTCACTGCAAGCTCGCCTCCCGGGTTCACGCCATTCTCCTGCCTCAGCCTCCTGAGTAGCTGGGACTACAGACGCCCGCCACCATGCCCAGCTAATTTTTTGTATTTTTTAGTAGAGACGGGGTTTCACCATGTTAGCCAGGACGGTCTCGATCTCCCGACCTCGTGATCCGCCCGCCTCGGCCTCCCAGAATGCTGGGATTACAAGCATGAGCCACCACGCCCAGCCACTGGTCGTGAATACTTTAAATAGGTCTTGCCAATCGACCTCAAAAGAAGCCAACAGAGCACAATTTTTCACTCCTGATGAAGGGCGGTCGACAAAGCACGACTCTGCCTTAACACTACACGGTTCTCATCTTCAAATAGACCAAAATGTGCTCATTAAACAAAAGCAATATAATTTAGGAATGGGGGTATTACAGAAACTGTAAGTCTTGAGGGAGTTGAATCACCAATTCTCCAACACCCTATTTTCATTTTTAAGTTTTTTGTTATAATCAAAGTCATACATGCACATCATTTAAAGTAAAAACAAGCCGGGTGCAGTGGCTTACGCCTATAATCCCAGCACTTTGGGAGGGTGAGGCGAGTGGACTGCCTGAGGTCAGGAGGTCAAGACCAGCCTGGCCAATGTAGTGAAACCTCATCTCTACGAAAAATACAAAAAAAATTAGCTGGGCGTGGTGGTGGGCACCTGTAATCCCAGCGACTAGGGAGGCTGAGGCAGGAGAATCGCTTGAACCCAAGACGCAGAGGTTGCAGTGAGCTGAAATCACACCATTGCACTCCAGTCTGGGCAACAAGAGCGAAACTCCGTCTCAAAAATAAATAAAAATAAAAAAAGAATAAAACCAGCAGCCCTTGCCCTTGCCCTTCCTCTCTTTCTCCCTGCTCCCTAGACCATGGGGAATGGATTTGGCTATTCCTTCTATTTGCTTTCTTACTCCCAAATGATATGCGCTCAGCGTGGCGTCCTGCTTCCTCCATTTTGGGCCATGTCTTGTGGCTGATGAGAATTTGAGCACCTGGCACCTCCCTTCCCCTCTCCCAGTCTCCCAGCTGAGGTTAAGTCAAGTTGTTGGGATCAAATCCATGTTCTCTGTTTTCATTATTATGACTATATTATTTATTGGTGAGGCAAGTGGGATACTTTGATTATAACACAGGGGGGCACATGGTAAGACTATATTCCCCAGTATTCACAGATGAAATAACACGATGTCTGGGGTTTGCTTTAAAATAATCTTAGGGGGCCGGGCGCGGTGGCTCACGCCTGTAATCCCAGCACTTTGGGAGGCCGAGGCGGGTGGATCACCGGGTCAGGGGTTCGAGACCAGCCTGACCAACATGGTGAAACCCCGTCTCTACTAAAAATACAAAAATTAGCTGGGCGTGATGGCGGGCGCTTGCAATCGCAGCTACTCAGGAGGCTGAGGCAGAATTGCTTGAACCCGGGAGATGGAGGTTGCAGTGAGTCGAGATTGCACCACTGCACTCTAGCCTGGGTGACAGAGCAAGACTCGGTCTCAAAAAAAAAATATCATCATCATCATCATCATCTTAGGGGAGGGAGGGCTTATGGATTGAACAACACTGACCATGTGGATTGGTGACTGTTGAAGGTGGATGGTGCATTCATGATGGTTACATTAATCCACCTTCACATTTGTGTGAGATTTTCCATAATAAAATGTTTGCTGGGTGCAGTGGCTCACACCTGTAATCCCAACACTTTGAGGCCAAGGCTGTAGGATTTCTTGAGGCCAGGAGCTCAAGACCAGCCTGGGCAACAGGCTCTGCCTCTGCAGTAAATTTAAAGATTAGCGGGGTGTGGTGGCACACGCCTGTAGTTCCAGCTATTCTGGAGGGTGAGGTGGGGGACCACTTGAGCTTGGGAGGTCGAGGCTGTAGTGAGTTACGATTATGCCACTGGACTCCAGCCTGGGCAACACAGCAAGACCCTGTCTCAAAAAAATAGTCCAAAAAACAATTTTTAATAGTTGTCTCAGGCAGACCCTCTATGTGATAAACTGTCTTCGTCTTTGGATGTCTGAGAATACTGCTGCTTACCCCTTCACTTCATTACGGTAATTTTGCCCAGTTTCAAACTCTAACTGCAGCCCACAGCTGAAATATTTTATATCACAACCCAGCATGCACACACTACATTTCATCAATTCTGCTGTGAACATTTTTTCATGTTTTGGTATCTTAAATTAGGATGTGTCTTATAAGCAATGATACTGAAGCACTCTGGGAGGCTGAGGTGGGTGGATTGCTTGAGCTCATCAGTTCGAGACCAGCCTGGGCAACATGGCAAAACCCCGTCTCTACAAACAACACAAAAATTAGCTGGGTGTGGTGGTGTGTGCCTGTAGCCCCAGCTACTCAGGAGGCTGAGGTGGAAAGATCGCTTGAGCCCAGGAGGTGGAGGTTGCAGTGAGCTGTGATCAGGCTGCTGCACTCCAGCCTGGGCAACAGAGCCGGACTGTGTCTCGACAACAACAGAAACATTTACTCCAAATTGTATTTTTGACATTATTTGTAATGGCTGTTATAGGGCCAACAGATGAAGTGGCCCTGCAAAGCTGTCTATTGTCAGGGCAATTTGCATCTGTAGAGAATCTCCATTACTGCACCCAGGCCTTATATAACACCTTGAAAAGTCTGAAAAGAGCCGTTTATCATCCCTGACGACTTCTACTTGTGAGGTTTCATCTATGTAACAAGACCCCGTTTGCTAGCCAGACCTCTTCCTCCCGTCTTCCCAGAACCTCATTTGCCAGGATCCAAGCCCTCATTCATTCTGTGGCCTCAAGACCTGACAGTGGTGCCCAAGGAGAGAATACAGTCATGGGTTCCTAGTCTCTTTCTGGTTGGCCCAGTAAAGCCCCTTCCTTATCCCTCTTTTCTACTTATCACTAGAGACAGAAACTCAAAACCATGGCGTTGGGCTGCCAAAAGCCTAGAACAGAACAACAAAATAAGGCAGGTTGGACAAGCCTGGATAAGCTCCTGTACCTCCTGGGGGGCTGGGTCTCTATTCTGAAGGCTCCTGTGTATACATGGTAAATACATGTGTGTGCCTTTTCTCCGATTAGCCAATCTGCCTCATGCCAGTGATTTTTCAGCAAACCTTTAGGGGGCCAAGGGCCTTGGCTCCCACAACATGTTAGACTTGATGAAACACATACAGTATGTGACAAAACATTTAAGACAGGCTGCAAATTCTCTGCTACTCCTCACAGTGAAAGGTAAGAGTCTAACTCCCCTCCCTTAAACCTGGGCTGGCCTTAGTGACTTGCTTGACCAAAAGAATGCAGCAGACATAACTTTGAGACCTGGAGCTAGGTCACAAGACGATTTCCTGGGTTTTGTGGAATTCTCGTTCTGAAAGAAACAAGCCACCAAGTGGCCGGGTGAGCTGGCTCACGCCTGTAATCCCAGCACTTTGGGAGGCCGAGCCGGGCCGATCACAAGGTCAGGAGATCGAGACCATCCTGGCTAACATGGTGAAACCCCGTCTCTACTAAAAATACAAAAAAATTAGCCGGGCATACTGGCGGGCGCCTGTAGTCCCAGCTACTCGGGAGGCTGAGGCAGGAGAATGGCATGAACCTGGGAGGCGGAGGTCGCAGTGGGCCAAGATCGCGCCACTGCACTCGAGTCTGGGTGACTAGCAAGTAATAAGTCCTATTACTCCAAGACCACCCCACTGTAAGGAGGCCCAAGCTAGCCACATGAAAAGACTGGAGAGAGCTGTCTAGTGTCTGTCCCCAGCTGCTCCCGCCATCCTATTCGAAGTGCCAGCCATACACGTGATGAAGCCAACTTGGACATGCCAGTTCTCACAGCCGTGCTGGAGGAGAAGCCATTCTGACGTACCCAACATTCAGAAGCGAGGCCCAGACATAGAACCCCGGTCTTCATCGCAGCCATGGCTGACCAGATGAGCCACTCCAGTGGAGACCATTGAAATGAAGGTAAGCCGCTCCCACATCCCCCATCTGACTCACAAAATTATGAGCATGATGAAAGGTTTCACCAGTAAACACCACCACCTTTTATGGTTTATTATGTTTGGGGTGGTTTATTATGTTACAGGAAAGAGGTCCAGATCCAGGCCCCAAGAGGGGGTTCTTGGATCTTGCACAAGAAAGAATTCAGGACAAGTCCACAGAGTAAGGTGAAAGCAAGTTTATTAGGGGAGCAAAGGAACAAAAGAATAGAGCAAACCTTTAGAATAGAGCAGCCCCAAGGGCTGCTAGTTGCCCATTTTTATGGTTATTTCTTGATGACATGCTAAACAAGGGGTGGCCGATTATTCATGCCTCCCCTTTCTAGACCACATAGAGTAACTTCCTGACGTTGCCATGGCATTTGTAAACTGTCATGGCGTTGATGGGAGTGTAGCAGTGAGGACGACCAGAGGTCACTCTCGCCGCCATCTTGGTTTTGGTGGGTTTTGGCCGCCTGCTGCTGCTTTTTTTTTTTTTTTTTTTTTTTTTTTTTGAGATGGAGTTTCACTCTGTCACCCAGGCAGGAGTGCAGTGGTGCGATCTCGGCTCACTGCAACCTCCGCCTGCCGGGTTCAAGCAATTCTCTGACTCAGCCTCCTGAGTAGCTGGGTTTACAGGTGCCCGCCACCACGCCCAGCTAATTTTTTTGTATTTTTAGTAGAGACGGGGTTTCACCATGTTGGCCAGGCTGGTCTTGAACTCCTGACCTCATGATCCACCCACCTCCCAAAGTGCTGGGATTACAGGCATGAGCCACCACGCCTGGCTATGGCCGGCTTCTTTACCGCAAGCTGTTTTATCAGCAAGGTGTTTATGACCTGTATTTTGTGCTGACCGCCTACATCATCCTGTGACTTAGAATGCCTCAGTCATCTGGGAATGCATCCCAGTAGGTTTCAGCCTCATTTTACCCAGCTCCTATTCAAGATGGAGTTGCTCTGGTTCACACGCCCCTGACAATTACACAGCCATTGATACGGTATGTAAACCAAAAGTGACTCTTAAGCACCCCCAACCAACTGAATAGACCCTTCCCCCTTGGCCAAGAGGATGCCAAAGAAACCTGAAAAACTGGCCAGGCACAGTGGCTCACACCTGTAATCCCAGCACTTTGGGAGGCTGAGGCAGGTGGATCACGAGGTCAGGAGTTTGAGACCAACCTGACCAACAGGGTGAAACCCCGTCTCTACTAAAAATACAAAACTTATCCGGGCATGGTGGCACAGGCCTGTAATCCCATCTGCTCAGGAGGCTGAGGCAGAGAATTGCTTGAACCTGGGAGGTGGAGGTTGCAGTGAGTCGAGATCATGCCACTGCACTCCAGCGTGGGCAACAGAGTGAGATTCTGTCTCAAAAAAAAAAAAAAAAGAAAAGAAAATCTGAGTCCACCTATGCCCTGTAAGCCCCCGCTTTGAGTTGTCGCGCCTTTCCAGATGGAACCAATGTATACCTCACATGCACTGATTGATGTCTTATGTCTCCTTAAAATATATAAACCAAAGCTGTAACCCAACCACCTTGGGCCCATGTTCTCAGGACCTCCTGAGGCTGCCTCATGGGTCATGGCCCTTGCATTTAGCTCAGAATAAATCTCTTTTAATACTTTCCAGAGTTTGGCATTTTTTTGTCAATATGTATATGAAATATACCCTTAGGTTTTCTGTCTAATATGTTCTATGCTGTCCCCTGCTCCCACCCCACGATCATCTGCTATATTTTCTTATCCGTTGCTGTTTAAAGACCCACCCCAAAATGTAACAGTAAAAAACAACCAAGATTTATTGCTTCTTTTGATTCAGTGGGTTGGCAATCTCGGTGACTTTTTTCCTTTTTTTTTTTGTAGATGGAGTTTCACTATTGTCACCCAGGCTGGAGTGCAATGGTGATCTCGGCTCACTGCAACCTCCACCTCCCGGGTTCAAGTAATTCTCCTGCCTCAGCCTCCCAAGTAGCTGGGATTACAGGTGCCCGCCACCACACCCAGCTAATTTTTGTATTTTTAGTAGATACGGGGTTTCACCATGTTGCCCAGGCTGGTCTTGAACTCCTAACCTCAGGTTATCCTCCCACCTCGTCCTCCCAAAGTGCTGGGATTACAGGCGTGAGCCACAGCGCCCAGTCCCATTCCCATTTTTTTTAAATCAGAGTCACTCTGTCACCCAAGCTGGAGTGCACTGGCATGATTATAGCTCACTGTACCCGTGAACTCCTAACACCTGGGCCTAAGGGATCCTCCCACCTCAGCCTTCTGAGTAGCAGGGACTACAGGCATGAGCCACATGGCCTGGTTCTAAACATAATTTTAAAATCATACTCATGTTCTACAATATAAAATTCAACTTTAATAATTCATGTTCCCATTGTTCACAGTATTGGCTTTCTTATTTATTTTATATTTTGAGACAGGGTCTCCCTCTATCATTCATGCTGGAGTGCAGTGGCGAAATCATGGTTCATTGGCAGCCTTGACCTCCTGGGCTCAGCTGATCCTCTTGCCTCAGTCTTCCAAGTAGCTGGGACTGTAGGCACAGGCCACCACACCCAGCTAATTTTTTTAAAGTTTTGTAGACACAGGGTCTTCACTATGTTGCCCAGGCTGGTCTTGAACTCCTGAGCTCAAGCAATCCACCTGCCTCGGCCTCCCAAGGTGCTGGATTATAGGCATGAGTCACTGTGCCTGGCCTTTGGCTTTCTTATTTAGTATTCATTTTTACAATCCCTTTGGAACTTACATTCTAGGTTCATTTTAATTAGGAAATGTTTCATTTTCTCTCTTCCTCACTGTGTGTGACGCTGTCTGTCTCCCTGTTCTGCAGTTGCCTCAACCTCTCTGTATTAGGGTGGGCTAAACATCTGGAACAAATGGACTCCAAACGCAATATCTTAAACACAACAGGATTTTCTTTTGCTTTCACGTAACAGGGCAGGGTGTATGTCCAGGTCAGGCAGAGGAGGAGAAAGGGATAGTAAGGAAGATCTGTTCCACGCAGTCTTGGAGGGATGCAGGCTGGTGGGCTCTGCCATCCTCAAAACAGGGCTTCCAAGGTTGTACCTGTCACCTGTAGTAGGCTGAATAATGGCCTCCAAATATGTCTGCATCCTAATAGTCAGAACATGTGATGTTGCTTTACATGGCAAAAAGGAGTTAGCAGATGTCATGACATTAAGGATCTTGAGATGGGAGGATATTCTGGGTGGGTCTGAAATGGGATCCCAAATGTTCTTGTAATAGGGAGGCAAAGAGACATATCCGTACAGAGAGAAAACAGGTGTGAAGATGAATGCATGGGTCTGAGGGATGCAAGAAGCTAGAAAGGCCACAGATGGTTCCTCCCCTAGAGTCTCCAAAAGGAACAAGCCCCACTGACACCTTGACTTTAGCCCATGAAACTGATTTCAGACTCTGGCTTCCAGAGCTGAAGAGCATATATTTGCATTGTTTTGAGGCACTGAGTCTGTCATAATGTGTTGCAGCAGCCTAGGAAGCTGGTCCACGGTAGGAGGCAGCCCCGGGGAGGAATGATGGTCCAGGCTCAGAAGCCATGCATGTCACCTCCCCTCATGTTCCATGGGCGAGAACCTGGCCACATGGCAGCTCCCAACTCCAAGGGAAGCTGGGAAATGTAGTAGAGCTGGACACCCACATGTCCACTTAGTACCGAGGAGGGTGGGGGCGCTGGGTGGACAGCTACATCTCCGTCACACGTGTTGTATTGAGTCCTACAGCCCTGCGTGGTGGTGCAAATGCCCCAGGTCCCATCTGCACTCTAAGTCAGGGACTGGTTTGCTCAGGTCCTGGACATAAGGCTGTCTGGACATCCCTCTTTGGCTGCATGGGTTTTTAAAATTTTTCTTTATTTTTATTTTTTTGAGACAGGTTCACACCATGTTGCTCCAGCTGGTCTTGCACTCCTGGGCTCAAGTGATTCCTCCCACCTCGGCCTCCCCAAGTAGCTGGGACCACTGGTGCGCCCCTGGCTGCGTGCTTCTTTTACAAGCGTGGGTGACCCAGGCCCAGCAGCTTTGCAGTTGCAGGCCCACTCAGCACTTTGCATTTCTCTTCATTTCTGGCTCACAGAGATATCACTTTTGTTTTGTTTTGTTTTGTTTTTTTGATAGAGTCCCGCTGTGTCTCCCAGGCTGGAGTGCAATGGCGCGATCTCAGCTCACTGCAACCTTCACCTCCCGGGTTTGAGCGATTATCCTGCCTCAGCCTCCCAAGTAGCTGGGATTACAGGCGCCTGCCACCATGCCTGGCTTATTTTTGTATTTTTATTAGAGACGGGGTTTCACCAGGTTGGTCAGGATAGTCTCGGACTCCTGACCTCAAGTGATCCACCTGCATCGGCCTCCCAAAGTGCTGGGATTACAGGCGTGAGCAACCACGCCCAGCCACCAGTTTTGTTTTTGTTTTTGTTTTTATTTTTTGAATTTTAGTAGAGATGGGGCTTCACCATGCTGGCCAGGCTGGTCTCAAATTCCTAACCTCAAGAAATCCGTCTGCCTTGGCCTCCCAAAGTGCCGGGATTATAGGCATGAGCCACGGCGCCCGGCTTCGACCTATTTTTGAGCACAGCTATACTTCTTGCTTTGCAAATTTTACACTGTATGTGTAATTCCTGTGGCCAGCCTCAGTCTCTGCCACACATTCTCCTGGGGAGCACAATGGGCATGTGGAAGAGTGTGCTGCCCCTTTCTCTCTGGGAGCCACTCTGAAGCACCCTGCTCTTCACCGGCAGCAGACTGGTCTTTCTAAGCCACGAACGCTGCCCTCCTGCTGAAAAGTCTGCAGTGAGCTTTGTCTTTCCTTCTCTGTAAAATTAGCCCAGCTAATTTTTGTACTTTAATTTTAGAGACGGGGTTTCACCATGTTGGCCAGGCTGGTCTTGAACTCCTGACCTCAGGTGATCCACCTGCCTTGGCCTCCCAAAGTGCTGGGATTACAGGCATGAGCCACCGCGCCTGGCTGCTATATTTTCTTTACATGTTTTCTTGAATAAAATACATTTTCTTCAACCTAAAAGTTCATTTTTCCAATTTTAATAGAAATAAGAACATTTCCGTGGGCGCCCAAAGATATGTCCACAGCCTAATCCTCAGCACCTATGACTATGACCTCTTATGGCAAAAGGTGTGACACAGTGAGGGACTTGAGAGGAGGGGTTTGTGCTGGATCAATACAGTCACAGGGCTCCCTCTGAGATGGACACCACCGGCTATGCCTGCTTTTTTGACTAGATGATTTCATACCTCTGTAGAGGCAGAAATTAACCTTTAAAAAACAGGCAGCAATGTGGCCTGGCAATGTGGTGGCTCACACATGTAATCCCAGTGCAGGAGGGTCACTTGAGCACAGGAGTTCGAGACCAGCATTAGCAACACAGCAGGACCCAGTATCTACAAAAATATTAAAAAATTAGAGGCCGGGCATGGTGGCTCACGCCTGTAATCCCAGCACTTTGGGAGGCCGAGGCGGGAGGATCACCTGAGGTCGGGAGTTCGAGACCAGCCTGACCAACATGGAGAAACCCTGTCTCTACTGAAAATACAAAATTAGCCAGGCAAAGTGACGCACGCCTGTAATCCCAGCTACTCGGGAGGCTGAGGCAGGAGAATTGCTTGAACCCGAGAGGCAGAGGTTGCAGTGAGCTGAGATGGCGCCATTGCACTCCAGCCTGGGCAACAAGAGGGGAACTCCATCTCAAAAAAAAAAAAATTAGCTGAGTGTGGTGGCACGTGCCTGTAGTTCCAGCTACAGCTACTTGGGAGGCTGAGGTGGGAGGATCACTTGAGCCCAGGAGATCGAGGCTGCAGTGAGCCTTGATTGCACCACTGCACTCCAGCCCCTGTCTCTAAAGATTAAACAAACAAACAAAAAAAAACAGTCAGCAATGTAAAAAAAAAAATTTTTTTTTTCAGAGATGGGGTCTATATTGCCCAGGCTGGTCTTGAACTCCTGGGCTCAAGCAATCCTCTGGCCTTGCCGCTCAAAGTGCTGGTATTACAAGCCTGGCCAACAATCCTTGTGCACAGAAAATGCAAATTAGCTGTGTCCAGTTAAATGCAATTGACCTTTGCACTAGAGATAGAGCAGTTTTTGCAAATTCATTTCAGCATTCGTCTTCCGTTTTTTTTTTTTTTGACACAGGGTTTCTGTTGCCCGTGCCGGAGCGGTCCTTTTGCCTCAGCCTCCAGAATAGCTGGGACCACAGGTAAACGTCACCATGCCTGGCTAATTTTTTTCTTAAAAAAAATTTTTTTTTTTTGGTAGAGACAGGGTCTTGCCATGCTGCCCAGGCTGGTCTCAAATTCCTGACCTCCAGCAATCCTCCTGCCTTGGCCTCCCAAAGTGTTGGGATTACAGGCGCGAGGCACTGCATCTGGCCAAATTCTTTAAACAATTTGTAACAACTTATGATGTATTCATTATCGAGTTAAATAAAATATTTGACGTGTTCATTTTATATGTGTATGAAGGTCATGATTTTACCTTTAAAAAAATGGTCAACACCTGACATTTCCTTCCGCCACCCGCACTTCCAATTCATCCTCACATCTGACAGTTTAGCTTTCTAAATGCCTCTTGCATCTATCCACTTCTCCCCATCTTACCTGCCACCAGCGGTCTGCCCGAATTGGCTACATTAGGCTCTACCTGGCCCTTCTCCCATCCATCTTCCACACAGCAGCCAGAGTGATCTCATTACAATTCAAACTTCATTATGTCTTATTTATTTATTTAGCGATGGCGGGCGGGGGCGAGGGTCTCACTATGCTGACCAGGCTGGTCTCGAACTCCTGGCCTTAGGCGATCCTCCCATGTCAGCCTCCCAAAGTGTTATGATTACAGGCGTGGGCCACTGCGCCTGGCCCAAACTTCATGATGTCTCTTATCAGCTTAACTTCCTCCGAGGACTTCCCGTGTCTCCCAGAATAAAGACCGAGGTCTTCGCTGTGCTCTATCGGCCTCTGCATGACCTGGCCCCTCTCACACCACAGCTCCGCTGCACCACTAGCCCTCTACCATGCTGAGCTGAGCCTCCTCCAGTTCCCCTGCTGCAAGACCGTTCCTGCCTTGGGACCTCTGTTGGCCCTGCTGTTGGAACCTGCTGTTGGCCTGCCTGGAAAATTCTTCCCTCCTTACCTTGTTTACTCTTATAGGGCCTTCACATCTTGGCTAACATGTGAATCGCCCAAAGAAACCTCTGGTCTCCCAGGGGTTCAGGTCCTACCGTCTCCCCAATACGATGTTATGAAACTCTCACTTCTTGGCATTTATCTCATTTCCCAGGTGAGTACCCATGTGGTTTAACGCTTGACTCACCTTCTAGGCTGCTATGTCCCTGTGGCCGGGGCTCGCGTCCCTGGCACGCATGTGGCCCTTTCTTGGAGGGGAGGTGCATGGTGAGCGGACGAGGACGGCTGAGGGCGCGCGCGGAGGGAGGATGGAGAGATGAAGAGGCTCCCCGCTCCCGGACTCAGGGCACGTGCGTCTCCTCGGCTGGCTTCCTTCCCCCGGCCCCGGGCAGCGCCGCGGATCCTGAGACCCCGCCGCGGGCTGTGTGCTGCTCAGCGCCCATCCTCTGCGCGCGCAACGCTACTTCCGGGCGAGCTCTGCAGACTCGCCACAGGCCGGGCTAGCGCTTAGCCAGCTGCGGGCGGACCCCCGGGACTCTTGCGGGCCAAGACGCGGGAGGAGGCGGGGCAGGGGGCGGGGTCGCGCGGGGACCCGGATGCGGCCCCGCCCCCGCCCTCGGAACCGGAAGTAGAGCCTGGTGCCTGGGAGCGGCTGGCGCGGCGGAATCCAGGGCCGACCCGGGCCGGACCGACCCCAGGCGGCGGTGAGCGAGCGCGGCGTCCGCCCGGGGTGCAGGCCGGGCTCTGCTTCTTCCCTCCTGTGGCGTCGCCTGGCCGCGAAAGGGGAAGGAAGCGGCGGCCGCAGCGGTCTCACCGCTCTTCCGCTTGCGGTTTCGGGGGCCGGGGCAGAGTGGCGAGGCTTTCCCGGCCTGGGGCGGGGCAGGGCGAGGGCCGGGGGTCCGCGAGGGCCACGAGGACGGGTCTGGGCCCAAGGAGGCCGGGCAGGGGGCAAGGGGGCACGGAGGGCTTGGGGCTGGGGTCCGCGGAGGAAGGTTAGAAAGGGGCCAAATTGGGGTATCAGCTCTGAGGGGAGGGTCCCTGGGCGCCGGGGGGCTCCAGGGCAGGAGAGGGGCCAGGCTGGGAGGGGTCTTGGGTCCGAGGGAATAGGAGAGGGGGATGGGCTCCGAGGGGGAGGGTATTAGGGCCCGAGGGAGAGGGGCTGGGCCTGTGGGGTTCGGGGGTCTGAGCGGAGGGGGCCGGGGTTCGAGGGGCCAAGGAAGGTGGGTGTGGGGGGTCTCAAGGAAAGGGCGAGGGGTCTGAGAGGGAGGTGTCTGGGTGCAGAGGGAAAGGGATGAGGTCCGAGGGGAGGAGATTGGGGTCTGACGGGAAGGGGTCCAGGCGCAGAGCTACTGGGATGGGGTCCGAGGGAAGGGAATTGGGGTTCGAGGGGAAGGGGTCGGGGCTCGGAGGAAAGGTATAGGGTCCGAGGGGAGGGGATTGGGGCTCCAGGGGAAGGGATCCAGGCGCAGGGAAAAGGGATGGGGTCCGCGGGGTCAAGGCGGTTGGGGTGCGCGACTTTGAGGGGCTCGCTGTGGGACGTGGCGGAGCAGCTGGGGATCCGCCCGGCCTGCACCTGAGCGGAGGTTTTGCAATCAGGTCAGTGGAGGCAGCGAGGCGCGGCTGCAGCTAGTCGTGAGGCTCTAAATTTGGAACCGTCCCTCCTTCGGGGTGTGTTTAAAATCACCAGAACGGTGCTTTGGGGCTTTCTGTTACGTTTCCATCACCTGGATAGTCTAAGGGATGCCTGATCCCTGAAGCTGGAAGGCCTTGGGTGAGAAGGGACAGGGCTTCCTCCCGCTGGAATCTGTGGACGTTTGGGGCCCCTTGGGGAGGAATTCATTTTCTGCTGAAGGAAGCTCCGGAGGCATCCGGTGAGCGCTCCCTGGAATCCCATGCGCTCCCTTTGGGCTCAGTGTTGACTTGGCTGCGCAGGCTCTGTCGGGGGGACTTCACCCACTAGGTCCTTCAGGCATGATCCAGCCCTCAAGCCCGGCCGGGCCCAAGGCCGTGGCGCAGGAGGGGCTGGCCGCCTGCCCCTGTCTCCATTCACGTGTTTGACCGTGTGGGTGAGTCACTGGCTCCAGAGCACTGAGTCAGTCCTGTTTCTCCTCTGGTTAGAGAAGTATTCGCCAGATACTCAAGGAACAAGGAAGAGTCTTTTAAGTGGGACTCAATAAAAAGTTGGGGAGGCAGGGTTGTTTTGATATTAGGTCCCCTAGAACTAGAAGCTAACCTTCTGCTATATCTTACTGAAAAGAAATTTCTTTTGACCTGGGGCAGGGGTGCGGTGGCTCACACCTGTAATCCCTGCACTTTGGGAGGTCAAGGTGAGAGGATCGTTTGAGGCCAGGAGTTCCAGACTAGCCTGGGCAACACAGGGAGACCTTGTGTCTACAAAAAAAGAAATTCGCTGGGCATGTTGGCTTGCACCTGTTGTCCTAGCTACTTGGGGCGCTGAGGCAGAGGATCTCAAGCCCAGGAGTTGGAGGCTGCATTGAGCTCGATCGCACCACTGTACTCCAGCCTGGGTGACAGAGCGAGACCCTGTCACCCAGGCTGGAGTGCAGAGGCTCTTCACAGGTGCCATCTAGCACACTGCAACCTTGAACTGCTGGCCTTAAGCGATCCTCCCACCTCAGCCTCCCAAGTAGCTGGGACTGCAGGCCCAGCTAAAGCTGACTTTTAATTGTAGCATTTTGATGGACTTGTTTTTAAAACACTTTTAAAATGACAGCACACATAATCGGCAATTCAGATCTTCAGTCTGTGCCACGCAGTAGGTGCTCAGAAAAGGTGTCCTGAGAGTGTGAATTGCTGTGAGCGCTGGTTGCTGCCTTGTGTTGCAGTATTCCCATGGCCTGGGCCAGCCAAGAGCAGGGGACTGTGCTCCAGGAGCAGGCTTGGCTTTCACTGTGGCCCAGGCCCACCCCATCTGCTCACGCACTGCTTTGAGTAAACGGAGTAAATGTTGGGGGCGGGGTTTCCCTTGAGTAAGTGTGGTGTAGGGAGTGTGCCTGTGATGGTGATTTTGGCTACGCAAGTGTCTGTTTCCTTTCTCCTCCTGCTCTGCCATAGATGCTGAGGCTAATGGAAAGCTGATGGTGGACGGATGGTTCTGTCCTGTCATTTAAAACATTCTTCTGCCAGGCTCGGTGGCTCACACCTGTAATCTCAGCACTTTGGGAGGCTAAGGGCAGGTGGATTGCTTGAGCCCAGGAGTTTCGAGATCAGCCTAGGCAACATGGGGAAACCCCATCTCTGTTAAAAATAGAAAAATTGGCCGGGTATGGTGGCTCACACCTGTAATCCCAGCACTTTGGGAGGCTGAGGTGGGCAGATCACGAGGTCAGGAGATTGACACCATCCTGGCTAACACAGTGAAACACCGTCTCTACTAAAAAAAAAAATACAAAAAATTAGCCGGGCGTGGTGGTATATGCCTGTAGTCCCAGCCACTCAGGAGGCTGAGGCACCAGAATCGCTTGAACCTGCGAAGTGGAGGTTGCAGTGAGCCGAGATCACACTATTGCACTCCAGCCTGGGCAAAAGACTGAGACTCCATCTCAAAAGAAAAAAGAAAAAGAAAAATTAGCTGGGTGTAGTGACAGGTGCCTGTAGTCCCAGCTACTCAGGAGGGTGAGGCAGGAGAATCGCTTGAACCCAGGAGGCAGAGGTTGCGGTGAGCTGAGATCACACCATTGCACTCCAGCCTGGGCAACAGAGTGAGACTTCGTCTCAAACAAAAAAAAACAAAAAAAAAAAGAGAGAGAAAAATCAGCTTGGTGTGGTGGTGCATTCCTGTAGTCCTAGCTACTCGGGAGGCTGAGGTGGGAGGATCACCTGAACCTGGGACACAGAGGTTGCAGTGAGCTGAGATTGTGCCTCTGCACTCTAGCCTGGGCCACAGTGCAAGACCCTGTCTCAGAAAAAAAAAAGAAAAAAAAGGCTGGTGGGGGGCTTTTAGGCGCGGTGGTTCGTGCCTGTAATCCCAGCACTTTGAGAGGCTGAGGCTGGCAAATCACTTGAGGCCAGGAGTTGGAGATCAGCCTGGACCAACATAATGAAACCCCATCTCTACTAAAAATACAAAAAATTAGCTGGGTGTGATGGCGCATGCCTGTAATCCCAGCTACTCGGGAAGCTGAGGCAGGAAAATCACTTGAACCTGGGAGACAGAGGTTGCAGTGAGCCGAGATCGCGCTGTTGCACTCCAACCTAGGCAACAGAGCAAGACTGTCTGAAAAAGAAAAAAAAAGTTATTGTGTAGAGGAATTTTTCACTCTGTCTAGACAGCAAGATTACTTCACGTTTGTGCAATCTTGATTTGTACACTGACGTTTGCAAGGAAGGTTTAATGTTGAGGATGGACAGAGTCATTATCTTCTTTTGAACCGTATTGTAACAGCTTTATCGAGATATAATTCACATACCATACAATACGCCTGTGTAGTGTGTACTCTCCACTGGTTTTTAGTATCTTCATGCAGTTGTACAACTGTCACCACAGTCAATTTCAGAATAATTTTATCACCTCAAAAAGAAGCCCTTGTACCTTTTAGCCATGACCTCCCTATCCTCACCACCACCATCCGCCCAGCCCTGGGCAACCAGCAATGTATCTTTTGTCTCTGTAGATTTGTGAACTCCAGACATTTCCTAGAAATTGAATCGTATAATATGTGGTCTTTTGTGCGTGGTTTTCCTTTGCGCAATGGATTTGAGGTCCCTCCACGCTGTAGCAGGTGTCACTGCTGGATCCTCTTTGTGGCAGAATAAAATGCCTTTGTGTTAGGTAGACCACATGTTATGTATCTATCAGTTGATGGACATTTGGAGTGTTTCTGTTTTTTGGCTGCTATGAATAGTGCTGTTCTGAACACTCACGCACAAGTTTTTGTGTGCTTATACTTTATTTCTCTTGGGCATAGACCTAGGAGTGGAGTTGCTGAGTCATACAGTACCTGAGTTTAACCTTCTGAGGAACTGCCAGACCTTTTCCATTTAACATCCCTGTCAGCAGTCTATGAGGCTTCCAGTTTTTCAACACTGTTGCTGAGATTTGTCATTGGCTGTTTTATTTTAGTCATCCTAGTGGGTATGAGGTGGGTTCTCATTGCAGTTTTGATTTGCATTTCCTTGGTGGTTAATGACATTGAACAAACTTTTCCTGAGCTTGTTGGCCATTTGTATATCTCCTCTGAAGAAATGTCTCTTCAGATCCTTCAATCATTTTTAAATGGGGTTATTCGTCCTTTTTATTGAATTATAAGAGTTCCTTTTTTTTTTTTTTTTTTTTTGAGATGGAGTCTCACTCTGTCGCCAGGCTGCAGTATAGTGGCGCAATCTCGGCTCACTACAGCCTCTGTCTCCCGGGTTCAAGCAGTTCTCCTGCTTCAGCCTCCCAAGTAGCTGGGACTACAGGCATGCGTCACCACGCCCTGTTAATTTTTGTATTTTTCGTAGAGACGGGGTTTCACCATGTTGGCCAGGATGGTCTCGATCTCTTGACCTAGTAATCCGCCCGCCTCGGCCTCCGAAAGTGCTGGGATTACAGGCGTGAGCCACCTCACCTGGCCAAGAGTTCTTTATATATTCTGGATCTACAGTTCAAAATACTTTTCTCTCAGGATCGTCTTGTCACCTTCTTGATGAAGCACAAAATTTTTAATTTTGTACAATTTATTTTTTTCCTCTAGTGTTTTGGTGTCATATCTAAGAAACTATTGCCAAATTCAAAGTCACAAAAATTTACACCCTTTTAGGATTTTAGTTCATTTTTGAGTTAATTTTTCTGTATGGTTTTGAGGTAGGGCTCTAGAGGCTTTTTATCTTTGGATCCACAAAACAATCAAACTTATTTCCTATTGGTTATTTTTGTGATTGTTTTTTAAATTTCCAATATTGAGAGTATAAAATTGTGGATCTGAGCCTATCCTTAGCTGCTCATGAGTAGATTTTTATTATTTACTTTATGATTGATTTATGTATGAGACAGGGTCTCTCTCTGTCTCCCAGGCTGGGGTGCAGTGGTGTGATCATGGCTCACTGCAACCTTGAGCTCCTGGGCTCAAGCAGTTCCCCCACCTCAGCCTCCTGAGTAGCTGGGACTACAGGTATACACGACCATGCCTGGCTAAATTTTTAGGCAGAGTTGTATAGATGCTTGCCGATTACACTAATAACTGCAGTAACCAGAATGTAGCAAGCAATCTGTAGAAGTTAGGATTGCCGAAGGGAACTGGGGAGAGAGATGGAGCAAACAGTTGGGTCAGAAACCAGATAGGAAATTAATTAATTACCAGGAGGGCCAGCCAGGCACCATCCCCTAGTTCCTAATGCGTGAGAAACCACTCTGCCTGTGACCGGCTTGTTCCTAGGGACAAGGGGATTTCATTCGTCCATGTGTGTTGTCTAGCAGTATGGTGTCCAGTTGAGGCTGATGTGTGGTCCTAGGGAAGGGGTCGTGTGCTTGGCCACCCTCTGGGGAGCTGGAGTCTTGCTCCCTGCGCGGTAACCGTGTACGTTCATTAGGAATGCAGCCCGCCTCCTCCTCGGCTCTCCAGCTGCCAGTCTCATGTCTTGATAGACAGTCACCATACTGGTTTTTCCTCCCGGCCATATCATGATCCTCTCAAGGAGTGTTTTTCTTATATTATTGTTTTAAAAAGCTCACAGTAACAATTTTATTTTATAATGTCATTAATTAGAATGAATAAAAAGTGAAAATCTCTAAGAATTATGGCAAACAGTAAATGCATACTAGCAATTAAGGCAATAATTTCTGTTTGCATTCATAAGAAACATCATGTAGGCCGGGCGCCATGCCTCACACCTGTAATCCCAGCACTTTGGGAGGCCAAGGCAGGCGGATCACCTGAGGTCGGGAGTTTGAGACCAGCCTGACCAACATGGAGAAAACCCGTCTGTACTAAAAATAGAAAATTAGCTGGGCGTGGTGGCGCCTGCCTGTAATCCCAGCTACTTGGGAGGCTGAGGCAGGAGAATCACTTGAACCCGGGAGGTGGAGTTTGCGGTAAGCCGCGATTGTGCCATTGCACTCCAGCCTGTGCAACAAGAGTGAAACTCCATCTCAAAAAAAACAAAACAAAAAAGACAAAAAGTCATCATGTAGTTAGAAATCTTTTAAAACTTATTTCTTTAGTTTCTCTCTGTTGAACTTTTTTATTAGTAAAATGCAAGTCTTCCCATCCTCCTCTCAGATTTCATTACAAAACCTTGTTACGTTTGGGAAGATTTCTGAAGTTTTCTAAAAAGATCTCCACACAGAAGGGTTTGCCCAGGGAGCTGCTCAACATACATCCTTCTCAGCTTTTTACCCTTAATCTTTTTACAGACGGAATCAGTCCCCAATGCCTGGAAATTCCTCATTGGATTACTGTGTTTTAAACAGAATTTCGTGAACAGCCTTTTATCTCCAAGCGGAAAGAAAGGTACTTGTGCATTGTGAACATCCTAACATTCTTTTCCTGTGGATGGTAAGGGCAAAAATCCCTTTAACAGGAAACGGGGGAGGTTGCTGTTTCTGTGGATTTACTGGGAGAGAGATGATAATATTCTGGAAGGAAATTTCATTGTTTAAAAAATAAAGTCAGGTTTCTGTTGCATATGACTTAGAGGAGACAATTGCAGAAAACTCTGGAATTGAGGAAGAGAACCATTCCTGTCCTCCCTGAGGGGAAATCTGGCCCCTTCCCCACCCCATGAACATGGGTGGGGCCCCCAGGCACAGGATTGTGAAGCTCGCAAGTGCCCACCCCGCTCGCTGGTGAAGCTGTGTCCGGGAAGATGAGCAGAGACTGTGCTCTGCTAATCTCTCCCCGATGAGCCTGAAAAAGTACCAGGCAAAGACACCTGCCGCCTTTCTCCTTTGCCTTGGGGGTGAAGGTGGCCTCGCCAGCCCTGCAGGGACTCCCATCCTTTCTTGCAGCCACCTTCTCAGTGGTGGGAACCATGGGCAGCTGAAGTCCTGCAGGCGGGCAGCCCCCTCGCCAGGGCAGCATGGTGCCATGGGGCGGCCGGAGACCAAGCATCCCGTTTCTCTTTCCTGCAGCCGTTGCTTCATTTATAAATGGGCGCGTTGGGACAAGATGGACTGGTTGTGCCTTTCCGTTCTGAGATTCTAGTTCATCTGTTTTCTAAAATCCTGGCAAAAGCAGATCACTCTGGAAATTCTTGCCATGCTTTGGGCATTGACAGAAGGTTCCAGGGGCACTGTTAGTCCTGCTACACCCCTTGGCAGACGGTTCTTCCCCAAGAGACAAAGTCGCACCTAGAAATTTGAGAGCACGCTGCCCTGATTGGTCCCTCACTGTCACATTGGATTTGGACTTGAGACCCAGCCAGGCTGGAGGGAGAGGAGCCAGATGGGACATTCTCAAGCTGCGAAGGGGTTTTGTCCAGTCCTGATTCAGGGCGCTAGAGTCCCAACATGGCACCTGAGAAAAAGTGAATTGGGTGTCCTCAGTTCAGACCCCTGGGCACAGCTTATGGTTGTTTGATTTAAAATAATCTCTCAGTTGCTCTGTGGCCTATGTGTAATTGTATTACTATTTCTGTGGAAAAGGAATCACTTCTTTTTATACATAGTTTGAAAAAAAAAAAAAAACCTTAAAATTTTATATTTTACCACTGCAGTTACAAGAATTGTCTTGTTAGGGTTTACAGATGTGCCATTGTTCTGTATAACAGAGAAAACCTTCCAGTCTTCAAGGGCTGAGGGAGAAGGTGGCTGCCCACTTGCAGAGCTGCCTGATAGAGGAAAAGGTGGCATTTTATATTCCTGTTTTCTTCCAAGTAGAGAGTAAAGCAATTCTCCAATAAACTACTTGAAACATTTATTAAATTGTAAGTCTGAATTAGGAAAATTATTGTTATGGTTTCAGTAAGCACTTGAAATCAAAATGGGTGCACTTTTTAAAAATGTGTGATAAAATACACATACCATGAGATTTACCATTAGTAACATTTAGTATATTTATAATACATAATCCAAAATGGTGCTTTTATTTTTGGTTGGAAACTATCATCATATGATTGAACAGAACAGGAATATGTTCTTAATGAATAAATAAGTGCACACACGACTTTTTTATTTTCCAGAAAATTTTCTCACTCAAGGTGAAGCCAAATAGTATTTCCAGTATATTTCTGACGTCAGGTGACGGCAGTGTTAGAACCCCGAGGTGAAATTTCTTTTACTCCTGTGGTTGTCAGTCAGGCTTATGGATCATGAAGGATTGGCTGGTCCTGCAGCCTCGTCCTCCTGGGTTGCCTAGAATCTCGGTAGTTTTGGCCAAAGGGCTCATCTGCTGGCCTCTGTGGATGGCGCCCTGAGGCCTCCGTAACCCTCCCCGGCTGCTCTTTCAGATGTGGAAAGCTTCAGCAGGCCACGCTGTGTCCATCGCCCAGGATGACGCGGGGGCCGATGACTGGGAGACCGACCCTGATTTTGTGGTAGGAGCCGCCAGCCTTTGCTTTCCTCTTTCATGAAGTGGAAGTGGCTCTCCTGGGTTTTTCTTTGATGGGGTGGTGGTTTGTCTGTGTCACAATCCAGGCTGTGAGATTTACTGGTCGCTTTTCTTTTCAGAATGATGTGAGTGAGAAGGAGCAAAGATGGGGTGCCAAGACGGTGCAGGGCTCCGGGCACCAGGAGCATATCAAGTAAGAGGCGTCGCCACCACCCTCCCGAGGGCCCCTCTGCGGATGGAGCCCCAGGTGCAACAGGGCCCATGGTCATCTGTGGAGGGACAGCCCGTGTGGAAACTGCATTTATCTTCTTGACCTGATACCCATGCAGTAAATGAATATAAGACACACACATATATGTGTATTTGTGTAATGTGTGTGTTTATATGTGTATATTTAGATACTTCTGTGCTCAGTAATTTTTAAATTCCCATTGCAAACAATTTCCGTATTTATAATTTTAGAGTGTCCGCTTCTCAGTATTGTGGCTTTTATCAGGGAACATTTGTCCCTAAGCTCTACCTTACAAGCGAGAGGTTTCTAAAGTATGAGATGTCTGAATAACTGAGACCTTAAATGCCCTGTCCCTTTTTTTATTATCTGGAAATGATTATGTGTTAATAGTGAGGTACTGTGAGCTTTGTGTTCTTATCGAAAGCCCAGAGTTGGGCACTGAGTGAACCCTGTCATTGTTTCTCACTTGGCACTATCTAAAATGCCAGCTCTTGGGGCAGTTTTTTTTTTCGTCAGAAAGTGTAGATAAAAGGAACTTTTAAAATATGCTCAGACTTTTATTTTAGGCCACGCTGGGTTCAGAGTGGATCCTCCTTTCCCTGGCTGTGAAGGCAGCACCACTGACCCGGTGACCGCCTCAGTATCCCGGGAAGACTGTCCCGCTTGACCACGGTCCCTTCAGCTGAGAAAGATTTAGTCCTTCCTCCAGAAAAGAAGGCACAGCCTGCACAATGGCTTTTTATTTTGTTGTTAAAGATTTATTTATTTATTTATTTATTTATTTTGAGACAGGGTCTCACTCTGTCACCCAGGCTGGAGTGCAGTGGTGCAATCATAGCTCACTGCAGCTTTGACTTCCTGGGTTCAAGCGATCCTCTCACCTCAGCTTCCTGAGTAGCTGGAACCATGGGCGCACACCACAATGGCTAGCTAAGTGCTTTTATTTCTTGTAAAGATGAGGTCTTGCTTTTGTTGCTCAGGCTGGTCTTGAACTCCTGGGCTCAGGTGATTCTCCTGCCTCAGCCTCCCAAAGTGCTGGGATCACAGGTGTGTGCCGCCGCACCTGGCCCCCAGTGGCTTTTTATACACAAGTTTTAGTCCCTCTCTGGCTTGCTCAGCACACTCCCTTCCACAGAAGCAGCTTCGGAACTCCGGTGGCCGTGCGGCTGCCCAGGACAAGAGACTGGAATGGGGCTGACTTGGGAGTCCACTGTAGCCTTGGGTATTTGCTATGGCGTTAAGCAGACTCCTGAATTCGTTGAGTCATCATACCTCTTCTCATCTCTTCTGTTCCCTGTGGCTTCAAAACATGTCTCGGAGGGTGGCTTGGAGAAAAAACAACTCTCCAGTACAAAACCCTTGGGCTGGTTAGGATTCAGAGAGGAACACATGGGGAATAAGCCCATTCTTCATGCTCTGGGGCCTTCCCAGGTTTTAGGAGTGGTGTCTTTCTTTCTCCTGCTCATAAGGGTATTGGGCGGTTTCCAAGCCTGGTTTGTATTTCATCTTCAATTCTAGGATTGTCGTCCAGATGTCAAAGGTGGCGTCCTGGTGTCTCCTGGGCAGAAAGTCCGAATGCCAAAGTGGCCTTCTTATCACTCTGGGGTCTCTCAATGACAGCTGTGTCTGGCCTACCAGATTTGAGCAAACCTTGTCATCTGTTTCATTATCTGCTGTATTAAAATTTTTTAATGGCATTTAGATGTTAAATTCTGAAACGCTTTCCTCTCATCTTTGAATGTATAAAAAAGCTGGAGTACTTCAAGTACAGACGAATCATCTGAATGTTCAGCACCACTGGACTTCTGCCAGTGGCCGAGGAAGGGACCATAGCCTCGTGTTTCCCCCTCTACCTCTGGATGATTACAGACTAGCTTTCCTATTTTCTGCGTGTGAAATAAAGGTCAGGCTTCAGTAGAGCCATCTTTAGCGGGGATTTGGGATGATCCCAGTGTCTGCCTTCAGATTCGTGTTCTGTCTCCCACAGAGCATGCGTCTGATACTGCAGACTGCCGAAGTGGGTGTACCAGCCGGCAGAATAGTCAGGAAGGCACAGTGCAGGGAGAGAATCGGTGAACATCAGATAAGCAGATTTACAAATTTACAAAGATAATGTCACCTGTTCTTATTTATCATACCAGGAGGCAAAGCTGCACGTCTGTTTTATTGATCTGTTCCTATTTTCATCTCTTCCATCAAGCATACACAAGCTGAGGGAGAATGTCTTTCAAGAGCATCAGACCCTTAAGGAGAAGGAACTTGAAACAGGACCAAAAGCTTCCCATGGCTATGGAGGGAAATTTGGTGTGGAACAAGACCGAATGGATAAGGTAAGTGGCCCGCGGCTGCCTATGCCAGGCTCCTGGTGTGCTTGGACCACTAGACTGGGTGGCAGAGTCGTCCCTCAGTCTTTCCTTAGATCAGCAGTTTTGAGTCCATCTGCTGAGGTTGCGATTTGCCCGGAGTAGACCCCTGTTGATTGGACTTACTCATGAAGTACTCTAGCTTTCTTCAAAGCTCTTTAGGAATCCTCAGAGGTGCTGGAGCACGGGTGTTAGTGGGGAGGCCCAGAGAGGGAGATTGGCCCTCAGAGGCAGCCTTGTGATAGGACAGAAGTCCAGAAGCATCCTGGCTCTAGGTGTCATCACTGTCAATGCCTGTGGTTCCAGTCTGTAGCCTAAGTCATGCCAGTCCGAAGACCAAAGTCAAATCTGTAGGTCCCCATGGTTCACAGCACACACGGAATCCAGCCAAAGGCCTGGCTAACATCCTTCATGCGTTCAGTGACCATCAGAGCAGTCTCCCTCGTGTAAATTCGGCGCGTACCAGGCTGGGGACAGTGCTCACTCTATTCGAGAGGTCTGGGCAAGCCTCCCAGCAGCTGTCATTGATGGGATGCAGACTGCCACGCAGACGTTGATTGAGGACGTTGGCCAAATGCATCCGGCTGCACCCGTGCTTTAGGTCCTCTCTACCTTAAGAAAGGGAGCCACGTTAGCTCAGGAGGGCTACCTTTTCCTTCCTGGAGAGAAGATGGAAGAGATCGCAGTGTGTTTGCATGTTTCTTCAGTAAAACAGACATCCTGGAGGTGAACTTTTGAGTCTGAGCAACATAAGCTTGTTCTGACCTGACAGATGCTTGCCTTTACTCTGTGGAAAGAAGTGTGTTAGCCAGTGTCGGATTCCAGCCGGTAATTCCATACCCCTCTCCCACCTCATGCACCAGCCAGATGAACATTTGAGCTGGGCACGGGATGATGTTGCCGTGTCACAGTGAGCTGCACCTTGCTCTGTCCCCCGCAGAGTAGATGATGTGGTGGGCCGGCAGGGCACCCCAAACCACGACCATAAATAGCCTGGGGGAGGAGTGGGGTGAGGGACCTTCTGCAGGAAAGAGACATGGATGTTGCTGCGTCACTACCACAGAGATGCCCTGACACCGAGAAGAGCAATGTGTGCAGAATCATCATCTTTGGAGTCTAAAAAAAGTCTGGTAGCTTTTAGGAGTGTAAACAGGCAGACGGACCCCTGAGTTCAGTGCAGCGAGCGAAGCAAGTGCACACGGACAGACGGAATCCATGTGTTCAGTGCAGCGAGCGAAGCGTGTGCACACGGACAGACGGAATCCATGTGTTCAGTGCAGCGAGCGAAGCGTGTGCACACGGACAGACGGAATCCATGTGTTCAGTGCAGCGAGCGAAGCGTGTGCACACGGACAGACGGAATCCATGTGTTCAGTGCAGCGAGCGAAGCGTGTGCACACGGACAGACGGAATCCGTGTTCAGTGCAGCGAGCGAAGCGTGTGCACACGGACAGACGGAATCCATGTGTTCAGTGCAGTGAACGAAGCAAGTAGATAGGAGCCTTTCCCACTGCAGACTGAGGCGAGCCCTGTGCTTAGGGGGCTTGTGGGGAGTTAGCGCAGAGAGACATTTATTCTAAAAATGGGGCTCCCTGCTGTGGGTTGGGAAAATTACATATTGGGGAAAAGAAAGGCAACGTGTCAGGAGAGCCTGGTAGGGAAGCTGCTGTGGCTTCTCTGCTGCTGCTCGGCCTGCACCTTTTTTCAGCGCGAATCTCGCTCACCCTAGAACCTGCAGCTCAGGCCTTCCCGAGTGCCAGGAGCTCCCTGGAAGAGCCCTCACTTCCCTCTCTCCTGTGCGGTCTCCACAGCAGCCTCTGCTTCCCTCATGAGCTGTCCTTGCCTCATCCTGCTGTCCTTCCCAGGGAGACTCCCCTCCGGGCTGGGCTTTTCAAGGGTCGGGACTTGTCATCCTCACCTTGTGCCTGGCTCAGTGCCACGTGCCCCCCCCTTAGGCCAGTGCTCTCATGGAACCAAGGAGGCTTATGGAGCCTTGCTCTCACCTCTCAGCCGGCAAGTTGGAGAGCTGTCCTAGCAGGGCGAGTCCAGCAAGGGATGCTGCTGCTGCTCAGTCCCAGCTGGCATCGGGGCCAGGTTAGCGCTCAGCTCAGGTCAGCACCATGGGACAGATACGTTGTCAAAAATAACTCAGGGCCAGGTACGGGACTGGCACCTGTAATCCCAGCATTTTGGAAGGCCGAGGCAGGATGATCTTATCAGCCCAGGAGTTTGAGACCAGCCTGGGCAACATAGCAAGACCCTATCTCTACAAAAACATAATTAACTGGGCATGGTGGTGCACACCTGTAGTCCCAGCTGCTTGGGAGGCTAAGCTGGGAGGATCACCTGAACCTGGGAGGTGGAGACTGCAGTGTCCTGTGATCGCACCATTACAGTCCAGCCTGGGCGACAGAGAGAGACGCTGTCTCAGGAAATAAATAGATTAAACTCAGATTCCAAACCGAAGGGGAAACGGCTTAAGTTATTTGTAACTTGCCCACTCCAGAAACTAAAAAAAAAATAAAAAATTGAAATCTCTGCGTTAAGACTTGAGGAATATGTGCTAGAGACTTCCAGAACAAAAGAAGACATTGAGGACAAGCACACGCGAGAGGAGCCTGGACGGGCTGTCAGGATTCTGTTTATGCTGGGGCCTGAGCACACTGCACCTTTCCCTTGCGGCCAGCGGTGGCTGCATCCATCACGCGGGGCAGGCTTCCTTCTTGATCCCTTGTCTCCTTGCATCCCGTAGCCCTGAGTCTACATATTCAGGCTTCAAGATACAATCTCCCCAGCGTGATTGTTTAATAACAGATTTTGTCAATGTGAAATCGAAGGCAATTTTGGAGATGAATCCCTTTCAATCAAAAAGCTGGAAACTTTGCCTAGTTGTCATTCTGGGCATGTCTTTAGATCAGTTTTCCTGTAACTTCCTTCTGATGAAAACTCATGCTGGGGAATCCCTTTGGCACGTCTGCCTCTGCCACTCCTTCATCTCTGTTTTCTGGGTGAGACCCCGGAGGACACGGATGGGCAGTCTCTGCCACAGAGGGTTTGGAGGTGATGGCTCATGTGGAAAGAGAGTCAGCTGCCAACCTCAAAACAAACGTGGGAAGAAGAGGGCGCAGCACAGGCCCAAGGCTTAGGGCAAGACCTGCTTTTTCAATAGGGGAAATAGTGGACACTCTCTGAGTTGCCTGCTGCGTCAGCACCGGTGTGGGATGCTGCTTGGGTTAGCAGGTTAGCATGAGTGGCTCCACATGCTAGAGGGAGTGAGAAGAGGGGTCCCGATGTGCCGTGGACTTTCTCCACGCCCTCTGCTGGGCCATGTGCCCGCACTGTCTGTGAAGGAGTCCTTGACCCGGCTCTGCTGTGAGGAGGGAGCCTCAGAACCCTGGGGCCTCGGTGTCAGGACTGGAGCAGGGCCAGTGCTTTGAGGTAGGAGATCTTTTCCACTTTGTGGACCAGAGGGTCTCTCAATAGAACTGCCGAACGGAGTTGCTGAATCACACAAGCAGCTGTGGACAGCACACCTGTGAATGGCTGTGGCTGTGTCCCAGAGGCGTTATTTACAGAAGAGCTGGGTGCCGGGTCTGGAAAGCCCAGGGGAACCTTGGGCTTTACCTGCTGGCTTTGGCGAACAGAAGGTCCCCAAACCTGTGTGCGCTGATGGGGGCTGACGACATTAATGATGCTGAAATGAGCTGGCATGGGAGCCGGCAGCTGGCTCCTGCCTGAACAGGGTGCTGCTCAGCGGAAATCCAGTGTGAGCCTGTGTCTTGCAGACTATTTTTGTTTATAGTCTATTAGAACAAAATAGTTTGCTGGCAGACTATTTTTTGTGCCGATTCTTTGGTCATGTGATTCACAGAGGTCCCACTTCAGTAGATGCCAGCAGTCTCCACACCAGCGGGTCTCACGGATCCTGCCACAGGCTGCCAGCTCTGTGTACCTTCTTCATGCCCGGTCGTGTCAGAAATCCCCACTGGTGGCCCCGACCTGTGTCCAGGGTTCGTGTGCAGCTTCCAGGAGCCCAAGGGCTGGGGTGGGCCGTGAAAGCCTGCACCAAGGGCTGGGCGCGGTGTCTCACGCCTGTAATCCCAGCACTTTGGGAGGCCGAGGCGGGTGGATCACAAGGTCAGGAGATGGAGACCATCCTGGCTAACACGGTGAAACCCCGTCTCTACTAAAAATACAAAAAATTAGCCAGGCATGGTGGCGGGTGCCTATAGTCCCAGCTACTCGGGAGGCTGAGGCAGGAGAATGGCGTGAACCTGGGAGGCGGAGCTTGCAGTGAGCCGAGACCCCGCCACTGCACTCCAGCCTGGGCAACAGAGCAAGACTCTGTCTCAAAAAAAAAAAAGCCTGCACCAAGGACCCGGGCCTCCCAGGAGTCGTGTCGCCTTCCTTGGCTCCCCAGATGGGTGTGTTAATGTAAGGTTTCCCTGCACTGACCAGGATGTGGCCTCCCCCAGCCCTGCTCTGGGAGGAAGTGAAGCGCCGCAGTGTTGTTGGTGTCTAATGCTTTGTGTTTGAACCCTGTTCCAGTCAGCTGTCGGCCACGAATATCAGTCGAAACTTTCCAAGCACTGCTCGCAGGTGGACTCGGTCCGTGGCTTCGGAGGCAAGTTTGGTGTCCAGATGGACAGAGTTGATCAGGTGAGTGATGTGGCACTGGGACTGGGGCAGGTTGGGGCAAGGGGGGCGTTCCCCGTAGATCTGAGCCCTGTTGGGCCACTTGTAGTAGCAGGCAGGTGCCCTCCAGCTCTGGGGGACTGCAGAGAGGGGCATCTGCCTCCCAGGATGCTCTGAGAGCCTGGGCTCTCAGAGAGAGGAAGCAGGATGCGGCGGGCTTGCTGTAGCAGTCCCTGCGGTCGCTCTTCACTACGTGCCTCAGTACTGGATGGCCCTGTGTCTGTCCCAATGTGCCAGCAGGGACCGTTTCCACCCGTGTTTCTCACATGTGTGTTACTGTGACAGAGTGACATCAGAGCCTATACCGGGGGGGCAGGATGCGCTCGTGTCCAGGACCCAGGCTTTGCGTCCAGGTGTTGTTGCAGTCATCCTAGGCCCGAGCCTCTTTGATTCTCTTCGGCTCGGGTCTGTTGGCTCTTTTGTTTAATAGAGGAGCGATCAGGAGCCTGGAGGGAGCAGGGAGCTGATGCTGGTCGCAGATTGTGGCTTTGTGACATATTAGCCACGGTTCTGAATTTATGTGTCTGTGAAAGGAGGATGATCATACCTATCTCACGGGTGTTTGCTCAGATGCCCATCGCAGTGCCTGGCTGGTGGGAGTGCACCCCTGGTGGCCACTGCTATTCTCATTACTAATACTAATGTTCTCAGCATGACTTATTTGAGAAGCGAGTTTTTGTGAAGCCCGTGGAATGAATCAGCTGAGCATTCCCTGCTGCCGCATGCTGGGGAGGGCAGGTCACCAGGGATATGGCTTGGCCTGCGCCGCCCACTGGGCCTTGCAGTGGGCCTGTCCGTTTAGGATGCCAGAGCTCTTGCGTCACTGCCACCTGCACCTGGCTTAGGAACCCAGAGGTCACAGCATCATGTGTTTCATATTTTTTTAAATGTCATGTCATGAATTCAGAGAGATTGTTTCAGGGACATTGGAAAGTATTTCTCCCCACTTTTTCATGTGTTTTTGGTCGTCACAGTCTGCTGTAGGCTTTGAATACCAGGGGAAGACTGAGAAGCATGCCTCCCAGAAAGGTAAGACGCGAAAGGTGCAGAAAGAGCCCGCTCCGGGGGCCCCGATGGGGAGAGTCACAGCCACCTGAAGCCGTTTCCCCGCGCTCCGGGGGCCCTGATGGGGAGAGTCACAGCCACCTGAAGCCGTTTCCTGAGCGGTGGCTGTTGCCACAAGGAGGACTCTGCCCTCCTCTTCATGTTTCTGGATCATCTGGATACCACATGATGGATGTATTCCCCGTTACACATCCCCCTCGGAGCCCTGGCATCTGCTGTCATTGTGGGGCTTCTCCCCCTTGTAGCGGAAGCCGCCTTCCCTTCATCTGGGCAGCGCTCCTCCTGGAAAAGAGAGCTCACAGATTGATCGGCAGAAAGCTAACTTCCCCCCAAGGCTAGAAACCAGAGTTGTTAAATTCTTGTTTTCCTTATACACATACGGTCTTAACTGCTGGTGATTAATCTTGATTACATCATGCAGTCTCTTTTTTGAAAGACCAAAGCATATCGCCACCTTAAAGTTCTCAGTTTATTTTTTGCAAGCTTATTTAGTTCTTCCTCCTTTGTGTCATTGCATCATCCGCGGAACAAGCTCTCAGTCCTTACGCAGTCTCGGTGCAGTCTAGGTGGAGGTAGCTGTGGTGTGGGCAGGCGGAGGATCAGGGTCTTGTCTCCCATGTTCAGCTGCATGGCTTTCTTCATATGAGGCTTTCTCTTTCCATTTTTTTCATTTTGTTTTGTTTGTTTGTTTGTTTTGAGACAGAGTCTCGCTCTGTTGCCCAGGCTGGAGTGCAGTGGCACGATCTCGGCTCACTGCAACCTGCGCCTCCTGGGTTCAAACGATTCTCCTGCCTCAGCCTCCCAAGTAGCTGGGATTACAGGTGTGTGCCACTACCCCTGGCTAGTTTTTCTATTTTTTAGTAAAGATGGGGTTTTGCCACGTTGGCCAGGCTGGTCTCAAACTCCTGGCCTCAAGTGATCCGCCCACCTCAGCCTCCAAAGTGCTGGTTCTTTGTATGAAGCTTTCCAGCTTTTACCTGAGCAGTTGATTTTCAAAGTGGGCATGCAGCGTCATTTCTGACTACACAAAGGAACTGCCCTGTAACAGCTGACAGGGCCCAGAACCCCCCCATGCACCTGTTGTGAAACAGGGTCCAGCGTCACCTGTATGGAGCAGTGGGTGGCTTGTTGTACATTTTAAAATGTGCGCTTGATGTGTTTGTGAGTTGTAACCCCTACACACTTTTGCTTAGTTTAACAAAAGGAACAGTGTAGTTCGTCCTCAGGCCCCCGTGCTAATTGCTGCCCTGTCTCTCCAGACTACTCCAGTGGTTTTGGCGGCAAGTATGGCGTGCAGGCCGACCGAGTAGACAAGAGCGCGGTGGGCTTCGACTACCAGGGCAAGACGGAGAAGCACGAGTCACAGAGAGGTGGGGCGGACCCCACGGTCTGTAATCACGCGTTTGCTCCAGAAACACCCACGAGGGCATTTTCTCTCTGCACACGTGATTGTTGTAGATTTTTTAACTGAAAATGTTTGGTGTTCTTTTCGTACCAGTGTATGTGGGCTTTTCCTAATTCGAATGGCTGCACAGTTCCCCATCGTATGAGGATTCCATAGTCCATGTAACCATTCCTTTTTTGAATGTGGAATTTAGGTTATTTATTTATTTATTTATTTATTTTTGGTAGAGATGAGGTCTTGCCGTGTTGCCCGGACTGGTCTTGATCTCCGTGGTCTCAAGCAATCCTCCCCCACCTTGGTTTCCTTAAGTGCTGGGATTACAGGTGTGACCTGTAAATTTTTTTTTTTTTTCTTTTAGACGGAGTCTCGCTCCGTTGCCCAGGCTGGAGTGTAGTGGCGTGATCTCTGCTCACTGCAACCTCCACCTCCCTGGTTCAAGCAATTCTCGTGCTTCAGCCTCCCGGCTAGCCGGGATTACAAGCACACGCCACCACGCCCAGCTAATTTTTGTATTTTTAGTAGAGACGGAGTTCTGCCATGTTGCCCAGGCTGGTCTTGAATTCCTGACCTCAGGTGATCGCCCTGCCTTGGCCTCCCAAAGTGCTGGGATTACAGGTGTGAGCCACTGCGCCCAGCTGAAACTTGACTGCAGGGAACATTCTTGTACCTGTGTTTTGTTCACAAGTGATTATTCAAAAGAATCAACTCCTAGACATGGAATTGCTGGGTCGAAGGCTATTGAATGTAAAATTTCCATAGATACTGCCAAGTTGTCCTTGGAGGCTGTGCTGAGTTCTTCCTTCCCCACTGCATAGCCTGTACACCATCACTCAGAGCGTTTCCCAGGGCTGCAGAGGCTGTGGCCTGCCTGTTTCCCTGTGCCTCTTGTTTGGCCTGCACATTTAAATTTTTAAAAATATTTGCCAACATTTGAAAAGTGAGAGCTTGACTATTTAAAAACTCAAAAAAAAAAAAAATTACCCCAAAGCAAGAAACACCACTGGAAGATCCGACCATGCTGGCTTGGCATTTCCCTGAGGAAAGTGCCGGTGGCCTGGAGGGCAGCTTGGCTTGTAGTTTGTCGCGGCCTGGCCTGGCCTTGCCTTCCTGCCGGTCAGGCCTTGCCTGCCGCACAGAGCTGCTTGCCTCTGCTCTCTGCCTCTTTCCTGGGAACAGTCCATTCCTCCTCTTCCCGACACCACACAGTTGTGAGCAGCGCATGCTCCGCGAAGCTGCATGAGTGTGTGACTCCAGGGAGCCAGGGAGCACAGGCCGAGCACCTGGGCAGACGCAAGGCTCCTTGGATGCTTCAGGCCTTCTCTCCCAGGCCTTGATCCTCTGCCTTGTGCTGTTAGTGGGTCCATGAGAGAGTCATGTTTTGGTGTCACAGTGACATGCTAAATGGCTTCATTCTGAGTAGAACTGAAGTTTCTGGAGGATGCTGTGTGTGTCCTATTTCCTGGCATCCCCCTGCGTGCTTCAGTTTGTGAAGAGTGGCCTTTGAAAGCCTTGCCCTTCTGCTGCCTCCTGAGCTTAGAGCCTTATCATAAACTCTCATCTCCTGCTAGCTTCTGGATGCAATGGATGATGTTACAGGAATTCATCTGCTGTACTTTATTTCTTTTTTTTTTTTTTTTGAGACGGAGTCTCTCTCTCTCGCCAGGCTGGAGTGCAGTGGTGCGATCTCAGCTCAGTGCAACCTCCTCCTTCCGGGTTCAAACAATTCTCCTGCCTCAGTCTCCTGAGTAGCCGGGATTACAGGCATGCACCACCAAGCCCAGCTAATTTTTGTATTTTTAGTAGAGGCGGGGTTTCACCATGTTGCCCAGGATGGTCTTGATCTCTTGACCTCATGATCCGCCCACCTTGGCCTCCCAAAGTGCTGGGATTACAGGTGTGAGCCACTGTGTCCAGCCTCTGCTGTACTTTAAAAAAAAAAACTTTTTTTCTTAATTCTTTTTTTTTTTTTGAGATGGAGTTTCACTCTTGTTGCTCAGGCTGGAGTGCAGTGGCGCAATCTCGGCTCACTGCAACCTTCACCTCCTGGGTTCCAGTGATTCTTCTGCCTCAGCCTCCCGAGTAGCTGGGATTACAGGTGTGGGCCACCACGCCCAGCTAATTTTGTATTTTTAGTAGAGATGGGGTTTCATAATGTTGGTCAGGCTGGACTTAAACCCCTGACCTCAGGTGATCCACCCACCTCGACCTCCCAAAGTGCTGTGATTACAGGCGTGAGCCCCCTCCCCCAGCCTGTTTTTTGAATTTTTAAAATATTAGCTAATGATTTAACTTAGAGATGGGGTCTTGCTATGTTGCTCAGGCTGGACTCCGCCTCCTGGGCTCAAGTGATCCTCCCTTCTCAGCCTCCTGAGTAGCTGGGCTGCAGGCACACACCCCCACCTCTGGTTACCACTGTTTGTGTTTCTGTTATTACACATAAATAGCACCTTTAAATACTGTCTGTATTATTCAGTGGTCCTACAGTGGACCTGAAAGATTTTTGTTTTTTTAATCAAAGGATAAAATACTTGCATGTTCACTGATTTCGTTGCTCCTTTTAAAGTAGTCCTTTTTTGTTTGTTTTTAGATTACTCCAAAGGTTTCGGCGGCAAATACGGTATCGACAAGGACAAAGTGGATAAGAGCGCCGTTGGCTTTGAGTATCAAGGCAAAACGGAGAAGCACGAGTCCCAGAAAGGTGTCTTCCGTTTTATCTTACCCTCCAGCCAGCAGCTAGTAATGTGACAGGTGGTAGCCACACCGGAAAAGGAAAAACAAAGCGTTATTGATAGCCCTTAACGTAGATGTCTCTTTTTCATGAAATGCCCAACTTGAAAACGGCACATCCAGAAACACAGCTGCTAAATAGGAACTCGCAGCTTGAGTGTTATGGCGCTCCAGCCCCAGCGGCGTTGCTTATCGTGGTGGCCACACCCCGCACGTCTGTGTTGCCCGTGTGAGCCTGTGCTGTCTCATGGTGCGGGTGGAAGCCGCATGCGTGGGAGCTTCCATGGGGTCCTGTCTGGCTTAGTCACGATGCTGAGGTCATAGACTAGGTTATTTCCTGCCACTCTCCAAGGAGGGCCTCTTCATGGATGTTATCTAAAGTATTACCAAAGATCCGGAAGGGAAGAGTAGATTGAGTGAATCATATGCGTTTAACTGTATTGAAAACATACTTTCCACCTGTGACCTGCACTACCTGTTAATGATGGGTTCTGGCCTTTCATTGTGCATGTAGACTATGTGAAAGGGTTTGGAGGAAAATTTGGTGTGCAGACAGACAGACAAGACAAATGTGCCCTTGGCTGGGATCACCAGGAGAAATTGCAGCTGCATGAATCCCAAAAAGGTACATTCACTCTGCCTGTATGCGAGATGGTTTTAGAAGTTTGTTTTTGTTCCTTGCGGGGTCAGTTGGTATGTGTTGTGTCTGCGTGTGCCTGCTGCACATTGTTTTGTCTTCACTGTTTGAAGTTGTCCTGTGTGCCCCCCCAATCCCCCAGTTCCCTCCAGCTAGTGTAGTCACAAACCCTCCCTGCTGACACGGGGTGGTACCCCAGAGAGCTGGGTTTACCTGGAAGTGGGTTGCACGGGCCAAGCCTGCAGCAGGGGGCTGGGTTTACCCAGGAGTGGGGACATGGGTCAAGCCTGCAGCGGGGGGCTGGGTTTACCCGGGAGTGGGGGCATGTGTCAGGCCTGCAGCGGGGGGCTGGGTTTACCCGGGAGTGGGGACATGGGCCAAGCCTGCAGTGCTCCTCATCCAGGCTTCTTGTCTATAAAGTGGGCCACGGTTTTTGGCAGGAGATACTTACTTTTGAACCGAAAGTGTTTTCTTGTTGGAATGGGTGCCCCTTCCCTGGAAAAAGGAGCCTGAGGGGGCTGAAAGCCTCTCAGTGTGACCCAGCCCTGAGAGAAGCAGGAGCGGGGCTAATGGGGCTGCAGCGCCCTCCGAATCTGCAGGGTCTCTCCTCCCGTGTACACAGATACGCACACTCGTCTGCAGTGTGCGTAGGACGCTAAGAATGAACTGCACAGCCGGGAGTGCCTTTACTGAATTATTTGAAGTACAGTTCTTAGGCTGTTCCAGATCTTCGCTGAATGTTCAGATTTTAAGTTCATTCTTTAACGTTGACCTCTGGAGCCACCTTCTGGCGCTGAGCCTGGGAGTAGGATCTCAAAGGCCCTAAGCTCAGGAGAGCCCTTGCTTTCTGGAAACTGTGTTTGATTTTTGCGCATGCTCATGCAATTCTAACCCAACTGTGTTTCCTCTTTTGGTTGTTTTCCCCACCGTTGCTTGTGGATTTTCAGATTATAAGACTGGTTTTGGAGGCAAATTCGGTGTTCAGTCGGAGAGGCAGGACTCCGCTGCTGTGGGGTTTGATTACAAGGAGAAGCTGGCCAAGCACGAGTCCCAGCAAGGCACAGTTGCCACCAGCCTCCTACCCTCCCCCCGACCCTCCTGTGCGGCCACTTCTAGCACAGACTTCAGGGCTCACCGTCAGCACCTGCAACACAGTCCTCCTGTGTCACCACTTGTCAGCTGTCAGGCTGTTCGGCACTTTAAACCCATTTCTAGTAGAGCGACACTGATTTTGAGTGGTTCACTTTCTTCCCTGTGAACTTGTGATCTGTGTATGGCAGGATGCGCCAGTTAGTGTGTGGGTGCCATCTTTCTAACCCGGTGACCCATCCAGTCTCTGGACTGGGGCATCTCCGGTCTCCAGCAGCATTCTGCCCGAGGCTGTTCTGCTGTTATTGGTGACTGCCGTGAGCCACTGAGTCAGGCCTTCCAGATGAGGAGAGAGGTGTTGGTTCAACCAAACCACTGGCCATTTGACCAGGGGCTTCGTAGCAGCAAGGGCCAGGAGACAGGCGTGTTCTGTGTGGTTTCTGTGTTTCATTTGTGGTGGTGTTTTTGGCCGGGGTTGGGAGGTTTTTTGTTTGTTCTGTTTGATGACACCATATGTGTGTAACATCTCCACACAGAGCCACACAGTATGTACGTGAAGCCAGCTCTGCATCCTTCCTTAGAGCAGTTATGTTGTTACCTTCAAAATTTGGACTTGGTTATTAGAACCTGAACACATAATTGGAAAAACAGTAATTCCCTAACCTTGCAGGGAAGACTCTAGGCTTTCCACCTGCAGCGTTAGAAACACACAGCAGTGTTCAGGTGTGGGCAGGTAGACACACCTGGGGTGGTCCCGCAGACTGCATGGAGATGGCAGTGGCTCTCCGTGGCATCACTGCTGCATGACAGTGTGACTTTCATGTGGATCTGTGTTGCTGCAACGGAAGTCTTTGGCTGGTAGAATTTCCACATGGATTTTTTTTTTCTCTTAAAAAGCAAGAGAACAAACTGCGATTGAGCCTCTTTTTAGCGCTCAGTAGAGCAGGCGCACAGGAAGCAGATGAGAATAAGCCCGTGCTGGTGCGGAAGACTGTGCTATTGAAGTGGCGCGTTGCAAAGGCCTGTCCGTGCCCTCTTTCCTCGCTTAGCTCCTGCCTGCTGCCCGCCGCCCCTCCTGCCCCTCCTGCCCCTCAGGGAATGCTGAAGCCTCTGCCCCTGGCCTGTGCTCTGCTTCTCACTGCCTGTGTCTCACGACCATGGGTGGAAGCAAAACTTGCCTTGCAAGTGAAGCCTCGCTTGGCCATTCTCGTTTCTTCCCGCTGTGGTGCACCTTCTTGGGCTGTTTCTGGATCTGTCTGCATGCACCCACGGCCACCCCCATGCTCGCCTCCACCTCAGAGTAAGTGTTGTGTTTTGCCACGTTTCAGACTACTCCAAAGGATTCGGCGGGAAGTATGGGGTGCAGAAGGATCGGATGGATAAGGTAAATATTCCAGCCCCGGAGCTTAGTGTCTTCTGCCTGCAGGGGCTCTTGGTGGGCGTGGCTCACCGTGCTGGCCAACATCCACGCGCTGGGGTGGGGCACAAGTGATTTCCGTCGTGGTGGTGGTGGTGGTGGCGATGACTGACTCGGACAGTCTTGTGCTCCTCATGGCCGTGCTGTGGGATAGGCGCTGGCACCGGCCCACCTCCTAACTGGGGGCCCCAGGCCAGGCAGGCTCAGCACCTGGCTGCAGCCATAGGAACCCAGATGTTTAACATGAGAGGTGAGAGCCTCGAGGGCTCATGTCCATTTGAACTTAAATTCTTAATAGTAAATCAGATTGGAACCTGAGTGTGTTAGACTGCGTGTGGGGCTACCTCGCTGGCAGCCAGCGCTGCGTGTGCGGTGATGAGCCATGTCTCCCGTCTTCAGCCTCGTAGAGACGCGGGCTCCACACTGCCTGCTCCTGCGCGTGGCCTGTGGTCAGGGGTGGCAGGGTCAGTCCTTGCCTCGCAGCTGACCACACAGCACCATCCAGGGGCGTAGGCAGGCAGAGCAGGTGTTCGGGCTGGGCTCCCCAGGGAGCAGTAGCCTGGGCTCATTTCTGAGGGCAGGCGCGAGTTCACCAGGAGAGAAGGCTCAGGAGACCACGGAGGGGCGAGGTGTGGGCCTGGGTGGGACAGGAGTCACTGCAGGTTCTCAAGGAGCCTAGCTGCAGAGGGAGGGTGGGGAGCGGGGATAGAGCTGGCCCTGGAGAGCCCCACACACCACAGAGCATTCTGCATGTCGTGACATGCGTCACACACCACAGAGCATCTGACGTGCGTGGCCCCAGAAAGGTTAGCAGGCAAGGAACACTGGGGGGGTCTACTTTGAGAAGCCCCCGGCCTCAGCGTGGAGTCTGGGTTGTGGGGGTTGGCCTGGGCAGAGGGGTGTGGTCCTGAAGAGAGCTGGAGGGGCTCGGGTGGTGGAGAAGCAGGGCATGGTGTTTGGCGCCAAGGGACGCAGGGGAGGGAGCAGTCGGGTGGATGTGGGGTGGACGTGGGGCCAACTGTGGAGCCGAAGAACTGGGAGGAGCAGATGTGGGTGTCAGCGAGAGAGAGCTGGGGTAGGGCCGGGGCCGGGTCCGGGTGGCGTGCAGAGTTGGGAGGGGAGTAGGCACGCGGTCAGAGGACACTGGGCAGGGGGACCCAGTGAGGTAGCAGGGGCCTTGCAAGGCACTGGGACAGACGGAGGGAAGGAGCTCCCCTGTGGGTGAGTCAGAGGTTGTGGCTTTGAGGCCGGAACCTGAGGGACTGCCTGTGTTGTGGGTGTCTGTGGTCAGCATTGCTGGTGTTGGCGGTGACCGCTGAGCTTGTGAGCACGTGAGGAGGCAGTGTGTGGGTGTGGCCTTTCGTGTCATTGTCTTTCATCCAGGAGGGGGTGGAGCTTCTCTCTCTGTTTGCTGTGTGATGGAGGAGTCCAAGGCTTAGAGAGGGTGACGTAACTGCCCGGGTCCCCATACATTGTGGGGATAGGGCTACAACCCAGGCTGGGAGGTGAAGTTGCCCCCTCAGGGCAAGGTGATGTCTGCAGAGGGCCCAGTGGGTGATGGGACCCAGTAAGGCTGATGGCCTTGCCTTTGAACAGGTGCAAGCAGCTCAAGGGACATGGAGTAGACGCTGGAGCTGACTGATGGGAGGAGGGAGCGGGGTCCGAGGAAGGACAGGCGGGCCAGGAAGGGGGCAAGCAGGAGGTGCTGGGCAGAAAGGGGCCATGGTATGGGGGCTCTGGTGGCTTCTGAGCCTCAGGTGTTCTCATCAGAGGTAGTGAAACCCACAGTGAAACTGGGTACGGCCACTGGTCTCCATGAGCCCTGACAGTCTCCACCTGAGTCAGCACGTAAGAGTCATCGCCGTCGCTTGGTCAGACCATAGTTGAGTCCCCTGCAATGCAGAAAGGTGTGATTGCACCACTGGGTAGTGTGTAGGACGGGCCACTGGAGGCTTGCATGTGTCCCCAGCGTCTTCGCTTCCTGTAAATGCTCACACCTCTGGGTGGCGACGGAGGGTGGGGAAGGCTTGAGGCTGATCCCAGAATTGGTTTGTGGTAGAGCAGATGGAGATACATGCATTTCTTATGCTAATGCTGACCCACGATTGCCTGCAAATGTGGTTGGTAATAGTTTTCATGCCTCAGTTAGTTTGCAAAACCGAGAGGCCATGAAGAGTGCTCTGGGCTGTGTGGCTGGGCCTTTGGGAAGATCTGGGGAAGGCATTTGCATCTGGCAGGAGCTACCACAGGGCATGGAGAAAAGAGAAAAGTGCTCTCCTGACGCCCATGTCCTGTCTCTGCAGAATGCGTCAACCTTTGAGGATGTCACCCAGGTGTCCTCTGCCTACCAGAAGACAGTACCTGTCGAAGCTGGTGAGTCCCGGCTGATACCAGGAGCACCGTGTGGTTTCCCAGGAAAACACTGAGGGGAAGGACAGTTGTGAAACAGCCAGGAGCAGATGCACCACTAGTTGAAAGCGTGGTTGTTGCTGCGTATTTTTGGGAAAGAAAATGATCGTTCTGATGAAGATCTTGTTTCTCCTGCAGAGGTTTAGAGTCACCTTTTAGACGCAGCATGGTGCAGCCGTTTCAGTGGGGCCCGTTTCAAGGGGCTCTTCCCAGAGCAAAGGGGCTAAGTGCACATTCACAAGGGCCTCCACACTGCCAGTGACCAGCTTCTGGGAGCAGCTGGGGCCTGCCCAACTCCCTGAGCCGCTCGGTCGCAGCTGTGACAGGAGGAAGACATCATGACGTCGATGTGCAGGCGACAGCAGACATTCTCTCTGCTGCTCGTTCTTGGGCCCTTGACAGGGAGCTCGAAACCTGTCCTTTTCTGTGCTGGACACACGATGGAGTCAGATGTGGGCCCTGCCCCGGAGAGTCAAGTAGTTGGGGAAAATGTTATACATACATGAGAGCAAGTGCTAAATTTAACACAGGATGCAGAGAGCCACCACTGACTTCCTTCAGGGGCTATGGACCCACAGTTCTCAGAGATTGAGGGCCCAGGACGCTTTGACACTTTGACCACTCGTGAGAACCCCCAAGATGTTGATGTATTTGATGACATTGACTATATTAGAAATTAGAGGAATGTGGCCCGGCACAGTGGCTCATGCCTGTAATCCCAGCACTTTGGGAGGCCAAGACGGGCGGATCACGAGGTCAGGAGATCGAGACCATCCTGGCTAACACGATGAAACCCCGTCTCTACTAAAAATACAAAAACAAAATTAGCCAGGCATGGTGGCGGGCGCCTGTAGTCCCAGCTACTCGGGAGGCTGAGACAGGAGAATGGCGTGAACCCAGGAGGCGGAGCTTGCAGTGAGCGGAGTTTGCGCCACTGCACTCCAGCCTGGATGACAGAGCGAGACTCCGTCTCAAAAAAAAAAAAAAAAGAGAGAGAGGAATGGTTTATTTATTTATTTATTTTGAGACCGGGTCTTGCTGTGTCATCCAGGCAGGACTGCTGCCTCAGTCTCCTGGGCTCAAGCAGTCCTCTTGCCTCAGCCTCTGGAGTAGCTGGAACTATAAGCGCATGCCCCCTGCCCAGTTAAATTTTTTTTTTTTTTGAGACAGAGTATCACTTTGTCGCCCAGGCTGGAGTGCAGTGGCGCGGACTCGGCTCACTGCAAGCTCCGCCTCCCATCCCGGGTTCACGGCATTCTCCTGCCTCAAGCCTCCGGAGTAGCTGGGACTACAGGCGCCTGCCACCACGCCCGGCTAATTTTTTTGTTGTTGTTGCTATTTTTTAGTAGAGACGGGGTTTCACCGTGTTAGCCAGGATGGTCTCGATCTCCTGACCTCATGATCTGCCCGCCTCGGCCTCCCAAAGTGCTGGGATTACAGGCATGAGCCACTGTGCCCGGCCAAATTTTTTTATCTTTAGTAGAGATGAGGTCTCACTGTGTTGCCCAGGCTGGTCTTGAATTCCTGAGCTCAAGTGATCCACCTGCCTCGGCCTCTCAAAGTGCTGGGATTACAGGCATGAGCGACATTGGAAAGTTATTAATTGGTTCACTTAAAAAGAATAAACCTTGGCCGGGTGTGGTGGCTCATACCTGTAATCCCAGCACTCTGGGAGGCCGAGGTGGGTGGATCACCTGAGGTCAGGAGTTTGAGACCAGACTGGCCAACATGGTGAAACCCTGTCTCTACTAAAGATACAAAAAGTAGCTGGGCATGGTGGTCCACGCCTGTAATCCCAGCTACTCAGAAGACTGAGGTACGAGAATTGCTTGAACCTGGAGGCAGAGGTCGCAGTGAGCCTTGATTGCGCCACTGCACTCCAGCCTGGGCGACAACAGCTAAACTCCATCTCAAAAAATAAAAATAATAATATAACTGGCCATGCACAGTGGCTCATTCCTGTAATCCCAGCACTTAGTGAGAAGACCGGCATTGTTTTGTTTTGTAAATCTCTTTAATAGAAGATGGCTGCACTCTCACATCTGCCTCTGCAGTCTATCGATGTTACGTTGTTTAGGAAGAACATGTGGAATCACCTAGGTAGGCGATTGGGAAAGGGAGGAGTGTTTGTAACCTTGAGGGCAGCGTGGGTGTCCTTCTGCGACGCCGCCCAAGCGTGCCAGGCAGTGGTGGTCCTGCAGGCCGGCTCCTCTGGCCCTGTGAGGGACTCGCTACCCACTGTGCTTGGGCAGCACTGTGTGTTGGTCATTTGGAAAATGCTGGGTCTCTGAGTTGTGCTCGTCTTCCAGTTGTGGACACTTCTCATTCCACAATACCAAAAAAAATCACATTTGCTGTCATCATCTATTTCATCTGCAGAAGCTGAGTGGAAATCAGCATGTTCATGTGGCAGCCTCACATTTTTCAAAATTCTGTCTTTTACTTGAAAGCTGGAATTTTCCCGTTGGCAACAAATACTCCAGTAATTTTTCTTGACACAATAGGCTTAGTTCATTCACTTGGGAGAAAACTGTTGCCAGATACCCAGCTTTGCATAACCATAGTTGGACTGTCAGTTGTTATTTCAGGGAAAAACGCTATTCCATGAGAAAACAGTCAACTTGCAGCTCTCATGGTTCTATTCATGGTCCTTGAGACACAGACAGCCACCGCCACAGTCCCGGACACAGCAGGGAAGGCTCATGTGTCTTCCCACTTTTTTTTTTTTTTTTTTTTTTTTTTTTTTTGAGACAGAGTCTCGCTCTGTCGCGAGACTGGAGTGCAGTGGCACAATCTCGGCTCACTGCAACCCCTGCCTCCCAGGTTCAAGCGATTCTCCTGCCTCAGCCTCCCGAGTAGCTGGGATTACAGGTGCCTGCCACCAAGCCCAGCTAATTTTTCTATTTTTAGTAGAGACAGGGTTTCACCATGTTGGCCAGGATGGTCTTGATCTCTTGACCTCGTGATCCGCCCACCTTAGCCTCCCAAAGTGCTGGAATTACAGGTGTGAGCCACCATGCCCGGCCATATTCCCCACTTTTGACTTAAATTTTTATCATTTTTTCTTAATAGACACGGGGTCTCACTGTCTTTCCCAGGCTGGTCTCAAACTCCTGATCTCAGTCTTCCCGTCTCAACCTCCCAAAGTGCTGGGATTACAGGCATGAGCCACTGCCCTCTTTTCCATTTTTGTCACACACAATATAAAAAAATGTATACTCTGGTTGAGATTTACTATACTCAGTATACGTCAATTACAGTATACATCAGTACCTTAACTGCTTTATCAAGGACAGATGTCTTTAAGGGAAATTGGCTGTTTTTATTTAAAAAGGTGAGTGTGGTGGTGAAGATACCGTCTTATTTAGAGATCTTCCTGATGCCAGGCTTAGGGGGATTGCCAGTCCCACCAGGTACGCAGTGCCCTGCGGCAGGTGCCCAGTGCTGGCTCCGGACCAGTGGGCTGAGCTGGCAGCTGCAAGAACCTTTCCCTCCTTGGGGGTTAGGGGGATGACCGGTTCCTGGGGAGGTCACTCTGTGTGGGTGGGGCTGTTGTCCAGGAGCAGTGTTTTTGCTGTGCTCAAGGCACACGTCCTCCCTCCTTCCTCTATAGTGACCAGCAAAACAAGTAACATCAGAGCTAACTTTGAAAACCTCGCTAAGGAGAAAGAGCAGGAGGACAGGCGGAAGGCGGAGGCGGAGAGAGCCCAGCGGATGGCCAAGGAGCGGCAGGAGCAGGAAGAGGCCAGGAGGAAGCTGGAGGTGAGTGGCAAGGAGTGGGCCGCAGCGCACCCTCCCTGGGACCTGTGCCGAGGGGATTGGGAGCTCTGGGGCCTGGGCGGGGCTTATTCTCTCCTGGCCAGGTTTTCCTTGGAAGGCATGTTTAACTCTCCTTTAAGGCTCTCCATTAAGGCACTTGTCACTTGCAGCCACACATAGGCTGAGTCTCTGGCCACAATGCTCCAGGCAGCCGGCTAGCGCTATCCTGGTCTTGCCGGTCCAGCCCCAGGACCCGCCAACCTGCCCTGCCCTCTGTCCCTGAGCTGACGGCAGAGTCTTGTCGGCTTCCACCTCCACGGGGCTCCTGTCCAAATGTCAGCCTGAGTCTCTTCTCACCCCTCCCCCTCTGGAAGCCCCTCCTTTCCCAGGTGGAAGTTTGGGGTTTGGAGGGGACTCTGTGCAGAGGCAGCCTGCTCTCGGGGCCTGCTTCTGCTTGGCCAGCCCAGCCCCGCTCACCCAAGCCCCTGGGCTGTGGAGAAGCGCTCCCAGAGAAAGATGCCAGAAGTGCACCCCTGGCAGGGGCGGAGCACGAGCCTGTGTCTGGGTGCTTTGGGTCTAGCCTGGGTGGCTTGCCACTGACAAGGACTTTCCTTGTGCTCAGCTGGATCAGGGGGGTTGTGAATAGAGCCTGAGGCCTACAGATGTGTGTGTGTGAAGTTACCAGGTGTGGTTCTGCAGCTGGGGCATCTGCAGTGTGGGGCAGGCCCAGCCTGTCTGGAAGCCTGGGCTTCTCCTATCCACCCCAGGCCCTGCCCCTGCAGGGCCACACAGGACGTGCTACTTTGGGTGTTTAACCTGTGGATGGCATCAGGTGACGTGGGAATTTACAACTGTCCTGTTGGGGTCAAGCAAGGCCATAGATGCCAGGAACCGTGCTAGGGTCTCAAGACCAGGGGTGGTTTTCTCTTCAAAAAGACAAGACAGCACTACCATTGTTCCCGTTAGAGCAAGGCCGCCTGCAGAGGGAGAGGAGGGAAGGGGTTTGGAGTGGACACCTGGGGTTCAGATCCTGCCTGGGCAGCTCCCTGGCCAGTGTGCCTGTGCCTGCCACCTCACCCTCAGACTCAGCGTCTGGCACTGGAGCCCACAGGCTGTCAGTGAGTTTCCTGTTGCTGCCGTAGTCACCACCACACACAGCACACAGCTAGTGTCTTATAGCTCTGGAGGTCAGAGGTCCTCAAAGATGTCAGCAGGGCTGTGTTCCTCCTGGTGGCCCCTCGGCCCTGTCTTCCCATCTCCAGCCTCTGCTTTTGTTGTCACCGCCCCTCCTCTGTCCCTCACACTCCTGCCTCCCTCCTCTCAGGACCTTGTGATTACATTGGGTCCACCCAGGCAGTCCAGAGTTCTCCCCATCACAGAACCCTTAGTTTCATCACATACACAGTCCCTCCCCATGGGGTCTGGGGACTGCGATGTCAGCAGCTTTGAGGGGCTATTATCCTACCCCAGTTCATCCTTTGGCCCCTAAAGCTTCATGTCCATCCCATGTGCAAACATACTCAGCCCATTTTAAGGTCCCCAAAGTCTCAACCCATTGCAGCATCAACTCAGACTCCCAAATCTGTGCCTAAACTATCTAATCGTGTGTGGGCGAGAATGAGCTGTGGCCCAGTCCCGGCACTGTCGCGTCACTGGCTGTGTGATCTCGGCCTCAGAGCACACCTGCCCCTCGAATCCTGCCTAGGTGCTGGTGGGATCTGAGGCTTGGTGCTCCAGCTCCCCTGCCCCTCGGATCCTGCCTGGGTGCTGGTGGGATCTGAGACTTGGTGCTCCAGCTCCCCTGCCCCTCGGATCCTGCTGGGGTGCTGGTGGGATCTGAGGCTTGGTGCTCCAGCTCAGCCTTGGTGTGGGTGTTTTCCACTCCTTTCCCCAGAGCATGCCTAGAGCTTGCACACGATCTTCTGAAACACGGCAGGCGTGACAGTGCAGAGTGTCATGGCAGCATTCTGATTGCTGTTTGTTTTCAATCACAGGAGCAAGCCAGAGCCAAAACGCAAACGCCCCCTGTGTCGCCCGCACCTCAGCCAACCGAGGAGAGGCTGCCCTCGAGCCCCGTCTATGAGGTTGGTGTCTTTGGTGTTTGAATGAGCGTGAGTGACTTACTGCCAGAGCCCAGGTCCTGTTTGTGGAGTGGAGGAAGCCCTTGCAGGCAGGCAGTGTGGCGTGGGTGTAGAGGGCATCGCTGCATTCCACGCCCGGAGAGGGGTGGGCCAGGAGCGCCTGGGGGGTGGGTGACATGCCTCAGTGCTGTCAGGGGATAGCTGTGCAGGCCCACATGCCATCCTTTCACCCCTCTGCAGCCTGTTGTAGTCTGGCCACTGTCACTGCAGTCCCTGCTGTAGTCACCTGCTATCAGATAATCAGATGGGGGTGTCTTCACCCCACTTGCTCTCTGCTGTGCAGGACGCCGCCTCACTCCCTAATGGCAGTGCTGCCCTCCTTCATCACTGAGCCCCTGCCTCCCGCACAATCTGCCTTCTATGCCTGCCCCATTCAGCTCTCCAGCCTTGCAGCCCCTCATGAGTGTGGCTGCAGACATGCTGTCCGGCCCCTCCCTGTGCTGCTGACCCCCTCTCATGGGTCCCCCAGTGTTCCGTCCCCATCCCTGAGTTACGGAGCCGCCTGCCGATGCCCCGCCCATCCCTGACTTTGGGTCTCCTGCTCCCCGCCAGCACCTCTGCGCTAACCACACCCTCTACCTGTAACCACCTCTCCTGTCCCCAGCCCTTGCCCTTTCTCCATCCCATGGCCATCATCCTGGTCTATGCATTCATCTCTGCTCGCCCAGGAGCCAGTCAGTTACAGGGGTCACACTCCAGACCATGGTAGTTCAGGAGCCCAGAGAGAGCCCTGGAGACAGGCCGGGTCTGGGATCTGGGCCTCGATGGCCGTGGCCTTGTCACCACCCGACTGTCCCTCCTTGGCTACGCTGCTGCCTGCTGCCTTTACCCTGCCGGGCCCTGGGGGGATGTGGTAAGTGAGGCCTTGCAGCTTGTCAGGAACCGGCCTCCCCCTCTAGTCCCTCCCCTTGGCAGCCAGCGCCATCTGCCTCAAGGAAGCTCCGACCCTGCCCCTCCCGTGCAGTTCAGCCCTTGTGTGGTTCCTGGTGCCTGTGCTGAGGGTGGAGTCGCTCTCCCTGCCCGATTACTCTCCCTGGCTAGCAGCTCTCCACCACTGGCTCTTCCCAGATCTCCTGGGTGCGCGGTTCTGAGCTGTCGGCATTGCTTTCTTTCAGTCACTGCCGGTGACATCAGGTGGACCCTGGTCAGAAACATTGATTAAAGCCACTGTCGGTGATAAGCAGTTCAGAATTTTCGCTGGGGCTCCGAAGCGGCAGTGGTTATAGATAGAGAGGTGTTCCACTGCGCACCTTTGTAGTTGAATGTGATTCTTTGGCGATGCCCTGTCTGTAGGCTCAGCTGCTCTGGAGCCACGTGGTGAAGCCGCTGTCAGGCAGGGCCAGGGTCGAGCAGCACAGGCAGGAGGGTGGCCGCTCGGCCCAAGGGTGCCTTGTGTGGCCTTGGAGATGAGGCCTAAAAAAAGAAATCAGCCAAATTAACCCAACAAAGACAGGCTCTACCCCCAGGCAACAGTGTGGGCAGGGGCGTGTCTCCTAACCTGCTGTGTGGGCGTGGTTATTGCAGGACTGGAGTGTCGGTGGTGAGGACCGGGTCATCATCGGGAAGGAAATGGCATGTGGGCACTCACCACCATGGTGAACACACCGGCAGGCCTGGCCTTCCTATACCGCGTCTGTTTTCTCAGTCCTGGCTGGGACTGAGAATTAGATGGCCCGTGGGTTTCTGCTGGCTGTGGCAGTACAGCTACTGCTCTCTAGAAGCCAGCATGGGCCCCGTGCCATGTGCGTGTGACCCTTCCCCAGGATGCGGCTTCCTTCAAGGCAGAGCTGAGCTACAGAGGCCCTGTGAGTGGGACGGAGCCGGAGCCCGTGTACAGCATGGAGGCCGCTGACTACCGAGAGGCCAGCAGCCAGCAGGGCCTGGCCTATGCCACAGAGGCTGTCTATGAAAGCGCAGAGGCCCCGGGCCACTATCCCGCAGGTACTGGGGCCCCACGCTGCAGCGCCCTGCCCAGGGCAGGGAGCTCCCGGGACATCCTGCTCGACCTGTGGCGTCGTTGCGAGGAGCGTGGGTTTCCCACTGACACGCCTTTGCTTGCTTGCTATAGGGTCTTCTTGTCCCTGGAGGGAAGTGCTCTAGGCACATTTGGGGCATCGGCTCCTGTGCTGGGTCCCAGGAAGATCCCCATTGTGCTGGGGACGGGTGGGCAGGGGCAGAGGAAGGGAGGGTTTCAGCTGCCGCCCTGTGTCCTTGAGACAAAATCTTAGGAAGTGTCGTCTAAAACTTGAGAAGGCTGGGAACCTGTGTGGGACTTTGTATTGTTCAGCTCTGTCATGGCTTTCTTTTAGAGGACAGCACCTACGATGAGTACGAGAACGATCTGGGGATCACAGCCGTCGCCCTGTACGACTACCAGGCTGGTGAGCGGCCTGCAAAAGCACTTGGAGGGGAGACCCAGGCAGCTGCGCCTGCCTCTGCTTGTTTTCTGAGAATTCACTTCTCTAGCGTTGTTAGTTTTAGAAGTAATTTATGTTGAGATAATTTCAGAGATATAGAAAAGTTGCAGGTATAGTGCCAAGAACTCCCATGTTCCCTACCCGGATTCCATCTCTGCACACACACGCACACACCCCCTGTTATCTTTAGTATTCTCTGAACCCTTGGAGAGCTGCAGGGGTGCTGCCACCCCCAAAGACTCCAGCGTGTTTCCCAAGATCAAAGATGCTGTCCCACAGGGACACCCCACCCTCCAGGTGAGGGGGCCGCACAGATGCCTTGATGTTCGAGACCCCATTCCTGCCTGTCCTGCCCCGGCCGCCAGCTCCCGTGTGGCCTGCACGTTCCCCTGAGTTCCCTTTGCGGCCTTGGCAGTTTAAGAGCAGCCTCAGCTCCTGGGCTGGCCTCAGCCGCCCGCCCCGTGTTCCCTCAGGGCCAGGCTGAGCTGTGCTCTGGTGGCGGTGAGGTCTTGGAGACCATGCGGTGGGGCTCTCTGCTGGGCCGCATAGCATCCACTTGTCCCTCTGTCTCAGCCACCACCTGGTCCACAAAGTCACCACCACCCCTCTGCAGTTGACAAGCATCTTACGGGTGGCGTGGGATTCCCCTCAGAACCCCCGGCCTCTGCCTCTTGAGTGCTTCCCGTTTGCAACTTTCCATCAGCGCGGAAGCTGGCATTCTACCATAAGTGAGCGCTGGCCGTCCCCGTTCAGTGCCTTTTGCACACGTGCATTTGCGTACACGCATGTGGGTGTGTCTGTGGCATCTCGGCACCTGTGCGTGGATTCTCATCACCGTGGCTTTTGCCCTCCATTCCCATTTCAGCCATCACCTCGGGCTTCTCTCCGGGTGTCCCCTGGCTGTCCTTCCACTGCGGCCTCCGCAGCCCATCTCCCCACCCCCTCCACAGACACGTCTGCCAGAGAGAGGGGAAGGGAGGGCAGGCGGGGCTGGAGTTATGTGGTGGAAACCTGCTCCTGAGGAAGGGGTCCGGGTGGGGTTGGTGCTTGTGTGAAGGGCTCTGTGCCTCTTTGTACTCTCTCGGTTCATGTTCACAAATCCTGGCCTTGGTGGCATGGGAGAGGCAGCAGGAGCCTCCGCGGTGGTCCGCATCTCTGCAGGGGGCATCTCTGAGCAGGCTGCCTGGGAGCTTGCTCTGGGTTGTGCTTTTTTTCTGGCAGACCAGGAAACGCTTGCACTTCAGCATCTTTCTCTGTGTTCTCTTCCCCAGCGGGCGATGATGAGATCTCATTTGACCCTGATGACATCATCACCAACATCGAGATGATTGACGACGGCTGGTGGCGCGGGGTGTGCAAGGGCCGGTACGGGCTCTTCCCAGCCAACTATGTGGAGCTGCGGCAGTAGGGCCCCCAGCCCCCCCCCGGAGCTGCGCCCTGGATCCTCACACTACAGATCAGGCCTTCTTTGGTTCTTGGGTGGTTTTGGGTTTTTTCTGTTTTTTTTTTTTTTTTTTTTTTTTTGAAGGTGGGGAGGGGAATATACACATTGCTTTTATATTTAATACTTTTGCTGATGCTTTTGAAAATGTTTATGCCACAGAATTTGCTAATATATTGTAATCACATTCCTTAGGAGGACTTTGGTAATTGGTTTTATGCATTGATGGTTTTTTTTTTCTTTTTTGCCAAATTGACTGTCACGCGGCAGCTTCAGGGAGCTCGCATTCTCTTGTGTTCGTGTTGCCCTCGTGCCCATCAAGTGCAGTCGGGACCTCCCAGGACAAGCACGAGGCCTCAGGTCGGCCCTGTGGCGGGTAGGCAGGAAGGACTGTCCCAGACGAGGGGCTTCCTCTAGAGTCTCACTGCTGGGGAGGAGAGGACTGGGCCTGATGGAAGTTAACCCGGAGCTAAGTCACCCAGAGCACAGGAGCTGCCATGTCAGATGGGAAATCTGCCTATGTCATACCGTGACAGCCCGCAGGATCAGGTGACTTCTAGCAGAGACCCTGGTTTTTTTCCTGTGCCCACTCCGGCTTGTCCTCATCTCTACCCATCCCCTGATGCCCAGGTCACCGGGAGGGCTGCTGGGAGCCTCTCCTGTCCCCGCCGGGCAGTGTCACTGAGTCCTTGAAATCCTCCCCTGCCCCGCGGGTCTCTGGATTGGGACGCACAGTGCAGTTGAGGTCTGCGTCGGGCTTGGCTTTTCACAAAGGCTGATGTCTTAACTGTCACCCATATGGTCCCTGGGCCACCGGGCAGCCTGGGGCGGTGTGTGTGCCATGTCACAGCATGGCCTCTCGGCCTTGGGAAGGAAGGCAGTGCCTGCTCTGCTGTGAGCCGCCAGGAACCCTCCTCCTGTCAATGGGGGTGTAGTATTTTTGCCAAAATATCATGTTCAATTTCAGTAGTTTGATCAGTTGAAGGCTAGAAGTGTGAAGTGCAGATGAGTGTGTGTTCTTCCCCAAGGTCCCCCCACAGCTCCAGGACACCGCTGTCCTGGCATTTGTGGCCACTCACTTTGTAGGAAACTCATCTCCTTCCTGAGGAGCCGGGAGGCTGGACCAGTCCCGTCGTGCAGTCAGGTGGGCGGTGTGTCTTTCCAGAAGGTCACGTGGAAATGTCTCGGGACTTGGGTCCCGGAGTGCCCGTGAAGCGTGTTTTTGCTCCTGAGGTGCATTTTCTCATCATCCTTGCTTTACCACAATGAGCAATGAGGTCGGGTTTTATATGCAACTTATTGTATCTGAATTCCTGTAGCACACCTCATAGGTATGATTTTTTTAAATTAAAGAATTCAGAATAAACATTTTTTGATCCACTTGCGTGATTTGCTTTGGTCTGTGGTCACTCCGTTCTGCAGTGGAAGCTGCGTCGACACTCTCGGTGTCCTGCGCCCCGGACCTGGGCTGGCGGAGGCTCTCCTGCCGTCCAGTGCGTCTCACGCGTTCTGTTCTGGCTTTAGACCGAACCGTACGTTCCCTTTTCAGTGTTCATTCAAAGGTGCTGCTTATGAACTGAAATGTGTTTACTCTGGCAGATGATTCAGTTTTTTGCACAAAGGTTCCAAGCAAAATAAAACACTCTGTGCTTAAAAGTCATTTCTGAATTACAGTTCTCAAATCCTGAGGGGGATTTTGCTCCCAGTCTCGTTTTGCTCAGGGGCACCAGAAGTTAAAGGCTAAGGGGAACAGTGGCACTGAGGGAGCAGGTGTGCCCTCGGGAGCCGGGGGTGCTGGGGAGCTGGGTTCCGGCTCACACTTCTGCCCATCAGGTGCTCCCAGGGAGCTTTCGGCTACACGACATGCCTGCTACCCCTTCCAACCTGGGTGGTGACGGAGCACTGCCTCCTCCCTTGGGCTGTCCCACACCTGCCTCTGGCTTAGGAAACAGTGCCTCTGCCAGCTCTGCCCACAGGAGCCTAACGTGAGAGTGCCCCCGCCCTCCTGCCACAACCGGGCTGCTGTGGGTTCTGCATCACAGGGTTGCAGCCCTAACGGCGAGCCCCGTCCCACACAGGGCCTGTCTGCTGGGTGAGATTGCAGCCACCTGCAGGGAGCTGAGTCCTGAAGAAATGAGGCATGAAGGCTTGTGAACCAGGGGAAAGTCCCAGCCAGGGTGGGCAGACGGGGTCAGGGGGCTGGAGGACAGGGTGTGACGAAGGGAGGGGGCCATGCAGAAAGGGCCCCCGCTGGCCCACTGTCTGCCCAGTCGGTGTGTGCCTGTGCCGCCTGCGGATGAGCATGGCAGGGGCTCAACAGGAGCGGGACACATCTTGAGTGGGTCTGTGTTTCTGTTCTATTGGTGGCCAAGCGTGGCCTGGCAGCTTGAGTGCCTGGAGCCAACCACCTGAATCTTAGCCGCTTTCTTTTTAGATGTGGTTGGGGTTTTTTGTTTCTGTTTCTTGAGAAAGGGTCTTGCTCTTTCGCCCAGGCTGGAGTACAGTGGCGTGATCTCCGCTCCTGCAACCTGTGCACCCAGGGCTCAAGCAATCCTCCCACCTCAGCCTCCCAAGTAGCTGGGACTACAGGTGCATGCCACCACACCTGGCTACTTTTTGTATTTTTAGTAGGGACGTGGTTTCACCATGTTGCCCAGGCTGGTCTAGAACTTCTGACCTCAAGTGATCTACCTGCCTCGGCCCCCCGAAGTGCTGGGATTACAGGGATGAGCCACCGTGCCCAGCGTAGATGTGGTCGTTTTAATGTCAGCTCACCGTGCCTTCTGTCTCAAAGTTGGATTCACTCCCCAAGTCCCCTCTGGCCTGAAGAACAGCCTAGGGGCATGCTTGCCTGGGAGCAGCTTGCTCTCAGCCTGCTGGAGGAGGGAGGGCAGGACATGGACGTGCTTTTCTCTCTTGGTGCCCAGACATGGAAAACGATTTTGTGGCACATAGGGAGCCGTCGGCACACAGGCACCTCCAAGAGCCACTGGAGCCACTGCTGGCCACTCTGGGCGCTCAGATGTGGGCACAGCATGGAGAGTGCTTTGTCGGGGTGAAAATGCTTACTTTGCTCCTGGAAGATATGCTGGCGAATGCTTCTTCAACCCAAGATGTTCAGAGTGGCTGACATGGTATTAACTGTGCACATACTGTGTGCTGGGCCTTGGAGGGGAGATGTTGAGTAAGAGAGATGGCTCAGCACTGGGGAAGCTGACACAATAAATCTGATTCCACCACTGTGCTGATTTTTATTTTTTTAATCAATTTATTCTTTTTGAGACAGAGTCTTGCTCTGTTGCCCAGGCTGGAGTGCAATGGCACAATCTCAGCTCACTGCAACCTCCACCTGCCAGGTTCAAGCAGTTCTGCCTCAGCCTCCCGAGTAGCTGGGACTACAGGTGTGCACCACCACGCCTGGCTAATTTTTGTATTTTTAGTAGAGACAGTTTCGCCATGTTGGCCAGGCTGGTCTCAAACTCCTGACCTCAGGTGATCAGCCTGCCTCAGCCTTACAAAGTGCTGGGATTACAGGCGCGAAGCCACCGCGCCCGGCCCCCACCACTGTGTTTAATTCTAACCAAGGAGAAGAGGAAGTTCTGAAAGGAGAACAAGGAGATCTGAGAACACGGCTCGGGCCTGGCCAGGGGCCTCTCAGAGGAAAGCTCTCCCTGTTGCGTCCCTCCACGCCAGGGCCTGCGTGGAGTGGGCACGGTTTTTGATACCTGCCTTGCTGACCTTCAGCTCCAATTTCTTCATCTGAAAGTGAGGATAAAAGAATTAACCCCTCTTTCTAGTCAGATGCCTGCTAGATCCATTTACCTGCTTGAATTTGAGATGTATTGCCAGGATACACCTCCACAGTCTGATGGAACACACTGAAGATATCTGAACAACAAAAGGTAACAATAGATTTTAATAATTTTTACTTGTTTTGCCTGAAACATGAGGATTCTCCCCTTTTCTCATCTCAGTCCCATGTTTTTTGGTTTTGGGGTTTGAGACGGAGTCTCACTCTGTTGCCCAGGCTGGAGTGCAGTGGCACAATCTGAGGTCACTGAAGCCTCCGCCTCCCAAGTTCAAGCAATTCTCCTGCCTCAGCCTCCTGAGTAGCTGGGATTACAGGCACCTGCCATCATGCCTGGCTAATTTTTGTATTTTTAGTTAAGATGGGGTTTCACTGTGTTGGCCAGGCTGGTCTTGAACTCCTGGCCTCAAGTGATCTACCTGCCTCAGCCTCCCAAAGTGCTGGAATTACAGGTGTGAGTCACCGCACCCGGCCCCTCAGTCCTGTGTTTTGAATTCTGTTGTTTCTTTTCTCCCATTTTCCCTCTGATTATTTCTTCTGACCTGTTTGACCTCCCATGGGAAGACGAGCTCTGCTTTTGATGATGATTGTGAAAATGCACACAGACAGCAACATAGTCAAAGAATTCTATGTTGTGTGATAAGGTGCTTTTTTTTCCTACCTACTGTCATTGTTATAATAGTGCTTCTTCGATTAAAAACCATTTGAGACAGCTCCGTTGTCATTTGTGAGCTGTCAGCTCGGCCCAACTTAGCTATCTCTGGATTTAATGTTTGTTCATATTTTCTGTGAATTACACCTCCTGCTATTACCTAGGAATAGAGCTGTCCCTCGGTACCTGCAGGGGATTGGGCCCAGGACCTCCCTCCTGTACCCAAATCTGCACATACTCAAGTCCCCCAGTCCCCTGCAGAACCCACATCTATGAAAAGTTGGCCTTGTGTGTGCAGGCTTTGCATTCTGTGAATACTATATTGTTTGTTGTTTTTGAGACAGGGTCCCTGTCACTCAGGCTGGAGTGCAGTGGAGTGACACCATCATAGCTCACAGCAGCTTCCACCTCCCTCACTCAAGCAATTTCCTACCTCAGCCTTCTGAGTAGCTGGGACCACAGGTGCACACCTGCCATGCCTGGCTAATTTTTTTTTTTTAGGTCTTTGTAGAGACGGCATCTCACTATGTTACCCAGGCTGGTCTTGAACTCCTGGCCTCAAGCCATCCTCCTGCCTCAGCCTCCGGAAGTGCTGGGATTACAAGTATAAACCACTATGCCCAGCCCGAATACTGTATTTTTTATATGTTTGATTGAAAAAATATGCGTATAAGTGGACGCTCACAGTTCACACCCTTGTTCAAAGGTCAGTTGTGTTCTCCTGAGTAGGTTGTGTGAATGAGATGCACGTGAGTCCCTGCAGGCCCAATCTCCCTCTGGTGGGCAGAATCCTGGCCTCCCAAAGATGTCTAGATCCTAATCCCCAGAACCTGTGATGATGTTACCCCGCATGGCCAAGGAGAATTAGGTAGCAGATGGAATTAATGTTTCTAATCAGCTGGCCTTCAAATTGGGAGATTATCTTTTCAGCACATGGCACTGGGAAAGTGAAATTCACATGCGAAAGAGTGATGTTGGTCCCTTACCTTTCACCAGACAGAAAAATTAACTGAAAATGGATTAAAGACCTAAACACAAGACCTAAATCTATAAAACTCTTAGAAGTAAACGGGGAAAGCTTCATGACATTCATGATTTGGCAATGATTTCTTAGATACGCAACCAAAAGCACAGACAACGAAAGGAAAAATAGCTAAGTTGGGCCGAGCGTGGTGACTCACGCCTGTAATCCCAGCACTTTGGGAAGCCGAGGCGAGCGGATCACTTGAGGTCAGGAGTTTGAGACCAGCCTGGCCAACATGGCAAAACCTGTCTCTACTAAAAATACAAAAATTAGCCAGGCGTGGTGGCACGTGCCTATAGTCTCAGCTACTTGGGAGGCTGAGGCACGAGAATCGCTTGAACCTGGGAGGCGGAGGTTACAGTGAGCCGAGATCACGCCACTGCACTCCAGCCTGAGTGACAGAGCAGGACTCCATCTCAAAAAAAAAAAAAAAAAAAAAAAGGTAAGTTGATTGTCATTTAAAAAACAGCATTGAAGGACATAACAATGAAAAGGGAACCTAGAGAATGGGAAGAAATATTTGCAAGTCATACGTCTGATAAGGGGGTAATGTCCAGAATATTTAAGGAACTACAGCTAAACAACAAACCCAAAGCATTTAAAAACGGGCAAAGGATTTGAATAGATGTCTCAAAGAAGATACACAGATGGAAAACGAGCAGGAGAAAGGATTCCCAGCATCACCCATCATTAGTGAAATGCAAATCAAAACCACATGGAGGCTGGGCACGGCGGCTCACGCCTCTAATCCCAGCACTTTGGGAGGCCAAGGCGGGCGGATCACGAGTTCAGGAGATCGAGACCATCCTGGCAAACACGGTGAAACCACGTCTCTACTAAAAATACAAAAAAATTAGCCGGGCATGGTGGCGGGCGCCTGTAGTCCCAGCTACTCAGGAGGCTGAGGCAGGAGAATGGCGTGAACCCAGGAGGTGGAGCTTGCAGTGAGCCGAGATCGTGCCACTGCACTCCAGCCTGGGCAACAGAGCAAGACTCCGTCTAAAAAAAAAAAAAAAAAAAAAACAACAACAAAAACCACATGGAGGCTGGGCAGGGCAGCTCACACCTGTAATCCCAGCTATTTGGGAGGCTGAGGCAGGAGGATCACTGGAGCCCAGAAGTTTGAAACCAGCCTGGGCAACATAGGGAGACTTTGTTTCTACAAAAAATTAAAAATTAGCTGAGTGTGGTGGGACCCGCTTGAAGTCCCAGCTACTCAGGAGGCTGAGGCAGGAGGATTGCTTGAGCCCAGGAGGTCAAGGCTGCTGTGAGCTATGATTGTATCACCCCACTCCAGCCTGGGGGACAGAGCCAAGACATTGCAGTAACATCTCACACCCATGAGGGTGACTACCATGAAGAAGATGGTCACAAGAGTTGGCGAGGATGTGGGGAAATTGAGCCCCTCATGCACCGTTGGTGAGAAGGTAAAATGTGGCAGATGCTGTGAACAGTATAGCAAATCCTATTAAAAAAAAAAAGTACCATATGATCCAGCAATATGTCTTCTGGGTATATACCCCAAATAGTTGAAAACAAGGTCTCAAAGAAATATTTCTACACCCATATTCATAGCAGCAGCATTATTCTCTGGCCAAAAGGTGGAAGCAACTCACTGTCCATCTGTGGGAAAGTGGGTAAATAAAATGTAAATACATAAATACAGACGGTGGAATATTATTCAGCCTTTGAAAGGAAGGACAGTCCTAGCTATTCAGGAGGCTGAGGTGGGAGGATCCCTTGAGCCCAGGAGTTCAAGGTTACAGTGAGCTATATAGTCCCGCCACCGCACTGGGCAACAGAGTGAGACCCTGTCTCTTAAAAGAAATCCTGACATGCTACAACACAGATGAACCTGAAGATGTTATGCTAAGTGAAAGAAGCCAGTCACAAAAAGACAAATGCAGTATGATCCCACTCGTGAGGTCCCTAGAGCAGTCAAATTCACAGAGACAGAGAATGGTGGCTGCCAGGGCCTGGCGGGCGGGGTGGGGGGTGTGGAGCTAACGTTTAATAGGCACAGAGTTTCCATTTGGGAATATACCTTAGTCTCTTTGTGTTGCTATAAAGGAATACCTGAGGCTGGGTAACTTCTTTTCTTTTTTTTTTTTCTGAGACAGAGTTTCACTCTTGTTGCTCAGGCTGGAGTGCAATGGTGCAATCTCGGCTCACTGCAACCTCTGTCTCCTGGGTTCATGCGATTCTTCTGCCTCAGCCTCCCGAGTAGCTGGGATTACAGGCACCTGCTGCCACTCCCAGCTAATTTTTTTGTATTTTTAGTAGAGACGGGGTTTCACTACGTTGACCAGGCTGGTCTGGAACTCCTGACCTCAGGTGATCCACCCGTCTTGGCCTCCCAAAGTGCTGGGATTACAGGCATGAGTCACCGCACCCAGCCAAGGCTGGCTGATTTCTAAAGAAAAGAGATTTGGCTCAGGGTTCTGCAGGCTGTACAGGGAGCATGATGCCCATGTCTGCTCCTGGGGGAGGCCTCAGCTGCTTCCACTCATGGGGGAGGGGAAGGGGAGCCCACGTGTGCTCAGATCACGTGGGGGAGAGGAAGCAAGGGGGGCAGGTGCAGGCTCTTGAACAACCAGCTCTGGAAAAAACCAACAACTCCCTCCCGCCCCTGGGTAGGGTATTAATCTATTCACGAGGGATTCGTGCCCATGACCCAAGAACTTCCTTAGGCCTCACCTTCGATATATGGGATCAGTTCCAACTGAGGTTTGGAGGAGTCAGACAAACCCTCGCGAACTCTAGCGGAAGCTGCGGGCGTTCTGGAGCTGGACGGCGGCGACGGCAGCGCGACAGTGTCACTGTGCTGCAAGTCAACGAACTGTTCATGGAAACACGGTTAAAATCGTGATTCTTACGCTTTGAATATTTTACCACATTTTTTTTTTAAGGCAGATTCCTTTCAATCATCTGAGTGAGCCCAGTGCAATCTGAAGAGTCCCTACAGGTGGAAGAGGCAGGGGCCAGGATCCAAGGAGCACCACAGCCTCTGGAAGCCGGGCAAGGAAGTGGACACCCCGGGAGCCTCCAGCAGGAAGGAAGCCCCGCGGACGCCCTAACTTCAGCTCAGCAGACCTGGTCAGATTTCCGGCCTGCAGCTCTGTTAAGGGGAGACGTTTGTGTTGTTTGAGGCCACCGAGCCTGGTCATCTGCGCCGGCAGCCGCAGGAGCCCAGGCCACCATCCCCACGAGGTCCGTATACTGTGATGTCTGCCTGGGCATTCTGCACAGGGTCTTTATTTTCTCTTCCCCTCCCCTGCAAGGTCAGTCCCGGGAGCCCAGAAGGTGCTTGATGAATGATCTGCAGCTGATTGAGCGAAGGAACGAGTGAGCCGAGCCAGTCAGCAGCATTAGTGTGATACGTGTTGCTTTTCAATTAAAGCTCTCTGCCTCTCGGTTGAGCAACTCTGAGAGCCGGGGTCCCCACCCTTCTGTCCCCCTCATGGTGGGTCTTGTACCCAACAGCTTGCCAGAGCAGAGAGCCATGAATAGGGTTTGGTTTCAGGAAAGATGACCAGGAGACTCAGCCCAGGAGTCAGCCTGAGTTCAAATCCTGGCCCCACGCTTCCTGCCTTGTCACCCTGGGCATGTGATTCAGTTCTTGGTTCTTGTACATTTGGGTGGAAACTGACAACTGCCTGCCATGGGGAGAACCAGCTTGCCTGCCTTCTGCACCACGGCTGGCACTGATCATTAGCAGGTTAAAAAAAAAGCTTTGCCAATACGCCGGGCACAGTGGCTCACACCTGTAACCGAAGCACTTTGGGAGGCCGAGGTGGGGCGGGGGGGGATCACGAGGTCAGGAGATCAAGACCATCCTGGCTAACACTGTGAAACCCCGTCTCTACTAAAAATACAAAAACAAAAAATTAGCCTGGTGTGGCAGGCGCCTGTAGTTCCAGCTACTCGGGAGGCTGAGACGGGAGAATGGTGTGAACCCAGAAGGTGGAGCTTGCAGTGAGTTGAGATCGTGCCACTGCACTCCAGCCTGGGCGACAGAGTGAGACTCCGTCTCATAAATTTAAGAAAAAAAAAACAAAAAACAAAAAAAAAACCTTTGCCAATAGGTTGAGGTGGTCTCATATTGTCGGTTTAATGTACCTCTCACTATGAGAGAGTAACAGCTTTACATTTGTTTAGGAAAGATTTGTTTTTCTCTATGTGCTGTATATTTATAAGATTTGCCTACCTTTCTCCCCTATTTTTCCATTTGTCTTTCACTTTGTTTACGGTAGGATTTTTTTTCCTGCAGAATTTTAGAATTTTGATGTGGTTTAATTAATCTGCGGTGCAGGGCTCAGAATTCATCTTCCCATAGAAACAACAGTCTAAGCAATGGTTTGGTTTCCAGACCAGCTCACTGAAACGGATTTCATTCATTGTCTAATGCGAACACTATACACTGTGCGGTGCGGACTTCAGCCTGACCCTGAGTGAAATGGGAGCCACTCCAGGGTTCACAACCAAGCAGGGAGATGAATTTGTGTTCAGAAGATCTTTAGGGGGGCACAGGAGGAGGAAGGAACCCCAGTTAAGAGGTCAGTTCAGTAACCCAGGCAAGAGGTGTGGAGGCGTAGACAGGGGTGGCATCAGCGGAGCGGGATACGCGGGCCTTAGCATTTGGCTGTGCTTTAACGATAGACCCAGCGAGAATTGCTAGCAGATTAGACACAGCAAGAGGAAAAGAAAGGAGTCAGGATGATTCCAAGGTTTTTGGTGCCTGCAGCAGGAAGTATGGAGTTGCCTTTTATTGAAACGGGAAGGACTGAGGGAGGTTCCTTGACTGCCCGTTAGACATCCAAGCACCTGCTGGAATTCCGTGTGGGGTTCAGGGATGAGACCCAACTGGGAATGTAAGTGTTAGAATTGTAAGCATGAGTTAGACCCATGGATTGGATTAAACCCCTAGATGTGGGTATTTGCAGACTGGGAAGATGGCCAAGGGTGAAACCCGGGGCATCCCAGGATTTAGAGGTCAGGGAGAAGAGAAGAGACCCCTAAAGAAGACCCAGAAACAACAGGCAGTGATAGGATGATGGGGTCCTAGGAGCTGGTGGCCAGGGCATCCCAAAGAGGAAGTGCAGCCGCGGTGTCAGAGGCTGTGGCGGACACAGGGGAGATGAAGATAGATCTGACCGCTGCTCCAGCATGGGGGTCACGGGGACCTTGAGCAGGAGGCTGGCGCAGCAGAGGGAGGGGAAAGCTGGTGGGAGCAGGCTCCAGGGAAAATGGGAGGTACACTAGCCCTAAAGGAATGCAAGAATATTTCTCAAAGCCATCATTCCAGCCCCAGCAATTACAACCAAAGAAAGTAATTCAGAAGCTGCATTTCTCTTGAGTGTTGCACCTTCAGAGCCTGGGATGGGGGAGCAGGAGGGTGTGGCACAGTCTGAGGGAGGCCTCTAAGCAATTGTCAGACCTTTTTATTTATTTTACTGTTACTTTTCTGACTGAACATATTTAATATAAAAATATGAGTTCAAGCCGGGTGTGGTGGCTCACGCCTGTAATCCCAGTACTTTGGGAGGCCGAGGCGGGCGCATAACCTGAGGTTGGGAGTTTGAGACCAGCCTGATCAACATGGAGAAACCCCATCTCTACTAAAAATACAAAACTAGCCAGGCGTGGTGGTGGGCCCCTGTAATCCCAACTACTCAGGAGGCTGAGGCTGGAGAATCGCTTGAACCCGGGAGGCAGAGGTGGTGAGCCTAGATCACACCATTGCACTCTAGCCTGGGCAACAAGAGCAAAACTCCATCTCAAAAAAGAAAAGAAAAGAAAAAAAAAAATATATATATATATATGAGTTCAAAAGCAATCCAGACAGTACAGATCAGTGTAACTTGAAAAAAATAAAGCCTTCTTCCTCTTTTTTCTCCCTTCCTAGAGGCGACTTTGTCAATAATTTATGGGTAATTTTATAAATTTTCTCTGCATATAGGAGCATGTATGTATAGTACAGAAATCCCTTTTTATATACAAAGGGATCATACTGTACTTCACCTTCTACAACGTGCTTTATCAATGTGATATATTTTGCCCATCTTTCTCTCTCTTTTTTTTTTTTTTTTTTGAGATGGAGTTTTGCTCTTGTTGCCCAGGCTGGAGTGCAATGGCGTCATCTCAGCTCACCGCAACCTCTGTCTCCTGGGTTCAAGCGATTCTCCTGCCTCAGCCTCCCAAGTAGCTGGAATTACAGGCACCTGCCACCACACCTGGCTAACTTTTTGTATTTTTAGTAGAGACAGGGTTTCATGTTGGCTAGACTGGCCTCGAACTCCTGACCTCAGGTGATCCACCCGCCTCGGCCTCCCAGAGTGCTGGGATTACAGGTGTGAGCCACCACGCCCAGCTTGTCCATCTTTCTCTGTCTCATTCTTTTTGTACCCTCTGCAGAGAATCTCATTTGTGTGTGAAGGTCAGGTCAGCCCCATCAAGGGACATTTACTGGCTTTCCGCATCTTTCTGTTACCACAGCGCTGTCCTGTCCTGAGACTCAATGCACACTTGTGCGCCTGAGTCTGGAGGGTGAATATTCAGCAGTGGGATTGCCCAGTGTGACACTAATAACCAATATGCCTTCCCTGCTCTCCTCTTTGTTACAGTCCCAAGTTTCTTCAGCATTGCAATGCGGTTGAAAGACTACAGTTGTCTGTCACTTGTCATCTGATTTAGCTCTGTGACTGTTCTGGAAGCAAAGCTCAATTGTGGAGGATTTCTGGGACTGGTCATTAGAAGGACAGACAGCTGGAGTATCCTTTGATCTCACCACTCTTCCCATTTCTCCCTTCTATTCTCTGGAGTGTGGGTGTGATGGCTGATGGCTGGAGCTCTGCCAGCCATTTTTGACCATGAGGCATCCTGAAAGATTTTAGATTCATGTTTGCATCATGGAGCTGCCGCACTGGTCTTGCCTGCTTTAGGACTTTTTTTTTCCTTTGAGACATGGTCTTGTTCTGTCACCAAAGCTGGAATGCAGTGGCGAGGGCTCAAGCCATTCTCCCACCTCAGCTTCTCGAGTAGATGGGACCACAGGTGTGTGCCACCATGCCCAGATTTTTTTGTTTTCATTATTATTTGCAAAGATGGGGCTTGCTATGTTGCTCAGGCTCGTCTTGAACTGGGCTCAAGCGATTCTCCCACTTTGGCCTCCCAAAGTGCTGGGATTACAGACATGAGCCACCACACCCAACTTGCTTTAGGATCTTTTTAAAAAGTGAGATGGAGAAGTAAAGCTTCTATTTTATCTAAACCATTGTTATTTCTAGTCTCTATTATGAGTCCAAGTACGAATCCCAATTGATCCACTGAGTCAGTGAGTACAAAATTTCCCTCTAGCATGTTTGGCACTCATTTACATGTGAGAGCATGTTTCTTCTTATTTTTGCAGAATTCAGGTATAAAAATTTTAGGCTGAGCATGGTGGTTTACACCTGTAATCCCAGTACTTTGAGAGGCCAAGGTAGGAGGATCACTTGAGCCCAGGGATTCAAGACCAGCCTGGGCAATGTAGTATGACCCCATCTCTATGAATAATAATAATAGTAATAAATTAAGCTGGGCATAGTGGTGTGTGCTGTGGTCCCAGCTACTTGGTAGGCTAAGGTGGGAGAATCACTTGGGCCCAGGTGGTCAAGGCTGCAGTCAGCTGTGATCATGCCACTGCACTCCAACCTGGGTGACACAGCAAGACCCCATCTCAAAAAGAAAAACCTCTTTGCCAATCTAAGATATCAAAATGCATATTATTTTTGTTGCTTTATCTTTAATTCTGCTTCCAAAGAATGGGCCCCTCTTTCCCTCCTCCTCTCATTTAATTTTCTGTTTGCTTCCTTTCTTACAAATACACAAGTGATTCATTACATGCTCATGGTGAAAACTCAAACAAGGACTTTCAGTTCTGGAAGTATTTTTAACTAGACATTATGAAAACTCTTTTGCCATACAACACCAAAAATGGTAGATAAATTGTAATAGGTATCTTTTAAATGTAAAGTTGAGCTTGCAAAAAGATCAAGAAAATCTTCAGGGGGACAAAGGAAAGAGGAAGCAAGAACACAGAATGGAAGGCCAGCCCTGAAGTCTTGATCACCGTGAGACCATCCAGGCATTTTTCTGGATGTCAAACAGTAACAATATACTAGAACTTTGAGCCTTGGGGTTTAACAGATGTGTGGGGGCAGGAGTGCGCATTTGGAAAGGGTACCTGAATAAGGCTTGGTCCTGAAAGGGATATGACCTCAGGGAAAGGGTGGGAGAGTGAAAAATCTGTCCGTGGTCGAAGAGTGATATTGACATAATTTGTTTAGTCATCTGATCTGGGTGGGGAAAAAGAAGTTGTGTGATATTTGAGCAAGATTTTGCCTAAAGGAGATTAATGACTGGTGCAAGAAAATACAGAAGGCTTGCTGGATCAGGATCCCCAAGGGGGCTGGAGCGACCTGAGATGGGGAAGAGAGATTGACTGACATTTCCCACACTAGCCACTAGGTGGGGCCACTAACTCAGGACAGCTTGGTTGCCCTCTCATTGTACAAACTGGATTTCCCACTCCCACCTCTTTGCTTAAGAATTGGTGATGGAAGGATAAAAGAGACAATCTCAGTAAATCCAGAGACAGAAATCAGACTCGTGGTTGTCAGGGGCTGGGAGAAGAAGGGAGTGGGGAATGACTGCTAATGGGTACAGGGTTTCCTTTTAAGGGTGATAGAAATGTTCTGGAACTAAATAGAGGAAGTGGTTGCACACACTGTAAATGTACTAAATGCTGCTGAATTGTGCACTTAAAATGGTTAATTTTTAAAAAAGCAAATAGAGAATGATTCAGTCTTGAAGTTTGTGATGTAGTGAAAAACAGACAATTTTGATACTACATGAAAGGTACAGAGGCCAGGGTCACTCAGAGGAAGGAGGGTGGATTCAGGGGAAGATTCTGGGAGAAGGTCAGGAGTGAGCTGAGTCTGAAAGAACAAGTTCAAGTAAACCAAGAGAAACAGGGAAGTCTGAGTAGCAGGAGAGGCAAGGCTGAGACTGTGTGTGTGTGTGTGTGTGTGTGAGTGTGTGTGATCAAGGGCTTCGATGCAGCTGAAGCATCCGGCACATGTGGAGAATAGAGACACAGGCAGGGGCAGATCAGAAAGGTTCATAGGTCATCTCAAGACAATTGGATTTCATTTTAAATGCAGTGAGGAGTTACTGAATTTTAAGCAAAGAAGTGACCCGATCTGTATTTTGGAAGGATCATTCTGTCACTGATGTGGACAAAGATTTAGAGGACACAAAAACTGGTGACAGCTTTATTCAGGGGCTTCTGCAGGATCTGAGGGGATATTATACTAGGAATGAGGGGGGCCATGCTGCTGTTTGAGATCATGCATTTATACAATAAATCCTCACTTAATGTCCTTGATAGCTTCTTGGAAACTGACTTTAAGCAAAATTACTTACTGTATGCTGTAAGAACTTAACTCTTGTTCATATGAGTTAGTCTATGGTAAATTAGTTTTGTTATACAGACCATTATTTCACTTAAAGTCAGTTTCCAGGAACCTATCGACTGTGTTGTGCTAAAACTGACTGAAATTTCAGTCTATACTTGTTCATTGCTGGTATTTGGGAAAGCAAATGGCTTTTGTACATTAACTTTGTATCCTGCAACCTTGGTATAATTGCTTATTAATTCCAGGAATAGATTATACATTTATAGTGGCATTAGTTTGTATGGCCGTGTGATTTTTCTGGTGTAACCAGGACTCAGGACTTGGCAAGGTGAGGGAGTGGGGGTGAAGAGCACACGTGACTTTTTTAGCCTTCCAGCAGTAAGTGGGGATCTGCATATTCAGGAGAATAACCAAGGCCGGTGCTGCAATACAACCCTAAAAATGGATGTCTGTGTTATCTAAACAAGCAGCAGCTAAGCTGGGTCTCTCAGAGGCCTTGTAGTTATGTGGGCCAGCTGTGATAGCATTCTGTCTCTCCTTTAATTCACTGTACCTTTTCTGTGAACATCCTGGGAGCCTCAGATTGACCCACACCAGAGAAGGTTTAACTTCTTGCATCAGATAGAAAATGAGTGATAAAAGTTGCAATCAAACTGGCTGAGGCAAAGAAGGGAATTTGTTGGCTTGTGTATTGGAAGGCCAGAGGTACCTCTACCTTCAGGTAGGGTTGGATCCAGGATCTCTGCTGTGTTCTCGGGCCTTGGTCTCTCTATTTCCTGGGTCTGTTTTGCCCTGTGTCACTTCATTTTAAGGCAGAGTCTCCTCATGAAGGGACGGGCAATGCCTAGTGGTACATAGCATGGGACCCCATCAGCGAGAGCCCTTCTCCAGCCCAGTTGTTCCAGTGCAGATCTCTGGATTTGGACTTATTGGTTTGACTTTGGTCATGCACCCATTCCTGAACCAATCCGTATAGCCAGGGATGGAAGATACTAGCCAGGCCAGGTCACATGGGCCATCCCTAGAACTGGGGGCTGTGTGCAGGGGAGGGGCTCCCACAAAGGAAAGCCAAGGTGGTCTTAGTGGAGGGGAGATACCCAACAGGCAGGCAAAGCACCAGGGCCCTCTCCCCTTGCACTGGGCAGTCCTGTTTGGTTATAATTTCAATATCCTCGGGAGTTGCTTCGCATGTGGCCAGCTGTGGCTATCCAAGCATTCATGTGCTCTGTGACAAAGGAAAGGTCAGAACTTCACCGTGACCAGGACTCGCATCCACTTCCGTCCCACACTCTCACCAAGTGAAAGATGGTTTTTTAGAAATAGTGGCTGGGCATGGTGGCTCATATCTGTTCTCCCAGCACCTTGGGAGGCTGACACAGGAGGATTGCTTGAGGCCTGGAGTTCAAGACCAGTCTGGGCAACATAGCAAGACCTCGTCTCTACAGAAAATAAAAAAAAATAGCTGGGTGTGGTGGTGTGCGCCTGTAGCCCCAGCTATTTGAGAGGCTTAGGGGAGAGGATCACTTAAGAGACCCTGTCTCTTTAAAAAAAAAAAAAAAAAAAACTGATGCAGAGGTTTTTTTTTGTTTGTTTGTTTGTTTGTTTGTTTGTTTGTTTTTGAGACGGAGTCTCACTGTGTCTCCCAGGTTGGAGTGCGGTGGCGCGATCTCGGCTCACTGCAAGCTCCGCCTCCCAGGTTCACGCCATTCTCCTGCCTCAGCCTCCCGAGTAGCTGGGACTACAGGTGCCCACCACCATGCCCGGCTTATTTTTTGTGTGTGTTTTTTTAGTAGAAACGGGGTTTCACCATGTTAACCAGGATGGTCTTGATCTTCTGACCTTGTGATCTGCCCACCTCAGCCTCCCAAAGTGCTGGGATTACAGGCACGAGCCATGGCGCCCGGCCACCTCAGCCTCTTGAGTAGCTGGGATTTCAGGTGCTCACCACAATGGCTTATTTTTGTATTTTTAGTAGAGACGGGGTTTTACCATGTTGGCCAGGCTGGTCTTGAACTCCTGACTGCAAGTGATCCACCCACCTCCGCCTCCCAAAGTGCTACGATTACAGACGTGAGTCACTGCACCAGCCTGGGTTTTTTGTTTTTTTTTGCTTTCAGTAAATGAAATATGAGGACCCCTTTTTTTCTATAGCATACACAAAGTGAATGGGTAGTAACTCTTGAAATACAAAGGATTAAATTCTAAAAATTTGTTATTATTATTTTTTTTTAATTTTAGACAGTCTCGCTCTGTTGCCCAGGCTGGAGTGCAGTGGCACAATCTTGGCTCACTGCAAGCTCCGCCTCCCAGGTTCAGGCCATTCTCCTGCCTCAGCTTCCCGAGTAGCTGGGACTACAGGCGCCTGCAACCACACCCGGCTAATTTTTTGTATTTTTAGTAGAGACGGGGTTTCACCGTGTTAGCCAGGATGGTCTTGATCTCCTGACCTCATGATCTGCCTGCCTCAGCCTCCCAAAGTGCTGGGATTACAGGCGTGAGCCACCGTGCCCGGCCTAAAAATTTAATTTTATTGATGATACTCATCTTTAAGGACTTTGCTCCTGAGAAGTACAACACTGACGTCCCATGGGAACTCCCTGTGGGTTCTGGGGCTGAGGAGTGCCCAGCAAGCTCCTGACTCCCAGCACTTGGTGATCCCCACCTCCTGCCTGTTCCGTGTCACTGCACTAGTCCAGCTCATCCAGAGAGTGACATTGATGAGGCAGGGCTGCGTGCAGGAAACCCATGTGGTGCCAACGAAGAGCCCACAAGGATGGAGGGTCTGCCCACTGTGCTCTTCCAGGGGCTGAGATTTTAGTATCATTTAAATTTACTTATTTACTTTTTTTTTTCTCATTCAACACCTTCGGTATGTGTCATTTTTAGGTTTTTTTTTTGTTTGTTTTTTGTTTTTTGGGACGGGTCTTGCTCTGTCACCCAGGCTAAAGTGCAGTGGCACAATCACAGCTCAACGCAGCCTCGACCTCCTAGGCTGAAGCGATCCTCCCACTTCAACTTCCCAAGCAGCTGGGACTACAGGTGTGAGCCACCAGACCTGGCTAATTAAAAAAATAAAATTTGGGGGCCAGGTGGAGTGGCTCACACCTGTAATCTCAGCATGTTGGGAGGCCAAGGTGGGTAGATCACCTGAGGTCAGGAGTTTGAGACTGGCCTGGCCAACATGGTGAAACCCTGTCTCTACTAAAAATACAAAAATTAGCTGACTGTAGTGGTGCACACCTGTAGTTCCAGCTACTCGGGAGGCTGAGGCAGAAGAATTGCTTGAACCTGGGAGGCAGAGGTTGCAGTGTGCTGAGATCATGCCACTGTACTCCAGCCTGGGTGACAGAGTGAGACTCTGTCTCAAAATAATAATTTTAAAACATAGAATAAAAATAAAATTTTATAGAGATGGGGGTCTCCCTATGTTGCCCAGGCTGGTCTCAAATTCCTGGACTTAAGTGATCCTCCCTTCTTGGTCTCCCAAAATGCTGGGATTACTGGTGTGAGCCCCCTTGCCTGGCCTTTTTTTTTTTTTTTTTTTTTTTTTTTTTTTTTTTTGTAGCAAGTTTTCTAGAAAGTTTTTTGGTGGATTCCTTGGGATTTTCTACATAGACAATCATGTCATCTGCAAACAGGGGGTTTCAGTTCTTCCTTTTCAGTGTGTATCTTTCTGATCTTTTATTTCTTTTCTTGCCTTATTCCAGTGGCTAGAACCCTAGCACTGTGTTGAGTAAGAGTGGTGAGAGTGAACACATTTGTTATCATTCTTAGGAAGAAAGCATGCAATCTTTCACCCTTAACGTATGTGTTACCTGTGGGATTTTTTTGTAGATGATTTTTTTTTTTTTTTTGAGACAGGGTCTCACTCTGTCACCCAGGCTAGAGTGCAATGGCATAATCTCAGCTCAATGCAACCTCCACCTCCTGAGCTCAAGTGATTCTCCTGCCTTAGTCTCCCAAGTAGCTGGGACCACAGGTATGTGCCACCATGCCTGGCTAATTTTTGTATTTTTTGTAGAAATGGCGTTTCACTGTGTTGCCTCGGCTGGTCTCAAACTCCTGGGCTCAAGCGATCTGCCCACCTCGGCCTCCCAAAGTGCTGGGATCACAGGCGTGAACCACCTCCCCTGGCCTGCCTTATTGTTTTAGATCATTAGCTCCTCGAGAAGCCAGCGCCCTGTCATGAGGACACTCAAGCAGCTGTATGGAGAGGTCAGTGTGGTGAGGAACTGAGGCCCCCTGCCAGTATCCTGGTGAGCAAGCCGCTTTGGAAACAAATCCTCCATCCCCAGCAATCTCCTCCATCCCCTCCACGTCCTCTCTCATGAGAAAGTCAGCCAGCCTCACTCTCATGAATCATGACTTTCTGTTTTTCATCTCAGCTGAAATCTCATGAGACCCTAAGCCGAAACCACCCAGGTAAGCTTCTCCCCACTTCCTGACCCTCAGAAACAGCAGAAAATAATACACATTTAGGGCTGTTTTAGGCTACTACCTTTTGGCATAGTTTAGAAAGCACTGCAGGGGAGCCAGAGGTCACCTCCTGCCCGTCTTTAGCTGTTAGTGGGCTCTTCAGCCAGCTTTAGAAACTAAATCAACACCAGGCAGATGAGCAGGAGAAAAGCACACATGCTGTATGAGTTTTGAATGCTTGTGGGGATCTTCACAAAGGAGGGAAGCCTGGAGATGTAGCCCAAGCGAGATGCTTTTACTTTATTTTTGTCCTTTTCTTTTTTCTTTTCTTTTTTTTTTTTGAGATGGAGTCTTGATCTGTCCCCCAGGCTGGAGTGCAGTGGTGCGACTTGGCTCCCTGCAACCTCCGCCTCCCAGGTTCAAGTGATTCTCTTGCCTCAGTCCCCCGAGTAGCTGGGATTACAGGTGTGTGCCACCACGCCCAGCTAACTTGTTTGTGTGTTTTTGTAGTGGAGACGGGGATTCGCCATGTTGGCCAGGCTGGTCTTGAACTCCTGACCTCAGGTGTACCACCCGCCTTGGCCTCCGAAAGTGCTGGGATTACAGGCCTGAGCCACTGTGCCCAGCCTCCTTTTTCCTTCTTTCTTTTTTTTTTCAGACCCACCCGAGAATACAAAGATGCTTTTATGTTTTTTAGGCAAAGAGTAATAAATTTGAGAAGAAACGACAGGACAAAGAAAATCTAGCTGGGGCAGTCAATTTTCTGGGGGAGTCACTTGGAGACGTACAGGGGCATGTAAAGTAGGTGGAAGATGAGGGCTACTGCATTATCTATGTTTATTCAGGCCCATTGCAGCCCCCGATGTCCAGTCTCTGGTGATAAGGGCTGCTTTCTTGCCCTGGCACAGAGAGGGGACCCCTCCCAGAGGCATCCTTATGCTACCTGCATGCAGGAAGTGACAGGTCACCTCACCCTTTCTGAAACTACTGGTCATGGTTCCCAGGCATCATTTCTCCAGTTTTCAGTTCCTCCAGTTTTCAACATGAAATAATTGTAAACCAAAAAGTGTCTGAGACAGGTCTCAATTTATTTAGAAGTTGATTTTGCCAAGGTTAAGGATGTGTGCCTGGAAGACAGGCCTGTGCCTTCCTCCAAAGGTGGTTTTGAGGGCTTCAGTATTTAAAGGGAAAAGCAGGCAGGAGGGGAAGGAAGGGAGGGCGTGGCCACGTTTCGGAATTCCCATGATGCAAGAGAAAAGGGGCAGTAGGGGAATCGTCAGTTACATATTCGTTACACAAAACCCGGTGAACAGAGTGGAGACATTTCGCCTTTTATCCGTCACTCTCTGCTTGGGAACAAAAGGAAAGGCAGCTTCTTGCACGACTCAGCTCTCAGTTTAGTTTTTTCCTTTGGGTGGAGTGGATTGGGGTCCTGAGTTTTTCTTTTCCTTTCACGTAATCGATATACCAATCTGGCATACTGGGGGATGGTGTGTCCTTCACTCCTTCAGCAGCAATGGTAACTGTCAGAGATGTTTGCATTTCTTATTTGGATCCAGCAAAAAATGGGCATGGGTTCGCGCATGGAAAATGTTGCCATTGCTGATGTGCGTGCCTGATACCATCTTGTGGGAGGGGGGAGGGGGTGGGCAACAATTAAACATGTCCTTCAGCTCACAGTTCGGCTTCTAAGGATTTATCTTCGCTACAGGAGCATGTTCATAAAGGAGACAACTTTTTTTTTTTTTTTATATTTATTGATCATTCTTGGGTGTTTCTCGGAGAGGGGGATGTGGCAGGGTCATAGGATAATAGTGGAGAGAAGGACAGCAGATAAACACGTGAACAAAGGTCTCTGGTTTTCCTAGGCAGAGGTCCCTGTGGCCTTCCGCAGCGTTTCTGTCCCTGGGTACTTGAGATTAGGGAGTGGTGATGACTCTTAACGAGCATGCTGCCTTCAAGCATCTGTTTAACAAAGCACATCTTGTACCGCCCTTAATCCATTTAACCCTGAGTGGACACAGCACATGTTTCAGAGAGCAGGGGGTTGGGGGTAAGGTTATAGATTAACAGCATCCCACGGCAGAAGAATTTTTCTTAGTACAGAACAAAGTGGAGTCTCCTATGTCTACTTCTTTCTACACAGACACAGTAACAATCTGATCTCTCTTTCTTTTCCCCACATTTCCCCCTTTTCTTTTCGACAAAACCACCATTGTCATCATGGCCAGTTCTTGATGGTCGCTGTCTCTTTGGAGCTGTTGGGTACACCTGCAGAAAGCCTGTCACTTCACACTTGGAAGATTACACAGCGGCCAGGCAGAGGCGCCCCTCACCTCCCAGATGGGGCGGCCGGGCAGAGGCGCCCCTCACCTCCCAGACGGGGCGGCCATGCAGAGGCGCCCCTCACCTCCCAGACGGGGCGGCCATGCAGAGGCGCCCCTCACTTCCCAGACAGGGCGGCCATGCAGAGGCGCCCCCCCCCATTTCCCAGACGGGGCGGCCCGGCATTGGCGCTCCTCACTTTCCAGACGGGGCGGCCATGCAGAGGCGCTCCTCACCTCCCAGACGGGGCGGCCCAGCAGTGGCGCCCCTCACCTCCCAGACGGGGCGGCCGGGCAGAGGCACCCCTCACCTCCCAGACGGGGCGGCCAGGCAGAGAAAGGAGACTTCACTGCCCATCCACGAGGGCTGGTTGCATACACTGCAGAACATCTGTGCAAAGGAACTGGACAGCCTACAAAGAACAATGATGCCTGGGAACCATCGCCAGGCTACACTGTTGACTAACAAAGCCACGGGCCCCGCAAGAAACAATTCAGTAATTTCCACAGGGTTGGAGATGACTCAGCAGTTCCACTCCTGCACGAGCACCCGAGAGTTGCCCTGATAGCCGTGCACTTGGGCGTTCATCACAGCATTTGCTTCTTACATGAATTTTTAATTTTGGAATAATTTCAGATTTACAGAGAAGTTACAAATCCAATACAGAGAATTCTTGTATACTACCCTGCTCAGTTTTCTCCTACAATTAACATCTTAATCATGATACATTTATGAAAACCAAGAAATTAACATTGGTAGAATGTTATTAATTAAATGACAGATTTTATTTGGGTTTCATCAATTTTTCCGCGAATGTCCTTTTTCTGTTTCAGGATCCAATCTAGGATCCCACGTTACATTTAGAAAAGCATTGGTTTTGGTTTTCTTTTTCTTAAAAAATAGATTTATTAAGATAATTTGCATACCATATAATTTACCTATTTACATTGTACAGTCCAATGGTTTTTAGTGTATTGACAGAATTATGGAAATATCATCACTGTTTAATTCCAGAAAATTTTCATCACCCCAGAGGAAAGGCCCTACCCATCAGCAGTCCCTCCCATCCTCCTCCTCCCGCCACCCACACTCCTGGCAACCACTTGTCTACTTTCTGTCTCTATGGATTTGCTTGTTCTGGACATTTCCTGTAAATGGAATCATATAATATATGGTTGTGACTGGGTTCTTTCATTTAGCATAACGTAGAAAATCAATGTTTTAAAATTTTTATTTGAGTTTTTTTTTTTTTTTTAAGACAGAGTCTCCCTCTTTTGCCATGCTGGAGTACAGTGGCACGATTTCGGCTCACTGCAACCTCTGCCTCCCAGGTTCAAGTGATCCTCTTGCCTCAGCCTCGTAAGTAGCTAGGACTACAGGCATGTGCCACTATGCCCGGCTAATTTTTTATTTTTAGTAGAGACAGAGTTTTGTCATGTTGGCCAGACTGGTCTCAAACTCCTGACCTCAAGTGATCCTCCCGCCTTGGCCTCCCAAAGTGCTGGGATTACAGGCATGAGCCACTGCACTACCCAAGACTAATTTTTTTTTTTTAATAGCAGTTTTAAGTTCACAGTAAAACTGAGTAGAAGGTACATAGATATCCCATATATTCCTGGCCCCACACACAGCAGCCTCTCCAATGTCAACGTTCCCCACCAGAGTGGTCCATTTCTTACAAGCAATGAACCTACATGGAAACATCGCCATCACCCACCTGCCAGTGGTTTACGTTAGGGTGCACTGTTGGTGGTGTGCATTCTATGGGTTTGGACAAATGAATAAGGACACGTATCATACAGGATAGTTTCACTGCCCTAAAAATCCTCTGTGCTCCACCTAGCCATCCCTCCCCCTCAAAATAGCATTGTTTTTAATAGTGAAAAATTGGAAATAATTTGAAGATCCATTGACAGATGAATAGCTAAATAATTTTGATATATTCACAGAATACTATTCAGCTGTGAATATAAATGATTTAGACTACATCTGTCATCTTGGATGGATCTCAAAATGCTAGTGAACAAAATAAGCCAGCTGCAGAAGGATTCGTGATTGCCAATAACTATAATATCAATGATAATTGTGGCCAACACTTAATTGAGTGATGACTGTGCTGGGCATGGTTCTCTTCATAAGGATTGCTAATTTATTATGCATGAGCTAGAGGCCATTTATATAAGGTTTTAAAATGAACACAATAATACTACATATTGTTTATAGAAGCATACATAAGCAATAAACGAATAAAAACAGGCACAGAAATGATGAACGCCAAGTTCAGGGCAGTGGTTACTTCTAGGGTAGGAGGAAAGAGGGTGGAATCTGGACAGTATGAAGGATTTGTATTGTACCTGTAATGTTTGATGTCTGAAGCTGGGTGGTGGGCATGGCTGTTTGTTATTCTCCATCCTTTTGGTATGCCTGATACATTTCATAATAATTTTAAAAAGGACAAGACTATTGCAGAGAAATGCATAGAGTGAGCTCTGTTTGGGTTTTTAAAATGATTCCTACATCTATGCTTGCAGATGTAAGCACCAGCCCTGGAAAACATTGCAAGGGATTCTTAGTAGGCCCAAGCTTTGGGAAAGGGCCCAGGGGGCTGGGGAGTTGATTAGGAGGGGATACATGCTTTTTCCTGCTGCCTTTTGAATTTTGTACCACACGTAGTATTACTTATTAATTAAAAAATAATCTGAACTAGCCAGGCGTGGTGGCACATACCTAGTCTCAGTTACTTGGAAGGCTGAGGCAGGAGGATCACTTGAGCCCAGGTGGTTGCGGCCAGCCTGGGCAACATAGTGAGACCCTGTCTCTTTAGAAAAAACAGGCCAGGCATGGTGGCTCACACCTGTAATCCCAGCACTTTGGGAGGCTGAGGTGGGTGGATCACCTGAGGTCGGGAGCTCGAGACCAGCCTGACCAACAAGGTGAAACCCCATCTCTACTAAAAATACAAAAATTAGCCAGGGATGGTGGCAGGCACCTGTAGTCCTAGCTGCTCGGGAGGCTGAGACAGGAGAATTGCTTGAACCTGGGAGGCGGAGGTTGCGGTGAGCCGAGATCGTGCCACTGCACTCCAGTCTGGACAATGGAGCGAGACTTCATCTCAAAACAAAACAAAACAAAAAGCACACAAAATAATTCAACCTCTAACCATATATTTCCTTTTGCTTTGCTAGGTAATTTCCTACCCAGGACCTCATTTGCTCCCACAAAGGCCCTGGGGTTCCAGCGACTGTTAGCCCCTTTGAGATGAGAAGGCAGAGGCGCAGACAGGTTCCTTGCTTCCTTGGTCAGTGGTTGGTGTAGTCTTGGAACCCAGGTGGCTGGTTCCCAGCTGAGGTTCGTCCTGCCCTGGACAGTGGAGCTCAGTGGGAGGGGTACCCTGGCCAATCCTCAGCATCAGAGGCCACAGTATTCTCTCTCTGGTGTTCCTTGTGGCCAGATGAGCTGCTGCAGAGGTGTCCACAGGCAGAGCTTGGGCAGTGCTGTGGTGCGGCCCCTTCCTCATGAGGTGGCCACTGCCTCTGGGACTGTGGGGCAGTGCTCAGTGCTGCATGGCCATATGGGAAACCACAGTGGCTGCAGTGGTCCCCCTGTGTCCCCTGATGTCCCACAGCTGGAGGTTTGGGGGAGGTTTATACTGCAGGAATGAAAGTTTTTATGTGCTCAGACTTAAACAGGCATGGGATCACCTGGAGGGCTTGCTAACACACAGCTCACTGGGCTGTGCCCGGAGTTTCTGATTGCGCGCGCGCGCGCGCGTGTGTGTGTGTGTGTGTGTGTGTGTGTGTGTTGGGGGTCAGGGGAACTTGCATTTCTAACCAGCTCCCAAGTGATCTGATCTGCTGCAGCCAGTACAGGGACCACACCCTGAGAATCACTGCCTTAGAGCCTCCTCTTCTGTAAACTAGGGGCTGATGGAGCCACAGGGGACTGCCAGACAGCCGGTATACAAGCTGCCCTGCCACTAAAGTCACCCATGCACCCTGCACTCTGAGGGCCTGTGGCTGTAGCACTGGTGTCTGTCACCCACCCCTTGCCCCAGTCAACTGAGGATGGGGTTATATGGAGCAGTTTCTCCACCTTCCCATCAGACTCCCCTGGGAGCCTGTTGAAAACAGATTCCCAGGCTTCCTTCCTACTGAATCCGAGTTCCCAGAGGACGCCTGGGCATCCCCCTTTTCACAAATGCCCCCTCCTGTGCTCAGGGAAGTGGAATGCAGGGATGCAGACCTAGCCTCGCCAGCAGTGCCTGGTGCGTGTGGGAGACGCAGAGTCTCTGACTCTCAAATCCATCCCCAGTGCCTGTGCTGCACACAGGAGTGAGACGGATGGAGCTTGGCCCCTTCCCAGCTCAAACATAACTCTCCCGGAGAGATGCGGCAGACAGAAATGGGAGCCCCCATGCACTCCAGGCGGCATGTCAAATGGTGCCGCCATTGTAGAAAACAGCTTGGCAGATCCTGAACAAGTTCAACATTGCAATACCACAGGACCCAGCAGTTCTACTTTTCAGTATACGCCCCCCCAACCCCCGCCAAATTGAAAATAGGTGTTCAAACAAAAACTCATGCACAAATGTTCACAGCAGCCCTATCCACGATAGCCAAAAGGTGGAAAAAACCCAAATATTCATCAACTGACAAGAGAATAAACAAAATATGATCTACTCATTCAGTGAAATAATATTCAGCCATAATAAAGAGCAAAGTTCTGATACCTGCCACAACTTGGATGAATCTTGAAATACTGCAGTAAGTAAATAAGCCAGTTACACAAGGACAAATATTTCCTGATTCCGTTTATAAGAAATGCTCAGAATAGGCAAATCCATAGTGATGTTAAGTAGATTTGTGGTTGCCTGCAGCTGGGGATGGGGTGGTGGCAGGAACAAGGAGGGCCTGCTCACTGAGTACGGGATTTCTGTTTAGGGTGATGGAACTAGGTAGTGGTGATGGCTGTACAACATTGAATTTATCTAATGCCAATGAACCATACACTTACACATGCTCAGTGAGGACACTCCACCTGAACACACTCTTGCTAGCATCTGCCACGTGCCCACCCATTGTCCATTCCCCTTCTGCCTTGCTAACATTTTGTCCTCCATCCCACCCACCCCATTTTGTTCCTGGCAGCACAGTGCCAAGCTAACCACTCACTCTGCCAGTCTGCCTTGCTTCTAATTTGCTGCAGACACCATTGTGGCTGATGTGTTGGTAGACATTTCTGGGAAAGCATTGACTTTTCTGTTAAAAGAGAGAGACTTGGCTGTCATAGTCTTGTCCCTTCTTCCTACCTTGGAAGAGAATGTCGTGTGTGGAGTGGCAGCAGCCTTTGGGTGCTGTGAGGTGGTAAGTTTGAGGGAATCTGAGACTTGACACTGTTGAGCTGTCAGACCAAAGCCGGGAACCACCCACCTCTTCTCCAGCACATACTAAGAACATCCTATTCTAGGTGCTGGGGCAGTGAACAAGACCGACAAATCCAGGCCCTTCTGGAGCTTACATTTTTGTGTGATATGAAAAGAATAAACCATTATTTGTTTAAATTGCTTTTAATTGGAGTTTCTGTTATTTGCAGCCAAACATGATATCAACAGACACAACTGTTTACTTCCATTGTTTGATCTACGTCCAGGGGTCAGAGTGAAAATGTTCACATCTGTGTTAAGGTGCCCTGGCCACATAGCTAACAAGCTCCAGAACTTGGATGAGGACAAGAGTTCTTTGAGGCTGGAGCCCTGACTCTGTTTCAATACATGTCCTCTTTATATCTGTCCCACCGCTCTGCACAGACCCTGCCTAGGGTCTGTCTCGTGGGTTGAAGTGTATGCAGCAGCACCATAGTGATGTGAACACCACACCTTCAGAGGACTGGATGTAAGATGATACCGTAATAGCGAAAAGTGGTCGTTATCCCGAATGCCAACTAAAAGGACATTGTCAAGGACATCACACCATACCACTCAATGGGATCTCACACCACCATTTCCATGAAGGGCTGGGGACTGACGGCCATGCAAGCAAGGTTTGGGGGCTAAACGGAAGCCAAGGAAGCAGGAGTGGAGGTGTAGGTGCGTCATGATTCAATGCAGGGAGAAGGTGGGTGTTAGGACTGGAGGTGAACTCAGCTTGGTGGCAGGGCTGTGGCAATTCTCCATTTTCCAGGGTGTGCCTAATGTGGTTACATAGCTTTGAAATTCAAAGCCATAACTCTTAAACAAACCTCAAACATGTGCACCCCCACACTGAAGGAGGGACTTCTCACTGCTCCCTTAGGAGGATACAGGCACCTAAGGGGACATCAATATCCCAGCTCCCTCCCAGGGCACCTGCCTCGTCTGTGGACCCGCCTCCTGGTCCCAGGGATTGGCTGATAGCTGCCCTGCCTACTCTAGCTCAGCCAATCGTGGATCCCCATTCTTTGCCAGTGATTGGTCAATGTGAGGCATGTGACCAGTGGGCCCAGAGTCCTCTGCCCGCCTTGTTCAAAGGCGGGAGTAGAGTGCAGGCCAGGCTCAGAAGGTGGGATGGCGGCCGTGGGTGGCTGCATCCTGCTTGGGACCTGGGTGAGGTGGCGCGGGGGTTGTTGGGGGGAAAGGTGGGCCTGGCTTTGGCCCCTTCCAGAGTGGGGGCCCCCAGTGACCAATCTCCTCCCCGTTCTGTGGCCCTCGCCCTCACCCAGATCCCTGGCCTGGGAGCCGGGGGCTGCGGGCCACGAGGAGGGCGAAGGCCCCGCCGCTGCGGCGTGAGGACGGCTTCGCACGCGGGAGCAGGCCCGGCGCCACCTGAGCTCGGCTGCCTGCGCGGAGGCGCCCTTCGCCTACTGAGAGGAGAATGAGGGTGAGTAGGGGCGCAAGTGGAGCGTGCCTCGGGGCTGTGGGTGTGGATGCGCTGGCAGGTGTGGCGGTTTGGGTTCTGCAAACCCTCCCTACGGCGGCTCTCGGGTCCTGGAGCGAGACGCCGGGTGCACGACGCCAGAATCACTGAGGTGCCGGCTCCCCGCGGTGAAGGCTCCAAGGAACGCGCCTGGGCCCGGCCGGCGCGGCTGGAGCAGCAGTTCTCCGGCAGCCCTGCCCTTCCTCGAGTTGGGCCTTTGAGGGGCCTTGGGGCCTCCCGGGGCGGCGGCCTTGAGCCATTAGTGTTGGCTGAAGTCTTAATGACAGGCGAGAGGTGGGCGGAGACATGGGGTTTGAGAGGCTGTCGTTTCCATAGGCCGAGGTTAAGCCTAGGCCAGGTGAGGTCTCCGAGGCGCCCGGCTAGAGTCGGGCCAAGGCTGGAATCTTTGTCCTCATTCAGGGACGCCTTTGCGGTCTTTGAAGCTACGCTCAGGTGAGCCGAGGGCAGACACTGTGTCTCCTTCCGGAAGCTGGGGGTTGCGATACGCGACCCCAAACACCTGATTTTGGGAGAATGGCTGCACTCCCAGCCCCTCCACTGTGGGCCTCGGTGCACGAGTCGCGCACCCTCCCAGCATCCCCTTAGTACCCCAAGGAGCTGTGGGACTTTCCACTCACTGAAACGGGGCCAGTCTATACAGGCGTCTTTCCCTTGTGGAGCCCAGCTCCGTGTGCCAGAAACAGACTCGTGGGGTTTGGGGGTTTCAGCCCAAGCATCCGCCCAGAACACAGTCTGCTTCTGCTGCGGCCGCTGAGAGGACTAGGGAAGTGTTCCTTTCCACACCCTGGGACAGGACGGGCGAAGTCCGTGGGTCTGGTGGCCTCGGGGAGCAGGGCAGGTGGAAGACTCCCAGGCACTTTCCAGGCAGGGGACTAGGAGGGCCCGTGGAGGGGCAGGCAGTGCTCCGAGCCTTTGGGGAATCCCCTCTTCCTTACCAGGTGTCTGAGGACCAGATGGAAGCTGCAGGAGTGGGAGTGGCCACAGCATGGGCACAGCTGCAGTGGGCTGAGGCTGTGAGGGGGCCTCTAGGAGGGGCTGTCCCTGCAGACATTGCCTGGGCCAGGGTTACAGCAGTGCATGAAACAGGCCGTGCCTCCCCCACGGGGATTGTCTTCCAGAGGCATGTGTGGGCGGGGTGGGGCGGTGGGCACTAATCAGTGAGCAAGTAAGTAAAGCAATAAGCCAGTGAAGGTGGCAGTAAGTGCCCTGGGGATGTGGGAGGGGGTGATGGCAGTAAGTCCCATTCTAAATCAGGTGATCTGGGAAGCCATGTAGGTACGGGGACCCCACAGGGAGGCGGCGCTGAGGTGGCACTGTGGCTGGAGCCAGGTGAGCAGGGAGGAAGCCCGAAGAGGAGGGTGGGTGGGGCCAGATGGCTCTGGACCTGGTGGGCAGAGTGGCAGAGCTGAGGTCAGTGTGGCCGTCTCTGTGTCGCTGCTATGAATGCACAGGTGGCTTGTGTTTCCTGCTATTTCTAGACCTCTCTTTTTGTGGTCTCCTTCCTTCCCACCACACTCTCCACTTAGCCCTCCTGGGGCCTACCGGAGAAAGCTGGTCCCATGCCTATTGGCGAGGGAGGCTGGTCTTTCCCAGCAAGCATGCTGGGTGTTAAAGGTCTCAGGCTGTGTGGTTTTCCCTGGAGCCTCGATGTCTCTATCGGGCACCTTGTATAAACTCCCACTTGTGAAGATGGAGCGTTTCTTAGCTCTCCCAGGTGGCTCCAAGGCCAGGAGGGCAGCTGGCCATGCCCTTGGCGTTAAGTGGAGCTTCACAGCTGCATGGGGCTGGCAAGCCATTTCCAGGCTCACTCGGGAGCCATGAGACCCCCATCTCATTCTTCATTAGCTCCGCCTTTCTCTTCTGCCAATGGGGGTGACAGTGGAAGGAGAGGAAAGGGCTGCCCCAGTTCTGACTGGCAGAGGGAGGCCGTGGGCTGTGGGAGAAAACACATCATCATCGTGGGGGGCTAGGAGCTCTGTCATATGGTGGTTGTAAGCAACAGAAATGGGCTCTGGCTGGCTGAGGCCACAGAGGTGTGTGTTGGGAGGGCTCTGGGCAGTTCACAGCCACAAGAGGAAGGCTTCATGGAGGACCTGGGAAGGACTGGCCTCGGGCAACTCTGCCCCCATGGTGAGGGCCCACAGTCTGGGGATAACTTGTGTAGGTGCCTGGAGGCCATGGGCAATGGCAACTGGTTCTCCAAGCCTCGGTGTCCTCGTGAGAAAAGGAGATAGTCACCTCAGTGATGCTTAACCTCATAGGATTCTTGTGGGAATTAAAGCAGATCCATGTGTCACATGCCCTCTAAGCCAAGGGGACTTTACAAATGTTGGGTCCTTTCTCTGAGAAACAGGGGTTTCTAGGTCTTGGTTCTCCTGATCCCAGTGGAGTGAATTAAGGTAACCAGATTGCCACTGAATTCGGTCTTCGTTTTCCACAACCCTGAGGTGATTCAGCTGGTAGGGACTCCCCCCTTGCCCCGCCTCCTGAATTCTTAGCCCTGCACATATGACGTCAGATGGGGCAGGGAGAGGAAGCACCCTGTGGGTGGAGCAGATTCGGAGCCAGCGATGGTTCCCAAGGCCCCGGGCTGGGTTCTGTCACCTGTAGATAGACTTGGGAAGCTGCACAGCAACCTCTGCTTCTCCACTTGCTGTGGACCTTGGCAAGACTTAGTTTCCTCATCTGGGAAATAGGGCTTTAGTTGTTACCTCACAGGGCTTTTAGCCACGTGGTGGGTGCAGTGATCTGAACGGTGCCCGTCCCAGATAGCACTAGGTAGACTGAGTGCTGTTTCCAACCTGTACCGCCTCTTGGGTATACACACAGAATGCTTGTGCTTGTGGCCACCTCTGCAGGGCTGCAGGGGCTATGTGTTTTTCCCACTCCCCGGGTTCTGGGGTTTGGAGAACACGCTTAATTCTGTTTTTGCAGTCATCTTGGGCAGAGATGACTACAGTTGGGCAATGGCAGGATGGCTTGCCTTCCAGGAGCACCGCGTCAGAGGGGCCGGCCCCCAGATGCAGGTGGCTGGTGAGGGGTCTCCACACTCTGTCCTGTGAACTGGGCCATTTCCGTGGTCCCTACCTCATGGGGGCCTAGGGCCTGGCTGCCAGGTCTTACCCAGTGGCTGTGAGCAGTGCCAGGGCCCCTCCTCTGGCTCTCAGACACATGCTTCATACTTGGAGCGGAGGTAGCAGCACATGTGGAGCAGGGTGACCAAGAAGCTTTGGCCACATCTCCCTGAGCACCCTGCAGGTTCTTGGATTATTGGCTGCATTGTTGCCTGAAACTACACAGTCTGAATTCCAGTGGACTCTTCTGGCTGGTAAATAGCCACACCGATAATAGTCTGTGAGCTGAGCAGGCACAGTGGGGAGTTCTGGATCTGAGTAGCTCCTCACTCCCTGGAGAGATGTGTGTGGCAGGACAGCCTGTGGCAGTGCTCTGCCTCCAGAACTTCTGCGGCCTGTTTGCGGGGGGGCCCCCGAGAAGATGGGGCTGCTGCCGCTCCCATCTGTCCGGAATCCCACAAACGCTCACTATTGCTGTGGCTATTCTGGTCCCACAGGCAGATGGCAGCCCTAATATGCTCACTACACCGCAGGCTCATCCTCTAGAAAGGCAGAGGCTGCTCAGGGAAGCTTCGCACTTAAAGCAAATGGAGCATGACAGCATTGAGACAAGAATTACACTGATGTACTTCTCACATCGTTTTTTTGTCGAAAGAAAAACACACATGTTGCCACTTTCACTTGTGAAAAATGGAAACAGTTTTCCTGCAATGAGTGGCCTCAATCACTAAAAATGAATTTGTGTATATTTATAACAAAACGTCGAAATGATTGATATTGATGGCTTCGTTAAGCATTACCAATGAGTACCACCGGGGGGCGGCACAGCACAAGGGGAGTAGGTCAGAGAGCCCAGGGCTCCTGTGGTTAAACTTTTCTCCTTTCCATGAAAATCCTCAAACACATTTTGTATTTTAATTAAATGAAAATACTGAAAATGATACAGTAGAGAGCACTTTTAATGGAAAATTAATTGATAACACAATCTTATTTCAATTTACTTTTTATTTTTAACTTAAACGACTGTGTATTTTCCACAGTCTTATGATGAGAAAGGCTCCAGAATCACGTGTAGGTGTCCTCAACATTTCATAGCTCGAACCGTCCTTTCTTTACGTTGTGCATTGATATGGGCTTCTCAGTTCAGAAAACAAGGCACTATAACTATTTTATCAGCTACATTAATACATTGAAGATATATTTATCCTTTCATGAAAGATACAGCATTTGAATACAATATGGTTTTATGCAGATCAGGTTCAAAACACCCAAGGCACACACTTTATTTTTTTTCCTTTTTTTTTTTCTTTTCTGTGTTTATTTGAAGGCTCGTATTAAAATTTCAAAATTGGCATGAACAAAGAGTTCCAGAGTGGAATCAATGGACAGGGATTGTTGTAATTTTGAACATAAAACGGTAAAGACTGTGGAATGTAGAACAAGTTACAGGAACGATAAACAAAATCACCAATACAGCATGGATTAGAAATCAAAGTGATGAGATCTGCGGAAGTCTGAGAAACAAGTTTGGAAATTCTCTGATTCCCCACAAAGCACGGGCAGTCCTGTCTGCATGCAGCTGCTGTGGTCACCCAGCCACTGTGGAATGTTCACCTACTTGCATGGGTTCATGGTTGTCTACAAATACAGAAACACATTCCAGTTCGCCAGTTATTAAAATGCCTCCAATTTCAAGTAAAAGAAAAAATCTTCCAATAATTTTCCTAGTAAGGTAAACGAATATATTCATCTAGGAAAAGTGGTCTGGAAGAAACCATTGGAAGCAAAGTCTAGGGGGGTGCCAAGGTTTGGGAGAAACTATTGGATGGTGAAGCGGGAGAGCTTGAGGGTGAACTACAAAAGATATGAGGACTGGAATTTTTCCTGAACGTGGAAGCATAGAGGCTGCTGCTCAACTGGGGAATGTGCCAAAGTAGAAGAAACTTTAGGAACTAAAGACAACAAGTTTTCACTGGTGAGGCCAAAGAAGAAGTTCAACGTTTAGGTTTAAAATATGCTTCCCTAAAGCGGAGGGATGGCCCATGTCTTCCTGGCTTAGTTCTTTGCCAATAGACACAAATTCTCTCTTGCTCCAAGCCTTAGCATGTGGTTTGCTTGTCAACCAGAGAGGCGGCCCAGTTCTGCCACTCCCTTGGCCTTATGGCTAGAAGACACCCTGCTGGGGTGTGGGGAGACTGGACCCTAAGGGAAGGGTCCGGATCTGGCTGGCCCTCCGCGGCACCGCTGCTTCCACCCAGAACAAAAGGAAAAGCCGAGCCTCAGCTCCACGCCTATAGCAGCGGTCACAGAAGCAGATTTTGACGTTTTGCATAATTCTGAAATAACATGCACGTATCCATTGATAAATTGAGAATAAGGAAATGGAACCAAGGCAGATTAGCTCAGTGACAGGAGCCTGTTTACTCGATGAGAGAGATTTTTCTGGTCAGTTTTAGAGAGGCAGAGCTGGCCACAATGCCTGAGATAATCTACATTAGATTGCAAGTCGGGCAGCTTTTTGTTTAATTCAGACAGTGTTCACTGTTTGTTTGCAATCAGAACCACAACCTTAGTGCAATAGTATATTTATTTTTTTACAGTAATTTTGGTTGCCATACAAGAGATTTAAGGATTGGGAGAAAGTGCAAATTACAGGAGCTTTTTTTTTTTTTTATAAAGTCTAAAAAGAATAAAAGCACAAAAGTAACAGCAACATAGATAATGCGAACACGTGTTGTTACACAAACTATAGTGTGAAACATATTAGTATTTAAAAAACAAAAAAAAATTGTTAATGGGAAAATCAATATTGTGGCCCACACACAAAAAGTCATTGCCAGATCAACTGGATAATGCTTGCTTGTTCAATAACTGAGAAAAAAATTTACCATTTTATTAACTAAAGTATCACAAATAATTCACTTTGTGATATGTAAAGTTCAGCAAATCAACAGTCACATTGAGTAATTTTTATATTATGTGAATTAACTTAAAATGTGCGCAGACACCCTGGAAAAGGTATCTTGGCAGGTATACATAATTTACATTTTGAGAGATTTGGGTTTTGTATACACAATATTACAGAAACTAGGCATGTAAATGCAGTTTATTTAAATTACAGTATGTAACAAAAGTTGATCTTAAAACCTGGAATAATATCAACATGATCTTTAGATGAGCAGTTTAACATTTGTTCCACCATTAAAGAGGGGCATGGAATAGGGCCTCGTCCTAACATGTCCCAAAGGGGGAGAACAGTGGGTGGTGATTTGAATGAGGAACTATTGCTTTCAGTACCAAAATAAGCAGATAGAGATAGAGACCGATTCATCTTGGCAACATGTGTTTATTTGTTGGTCAGTGCAGGTTCTGATAGGTCTATTACTTCTCTATAATAAGACAGTGTAAAAATAAACTATGTTATCAGCTCTTTAGTCTTGCAGCCAGCTTGCTTGTGGTTAGTGGCATGTGGCTTGGAGTATCTTTAAGAAAGGGAATAACATCTGGCCCTCACCAACTGGCTGCCAAAGTTCAACAAACCGAAGTCACGAGTTTCGACTGGTTATCGTCTGCCAGCGGTTTCCTTGACTCTCCTTTGAGCTAGTGTTTTGCCTGGCACTGAGCACAGAGGTAATACCAACTGTAGGCCCAGGGAAAGTGCCATGCCAAAGGAATGGACTCACGGAATTTTGCGGTATCATCAAATGGAAGACAAATTAATGGCCAAACCACCATTTTTACATTTTCTAAAATATGGGGCAGCCTCAGCAGGCCACCTGTAGTATCCTGTCTTGAAATTTATCTAGAGTAATGCTCATTCATCTCATGATGGAAAAACTGAAAGCACACGGAAGTAAAGCGCCTTAATATTCAATTGACTTCAAGTTGGATTGGATCATTTCAAATACAAAGATTGACCTGCAAAAGGTTTTGGAACAGAAGGTCCAAAAACTTGGTTCCAACATCAGGGGTGTGTGACTGGAAAAGCGCGTGTGTGTGGTGTGTGTTTTGTTTTTGTTTTTGGAGAAACTGCTGCATTATGAATTGTAACCACTTTGAAGAAATTGTCCTTCAATGACGAAGTTCTAGCAAAGATAGAAAATATAACACAGCTCTGCTGGTTCAGATGCATCCAAATAAGGTTGATTTAAAAAGGTCATACTTTTATAATTATTCCACAGAAATAGTATTATTAAATCACAAAAGTTTTTTTTTCTTTAACTTTCTAGCACTGAAGTGGCACAAAGGCTGCCTAGTAGACCAGCCACTTTTTTTTCTTAAAATATTGTGCTTATAAACTATCTGTACAACTATTTAAACTTGCAGTAAAGAAAGATTTTAAATTGCTAAATTTTATGTGTTCATTCTAGAGCTGTTCCAGACCTAATCAAGAAAAAAAGGAAAAAAAAAAAACAAAACCATGTTTTATAATTAGAGATGGGCTGAGCTAGTTCTGAAATAATAATAAAACCAAAAACCTGACATTCGAGTATCCTCCAAATGGGGGAGAATGTGCTGGAAGCCTGACTGTGTGTTTTGCGGCCCATGTGCATCTGGTGACCTCTTTTGGAAATTCGAGGTATTGTTATGGGGTGGAGGGACTCCGGGGAAAGAAAGGGGCGGGGCTCAAGAAAGCCTTGCCAGAGAGGCTGACCTGGCAGCCCAGGAGACCTCCCTGCTTTCCTCTCCTCACGCCTCTGCTTTCACTCTGATCCTGCCGCCCACCTTCTGTTCTCAACCCTGGGTTCTGTCTATACTCCATACCCACTGGGTCCTCAAAGAAGCTGTTGTACTGTTAAGACAAGCTGGTGGGATTCCTAGACACCCAGAGCGATAGGGGAAAAGCCTCTAAGTACCATCTTCCCTGGCCTCCGAGAGCAAAAGGACTGTCTCAGCAGAGATGCTCACCCTTGGCTGGGCACAGAACTGAGGATGCTGTGCCCGCCCAGCTCCCAGAGGAGACGCTGTCTCACTGGCAGCCGCATGTGCCCGCCATGAGCCATGCGTCTTCTTGTCCTTCATGTCAAAGTGGATGCTCACCTGCTCTGATCTTTGCAGAGCTCAAGACATCTTCAATTAAAAAGAATTCTGAGAGGCAGAGAAGCCCTTATTCTCCATCCTGGATGGGTGCTCATGGCAGACAACTGCTCTTGTCCTGGAGACCTGGAGCTTGGGCAGTTGCACGCTGGCTGGCTCCCTTGGCCAGGTCTCCCCTCCATTGTGGAATCGTGACTTTGTGCTTTGACTAACTCCATGTGACATCTGCTTGGCCACCTTGGAATTATGCTAACAGATTTGCAGAAATAAAGAAAGCTAAGCAAAGCTGGGCACGATCCCATCCAAACTCCCAGCACTGCCAGGAACCTCATGGCCAAAGAGCCATGGATGCAAACCACAGGAGGAGATGGGGAAAAGAATCTGTGTAGGAAAAAGTTTCTCTGCCTTTCAGGCCCATGATGGGGCACTGGACAAATGCATCTGGGAGCATCTCACTGCAAGCCAAGTGCAGGAGAAAGAGGGGCAGGTGAGCATCAGGTGTCCTCTGAGAGGCCACAGGACTGAGGAAAGGCCTCATGCCGGGGCCTGGGGTGGTGAGAGCTGCCCGGAAAGCAGAGGACGGAGGTCTCAGGAGGTATCTAGAGTGCACTGGTGTCTGCCTACAAGAGCTAGGATCCCGTGCAAAATTGACGGGGAGCCTCTCGGACCCGGCAAAGCGAGGCCACCTGCATGCTGGGCGGCAGGCTGAGAATCTTTTTCCATGTTAGAAAAACTCCCTCCCCTTGTCCCATGTGTGATAGAAACTGCCCAAGACACCCACATGGTGAGCCAGGGGTCTGAAGACCCAGCCATGTTGTGGACACAACTCAGTATTTCTTTGGGTACCAGGAGACAAACCCATGGAGTGGGGTTGATGCTCACAGACTTCGCTTGGCATTCAGATGTTTCAGCACGAGCCCATCTCTACTTATAACAAGAGCAGTCTGCGAGGTGGAGAGCAGCCGTCCTTATCTGTCCAGCAGCTGTTTCAAAGCCCTTTCTATGTTCATTCTGTGCCCGACTCGAGTTACCCCAAGATCGATGAGGTCCTCCTTCTGCAGGTTTGGTAAGTGACTGCCATCGATCTCATTGTCCATGAAGGCCTCTTTATGTTCACCCAAGTTTAGACTTTCCAGCCAATCGGCCACATCTGGTTTAGTCCACAGGTGGACAGGTTTAGTTGTAAAAGGCTTATTTGAGATTGGCTGTTGCAGTATCGAGGGGGATGGCGACCTACTGCGTCCCGCTGGGTTCAAGCCAAATAGATCCCCAGAAGGGGGCTGGCTTGGAAGGCTAAAGACATCTGAGAGAGCGGGAGAAGGAGAGGCGGTGGCAGCAGACAGGGGGGCGGGCAGGGTCTCTTTGTTCATCTCTGTTGGCGAGACCACAGGGCTTGGGGCACGTCTTGTTCCTGAGGTCCTGCTTTCATAGTCGGGGGGCCGGCTCTGCAGGGTGATGGGCTGGGAGGTGCCGGGGCGAACAGTGAAGGTGACCGTCGTGCTCCGTGTACCTGAGATGGTGCTCATGATCTCCGGGCTTCTGAAACAGCAACACAGAGAAAACCATCACAAGGCAGGTCACCGAGTCAGGGCAGCTGGCTGCAGATCACCCAGGAAGGCGAGGGAGACGCCCAAACCATGCCAGAGTGTCTAGTGGCAGATCCACTGGCAGTGAACGAATGATTTGCCATGCCAGGGTGGGGGAGGGGGAGAAAGGGGCCAGAGCAAAGTTGGAGACACCAGAGCACACCACGTCAGCCCACTCACCTGAACTGGGACAGAGGGGCTGGGGGACCTGCCTGTGCTGGGGGGAGCACACCACGTCAGCCCACTCACCTGAACTGGGACAGAGGGGCTGGGGGACCTGCCTGTGCTGGGGGGCAGGGCCGGGGGACCCTCGGGAGGGTGGCCACTGAGGCATTTGGAAGGGGTCCCTTGAAGAGGGCACGGAGACAGGGACAGAGTGGGGTCCTGTCACCTGGGTAGAACGTGCCAGGCAACATCTCCAGCGCCTCAGCTTCAGCAGGTGGGAAGGAGCACACCTGGAGGACAGGCCCCTCAGCCGCCTGGCAGCCTTAGGCTTTTTGGGTAAATGGACAAGAGCAGGGCAGGATCCTTCCCAGGTGGCCCCTTTCAGTAACTGGAACCCCTGTAGCTACGCAGGGCACTCAGGGGTTGAGATCACCCGGAAACCCAGACAGCAGGGCGTGGCTTGTGTGGCCAGTGTGGGCTGCGCTCACCTTCCTGAGGCAGCACTGTCCAGCGCCCACCCAGTGGACAGTTTTGTTGCAGAAGGAGCTGGGGTACCCTGTGTTATTTTTAGCCCCTTTCATGTGAGAGGCTCACTGGTAGGACACACGGGCCTTACTGAAAAGCAGAACGCGTGAGGAGCCCTGTCTTCCCCAGGGTGGCCATGGGCGTCCCCGAGGGTCCCCTGTGCCTTGCCGCTCTGGCTGGGCAGGCAAAGCCCTCAGAGCTCAAGTCAGGGAGGACGACCCTTCTAGCTCCAACCTTTACTGGCCCCAGGGTGGTGGCCAGATGACTCCCACAGGCAGGAGGTCCCATCTCAGTGCCAGAGAAGTCCAAGTCCTCACGCTTACCCACGTGGAGGTGGCCTTTCACACACCACTCCCTCACGGGCTCTGGCCAAGGCCTGTGGCAGGCACTCTCCACACCAAGAGAACTGCCACTCTGGGCCCTAGTGCATGTTTTGCTGTCCCCACACTGAAAGCCCATTCATCCTATTGTCCCTAGGAAAGCCACAGCCACTGGGGAGGGGAGGAGAGGTGTGGGTCTCTTGCCTTTTGGGCCCATTCACGTGGATATGAACGGCCCACCCACCGCTTCTGAAAAGATCCATCCTACCACGGCTCTCTCTTCAAGACCTGGACTTGAGAGATGTCTGCTGGAGCCCTGGCTCTGTCAGATGCCAGCTTGGGTGCACTTTTCTCCTGTCTCCACATCTTCCCACATGAAGTGGGCTCCTCTCCCTCCTATGTGGTGGGTTACCCTGGGTGGAGGGGCTCTGGAGAGCATGAGGAGTGCACTGGTGTGACATCGTGACCGTGAATGGTGGTGGGCTGCAGTGTCTCAGTGAAAGGGTCATGGGCAAGAGGGGGAGAGCTGCAAACAGTAGAGATGCTGCCGTGTGGGGAGACTCCCTGGAGGGCAAGACTGAAGCCCCTGCCCGTCTGCTGGGGGCCAGTTCATCGACTTGCACTGGGGCTGTCTTTGGAGCTCAATGGCTGACCAGTTAGAGCAGCACTTCCCAAAGAGGAGCCCACAGACCCTTCATAGAAACCACCTGGGACACTGGTGGGCCGTGAGGACTCCTGAGCTCGTCTCAAACCTGTGGAAGCAGGAGTGCTGTGCATGGGGACCAGGTGTCTGCAATTAACAAACTCCCCAGACACTGAGAGACCCTGAACCTTAGAGGCCATTTGGTTGGGCCTTGGTTTTCATTCCAGGGTATGCACAAAGCTAATGGCCCAGAACCCTCCAGGAGCTAAAAGCAAAGGGAGTGACCTGGAGACGGGCCCCGCTGCTGGTCTAGTCTGTCTCTCTCCGTTTTTTTCTTTTCTCTTTCTTTACCATGGATGTATATTTGGGTGAAACCACCCATCAGTTACCTAGGTTCCCCTAAGCTGTGGGTCAGTTTCCTACTTGATGTTAGTCACTGTTGCTTAAAGTGTGGACTAGTCCATAGTGAGAAAGGAGGGGCAAATCTGAAAGGGGCCTGTGCTGTGGACTGAGGCTTCAATCCTACTGTGAGAAGTGTTTGCAGGGGCTGGTGGGTGCACTGCTGGGCCAGGGACCCCATCCACCCATAGGGTGTTCACGTGCTATTTTCCAGAGGGCTGGGTGCCCCTGAGTGGGAGATGTTACAAACCAGGCATCCCCATCTAGAACCTGCCCCCACCCTCAATGGTGGCTTGCTGGTCATTGGTTATACTGCTCACACCAACAGGCACAAGGCAGGTGAGACTCTGAGGATTCCTCCACTGTTTCTGGGCCCAGTTACTCACAATCAAGAAATCAGAGGCTGCACACGGTGGCTCACGCCTGTAATCCCAGCACTTTGGGAGGCCTAGGTGGGTGAATCATTTGAGGTCAGGGGTTCGAGACCAGCCTGGTCAATATGGTGAAACCCCATCTCTACTAAAAATTAAAAAAAAAAAAATTAGCTGAGTGTGGTGGTGGGCGCCTGTAATCCCAGCTACTGGGAGGCTGAGGCAGGAGAATTGCTTGAACCCAGGAGGCGGAGGTTGCAGTGAGCTGAGATCGTGCCACTGCACTCCAGCCTGGGCGACTGAGCTAGACTTCTTCTCAAAAACAACAACAACAACAATAAAAAAACCCCCAAAAAACCCGAAATCAAATCAGAGCCCAGTGGGGCTTCACAGCAGGGGAGAGGGGCCAGCACCCTCTAGTATCTCAGTTTATACTCTCAAGAGAGAGGTGGCCTATGGACATAGGATACACGAAAAAACCTGCAACCCCCCCTTCTCTGGTACTCAAAGAAGGTCGAAAGACCAGCTCCAGTTCCAACTTAAAACTGGGGGTGCTGTGGCCTGTTCTTCTGTGTTTATTCCAGAGTCACAAGAGCACAGTTTTGGGGAAGGCTTATTTGTCCACGTTGATAAAACAATTAAGCCAAGATGATTGAAATCAAATAATGGGTAAGTTGAAAGCCACTGCATTCAGAGGTGATTTGGGGTGTTAATTAGGGCCAAGGACCTTGGGGCACAGGGAATGTTTCCTATAAAATGGGAAAACATCTTACAAGAAGACATATGCCCACAGAGGACTAGAGGAGGAGGGGTAGCTGGGGTAAAGTTCTGGTCTCCATGTGCTTTTGCTAAAGCTGACTACATGGTGACTGTGCCTGCAGCCCTGACTCTGGGCAGCTCCACCGTGGCAGCATGACTGGTGCCTGGCCTTGGTGCTCACCAGGCCTGTGAAGCAGAGGCAAGTAAAGCCCCAGAGTGAGAGCACCTACCTCACGCCTGGGCAGTATTCACCACGGGTATCTCTGGCCCAGAGGGTTGCCCCAGTGCTGCCCTCACTGGGAAAATACCCAGCTGTTCCCAGGTAGTTGGGATTGATTTTGGTTTTTGTAAGGAAAGGCTCTGCAGGCAGCTGTGTGTGTGGTTAGGAAGCGAAGAGGAGGCTCTGCAAACACCTCGGTGGGCAGCGGGAGCGCGAGAGTGGCACACACGGGGTCACGCAGCAGCACAGCAGGTGGCACTTACTTCTGTTCAGCACGACCCTCTTCTGTTAACACCGGTCATGGGAGCAAATGAAAATGACAAATGGAATGACTTGAGACAACACTGCAAAAATTAATGAACAAGAAAGGAAGAAACAGAAAAAAGCTGCTTTTCGACAGATGAAATGAAGGCAGTGGGGCAGACCCTGGCTGAAAGCCCATCCGTGGTGGTCCCTTCGGCCTGCCACAGCCTGCCCAGAGCTGAAACATCAATATGGCATCACTTTCATAGGGAGCGTGGGAAACTCACAAGCTTGTCTTCTCCTTCTTTGGCTTGGGATAATGTAACCACTTGTAAAGAAGAAAAATAACCAGGAAAAAAGAAAGAAAATAGTAGCATTGGAGTGAAGTTCGCCTCTGCCTGAAGCCCACTGAGAAGCAGCTTATTGCCAATTTCCTACCTCAGGTGCCTGAACTGTCTTTCCTGTGGCTTAGGGAGGATAAACGAACATTCCTGGTGGGGGAGGGCACCCCAACAGGACAAGTGCTTTGCTTCAAGTCTACATCATGAGATGACAGCCCAGCCGTTAATCACATGGGCGTCAAGTGCTTGGGGCCTGCCAGTGTCCTGCCCCACATTGCTATAGAAAGTAACCGCCTGTGAGTGTGAGACGCAGGGTGAAGGCCACCCTGGGCTGCCCGCCCTGCCCTCCTCAGCAGCTTGACTCTCTTGGTTAATCACATTGATGATATTCACTGGATCTTCCCGGTTGCACAGATGGTTACGTTGCTAAGCAACCGCTGGGTTCCCAGTCGGAACACACAGGAATCTGCTGCCCTGATTTAGAACACAGACACATATACACACTCACACCCAACTCCCCACCAGGTCACCACTGTCTACCCTGCCTTTTAAATCACATTCATGTAGAAATGTGAGAATTAAAAAAAATCAAGGTAATTGAGACACTCAGAGAGGTGCTCTTATTTCATCAGTCAGTACAAGTTAATTGGGGTGAGGTAAGTAAAGAAGCAAGTGGCTTTTTTACTGTTTACAAATTCAATTTGGCTTTTTTTTTTTTGGAGACGGGGTCATGCAGCAATCATAGCTCACTGCAGCCTCAACCTCCTCAAGTGATCCTCCTGCATCAGCCTCTGGCATAGCTAGAGTAATCTGCTCTTTAACTGTAGCTGAACATGGGCCAGGGGCTGGTCAGTGATGCTGATTAGGCATGCTGGTTCTGTCCCTCCCATGAGCCGCCTGTCAAGGGCCTGCTGGGCCTGGCCAGCACTGAGGCTGGACTTGGAGCCTGTCAACATATGTTCTCTCCAGCACACCGCACGCCTCTGCATTTTAGTGATGAGCCCCCATCTTGCATGAAAATAGCACTTATTTCCAAACTGCTTTCTTATTTTTTCCATCTTTACAGCCTCCTGATAAGCAGGGCATTGAAAAGATAGAACCGGAGGCAGCAAGTCCTTACCTAGCTTCCCCGAGGCCTGGATGTGGGGACTGGAGCCCATATTGCCCAGCTGTGCCATGTGTTATGTTGTGTCTCAGCAGCTGCCAGGCCTCCGCCTCACCCCCAGCTCTGAGTGCCATGAGGGGGTCCTGGTCTAGTTTTAGTCCTTGAGGTCTGGCCCAGAACAGGGGTGCGATAAATAATTGTTGACTGAAGTGTTGATGGATAATATATCCTTTTCCCAGATCAGAAAGTTAAGTGACTTGACCGAGTTACAGAGCCAGACCTGGGAGTGGGGCAGGCAGCCTGAGGCTCCGCGGCAGTTCCACCAGGAATCCAGGTCTTCAGGCCAGGAGGTTCGCAGCTAAGATCAAGAAGGTGCCCACCTCTTGGGAAGAGAGATTAACCCTGTGATATGCTTTTGCCAAAAGGGCCTCATGTCCAAAATGGGGAGGAAGATTCTGACTTGAGATTTGCCTGTTGATGGGCAAGGACGAGGCACTCCCATTCATCCTTGCCCAACGCCCGCAAGTACCAGCCCCGATGGACGCACATCCTGACTAGTGCTCCCAGCCACCCACAGTCGCATTCACTGATGTCACATTCACTTTTCCATCAGGGCCTGGAAACCCTCAAACCACCTAGTGGTCCTGAGATGCTGAAAACACCGTGAGGCAGCTTCTAGTACCAAGTCAGTTTTGAAGCAGTCTGTGCTCTGGGACCAGCTGGGCAGAGATAACTTTTTAACAACCCAAAGTTATTTGAAAATCAAGAGGCTGTCAGGATAATACTGCAGAGAGCCCAGTAGGGACTGGAGGCCTTGGGAAGGGGAGGCAGGTACCGTGAGGCAGCAGGCGCAGGGGCCTCGGGAGGAAAACTCGCCTGAGCTCACATCCCAGGTAGCCTGAACTCCCTCAGGGGCCTCTGGGACCTGGAGTTTCACAGGACAAATCTCCCTGAAGCCCATCCATCCCATGGGGAAGCGAAGGCCAATCTCGAGGTCCCTTCTGGACCCCACCCACTGCAAAGGGCTGGCGACCTAGAGGGGACTCTGGGGAACTCTTATAGGCCATGCACCCTAACAGAAGCCATGGGGGACCCCCACAAGCACACACTCACTGCTCTGTTGCCCCCACATACAGAGCAAATGTGAAGCTGACCTCTGCCATGGAAGCGATGGTAAAGAACATCAGATTTATCTGGCTTTACTATCGGCGCCTGGTATGTGTCAGTATCTCTCAATAAAGCTGGAGGGCACATGACACCTGGGGCTCCTGGGTCATAGCAAGTTTGTTTTGGGTCAAAGCATATAAGTCAGGCAAGCTGCTGTGTTCTCCTGGGTTCCTTAGGCACTTAGCCCTTGAGTCTCCCTGCTTGTCTCCAGAATGCAGGCCCTACACTCCCACAGCAGCCTCCCTGTGCCACCAGTGCATTCACCTGATCACACAGCTGCCTGGGCCATCTTCAGGAAACAAAGTCTGGTCATGCCAAGACTTTGCTGAAGCCCTCTGAAGGCAGCCATATCTGGAACTCCATTCAGCTCATGCCCATTACCTGCAAGCCTCTTGTGACCTGGCCCTGCCCAGCCCTCCTCATCTGGCCATGGTTTCATGAGCACAGAAGGCACTTTCTGGCCTCAGGGCCTTGTACTCTCTGTCCCGTGCCTGGGATGCTCCACTCCTGGTTTTCTGCAAGGTTGGCTCCTTTTTAAATTTCTGGTCATTCAAATGTCATTTCCTTGCAGAGTGTCAGTCCCTTTCTGCACATGCTCACTGTAACCTGCTAGGGCATCCTAGTCCGCCCTTTCTGCATGTGGTCAGGGTTAACCTGCTGGTGTCCCGTGGCTCTCTTCTGCACGTGGTTATTTTTACCTGCTGGTGCATCACAGCCCCTTTCTGCACTGGTCACTAACCTATTAGCATGTTGTGGCTCCTTTGTGGCATTTGTCACAGTTTGGGTTTGTCTTATTATTTGTTGTCCATTTCTCCCCTCGAGAATTTGAGCTCCCCAAAGGGAGGGGCATCTGGAATGTTTTCTTGTTCAGTGATAAATCCTGGGCACAGCATGGCACCTGGCACATAAAGGCAATCCCTAACTTTGTTGAGTGAATGATTAGTGACGGAATTGCTGCCCCATTCTGAGGGTCCAGGCATCCTTGTTGGTGTATTCCTCGTTACTCTCTAGCCTCAGCCTGGCACTAGGCTTATAGAAAGTAGCTCAGTGAACTCCTGACTGGTGAATTCAGGAGACAGTGGGGCTGGGCCATGATTCCAAGTCTGAGTGTCCAGTCAGTCTCCTAGGCCTGCACCTGAGGAGCTTCCGGCTCTGAGCTTTTGCAGCCCCAGGCTCCTGTGCTGGGACCCCCAGCGTGCAGCACTGTCAGGCCTCTGGGCTGGCAGCTGTTGTCTTGGCATTCTGCTGAGGAGGGACCACTGACTCTTCACAGAGACACACTCACTCTTCCTTCCCCAAACCAGTTTCCTTCACTTTGATCCAGTTTGAGATCAAAGATGAGACTACCTCCTGGAATAATCAGGCCAGGTGGTCCTGGAACACTTTTCTTAGAACTGACGCCTCCATTCTTGGCAGGGTGTTTTCAGATCACCCTGGGAGATGCCTCTAATATGATGTACTTTTTTCTCTTTTAACATTATGTACTAAAGAGAACTACTTCATCATCTTCCTTTCGTCGGCGTATTTGTAATTAAGACGCCTGCAAATTCCATGTCATCCTTGATTTCAGGGAAGAGCTTTGAGCATCAGAGACTCATTCACGGCTAAAGTTAAATCAAACATACCCAAGGAAAACAAGGATCTAGTTGTTTAATCTTCAGCTGCTTCCTTTGATCCCATCCTGGATTCTTGCAAGAAGTGAAAAGAAAGGAAGAATCCAAGGATGAGAGGAACTTTAAAAGGGTCAAGTTCAGCTGAGGTTTCTGCCCATTTCATGAATGAACATTTGAGGAACAGCTCTAAAAATTGTCCCTTTCTTGGGCAGTCAAAACTTGTTTCTATGGAAATGGGATTTTTACACCACTGCTTATCTGTCATTTCAAAAAGCATGGCTGGTTTTCAATTTTCCCTAGAAAAACTCATTTCTTTTTCCTCGGTAGGAATTCCCTTCATCCAATTTCGTGCCTCATTTTGCCCAGGGCCATTCACAGCTCTTAATTTTTAGATGCATTTAAAGGTGGTGGTGAGTCGCCCAGGCGGTGAACTCAGGTGAGAGTTCTTAAGGCTCCCTCTGATCCTCAGATGATCAAATGCCCAGGGCCCATCAGTGAAGACCACGCCCAGCAAAGGAGACATGCTGAGAGATAGGTCTGTGGCTGAGAGGAGACAGCCCTCACGGCAAGGGGGACAGCTCTGGTGCCCTGGCAACTCCGTCCTGGACCCCCCCCCAGTGGTGGTTCTGACTGCCCCCCACTTGTCCTTGTCAGTGTGTCCCGTGGCCGTGGCGCACCTCCATGGGGGCTTTGTCCCAAGTGCTCAGCCTGGTGAGGTTATTAGATCCGAGAAGCAAGGGCGAGGGAGAGGATTGAGCCTAGTTTAGTGCCTACAGTGAATGCTCTTCATCTTTGTCCTCTGGCCTCAGGCCATCCTGTTTCTAGTCCAACTCTGAGTGTAAAGTGTAACCCTTGGCCGGGAGCAAGAAGGGAACAGACATGGCCTCTGGGAGCTTGGCAGTGCCAGTGAACCCCTAGTGACTAAGCCTGCTGTTATCGGCCGCAGGGTGACCTCCTAGTGACTAAGCCTGCTATTAGCCTCTTGCTGACCAAAGAGCTTGGCCTAAGGACAGTCAGAGGCCTGAGAGCAGCCCCGCCCGCGGCAGTCTCAGCCTTGCAGGTGTTCGGTTTGCCAGTTGGTCATTCCTTCCAAGGCAGTCCCTGGCTCCCACAAGGTGAGGAGTCAAACCCTGAGCCAGCTCCATGGGTTGGAGGTCTAGTTCCGCGTCTTCCTGTGAAGTAGCCTCGGCTCAGTAGCTTCACCGCCCTGCCTTCTGCTTCCTTGTTCACACAGTGGGAAAAATTACAGGCCCTGGCTCAGGGGTGCCGTGGAATGTAGTGCCTGGCGTTTGGTGAATGCTTTGTGTCATAGGTGTGGGCTCCTGTTCTTACTGTAAGAGAGCCGGGCTATAAATAACAGGACAGCTGGGAGGCGGCCGTTCTTGGCACTCACGCGTGGGTCGGCGGTGGTATGCAGCTGCTCTCCTTCAGAGTACAGCAGGATTCTGCCCTATGAAGTCTGCTTTGAGCCAGCCCCCTCTCAGGGTCCCCCTGGAGAAATGCAGGGCAGAGAAACCCTAGAGACGCTGCAAGTTGGGGTCCCACTCCCCTGTGGGCACCCCAGGAGCTGGCCCAGCCTGAAGACGAGTAGAGGGGATGAGCTGTCCAGCTGCCACTCAGGGAGAGGTCTCCATGGACGGGGTCCCTGGACTCCCCGAGTGGAGTGCTCAGGGGAGCACAGCTTGGTGCAGGATGCCCTGCTGACCTGAACAGTGGATTCCTTCCTCCAGCCCTAGAGCCATTCCCTTCCAGCTCCTTCCTTACTGCAGACATTGCTTACAAGGGGAAGTGAGAGTCAGGAAACCCCAGCCTGTGTCCCAGCTCTGCCTCCTGCTGGCTGTGTATGTGGACAAGCCACTTATCCTCTGAAAAATGGGTGTGACTCATACCTGCTCCCCAGTTGTCATAAAAATTACCCACCCATGAGAAAGTGTTTTGTAAAAATGTGAAACACTAAGATAAGGCCTCTTTAATTATTGCTTCCACATAGAGTAATGACGGAAGAGCCACATTAGTATGTAATGGGGAAGGGTTAAACTAGTCAGTTTTTCAGATTTTTGGCCCAGTGCAGTGACTCATGCCTGCAATCCCAGCACTTTGGGAGGCTGAGGTGAGTGGTTCGTTTGAGCCCAGGAGTTCGAGACCAGCCTGGGACACATGGTGAGACCTCATCTCTACCAAAAAAAAAAAAAAAAAAAAAAAAAATAGCTGGGTGTGGTGGCATGCGTCTATTGTCCTAGCTACTCAGGAGGCTAGGTGAGGTGTGAGGATTGCTTAAGCCCAGGAGGTCTAGGCTGCAAGGCTGCAATGAGCCGTGATCACGTCACAGCACTCCAGCCTGAGCGGCAAAGCAACACCCTTTCTCAAAATTCCTGGAGGCTGTTGAGTGTACTTGTAGGTGTATACGTACATAATTCTTAGACTTTCTCCTTGACTGGAGGCACTGTCTGAATGTCTGCAGTGTAACTGTGCTTCTCTATACCAATGCCAGCCTATCGATACTCCTTTAGAGTAATAGATGACATCCAAGTCATTTATTTACATCCACACTGAAAAATAACTGGGAAAATTGGGGCTCTCAGTCTGCATCTTGAGCCCCAGCTGTATGTGATGTCACTGATTAATGCACTGAGTGGCTTAAATCAAATGCCTGCCCAGCAGGGGTATGGAGAGAGGCTTCATTAGTCAAAATGATGAAACCCAAGATCAAATATCAGTGGGAGAGACTGAAGATGCTGCCACCTGGGGAACAGCAAAATGGTGCACACCACAGGGAAGGAGAACCAAGAACCATAAGCCATCACGGGAGCCAATGGGGCTCCCCAAAGCCACAGACTGCTGAGCCCTGATACGGTTTGGATCTGTGTTCCCACCCAAATCTCATATGTGAAATTGTAGTCTCCAGTGTTGGAGGAGGTGCCTGGTGGGAGGTGATCAGATCATGGTGGGGGAGTTCTCATGAACGGTTTAGCACCATCTTCCCTGGCTACTGTACATAGTGAGCTCTCATGAGATCAGGTTGTTTAAATAGACTGTGGTACCTCCCCCGACTCCCTCTTGCTCCCCCTTTGGTGATCACTGAAAGTTTCTTGAGGCTTCTCCAGAAGCCAAGCAGAAGCCAACATCATGCTTCCCATATAGCCTGCAGAACTCGAGCCAATTAAACCTCATTTTTTTATAAATTACCCAGTCTCAGCTATTTCTTTATAGCAGTGCAAGAATGATCAAATATAGGCTCCTTCCAGACAGCCTCAGATAGAGCCCTCTGGTTGCGTCTAGAAATGACTCCTGACTTATTCTACGTTCAGTTCCAATGGAAATAATGTAAACCCTGCACAATACTGTGAAGGGCTGACATGGACACAGCTAGAGGCTTCTGCCCCTGGGACAGGATGGGCTGGCAGGGAAGAATGTACTGCACTTAGAGTTCACCAGTACAGCCATGACCCTGTGCCTCCCAAGCCCGCAAACCTGGTAGTGATGGGAGGGGAAGAAGAACCCACACGTGTATTCAGACACCTGCACCCACCGCCCACCCACTCGCTGCCCTCTTGGGGCAGCTAGTCTCCTGCAACCAACTCGAAGCTTGGTTTGGGCTTTGGCGAGGCTCTAAACGGCCTTCTAGGTGGTCCTGGCAGAGATCTGGAGGGCACAGAAGAGAGAGTAGAGCTTCTCTTTGGAAGCCAAGGTGAGGAGGGCTTCCAGCAACCTCATTTCATTACAAGTCTTTATGAAGGAGTGCTGTGTCCCACCAGGATGGCTGTGATCATTACTCGGCTATCCCGGAGTCCAGGAGCATGAGAAAAAGAAGTGTTACTGCATTAACAGACGTGGCCCACACAGGCTTTACGAATTCCCCTCTTCGTGTCCGCTGGGGCTGCTACCCGAGGGCCTTTCCTGGTCAGCAGGGACAGTGCACGCAGAGCGGTGTGCATGTGCACCAACCGCGGACTTACCTTGGAGCGAGGCTGGCGGACTTGGCTCCCATTGGTGAATCCAGTCCTTCCCCCGGCTTTGCCAATTTCTCTCGGTTCATTTGCTGTAGGATAGAGTTCAATTCACTAATAACGTTTGCCTTTGGGCCTGAGAGAATCGGGCTTTTGATCTCTGTGACGTCGCCCCACAACTTGGAGGTCCTTGGCTGGAGAACCTTGGCCATCCCAGGCTGGGCACTGCCCGGCGGGGGCGGGGGAGCGGGCGGGGGGATAACAAAGCTATCTACATCTTCTTCCACGAGCGCGTCTTGATAAAGTGCATTGCTTTTGTGAATGATGGGCTTCATTTTTGGCTTAGGAGGTACTGGGGGTTTGTCAACCATAAATGCTTGCCCATCTGCATAGACTGTGCAGGTGTCCACATTCTCTCCACCTTCGGAAGACAGGGTGGAGATGCTAGACACGGTGGAGATAGTGCTGGTCGTCTCGAGGTGGTGGTCGCTGCTACTCCGGCTGTCCACCTCCTCGATCCCAGAGTCGGCGACGGCGTCAAAGCTTTCAGGGGGTGGCAGGAATGAGGCAGGCAGACAGTTTGAAAGACTGGCTGGCTTCTTGCTGTCTGCAGAGTTGGTTGGTTGGCTGGAGTTCAACGAAGGGGACTGAGGGGTGTCGCTTTTCTTCTGCTTCACTAAGTCTGAGAGAGCCGGGACAGAAGCTGCCCGGTCATCGGGGATATCAAAACTATTTGCAAATTCCAGGGGAGGAGGCAATGGCTCTGTAAAAATAAAATCCTCATCCAAGTCCACGGATGCCAGAGGGGGAGGAGGGATGCGGAATGGCAAAATCACCGCCTCTTCCATGGAGCCCACCGCGACGATGGTTCTGCCGGGCACGGTGGTGGGCTCGGGGGCAGCGGAGATCTGTAAAGCACCTTCGGTTTCGGAAACACCTTCTGGCACCTCGGACGGCGAGCTGTCTGGCTTCATCTCCACCTCTGCCTTCTCGTCCTCTTCCTGCAGGGCGTTGTCCAGCTTAGTGGCGTCCACGGTGTGCACCATCAGCAGGCCAGCCGACTTCTGCTGGGACGTGTCCATGATGTCGATCAGCATGTTCTTCTTGTCATCGCCTTTCCGGTCTCGGCCCAGGTCGGTCTCGTACTTGTTCTCCGTCTCCTGCCGCCTCAGGGGTCCCCGGGTGTTCTGCCTGGTGACCGTAGGGAAGCCGGCATCCAGGCTGGGCCGCATTTTGGTATCAATGTAAAGAGGTTTGTTGAGGTCGGCCTTGGGGGCCTCCCCTTTGGGTCCCTGTTGAGACTCCTTCATGGCTCGGTCCCTTGCGGAGAGTGCCAGGGCCAGCGGGGAGCTGGGATCAAGCAGCCGCCCTGTGAGTGGGTGGACATAATTCCCGGGGCCGGCTGTGCCGCTGCTCGCGGAGGGCACTGCTGGGCTGCTCTCGGGCCCCTGGGCTTTGGACGTGGAATTCAGCGGCCTCCCAGCCTCACCCGGAGCACTGGCCTCGGCGCCACCCACGAAATGGTTTTCGGGCTCCCTGGGCGTGGCACTCGGCATGGGGGATGACAGCTGCTCAGCGCTGTCCTCGTCAGCAAAATCCCCCTCCTCGGGGAACATGGAGGGCCGCGTCCTGGGGGCGGGTGGCCCCAGGCCCACATCCTCATCCCCCAGGTCTGTGGAGAGGAAGGCCGGGGAGTTCCTCCTGGCTTCCAGCCGCTTCTCACGGTCGCGGACGGCTCCGGCGATGGCGGCGGCAAAGGGGCTGCTGACGGTCAGGCTTTCGTCAGGCCGCAGCTGGCTCGGTGGCTCCGGGGCCTGGGGGTCGATCTCCATGCTGCTGCCCTGGCTGCTCTTGCCGCTGCTGCTGGTGGACGGCTCCTTCACGATGATGGTCGGGATAGGGATGGAGCACGTCTTCTCGGGGCTGTCCTCCACGTTGGACTGCTTCACCAGCATCCCCTTCCGCCTGGCGGGCTTGGCGGGGACGTAGACGGCTTTGCTGGCGATCTTCCCCACCTCTGAGTATGGGTTTTCTGGCATCTGGCCTCTCTTGTTGCGGAAGTTGGCTTGCGGGCCGGCATTCCGACTGTAGAGGTCTTCAGAGTCCAAGGAGTAGCGGTCCAGCTCTCTCCTGAAGTACATCCCCTTCTCCCTCATCATGGTGGCCACGGTGTCGGACCTGGTGGCGGGGGACACCTTGGCGGCAGAATTCTGATTGAACGCAGGCTTAATCGTCCCGTAGACTCTTGGAGTTGGGGACTTGGGGCAGTTGTAAGTGGTTGGGGAAGGTGGTGGTGGGGACGGGGGCACAGACTGCGGTGGAGGGGGGATGTCCTCAGAGGTGTCCGGCATGGACAGGCTTCTGGTGAACTTCAGCATTGGAGGAGCCAGAAACTGCCGCTCTTCCTCTGTTATTCCTACAAGCAGAAAACAGGTTTAGCTTTAAGTCACAATAGCAACAAAGCCTAAGTTCCTAGGAACGTGCGATACGCTACATCTCCACAAACTCACAAATTCAGATGATGAACCGGATGTTCAGGAAACACAGCACAAGCCACGATGCCGAGTGGTTAGTCACATGGCCCGTCGTGAGCCAAAGGACAAGAAAGGGAAGAACAGAAAGGCACTGGGGATGCTGTGAGTACGCTGCTGCTGTGGGGCCTCCAGGCACAGGCTGCAGCAGGGGAGCTGTGTGAGGCCAGGGCAGGAGGGCCCCTGACGCTGAGCCGTGTGCCAGTCTGCAGGCCAAGTGGGCAGCTCGCCTTGGGGCTGCTTGTGCGTGTGTGTGTGCGCTTACGTGTGCTTGTGCTGGCATTGTGGCATTGTGCTTGGGGCGGGGTTGGCTAGACCAGGAGGTATCCTTCCACCATGCCCCTTCAGGCATGGTAAGGGCTCCTGGGGGTGTTTTTAGGGCAGGGGTCTAAGGCTGTCACCTGTGCATCTGAAATGAGAGCAAAGGGTTGCAGGTATTGCTGTGTTTATGTGGCAAGGATGGTGTGCAGTCCACCGTCCAGATGGCACTTGAGCCCCACGGCTGCCCAGATGTACAGGGAGGCCTCTGCCACCCTGAGCGAAGCCATCTGCCCACGGTTGGCTCTGTGCGTGCTGGGAGGAGGTGCTTTTCTTCCAGGGTCATGTGAATCCTTTCATTGCCTGACTTCACTGGGCCCCACTAAGGGTTCTATGTGTCCTCGAGCTCTCTGGACCTTCAGAGAGATGGATGGCTGGGGAATTGCAGCTCAGAGGAGGGGCCATGTGGGCTCTAGAGCCTGCCCCTGAGGGGAGGGAGCCCAGGTTCCTTTAAAGTCCTGGACTGAGCCAGGAATAGGATCCTGAGCCAGGCCTCAGTGAGCCCCTTCTGGGTCCCAGCGGCAGCCCTGAAAGTGGTCCTGCCAAGACCCTTTGGAGCAGGGGCTGAGAGCCCAGTGGACCACCATAATCGCAACTAACCAGGGTCCAAGTGTGGCTGACCTGGCACAAAGTATGAGTTGACCTAATGAAAATATGTGGATGTTGAATGTGTGGGGATGCAGCTGAGGTCCTACGACAGCCAGCAGGGTGGCCTGAGGGTTCTCTGGGTGTGTTGCCTAGGTGTGACTTTACAGACTGTTCAACAGCTGAAGACACAGACACGTCAACAGGAGCACTTGGAGAAGGGAAGCGAGACACGCACACACACCGACAGACGCGTGGCACAGGGATTTCATGTTGGGAGCATGCAGGTTTTCAAAGAGGTAGCAAAATAAATTACTTGAAATGAAAAAAAGTCCTAGGACAAACTACAATAATTTATTCCAATGAAAACTTCCATTCGATAAGGGTATTCCAAATTTAACATACTCCTTGTGGGAGGACATTTTGGCATTGCAAAGATGGCTCGTTCAAAGTGTTCTCCATTGACCAGTCACTCTGAGTTGGCTGTCTGGCAATTCTGTTCCCAAGGAGTACTAATTTAAGAATACACCTTATAAAGTAAACTGGGTTACATTCAGATTACAGATTCCAAACCGTAAGGTTCACTAACCTGATAGAAAGATTCTGCTGTCTGACAGGAGGAAATCAGTTGTTATTAACCAGTAACCGCAAGACAAATACGCAGCTTTCCCTGAGTTTGCTGGTGCAGGGGGAGCTTTAAGCACAGCAGACACCACCTCCACGGCCACTTACTGCCTAGTGACTGCCTACAGTTATCCACCTGAGACTCACAAGCACGCTGCGCTTTTGCACAGCAGCCCAGAGGCATTTCCAGAACACACAGGACAGTGCCCCTGGGGTGGGCTGGGCAGACCAGAGTCCCAGGGTTGCCTCCACAACTCTCACAGGGCAAGGGCCTTAGCTTCTACCAGAATTGACACAGTAAAGGCAATGCTGAATTATCTCACAAAGGGACTGTCTCAAAGGGTCAAGTGTGACCTTGTCTCAAGGTCAAGTGTACCTTTGCCTGCAACAGGGTCAATAGGAATAATTGTGACATTAAGAAGAAAGGAAGGCAGTTTTCTGCAACACACAGTACATTATTTCATTTCGAGACCTGACCCAACCACCCTTGGAAGTACATCTGCTGAGCTCATACTCCAGGCCTGGTGGTGGCTGGGGAATGCAGGGAACCCACTTACCCTTCCCACCCTGAGCAGGGCAGGGTGGGGGAGGGGGGTTGGCTCGCACCACCCCGCCCACCCTCCCGCTTTACCCTGCTGGAATTATCACAGATAACTGGGCTTCAAGATGACAGAAGCCACCCTAGATTTTGTGTCCTTCAGGGGGGATGAGTTTCATGCCACTCAGATGTTCCAATGGCTCCCTAGTGGGCAAGGCCAGGTTCCCACCCTCTGGTGGGTGGGCTGGCAGGGCCTTGCTGGGGTGGGACGCCAAGGCAACTGTGAGAGGCCCAGGGCTCAGAATTCCTGAGGGGCCTAAGGCTGTGTTTGAAAGCCCAGGGGCAACTTCTGTGGGGGAGTGCCACACTTCTTACCTATTGATTTCTGCCTTCGCATCGTACCTCGAGGGATGCCCAGAAACGGGGCTTTTGGGCTCCCAGGAACAGTGGGCGTCATCACGGCGATTCCTTGGCGTTCGTACACAGACTGCAAACCAGAGAGCCTAGGGTGAGACGCAGCCCTGGCCAGCCCCCACCCACGGTCACAGGGCCCAGAGACCACAAGGGAACTTCCGTCACTGTGGCTTCCCCAAGCTGCTTCTGGAGCCACCTAAAGTCTCCAGTGGGGCTGATGAGAACCACAGCATTGAGGACCCAGGAAGGTCCCTCTCTAGGTGCCTTTCCTATTCGCTGCAGCTGCTATTGGCCTTTGGCCCTGTTAGGATGGCAGCATGCCCTGTTCCATGGAGATGTGGTCTGCTGCAACACCATTTGCCAGAGCAGCTGGACAGATACGTCTCTCTGAGAGGGGGGCCAGGCTGGATGTCCTGTGGGAAAGGGCACAGCGTGGTGGGCAGTGGGGTCTGGCCTGGGTCCATACCCCACTCCCCATGTGCCATGTGACCATCAAGTCCTTACATAGGAGCCACCATCTCCTCTTTCATAAAATGGGCTCCTGACACCAGCCCCACAGTGTGTGCAAAGGCCAACCAGGTATTGTGGTGGTGTGTGGGTGAGCATGATGTGCCAGCTAGCTTAAGCAAGCCCTGGAGCTGCTCAGGGGCACAGCCTGGAGTCTGCAGCAGTGAGCTGTCCCCAGCTTCCTCCCTCTTCAGCCTGTCCCAGGAGGAGCCTAGAGCTCCCCTCCTCCCCTCCACCTTGGAAGCAGAGTCCTGGTGCTGCCAACTCTTTCGCTTCCCCAGGCTGTTGTTTTGTCTGCAAAACTGAGATGGCTCAGGGCCCCAAACCTGTAGTGTTGAAGGCCAACCCGGGAAAATATCAGATGCGGACGCTCAATGGAAATATTCGTGTGCAAGCTTTTATTGCTCCAGCTTTGAGATGCAGTTTCCATGTGTCCACAGCCTCTGTTTGTCTCACTCTATGGCCCTGAGGCTGAGGAGCAAAGTGGGACCCTTTGGGAGATCAAGGGCACCTTGTCTCAGACACCCCCCCAACTTGGTGGGGCATGTGGGTGCCACGAAGGACTGGGAACAAAGTGGGAGGCAAGGACCGGCAGGCAGGGCCTGGAGGGGAAGTCCCCTTGTGGAGTTCAGAGGTGATGGGAGGAGGTGTGAGGGCAGATATTGTAACTGTAATTATTAACAGTTGTTTAATGCACATTACAGAAAAGCCTTGTGGTAAATTTATAATATTTATAGGTGTTATTGTTCAAGAAAAAGCTAGACATAGGCAGTTTGATACTGGTTCAAAGAGAATACTAAGGTAAGCAATCAGGACAGGTAGGCAGTGCTAGAATCTGACATCAGGTTCAGATGGCTGCCTCTGCACAATGGAGAAGCAATCCAAGGGTCCAGGAGGCCACGCCTTGTTCAGGACGTGCCTGGGGGAATCAGCAGCCTCTGCCCCAGGCCCTTTTCCAGCTGTGTGCCCTCCTGACTGCCTAGGGAAGGTGACCATGGCACGGGCAGCCTGCTCTGAGCCAGGCACCCACTGCGCCCAGCAGCCACTGAAGCCCTTCATGGCACTTCTGGCTCCGAGGACAAGTGTTGCCCAGGATCTCGGAGAGTGTGGGGGACTGCCACATGGGATGTGGGACAGACGGCCTCTTCCACACCGGAGCATTTCTGTGCTCTGGGTGGACCAGGAGGCAAGAGCCCCTCTGTCTGAAGAGTGTGTCAAGGCCCCTTACTTCCATGTGCTCACGGGTCCTCAGCCAAGTATGACAGGACACCTTCGAGGCTCAGGGCACTGAGTGAGCGGTAAGGGCAGGGCTTGGATGCAGCCTGCTCTGTCCCACCACTGTGAGTCTGCACAGACCCGGCTCTTTGTCCTGTGGCCACTTAGATTTGGGCCCCACCTCTGGACAGCACGAACCAGACATGAAAGCGTGTGCACCTCAGCTACTGAGACAGCCCACCCACTTCCTGGGCACCGTCGGCCCCCGCCCTCGTGGTCCCAAGGTACGGCCACTCACGTTCATGTCTGAGCCCGCCGGGAAGCACCGGCTGCTGGGCCGCTGCTTGATGGTCGCCACCCTCGGTTCCACAGCCATGTTCTCAGCAGCGCGGGAGGGCTTGGAGGCCGGGACTATCTCCTCGGGTTTATCTGCAATAGAACCGTGAGGATTGGAGCAGCAACACCAGTGGGGGAAGCTGGGTGTAGATAGGAAAGCGCACAGGTGCAGCAGCCACTCCAACATCCAAAACTGTGCAGGGGGCATTTGTTGCTGCTGTGAGGAGCATGCGTGTGCCTCTGCCACATGCATTCCCACTGGGGCATGGGCTCCTTCCCAGGACCTTGCCCTCGGAGGCATGCACGAGGCATGGACATAGAAGACCCTCCACAGCTCGGCCACCTTCTTAAGTGCCCAGCCCCCAAGGGCTCTGAAGCTTTTTGGGACATTTCTGTTTTTTGGGACATTTCTGTGTTTTTTTTTTTTTTTTTTTTTTTTTTGAGACAGTCTCTTGCTCTGTTGCCCAGGCTGGAGTGCAGTGGTGCAATCTTGGCTCACTGCAACCTCCGCCTCCCAGGTTTAAGCAATTCTCTTGCGTCAGCCTCAAGAGTAGCTGGGATTACAGGCACCTGCCACTACGCCCAGCTAATTTTTGTATTTTTAGTAGAGACGGAGTTTCACCATGTTGGCCAGGCTGATCTTGAACTCCTGGCCTCAAGTGATCCACCGGCCTTGGCCTCCCAAAGTGCTGGGATTACAGCCATTTGGGCCATTTCTTTAGTGGAATCACTTGATTCTTTCTAATGGGATTTATTCTTGTGAGGGTTAACTAAACTGACTTTTTGAAGTTTTTTTTTTTGTTTGTTTTTGTTTTTTTTTTTGAAGAGACTCAGACATATGGTTCCTTTGTAACTGTGATTGCCAAGACATGAGGATCTGCCACCCAAGGCAGCGTGGGTGTTTCAGAGGCCAGGGTGCTCGTGGCCCCAGGCGTTAGTAAGTGTTGCAGAGGGAAGGTCTCTGTTTATTTTCCCCAATGCAGAACCTTCCCATTTCCTTTAAAAAAAAAAAAAAAAAAGAAAACCAAAGTTTAGTTATAAGGGATCCTTAGCAATTAACAAAAGTTTTTTAAAGAGGACATTTGCAGCACATTTTTTTTTTTTTTTTTACTTGAAAACTGAAGCACATCCCAGAGCTCTCCTGACGCCTTAGCTTCATCTCAGGGTGTTTGGGATCAGGCATAAGGGTGTGTCTAAGGCTGTTTAAATGCAAGGGCCCTGTGCCACTGAGACCTGGAGAGCTGGTCTTCCAGTCGCGATGTGCATTCTGGAAAAGGTGACCCCAGCTGTACTTCTAAGATGTCACTGGGTTGGGACAAAGCCAGTGTGGTATCTGGTGGGTGTACCCCATTCTGAGCCTTTGAGACAGCACTGGCCTTACTCCCTGGGGAGAAGCAGGCCATCTGGAACATTCTGCCTTCTGGCCACCCTAAGCCCACTCTTGGGGTCTGGTGGCTCCCATGAAGTGTATGCTAGGGCCTTGCCCAGACTTTGAGCCATGAGGCTATTGTGCAAGTTAGAGCTGAGCAGAGTGCAGGGAGGAAGGCCCCCATCTCCAAATTGTTCTTCAAGCTGAGGCGGAAGTTACCTGTCATGGCAGCTTCTCACGGGGAGCTGACCCACGGGCAAAGCTCCCAGAGCCACGGCACGGATCAGGGTTGTCCAACACAAAGGCATCAGGCTCCTGACAAAGGCAGCCCAGACCAGAGGTCCCCACAAGAGGAAGTTTGGGGAGAGGAAATGGGGGTGTGCTGGGGACACTGAGCCAGGCGCCCTGTGATGGCCCCTCAACCTTGCAGAGCAGCTGAGACGTACACAACTCTGACACCTATGGACACTCTCACAGTAGAGTCTGCATGAGGGGCCTGGTTCCAGGCCTGTGTTCCAGACCCTTGGGCCAGTCCTGCCCCCACCGGGCCAGAACCTCAGGGCAGTCTATACTTTTTTTTCTTTTCTTTAAGATGGACTCTCACTGTCACCTGGGCTGCTTGGCTCACTGCAACCTCCACCTCCTGGGTTCAAGCAATTCTCGTGCCTCAGCCTCCTGAGTAGCTGGGATTACAGGCGAGCACCACCATGCCCGGCTAATTTTTGTATTTTTAGTAGAGACGGGGTTTCACCATGTTGGCCAGGCTGGTCTCAGACTCCTGACCTCAAGTGATGTGCCCGCCTTGGCCTCCCAAAGTGCTGGGATTACAGGTGTGAGCCACCACACCCAGCCATACACTTTTAGTCTTCAAACAAGGATGGGGAAGAAAAGGCAGGAGAATGTGCAGCAGAGGCCATATGGCTGTCACGCCCAGCACACTTACCATGGGGCCCTTCAGGGAGGTGTTTGCCGACCCCTGGCCTGGACCACGTTTCCAGTTGTCAGCAAAATGCCAAGTGTTCACGCAAAGCAAGAAAGCCCTTGCCCCATAGTGTCCGGGCAGCCAAATCTCCCCCCACAGCACTCTCTCCCTTCATGACCAAGTCCAGCTGACCAGGCCTGCAGGCTCACTGGGCCCCAATTCTGCGTCCCTGCTCATGCATTCTCTCCTGTTATTCCTGGACCCACAAGCCCTGCTGGCTCTTCGATGAGCCTGATGCCTCCTTGGGGACCTTGTCATTCCCCCAGTGGATGCTAAGCATCTGCTTCTCAGGGAACTGGTCAGGCACGGTAGGAAACACCCGATTCTCATCTCACTTGGCAGTGGGGACATCCTGGCTGTGACCTGTGACCCCAGTCCAGAGCCGTGCTGTCCTCACCTGCGTTCAAGGCCCTCATCCCAGCTCCTCCGGCTGCAGCAGGTGCTGCATGGCTGCCTCATCTCACATTCCCTTTGCTGGGGTCCCTGTCAACCTCCCTGGGCTGCACGGGCTGGGTCCACCTGCCATGGTCCCAGCAATTTGCTTCCTCCAAGGAGCCTTTCCCCTCCCAGGGCTGGGCTGGGACTCCTTGGATGGCTGGGGTCGAATTGGTTTCTGTGCCGGCCTCTGTTCCCTGGCCTCGCCGATCAGCTGGGCTTCTCCCCCTTGACTTGGGACCAGGTGATGCTTGGGTGATCTCCTCTGGCCGGCTGTGATGTGCAACTCCAGCTTGGTCTATCCCTGGAAATGGGGGCGCTAGGCAGTGGCTGTTCTTTGCCTCAAGTGAGATGTGGCCGCTGGTGGCCCCCAGAGTATTTTTCTCCAATGAAACGGGGGTTGAGATGTGTCTCCTGCACCAGGGAGTTATGTCCCATAGCTGTGGTGAGCCAGGGCACTGCGGGGTGGGGATACCCTGGGACCTGCTTCCTGACAGTGCTGGCCCGGGCCCCTCCTCTGACCCCAGTGGAGCGTGAGGCCTGAGCGGGGTGCAGCAGCATGTACCTCCATGAACATGACCCAGAAGGGATGCCACCAAGTTAGGGGAAGAGCAGCTGGAGCCCAACAAAACATCCCACGGGGGCATTCCAGGTGGCGAGCTCTGGGGGCAGCCGCAGAATCCAGCCCACCTGATACTGTACACAGGTGCAGACAGGGAAGGGTGCCTTCCTGGCTGCCACCTGCCTGTGCTCAGACCTGCACCTGTGGAGATGCAGGAAGGCCCATCCGAGCCAGAAACGCCTGGGCATCCCTCCAGGCCTGACTTCCAGGCTATGGTAAGCTCAGAGGCTAAGGTGGCAGCTGGGGCTGAATAGCGGAGGTGAGGGAAAGTCATCGGCGTTGAACATTGACAGGTGTCAGACCCAGAAGATGCAGGACGGCCGAGGCCCTGCAGGGGAAGGCCTGGGCGCAGGTGGGTGTGGGAAGGCTGTGGCCAGGCTCTGCTGTGCTGTTGGCCATGTCTGGGCACATCAAGGAAGGTGGGACTCTAGGGCATAACAGCTTTCCTGGGATTACAATTTAAATGAGCCAAATCTTCAAGAAGCTCCCGTTTCCAACTGGGCCCTTCCAGAAGCCATGTGTCTGTTTTTTATGTATTAACAAACCCCACAGCTGATGAGGCTGATTCATTTCCATCCACTGCACACTGAGGGTCTGCTGCCCGGCCTCCCTGGGGCACCGCCTCGACTTCTCACATTCCCAAAATGAACAGGCTGCAGGCTGCGATTTTAGGACCTCAGGGCCTGCGGCAGGCATCTTGTTAAATACACCTCATGTAACTGTGTGCCCAGGGTGAAGGAAAGGTGTCCTGGTCAATAATGACAGCCGTCCCTGAATCTGGTGGAAGTTCTGGGCCGATCATCCTGTTTCTCATCCTAATGAGAAGCTGGCTGTAGTAAAGGGATTGTTCCCATGTCGAAGGGAAAACATTTCAGGTCTGAGATGCGTAAGGCCATATGGGGGCAAACCATGGGACCAGGCGGGAGCTGGGGCTGGCGCTGGGGTCCCCCAAGCCTTGTGCCTGCCATGTGATGGGCTGCCCAGCCCTGGGCCCTGGTGGGCAACGGCTGCAGAAAGTTTGTTTGGAAATGGTTGGGGTCACCATTGGCATGGTTTGCCTCGTCCAGGAGAACCACGAGGCGGGGGTGGGGGCACCCTACCCATCATCACAGTCGCCACATCAGAGGGTGGGGCTGGTCATGTCATTGAAGGTGCATCCCTGAAACTGTGGCCACCTTGCCTGTGGACATCTGGTCTCTGTTTTAAACCTTTCCCTTCCTAATAACCCCAAAACAAATGTTCTTTTGAACTAGAGCATGTGAGAGCAGCCGGGCGTGTTGGGGTGGTAGGGTCAGGGGCTAGCATTCGTTTTTAAGTTAGAGTTAGTGTAATTCAAATGAAAAAGGAAAACCCTGCATTGGCTCCCCACAGGGGTGTGGGTCCCTCCTGGCCCTTGTCTCTTGGGGACGTGGCCAGTGGGATCATGCTGGCCTGACTTGCTCAGTCCTTATCTTGGAGATCTTGTTTACCGGGATATGGAGACTTTTCAGAAAAGCCACAGGACTGAGATTCCTGCTTCTCATTCTAGGCTCCTAAGGATTATGCTTAATTTATAAAAGCTCAGAACTAGGTCTTTATTCAGGGACTCTGGATGAAGGGGATTAGTGAATCTGGCCCCTGGCAGTCTTAGAATGAATTGTTCGGTGACAGAAAACAAACAAGCCTCAGACAGATTTGAAACTGTCAAATCCCAAAACACTCCAGTGAGGAGCTGATGAAGATGCCCCAGCAGTCACCCGCATTTCAGCCCTCTGAGCAAACGTGTGTTCTCTCTACTAGATACGTGATGCTGACCAGGCACAGGGAAAAGGGAGGGGAGGTAGGTTTGTCACCTGCCTGTTACCAGAGCCCCCCAGCCCATGAGCTGACTCTGGACCACGGGCTGACTTCAGTGCAGGTTCCCCTGATAGGGGGCAGGAAGCAGTGTGCCCTGTGCTAGAGAAATCTTGCCACTGCTCTGCATCCTCAGCAAATCACAAGGGAGTCACCAAATCGAGGAGTGACACGACCCCAGCGTCCATGCCGAGGCTGGGAGGCCCAGGACCACCCAGGCACCTGGTGGCTGAGTCTCCTGGAAAATAGGCTCTGCACTGAAGTGACACTAGGTCCACTGTCCAGCGAGTTCCTTTGCCTGTGGCCACACAATAGGCCCAGAGCCTGGGAGCCAGCCCCATTGAGGGGCAGAGTGCCCAGCTGTTTGCCTGTTGACTCTTCAGAACCTTCTGGGGGAAAGCAGCAGACCAGACCTGTGGAGGGCTGCATGGGGCTGCTCCACCTCTTCAGCTTTCCTGGGACCTGATTCATGGTCTGCTTCACATCCTCTGGCATGGTCCAGGGACCCTGTCAGTTCTCAACCACTGCTCTCTCCCCTTATGTGGGCTTGAAGTGGTCTGTCTACTTCTCTGGAGTTGCAGTGCTACTACATCCTGTCTCTGGGTGAGAGAGTACAAATGTCACTCCATTTCCAAAAGGAAAACACACACATCTGCAGCGCCAGATGTTAGAGGACAGAAGCCGCGTGTGTTAGAAGCAGCGGCTGTTGCCAGTTGGCCGGCCTCTTGGTTTAATCTTCCAAAGCGGCAGTGCAGGGTGGGAAGGGTGTGCTTGGACCCTGGTGGACTGGTCCTGGCCTGCAGGCTCTGAGTCACACACCTTCCAAGGGCTAGAGTCTGAAGGTACAGCCATAGGTGCCTGGTAGGGTGAAGGCCACAGTCCCCTTCATGTGCCCAGGGGCAGAGGCCCCACCCCAAATCCTGCCTGACAGCCGGCTTCTTCCTGAGCCCAGCACAGGGTCTGGGCACTAGGGCAGGTGCTCAGAGAACACTTAAAGACTAAACAAGGATTTTACAGATGGAGAACTGAAAACCTGGGATCACTAAGCAGGGTAAAGCCAGCGGGGACAGACCCGGGATTTGAGGTGCTTTGCCAGGGATGTTATGATAAATGACCATGCACGGGGGGCTTAAAACAATGGAAACGTATCCCTGCACAGTTCTGGAGGCTGGAAGTCCAAGGTCAGGCTCCTTCAGGGGTCTGGAGAGGATCAAATCCATGGTGTTTCTTGGCTTGTTCCTTCCTTCTTTACAAGGACACACCACTGGATTTAGGGCCCACCCGAGTCCAGCATGACCTCATCTTGATTAGATCTACAAGGATCCTATTTCCAAATAAGGTCCCATTCACAGAACTTTGGGGGTCACTTTTCAACCCAATACAACTGTAAAGGCCTGACTTTTGTTCCACATGGCCTTTCTGGAGTGTGACGAGTGCTTTTTCCGAGGCGAGGCCAGTCCTCCCAGAGACAGGTGGAGGCAGCACGAGGGGCCTGGAGCATTTGCCGTGCATCCACTATGTGCCCCGCACTTCGCATGTGCGCCATGGGATGCCCTCATGGCCCTAGAGGCAGGGGCTGTCAGCAACGCTCGGTGTCTTCAGTCCCCAGCTGGATCCCCCAGTGTGACCAGGCTGGGCCACGGCTGCTGGTCCCTTTGGGGTCTTCCTGCCCACACCCTTGCCCCCTGTTATATCTGGGGTTGAGGCTCTGGAAGCTCAAATTTGTAGCCAGTTTCTCTTGCTCAGACGGGAGGTGGATCTTCTGATGCCACCCTGGGGGAGGAGGGTGGTGTGGATGGGGCCAGGTCCCAGCAGGCCACAGGCGCCCACGGTGGCTCAGCCACCTGAGTCCCGAACTGTTCTCCCTGACAAGGGACTTCTGTTGTCCCACGCTGTTCTGGCAACTGGGTCCCTGGCAGCCATGGTGGGGCATCTTCCTCAGTTAGGTGATGAATAGAGGGCCATTCCCGTGAGCTGGGGTTTGGCCTTGGATTGAAGGGGTGTTCACACACAAACGTAATTGCACGACATAGAAAGAAGGGTATTCTGTACCCCGGGTGTCCACCACATCCTCGGCGCAGCAGTGGGGCCTAGAAAGCCCGCTGGGAGTTTTCTGGGCAGCTGTAGGATGCTGGTGCAAGCCCGGGGCTGCTGCAGAGAGGCCGCTGGGATGACACAGGTCGGGACAGTGGTGGTTCTGTGCCCACCTCACCCAATCTCATCTAACATGATTGGGACAGAGTTAAGATGTGCCTTAGGGCCAGGTGCTAGGCTCCTCCCAACTCCAAGGGATTAATTAAAAGCTGGGAGTGCTGCTTTTAATTGTTGGGGGAGCTGTGTCCAGCAGCAGGCGAGCAATACCCCCCGATGTGCTTGCTGCTGTGAAAGGGGGAACCTGAGTCTATCTGGGGCCTGCGGTCCGGCTGCCCACAGCCACAGTGACTGCCAGTCTCCCACTCCACACCAGCCCTGGGTGGGGAGGTGTAGCCAAAGGGCTCACACTGCTCCCTTCTCCTTCTAGTGCCCCACAGGGCACAGGGCAGCCTCTTGGGGAATGGGTGATTTCCGGGCCTTAAAGGGAGGCAGTTCCTGCCCACCACAAAGGGGTCCTGAGGGTCAGGAATGCAGCCAGAGGCTCTGCTCATCTGCAACCCCCCATCCAGGCAGCCCCAGCTGAGACCAAACAGGGGTCCGGCCAGCTTCACGGTCATGACGATGTGAACACAGGTCAGGGAAGAAACACAGGACACGCTGGGGAATCACAGACAGAAGCCAAGCAGAAAGAACAGACAGATGAATGTGCTCCAGGGCGGCAGGGCTCCTCGGGCAGGACCCAGCAGGAGAAGCCAACAAGGCTTTGCGACACATTTGAGACTTCACGGCATCACAAAGGATGTTTCTGTTCCACAGGGGGGTGATGGGCAGGGGGCTGAGACAGACACTGGGCCTCCCTTACCCTTCTTCTTCCGGACCGAGGCTTGCAAACAGAAAGGGGACCGCCATGAGCCACCAGGATGCAGCGCCCGCCCGCAGCCTACACTCGGGCCTTGTCAGCTCAGGGCGCCTCAGGAGCAGGCTGGGCCGGCAATGGGGCGGCAGGCAGGGGCTGTCTGGAACGCTGCGAACGCAGGCTGCGCTATCCATGGAGTGGCTTTCCCCAAACCTTGGCTGCCCGCACAACTCTGTCCTGTCTGCCCTGCTCGTTAACCTACTGCCTGGCAGTGGAAAGGGGCTTTCCTTCTTCCTCAGCACCCCTTGTCCCACCAGCACCCTGCCAAAGTAGGGAGGAGTTCTCAGAGCAGACATGAGCAGAGGTGGCGGGGCCAGCCTTTAGAGTGCACCTGTGGCCTTTCCTGCCTCATTCTGTTGTTTCTTGACTGAGCTGAGCTCTCAGGAGCACCCCTTGCAAAGATGAGAGCTGCTAGGCTTGTCCCTCTGGGGAGCCCCAGGACAGGCCTCTGTGGAGAGGGCCTGGAGGCTGGTCACCTCCTCCGTCGCCTGTGAGGCTGGGGCACGCGGGGCACTACTGGTTCTGGGTGGGTGGGGCAGCGCCACTGCAGGGCTGCTGTTTTGGACTGAGGCCTCATGCCCATCCTCAGACTCTAGCCCCAGAACCTCGTGAGAAGCGGCCTGGCCGGCCTCAGCGCCCTGGGCCGAGGAAGGATGACATCACTGCTGTGGCAGCACTTAGCACTTGCTAGACTCCTCTCGGGAAAGCTGCCTGTGCCAGAGTGCAGGGAGGACGGGGCCTGTGAGTGAGAGCACCAGCCAGGGCTTGGCTCTCAACCCCCCAGGCCAGCTGGACTGGACCGTGGGCCTTGGGCGGGGGCTCGTTTCTGCGCCCATGTAAGCTGCCTTCACCAGCTCCAATTTGTGCTCCAGTGGAGCAAGCGTTTCCACCTACATGCCATCTCTGTGTGTTTCAGAGCCACCCTCTTTCCAAAGGTGTCCCTGGCTCCATGGTGACTCCCCGGAACAAACAGGATCCTGCATGGCCAGCATGGCCCACGTGGCTGCTAGTCGCCCTTCCCCTGCCTACAAGATGGAGTCAGAGGGCCAGAGCCTCTCTCTGTTGCTTGCAGACCTTACACAAAGGTGCCGGGCGTTCCCTAAGCCTGCTGTGCAGACCAGACTGCTCTGCCAAGCCCACGCTATCTACACACAGATCCCCGGAGGATGGAGCCTTCTGGTCTGAGCCACGTGGGGAGCAGCTCACACAGGCCTCCGAGGCCTGGGCTGAGGTGGATGTCAGTGGGGGTGCCCTAGACAGCAGGGGGAGCTGCTTTGGGGACCCAGTGGGGCTGCTTACCTTTATCCACTAGTGAGAGGCCCAAAAATTCAAAACAAAACAATGTTAGATAAACAGAAAAGAGGAAAGGCAGGACTAGCAACAACGCCCCGCGAGGCTCCGAGGGAGGTGCACACATGGGGCTGCGGGGCATGCAGGGGCATTTCCTGATGCACGTCTGGGTACAGGGGCAGGAGGGGGGTAGCGAGCAAGCGTGGGGTCATGCACAGCCTGGTGCTTTGCAAAGGGCAGCTCAGGGACCGGCATGGTGACTGTACAGGGCTGGGCCGGGTGTGCGACTTACCGAGCTCCTCCAGCTCCGAGGTCATGGACTTGGAGCGCAGGGTGAGGGCTGTGGTCGGTGCCCGCTTTGGAGGCGGGGGAGCTGGAGGGCAGAGGAGAGATGGGTGTGAGACCCCAGCCCATGTTTCCAGATATGGGAATAAGGCTAGCAGTGGCCCTGTGGCTGGCAGGTGGGTCTCAGGCTGTTTGGCTGCGGTGGTCAGGGATTGTGCAGGTGTGCTTATGATGGGAAAGGACAGGTGCTCAGGAGGATCTTGCCATATCCCTGAACTGCAGTGCAGGCCCTCATGGGTGGGCCTGGGCAGGGGGAGGGAGGGGACAGGGCACTGAGTGGGAAGCCTGCGGAAGGGACGCCTGCTAGTGACTAAAAGGGCACTCCTGGTGGGACATGGATGATTCCGGCAGCGTGTGAGCCCCAAGTCATTGTCGTGGGCTCTGGCGGTAAATTCCAGCCTCACCCCTGTGCCTGGGCTCTCAGAAGTGTGGGATCAGCTGGAGAGAGGGCCCACTGCCCCCCAGCTGTCCTGCCCGCCCCCACCCCCCCCCCCCAGTAGGGCCCCAGGCTGGAGCTGGGCGATGTGGGGCATGTACCTTTCTTCCTGGCGGTGTCGTCGGGGTCCAGATTCCTGGTCACCGTGACCACCTTAAGGACCAGGTGATTCCCTCCCTGCCGGATCATGTTCACCACCTGCCTGTGGCCGACTTTGACAACATTCTCATTGTTAACCTGTGGGAAGGCGGAGAGGATGGCATCAGTGAGAGCCAGCGGAGAGGAAGACAGTTGGCACCCACCCAAGGCAGAGACATGTGGGCTCCTAAAAAGGGGGCAAATGCAGGGAAGCAAAGGGAGTGAGACCGTCATCTTTTTGGAAGCAAAGGTGCTTTTGGGGAAACCAGAATGAATGCTGCTGTGACTGTGGAGGTCACTTAACTGTGGCTCAGGAGGTTGGGGGAGGCCTTCCTCTGACACTGCAGCTCTCTGCTGAGTCCTCCACAGCTGCTGCAGAGGAAGGGCTGATTTCTATTTAACCTGAGCATCCTTAGGTGCTTACTTTTACAGGCCTGGGGCAATTTTCAGGGCCACCAAGAGACTGCATGTGAAGAGCCTGACAGGCGAGTTCCAGGGCTGGGCTGCAGTGCCAGGCTTTGCATCCTCACAGGAGGAGGAAACGTGGCGCTTAATTGCTTCTCATGTATTCTGGGAATGCACATCACACTGAAGCAGCCCCTTTCCTCCCACTCCCTCCCTCCCTGCTCTCCCGCTCCAGAGGCCTGGGAAGGCAGAAAAGCCTGGCCCAGCAGGGTGCTTACAAGAGTGGGGGCCCTGTCCCTGTGCTGGTCTGTACAACTAGCTGCCCCAGTGCTCCTGGGACGGTGAGTGGCAGGCTGGGGACCCCCAAGGCTGCCATGCTATGGCCACTGCCCTGCAGTTGAGGAACTCTTAGGAGCCGGTTACCTCCTGCCCTATTTGTCCTCACCATGGCAAATGCACCTGACACGGAAGTAGGAACGGACTCAGGGTGCCATCCCCCTGGCCCCTCTGCTATTCTCACCTCCCTGAGCAATGCTCAGCAGCAGATGGCCTTGGCCTCTGCCTCCCAGCCCCACGCTACTCCCAGAGGAAAACCCGAGTGATGGAGACTGGAACTGGGTGGGCGTCTGGGCTGACACTGCCCACCCTGGCTACTGCAGGAGTAACACTTAGTGGTTTTCAAATGTTGCTGTGAAAAGGCCCCGGCCTCACCCCTGCCCATGGAACTGAGCTCCACAGGGGGCCTCTGGCACCTTCATCCCAGCAGCTCCTGAATGGGAGCGCAGCCCAGAGGCAGCTGTCTCTAGGTGGCAGCAGGGAGGGGGAAGCCCCAGAAGGTGAAGTTTACAGCTGCTTCACACGCCACCTTCGAACAAAGAAAAGCACCCTGATCGTAAACAACAGCCAAGACGTCATGCCCCTCACCAGCCACACTGTGCTGTACGCATATCCTCCTGCTATAGATTCTTCAAAAACTAAACATCTGGTATACCCACAAACAGAAAACTTAAAGCCTGTGTGCTGCTTGGTGGATTTTCACAAATCCAACATCCCTGTAAGAGCTGGATAGAAGCAGGTACTGCCTGGCTCACCATACTGTTGACAGGCCCAGTGCCTGGCTCCCCATACTGTTGACAGGCCCAGGATGTGCCAGTTTTGGTCACCTACGAGACGGCTGCAGAGGTCCTCCAGGCAGGGCTGCGAGGAGCCCAGGGAGGACTCAGTGGGGCCAGGGCAGTCCCCGTGCCAGCTGCTCTGCAGTCTCTGCTGTGGGACCGGCTCATTCCCATGTACTCAGACCCACCCGGTTTCAGCAGTGAGTATCCAGTGTCCTGGGTCCACTGGACAGCTGGTCACCCTGCACTGCCCTGAAGATAGAGTCTTGGGAGCAGGACTATCCTAATGGGGCCTTGGGAGAGAGGCCCACCTACAGCGGCAGCGGTCTTTGCAAGGTGACTCCTGGGGGCTGTTCCTTTCACTGAGGTTCTCAGAATGTAATTAGGAAAGCAGATGGATTTAGGAAGTAAAGGAGCCGGATCGAGGAAGACAGCACCGGGAGTTCTCGGAGGGCAGACCTCAGCTTGCAGGACCCTCGCTGCTCTGGTACAGACAGGCAACCGAACACCAGCCACGCGTTATCGGGTTCTCTCCCCTCCCATGAGCACACCCGGGTAGTGGCTGTTGCTCATTCATTCATTCATTCACTCATTCCAGTGTTTCTGTTCCCCGTACCACTAAAAGCCATGAGGCACAGGCAGTTCAGCTGTCTCTGCCTCCATCTGTGGGAAGTTTGCGTCCTCATCAGGGAGTTTTGGCCGACACACAAAGAAGTGAACACATAACTTCAGGTGGCTGAGTACCACCTAAGAAGGCAGAACCAAGTAAAAGGAGACTGAACAGAGGCCTGGACCCACCAGGAAAGAGCAGTGTGGGCGGAGTCATGGAGTGGGAATGGGCAAGGAAGCGGTAGGCAGGGGGGCGCAGAAAAGGCCAAGGCCTGAGAGCAGGGCCTTGGATGCCAGGGTGAAGTTATGGGCCAGGGAGTGCTGAGGCCCGATGCAGAGATGAGGCATCTGACCCGAGCAGCTGTGAGTATGAGGTGCCAAACACACGTGGGGGGGCACCGAGACACTGGGGTCTCAAGCTGAGATGGAGGAGGCAGGCTGCCCAGGCTCAGGAGCCGCGAGGCCAATGTGTGAGGCCTTGGTGAGAAGACCTGGCAGTAGGGAGCCCCCAGCTGCCTGGCCACTAGATCCCCAGGGGTCATCCCTTGCAAGGCTGTGGGGAGCGAGGGGAGGACTCGGCCCCACCTTGAGATGGGCTGGGACCAGCTTTCCTGCTCTGGGCGGGCCCCCAGTGCCGGGCCTTGAGGGGGCTCCAACCAAGAAAGTGCATATTACTGCCTGCTTGCTCCTGCCACCCGCTGTGGGGCATTCTCTGGATCTGATGCTTGGGGAGAGTACGAGACTGGCACGGGGATGGGCTGCCAGTCACTGGAGAAGCCAAGCTCAAGTTGCGGCCTCCTGAGGGCTCGTCGGGCTGATGGGGACTTTAACAGCCTGGCCACTTAGGCAGGGAGGGGCTGGGGATGTGGCCTCTGACTGCAGCCTGCTAACCATCACGGCCTTGGGCTCACTCCCTAGAATCCTCATCCTCCAGAATCTCCCGTGGTTCATTTGTGGTGGCTGGATGCTGTCCTTCTGTGATCTTGGCCAGAGCTGGCCCTTGGCCGCTTTGGGAGAAGCAGTTTGTTCCTGTGCCTTGGAAGGGTCAAGGGGCTGGAGGGCCCTTTTCCTCAGAAGTGTCAGAGACAGACATTACTCTTTTCTGGGCAGGGGAGGCAAAGGACCAAAGAAAGGCCTCTCGGGGAATGAGCCACTCATGGGGGATTCTCAGGAAGCTTGGCTGCGGGGCCAAGGACCTTGGCGGCCCCAGCACCTTCCTTGTCTGTAGCCGACAGCCTGGGTGCACGTTCTGGTGGCACCTCCACACACTCATGCTGCCCCAGCCAGAGCTGCTCCTGCACAGGGCCAGGCTGGCTGCCCAGATTTGATGTCTCATATCTGAGTCTGCAGAAGCTGCTGTTCCCACCCAACTCCTAATCAGGGCTCCCCAGTTCCTGATTCCATCCCCTGTACCCCTCGTAGACCTGCTGCCCTCAGCAGACTGCAGCAAATGGCAGGACCTGCTCAGGAGAGCTCAGAGGAAATGAGGCTCCCATGGGCCCTGGAAACATCACTTGGCCTTCTCTGAAAGCTGATGACAAAGAGGCATACAGGGCTTGCAGGGGTGGAGCTAGGTTTGGAATCAGTTGTTGGGCATCTGATGCCCCTCTGACGTCCAGAATCTGTCTCGCCCAGGTCTTTCGGGGTCATGAGCCACTTCCAAACAAAGTTGCTTTGGACGAGCTTCCCTGCAGTCCCAGCTCCACTTGGAGGGCCCTCCCTCCTGCTTCATGGAGGGATGGTATCCGGTGAGCCCTGGTCCTGGTGGGCCTGCACCCCTCCAGAATCAGCATATTATTGGGTCCGGAGCCTGTGGGGGCCCTGCTGCTTGCTGGGTGCCCGTGGGCAGGACACCTGCCTCTCTAGCGGGGTGTCCTCAGTAAACAGCATGGCTTCCTGCCCTGGCAAGCACTTGGGGGCAGGGAGGTGGTGCCAACAGGGCCTCAAACCATCCACACACATCCTAGGATGTTCCCTTTGGTCCCCATCCAGCGATTACCAAGGGTCAAATCCCACCCACACAGTGCCTCAGTCAGTTTTAACTTAGCTGTCACAATTTAAAGAGTATAAGACCTTTGCATAGAAAGTCTAGAATTTCAGTTTTCATTGAAAAATTAGAACCCTCGCACTTGGGGAGTTGGGCCTCCCACTTGCATGCGGCATCCTCCCCTGCTGTTAGCTGAGGCTGTGACTGCTGCTGTGCCCGCCCGCCCCAGCCTCCTGGGCCCTGACGTCACCTTCTCAGCTTGAGGGGGCATTGGATTTGTGGCTCTTGCCAGCCACCAGTGAAACAGAAAACTGCTATCACTGCCTTTGATGCCATCTGCGTTTAGAATTTTGGGAAGGGACAGATTGAACTCTGCACATTGCTGGTCTCAAAATCAGCCTGGGTGACATTCATGAAACTGATTTCTATTTCCTACGGGAGCCACAGGTGACTGGTGAGCCCTGTATCAATATAAGCTTCCCAGGCCAGTCTCCTGTGTCAGAGCTCAGATCTCAAAACACATTGACCTTCTGCCCAGAATCTTTCCCCTGCAGAGGGAGAGGGATGTCTGTGAGGGGCCTGCAACAGCCTTTCTGAGCATGAGGAGGAGGCAGAATGGGGGAATGTCATGTGGGCGCTGGGGCAGAGGCAGGTGGCCATCCCGTCTGTCACCACTCCGCATTACCCTGAACCCTAGATGCAGGCCCAGTGGACAGACACGGACATGAGGTCTGGAGGGGCCTGTGGGGGACCCCAACTCAAACTTGGGCTTGCAAAAGCCAGGAAAGTGGCCCCGAATCTTGCACTTAATATAGAAACCACATCGTTTCCATCAATGAAGAGCCAGTTCCAGCACCAAGCATGTGGTCCCAGTGACGCGCGTTTGTAATTAGACCCTAAATACCATCAAGACACTAAAAATGCCGACTTCCCCAAAGCAGCTGGGGCTGGGAGGAACCCGCAAGAGCGGGGCTTGTGATTTTTTGGAGTGTTTAGAGGCTCTGCAAATGAACTCAGACCGGTAGTAACTCCTGCAACGCACATTTGCTTTGCACCCCTCCAGGGTATGGTTTAGATTCTGCCGAGAGGGCACAGGCCGTGACAGTGTGCCACAGGAACCTCTATCATACAGGCCCAGGACAGGAAGACCCCTTGGTGAGAACCTGGCCGCACTGACAGCCTGTGCCCGGCTCTGACCTCAGGCAATGAGAGCCTGCCTACTGGGAACGCCACAGGGCACCAGGGCTCATGGGGGTGGATGGTGCCCACGTGCTGCTGGGCACACACCTGCCCTGTCCCCCTCAGCTGAGCACAGAGAACCCATCCCAACCTTCCGCCCACACTGACCTTTCCCGACAGAATGCTCAGCACCCCTCCCCACATCCCATCCCTCCAGCTTCCCCTAAGGCCACCATCAGGGCTAAGTCCTGGGGCGGGGCAGAGTCTGCCCCCTGCCCTACTTTGCCTACTGGTGCATCATCTCTGTGTCCCCAGACACTTGTTCTGGACTGAACTGTGTCCTGCCCAAATTTATATGCTGGAGTCCTAATCCCTAGTATCTCAAAATATGACCTTACTTTGCAGATACAGTCAAGTTAAAAAGGGGCCATTAGGGTGAGCCTAACCCAGGTGACTAGTGTTCTTATGAAAAGGGGAAATTTGGGCCAGGTGTGGCAGCTCACACTTGTAATCCCAGCACTCCGGGAGGTTGAGGTGGGTGGGTTGCTCAAGCACAAGTTTCAGACCAGCCTGGGCAACATAGTGAGACCCCATTTCTACAAAAAATACAAGTTAGCCAGGTGTACTGGTGTGTGCCTGTGGTCCCAGCTACTTGGGAGGCTGAGGCAGGAGGATCACCTGAGCTCTGGAGGTCGAGACTGCAATGAGCCATGATTGTGCTACTGCACTCCAGTCTGGGCAACAGAGTGAGACCCTGTCTCAAAAGAAAGAGAGTCGGGGGAGTCTGGATATAGAGATATGCACACAGGGAGAAGGCGCCATGAAGGGTGAGATCAGGGTGATGCTTTGAGATGCTAAAGGTTGCCAGGAAACCGTCAGCTCCTATGGGAGAGGCCTGGAAGATTTTCCCTCACAGCCTTAGAGGGAACCCATGCTACTGCCACCTTGATCTCAAACTTCTTGTCTCCAGAGCTGTGGGACAGTCCCTGTCTGGTTGAAGCTGCCCACCTGCAGTGCTTGGTCACCAGGCCTGTGCCTTGCCCGGCCTTCTTGGTTACCACCCTGAGGACTGTTCTATTGCAGCCCTCAGCCACAGTGCATCTCTGTCTGCTGCCCACTGAGGCTCACCTGCCCCTGCAGCACCAGCTGTTGCCCATGCAGTGGCACAGGTCTCCAGCGCTGCCCAATGTGAGCAGACACTGATTGGGCCACAGTCTTGGCTCTTGGTCCCACGACCTCCCCCAGGGGCCCAGTGTGGGGACACTGGCTATTGGTCTCAGAGCAAAAATGGCCTCAAGTCCCATTTATCCCATTGAGGGGGGGCTCCCAGCATGGAGCTCTGCACTCTTCCTTGCAGGAGCTCAGAGCACGGCCAGCTGGCATGTAGCTCTGAGTCTTCAGCATTGGTGTAGCCTTCGGGTCAGCTTTCCTCAGCTCCCCTGCCCCCTCACCCTGTCTTTCAGCTCTGACTCAGCCCACCCTGCTGGCCACGACTTGAAGCTGGGGACTTGCAGTGGCTGCATGTCTATGTCCCCCCAGTCTATGTGTTGAAACCCTCACCGCCAGTGTGATGGGGTTGGGAGGCGGGGACTCTGGGAAGTGATTACATCATGAGGCGGAGCCTTCGTGAATGGGATTAGTGCCCTTATAAAAGGGACCCTGGAGCAACCCTTTGCCCTTTCTGTCCTGTGAAGAGAAGATGGCTTTCTGCAAACCAGTTTGCCGGCCAGTGCCATGATCTTGGACTTCTGGTCTCCCGAGCTGGGAGAAATAAGTGCTGTTTAAGCCACCTGATCTGTGTATTCTGTCGCGGCAGCCCAAACGGACTAAGAACTCAAGTGACAAACCATAGCTGTGCTTACTTACCCAGGAGCCTGGCCACAGCTGTTTCCGTCTCCCATCCCCTGCAATTACATATATTGTACCAGGCTTGAGATGGGGAGGGAGGAGGTGTCTTGGCCAGCAGGTGACCCAGGAGTGACTGGTCTTAAAGGGAAGCTGGGAGGCAGGGACTGGAGGAGCAGACCCTGGGGCCGCAGTTCACCCAGACCTGCAGAGATGGCAGAGGCAGCTCTGGCATGCAAAGGCCACAGCCCCCAGATGCTGCTGCTGTTAGCAAACCTGGGGCCAAGGTTGGTGGCTGGGGCATCTTAAAGGTCCTGGGGGAAGGGGTGTTGTGAGTGGGAACTCAGAGGCACTGTCATTGGAAAATGACTGCCGCAGCCCTGGGAGGGAGTGGGCAGTGCAGGCTGGAGGCCACAGCCCTCCCGCGCTCATGCTTGTAGCAGAGCTTTTGCCCTTCCCCACCCCACAGAGGTCCTATTGAAACTGTCCCCTTTAGCAGGGCTAACTGGGGCATGTAATGTGGGTCCCTGAGAAGAGATTGTCTTTCCTGCCTCTGCCAGCGCCACCACCCCCAAGTTTCTGCCACTGGACCCAGCTGTCTGTGAGGCCTCTGGATACAGATCCTGTCCCTCCTTTCCCTGCTCCTCCTCTGTCCAGGAGCTGGGGGAACCTGTCTGCAGGAAGAGGGTGTCCTCCAGGATGGGCCCATGTCACTGTCTTCTACCTTTAGAGGAAGTGTCTCTGCCTTGTGCGAGTCATAGCACAGTGAGTCCTAGGGGTTCCTGGAGTCCTCCCTAGGCTGGGCACACAAAGGGTGGAGCCCATGCTCCCAGCTGCCTTCCCCTTTCCTGGTGAAGAGGAAGTGTGACTCCATTTTCCGGACAGAAGCTGCGCAGCCACATGAAGTGGCAGCACCTACTCCTTGCTGCCTCAGAGCCAGCCCCAACCAAAGAGGCTGCGCCAACCTCCCGTCGACCATGCTGGTCTTAAGTTCTCATCCTATTCTGCAAAATAAACAAGCTTTGGATGAAGTCCTTCCCCAAAAGTAAGAAACATACCAAGGACAAAGCTGTGCGTCGTGTGGCTTTGGGTTTTTGTGCACCTGCTCCCCGTGTGAAGGTGAGCACTTTGACAACAAGGCTCAAGGATGCCAACGGAGTGTGCCCCAGCGCCCATCAACACTTCTATGGGAAGAGTGGGGCAAAGGCACATGGCTGGCAACTCAACTCAACGTGAAATTAATTGACAAGACCAGCACGCAACAAGGCAGGACTGGATACTTCAGTTACATTTCCCTACCCAGTTCAGCAGGGACAGAGGAAAAAAAGCTTTAGGATCTTTAGAATTTCCCAGCCTTTAAACAAACCTAAAATCAGTTTAACCTGCAATGAGACTTTGGAACCAGCTACAGTCCTTAAAACAGATGCCAGAAATTGCTCATGTGGTGACAGAAACTGCAGAATAGGTGAAATGCTTGCTGTTTCCTCATATGCTCAGGTTGGCATCTTGAGCTTCCATGGGGTTTCGGTGCCCCTCAAAAAACCTGGACCTGCAATTCTGGAATGCTGCCACCAGGGGAAGGTATGGCTTGATCACTTGCCAGATTTATAGAAGGCTCAGGTAAGTACTGCAGCTCCTGGGGATAACTGCCTTGGAGTAGAGAGAAACTGTTGAGAAATCATGGATCCAGATAACTCCAAAAAAAGAGTAATGTGCCTGTCCATGCATCACCCTTACATACAGACATGGAGACATTTACAGAGTGAGTGAATCACAGCCACATCCAGGTAGATGGCAAGAACCCAAGCCTATCATCAGCCACAGTCCAGGGAATTTCTGTGAAGAATGGGCATACCTGCCTTCCTTTGTAAATAATTCTCTTCTTCCACTTAAATCGTTATTTAAAATATCAAAAGTTGTACATACACATACACAGAGTTTACAGAAACAAAGAGTTCCACAAGGATTGTCATGATGAAACCCCACCAACCCAGCCTTACTTCTCACTCTGAGCCTTCAGCTATTTAATTTTATATCTATCACTCAATCTCTGAACACCTATTTTTGCTACTTGATATTTACATTTTCGATATTATCCGCTGACACACTGTGATGGAAAAGGATGACTTGGCTCAGAGTTTGTGAAATGTGGCACTATGGTGATTTTGGACCAATTAATTCTTTGTTGTGGGTGTGCACTGTAGGATGTTTAGCAGTGTCCCTGAATTCTACCTGCCAGCTGCCAGCAATAATCTCCACCCCCAAGCGTGAAAATCAAGAATGTTTCCAGATACTGCCAAATGTCCTATGGAAGGTCAAGACACCATCAGTTGAGAACCACTAATTTGGCTCTTTTTAAAAAATCCTCCCTCCCCACTGTTTTCCCAGTACCACCATCCTCTAGATGTATTGATATCAAAATTTTAACTAGATCACCATTCAGGATTTACATCATGACTATGTAAAATCTATTCATAGCTTAAACTCTATAGTATACTATGGTTACTTCATCTTTTCCTGTACATTTTGTTCTCCCTAGAGCAAAATAATTTTGTTTGTTGGTCGGTTTTTCTATGTACTTAACAGTAATTCAAATCCAAATGCTTCCCTAATTATGTAAATCTCTTTTCAGAGTCTTCAAATACATTATCCATTTTAAGTTTGTCTTCCTGAAGAAATATTTCCTGAAGACTTTTGATCTGCACTGAACAACCAGGATTAAGTGTTTTCTAGCAGCTGTCCCCATTACTCTAATCCTCAGGATTCCTTTGACTGATTCTTTCCTGTGTTGGATCTCCTGAATCCCTGTATTTGTTTATTTGGTTCAAAAACCTCATTTTTTGTAAAGGACATCCTCCAGTATCTTCTCCCCAAATAGAGTTAGGACATAATTTTTTTGAGACATTGACTATTTGAAAATGGCTTTATCTGTACACTTAATTGGTAGTTTGGCTGGGTATAAAATTTGAGGTTGGGGAATAAGGTAAAGTAAATTCCTAAGACTAACTAACTCTTCTGCAGGTAATAGCTATAAAATCTAGACAGAGTACAATCCCCACCCCCAAACCAACAAATAAATTCTCTGAAGGTTCTGAAGAGTGAACAAAGACAGGCAGATTTTAGATGAGAGTTGAAAATTAGAAGCTTTGTGCAATGGATGCATTATGGTATGAGTCACCTGCAGTTTTTTGTTTTTTTTTTTTAAATCCAGATCCTGCACAAACCTGCAGTTCTGATAGAAATCAGAGGATACAGCCCACAGTGGCCATAGCAGCCAAAGTGAGGGGAGAACTCCAGAAAAGAGAGAGCCAGAGAAGGGTAGTTTCATATTCTGTGTGTAAACTTCTCATAGGTCTTTGGTTGATGTCTGAGCTGAGCTGTGTGTGTAAGGAAGACTCAAATAGGCTTGCTATGATAAGGCTGAAATTTGAGCTGCTGCCACTGCAGGGCAGACAAAGGTTGCAATTTGAGTTTAACCAAACTCATTATCAGCTAAAACAAAAACATTAACACCCATCAAAGGAATGTAATATAATCCAGAGTTGCCAAAGCATAACATTCACGAAATTTGGGATACAACTCAAACTTATTTAGCAAACCCAGAGATGACCCAGATGTTGGAATTATCAGAGAAGGACTTTAAAAAACAGCTACTGTAACAATACCCAACTAGGTAAAGGAAAATAGGCTTATAATGAATAAAAGACAGGAAATCCCAAGGAAATTTTAAAAAGAATTATATGGAATTGTTAGAAATGCATCAGCTGGGCTTAACATCAGCATGGATATGACAGAGCTAATTATTAGTGAATTTGAAGACATGCCAAGAGAACATATCCAATCCAAAGAAGAGAGAAAAAAAGATTTTAAAAAGTAGAACAGAGAGTATTAAGGATCAAAAGGTCTAACATAACGTGAACGAGAGTCTCAGAAGGGGGGAAAATTAGAGTCAAAGAAGACAGAGAAAATGAGTCATAAAAAATACTTGAAAAAATGGTACCCAAGGAATTCCCCAATTAGGTGAAGGACATAAATTTATAGATTCAAGAAGCCTGTGAATCCCCAAAAAGATAAGTATTTAAAAAATTATATAGGGACATTATAGTCAATTCTGCTCAAAGCCAAAGACAAGGTGAGAATCTTAAAGCAGCCAGAGAAATTATTTACATTATTCACACTCTAAATAAAAATGACTGAATGATTGCAGACTTTGCATCAGAAACCATGGAGAAGAACCTCTTGTAGAAGACGGCGGAACAACATCTTTAACAGGTGAAAGTAAAAAAAACACAACTAGAATTCCATTTCTGGTGAAAATTCTTTAAAGAATACAGGCAAAATAAAGACCTTTATAAAAAAATGAAAACCAGGTTATTTGTTGCCAGAAAGCCTGCACTAAAGAACGTTCTTCAAGCTGAAGTGAAGCGGGACTGGATCTATGGATGGCACAAAGGGTGCCACAAATGGTGAACACCTGGATACAAAATAAAAGATGATTCTCCCTCTTAATTTTAAAAGCAGATATCACTGTTTTAGGCAAAAATAATACTGATTTTGGGGTTTACAAGTGTGTAGATGTAACACACATGACAATTATAGAATAAAGTGAGGCAGGAGTGAAGAAGATGCATCTATATGGTTGCTGGGTTTTTATATTTTACATGGAGTGTACAATTTGAACTCTAAGTAGACTATGGAAAGCTAAGAATGTATACTGTAATCCTTGATCCACTGCTAAAAGAATGTGAAGAGCTACAGTGTAACGCCAATGGAAAAATTAAAATAAGGTTCTAAGAATAGTTAAATAATCTAAAATAAGGCAGAAAAAGGGAAAAATAAAAACTGAGGAGATAAACAGAAGACAAACTTGTAAACCTAGATGGAACCACATGAACAATTCTATTAAATGTTAAATAGAATAAAACTCCAACTAAACATCAGGCCTTATAAAATGGTTTAAAAAGAAGACCTAATTATGCTGTCCGTACACTTTCAATACAAAGACACTGAGAGGCTGAGAGTTAATAAATGAGAAAAGACAGTTCCTGGGCAGAATGGCTGTTAATATCAGACAAAATAAATTTTTGACACAGGGTCTTGCTCTGTCGCCCAGGCTGGAGTGCAGTGGTGTGATCGTGACTCACTGCAGCTTTGACTTCCCAGGCTCAGGTGATTCTCCCACCTCAGCCTCCCAAGTAGCTGAGACCACAGATGCATGTCACTATGCCTAATGATTTTGTATTCTGTGTAGAAATGTGGTTTCACCATGTTGCCCAGGCTGGTCTTGAACTCCTGGGTTCAAGTGATCTGCCCACCTTGGCCTCCCAAAGTGCTGGGACTACAGGCATGAACCACTGCGCCTGGCCATTCAATGACTTTTTAAATATTTCTTTTATTTTCTCTTTGAGGTATCCTTATTTTATACACAGTAGACCGTCTGGACTGACCTTCTAATTTTATTATCTTCTTCGAAGGCCATATCTTTTTCTTTTCTGAGAAATTCTTTTCAAGTTTATCTTTCAATCTATCTTTCAAATTTTTAATGCCAGCCCGGAGCGGTGGCTCATGTCTATAATCCCAGCACTCTGGGAAGCTGGGGTGGGACGATTGCTTGAAGCCAGGAGTTTGAGACCTGCTGGGCAGCATAGTGAGACCTCGTTCCTTGAAAAAAAAAAAAAAAAAAAAAAACATTTAAAAGTTAGCCAAGTATGGCAGCACGTGGCTGTGGTTCCAGCTATTCAGGAGGCTGAGGTGGGAGGATCCCTTGAGGCTGAGGCTGCAGCAAGTCCTGATCACACCACTGCACTCCAGCCTGGGCAACAGAGCGAGACCTGTCTCAAAAAAATTTTTTTTATACCTGCTATATAATATTTTTAATTTTCAGGAACTCTTATTTTGTTCTCTGATCATTTCAGAAAGAACATTTTACTTTTTTTTTCTTTGATCTCACTGAGCATATTAATAATACATTTCTTAATCTTACTCTTCCTGCATACTGGTTTCTTCAGTTGTTTTCAGTGTGTTTGTTTTGGGCCGTATTTCATATTAGTTCATCAAATGTCTGATGTTCCTTGGAAGGCAGCTCATATTTCAGAGTAGCTCCTAAAAGACTAAGTTCGATCACAGCCAATTATTTTGTGAATACTGACAAATGGATCCTAAAGTTTATATGGAAAGCTAAGAGGCCCAAAATAGCCAACACAATATCGAAGGAGGACAAAGTCACAGGGCTGACACTCCCCAACTTCAAGAGTTACTATACAGCTACAGTAATCAAGGCAGCGGGGTACTGGTGAAAGAACAGACAAATAGACCAATGATCAGAATAGAAAGCCCAGAAATAGACCCACACAAATAGAGTCAACTGATCTTTGACAAAGGAGCAAAGGCAGTTCCATGGAGAAAGGACAGTCTTTTCAACAAGCCATGCTGGACATCCACATGCAAAAATGAATGTAGAGACAGACCTGAAATCTTTCACAAAAATTAACCCCCAGTGGATCACGGACTTAAATGTAAAAAGCAAAACTATGACACTTCTAGAAGATAAGAGAAGATCTAGATGACCTTGAGTTTGGTGATGATTTCTTAGATACAACACCAAAAGCATAATCTATAAAAGTCAAAATTGATGTTGGACTTCCTTAAATTAACTCTGCAAAATGCACTCTGAAGAGAATAAAAAGATAAACCACAGACTGGGGGAAAATCTTTGCAAAACAAACACTTATCAGATAAAGGACTGGTATTTGAAATACAAAAAGAAAGAACTCTTACATCTCAACAGTAAGAAAACAACTGAATATAAAAATGGGGCTGGGCATGGTGGCTCATGCTTGTAATCCCAGCACTTTGGGGGGCCGAGTCGGGTGGATCACCTGAGTGAGGTCAGGAGTTCAAGACCAGCCTGGCCAACATGGTGAAACCCCGTCTCTTATAAAAGTACAAAAATCAGCCGGGCATGGTGGCACACATCTGTAATCCCAGCTACTTGGGAGGCTGAGGCAGGAGAATCGCTTGAACCTGGGAGGTGGAGGTTGCTGTGAGTCCAGATGGTGCCACTGCACTCCAGCCTGGGCAACAGAGTGAAAAAAAGGGCAAAATATCTGAATAGACAACTCACCAAAGAAGATACACAGATGGCAAATAAATGCTCCACATCATGTGGAATTAGCAAATCAAGCCAACAGTGAGACACCACTACACACCTATGGAATGGCCAGAATCTCAAACACCGACAACAGCAAATGCCGGCGAGGATGTGCAGCAACCGGAATGCTTATCGTTGCTGGTGGGAACCCAAAATAACACAGGCACTTTGGAAGACAGTTTGGCAGTTTCTTACAAAACAACACACTTTTACCCTATGATCCAGCAATTGTGCTCCTTTGTATTTACCCAAATGAGTTGAGAACAGGTTCATACAAAAACCTGTATGCCGAGGTTTAGAGCAGCTTTATTAATAATTGCCAAACTTGGAAGCAACCCAGATGTCTTTTGAGAGGTGAGTGGACAAACACACTGGTCCATCTAGAAAACGGAATATTAGTTAGCACTAAAAAGAAATGAGCTACCAAGCCATGGGAAGGCCTGCAGGAAGCTTACAAGCATGTTGCTAAGTGAAAGAAGCCAATCTGAAAAGGCTGCACACTGTATGATTCCAACTACATGACATTCTAGAAAAGGCAAACTATGGAGAAGGTAAAAAGATCAGTGGTTGCCAAGGGCTCAGGGGGAGGGAAGGAAGGTGGAACAGAAGCACAGAGAATTTTTGAGGCAGTGAGGCTGTTCTGTTTGATACTATAATGGTAGGTACAGGATATTATACATTTGGCAAAACCCACAGAATGTACACCAAGAGTGAACCCTCATGTAGACTACGGGCTTTAGTTAATAATGGTGTATCAATATTGGCTTCTCAACTGTGTGGGACATTTGCTACAATTGACAAGCCAATTGAAAAATAGGGAAAACAGGGAGAGATATAAGGGGGTATGTGGCAAGTCGGTACTTTTCACTCATTTTTCCCCATAAACTCCTCAAAATATAAAGTCTACTAATTAAAAAGAGGCTCATTTCTACAAGTTTTTATTATGGAAGAAGCCCAATGTTACATGACAGTAGAGAGATGAGTACCCTGAGCCAGTGCTGTCCCTTTAGCCAGCGTCAGCCACTGCTGGCTCCGAGAGCACCCACCCAGCCCCTGGGGCGATCATATCCCTCTGCGTTCCCTGGAAATGGCTCAGCATGCTTTCTATGAAAAGACAGAGACTCTTATTAAGAAGAAACACAACTGAAGTGGGAGGATTGCTCGAGCCTGGGAGATTAGCTGCAGTTAGCTGGGATCACACCACTGTACTCCAGCCTGAGCAACAGAGAACCTGTCTCAAACAAAACAAAAACCAAAAACCACAATGCCATTCTCATGCCTAAAAAGCGACTGCATTCCTGGTATCATGAGGCACCGCGTCATGGCTCAGGCTCCCTGAGTGTACAGCTGGTTTACTTGACTCATGAGCAAGATGCACACGTCACATCTGGCTGGCACGTCTCTGAAGCCTTTTTACATCTCTAGGCTTTCCCCATTCCTCTTTTATCCCTTTGCAGTTCATTTGCTGAAGAAACCGAGTCAATTGCATCCTGCGGCATTGCTTCTATTAGTGGTGGTCAGAGGCGGGATTGCATCCAGGAGCCCTTTGCAGGCGGTGCCGGGCATACCCACGCCAGGAGCCCCGGCACAGCTGCTTGGGTCTTTCTGCGACGAGACAGCACCGGTGGGTCAAGCACCCTCAGCCTGTCCCACTCCCCGTCAGCTTGCCACTTAGTGTTTTTAGCAGCCACTGGTAAATGCCATGCCCAGATCCTTCACCTCCTGGGAGCTGCAGAACGCTGATGTTCAACTTCTGTTGCTCCTTCTCCACTTACTAGTTGGAATAATTTTTATTTTAACTTCTTGAGACAGGGTCTTGCTCTGTCACCCAGGCTGGAGTGCAGCGGCATGATCTTAGCTCACTGCAGCCTTGACCTCCTGGGCTCAAGCGATCCTCCCACCTCAGCCTCTTGAGCAGCTGAAACCACAGGTGTGTGCCACCACACTGGGCTAATTTTTGTATTTTTTTGTAGAGATGGGGTCTTCCTGTGTTGGCCAGGCTGGTCTTGAACTCCTGGGCTCAAGTGATACACCTGGGCCTCCCAAAGTGCTAGGATCATAGGCATGAGCACTGCACCCAGCCACACTAATTTTTAAGAAGAAACTTTCCCTTTTCAACACTTGGATGACTCTGAGGCACAGTGTATGTGAGAAGGCCCAGATACGGGCCGGATACTCGCCTTTCATCAGTTTTCATGTGAATGAGTCACTTCTTTCAAGTGACCAGTTCTTTAAAAAGTGTCATTATGGGCGGGGCATGGTGGCTCACGCCTGTAATCCCAGCACTTTGGGAAGCAGGTGGACCATCTGAGGTCAGGAGTTCGAGACCAGCCTGACCAACATGGAGAAACCCTATCTCTACTAAAAATATAAAATTAGCTCGACGTGGTAGTGCATGCCTGTAAACCCAGCTACTCGGGAGGCTGAGGCAGGAGAATCGCTTGAACCCAGGAGGCGGAGGTTGCCATAAGCCGAGATCGCACCATTGCACTCCAGCCTGGGCAACAAGAGTGAAACTCCGTCTCAAAAAAAAACAAAAAGTGCCATTATGAACTCAAGAATGTTTATAAGAACATAGCTGATAAAAGTTTGAATCCACTACAATTACTATTGTTTTTATTTTATTTTATTGAAACGGGGTCTTATTCTGTTACCTGGGCTGGAGTGCAGTGGCATGATCTCAGCTCACTGCAGCCTTGATCTCCTGGGCTCGAGTGATTCTCTCATCTCGGCCTCCCAAGTAGCTGGGACCCAGGACCACAGGCATGCACCACCATGCCTAATTTTTTTTTTTTTTTTTTTTTTTTTAAAGGCAAGGTCTCACCATGTTGCCCAGGCTGGTCTCAAACTCCTGGGCTCAAGCAATCTGCCTGCCTCAGCCTCCCAAAGTGTTGGGATGACAGGCGTAAGCCACCACGCCTGGTCTAGTCTTTGTTTTTAAACAAATCTTTTATTTTAGAATAGTTTTAGATTTACAAAAAACATTGTGAACTCAGTATCTGGAGTTCCCATACACTCCACACTGTTTCCCCTATTATTAGCATCTCACACTGGTATGGGACATTTGTCACAATTAATAAACCAGTATTGATATATTTCATTAACTAAAGCCCACATTTTATTCGGATTTCTCTAATTTTTACCTGACGTCCCTTGTCTGTCCCAGGATCTGTCCAGAGCACCACATTACGTTTAGTTGCTGCTCTAGGCTCTGCCTGCTGGGATGGTTTCTTAGACTTTGTTTTGTTGACCTTGACAGTTTTGGCTGCTGGTCAGGTCTTTTGTTCTACCCCTGAATTAAGATTTTTTTTCCTCATTATTAGACTGAGGTATATATGGGTGTTCAGGAGGTAAAGAGCCATTCCTGTCACATAGTATCGAGGGCACACACTGTCACCAAGACTTTTCGCTGTTGGTGCTGGCCCTGCTCGCCTGGCCAAGGGAGGGCTCACTGGGCTCCCCCGCTGTGAAGTTACTCTCCTTTCCCTACTTTCCACACAGTGCTCTCGAAAGCAAGTCACTGCATACTGCCCACACCTAAGGGGTGGGGAGTTACACACCACCTCCTTGAGGACAGAGTATCTTTGCACATGTTAGGGAAGATTTGTCTATTCCTCCCTTTATCTTTCAGTTGTTTATTTATCAGTGTGGACCCATGAATACTCATGTTGTACTTTGAATGATAACCAAATGTGACTTTATTTTCTAGCTCAAATTGTCCCGGCCGTGGTCTTTGGGAGCTCCTTGGCCTCTGGGAGCTCCCTGGGATTTGCTCCAGCCTTTTGTTTTTTGACCACTTCCTTCCTTTCCGGTTCTACAGGATGCTCTAGGCTGCTACCTTTTGCCGTGCTTTCGAATCCTCCACTGTGCTGTATGAGCAGCCCTTCCTCACACTGGCTCCTGAGCCCATCACATGTGACTTTGTGTCTTCAATACCTTCCTTGCTTTTGGATGTGACAAAATATTCTACCCTCTTCATGATTATACTGATAGCTTCAACAGAAATTTAGGATGATGCTGTTTTTACTTATTTTCTTTTATATTGGTGTCTCTTTCTCTTTGCTGAAAATCTAGGTTCCTAATGACTGCCATTAAGGTCATGATCTATTTGCTCTATCATTTATTAATCATCTATCCATCTATCATTACTTTCAGACTAACACCACCAATGTCATTACTCATAACAGGATTACCGAAAAGAGGTTATGATTTCTTTCCAGTTTGCAATGACATGCAAATTGCCACTTGACATAATTTGTTAATGCCATTAATTTAATTAGCAGTTATGTTCATTTCTATTATTTTGTTTTGGATTTTGAGATTTTTGAAATTTTGACTGTTTTACAATTACGTGAAATATTTACTCAATTCCAAAATTGAACCTGCTACTCTCTCTCTTCTACTTCCTCTTCTTGTATTCTCCCCCTTGAGGCAATGCTAAATTAAAACAAGTTATTTTGGTGGATTATCCTTCCATTAAAAAGGAGAAATGAGCAGATACCTGTGTGTTTCTGTATGTGTATGTGTGTGTGCACGTGAGCATGTGTGTGGGTGAGTGTGAGCATGTGTGTGGGTGAGTGTGCACGTGTGTGTGCACATTCCCTCCCCACCTTCCTTGGGTAAACAGCAGCACGCTGGTCACATTCTTCTCGCCTTGCCTTTCCCACGTAACAACACCCCCTGGAGACGGTGCCACGGCAGCTCCCAGAGACGCTCCCTGCACCTGACTGCAGCCACATGTCCTCGCTGCAAGGCTGTTACGCGGCACACACTGCAGGCTCCTACTGGTGGGTCTGGTGCTTAGTGTTCTGCTCTCCAAACAGAGCTGAAAACAGCCACGTGAGTCCTTGTTCTAATTTTCCGAGTGCACCTTTGGGCTATGTTCACATCTGTGGGGTTGCTGGCTCTAACGGTTTCTTATCCAAACTACCCATCAGCCCTTAGCCCAGGCTACCTCCACCTCCTAGGCAGAGGCCACAGCCTCTTGCAGTTCCGCCACGTGATTCTGACTGTACCAGCTTTCCCCACCACAGCCCCGCTCCAGCTTTCTGAGGCCTTTGAGTCCACTTGCTGTGCAGCCGCCATCGCCGTTTCTGCTCTGTCCTTGTTGGTCTCTGCCTCTTTAAGGATGGCTTATCCTGCTGCGTGCATGGCTGAATGCACGGCTTAACCTCTATCTAGATTTGATTGATTGGCAGTGTCCCTCTTTTGCTGGACGTTGCCAATCAAACCTCTAAAAATTCATTTATTCTTGAAAAAGATACAAGAAAGTACCAAAGGGGTGGCCACAGCATGGCTGTCCAGGCACGGGCGCCCTCCCAGGGCAGCCACACTTCTGCACGTGCAGGGTTCTCATTAATTCTTAGCTTGTCTCCAGCCATGGCTTATTCAAACCCCGATCTTATTTCCTCCTTTGACTAGAAAGCTCTCTGGTGGTACCCCCTCTATCGTCTCTCATCCTACCCAGGGCCTCCGAGTCCCTGCTGGCTCAGGCTTTGAAAGCCCAGGCCCCTTACCCGGCTCCAGCTCCGCGGGCTGGCCGGCCACCTGCTCACACTGTCTAAGCTTTTTCAAGGCTGTCCTTGGCATCCATTCGGACCGTGTCCCAGTCCCTCAGTTATTGCAGCCATCAGAGGGGGAGAGGAAAGAAGGAAGAGAAGGGCACTGCCCCCACCTCCAACCAGGCGGCATCATTTGAGACTCGTGCAGAAGGGAAGCCGCCCCAAGCCAGCCAGGCATTTGGGCCCCTAAATGCCACAGCTCCTCTCTTAGCGGCCACAGTTGCCCCGGCAACGTGCGGCCGCGGGCAGGCTACCTTCACTGAGGCCTCCCTCCAGACCCGCAGCTCCAATCCACACCCTCTTTGAAAAATGTTTACACACAGTGCCACGAGGTCTCCGGCAGAGGGCTTGCGGGTGCAAGGAAACCCACAGGCCCACACCTGCAATGCTGGTGTGGGTGTGGAGGGGCAGCTGCTTGTCTCCTGCTCCTCCCCGAGCATCAAAGCACGCGGGTGGCACAGCAGGGTGTGCTTCTGCATCTGCCCGGGCCAGCTGGCTGCTGTGTGCACACCGGGAGGCCTCTCTGTCCAGAGCACCAGGAGGAGGCTGGCCTCACACCTCAATGCGACTGGTTACAAATACAGATTCCCAGCCCTCACAGCAGCAGGTGCTCTATAAATACTATTGAGCAGTTCTCTTTGGGACTGTGGTAAAACACAGCAGGGTAGGAATGCCTGGGTTCAAGTCTCAGCTGCCCCACTGTCAGGTGAGTTTGTGACCTCAGAGCAGGGCTCTGGCCCTCATCAGCTCTATCTGCAGCAGGGGAGCAGCAGTTCTGGCAGTCTATCCATGAGAATGCCTGAGGACGGGTGTGTGACTGGAAGGGGGGATGCAGAGGCCCTGCTCTGCTGGGGAGGATCCCCGGTGCTGCCCCGAAGCCCTGTACTGCAGCCCGGCTTTCCCACCTAAGCAGGCTTTGTCTATGGTCCTGCCCCCTCCCTGGCTGTCCTTCCCATGTACCCTGTGCAGCAGCCGGTCCTGGAGGGCAGTGTTCACCGCTTCCTGTGTCAGGAGGCGCTCGCTGCTGGGGCTGGGCTGTGCACGAATCAGGGGCTGTACGGGATTCTCAGTCCACTATCTTGTTCTCAACAAGAATATCCATAATTTCAGTTCAAAGCAGTGGAAGAGCATCATATGGAGGCAGAGTCGGAGAGCTGGGGTAGCTTCCTCTGACAGCACCCTTCATCCTGCTGTGTCCTTCAGCTGTCCTCCCTCCCCTGTGCTGCTCCGCACGGCCACTGCATGCTGGCTTCAAGGCCCCTGTCAGGGGTCAGGGCCCAGGCTGAATACCTGGCACATGAGGGGGCCTGGCCATATTTGCAGCGTGACTAGCAAGGGAATATTAACAGCCAGTGTCAACTGAGCACTGACGACATGGCTGCCCCTGGGCTAAGGACTTCACATAGTTACACCATTCAGTCCTCACTAGCACCCTATGGACCAGGTGGCGACGGGATCCCATTTTACAGATGAGGGACAGAAGCTACAGCGGAGCCCTGGGTCCTCCCCTCTCTACCAGGAGAGTAACCAAGAGCAGTCCCACCCCCTGGGGGGCAGTGCAGCTGTGAATGCCACCATCGGAGATGGGAAAGCACCAGGGGCAGCTGTGTCGCTCACATCCACGCTCGCCTTACCAGCGTGGATGCACAGAGTCCCAGGGAGCCTGGAGAAAGGTATGGACTATCTTCAACTTAATCTGGTGGTGACACCCACTGAGGTTGCTGTTCCCAATGTGCTATCTTTACCGGAGCAAATCGGTACAACCCCAGACACTCGGATGCAGCTAAGACCTTGTGAATTCCTTTGCTCCACATTGATCTGCAAGGAGTACTAGTAGGAGTCTGCTTTCACCTGACAACACCAGTGGTCCACATGCACAGCCCGTCCTCAGGCTACCCCGAGCCTCCTGCTCTCTGCCATGCCGGGGCCCTCAGAGATCCCATCAGCTCAGCTTTCCAGAAAACATCATGCTGTCCACGATACTGATGACATTACGGTAACTAGATCATGAGCAGGAAGTAGCAAATGCTTCGGATGCCTTCTATGCAAAGAAGGGTGGGGGAAGCCCACAGAGATGCAGGGGCCTGCCAGTTCAGTGAGGGTTCTGCGTCCTCAGTGCTCTGGAACATGTTGAGATAGCCCCTCCAAGGGGGGAACATTCCGCTGCCTCTCACCATCTCATGCACACATGGACACATACATGCTCACACGCACACAGGCACGAGGCTTGGCAGGTCTTTGTGGAGTGTGGAGGCAACACAGGCCACATTTGAACATTTTCTCCAGCCCATCTACAAAGTCCTCTGCAAGCCTGCCCGCTTCTAGTGGGGACCAGAGTAAGATAAGGCTCTGTGCAGGTCCCAGCTGCAGCAGCACAGGCCTTGCTGCCAATCGGCTTGACAGCCCGGCAGCTGCAGCGACACTTACAGTACCCATGGCAAACAGGGACGCGTGTGGAGGCTCTGGCCAGCACCAGCAACAGAATCCCAGTGCAGGCCTCGAGGACTTGGGAGCGCATCCAGGCCCTTCTCCGCAGGTAACTCTTCTTCTGGGAAACACCTCTCTGGCTTGCTCCTGGGCCACGGTGTATACCTTGCCCAGGCTTGCCCAGCTAGGTCACTTCTGTTAGCTTTGTGTACCAGTCCCCAGGCTCACCCAAGGAACAGACTCTGTGGGTGGCAGCCCCTCTCCAAGAGTTAAGGACAGCAGCCCCTAACACCCAGGACAGCTCATCCCGGGTCTGTGAACCCCAGCCAGCAGGCCCAGGGATGGGCAGGGGATGGTGGATTTTTTTTTTTCTGCCTTCTGCTAGGAGCATGAGACAGACTAAGAGAGAGGTGAGAGAAAAGGGCATTTGGAAACGAGCTTCGAGGTAGGGGAGAAAACAGGCTCTTTCTTTTGAAATGCCAGGGTTGGCAGCATCAGAACAGGAGCGAACAGGGTCCTGGTACTGTGCAGCCCCACCTCCCAACGCCAGGGGAACGGAGCCCTGGCACCCCCGTAAACACACACACCAGGTCCTGGATGGGACCAAGCCACCACTTTGCCCCCTGAACAGCACACTCAGAAGGGGATCTCTGCTCTCCAGCTAACCCCCCTCCTAGCCCCCAGGGATGTGGCTCCTTTAGTTTTGTGGAGGTGATGGCGGGAAAGTCCTGTTCTCAGAAGCTTCCTTCCCCCTCCCTGCTCTGTGACTCCTGTCTCCTCTGCTGGACTTCTCCACCTTAGTCTTGGTGGCCTGGGGGGCAACTGCCCATCATTCTCAGCCAGCAGGCCTCTCTCAGGAGGACAGGCCCTGGCATACTCTGCCCCCACCCCCCACCCACCTTTTCAATTCAGACACAACTGGCCAGCACTCACATTAAAACAGAGATCCGGAGAGTAATGGAATGAACTCCTGGTAGCAATAAGACACCAAACTATAAACAAGACCTGAGGCCATGCCAGGCAAGGTGATCCTGCACCCTAAACCTAAGAATAAGGTGGATTCTGGCCGCCACAAGGCTTTTCTGATTCTCTAGCAGCTAAGCAAGCGCTGGCCTTGGGATAAGCAACATTAATATAATTGTAGCTCATCCACCTCCAGACACTGACAGCTGGCCTGTGTTCCACCAGCCATAACCACAGCTGTGACTGGACAAGAGACTGATTTCAGTGACTTTCTCCTGACAAGAGACCACTGGCCGTGGGCTGGCTCTCGCTGGGTCACAGAGGCTGCACTGAGCCCCTTTGAGTCCCTGCTTCACCTTTCCACATGCAGGGCCTGATTGCCATGCCTTTCAATGTTAAGTCTCTACCCCGAGGTGAACATGGGAGGCGTGTACCATGCATGTGTGCTCAGCGCACACGCGTCAGGGCCCCTGTGTGAATACTCATGGCTTCTATAACCTGCTGAGTGTGCTTAGCCAGCGTATCCTCATTCCAGCCCCACTCCCCTGAAGTGCCTGCTTCCGGCTTTGGCCAGAGGCTATGCTTCCCAGCTGGTCACAATGCCACCTCGCAGGCGTAACCCTTTACAAAATAAAGTCTCCTTTCGAAATTTTATGATTTTGTGATTTCTTTTCAGTTGACACCACTCCTCCCCCTCCCCTACTCTCAGGCAAGGACCCCCTCCCTCCCTCCTGAACACCCCCTATCATGTGCTGCCGACCTCTGCAGGCCTGGCCCCCTCGGAATCACATCCCGGGGGAGCCCCTCTGAGCCCACTCTCCTCCCTGTACCGGCCCCATCTGGCCACCACCCTGGGAGCATCCCTGTCCTCGTCTCAGAGGTATGCCAACCGCCCCGCCCAGGTCACCTTGGCTGCTGACCAGACGCTCCCAGTCCTCAACGCTTCCTACACGACCACATCCCAGACCCTCCTCACACCGTCCCCTTCCCTGATCCTGGCCTCCAGGCCTCCTCCACATCGTGCTGGTGTTCTGACCCACAAACGGCTCTGATTCCACAGCTGTGGTCTGGGCGGGCCCTGTGTGGGGAGGGAGAGCCCAGAGACCTGGTCCTTTATTGACCAGATGCTCCTGAACATTCTGCCTGGGTCCTGTCCCTGTCCCCACCCCCAGGACTCCTGTAGTTAAAGCCTCCTGGGGAGGGTGTGGTGCCGGCCTGGCTGTGGACTTGTGCTGACCCCTTCTGGGGCCGGGCTGGACTCACCCTGACCTTGTTCCTCTTGAGCAGAGCTTGCAGTCACCTGCAGCTCATTCTAGAACGACCCCCATGGTCCCCGCTTCCCAGTGGGCCCTGGGGAATGGTGTGGGCTCAGGTGGGGCCTGATTCAAGTTGGGGAATCCTAAAGTGGCATGGCTTCCTGGTGTGTTTAAAATACTCATTTGCTCCTCACTCAGAAGGGCAGTTGCTATAAATGGCCTCCAGCAGCCTGGAGATGGCACTGATGGTGTCATCAGCCAGCTCGGGTCTGAGAGGCGCCTCCTCCCTGGAGCCCCCGTGGTGGTGAAAGGAGCAGGGGCCCTGAGGCCGGGCCCCCAAATCTCTCTGGCCATTCATGTGGCCTCTCAGGGGATGTGGTGGTGACTCAGACTCCGAGGTCATGGAGAAGGCCCCTCTGATAAGCTGAGCTACGAATGTGCCTGACTCTCCTTCAGGAGGCTAGGACAGAGGACAGAGGACACCCAGGGACAATGGCAGACCAGGGCAAAGGGCAGAGAGGAGGCTGCGGAGGCAGCCAGGCAGCCAGACTCCCGCCCATGCTCCTTCACCGGGCGACCCAGACCTTGCCAGGGACTCAGGTGTCTCAGCCACAAAATGGGATGGTGGTGAGAGGGAGGGGCCTGAGTGCATGTTAAGGACCTGGAGAGCTGCCAGGAGCATCTGCAGCAAATGGGCAGGCCACACTCTCATGACCGTCCTCCCATCCCTGCAGATGATCCGGACCCAGACGACAAGGCAGAAGGTAGGAACCAGGATGGCGGCGCAGAAACCAACCGAGCATCAGGTGCACCTCGGCGTGATGCTGCCAGCCCCAGCTGAGGATCTGGCAGGCCGAGAGGCCGAGACCCCGTCCCCAGGCGTCCCTGAGGTCTGAGGGTCAGGTTGTCCATGTGTGGGACGAACGTGGCTCTCGGGCTGCTGTGGTGCCCTAGTATCCGGTGGAAGCAGGAAGGTTTGGCAGGTCCTCAGCAGGGATGCAGCCTCCTGGGCTGACGCGAGGCTCCTTGCCAGTGCCTCGACGCGCAATGCAGGTGCCACCTGGTGGCCATGGGACCCTGGAAAGGGGCTCCAGGTCCCACAAGAACACCCCAGTTCATGGCCCTTTATGGCACCCATGGGAGGGGCTGGATGGGGCTCTTTCCCGTTTACTGCGCAGTGTTCAAGTTGCCCAGAGCTCCATTAGCCTGCCCCGGTCAGCCAGCGTGGGGGCAGCAGAGCTCCATGGGGAGGGGGGCTCCTGCATCCTGATGAAGGCCCAGGCAGAAGCAGGCCCGGCAGAGCCTGAGGCTGAGGGCAGAAGGGGGTCTCTCCTGGGCGATTCTTTACTATGCCCTGACAAGCGGGTCAGCTCGCCGGCTCCCCAGGGGCATGGAAGGAAGGAAGCGTCCTCGGCATCCGTGGGGGAGATCACCTACGCCAAGTGGGGGAGGGTGAAAGGTGAAGGGGGGTCCGTGGCAGCCGGCGAGCTGGGAGAAGCACAGCACCCAGAGGAACCCAGGTGGCGACTCCTGCTCCAGGGTCCCCACACCCGCCTCTCAGGAGGGGCTCCCCTGTTTGAAGAAATAAAAGGTCCTGGGGAGGCCCCCGTGACGATTTCCCCCCACTGGTGGCCTTGTGGGAGCCTTAGGGGAGGAGACGGGATCTCCTCAATGTGATGATGGGGGCAGATCATGGGGCATCCTGGAGCCTGGCTTGGGGCGGAACTCAGTGGGGTTCAGACACCCTGGTCACTTACTCCCCTTTGGGACCAGGGAGTAAGAAACGGGTGCCTGGGGAGCCAGTGGCACACCAGGCCAGGACCAGTGTCTCATGTGGCACCAGCTCAGGACCCATGTCATGCTAGGAAACCATCATGGCACCCACTACTTGCAACAGCAGGGTCTGTACCCACTGCAGAATCTCACCCAGTCCTCCCAGCAGCCCTGTCAGCAGCCACTACTGCATCCCCATCTTCCAGATGGGAGGCTGGGCCCAGAGAAGGCGGGTGACTTGGCCAAGGCCACACAGCTGGTAATGGTGGCTGGTGCAGTGGAACCGGGCAGTTGGGGTTCAACACACGGGTTCCCCATTACCACCCAAAACCCCCCACAAGGTGCCGTGGGATGCAGGCTGCAGTGCGGCGGATGCAGATTCTGGGTTATTTTAGAATAGCCTAGAAGGTCCTCCTCTCCTGACAGGGATTCCAAGATCTATACACCTTCGCATTGTGGTAAAATACACGTGGCCTAACACTGACCATTGATAACATTTAGTACAGTCATAGCACTTTGCAACCACCACCTCTATCTAGTTCCAGAATGTTTTTGTCACCCCAGAAGGAAACCCTGCACTCATAAGCAGTCACTCCCCTCCCCCTCCCACTGGTAACCGCTCACCTCCTCCCTGTCTCTGTGGATTTGCCTATTCTGGGCATTTCATGTGAAAGGAATCAGACACTATCTGGCCTTTCATGCCTGGCGTCTTTCACCTGGCCTCATGTTTTCAGGGTTCACAACGTTGGACCAGGCATCAGTCTTCTGTTCCTCTTTATGGCTGAATAATATTCCATTGCACAGACAGACCACAGTTGGTTTTTTTGCTTACCAGTTACGACCATTTATGGTTTGGGTTGTGGGGATGTAGGATGGTGCGGCTGCTATGAAGACAGTATGGCATTCCTCAACACTCAACAGAGTTACCACATAATCCAGCAATTCCACTCCTGGGTACAGAAGAAGAGAAAGGAATGCAGGGACTCAAGCAGATATTTGCTCACCATGTTCACAGCAGCGTCATCGCAATAACCAAGAGGTGGGAGCAACCCAAATGTCCCCTGATGGATGAGTGGATAAACAAAATGTGGTCTATCCATGCAATGGAATATTACTCAGCCGTGAAAAGGAGGAGGCCGGGCACCGTGGCTCATGCCTGTAATCTCTGCACTATGTTGCCCAGGCTGGTCTCAAACTTCCGGGCTGAAACAATCCTCGCACCCAGGAGTTCGAGATCAGCCTGGGCAACACAGTGAGACACCATTTCTACAAAAAAATTAAAAACTAGCCGGGTGTGGTGACACGTGCCTGTAATCCCAGTTAATCGGGAGGCTGAAGTGGGAGGATTGCTTGAGCCCGGGAATTTGAGGCTGCACTGAGCTATGATCATACCACTGCACTCCTGCCTGGGTGACAGAGCAAGACCCTGTCTCAAAAAAATTTAAAAACACAAAAGGAAGGAAGTGCTGACACATACTACAACGTGGATGAGCCTTGAGGACATCATGCTCAGCGAAATAAGCCAGACACAGAAGGACTAATACTGTGTGATTCCATTTATCTGCAGTCCCTAGAGTAGCCAAATCCACAGAGACAGAAAGTAGAACAGTGGGTGCCCGGGGCTGGGAGAAGAGAGAATGAAGAGCTAGTGTTTACTGGGGACGGAGTTTACTGGGGACAGTGTTTATTGGGAAGATGGAAAGTTCTGAGATGGATAGTGGTGACGATTGCACAACAATGTAAGTATACTGAAGTGTATGCTTAAAAATGGCTGAGATTTTGTCCGGGCTTGGTGGCTCATGCTTGTAATCCCAGCACCTTGGGAGGCCGAGGCGGGTGGATCGTTTGAGGCCAGGCCTTTGAGACCAGTCTGGACAACATAGTGAAACCCCATCTCTACTAAAAATACAAAAATAAATAAATAAATAAAACATTCGTCGGGCTTGGTGGCGCACATCTGTAATCCCAGCTACTTGGTGGCTGAGGTGGAGGTTGCAATGAGCCAAGATGGCACCACTGTACCCCAGCCTGGGCAACAGAGCACGACTGTCTCAAAAAAAAAAAAAAAAAAAAAAAAAACAAAAAGGCTAAGATTATAGAGTTTACATGTATTTTACTATGATTTAAAATAATAACTTTTTAAAAGGGAGAGGCATGGCCCAGGCCCAGGCGCCTCACCTGCCAGCCCCATGAGTGCCTCTCTGGGCCTTTGCATCCATCTGTGCTGGGGGCTGGTGGTGGGGCCACTCTTTGGGGTCTTGGAGGATCAAATGCAAATGCACCCACGCGCCCGGGGGCCTGAGCCTGGGGTGCATGCTTGGCAGAGGTGAGCTGGGGTTTTCTTTGTCCCACACTAGACTGACTGCCTCGCGGGTGGACGACTGTTCCCAGGTCACGGTTGAGGGTGAGGCCCCAGGGAGGCCTGGGATCATGCCAGGGCAGGCAGGGTGACTGTGGCATGCAGCAGGGCTGTGAGGACAAGTCTAGGGCTAAGGTCCCATCTCAGTGTCCCCAGGCCTTGCTGTGTGGCCACAGGCATTTTGCTGCGCCTCTGCGTCCTAGGAGTGGGGATAAGCAGCACCTCGGGGCTGGCATGGGGACTGGGTAGGAGCGCAGAGACACTGAGCGCCTTGGGAAGTCCTGGGCCTGCATGTCACTCGGGGCTGGAAGTGGCTTCTCCACACCTGGTCACTTGCTGGCTGGCCCCCCACTGATGAGACGGGGTCCTTGCAGCTCCACTTCTCCCCATACATTTCTTTCCTGCCTCGCAGCTCTGGGTGCTGGGGCTTGTCTCTGCCAAACCTTCCCGGAGCTGACAGTAGGGACCAGATCTCTCCTTGTCTGCCTGGACCGTGGTGTGTAGTGACAGTTCTGGGATATATGCCCCTCTCTAGGACAGAGGCTGGGTACGGAGCTCTGAGCATTTTCCTCCAACCTGGGCTTCTTCCCTCTGGATCACTGCACCTGGGCAGAGAGGCCCAAGGAAACAAATCTCCTTGATTCTTTTGCTTGTCATTGAGAAACTCAATGCTGAGCATGAGTTGAAATTTCAGGCATGCTGAGCTGAAATTCCTGTGGCAGCAGCTGTTCTCAGGAACATGTCAGTTCCATAAGGCAGGTGCCCCCATACTGTGCAAGATAAATGTGTTTCCGGGTGTCAGCAGGCAGGACTGCCCTGGACAACTGTGTAGGTTGTTCACTCCACAAGGGGGTCTGCTGGGGGTGGTGTTCAAGTCCACTCTGTGCTCTGCCCCCCATGCTGTGCACAGCTGCTGGCATGCCTGCCTAGAGTGGGGGGCCTTCTCACATTTGCACAAAGGTATTGTGGGCTCACAGAGGTGGCCCATCAGCAAACGCCTCAAGTCTATGGGCAGAATTGTGGGTCTGTGTGCGTGCATTTTCCTAGAGGGAGGGCCCCTGGTCCTCGCCAGACTCTAAAATGGAGTCACAACCCAGAAAGAGGCCCAGAGCCCCTCTTCCAGGGAAGCAGGCACAGCACAGTGAAGCCAGCTCCCAATACAGTCCATTGTCCATGGAAAAAAAAAAAAAAGCATTTAGTGGGAATGCAGAATGGTGCAGCTGCAGTGAAAGAGTTTGAAGGTTCCTCAAAGAGTTAAACACAGAATTACCCAATGACCCAGCAATTCCATGCCTACTTATAACCCCAGAATAATTCAGAGCAGGGTCTTAGACCGACACGTGCGCATGAGTGTCCACAGCAGCACCATTCAGTAGCCAAAAGATGGACGCAACCCAGTGTCTACGGACAGAGGGATGAATAACACTCTGTGGTCGAGCCATACAGTGCGACACTCACAGAAAGGAATGAAATGCTGACACGTGTTCCAACAAGGAGAGCCTCAGAGACATGATGCTGAATGAAAGAAGCCACGAAGCACCCCACTTTGCATGATTGCATTTCTATGTAATGTCCAGAGTAGCCAAATTCACAGCGGCGGAAAGCAGACGTTGCCGGAGGCTGGGGGGAGGGGCAATGGGAGGGACGGCCCTTGGGGACGGGGTTTCCTTCTGGGGTGATGGAAATGTCCAGGAACCGGAAGAAGGTGATGGTTGCACACCCTGTGATTGTGTCGAATATCACTGTACACTTTTGAATGGTGAATTTTATGTGTATTTTTACATTTTACATTTTTAGACTTTTATTTTTGTAGAGATGGGGTCTTGCTGTGTTGTCTAGGCTGGTCTCAAACTCCCGGGCTAAACCGATCCTCCTGCCTTGGCCTCCCAAAGTGTTGGGATTACAGGTGTGAGCCACTGTGCCTGGACTTCTTTTTAAAAAGACAATCGATTCAAGGTCTCAAATACAGAGACTCCTAGGTGCAAATTCTACATCCTTATTCCAGTGTCAGAACTGCTGAGAATGTCCAACCTAGCTCCAATCACAACCCGGGGGCCCATGTCATCTGGCCCCTCCCCCTGCTTGCCTGGCGTTCCCTCTGCCGCAGCCATGCTGGGTGCCCCTCTGTTCCCCAATGACTGGCTCCCATCAGCTTTTTGGGGGACATGCATATTTCTTTAATTGAGATGAGCTTATATAATGTAAAATTCACACTTTTAAAGTGTGCGACTCCATGGCATTTAGTACATTCACAGTGTTGTGCAAGCACCACCTCTAGTTCATCCCCCTACAAGGAAACCCCCTACCCATTAGCAGTCAGTCCTCACTCTCCCCTTCCCCAGCCATAGGCAAGCACCAATCGGCCTGTCCTGGACATTTCATGAAAATGGAACTGTGCACCATGTCTCCTTTTGTGTCTGCTTCTTTTACTCAGTGTCACCCCTTCCATGCTCACCCACAAGGTGGCACGTCTCATCACTTTCTTCCTCTTTATGGCCAAGTAGTGTTCCACTGCATGGGTGCCCATTCTCCAAGAGCTGTGGTACATGGCTGGTCTGAGCTCATCCCAGCCCAGTGTCTCTTGGTGAAGGAGGAGTAAAGGCCAGTATCTGCTAGGCGCTGCCCTAGAGGGGCAGTGTATTAGTCTGTTTTCCTGCTGCTATTAAGGACATACCCAAGACTGGGTAATTTATAAAGGAAAGAGGTTTAATTGACTCACAGTTCTGCATGGCTGGGGAGGCCTCAGGAAACTTACAATCATGGCAGAAGGGGAAGCAAACACGTCCTTCCTCACATGGCGGCAGGAGAGAGAAATGCTGAGTAAAAGGGGGAAAAGCCCCTTATAAAACCATCAGATCTTGTGAAAATTCACTCACTATCATGAGAACAGCATGAAGGTAACCGCCCCCATGATTCAATTACTTCCCACTCGTTCCCTCCCACAACACATGGGGATTATGGGAACTACAATTCAAGATGAGATTTGGGTGGAGATGCAGCCAAACCATATCAGGCAGTAACTCACTAAGTCCTTGCTCAGCCCTGGGAGGCAGGTGCTGTCCCCATTCACAGACAGAAGCCACCATGGAGGGCCCAGGGCAGGACACAGGGCTGGGACAAGGCCCCAGGTGTCCTGGTCTGCAGTCTGTGGTCTTGCCCCTGAGCCAGGCTGGCTTCAACAAATGCCAGCTGGATGAAAGAATGACAGTGTCCTAAGACTGCTGGGGAGTCCAAACTGGTGGCTTCACTCTAGCATGTCACTTCTTCCCATAAATGACAGTGACACAGTTCATCAGTTCAGGTGACGCTTCAGACACTACTGCACAGACCGAGGGATGTAGAGGACAATGGCGAGGTGGGGACTCACGATCTGCATGACGGTCTTTCCCTTGACTGTCTGCCTCACCGAGAGTGCAGTCAGGCCATGAAGCTGCTTCGGCCCAACAGAGATGAGGATAGTCAAGTTCGTTAGCTATGCAGGGGCAGGAGATGTGGATAGTGCCTCTGGCTGGGGAAACACTGACAAAGGAGCCATGGCTCCAGGACCCTGGTCAGGGTGGTCCTCAGCTCTCACACTCTGCTTCCCACCCATGTTGAACAGGGCAGAGCTGACCTGGAGGGAAGACTGGCTTTGGGGCAGGTGAGGCAGGCACATGAAGTAGTGCTCATGACCAGGGATGGTTCCCACGAACACCTTCCTCCCTCCCACCCTCTATTATCCATTTTCCATCCATCTGCTCACCTAATCCATCTTCCCACATGAGTCAGTCCATCCATCGCTCTATCCATCCATTACTCCATCCATCCATCTGTCCTTCCATCCATCCTCTATCCTCCATCATTCAGTCCATCCATCACTCTATCCCTCTGTTCTTCCATTCATCCATTCATTATCTACCATCATCCATCTGCCATCATCCATCAGTCTAACCAGTCCATCCATTTATCCATCATCCATCCATCCATCCATCTGCCATCATCCATCAGTCCAACCATCAGTCCGTCCGTCCATCCATCCATCCATCCATCCATCCGTCCGTCCGTCCATCTATTCATCCATTCACCATCATCCATCAGTCTATTCATCTGTCTGTTCGTCCATCTCCCCGTCCTTCTGTCTGCTGGTGCATCTCATGTCTGTCAGGTTGCCTCTGTGAGGTCAAGTGTTGTGCTAGACGCTGGGGAATGAATAACTCCTGGCCCCGCCTTTAAGGGCTGCACAGTTGGGCAGGAGGATGGCCACCCAGGGGGACCGAGGCCAGCCCTGCAGCAGGGCCACCCAGCAGCACTGTGGGAAGTCCCTGTGCTCCACGGGGCAGGAGAGGTTCGGGTGGGCCATCCGCTGGCAGGGAGCTGGGCCCAGGCACTTGGGAAGCTTGGGAGCCTGAGAAGAAGGTGTCAGGGCCTGGTAAGCTGTGGGGGAAGCAGTGACTGGCCGGAGACCCCAGGAAAGGCACATAGCCCAGAATGGACATGTGGCTCACCCGAGGCTGGTTGACTGAGGGGGCTGCGTGGGGGCTGGGCCTGAAGCCAGACCAGCCCTACAGGGCCCAACTCTCTGCAGGTGCACACACTGTCGCCAAGGCACGTGGACACACCTGCACCCCCAGGCCCCAGCCACCGACAGCACCATGCCTGCCCCCTGGGGGCCCTCACCCTGGGCTGAAGCCCACCCAGGTCTGCTGGAGGCACCGACCCAGGAGACCTCCTTACCCTGGCCTCACTGCCCGGCTCTGTGCTGAGCCTGCCCTGTGTGGTCTGAGCGGAGCTCACAGTGCCAGGGGCTGGGCCAGCTGTAAGTGGCGGGGTGTGGCGGGCTCATCACGCTTGTTGTTTGTTAAAGTTCAACTCCGTTGGACCAAGCTGAGATGAGGCTTGGTCTAAAATAAAACCGGAGCTGCGTCAGTGTGTGGGCCGGCTCTGTAGGCTGGAGGCCACTCCACAGCCAGCAAAGTGTGGCTGTGCACCCCAGGGCTGTCCCCACCCAGGCTGGCGAGCTGTCCCCATGAGGCCCAGCTGTGGCCTCTGGTGAACCCGAGAGGCAGAATGGCCGGCCGATCCTGAGGCTGTGTCTGCACCCACATGGCTGCGGTGGGCACAGGGCCCACTCCCAGGGACCCGATTCCCACACTCAGTGTCTCCCATGAGCTCCTGGGCTTCAGGCTTGTGGCTCCCCTTCAGCTGGGGTCAGACACCTCAGGCTTGGCTCTCACTTCTTGAGCCAATGTCTTGGACATTTCGTGAAAATGGAACCGTGCACCGTGCCACCTTTTGTATCTGCTTCTTTCACTCAGTGTCACCCCTTCCATGCTCACCCACAAGGTGGCATGTCTCATCACTTTCTTCCTTTTTATGGCCAAGTAGTGTTCCACTGCATGGGTGCCCATTCTCCAAGAGCTGTGGTACATGGCTGGTCTGAGCTCATCCCAGCCCAGTGTCTCTTGGTGAAGGAGAGAACCATGGGGTGAGGACAGAGCAGAGGACCCTTCTTACTCCAGGAAATAAACAGCATTTTCTGAGCCGTGTTGAGTGTTGGGCTTTGTGTCGTACGTCAGCTAGAAGAGGGTTCCCCAGATGAGGCTGGGGAGGGGTGGGGGCACGGTCTGCCCATGCTCCTTTTGCTCCCTCAGGGCCTCCCAAACACTGAGATCCTAGTTTGAAAGGATCTGCCAAGTTCCCTGAGCGCCCCCCTCTCAGAGTCCCCTGCAGGGGTGTCCCCAACAGCCCCTCCAGAATTTAGGCCTGAGAAGCGGAGGAGGGAAACCTCCCCCCAGGATGCTCATTAGGAAAGAAGCCCCCAGGGCCAGCATGGCAGCCCCCAAAAGATATGTCCTAGTCCCCGGAACCTGTGAATATGACTTTATTTGGAAAAAGTCTTTGCAAATGTAATTATGTTTCTCAACAGAATATGACCCGGGATTTATGGTGGTTTAAAATCCAATGACACGTGTTCTCGTAAGAGACAGAAGAGGAGGAGACACACAGCTGGGAGAGGGCATGTGGAGATGAAGTCAGAGACAGGATGCAGCCAAGCCAAGGAACGCTGGGAGCCCCCAGAAGCTAGAAGTGGCAGGAGGCCTCCTCCCCGGAGTCTTGGGATGGCACGGGGCCCTGCCACACCTGGCTGCAGCCCTGTGAGGCTGCTGTCTGACTTCTGGCTCCCAGGACTGTAGGGGAACACATTCCCCTTGCTTGAAGCTGCCCCGTTTGTAGCCACTTGTGGCAAGCCCAGGCCACTCAAACACACCCAACAAAGTGAAGAAATAGGCGGCTGGGCCCTGGCTCAGTCCTGCAGAGGCACGAGTCAGCTCTGCGGAGGGGACCCTCGACATTCTGCTGGCAACAGGGACCGTGTGTGCGGGGCCAGGCCTGGTGTAGCCGACGTCAACCCTGCAGCAGGTCACAGAGGCCCGTGGGGGGTCTTCCAGGAGGCATTTTATGGGGCACGTGCCCTGAGGAACTCTCTGGCCAGTCACCTGCCCTAGCTGGATTTACATTGAGAGGGCAGCGAGAGACCCCATGAGTGTCACAAAACAGTGATCTCAAAGTAGCTCACTCACTTGCAGAGGGGCGTTACCCTTGAACACTCGTGACCATCCTGGGCCCAGCACACCCACGGGGCAGTAGCGAGCGGTGGAGATGAGGGGCAGAGACCAGTGGGGATTCAGGCGGTCACTGTCACCTCCCCAGCCTGAGGCCTGGGTAAGGCCAGAAAGCTGAGTCACCCCACCCGGGGGCTCCTGCAGCCCTGCCTGTGGACATAGCCAGCAGCCCACACGGAGTCCCCGGGCGCTGACCTCTTCCAAACAGCCTTGCCAGTCCTTCCCCCAGAATTAGCCGACAGTGACCCGGAGGGACCAGGGGATCTGAGGCCACCGCCTTTGTCCCGAGGGGCTTGGCCAAGGATGCACAGTGGAGTGGACACTGCTTGCCAGGCCTCTTGTGGACTGCACGCTAGGCCTCTGTGCCAGGCTCTGGATGGGGCAAAATCACAGGTGGCACATGGCTCATATGGTATTCTGGGGATGCGTCCTCCCCTGAGCCAGTGCTAAGGAGGTGGCTCCCACTGTCCCATGCAGTGTCCTGGCCCTTGGTCAGAGTAAAGCTCTGGTCAGGAGGAAGGAGCAGGATAACGTGGGGCTAACCTGTCTGCTGCAGGAAATGCATGGAGGAGGAGGTGGCTGTCACTCTTGCTCCGTCAGTGGTGGAGTCTGTGCTGGTTCCCTGGGGCTCTGCCTGCTCCAGGGGGAGATAAGATCCACCAGCCAGGGGGCAGAACAGCCCCCGGGGCAGAGCCTCCAGGGAACAGCCCCATTCCACACAGAGAAAGCACTGGGTGGGGCGGGAGGCACGCACAGACGGTGGGGAGGGCTGAGTGTTGGGGGCAGCCCTGAGTGCTGTCTCAGGGGCACCCCCAGCCTCACCATCAACCACCCCTCCATTAGCCTTGGCTACTGAGATGCAGCCTAGAAGAGGACGTGGGCTAGGAAGCCTCCTGGGTTACCCCGTCGGCCGCCACAAGCCTGGCACCCAGGCACTAGGCTTGCAGAACTACTCTGCCTCTCGCTCGGGGCCGATGTACGGGTTTACTTTTACCTTATGCAGAGTTCTAACAGGGTGGCTAACTGGATCTGCGGCACACAGAGGATCAGGATCAGGAAATCAGACAAGGAAGAAGGGCTGCAGAGGCAGGCCCATGCACACAGAGGGAGAGGCCGGATGGCAGAGCGTGCACGGCCGACCCCAGGATGCAACAGCACCGAATGCCAGTGCCACAGAGAGCAGGCTGTGCCACACGCGGGCCTGGCATGACCTGGTGCCCAAACGCAGCTGGCAGGACAGCCTTGGATGGACTGGAGACATTAAATGATGTTCTCCATTTAAAGAAAGTAGAGTAAATGAAGAACATTTTAGAACATTCCATCCCAAATGGGGGCCAGACTCCGAGTCGGGGTGCCCAACAGATCTGCGGGGGAAAGGTGCTGTGACACCGCGGTCTGGGGGGTTTAGGGCACACAGAAAGCTCACTCGCCACGCTCACCACGCTCACTCGCCACGCTCACCACGCTCACTCGCCACGCTCACTCACCATACTCACCACGCTCACTCATGAGTGGATGAGCAATCACAGACAGCACCACAGGCTGGCGGCAACTCCGGCGCTCTTATCTACCCAGCTTCTCCCTGCCCAGACTCTGCTGTGGGGACCAGGATGTAATCTGGGCGCTGACCCATGTCCACCCTCTCCTCGTTCAGCTGGGATGAGCCATGACCCAGCAGGCTGGGGTTTCCAGGGAGTGCGCTTCTCTCCCGGGGGGGCCGTAGCAGAGGGCCTGGGTGCTTTAACCACAGACGTTCATGTTCCTACAGTCCTGGAGGTGAAGTCCAAGATCAAGGTGTGGGCAGGGTGGGTTCCTCTGGGGACTGCGAGGCAGTTTCTGTTCCAAGCATTTTTGTGCCCCTGGTGGTGGCTGGCAAGCCTTGGTGTCCCTGGCTTGGAGGAGCATCACCCCCCTCTGCCTCCATCTTCGCCTGGCCTTCCCACTGTGTGCCTGTCTGCGCCCAAACCTCCCTCTTCTTACAAGGAAGTGGGCCAGTAGATCAGGGGCTGCCCTACCCTTGTGACCCCATCTTAACCAGTCACATCGCAATGTCCCAATTTCCAAGCAAGACCTCACTCTGAGGTAATGGGGGTTAGGGCTTCAACGTAAGAATCCAGGGGAACACGATTCATTCCACAGCCGTGAGTTATGGGCATGCTTGTCTCATCTCACATGCCTCCCCCAGGCCAGTGTCCCCAAGAGCAGGGGCCAGGGCTCACCCATCTCTGCAAGAAGGAGAACAGAACCAGCAAGCGGGGCGCCCACGGGCAGGTCAAGGGGACGGCGTCTGAGAAACCCAGGCAGGCTGGGGCCCCTCCCTCCTGTGGAGTCGAGGTGATGAAGGCAGGCTGGGGCTCCTCTCTCCTGCGGAGTCGGAGTGATGAGGACCATTCTCATCCTACCACCTCCTCCCTGCCCGCGGGAGCCTGGGAGTCTCATGTCCAGCCTGACACACACACGATACCCATGGCCGCAGCTTCACGATTAGCGACGGGGGGTGAGCTGACTCCATGGAGGCCTTGAAACCCACCCCGTCAGCCCCACCCAGGGCTGCATCTTTATAGTTTTAATTTTTAACTGTACTGCGGTAAAATCCATATAACATAAAACTTCCAACCTGCCCAACATGGTGAAGCCCCATCTCTACTAAAAATACAAAAATTAGCCGGGTGTGGTGGCGGGCGCCTGCAACGCCCAGCCACTCGGGAGGCTGAGGCAGAGGTTGCAGTGAGCTGAAATCACGCCACTGCACTCCAGCCTGGGCGAAAGAGTAAGACTCAAAAAAAAAAAAAAAAAAACTCAGATATAAAACTCAGCACGCTAACCTGTTAGCGCAGAATTCAGTGTCACTGAACACACAATGTCCAGAACATTCTCATCTTCCCAAACTGAGCCTGTCCCTGTGAACCACTAACTCCCCATCTCCTTCCCCAGCCCCTGGCACTCACCCTCCAACTTTCTGTCTCCATGGACTTCGCTACTCTAGAAGCTTCGTATGACTGGGATGGTTCAGTGCTGAGCTTGTCTCCCGTGACTGGCTTATTTCACTTGGCATAATATCCTCAAGGGTCCTCCATAGGAGGCCTTTGTAGCCAGTGTCGGTTTTCCCTCCTGCCTAAGATGGAACGATGCTCCCTGATCGGGATACACCACATTTGCCTTCCTCCTGCACCGGTGATGGACACTTAAGCTGGCCCTTTCACCTGAGAACACCTGTCCTTCCGTCAGCCTGGCTGCACCTCTAAGCCTTCCCTACTCATCAGCCTGGCGGGAACAGTAGGAATAGCCACCGGCCCCCCACCAACCATCCTTGGCTTCATCAAGAAAATGGACAGCTGGCTGTGCTGGCTGGGCAGCTTCCTGGCGTGCCCTCCTGGCCAGTCACCTCTGCAGGTAGCAGGTGGGCTGGCAGGCACGAGCCAGCTAGGACACGGTGAGTGATGACTAGATGTGTAGGTGACTGTGGGCCTCACCAGAGACCTCTGGGCAGGCAGGGGTGAGGCCAGCAGGCACTGACAGATGTGGGGCGTGGAGCCTGGTGTCCAACTTGGCTCTGAGAGCCCGGTTTATGGCCTAAGGCAGTGGTTTTCAAGCGGGGGAAACGGTGCCCCCCACAAAACACATTCAGCCATGTTGGGAGATATTTTTGGTTGTGACAACAACTTGTGTTGCTACTGGCATCTTGTGGGTGGAGACCAAGGAAGCTGCTATACATCCTACAAAGCACAGGACAGTCCCCCACAACAGAGAATTGCTGAGTCCCAGGTGCCACCAATGCCGGGGCTGACCCTGCCCTAAGGCTGAGGGCAGCCATCTTGGAAGGCAGCCTGCAGTTCTCGTGGCAGCTGGCACAGAGCAGGACCCATGCAAACCAGAGAGCTCCTCACTCAGAAGCTTCTGCACACCCCGTGACAGTGGCTAGAGGGGGTTTACTGCCCAGGATCCACGCTACTCCTCTGTGCACGGGCCACTGAGTGCCCAGTAGTGCCTGGGCAAATGCTGAGTGGCTGCTGCATGGCATGGTTGAGTTATTGCAGAGAAGTTACAAAAACAGACTACATAGTGAGCTGACCGGTGGCCCTCGAAAGATATGTCCATGCCTTTAACCCCTGGCACCTGCCAATGTGACCTTATTTGGAAACAGCCTCTTTGTAGATATAATTAAGTTAAGGATTTCGAGATGAGATCATCCTCGGTTACTGAAGTGGGCCCTGAATCCAGTGACGGGTGCCCTTATGAGGGATGAGAAGAGAGAGGAGGATGAGGCTGTGTGACGACAGAGACACAGGTTGGCACCATGTGGCTAGCAGCCAAGGAATACCGGGAGCCCCAGAGCTGGAGGAGGCAAGGAAGGACCCTCCCCTAGAGCCTAGAGGGGGCTCATGGCTTTGCCCACACCTTGATTTTGGAATTCTGGCCTCCGAACTGTGAGAAAATCCATGTGTGTCGTTTGCAGCACAGCCCCTGGAGGTGCATGTGGGCTGTGCTCAGCCCTGCTTATGGGACACGGCCATAGCCTCCTGACCCTCACTGGGCAGGGCTCTGGGACTCTCTCCAACACCTCCACTCTAACCATCAGGTCCTTCCTGGAGCACAAACCCAACAGCCCAGGAAGGTTGGCAAACGACTCAGAAGTCATGTGGGCCTGAGTGGCTACTCCTGGAAGCTGGTTCCCAAAGAAGCATTTTCACAAGACAACCTGATCACGCAGCTTCCTGCCTGTACCCTGGCGGGGTTTCCAATGGGCCTCCTAACTCCCGGGCACCATAGCCTCAGTTTCCCCACTGCCATGAAGAGAGGCAGGAAATGTTCCCAGGGGATTTCTCTAGTATCTCAAGGGCTGACTGTCCCCCCATCTGGAGATCTCAGCAGGAAGGGGGCCCCCCCGGGACCGCTGACCAATCCCACAAATGAGAACTTGAACAGAGCAAGCAGGCGGGTAGAAGGGCAGGGGCGGCATGCGCTGGGTGAGGAGGCAGAGCCCTCAACCGGCCTGGCGTGGGGTGGCGGCTGAGCTCCCCAGGGTAACTGCATGTGCTTTTCATGGAACTGGAACTGCAGTTTGATGGCCGGGCACCTTTCAGATCAGAGGATGCTCTGTTAGAGAAAGGCACGGAGGAGCCACACACAGTCTGCGTTGTGAAATGGGTATTTGGTTTTCCTCTCCTCTACTGACACATGGCTCCTAAAATCTCAGGACCCTCCAGAGTGCTGAGTGTCTTTGTATGCTAGTGAGATGACTGGTGGCTGGGGGTCCCTAGATAGCTTCAGAATGGGGGCTGGTTACCAAAAGAACCAATCCCAAGATTAGAGGGTTGGAATTTTCCGCCCTGCCCTCCAGCCTCCAGGGAGGAGAGAGAGAGGCTGAAGGTTGAGTCGATCACCAATGGCCAATGATTGAATCAATCATGTCCGTGTAATGAAACTTCCATAAAACCCCCAAAAGGACAGGGTTTGGAGGAGTTTCTGAATAGATGAACACGTGGAGGTTCCTTGGGGGTGGCGTGCCTGGGCAGGGCATCAAAGCTGCACGCCTTCCCCTGTACCTCACCCCACACATCACTCCATTTGTAATATCCTTTATAAGAAACCGGCAAACGTATTTCCCTCCATTCTGTGAGCTGCTCTAGCAAATTAATTGAACCAGAGAAGGGCATCATGGGAACCCTGATTCATAGCTGGTCGGTCAGAGGCACAGGTCACAACCTGGGGCTTGTTCTTGGCACCTGCAAAGGACGTGGGGCCCATCTTGTGGGACTGAGCCTCACCCTATGGGATCAACACACTCTCCAGGTGAGCAGTGCAGAACTGAATTGAATTAGGGGCACCTGCTGGTGTCCGAGGGAACCGATTGCTTGCTTGCTGTGTGTGGGAACCCCACTCATCTGGCCACTGAGGGCTCTGTGTGGATTGCGTTGAGAGAGTATAGTGGGAAGAAACTGAGTTTGCTTTTTCCTATAGCCTCACAGTCCCCCCAAATTTGGCCTCAACGAGAGGCTGTTAGCAGACACGTTCCCATTTCTTAAGGCAACTTTCCAGAAGTCAGGAAACAGCCTATTTGGAAAACCCAACCCTGACCTCCCATCCTGTGCCTCTCCCTGGGGATGACAGGCCCAGTTCAAATCTCCACTCTCCACATGCAGGAGAGAGTCCTGGGGCCGCAGAACCTCTCCAGCCCCGGCCTGCCCACTCTGTGCCTCAGTGTCCTCATCTGGAAAATGGGCCAGTCCCAGCAGCTACGGGGAACATAGCTGTTGTGAAGATAAAATGAGCCCCCAAAGGTGGAGCCCCACGCGTAGGACCTTCCAGACCAGCTGTTAGCAATTGTCATTGTTTAGCCTGGGGTTTGGAGGGGGGCAAGGCTACTGCCCCTGTCTGTCCCTGTGAGACCCGGAGCAGCTGCCCGTGGGAGAGTGACTGACGGATCTCACTGTGGGCCGTGCAGTGTGTATGGTTCACCAGGGCCCAAATCCCTGCCCAGGGAGAGGCACTCAGCAGGGTCAGGAGGGGCCACCCCGCCCTCAGGTCACAGTAGACACCATCCCATCCCAACACCCCCTCCCTGGCCTGGACCAGCAGATGGACTTGGGACCAGGAGCGGGGTGGCCACCTCTGCAGGGACACAGGTCTTTCATCCGGTAGGCGACAAAAGGGGAGGCCCCTGCTGCTGCTGTGACCTGAAACCGCAGTCTCACTGCGACGACAGAGGCGAGACCTCAGCCCACCCTCAGGCTTCTGATGCCACAAAGGAGCAAATGTCACCGGGGCTGTCCTGGGCAAGGCACCGGTGTCCCCACCCACAGGTCCTTCAGGGATTGCATCCTCTGAGCCCACGTGAGCACCAAGGACACCGTCGCGGGACCACGTGGGGCTGCGGCCTCTGGGGATGGGCCAGCTGCTGTGTCTCCTGCTGGGGTGGCGGTGGACCTCGGGAGCTTCTCTCACATGCCAAGCACGGGCACAGGATGGCCTCTTGGAAGAGGATGGGCCGGTGGCAAGAGCCCAGGCCAGGGCAGGCAAGGGCCACTGGGGCCTGGGAGGGGTTGCGCTCTGATTCCCCGATCACCACCCCAGTCCTGCCGTGGGCGTCTCTTTTTGTCTGAGAATGGATGGAAGTGGCTCCTGCAGTCCCTGGGCTCGCGCTGTCTGAGCTCCTAATCCGGCTGGCCGGAGGCAGCGTCGCATTGCTAATCAGCTCCTTTGTGTGCCAGTCTCGTCTTCCTGACCAGCTCCCAGCTCCTGCCTGTCTGCAGCTCCTGCTCCAGAGACATTCACGGCCCCTGACTCACTGCAGCCTTTGCTGGCCCTGGGGTGGGGCTCCCAGGGAGGGGCTGGCCAAGCAGGGGAGTCAGGGCAGCTCTGGGAGGCCCCGAGCCACCGCACGCTCTCTCCTGGATGGCGCCCACCTCAGCGCCCACTGCAGAGCTGAGGGTCCTCACCTCGGGGTCTTGGTTTTCTCCCCTGAGAGCAGCTCAGTGACAGCACCGTCTCCCTAAGGCCACTGGGACGGGATAATTCACGCACACCCTCCGTACGGCGCCTGCACACGGTAATTGCTCATTAAACAGCTGGTGTTGTATTTTTTTCTGACACCAAATACATCATTCCAACATCAACCAATTCTCTAATCCCTGCCAGCTGGGTGTCCTACTGCTCAGTTCAATTCTGACAGTACCTCCCAGAGTCAGTGCAGACCCTGCGGGCGAAGGGCCCAGTCCCACAAGACTGCCCCAGCCTCGGAGGCCAGTTGCCAAGAAGTGGCTCCCCAGATGACCCACACTTCTGCCTGGCTGACTACGAGTCAGAGCTCCCATAACCCTTGCTCAGGTCTGATATTTGCTAGAACCATTCACAATACTCGGGAACATGCATCACTTATGGCAACCAGTTGATTATGGAGGCTGCACCTCTGAACAGCCCACAGGGAAGAGAAGCTCGGGGCAAATGGGGGGTGCAGAGCTTCCACACCCCCTTGGGTACCACCAGCTTGGAACCTCCCAAGCCTGGTTGTTTTTTATAAATTTATTTATTTAATTTTTTTTTTTTTTTTTTTTTGTAGAGATGGGGGTCACACTATGCTGCTTAGGCTGGTCTTGAACTCCTGATCTCAAGGAATCCGCCCGCCTCGGCCTCCCAAAGTGCTGGAATCACAGGTGTGAACCACTGCGCCCAGAGTTTTAATGGAGGTTTCAATACTTAGGTACAGCTGATTAATCATTGGCCAATGGCAATTGAGCTCAACCTCCAGCCCCTCTTCCTGAGCCTTCTGCACCTCTAGAATCATGTGGTTGGTTTTTCTGGTGACCAGCCCCTGCCATCCTGAAGCTATCTAGCCTCCGCCTCCCCTAAGTATCATCTCATTAACATATAAAAGACAGGAAATTCAAGAGGTTTTAAGAGTTCTGTGCCAGGAACTAGGGACAGAGACCCCAATGCATGCTTTTTTATTATTCCAAGTTGTCAAGTTGTCGAGAGTCCAGACACCTTGCCTCATTGGTCAGTCTTTCCTCAAGATCGAGACCCTCCCAGCTTCCCTGACCCTCATGCTACAGCCCAGTCCCATTGAAGCCTCCCCCTGCCGACTGGGCTGGTGTAGACCCCTGGTGGGCCTTGGTGGGAGGGTGTCCACTGCCTTGCTGGCCTTGGCAGATGCTGGGCTGCCCCAGTCCCCTCCCTGGGAACAAGGGGGAACAATGCATACACCTCCCTGCTGGCTCTGGGTGTCTCCAGCGTGTCAGGCCCTCGAGGTTCCTCCAGCTGCAGAACCTTCTGGGGGGCATCCTGCCTTGGCCAGCTCTGTGCTTGCCAAGCTATGATTAAGATTCTTTGCTTCACCAGACTCCCTGGACTTCTCCTGAGTCCATCTGTGCGCTTCCGTATCAAATCCAACTTTAGCAAGAACTCCCGACCCTGGATACCTGATCAGGCCGCTCACCTCCCACCCCCACCTGGGATGTCTGCTCACCCCAGCCTGCCTGCAGCAAGAATCCCATTAGGTCAGTTTACCCAGAATCTCCCTCACCCTTGATGCTTCCACTCAGGAATTTTCCACCCTCTCACTCCCACCCACTCCTGGGCCCTAAATCCCCACTAGCCCATGCAGTATTAGGAACTGAGTCCTATCCCGTACTAAGTCTCCTCCCTATTCAATATTCTGCTACTCCCCTACCGCAATAGTCCTGGATAAAAACTGTATTTATTAACAACTTTTTTTTGAGACAGAGTCTCGCTCTGTTGCCCAGGCTGGAGTGCAGTGGTACAATATCGGCTCACTGCAACCTCCACCTCTTGGGTTCAAGCGATTCTCCTGCCTCTGCCTTCTGAGTAGCTGGGATTACAGGCACCTGTCACCACACCTGGCTAATTTTTGTGTTTTTAGTAGAGATGCCGTTTCACCAAGTTGGCCAGGCTGGTTTCAAACTCCTGACCTTGGGTGATCCACCCACCTCACCCTCCCAAAATGTAGGGATTACACGCATGAGCCACCGCACCTGTCCTATCGCTTTAACTTCTGTTCAGCTCTAGTCACCCCACAGCCCAGCACAGAGCAGGTGCCTGTAATCCCAGCTGGACAGCGTGTCTGAGTATCAAACAGCTATTCCTCAGTCTTGAGGAAGGTACAGATCTGATTTGAAAAGAAAAGCAACTTCTCTGGGACCCCCGCTTGAATAGCTGACTTGAAAGGCTGAGCTCTTACTCTACGTAATTGTCTTCCAAGTGCAAATTAACTCTGCTAAAGGAATCCTTGGTCCCCATAACCATTTAGACACAATCGAGACAGAGAATTTCAATGTTCTTGGCAAGCCCCTGCAAGCCCGAGGCTGAGCTTCATGGCAGCAGAGTGAAGATAAGCTTGTTATCAGCTCACTGAGTTTGAACTAGAACCGGAAACATCCTGTCTCCCTGCCAGCCACACAGAATGCCCTAGAAGGCTGTGGGTGTGGCTGGCATCAGCATCCTGGCCTGGCCTGGTGCAGCCTTCTGGGCAAAGGAGGCGCTGACATATGTGGCTTGTACTGGACAGATGTGGGAGCCACTGCCCTCTCACTCCGCCTTCCTTCCCAAGGATGGCCGGCAGGGGTTGCCAGCATCCGGGTGGGCTGTGCCCAGACACTGGCCACCCCTGGAGCAGGCGGCTGCTCTCCCCACTCAGCGGCCCGCTGCCTGAAATAGATGCTTCCAGTTTTCTCCTGTGATTTTGATCTTTCTGAAAAGAGCCTCTGACACAGACGTGCACACACAGCCATCTCTAACAATCGATGGATGGCTGGATTTCCCTTCCTACTGGGACTGCCCTGATCCCAGGTGGGGAGACTCTGCTTCTAGGGCTGCCTAGCCCAAGTCCCATCCCGTCCACCCGCCACTTCCCTGCTCTTGACCTCAGCCCGTCTCCCGCTGGGCTCCGTTCTCAGGGCAGCATCTAGAGTTTAGTGGGAGGCTGGCCGGCGCCTGTGCCCGGACATGGAGCCCACTCTCTGTCCTTCCCCTTCCAGAGTCCCCAAGGATGAGAACAGAGGCTGTCACTTTCTCCCCTAGGAGGCAGGTGTGGTCTATGGGAGAGGCTGCCCTGCGCAAGTGCTGAACCCTGGCTGTTGGGATCACGGGTTATTGTGGGTTGAAAAGTGTTACCCCCAAACCTATGTCCATGTCCTAACCCCCGGAGCCTGTGAGCGTGACCTTATTTGTAAACAGGGTCTTTGTAGATGTAATCAAGTTAAGATGAGGTCACTGGGGTACATCCTAATCCAGTCATTGGTGTTCTCAAACAAGAGGACAATGTGGACACGCATGGTGGGAAGGAGGCCAGGTGAACACTGATGCAGAGATGGGGGCTGCTGCTGCAAGCCAAGGGGTGCTAGGGGTTGCCAGCAGCCACCGGGAGCAGGAAGAAGCTGGAGGAGTAGGCAAGGCTCCTCCCCCAGGGCCTTCCGGGAAAGCATGGCCCTGCTGACATCCCGACTTCAGACTGCTAGCCCCCAAACTGTCAGAGACCACGCCTCTGTTGTTCTAGCCACAGGGTCTGTGGGACGCTGTGACAGCAGCCCCAGGAAATGGATTCCCAGGCACAGCTGTGCACACGGGGGCGCTCGACGTGAAAGCTCATGCTGACCACACAGGCCCTGAGACCATGGTCCGACTTACGTAGGTACTTATCACAGGCTGCAAGCACCGCAGCCCCCAGTGACCTGTGCAGCGGAACAAAGGATTCCACGCCGACTGAGCCAAAGGCATCCCTTCCAGACATGGATGAGGTGCGGGTCATTTCAAGTTTCTTCTGCCTCTCTCACCCCAAGCCCACAGTCACACTGGTCCCCCTAGTGAAGGGCCCTTAAAAATAAGCTCCCGATGGCCGAGAAAGGTGCTCCTCTGTATTTAGGAAATGGAGCTGCCTGCTTCCTCTTTGGTGATGGGACATCGACTAGGACGGCCTCATGACATTTGCGAAGCGAGGTTGCTTCCGCTGTCCTCTCCTTTGGTGCTCGAGGCAGTGTGGCCAGGGGCAGGCGGGGGCCGTGGCTCCCCTCTCAGAAGCTGGGCTCAGCTGGGAAGTGACCCGAGGTCCCCGGCCAGGGACTGGGGAGCTTGAGTGGGACACCAGGGTCCCAGAGCTCTGTCCCTGGGATGGGACGAATGTATTAGGACCTCGAAGGAATCTTCAGCCCTGTTGGAATTCATGCCTCTTGGAGGTGAGACCTTTTCCACAGACAGTTAACACCGACACAGGTGCTCGAGGAAACAGAGCTGCATTTTAGGCGTGATTCTCACCATACCTCCATGTTTGGGTTTTTCACCAGGCAAGGGGCTTGCGAAAGACACAGCGAAGCTCCGGTTCACTCGCAGCCACCGCCTCTGGGGGACTTGGTGGGCTCTCTCCTGCTGGGCTCTGTCAGGGCTCTGTCCAGTGCTGGCCGAGGCCTCCCCATGTGCAGGGCACTGCCCTGTAGCCTCCCCGGTCCCCCAGAAAAACCGCACCGGCTTGGCCACCACCCCAGAAGCCAGGAAGCCAAGAGCAGCTCAGGCCTACCAGCTCCCGCCAGGCTCCCCTCTTCCTACTCCTGCCTGGGGTTCCTGTATCCCTGGAAAGGGAGGCACCATCAACCCACCCCCTCTATGCCCACCCAGCAGCCCAGGTGTTCTGCTGCAGACCCACTCCCGGTAGCACCTCTGGAAGGGGACACATCCCTGCCATGAACGACCTCAGCCTCCTTACAGCCCTTTCCCCATGTCAGTTAGGCAGAGGAGACCCTCCCTACCTGGAGGGTGGGCAGGAGCACAGCTGGTCTTGGAGCAGACGCCACCCCTCCCCTGCTGGAGCCTGCTGCATGCGTACCCCCAGGTGGGCTGGGGCAGGGGATGCTCTTCGGTTTTTGGCAAATGCTGCGTTCTACACCCTGGACCCTGCTTCTCACTATACCAGGGTCTTTCTATTCAAGACTAAAGTCTAGCCCACTGCTACTGCTGCTCAGTGAAAATCTCATCTGCTGGATCTGCTGGCGAGGCCTCCGTTCAGGAGGAAAGACCACATCCAAGGGGTCGGCTCGCATTTGGTCCCGGATTCGCGTGGGTTGGTGGGCTAAGAACTGAGCGATGTTGTTAGCGAAGGTCCCACGTGAAGGAGAACCCTGGGGAGGGGCCCGGTGGTGAAGGGGGTATACCCTGTAGGCTCAGCGCCCAAACCTCCCTTCAGTCCTGGGCCACGGGGCTCTCCCAGGCAGTCAGCGGGTGAATCTCAGGGCAGGACAAGCTCCAGGAGGGCCCAGAGGTGGTGGAAATGTGAGTCCAGCCTCAGGGCCTCCATGGAGCAGGTCTGAGAAACATCGAGGTGTGGATGGATGGTTATGGAGAGGAACTTGTCTAGCCTCATGAGCAGACACGTGTGGACCCAAACAGCCACGCTGCAGTGGTAAACGCTCTCCAGGAAGGTCCAGGGACACTGAGAAGGCGATGCCCCTGAGGGCCAAGCGGGGAGGGCCAAGGGGCTGGAGTGCCAGCGGACCCCCTCCCACCCCCTCCGAGACCTCATCCCTGTACTTTGCTGGGGGCTTCACCAGGGTCTGCATTTTCACATGTGCTCACTCTGCCTGTGTCTGCTGCAGCAAATGTTCTTTTTGAGGGAGAAAACACATACAGAAACTTCCCCTGGTGTTGCCTATGATGTGGCTCTTTCAGCTTCAAAGATGTGTCTGAGGCTCTTTCCCGAGGCCTTGAGACGGAGGCTGGAGCCTCTGCTCTGTGCCCTGCCCGCTGCCCCTCCCCCTCCCTCCCACCGCCTCCCCCATCTCCACCCGGCCAGTCTGACCCTAAGCTGCGTGGACGGGGAGTGGAGCTCTACCTCTTAATTTGTGGGCAGAATTCTCAAAACATTCCTACCACATGCAGAATGTCACACCTGACTTTCGCCCCAGCATCTGGGCTCTGATGGCGACCGCATGCCTGTTATCTACCCCCGGCCTCGGCAGCCCCGGTGTGATGCTTGCCATGGCCTGCATTCCAGGCATGGCTGCTTCCTCAGGCTGACTCAGTGGTTTTTTTCACTCAAATTCCCAAGCCTCCACTAAGCAGGAGCATGAATAGAGCTTTAATTCTACAACGATGCGCTAGTTACGTCTTTGTACTAAGACACTAAAATAAATATGCTCCATCAACATGAAGCATAGCCCTATATCCCACTTAGCCTCAGCTGTGGGCCCCACCTGGGGATGTGGTGTCTCTGCTCGTCCACCTGGTCCCTGGCCTGGAGTGATGTGAAACTCCCGCAGGCCTGGACTCTGGGTTCTGTAGCAGGCACAGTCAGGAGTGCTGGGCTAGGACCCTGCCGTATGGCCTTGAGGCTGGAGGGCTGGGGAGCGAGACTCTCTATGCGCCAAGCCTGTGCTGCCAGCTTCCCAGCCCGAGGCACGGGGGAGCCCGTGGGGGTGTGAGCTTCCTCCCTCCTGGGGTCTGTACATTTTATTGGAGAGCATGGATGAAACTTAAATGCGATGAGTAATTCCAGGCAGTACCCAAGACCACGTTTACCAGTGACAATGCCTGAGGTCAGGGTGATTCCCAGGAGGGCTGCATGGAGGAGGAGGCTTTGACCTCGGCTTTGAAGAATAATATGAGTAGGTGAGGTGACAGTTGGAAGGGGCAACCGGCATTTCCCAGGTACAGCCAGGCTGCCTGCGAACAAACGCACACAGGCGAGCAGACAGAGTGGGCCTCTCCTGGGAGGAGAGAAGCTGAGAGAATGCCTGGGCGCCTCCAGCCCAGGCCAAGCCTCGGGAGGTTGGGACTCCTGGTGCCCAGCAGGGCCCTGGAACACTCGTGCACCAAGCTCAGGGAGATTTATAGCTCAATTTAGTTCCTGTATGTCCCATGTCACAGCGAGTCATTTATCGAGTGCTTCAACTTGACAACAACTGAAAAATTAATCCCAACAGCAAGCGATTAACTCTGCAAGGGGATCAGATGTCTCATTTCCCAGGCTCTAATCTCCAGGCATTCGTCTATGAAGCGATTCGTCACTTTCTACCCAAGATGACACAGGCAGAGGCTGATCCTGGGCAAGCCGCGGGCCACCATGGGCTGCCTCTGGGGCTCGTCGCTGGGCGTCATTAAACCTGTGGCTCGAGGGTTCTCCGTGGCGCAGGGGGCCAGTGACGGACACAGCCTGGGGTGCAAGGGAGTCACCGTGTCCAGCTGCATCGGGACGTTTTCCTTACACACGTGTCTCAGGACGGAGGGTGACTCTGGTGCCCACCTGCCCTCTAAGCTGGACCCAGTTCCGGAAGCCTCTAGTCGTCAGCTTGGGCTGCCCTAACAGAGCACAGACAGGGCAGCCTAAACCACAGACAGGCTGGAGGCTGAGGTCTGAGAGCAACGTATCTCAGCGTTGGCTCCTCCTGAGGCCTCTCTCCTTGGATGGCCGCCTTCCCCCGTGTCCTCATGTGGTCATCCCTCTGTGCATGTCTGTGTCCAAATCCCCTCTTAAGGACACAGTGATATCGGATTAAGGCCCCCTCTAATGGCCTCATTTGACTTTAATAATCTCCTTTATTTTTTTTTGAGACAGAGTCTTGCTCTGTCACCAGGCTGGAGTGCAGTGGCGCGATCTCGTCTCACTGCAGTCTCTGTCTCCCAGGTTCAAGCAATTCTGCCTCAGCCTCCTGAGTAGCTGGGACTACAGCTGCCCACCACCACGCCAGGCTAATTTTTTTTGTAATTTTAGTAGAGAAGGGGTTTCACCATGTTGGTCAGGCTGGTCTTGAACTCCTGACCTCAAATGCTTCGCCCACCTCGGCCTCCTAAAGTGCTGGGATTACAGGCGTGAGCCACCGTGCCCGGCCTGATCTTAATCATCTCTTTAAAGACCCTGTCTTCAAATACAGTCACATTCTGAAGTACTGGGGATTGGAACGCTAATGCATGGATTTTTGAGGGACACAACTCAGCTGTGACGATCCCCAGCAGCCCCCTGCCATCCTGACTGCCGGTCCCAGCTCCTGTCCTGACAGCTCAGTCACTGGAACACTCAGCCACGTGAGGTGCAGGAGTGCAGTGGGACGCACGTCAATTCAGGGTCAGGAGCCTGGCACCCGGGCTCTTTCACCGAGGGCCATGCGATCATCAGCAAGACGCTTCTCCTCTCTGGGGGAACATGCAGCAGAACAAGACAATGTCAGAGGTTTGCTTCTGCCCTGCCACTTGAGCTTCCAGTGATGATCTGCGTGACATAGGGTTGAAGTCAGGATGTGTGATACATCCCTATATTAGTTAACACCCCCTCAGTGAATAAGAGCCCAGTCACATCAGGAGTCACTCCTCATCCAGGTGGGGTTGGGATAAGCTCACTTGCAATGGGTGATTCAGGGGTCCCTGCGTGTGCCGCAGAAGAGGCTACAGGCCTGGTGGACAGGAAGTCAGCAGCAATCTGAATAAAGTCATGAAAGAGAACTCGAAATGGCCTGGGGTCGCTGACCGGACTGGCTGCAGGAAGTCCCCGCTGGGGATGACAACCTTGCTTTGCCTTCTCCTTTGTGGGGAGCAGATGGTAGGAACAGCCTGTGCTGATAGGGGAGGAACTCCCGAGTCCAGCCCCTGTCCCCAGAAAACACAACATCTGCAACCCTCCCCTCCTGATAAGAAATCACAGGCACCTCCTTGACCCTCCAACCACTTCTAGAACATTCCATTCCCCTCCTAAGAGCCTGGCTTTGATGAGCCCCCAAGGGGGTCCAGTCTCAGATGGCCTCAAAAGTCAATGCGTGCTCAGATGATCACCCACAGTGCAGCTTCAGGGAGGGTTCCAGAGCGGCCTCTTTTCCACCTGTTCTGTCCTCTCGGATAATGGGTTCCCCTTGTAATCCTGGATTCCACCATGAGTCAAAGCTTGCAAGGACCTACCTGATCTTATTTTAACAAAGACTTTATATTTTGGAACATTTTTGGATTTACAGAAAAATTGCACTGCACAGAAAGTTCAGAGTTCCCAGATTCCCTCTCCTCCCCCCTCCCCCAGGTTCCTCTGTTAGTAACACCTTGCATGAATCGGCTGTTATTTGTTGCAATTAATGAACCGATACTGACACATTATAATTAACTAAATCCACAGTCATCAGAGGGTTCCTTCTGGGCATTGTATATTCGTTGGTTGTAACTATCTATAACGCCCCGTTCCCCCACTCCAGTGCCATACAGAAGAGCGCCACTGCCCAACAATGGCTGTGCCCCATCTTTCACCCTCCCTGCCCCCAATCCCTGGCAACTGCTGATTTTTCACTATCTCCATTTTTTTTTTTTTTTGAGAATGTCATATACAGGCACACCTCACTTCATTGCACTTCACGAACATTGCATTTTTTTTTTTTTTAACAAATCGAAGGCCTGCAGCCACCCCACAGAGAGTCAGCCCATCAGCACCATTTTCCCAACAGCACGTGCTCACTTTGCATCTCTGTGTCACATGTTGGATAATTCTCACAATATTCCAAACTTTCTGTCTGTTATCGTGATCTGTGATCTATACTTTTTGATGCTACTATTGGATTTTTTTGGGGGTGCCGTAAAACACACTCAAATAAGATGGTGAATTTAATCGATAAATATTGTGTGTTCTGACTGCTCCACCGACTGTCCACTCCTCCATCTCTCTCCCTCTGTGCAGGCCTCCTTACTCCCTGAGACACAACACTATTGAAATGGGGCCAGTTAAGAACTCTACAATGGCCTCTAAGTGTTCAAGTGAAAGGAAGCGTCACACATCATTCACTTTAAATCAAAAGCTAGAAACAATTAAGCTTAGTGAGGAAGGCATGTTGAAAGCTGAGACAGGCTGAAAGCTAGGCTTTTTGTGCCAAAGCTAGCCAAGTTGTGAATGTAAAGGAAAAGATCTAGAAGGAAATTAAAAGTGCTACTCTGGGCTGGGTGGGGCGGCTCACGCCTGTAATGTCAGCACTTTGGGAGGCCAAGGTGGGAGGATCACTTGAGCCCTCGAGTTTGAGACCCCATCTATATGAAAAATAACAAATAAATTAGCTGGACATGGTGGCATGTGCTTGTAGGTCGCAGCTACTCCAGAGGCTGAGGCAGTGGATCACTTCAGTGCAGGGGTTTGAGGCTGCAGTGAGCTGTGAATATGCCACTGCATTCCAGCCTGGGTGAAAGAGTGAGACCCTGTTTCAAAAGAACAACAACAACAAAAAAGCGCTACTCCAGTGAACATACAAATTATCAGAAAGTGAAGCATCCTCATTGCTGAAATGGAGAAAGTTTCAGTGGTCTGGATAGAAAATCAAGCCGGTCACAACATTCCCTTAAACCAAAGCCTAATCCACAGCAAGGCCCTAACTCTCTTCAAGTCTATGAAGGCTGAGAGAGGTGAGTAAGCTGCAGAACAAAAGTCTGAAGCTAGCAAGGGTGATTCATGAGGTTGAAGGAAAGAAGCCATATCCATAAAATAAAAGTGCGAGGTGAAACAGCAAGTGCTGATGGAGAAGCTGCAGCAAGTTCTCCAGAAGATCTAGCTGAGATCACTGATAAAGGTGGCTACACTGAACAACAGGTTTTCAATGTAGCCTGTTTAGGTTAGCTTCTTTTGCTTAATGATACGGATTTAAGTTTCCTCCATATATTTTGTGACTCAATACACCTCATTTCTTTTTTATGCCTCGATAGCCATTTCTTTTCATTGCTGAATACTTTTCCATTGTCTGAATATATCACAGTTTGTTTGACCACTCACCTACTGAAGGACATCCAGGCTACATCCAGTTTTTGGCAATAAAGCTGCTATAAGCACTTAACGTGCAGCCTGATCACATTTATTTTCTCTCTGTCTCTTTCTTTCTTTCTCTCTCTCTCTCTCTCTCTCTCTCTCTAGCTTTCCTTTATTTTTTTGTCTTGCTCTGTTGCCCAGGCTGGGTTGCCAGGATGCAGGCACAGTTCACTGTAGCCTCAAACTCCTGGGCTCAAGTGATCCTCCTGCCTTAGCCTCCTGACTAGCTGGGACTACAGGGACCCACCGCCATGCCCAGCTAATTTTTTTCTTTTTTTTTTTTTTTTCTTGAGACAGGGTCTCACTCTGTCACCCAGGCTGGAGTGCAGTGGTGTGAAATCAGCTCATTGTAGTCTCAGCCTCCCAGGATCAAGTAATTCTCCTGCCTCAGCCTCCTGAGTATCTGGGATTACAGGCATGTGCTACCACGTCCAGCTAATTTTTGTATTTTTAGTAGAGATGGGGTTTCTCCATGTTGACCAGGCTGGTCTCTAACTCCTGGCCTCAAGTGATCCGCCCGCCTTGGCCTCCTAAAGTGAGCCATCGCTCCTGGCCTCATTTTTTCTCATTTTAAATTTTTTTTGGTAGAGATGGGGTCTTGCTGTGTTGCCCAGGCTGGTCTCCAATTCCTGGGCTGAAGTGATCCTCCTGCCCTTGGCCTCCCAAGGTGCTGGGATTATAGGCATGAGTCACCACACCTAGGCGAGCCTGACTGTATTTTTACAAAGCCAGGGCCATAAATGTAGTGGCATTGCTGGTGTGACTCAGAAGGACCCAACCACTTCCATATTTCAAGTGCTCACCACATACCAGGCATTGCACTAAAAGCCTCATTCATTCATTCATTCATTCATTCATTCATTCATTCACCTCTTCACTCAATATTTACCAAGTGCCTCCTAGATGCAGGCTGTGTCCTGGGTGCTGGGAATGAAGCTATCAACTGGCCTCAGGATCTCACGAATTACAGACAAAAAGCAAGCAAGCAAACAGATGATCACATGTGAGTTCCAGGGCGGGGACTGAACCCAGGCCAGCCCACCCTGAGGCTCTTGCTGCTAACCACCACCTCCTCCTAAGAAGGGACTCACATGGAGGGCGTTCCATATGGAAGCTTCCAGACAGATGTTCTGGATGCTCAGCAGTGGGGGAGGAGCCCAGATGGAGTTGGCAGTCCTGGCTCTGAGGCTGGATGTGACCCTTGGGAGGCTCATTCCAGAGCTTGATGTCGGTCTTGCTGCTAAAGCCGGGAGCAGGGAGCAGGCTGGCAGCACCGCGGGGCCAGGGCAAGAGCTGACAGTGGGGCCTGGGGGAGCTGTGGGTGGGGGGCCCTCACAGCTGTGTCCTCCAAGATTCCCACAGTCTGGAAGGACAAGCAGAAAGCCCCCTGACCTGGGCTTTCCTGTGCAAAGGCCCAAGTGGTTCCGGAGATCCCCAGTGATCCCGAGGAGGCTGGGCCTGCACGTTTCCAACGGACAAGCGGCTTTCTTCATGCACACAGCTGCCCAGTGCATCTGAGCCCACCTGGACCCTGCAGCTGGGCTTTCTGCAGCCACAGCTCCCAGGCGTGCCGAGCCGGGGCTGAGTCACTGCTACTATTTGAACACTTTCCCCTTCAAAATGACAGTCTTTGGCAAATATGTTAAATACCAATTGAGAACAAATGCCACCAGGAACTCTGATCATCCTTCATCTGCTGAGCAAGGAAATGCCAGGGGAGAAGGGAGAGGAGGCGAGACCGTGAGGGGGCCCGGGGTCCATGCTCTCTGGCTGTTCCGTGGCAGGGGTCCAGCTGCCCACCAAGGAGGCCTGGGTCTTTCTGGGGATTCTCGGAGAGGTTCTTTCTATCTGGAGGTGTGCGAGGGGGAGCCCCCTGGCCCCCCGACTGGAGGCTCATTCACCTGCCCACTGGGGCTTCGGTAGGAGCGTCAGGCCATGGGCTTGTGGGCTTGATGTCATGTGGGGGACACCTGTACCTGCCCTCTGGACAATGCCACGGGAGCTCTCAGCAGGAAGGGAGCAGCCGGCTTCCCCCTGCGTCAGCATCGGGCTCAGCCCATTCGGCGTGCACGACCCAGCCCAGTCGTGCCTGTCACCGCCACAGAGCTGGCCTTCAAGACAGTGCCTGGACAGAGCTTCGGAGCTCAGGCTGGAGCCAGCCTGCCAGGGTTCCAAGCCTGGATCTGCCAGCTCTCACTTGGATGGTCTTAGACAAGTGGCTTACCTCTCTGTGCCTCAGTTTCCTCGTCTGTAACACAGAGGCAAGATCAGTGCTCCCCCATGGGGATGCTAGCTGGGAGGCCACGTGGGGAGGTAGTCAGTCCAGGGCCTGATGCACCTTGGGCCCCTGAGTTTTGCAGAGAGCCAGATTCTACACTTGGGCACTGGGTGAGTGAACCGAAAGAGACAGGACTGTGCACACCTGAGCGGGAGGCGACCAGAAAGACACACTGACGGCCCAGAGCGCAGGGATGAGGCAGCTACAGGAGAGCACAGGAGGGCTCCGGCTTCCTGGAGGACGTGAAAGAAAACAGCAGCACAGCTGCTGCATGGAGAGAAAGCAGCCCCCGTTGGAGTCGGCCTGCAGCGCGTCTGCACACGGAAGAGAGATGTGCTCGGGGCAATGTGCACACACACGCCTCTTAATAACGATTTCCTCATTTCGGAGACTCTTAATAACAATTTTCTCATTTCACAGACGCTATATTTTTTTTTCCAAGATGGAGACTCTTTCTGTCATCCAGGCTGGAGTGCAGTGGTGTGATCTCGGCTCACTGCAACCTCTGCCTCCAGGGTTCAAGCTATTCTCCTGCCTTAGCCTCCTGAGTCGCTGGGATTACAGGCACCTGCCACCACACCCGGCTAATTTTTTGTATTTTTAGTAGAGATGGGGTTTCACCATGTTGGCCAGGCTGGTCTTGAACTCCTGACCTCAAGTGATCCACCTGCCTCGGCCTCTCAAAGTGCTGGCATTACAGGCGTGAGCCATCACACCCGGCCCATAGACCCTATTTTTTTTAGAACACTTTTAGCTTTACCAAAAGAAACCAATGCAGAGAGCGTTCAGAGAGTTTCCACACACCACGCTTCTTTTTCTCACACAAATAGCAACACAGTTAACAGTCTGTCTGCTCCTGGCTTTTTTCACCTCAAATCACTTACTCGGGAGATCATTCCCTAGCAGGACCCCCAGAGCCGCCTCAGCTTTCTGACAGTGGCACGGCACTCCTCACACTGGGCGCTCCATAGCTTACCTGGCCCGCGCTTTCCTGGGGACACACCTGGACAAGTAGAGCTGTGGGATCCAGTCCTGTTAGCACAGAGGCTGGGCCAGAGGGCATCTGCATCGATCATTTTCATAGGAATTGATGAGCTGTCCTCCAAGGAGGACGTGCATCGTAACCTCTCCCCAAAACAGAAGACGGTGCGCCCTGCCCAGTCCCCTCCTGCCCAAATGGTAGATGATCAGACTCCAAAAAAAGAGCCCTCACACAAAACAGCCCTTTCCTCTTCCTGCCCCAGACCACCCATATTCTGGGGGGTTGCTTTATTTATTTATTTATTTATTTTGAGACAGAGTCTCACTCTGTTGCCCAGGCTGGAGCACAGTGGCGTGATCTCAGCTCACTGCAGCTTCCGCCTCCCGGGTTCAAGTGATTCTCCTGCCTCACCCTCCCAAGTAGCTGGGATTACGGGCACACACCACCACGCCAAGCTAATTTTTGGATTTTTAGTAGAGATAGGGTTTTGGCATGTTGACCAGGCTGGTCTCGAACTCCTGACCTCAAGTGACCTGCCCGCCTCAGACTCCCAAAGTGCTTGGATTACAGGCGTGAGCCACCGTGCTCGGCTTGGGGTTGTATTTCAAGTGGAGCAGAATGTCCTGGATCCTCTGGACACCCCGGTGAGTAATTCTATATACTAGCAAAAAATGATCACAAACAGAAATTCGAAAATACCTCTACCATATCTTCAAAAAATACAAACTAGGAATAAATAGAACAAAAGATGTGCCAAGACCTGTATAGCAAAAGCATTAAACATGGCTGAGAGAAATGGAAGATCTCAATAAATGGAGAGGTTTTAGATCATGTGGCAGGAGACTGAATCTCTCCCAACTGGATCTATGGACTCAATGTAATTCCTGTCACATCCCCAGTAGGGTTTTTTTTTTTTTTTTTTTTTTTTTTGGTAGAAAAGGACAAGCTGATTGTAAAATTCATGGGAAATGCAAAATATCTAGAGTAAGCAAAACAACTGTAAAAAAGGACAAAGTTGGAGGACTAACTTGACCTGATTCCAAGACTTTTTTTCGTTTGTTTTTTTTTTTGAGACTGGGTCTTGCTCTGTCACCCAGGCTGGAGCGCAGTGGCACGATCTCGGCTCACTGTGACCTCCAACTCCCGGGTTCAAGCGATTCTCCTGCCTCAGCCTCCTGAGCAGATGGGATTACAGGCACCCACCACCACACCCAGCTAGTTTTTGTATTTTTAGTAGAGATGGGTTTCACCATGTTGAACCAGGCTGGTCTCAAACTCCTCAAGTGATTCGCCTGCCTCGGCCTCCCAAAGTGCCGGGATTACAGGCGTGAGCCACGGTGCCCGGCCCACTTACTATAAAGATACAGTAATCAAGACAGTGGCACCAAGCTAGACAAATAGATAATGGAAGAGAAAAGAGAGCGCAGAGATAGCCCCACACACACACGAAGAACGGGTTTTTGATAAAGGGCAAAGGCAATTCAACAGAGTAGGAATCTGCAGGATTCTTCCTCTCTCATTTCTGCTGTTGGCTATGTGTGTCTTCTCTTTTCTCCTTCTGGATCAGCCTGGCTAGAGGTTTCTATTTTTTTGAGACATGGTCTCACTCCGTCACCCAGGCTGGAGTGCACTGGTGTGATCATAGCTCACTGCAGCCTCTACCTCTGAGGCTCAATCAATCTTCCTGCCTCAGCCTCTTGAGTAACTGGGACTACAGGCATGTGCCACCACGCACAGCTAATTTTTGTATTTCAGTAGAGACAAGGTTTTGCCATGTTGCCCGGGCTGGTCTCAAACTCCTGAGCTCAAGTGATCGCCCAGCTTGGCCTCCCAAAGTGCATCGATTTTCTCGACGTTGCCAAAGAACCAACTTTTGGTTGCTCCATTTTCCTTGTTTTTCTATTTTCTATGTCATTGATTGCTGTGAGCTTAATCACTTCTTCTGCTTGCTTGTTGTTGTTGTTGCTGAGACAGGGTCTTACTCTGTTGCCCAGACTGGAGTGCCGTGGTGCAATCATAGCTCACTGTAGCTTCAAACTTCTGGGCTCAAGTGATGTTCCCACTTCAGCCTTCAGAGTAGCCAGGACTGCAGACGTGCACCGTCACACCCAGCTAGTTTTTAACTTTTTGTAGAGATGGCAGGGGGGGTCTCACTATGTTGCCCAGGCTGGTCTTGAACTCCTTGCCTCAGGTGATCCTCCCATCTTGGTCTCCTAAAGTGTTGGGATTACAGGAGTGAGCCACCACACTTAGCCTTACTTTGGTTTTAATTTGCTCTTTTCCTTTTAGCTTCTAAAGGTAGAAGCTGAAGCAGTGATCTGAGGCCTTTCTTCTTTTCTAGTATAGATATTTTGTGCCAGAAATGTTCCCTTACAGACACTTTAGAGGCATTCCACACATTTTGATATGTTGTACTTTCATTTTCATTTGGTTCCAATATTTTCTAATTTCCCATTTGATTTCTACTTTGATCCCGGTGTTATTTAAAATAATACTATTTACTTTCCTAATATCTGGGGGATTTTCTAGAGATCTTTCTCTTACTGGTTTCTAATACGATTCCGTTTTGGTTAGAGCTCACATCTGTATGACTTGAATAGTTCCAAATTTATTGAGACTTGTTTTATGGACTAAAATATGGTTTATCTTAATAACCCTTCCAAGTACACTTGAAAACAAAGCACAGAGGATTCTTTCCACAACTGTCAGTTAAGTCAAGCTGGTTGATGGGTTTGTTCATGGTTTCCTATATCCCGGCTGACTTTCTGTACACTTCCATCAGTTACAGAAGGAGAAGTGATTATACTTGTAGTTTTATTTATTTTTCCTTGCAGGTCTATTTTTTGCTTCATGTATTTTGAGGCTCTGTTATTAGGTACATACATGTTTAGTGTTTTTAATGTCCTTCCATAGAACTGACCCTTTTACCATAATGAAATAACCTTCTTTAATACTGTTAACATTCTTTGTTCTAAAATCTATTTTGATACTAATATCGTCATCCCAGTTTTCTTTGGATTAGTGTTAATGTGGTATATGCCTTTCCACCTTCTTACTTTTAACTCTTTTGTGTCTTTATAATTAAAGCGAGTGCTCCTTGGAGGTGAGCATTTATTCAACTTGAAGAATCTGCCCTTAAAATAAGGGTGTTTATATCGTCTGCATTTAATATGTGATTATTGATAGGAAGTTTAACTCTGTCCTCTTTCCATTTTGCTTTTCATTTGTCCCTTGTATATTTTGCCCACCCCCGCCAATTCTCTCATTTTCTGCCTTCTTTTGGGTTGATAATTTGTTTGTTTGTTTGTTTTGAGACAGAGTCTCGCTCTGTCACTAAGGTGGAGTGCAGTGGCACGATCTCGGCTCACTGCAACCTCCACCACCTGGGTTCAAGCGATTCTCCTGCCTCAGCCTCCTGAACAGCTGGGATTACAGGCACCCACCACCGCGCCTGGCTAATTTTTGTATTTTTAGTAGAGAGGGGTTTCACCATGTTGGCCAGCATGGTCTCGATCTCTTGATCTCGTGATCCGCCCACCCTGGCCTCCCAAAGTGCTGGGATTACAGGTGTGAGCCACTGTGCCTGGCCGGGTTGATAATTTTTTATGATTCCATTTTATTTCCTCTGTCACCTTATCAGCTATTATTCTTTGTTTTGTTATTTCAGCAGTTGCTTTAGAATTTATATTTATAGTAGACACCCTTAACTTATCACTGCTGATGTTCTACCACTTCGTGTACAATACAAGAACTTACAACAGTACACTTCCACTCTTCCCCTCCTAGACTTTGTGCCATTGTTGTCACACCTACGATCTTTCCATGTCGTAATCCCCAAGCTACATTTATTCTTCTGTTTAAAGACAGTTATCTTTCGAAAGAATTAAACAAAACAAATTTTACATATATAGCCATGCAGCTAAGTCCTTCCTTCCTTGGTGTATTTCCATCTGTGGTCACTTTTTTTTTTTTTTTTGAGATGGAGTTTTGCTTTTGTTGCCCAGGCTAGAGTGCAATGGTGTGATCTTGGCTCACCGCAACCTCCGCCTCCTGGATTCAAGTGATTCTCCTGCCTCAGCCTCCTGAGTAGTTGGCATTACAGGTGCATGCCACCACACCTGGCTAATTTTGTATTTTTAGTAGAGATGGGGTTTCTCCATGTTGGCCAGGCTGGTCTTGAACTCCCGACCCCAGGCACTGTCTTTTTATCTGAAAGACAACCTTTCATATTCTTTATAGTGTACCTGCTGGTGATGAATGATTAAACCTTTTGTATTTTTCAAAAGTATTTTACCTTTGTTGAAATAATTCTGTTTGAATTATGTTGAAATAACTCTGTTGAATAATTCTGTTTTTTCTTCTCTTTCAATACTGTAAAGGTATTTGTCCACGATCTGCTCACTGGCATTGCTTCTGACACTATGCCTGCTGTCATCTTTCTCTTTCGTCTTCATGTGTCACGTGTCCTTTTATCCCCATGTGGCTGCTTTTAACATATTTGTCCTTATCTCTAATTTGGAGCAATTTGAATCCTATGTGCCTGGGTGTGTTTTTGTTTCTTTTTCTCTCATGTGTCTTGTGCTTGGAGTCTATTGAGCTGCTTGGGTGTGTGAGTTCATTGTTTACTTCAAATTTGGAAAAAGTTCCCTCATTATTTCTTCAAATATTTTTCTTTTCTTTTCTTTTTTTTTTTTTTTGAGATGGAGTCTCACCCTGTTGCCCAGGCTGGAGTGCAGTGGTGCGATCTCAGCTCATTGCAACCTCCGCCTCCTGGGTTCAAGAGATTCTCCTGACTCAGTCTCCCAAATAGCTGGGATTACAGGCACCCACCACCATGCCCAGCCAACTTTTCATATTTTTAGTAGAGATGGGGTTTCACCGTGTTGGCCAGGCTGGTCTCGAACTCCTGACCTCAACTGATCTGCCCGCCTCAGCCTCCCAAAGTGCTGGGATTACAGGCATGAGCCACCGCACCCAGCCTTCAAGTATTTTTTCTCCCCTCCCCCTACAATCGCCCCCTCTTCAGGGACTCTACTTACATGTATATTGGGCTGTTGGAAGCTATCTTGCAGCTCACTGACTGATGTTCTTTTAAAAAGAATTCTTTTTTTTTCTCTGTGTTTCACTCAGGATAGTTTCTATTGAGACTTCTCTGAGTTCACTATTACTTTATAACATTTAATCTACCCTCGATCTCATCCTGTGTATCCGTCATCTCAGACACTGTGGTTTTCATCACTGGAAGTTTGATTTGGGTTAAAATGTAAAGAACTGCTTTATGCTAAAATATATACAACAAAATTTATCATATTAACCATTTAAAAATGGACATTCCAGTGGGCTTTCAAAATATCTTCTGTGTCTACATTTAACTTTTTGGACATATGGAATACAGTTTTAATGATTCTTTTAATATCCTTGTCTGCTAACTCTAACATCGGTGTTAATCCCCAGTCAATTTTGATAATGGATTTTTCTCTTCCTTACGGGCTGTATTTTCCTGCTTCTTTGCAAGACTGGGAATTTCTGAATGGATGCCAGACATCATGAATTGTACTTGTTGGGGGCGCTGGGTAGTTCTGTATCCTGGTCTTGAGCTTTGTTCTGGGTGTAGTTAAGTCACCTGGAAGCAGTTTCATCCATCCATCCATCCATCCATCCATCCATCCATTTATTTATTTTTGAGATGAAGTCTTGCTCTGCTGCCAAGGCTGGAGTGCAGTGGTGCGATCTCGGCTCACCGCAACCTCCGCCTCCCAGGTTCAAGCAATTCTTCCTGCCTCAGCCTCCCGAATAGCTGGGATTACAGGCGCGTGCCACCATGCCCGGCTAATTTTTGTATTTTTGTAGTAGAGATGGGATTTCACCATGTTAGCCAGGTTGGTCTTGAACTACTGACCTTGTGATCCACCCACCTCGGCCTCCGAAAGCACTGGGATTACAGGCGTGAGCCACCACGCCTGGCCTCAATGTCTTCAATGTGGATGTTCTTCCAGTCTCTGCCTGAGTTCCCTCTCCCTGCCCCACAGCCTGGAAACGCTCAGTGCAAGAAGCTGGGGCAAGTATAGGGCTCATCCCATCTGTTTCTCATGCTTTAGTGATCACTATCATTTATTACCTGGTGTCTGGTTGTAAAACCTATTACTTTATATATTTTATCTTTTCTTTCAGTTGTTTCATGAGGAAAGGTAAATCCAGTTTCTGTTTCTCCATCTTGGCCACAAGTAGAAGTTGGAGCAGAAGTAGGCATTATTATTATTATTTTTTTTAATTTTCAAGTTCCTTTTCTAATGGAAAATCGCAAACATAAAGCAATGTAAAGAGTAATACTGTATTAGTCTGTTTTCACGCTGCCGATAAAGATATACCTAAGACTGGGTAATTTATGTAGAAAAAAAGGTTTAATGGACTCATAGTTCCACATGGCTGGGGAGGCCTCACAATCATGGCAGAAGGGAAAGGGCATGTTCTACATGGCAGCAGGCAAGAGAGAATGGGAGCCAAGAGAAAGGGGTTTCCCCTTATAAAATCATCAGATCTCATGAGACTTGTTCACTACTATGAGAACAGTATGGGGGAGAATGACCCCATGATTCAGTTATCTCCCACTGGGTCCCTCCCACAACACATGGGAATCATGGGAGCTACAATTCAAGATGAGATTTGGGTGGGGACAAAGCCAAGCCATATCAAATACCATGATGAGCTCCATGGTCTACCCTGAAGCTTCTGCCATCGTCCATCTCATCGCATTATTTTTAATAAGACAAAGACCACACTTCCCTGACTTTACACCACCTCACTTCTCAGGGATGCTGTTAAGAGTTGACCCCAAATGGGAGTGGAAAAGTGACACTGCACCCTCGCAGGACAGGGATACTCCCCTCATCAAATCCAGGGCTGGGACCACAGTCCCCAGTCCCCAGGCTCATTCGCAGAAGCATGGCTCCCACTGTCTGAACCGCAACATGGTTGCCAAGACTTTCCACTCTGAGTCCTTCTGAAGTTTGCAGTCACAATTGACAAGATATGGGTGACATTGATCCTGAAAAGGAAGAAATTCTGGTGTTTCTAAGAGTGAAATTTACCCCACCCTGCCCTTCCCCTCCCGTGTTTGATGGTGAGTGTGCCCCGAGCAGCTATCCTGGCTTGCACAGATACTACCAGAGCAGACAAGGGTGATTAACAAGTAATTCATTTAGTCTCCATCATAACCACTTAGCAATCCATTTCCTCTCTATTTCCTGTTCAGAGACCTTTGGATATGCCAATCTGAATAATTGATTGGAGCAGAAAAGCCTCATGCCTTTGAAGTCCCTCATTAATTACCTGGACAGGAAGAAGGAAGAATCTCTACTCAGCCACAAAGCGGCTAAACACGATCAAAGAAACCATACCCGGCTTTGATGGTTCCCTCCGTTAGCCAGAGGCACCATTTCCCCTCGAGGCTGGAGGAATGCTTCTGGAACCCTCTGAGCTGCTGCTGAATGCCACCACCATTGTTATCGGGTGGTGCCACCATCTACTCTAAGTTAAACACACCGGGCTATGATTGATGGAGAGGTGTCTGCAGAGCATCTGTTATGAAGCTGTGATTGGCTAAATTGTGTCCCTCTTAACTCCTATGCTGAAGACCTAACCTCCGGTACTCAAGGGTGTGACTCTATATGGAGACAGGGCCTGTAGAGAGGTAATTAAGTTAAAAGGACATCATGAGGATGAGCCTTAATCCCGGCTGACTGGTGTCCTTATAAGAGCTGGAGATGAGGCCGGGCGTGGTGGCTCATGCCTATAATCCTAGCACTTTGGGAGGCCGAGGTGGGTGGATCACGAGGTCAGGAGTTTGAGACCAGCCTGGCCAAAATGGTGAAATCCCGTCTCTACTGAAAATACAAAAATTAGCCGGGTGTGGTGGCGGGTGCCTATAATCCCAGATACTCGGGAGGCTGAGGCAGGAGAATTGCTTGAACCCAGGAAGTGGAGGTTGCAGTGAGCCAAGGTCGCACTACTGCACTCCAGCCTGGGTGACAGAGCAAGACTCTTGTCTCACAAAAGAAAAAAAAAAAAAGAACTGGAGATGAGGACACAGACACACATAGACAGACGACTACGGGAGGACCCAGGGAGAAGGCAGCGCCTACAAGCCATGGAAGGAAGACCCAGACCCTGAGACACCTTGATCTTGGACTTCTGGACTCCAGAACTGTGAGAGTCAACGTCTACTGTCCCAGCCACCCTGTCTGTGGTGCTTTGCTGGGGCAGCCCGAACTAAGACAGATGCCACACCCTGGAATAGCTGCAGGGCTGGGAGGGAAGCTGCAGACACCCTATGTATTTGTCCAACCCAAACACGTCAAATGGACTGAGCTATTCAAACCAAAACTCAGCGAGGAGACGGGCAACAAAAGAGTTAATGGGGAGACAGGATGTGAAATGGGTCTGGGCCATCAGCTGATGGCCAGTACTGGAGGCTGGGTGCAAAACTGCCGTGAGGCCAGCAGCGGGGTGGTGGAGTCTGGCTCCGATCCTGCCTGCAATGGATCCAGTGAAAGGGTCAGGGCAAAGCTTCCAACAAGGATAACCTAGAAAGCAGGCCCGCAGGCAGCTGTAGCTGCAGCCTCTTCCGCGAGACTTAAGCTGAGGAGGCTGGAGCCAGGGATCCTTCGAGGGGCGGCGCCGTCTCCAGCACCAGGAAGAATCTTCACTTCCTCTTCGAAACCGCCCTGGAAGTGAGCTTAGGGACAGAGCTCAGGCAAGGCAGTGCCTCACTCGGTGGGTGAAGCCTCCTTGCCTCTCTCACAGCTCCCTGAAAGCTCCTTGCAGAGAACTTCTCTGTTTAATAACCTCGGAAAAGCATTAAAAGCGAGTCTGAAGAACTCATTTAATGGATTCTTGGAGGCGGCTGCAATCCTCGGAGCTCCGTGAAGCTGGGGAACTTATTCTTGGTGGAGCCTCCAGCTGGAGAGAAACTGTTTGAATTTCCCCAAAGCCAATTCGAGTTGTTGTTCCTTCTGGGAGGATACATCTCCCAGCACCTCCCCTCTCCCATGTGGGCAGCGGATTCCTGCCCCCCCCGCCCACTTCCTCCCGGCCGGGAGCTGTTCTTTTCAGCAAAGCCACGAGTAGCAGGCAGGGGCGCCCCAGGCCAGGCATGGTCCGTCTGGAAGAAGCCAGGTTCAGGGAGCAATTCTGCAAGATAAACCACCCTCTGGAGGGTGTGGCTCCAAGACTTTGATTCTTTGAGCCACCATGGCTAGACAGCCCCCTCCTTCCTTTCTGACAGAGGACTTGAGCCCTTGGCACCGCAACCCAGCTGTTTATAGATGGCTGAGAAGCCTGCCTGTGTCCAGCAAGAGTGCAGCTGTGTGGCCAGTGGACTCAGCATCCACGTCCGAGGGACTGCTCACGTTCTCTGAAGATGTTCAAGGCTGCCCATGTGCCCTTTCCCCGTTTTCAGGCATGCAGCATGCAGGCCCCACTCCTGCCGCTGGACTTACAGTGAACGGAGCCAGGAAAGCGAATCTGCCTTGACTTGTCCTGGATTCTGCAGGAAGGCCCCACCTGAACCACCTCAGTCCCACAGAGAGGGGGATCCTCTGTCCTCTCAGGGCCAATCGGACTGAGGACAGTCCCAAACCCCCGGGCCATCCCGAGCCTAAGTGTGTAGTGACCCCAGGGGAGGCTGGTGGCTAAGCCATGCCGCTGGGGTCCTGGGGGGTCAGGCTCGGGAGCGTCTGGGGTGATCCTGCTCATGCGCCTCATGGACGCATCTTGCCCCGGTTTCCAGGTGCGGTGGAGCGGGGAGCTCCGGGGCTGGCAGAGTGAGCAGGGCCTGGGTCCTGAGGGAGAAGGCGGCTCGTAGGCTGCTGTGCTGGGCAGAGGGTGGATGGCGGGGTTGACCAACGATGAGGCCCCAGGAAGAGAGGCATGGGTGGCGCTGCCGGCCGCTTCCCCATCTTACCTCTGCTGGTGCCGCAGCCCTCTCCTTTCTGTGGCCCCTCCCCACGTGGAGGATACCGAGGAGGTTAGGACAGCCCTCGGGCTCAGGAGTGCCCAGTGACCCAGTCCTGGCCAATCAGGGGTTCCCGTTTCCCAGGCCACAGTGATTGGTTGAGGGATGGTCATCCAGGCCAATCAGAATCCTGCCTGGGTTTTTCCTCTACATCTACTGGGGAAGATGCTCTCCTGTCCCTGGGGGGCTGTGATGCTGGCAGATGTGTGAGCACGGAGGGGGTTCCTCAGCCCGGGAAAAGGCTGAGGCCGGCACAAAGAAGCAAGGGCAGGAGGTCAGTACGAGGAGACGGGGACGACGGTACAGAGCAAGACAGAGACACTCACCGAGACAGAGACACAGAGACATAGAGAGAGAGAGAGAAGGGAGTGAGAGACAGAGACAGGCCCCCAGCACCATTGTGGACTCCTGCCTCCAGCTGTTGAGTCTCCCCCTGCACATTATTCACCTATGAAACTTGAGCTGTTCGGTTGGGCCTCATAAGCTGTCGCTACCTGACTGTTTTTTGACCTATAAAAATGGCAGCTTCACAAGGCTTGACCGAATGACAAGAGGGAACTTCTGTGGCTTGCCGCCGAGAGTCCTGGAGAAAGTAGGTTTGGCTGGCGGCCACGCCGACCCGCAGGAGTCCTGCCCCTTTGAAGCCCTTCCCTCTTTTAGATCTGCCGGGTTTACAAGGGGCCCAGGTCGCTCCCGTTCTTGATGATTAATTTTCTAAAACTGGTATTTCTAATTCCTGATGGTAGAACTTCAGGCCCCAGCGCCTCCCTAGGGTGCACGCGTGGGTGCCCCTGACCCAGGATGGATACTGTCTGGCTCTCTTTAGGAGCTGTGGTCAAAGGTACCCCTGCTTGCTGCAGGACCAGGACCGGGGTCCCACTGCCAGGCTCCCCAGGGAGGCCTTGCCCTGAAAGGGGCCCTGGGCAGCCCGAGCTGTGAACTCCTCCTTTGGACAGGGCTAGCTCCTCACCTGCTCTGCTGCAGGCCCGGGTCTGCCTCCACAGCTGCGGCCTCCAGTGGTGTGTGTGGGCTGCAGCTTCAGACAGGGTCACCCTCCAGGATCACTGCAGCCCAGCTGGCTCCATGAGAGGGAGTGCCAAGGGGCTGGAGGATGTGGGTGTACTGGAGTGGGGAGTGGGGAGTGGGGAATGGGGTGTCATAGACCGAGGCCCTCTGGGAATCAATGCCCACTCACACCCGGGGCCCACACCCACCAGGGCCTCACACTGAGCTCCCTGTGGAGCTATGGGTGCAGTTCCAGGGACATACACTGCTTGTCACCCAACTGGAAATATGGGTGGGGCTCTGAGAGTGGACAGTTTCATAAATCTTGTAGTTATCTTGTGCATAACATAACTATGCTGCATCTTGGGGGTCAAAGCACTCCTGTGCGGTGGTGTTCATGGGTGTTAGCATTTCTTTCTTCTGAAGCAATCCAGGAGGCTCAGAAAACCACAGCAGCTGGGTCCTGGAGGCGGATTCTAGGGAATGACTCTCCCTGGCTTCCCCCAAGGCCTCTCTGACCCTGTCCAGCCTCTCCCCCACTCCCTGGAGGTCAGGAGTGTCCACTCTGGGGTCAAGGCTGGGCTCTGCATCTGCACCCGTGTTTGTGACTCTCCATTGCCCTGCAGAAGATGGCATTTAATCCTCCCCGCTGCGGGCCAAGGACAGTGTTGTGAGCATGAAGTAAGCATCAAATACCTTGTGGGTATTCACCTTAGAGGCTGAGTGACTTCCGGTGATCCACAGCCCGAAAATGGAAGGGCAGAGAATCAACGCCAGGCTCTCGGCTAGGCCACTGGGCCCAGCCAGGCCTTCTGCAGAGAAAGGGCATGGCAGCAGGTCCTGGATACTTGGATACCATCGTGCTACTTTTTCTTTGAAATAAAATGTTCATTTTCCAGTATAAAAGTCTAGATGCTACCCCCACCATGTGCCCCACCCCAGCAATAGCTGGCTGAGCTGGAGTGGTCCCCTGACCCCACAGGCTAATACAGTGGCCTTGGGTCTAGGGAGGAGAGGTGAGCTGAGCCTAGCAAATTCTGTCCTTGGGGCAGAACCAGGGGATCCAGGTGTCTGTGCAGGGAGCTCAGTTGGAGGCCCCTACAGGCAAGGGCTGAGGTCGATACTGGAGGAGTCGGCAAAGGAGGGTGGTGCGTGCAGGGAGAAGTGATGAACCCTGAGGAGAGGGAGGGGTGCGGCATCAGGGGGCCCCAAGGAGGAGTGGAGACGAGGGGAGAGGGAACTGGAAAGCGAGAGAGGAGGAGGAGGGGTAGGGCTGGGTGCTGTGGGCTGAATGTCCATGTCTCTGCAACATTCCTGGGTTGGACCCTAACCTCCAATGGCATGGTGTTGGGGGTGAGGCCTCTGGGAGGAGACTGAGCCCTTGTGATGGGATCGGTAGCCTTATAAAAGGGACCCCAGAGAGCTCGCTTCCACTTTCTCCCTCTGCCACTTGAGCACAGCGTGAGAAGGCGGCCATCTCCACACCAGGGACAGGCCCTCGCCAGAATCCGGCCCTGCCGGCATCCTATTCTCAGGCTTCAGCCTCCAGAACTGGGAGAAAATCAACCCCTGTTGGGTTTTGAGACGGAGTCTCACTCTGTCGCCCAGGCTGGAGTGCAGTGGCACGATCTCGGCTCACTGCAACGTCCACCTCCCAGGTTCAAGGGATTCTCCTGCCTCAGCCTCCTGAGTAGCTGGGATTACAGGTCCCCACCACCATACCCGGCTAATTTTTGCATTTTTAGTAGAGATGGGGTTTTGCCATGTTGGCCAGGCTGGTCTTGAACTCCTGACCTCAAGTGATCCTCCTGTCTCGGCCTCCCAAAGTGCTCGAATTACAGCCGTGAGCCACCATGCCTGGTCACCCCTGCTGTTTTGAAGCCCCTCCATCTAGGGTATTTTGCCCTAGTGGATTTAGCTGACTCAGACAGAAGGGAAGGGAAGGAAACTAAGGGAGGAGAGAGAAGAGGGAAACAAGGAGAGAAAGCCCCTCTGTTCCCCACAACATTCCACTTCCGGCTTCACAGAAGACACAGGGATGGTTGGCAAGAATAAGAAAAGAGGCCCAACATCAGGGGTCTCCAGGGAAATGTGAGCTAAAGTCACAATGAGACGCCACCTCACACTGTTCCAAATGAAAAAGACGGCACACACCAAGTGCCGGCGAGGCCCAGGAGAGGCTGACCCGCCACACGTGGCTGGCAGGGATGCAAGATGGTGAGGCTGCTTTGGAAGACCGCTTGGCCGTCTCTCAAACTTACACATCCATCTATCACGTGACCCAGGCTTTCCTCTTCTGAGTATCCAAGAGAAATGAAGGCACCTAACTACCCCAAGTCTAGTGCATGGACATTCACAGCAACTTTATGCGTGGTAGGTCGGAGTGGCTGCAACCAAACGCCCATCGATCGTGACTGGTCACCAAATTGTGGGCCATCGACATGATGACGGCCCATCACTCGGCAACGCGAAGGAACGGACTGCCGGAACACACACGCCTCAGAATAATCACACTGCCTGAGAGGAACCAACCCAAAAAATAGCTTCAGTCGCGTGACTCCATTTTATGTGATGTTCTAGAGGGTGCAGGCTGCTGTGATGTGACGGAGCTGGGCGGTCACTGCAGCGGTGGGGGCGGGGCAGGGCTGTGATGTGAGCTGGGTGGTCACTGCAGCGGTGGGGGCGGGGGGGCTGTGATGGAGCTGGGTGGTCACTCCAGCGGTGGGGGGGGGGGGCGGGGGCAGGAGCAAGCCGGCTGGTGGATGGACTTGTCACCTTGACCTTGGCGATGGTTTCCCAAGAATACACACGTGAAAACTTATAGAATTGCACACTTTAAATATGTGAACTTGACTGGACATTGATTATGCCCCAATAAAGTTTTTAAAAAGTGTATCATGATATGACCGATACCACAGGAGAGGTTGCCCCATGTGTCTGTGTGTGTGGGGGCGGGGGGGGGGTGGGGCATGGCATTTGATATAAAGAAAATAGGAGTTACTGGGACCAAGACATGAAGATGACCCCAGTGGCCCCTCCTACATTGACCAGATCAAGCTTCAGGTTCTGGGAGAGAGCTGGAGTCCACATCCCACGCAAGCCCCTGGCTGCCCCTGAGGGTGAGGAGGGGAAACGGGGCGCCAGCCGATGCCCCAAGCCCCCAACCCCACACCTCACTTCAGCCAACGGCCACTTTTATGTTCTGTCTGACTTAGAGTATGCAAAGTACTTCTCACACCGAAGACTTCAAGGCACACTTACCATCCTGGTGACAGCGGAACCCGCTGGGGGCCCTGAAAGGCCTGGGCTGATGATGTGGTCTTGGGCTCCACACCCTGCCCCAGGGGCGGATGGCGCTATGCCAGTTTCTCTCCAGCCACCAAGACCCATGCACCTGGCCCCCAGCCCGGGTCCTTCTCCAAACATGGACACTTCTCAGGAAGTCTGATCTCCTCCTACCAGCGCCGAGGGATGGCCAAGCCCCCAGCATGGTGCTGATGGAGAACTCGGCCAGTTCCTCTTGTCTATGACCACAGGGCTCACAGCACTCATGGCGGCCCCTGCCCAATCTCTCTTAGACCCTGCCTCAGTTTACCCTGCTGATCAATCTCCAGATGGGCCGACACAGACTGCGGAGGTGTGGCCCAAAGCCAGCCCATGCTTGTTTGGGGCCTTTCTTCTGAGCTTCCCCACACTCCCCACAGCCTGCTGGGAACTCATACCACAGGGCACTAAATTCCCCACCTTCCCCACTGGGAGAGGCAACATCAGGGTAGGGGGTGGGGGTCTTTGGAGGCAGGAGAACAGGCTGGCTTGATGCCTGCTTCTGCTCCATCCCAGCACTGCAACTGTGACTGATCACCTAATGTCTCCCATTCATTCATTCAGTCATTCTTTCACTCATTCATCTGACTCTGGGGCCATGGCTCCTCCCATTTTCACACATTTGCACTTTGCCAGGGGACTTCTAGTGACTGTCCCTTTGCCCATGGGGGTGGCGTGCCCTGAAGGGTCCCCTCCCCTTCTCTGACTCTGCATGCAGCCCTGGCTCCACCACGGAGCAGGAAGAGAAGGAGGGGCTGGCTCTGATGGGATCCACCCTGTGCACTGGGGACCAGGCCGTTCTGCAGCATGGAGCACAGACCGGGGGTCTCAGTCTATGAACTGGGGGATTAGGTCACATGTTTGCTGTAGTGCGAGGACACCCAGGACATGGAAGCCCCTCTGAAACCATTATGGTTGGCAGCCTTACAAAACTCTGACCCCAAACCTCGCTGCCCGGCAAGCTTTCTTTGCTTTCCTTCCCCATCCTCTTCATTTTGCCATGATACCCGGAGGCTGAGCAGAGAGGCCCCGCTATGAGTCCCATCTGTCCTTCAGGCCCTGCCCAACCATCCCCATCCCCACACTCACACACAGGAAGCCACACACACAAAGGGCACATTTCTGTTTCAAAGCCTTCATTGCAGCTGATCCTCTGCGGTGCATTCAAGCTGGGCCCTCCTTGCTCCCTGCTCTGGGTGGGGACAAGGACATCACACTGAGTGGGAAGGACACTGGGGTCCAGGCCAAGCCACCCAGGCGGGCAGCAGAGGAATGGTCACCCAACGGTGACTGTCAAAGTACAAAGGCCAGCCGGATGTGGTAGTTCACGCCTGTAATCCCAGTACTTTGGGAGGCCAAGGTGGGCGGATCACCTGAGGTCAGGAGATTGAGACCAGCCTGGCCAAAATGGCAAAAACCCATCTCTACTAAAAATACACACACAAAAAATCAGCTGGGCATGGTGGTGGGTGCCTGTAATCCCAGCTACTCAGGAGGCTGAGTCAGGAGAATTGCTTGAACCCGGGAGGCAGAGGTTGCAGTGAGCTGAGATTGTGCCACTGCACTCCAGCCAGGGCAACAAATTGAGACTCTGCCTCAAAAAAAAAAGAAAGTACAAAGGCCAACAGAGTCAGCCCCAAAGCGGGGACACAGAGTCCCCTGGGGTGGGGAGGAGACACCAGGCTTTTCTTTATCATTCCCTCTGCCTCCACCTTTGGTGTTTCCACATGTGTTTTGCAATGTGTGAGCGCTTTACAGACTGCAAGTAAGTCGACACTCAGGTGGTGGGTGGGGGGCGCAGGATGAGATGTGTGGAGACTCTAGGGCTGTGAGGTGGCTGCTGACTGGCTTCTGCATAGCCCCCGCCCGTGGTGGGTGATGGGGTGGCAAACTTGGGGGGCGTGGGCTGGATAGGGTGGAGGATGCTGAGCTCCTGTGAGGTTCCTCGGAGCTAGGCTGGGGCCCTGGTAGGTTTTAATTCCTTACGGCAGAATCCCCTGGGCCGTGCTGCAGCCTGGCAGTGTCAGGGGCTCAGTAATTATTTGTTGGTGGAGACACCTGAGCATTGAGAGTCAGGAATGAGCTTCGGTGTGCTGCATGTCCCATTTCCCAGAGTGGAAATGTGTTCCCCCCTCTCCCCACAAGGAGAGCATTTCACGGGCTTAAATTTTGGCAGACAGACTCTTGGAATCTGAGCACCAGGCCATTTGTGTCTACGGGGAACTACCTGTCCCTCAGCACTTCTTACAAGCCCTTTGTTGTCACAGGTGCTGGGATGCAGACGAGGAAAGGAGAGGCTGGGGGTACAGACACGGAAGCTGCAGGTGAAGATGTGGTGCAGAGCCCTCCTGCGAGGGACAGCAAGCGGCTGCGGCAGACCCCATGCACCTCCTGGGGAGAGAGCCGTGCCAGTGGGGAGCACTGGACTTAGAGTCAAAAAACCCACACTCATGCCTGTAATCCCAGCACTTTGGGAGGCCGAGGCGGGCAGATCACGAGGTCAGGAGATCGAGACCATCCTGGCTAACATGGTGAAACCCTGTCTCTACTAAAAACAATACAAAATATTAGCCAGGCGTGGTGGTGGGTGCCTGCAGTCCCAGCTACTGGGGAGGCTGAGGCAGGAGAATGGCATGAACCCGGGAGGCGGAGCTTGCAGTGAGCCGAGATCTTGCCACTGCACTGCAGCCTCGGCGACAGAGCGAGACTCCATCTCAAAAAACAAACAAACAAACAAAAAACCCCACACTCCCAGGCCTAACTCTGCCCTTACCAGCCTGAAGAAGCTACCTGGCTCTCCCAGGGCCTCCGTTTCCCCATCAGTAAGACTGGGATGCCCAGGGCTGCTGTGAGGCAACGAAAGCCCCTGCAAACAGGTTTCATCATACCCTTATCCCTCACTTTTCTCCCCTACTAAATAGGGCAGTAGTGCTGCCAACTCTGAGGGACTGTGAGGGGGGCCATGAGTCAGCAACAAGGACACAGCAGGCAGGTGGTAAATGCCTGGTGAGTGCTGGTGGCTCTCTAGAAATAATGAGTATCACGCAGTTAGCGGAAGGGGTGGCCAGGACACTGTGGGAGCCCAGGAGAGCGCCCGTCCTGCACCTGCCACGGAGGCCACGCCGCTGTCTCCCTCCCTGGGGATGAGCTCCCCCAGTGTCCCCAGCCCCACATCACCAGACGCCAGCCTCTTCCCTCAGTCTGGATACAGTGACACAGACGTGACACCGTGGAGCCCAGACAGCCCCAGGAGGACTCGTGATCCCCGTGGGGTGAGAGGAAGGAAGAGTGACTCAGAGCTGCATTTTTCTGGAAAGCATGATAAGGGATCATCAGTGTCAAAACCCCGAGCTCCAGGCAGGGGCCATGATTTCTCCAGTGACCCCAAGACCACCAGGAATGACCCAACCATGTGGAGAGTGAGGAGGGCCGTGGCCACGCCTGTCTCCTTGGTGGAGCCACTTCATGGCACCCACGGACCACGAGACATCTCTGGGCTGGGGAAAGTCACATGATTCCCTGAGCCTCAATTCCACTGCAAATGGGGACCAAAAGCCACAGGCGGGTTTGCAGAATTGAGCCAGGTAACAGGCGTGGGGTCCTGGCCAGTGACCACCCCCAGGCCCACAGGCACTGCTGCTACTCCTTTTGCAGGGGAATCATCCTTTCCTGATGTGCACAAAATAGATGAGGCAACAGATTGATTTGAGGGGCCAGGACTGGTTTCCCACCCAGGCCCACCCCCACCTGAGCATTCAGGCACTGGACTCGTGGCTCCCTGCCCTGGCTGCACTGTACCCCACAGCCAGGTGGGCTGATAAACGGAGGTAAACTGTGGGTCACCATTCCTGTGTTACAGTCCCGACCCCCACAACCTCAGAACGTGACTGTATTTGCAGATAGGGCCTTGAAAGAGCTGATTAAATTAAAATGAGGCCATTAGGGTGGGCCCTGACCTAGTAGGACTGGTGTCCTTTAAGGAGATGAGGACACTGACACACTGGTGGGGATGACCTGTGAGGGGACAGGGAGAAGGCAGCTGAATGCGAGCCCAGGAGAGAGGCCTCAGGAGGAACCAGCCCTGTTCCATCTTGATCTCCCATTCCAGCCTCCAGAATGTGAGCCCACCAACGTCCCGTGTAAGCCGCCCAGTCTGTGGGGCGTTGTGGTCAGCCTGAGCTGACTCAGACACACGAAGACACACTGACTTAGTGCGGTGCCATGGCATCTCATACACTGTACTCTCGCCATTGCACAGACAGGGAAGCGGCCTACAGATACGGCGCCTGTCCAAGGTAGGACTCGAATCCCGGCAGGATGCCTGCAGGGCACACTGTACTTCCCAGAACCACAACAGGCTGCAAGAAACAGAGACTCCTGCTCCCCCAAGACAGGAGGAACGCAGATTGCTTTTGAACTTTTATTCCAGCCCCGCAAGAGTGGGTTTCAGGAATGGCACCTTCCCTGCTCACCTGAGGATGGTGATGTTGTTGGCACAGAAGGCGAGGTCTCAGGGGGACAGGCGCATCACGACGCACAGCCTTCCCATCCTGGACCACAGCATTGCACGGCCCAAGAGCTCGTGGCCACGACGGGCTCCGGAGGCCCACATCCTTCATTTGCACCATTCTGGTACTGACAGTGGTTCCTCCCCTGTGGAGTAGACAGCGTGTCCCCGAGAAGGTGGGGGGCCCTGGGCCACGTCTCACAGGCAGAACCTTCATCTCACACCATCATGAACCAGCCAGGTGCGTGACCTCATGCTTGGTGTCATCGAATCTGCTAATTTACATGAAATGGAGCAACAGGATGGCCCATGGAAGATTTTAGCCCAGTTCAGAGATAACCAAGAGATTGGTTTTCTTCTCAAAGGGGGATGATTGCTCTTTCCTTGGAAATGTTACTTATTCATGATGGTTTAGATGTCGGGGATGCAATGAGCCCAGAGACCATCTGCCGGGTCACTCTCAGCTCTTCCCTGGCCTCCCCACAGGATGGGCGGCCTCCCCTTACAGCGCATTCCCACACACCTCAGCACCAGCCGGGCGACCCCATCCACCCTCTGCCCAGCTGTTGCTGAATAAAGGGACGTGGGAACCTGAACACAGAGGAGCATGAATGCAGGTGAGAACGAGGCCTGTGCTGGATCCAGGGGAGTAGAAACACAGGGCTGCACACCCTAGGCCCTACTCTGATTTATTAAATTAGGTCTTGCTCAGTCTCCAGGTCCAGCTCACCCCTGGCAAGGTGGCCAAGGGCATGGATGCATCCCCAGTCCAACCCTGCCCTGTGCTGGGCGTGGGGCATCATATTTCTCAAGAAAATCATTTCCAGCCAGTGAGCTCACTGGGCTACCTTAGCAACTACATGAAACACAGATCAAAGTCCCTCATAGGAGCATGAAGTGTCCCTGAAAAGGCCCAGCTGTGGGACAGGACAATGGTGGCTGCCTCTGAGGACAGCCAGAAGAGGCTGCAGCTGGCACTACATCCCTTCCCTTCCTTCTGCCCAGAAAGTGGCGCTTGCAGGCCACCCCATAAGGCAAAGCCCAGTCTTGGGTGATGGTATGAATGTAAGACAGGCATGGATGAGGCTGGGCCCCAGGTGGCATCTCCCAGGCCTGGGCGGTGATGGCATGAATGTAAGACAGGCATGGATGGAGCTGGGCCCCAGGTGGTGTCTCCCGGGCCTGGGCCGGATCCCAGGACCCCCGGTGTCCCCGGGACCTGTCCTGTGCAGGTCAGCCTGCTGTGGTCAGCAAAGCCACGGCTGCAAGATGTCTACGCCCTAATCCCTGGGACCTGTGTGACCATAAGCCGCAAAAGGGACTTTGCAGATGTGATGAAGACCTGGAGATGGCCCTGATGTTCAGCGTCATCACAAGCGTCCTGATAAGTGGAGGAGGAGCCGGGAGGAGCAGAGCTGGAGAGGTGAGGATGGAAGCAGAAGTTGGAGGGATACGCTGTTGGCTGGAGATGGAGGACCACAAGCCAAGGAACACAGGCGGCCTCTAGAAGGTGGAAAAGGCAAGGAAACAGGCTCTCCTGGAGCCTCCAGCAGAAACCAGCCCTGACCACACCTTGACTTTAGGCCAGTGAGCCCTGCATTGGACTTCTGGCTTTCACAACGCTAAGATAATAAACACGTGTTGCTGGAAGCCACCAGGTTCGTGGTGACTTGCTGCCAATGCCTCAGCCACGGGAAGTGCACAGCTGACTTCTACAAGGCTGAGAACATCAGAAAGCCGTGGACATCCACCAGGCTGCTGCGAAGGGACACTTTGCAGACCAGCCCCTCCCTTTTGGTCATTAATAAACAGGGGCGTGGGGTGGCTGGGCTGAGGCACAGCGCAGCCTTACTGGCTACATTTTGCAACTGAAGACCCTGTAATGAGCCACAAGGTGAGAGCTCAGCCCTGTACCCCAAATGGCCCCAGTGTCCAGGGGGCCACCAGCAGGGTGTCTCTGAACATCCCTTTGTCACTGCAGACCGTGCCAGCCTCCAGAATGCTCAATCGCGTCCCTTACCCTCCTGCAGGATGAAATTGGACCGCCAATGAGCGGCGTGGGCCTGCAGCCTGGGCTGCTGGGGACCCGGCCTTGTCTGGGCAGTCTGGGTCTGCTCGGTGTTGCCAGAAGAAATTGTGGGCACCTGGTGGCACCCACGGGGGCTCAAGATGAAGGAGGAGGGAGTGGTGTTTTGCCAGGACCAAGGACAGCGCCGTGGCACTGGCTCAGCGGTTACAGGAGCCACTTCCTCCCACTCTTCAGGCCTGAGGCCGCTTCCCCGCTGCTGGCTGCCCAGCCAGAGCCAGGGCTGGGGCAGGCGGGAACAGCGAGGCCAGCAGGCCACGGGCCACATCTTCATGCCACCCTGAGACCACAAAGCCTGTGCTGCTCTCAAAGTCTGGAGCCAGTTTGGCTGGGGGGACCCTGGGGGGCTCACCTCCTGTTCCCTCTGTGGGTCCCAGGATGCTGCAGCACACACGTGTGGGTATACACCCCACACTCCTCTGTCACTCTGCCCTGACCTGGAGCCCACCAGGTCCAGGGGCTCTCAAAGTTCTGGCTCTTCCCCGTCATCAGCACCTAAGTGTTCGTCACTGCGAGGCCTTCTGAGGAGCCACCAGGGAGGGGGGATGCCAGATCTAGGGGCAAGAGGCACCTGGACCAAGAATAGATTAAGGTTCAGGGCACTCCCTTCTCCAGAAATCACCATGAGGATCTCCATCAGGGACGACGGCAAAAGTAAGTCTAGCGTTTGAAGGGCAAGGGAAGAAAAGCTCTTGTAGTCACTGAAATAAAACCACAAACCTGACTGGCTGTTCCAGTACCTTAGGAAAGGCCTCTGCCTTCCTCAAAGATGGCATCTTCCTATCTGAATGGTATATTTTGTGTTACATTAAGGTTGTTGGTGCTTCAGTTTTTGTTACTGTTTTTTTTTTACTTCTCACCAACACCATAACTCACTGTACTTTAAAGCTAGCTAGGCCAGGTACAGTGGCTCATGCCTGTAATCCCAGCCCTTTGGGAGGCTGAAGATGGCAGATCACTCGAGGTTGGGAGTTTGAGACCAGTCTGGCCAATATGGCGAAACCCCATCTCTACTAAAAATACAAAAATTAACCGGGCGTGGTGGCACGTGCCTGTAATCCCAGCTACTCGGGAGGCTGAGGCAGGAGAATCACTTGAACCCGGGAGGCGGAGGTTGCAATGAGCTGAGATCGTGCCACTGCACTCCAGCCTGGGTGACCGAGCGAGACTCTGTCAATCAATCAATCAATCAATCAATCAAGCTAGCTAGCTGAAGGCAAAGACTGAAGTTGGGGCCTGGTGCACACAGCAGCATTCCATGAGTATAGAGAGTCCAGCCCTGGAACTGGAGGAACTCACCCCAAGCCTCACTCTGCCAGCTCTGAGCTGTGTGAGCGGTATGGCCCCTGGGAAGCCACTTAATCTCTTTGGACTATGATTTAATGTCCTGTAGAGCAAAGCTCCTGATCTCCTCTCTTGGGCACACGAGGGTTGGGGCCGTAAATGTTTGCCAGCTCTGCCCCGAGCCTCATGCCCACAGAGGCCATCCTGCCTCCCCTAGGAGCTGCTGGTCAATGGGAGGGGACAGATCCCGGGCCAGGTCCAGTCTCCTTTCCCTGCCGAAGAGCTGAGGCCAGAGGAGGGGTTGGCCTGGGGAGACAGCAGACAGACCCAGGGCGGAGAGTCCAAGGTGCCATCAGTCAGAGAAGGCCTTGCAAAGAAAGCAGAGAGGGGCTCCACCCCAGGGGGCCAATGCCGCCATCCTCATGATGAGAAGGGGCCTGGCATTGGCACCAGCTGAAAGGACCACCTAACTGTCCCCACACATCCGGGGCCTCCAAGCCGCTAACTCTACTACTGCTGACTGAATGCCGTGGAGGCCGCCAGCCCCGGCCGGATCCAATTAGCTCATGCACACATCTGCAAGTGACGGGAGGGCTGGGTTGAGATGCTCTCTGCTAGGCCTGCTCGGCAGATGGGACCCACTCAGCTTCCCTGTGGAGTCCCTGAGCCAGTGTGTCCCTCTGAGCTCCCTATAGAGGCGGCAGGCAGCAGATATAAGCTCAGGTCCATATCTGACCAGTGCGTGCAGGCTAGGCAGCGGGAGGATACGCAAACCTCTCCCCTCGTTCACTGAGGGTGGCCCTGGAGCGATGGGCCTTCACAGGTCCTGGTGGGCACCCAGTCGGGTGTGGGGATGCAGGGTCTCACTTCCGATGCTGTCGGGGTCCCTGAAGGGGCCTTATCCCAGAGATGACAGCCGAAAACACAGCGTGTCACAGGCAGCATCTGTGTGTGCTATGGTGGTGTTCTAGAAGCTGGCGGAGCTTCAGAACCACCTGGGGGGCTTTAGACAAATGTAGACCCTGGGCCCTCTCCCTGGTGATCTGAGTCAGTCAGTCTGGGCTGGGGATGGGGGTGGGGTGTGCGTGTCTGATGAGCAGGACCCTCAGGTGTTGGTGAGGTCTGAGAAGCCCCAGGAATCACTGGCAGGGTCTGCTGTGCAGCTCACTCTCCTGAGGCTTGCAGCAGGCTCGTGGGGCCAGGGTGCTGCCCTGTGGCTGGGGGTGCAGCTCAGCACTCTGACAGCCACATGGAGCGGGGGACAGAGGGAAGATTGGGGGAGAATCTGCATGGTGCCTGGCCCTGGGGCAGGGGCACTGGGCTGTGGCTGAGAACATGTAAGGGAGTTACGGAGGCCAGAGCGGGGATGCCTTCATCTATCTACGGGCTCAGGTATGGCTCCAAAGATGGGGGATTCCCAGGCTGACTCCAGAAGGCCTAGCAGCATGTCCCCAACTGATGCAAGAGGTGGGAGGAGGCCTTGCTGGCAGAGGGAGCATGTGGCGAGAAGGTGACCTGGAGGGCAAGGGTACAGGGCCAGGATAGAGCCAGAAGATCCAGCCGCAGAACAGGGGCCAGCGTGTGGCAGCAGCATCCACAGTGCCCTGATCTTCGGGGCTGTGGCACAGGCAGAGGGAGTCCAGTCCTGCCCTGTGCCTACAGCACAGCAAGTGCTCGGTGAATACTGGCAGGTGCGATTTTCATGAGCTCTGATTCTTGCAAGGGGCTGGCTGACTTCTGGCTCCAAGGAGGGCAGTGCCAGGAAAGCGCAGCTAAATGCCAGCTGCCCAGATGGCACGGAAAACATGCACTCCGGGTCATCGAATCCCAAATTCACTGGGGTTGAGCCCCCTCCATCTTGAGTGGCTCAGGATAAAATCTGGAGCCTGTCCACTCCACGCTCACTGTCAGGAGCCTCCTAATGAACCATCGAGGCTGTGTGTCCCTTCTGCAGTCTTTTGTCCACCCAGTGGCCAGAACGATCCTCCGCAACCCAACAAGATCTCACCATCACCCCACGGTATAACGTCTGCGGGCTGCCCGCTCCTCACAGGTAAAAGCCAGCATGGCCCAGTGGCCCACAGGTTCCCACGGCCTGGCCCAGCCATGCCTCCCCTCTCTCCCTTGCCACTCTCTGCAGCTTGCTCAGCCCAGCTGCACAGCCCTCCTGCTTCCCTCTAACCTCTGGGCATGGCCTGACCACCGTGCATGACTCTGCAGCCACCGCGAGCATGCTCCTCAAGGTCTCATCCCCGGCCGACCCCCAGAGCCATTCAATTATCGGCCGTGATGGCTGCCTGTGACTCGGGTCTACCTGCCAGCGCTTTGGCTCCACTCTGCCCTTGGTTGGCCCCTGATGTGTCCCCAGCTCTGAGAGTGGGGCCTGGATCAAGGGCACACTTGCGGGTCTGGTGAGTCCGAAGGTAGGAGGTAGTTACTAAGCCAGGCATCCTGGCGCTCGAATCACATGCAGGGCTGAGTCTGTGTTCCGATCCCGTGTGACAGGCCTATCATCTGTGTCTTTTATTTTCTCTTTCTGATGCTCTGGCATCCAGGGTTTTGCTGACCCTGGAGGGATGGCCCCTCAAGAATCAGGCAATTCCTAGAGAAAGTAAACAGCTCACCTGAGAGCTGGATTTTCAAATGCTAACCAACTAAAACAGAGGCCACCCCACCCCTCCTCTATCCGGGTCCCATGCTCCCAGCCACTAACCCTGCCCCCATCACCCCAGGGCTGGGTACCGGACAGCCAGGGACAGGCCCTAGGCCCCAGAGCTCTGAAATGATTCCAGCTGCCAACGCTAAACCCACTTACACTGCCTACTTAGTCTGCTCCTTCCTGCAGAAATCATGGTAAAGCTCCTGTCCACATTTCCCCCCTCTCCCTCTGCCTCCTAATGGACCTTGTGCTTCCCTGAATGGCCCCCAAGGCATGGCCTCCCCTACCTCCTGGGAAGAGTGAGTTAGCAGCTGTCCCCCTGATCCGTTGGTCTCGCCATACCTGAATAATAATAAAACCTACATTTTAAAACACTGCGGTACACAGGACCTGCCTGACAAAGGATCCAGGAAAGCAAGTCCCTGAAGGCAATTGTTTTGTGTCATTCCACTACATGTTCTGAAAAGAGTGGCAGTGCTGGCACGGTCTGGTGCATGCTGGTGCCTGAGATCGTCAGCGGAGACGCAGAGGCCTAAGGGCTGGAGGACAAGCCCCTGAGCTCCGTGGCTACCACCCCAGGGGCTTGGATGCACTGGATTTTGTGTGTGGGGGCATGGTGAATACCGCCTCGCAGCCCCTCTGAGCTGGCACAGCTCAGGCCACAGCACGCCCACTCTGGCTCAAGGGAAATGGTGCCAGGCTCTGGGCCCTGGGAGACCGCCTGACTCGAGGGTGGGCTCCTGATCACAGGTGGTCCATCCACTGGCTGGCAGGGGCTAAAGCCAAGAGCTGATGCAAAGGGCACTGCCAATGGGGCAGGGATGACCAGTAGAGCCAGCTGGATGGGCTGATTTTTGAAGCAGAGAATTTGGGACCAGTGACAATAGAACAGACTGGCAGAGTGGGGCAGGGACAGCATGAGGGAGGAATGGGGAAGCAGCCAGTCGGTAAAGCTGCCCCAGGTCCTCACAGCTCTAAGTCCCAGGCCACACTGCCCTGCAATACTCTCCAATTTCACCTGGCATTTAACACAAATTGACCAGAATCATTCCCTGTTCTTTGTTCCTAATAAGGACAGGCTTGCTTTTATCCAGACATCCATTCATCCATCCACCCGCCCACCCACTCATTCATTCATCCATGTATTCACCCATCCATCCATCTCTCTTTTCATGTATCCATCTACCCATCTATCCCTCCATCCATTCATCCACCCACCCCACTACCCACTCATCTATCCATTTGCCTACCCATTCACCCACTCATTCGTCCATCCAACTAGCCATCCATCCATCCATCCATCCATGCATTCACCCATCCTCTATCCATCCATCCACTTAACTACCCAACCACTCATCTATCCATTTGCTCACCCACCCACCCACCCACCCATGCATTTGTCCATCCAATTAGCCATCCATCCATCCATGCATCCACCCATCCTCCCCCCATCCATCCATCCACCCATCCTTCATCCATTCCTCCATCCATCCATCCATCCAACAGCTATCTGAACTGTTTAATGACAACCTCCCATAGGGAGACAGCTGGGAAAAAGACCGATTCAACCCTGACCTTGTGGAGTTTGCAACCTGCAAGTGACAACTGAACAAGTAGCCACGAGTGTGGTGAAGTTTCTTGGAGAATCGCACAGGTGCCTGCCCTGGGTTGTGTAACATGGTGGAGGCTATTCTAATTAGGGGGAAGGTCAGGGAAGGCTTCTCTAGGATGTAACTGTCAGGACTGAATGTCGCCCAGGAGTCAGCAAGGGAGAGAGGAGTGCTTGAGGAAAGAGAGCTGTGAGGTGGGCAGTGGGGGCAGATCAGGAAGATGGGAATGGGGTGCCTCCTCAGGGACCCTCTGGAAGAATCTTTAAAAGCTGGGCACAAGGATCACTTGCGCCTTAGAAGGCTTGCTGGGGGCAGGAGGGGCAGGTGCGAATGAGGGAGGTTCTGGGGCCGGGGTCACCTATTGGCTTCTCTTAAGGCGTGGCCGGGGCTAGTGGCAAGGAGGGCCCCAAGGTGCTGCATAGCTTGTCACTCAGAGCTGGGCAGCCTGGACACACTACTCTTCACAGAGACCTCGGAAGCTAACTCCGAGGCGGCCCCTGCATGGCTGGCCAAGGGGCACATGCTGGGACGCAGACTCTCAGTACAGATCGCCAGCCTCTGGCACCGTTGCTGTGGAAACCAACTGGCAATGAGAAATTTAGCAATTTGAAAAAAGCATTTCCTTCCCTTATTTATATCTCTTGACCCTTATCCTAGGGGAATGGCGAGGGAAGCACGGCTCGCAGCTGGAGCCGGGAGTGGGCAGGTGTCTCGAGGGTACCGCTCCCCGGAACGGGGAAGGACACCAGTACCTCACCCCCCCAGAGTGGGCAGAGCCTAGAGACGCCATCCCAGAATACGTCACTCCTGGGAAAGATGAAAATAATGCAGAAAAGGCAAAGTCTCCCTCTTCCCTCCCCCACCTCACTCCTCTCCCAGAGACGACCTCAAACGTCACTCCGAAGATTGTTATTCGAGGTCATTCTCCATGCACCGCTGGGCACATGCAGGAATACAGACACATGCCAGTGCTCTTGTTGAACAAAATGGGGTCACACTCTAGCCCATGGCTCCTCTGCAGCCCACTCCCTTTGCTGAGGGCCTGTGTTGCTCTCCCGACCACAACACTAGGGTTGTTGCGTCACTTCCACTGCCGTACAGAGTTCCACGGCGAGCTGGGCCGGGCTTTATGAAAGCAGTTCTCTCAGATGTCCAGGGATGCCACGCCACATGAATCACCAAGAAATGAAGCAATGCACTTGCCAGTCCCTCCTCTAAATGCTTTCTCTAAAGGCAGCCTGGCCAACAGGACCCCTAACTAGACAGGCCCTAATGGGGCAGAGGGGAGAAGCGGGGAGAGCGATCTGGAGAAAGGAGCCTGTCGCGGCACCACGGGTACATCTGTAAACATGAGAGTCAGGGAAAAACGAAATTGGTCTGGGGCATTCTACGCAGCCATCAAAGGCATGGATGACAGTGCTTACCGACAGGAAAAAATATTCCCCACATGTTCAGAAAAAAAGGGTAGGTTACAAAATGGTATGGAACAGCGAGTCCGACATTCAGAGAAAAGGTATAAAAAAGATGCAGAGGCATATCTTGTTTTATTACCCCTTGCTTTATTGTGCTTTGGGGATACTGCATTTGTTACAAACTGAAGGTTTATGGCAACCCATTGTTGAGCACGTCCAGTTTTTTTTTTTTTTTTTTTTTTAAGAGATGGGGTCTTGCTCTGTCACCCAGGCTGGAGTACAGTGGCGAGATCACAGCTCACTGCAGCCTCAAACTCTTGGCCTCAAGTGAACCTCCCACCTTGGCCTCCCCAAGTGCTGGGATTCTGGGTGTGAGCCACTGTGCCTGGCCTGAGGCAAGTAAATCTGTTGGTGCCATTTTTCCAATAGCATGTGCTCACTTCATGTCTCTGTGTCACATTTTGACAATTCTTGTAACATTTCAAACTTTTTCAGTATTATGATATCTGTCATGGTGATCTGAGATGACTGATCTTTGATGCTTCTATTGTAATTGTTTTGGGGTGCCATGAACTGTACCCATATAAGACAGAGAAATTAACTGATAAATGTTGTGTGTTCTGACTGATCTATCAACTGGCTGGTCCATCGTCTCTTCCCATCTCCTTGGGCCTCCCTATTCCCTGAGACACAACAATATAGAAATTAGGCTGATTATAGCTCTTATTTCACATGCCAAGGGAATAAAAAAAGAAATAAGGCCAATTAATGATCACACAATGGCCTCTAACTGCTCAAGTGAAAGGAAGAGTCACTCATCTTTCACTTTGGATCAAAAACTAGAAATGATTAGGCTTAGTGAGGAAGGCATGTCAAAAGCTGAGATAGGCTGAAAGCTGAGACAGTCCTCTTGCACCAGTTTAGCCAAGCTGTGAATACAAAGAAAAAGCTCTTGAAAGAAATTAAAAGTGTTACTGCAGTGAACACACAACTGATAAGAAACTGGAACAACCATATCACTGATATGGAGAAAGTTTTAACTGGTTTGGATAGAAAATCAAATTGTCCACAACATTCCCTTAAGCCAAAGCCTAATCTAGAGCAAGGCCCTAACTCTCTGCAATTCTATGAAGACTGAAGAGCTGAGGAAGTTGCAGGAAAAAAGTTGGAAGCTAGCAACTTCCATCAAGTTTAAGAAAAGAAGCTGTGTTCTGTAACGTAAACACGCAAGGCAAAGTAGCAAGTCTTGATGGAGAAGCTGCAGCAAGTTCTCCAGAGGATCTAGTTAACTTCATTGATGAAGGTGGCTACACTAAACAACAGATTTTCAATTGAGACAAGACATCCTTCTTTTTTTGAGATGGAGTCGCGCTCTGTCGCCCAGGCTGGAGTGCAGTGGTGCGGTCTCAGCTCACTGCAAGCTCCGCCTCCCGGGTTCATGCCATTCTCCTGCCTCAGCCTCCCGAGTAGCTGGGACTACAGGCGCCCGCCACCACACCCACATAATTTTTTGTATTTTTAGTAGAGACGGGGTTTCACTGTGTTAGCCAGGATGGTCTCGATCTCCTGACCTCATGACCCTTCCACCTCGGCCTCCCAAAGTGCTGGGATTACAGGCGTGAGCCACTGCGCCCGGCCAAGACAGCCTTCTATTGGAAGAAGATGCCATCTAGGATTTTCATAGCTAGAGAGGAGAAATCGATGTCTGGTTTCAAAGATTCAAAGGACAGGCTGACTCCCTTGTGAGGGGCTAGTACAGCTGGTGACTTTAAGTTGAAGCTGGTACTCATTTCCCATTCTGAAAATCCTAGGGCCTTAGGAATTATGTGAAACCTACTCTGCTTGTGCTCTATAAATGGATCAACAAAGCCTGGATGACAGCATATCTGTTTACAGCATGGCTATTTACAGCATGAATATTTTAAGCCCATTGTTGAGATTTACTGCTCAGAAAAAAGAGATTCCATTCCAAATGTTACTGCTCATGGACAATGAACCTGGTCACCCAAGGTCTCTGCTGGAGATGTAAAAGGAAATTAATGCTGTTATGCCTGCTGACCCAACAGTCACTTACAGTCTATGGATCAAGGAATAATTTTGACTTTCAAGCCTCATATTTAAGAAACACATTTTGTAAGGCTATAGCTGCCATAAATAGTGATTCCTCTGACGGATCTCGGCAAAGTCAATTGAAAACCTTCTGGAAAGGATTCACCATTCTAGATGGCATTAGGAACATTTGTGATTCATGGGAGGAGGCCAGTATGTCAACATGAGCAGGAGTTGAGAAGAAGTTGATCCCATCCCTCATGGATGGCTTTGAGGGGTGCAGGGGAAGAGGTCACTGCAGATGTGGTGGAAACAGCAGAAGAACTAGAATTCGAAGTGGAGCTGGCCGGGCACGGTGGCTCACGCCTGTAATCCCAGCACTTTGGGAGGCCGAGGCAGGAGGATCACGAGGTTAGGAGATCAAGACCATCCTGGCTAACACAGTGAAACCCCGTCTCTACTAAAAATACAAAAAAAATTAGCCAGGCGCGGTGGCGGGCGCCTGTAGTTCCAGCTACTCGGGAGGCTGAGGCAGGAGAACGGCGTGAACCTGGGAGGTGGAGCTTGCAGTGAGCTGAGATCAGAGATTGCGTCACTGCACTCCAGCCTGGGCAACAGAGGGAGACTCTGTCTAAACAAACAAACAAACAAACAAAAACAGAAGTGGAGCTGAAGATGGGACTTAAACGCTGCAATCTCATGAGAAACTTGAATGGATGAGGAGTTGCTTCTTAGGGACAAGCAAAGAAAGTGATTTCTCGAGATGGAATCTACTCCTGGTAAAGATGCTGTGAACATTGTTAAAATGATAACAAAGGATTGAGAATATTCCATAAGCCTAGTTGATAAAGCAGCAGCAGGGTTTCAGAGAAAAGACTCCAATTCTGAGAATTTCTGCTGTGGGTAAAATGCTATCAAACAGCATTGCATGCTACAGAGACACCTTTCATGAAAGGAAAAGTCAATTGATGTGGTAAACTTCATTGTTGTCTTATTTTCAGAAATTGCCACAGTCACCCCAGCCTTCGGCAACCACCGCTCTCATCAGTCAGCAGCCATCAACATTGAAGTGAGACTCTCCAACAGCAAAATTATGATGACTCGCCGAAGGCTCTGATGATTGCTAGCATTTCTCAGCAATAAGGTATTTTAAATTAAGATATGCACACTGCTTAGACATGATGCTATTGCACACTTAACAGACTACAGGATAAACATAACTTTTCTATGCACTGGGAAACCAAAAAAAAAAAAAAGTGTGCATCTCGCTTTAATGTGGTATTTGCTTTCCTGTGGTGGTCTGGGGCTGAACCCACAAATATCCCCAGGTCGGCCTGTGCAGAAAACAAGAGCTGAGAGTCATCCTGGAGTTAACGAGGCTCCTCTTGGGGCCAAGGCTTTCATGCCTGGCAGATTCATTGCTTATAATTAGTATCCCTCTCCCCAGTAGATGTTATCTTTTAAAAAAGGAAAAGACAAAGAAATGGAGGGAAAGGGAAGGTCTACAAATGGGTCAGAAAAAGGAAGGTAGAGACCAGGCATGGTGGCTCACGTTTGTCATCCCAGCACTTTGGGAGGCCGAGGTGGGCGGATCACTGGACCTCACTTGAGGTCAGGAGTTCGAGACCAACCTGGCCAACATGGTGAAACCCTGTCTCTACTGAAAATACAAAAATTAGCTGGGTGCGGTGGTGAGTGCCTGGGATCCCAGCTACTAGGGAGATTGAGGCAGGAGAATCGCTTGAATCTGGGAGGCAGAGGTTGCAGTGAGCAGAGATCATGCCACTGCACTCCAGTATGGGCTACAGAGACAGACTCTGTCTCAAACAAAAAGAAAAAGAAAAAGAAAAAGAAAAAAAAGAAAAAAGAAGGTAGAAAAGAAAGAACCAAAAGATAGAAGAAGGAGCCGGAATCCACAGAGCCAATCTGTGCAGATAAATTACAGGAGTAAGCGCATTGCCCTGGACTCAAACGCTGTCAACTTCTGGAGATACAACATTTGCTTTTCTTAAAAAAGAAAAAGAAAAAGAAAAAAAAAGCAACATCATAGCTCCATTTTTGTCTTCTCCAAGGAAACATAACACATTTCAACAACTTAAAAAGGGACAGGAAGACCATGTGAAAACATCCTGAAATAGTGTTTTCTCTCAAGGGCAGACCTGAGCTACACTGATCTCCTGAAACATTTTTTAAAATGCAGAGATGTGGGCCGGGCGCGGTGGCTCACACCTGTAATCCCAGCACTTTGGGAGGCCAAGGAGGGTGGATCACTTGAGGTTAGGAGTTCGAGACCAGCCTGGCCAAAAGGGTGAAACCTCATCTCTACTAAAAATACAAAAAAATGAGGTGGGTGTGGTGGTGTGTGCCTGAAGTCCCAGCTACTCGGGAGGCTGAGGCAGGAGAACCGCTGAAACCGGGAGGCCGAGGTTGCAGTGAGCTGAGATGGCACCATCCAAGATCGCGCCATCGCACTCCAGTCTGGGCGATAGAGCGAGACTCCGTCTAAAAAAAAAATAAATAAATAAAAAATAAAAATAATAAAAAATAACAAGCAGAGGTGTGGAGACTACATTTAAACAGGGCATGCAGGAAGCCCAGTCCCTGTCAAGCCTCTAATACTCTCCTGTGGCTCAGGCTGTGAATTGATGTGTGCTGACCGCCGGCCTCCTCACTCTACCTGCTCCGTCTTCCCTCTGCACGCAGGGGACAGGGGAAAGACAGAGGCAGCTGTCGCTGGTCCCCCAGGGGACAGCCAGGGCAGGTGAGGACTGGGTCCTGCCTGGGGAGGCTGGCACTGTCTTTGGGTCAGTCCGAGAGGAGATGCAGTCTGCTCCCACTCGGAGTGAGAGGCAGGACTTCTGCTGACTCGGGTGGAGCTTCCACGCAGGCTTTTGGGTGGGACGTGGCCACCAATCTGATGCAGCCAACACAGACTCAAGCAGCACACACCCAGCTCTGCATCCCAGCACACCCCCTCCAGCCACGGCCAGGGGAGTCTTTCTGAAGGCCGTGCGGCATCTCGGTGGCCCCCCTTCTGCCCAAGGCGGGTCTTGGGCAGCCTCTGTCCCTCTGTCTGCACCCCCCGTTGAGGGCAAATGTGTGCAGCCCTGGTCCTGGCCTGCTTCACCTCTTAGAACAAGGGCTGTGTGGTTAGGCCAACTCCCTCCTCCAGCCCCCTCCCATTTCGGCCCATCATCTAAGCAACAGTGGCTGCGTCTGCCCTTTTGCTATGGCCCAAGGCAGCTGCGGATTCCCATCCATGCTCCTTCAGCCCTGCAGCCATGTCCCTCTGCATGCACCTTCAGGGACCCGATGTCCAGCAGAGGGACACCCAGACATCCCCACCTCGCCTGGGGTAGCACTCAGGGTTTCCAGCCTCCTCGGCCCTGCCCCCAGGCCTGTCACCTACGTGATGCAACCCCAAGATGTCCAGCAAACCCTCGCCGAAAGGAGGGACTCACGAAGGGAGCCTGCAGCTATCGGAGGGGTGGGTCCCAGCCCTGGCCTCGCATGAAAAACTTCCCACGTCTGTCTGGCCCCATAGTTCGGGGAAGGCCTGTGGCTGCCCCTGCTGCCTGTCAAAGTCCTCCCAGCACCATTTCCAACATGAACGCACACTGTCCCAGCACGCGTAGGACTTTGGTGGCATTTTTGGCTAGGTGTAGCTCCTCTACTTATTATATTCTATAATTTCTCAGCAGTCTCCACGCAGTTCTGAGAACTCTTGCTGCATTGAGAAAAATCTAACCTACAGCCTGTTTTTAAATGAATGTTGCATTTAACAGTGAATGAAGGTAGGATATAGTAATTAAATATTTACTAATCTGAACATTCTTGCTGCCTTTTTTTATTCTGGGGCTGTGAAATGTTGTTTCTAGATCTGGATCCTGGAATGCTCAAGAGCTCTTACACCAAAGTGGTCCTGGAGGAGGCTGGTGCTGTTTCATCAGACTCAGCCTCAGTTTCCCCACCTGGGCATGGTGGCTACCTCGCCTGCCTGCCCCACGGGACGTCTGAGCAGGTGTGTCAGAAAATACTAGAGTGGCAGGAAGGCACCTCCCACACCTACAACACCCCCAGGGAGCTCTGTCCACAACCAACTCCTGTTGAGTGAATGAACGGAGTGAAGAGTGAGCTAAAGGGCATTCAGTGTCAGGAGGCCTGGGGCAGGGTTGGGCAGGTTACATTCCTGACTTTGTGGGCAAACGGAGTGTCCACCTTCTCGAGTGACAAGGACTCCAATCTGGATCCCTTTGGCCTCAGCTGGAGGGACCTATGCAACTGTTATCATTAGTTCCTTCGTTCGTTCGTTCATTCATTCATTCATTCATTCAATGAATTGCTACAGTCCAGATGCTGTTCTAGGCTCTGGTGATACAATAGTGACTGATGCACATGTGGGACCTGCTGGTGTCAGATGCTGAGTGAACCCACGTGGAGGGTGTGAGGAAGGGATACAAGTGCCAGGGAGGGGCTTGCAGAAAGAAGGGTGGACCAGATGTCCTCCAGGGCCTCTTCCTAGGCACTGCCGTGTTGGAGCTGCCCGATTCGTAAATCGCTGCTTGCTCACATCAATTCTTTAAAATTTTATTGTGCCTCAGCTGACTTTATAAACAATGCCCATCCACAGATGAATGAGTCAACAGTTGTGGTCTACCCACACCATTGGATATGATTCGGCCACAAAAAGGACCGCAGCTTTGACATGCCGGGGCGTGGGGGATGCTCAGCGACTTCATGCCAAACACGAAAGATCGCGTTACGTGAGTCCACACACGGTTGCCCTTGGTGCACTCTGGAGATCGGTCCCAGGACCCCAGCACAGACCCAAATCCAAGAATATTCAAAAGTCACACAGTTGGCCCTGAGGAACCCACGTATATGAAAAGCCAGCCTCCTTTCTACGTGGGGTGGGTTCTGCATTCCACGAATACTGTATTTTTGACCCATGTTTGGTTGGAAAAAATCTGCATGAAGTCAACCCAAGGAGCTTGAGTATCAACAGTATATGAAAAGCCTGGAATAGACACACTTTTAGAGGAGAAGTAGCTTGGTGGTTGCCAGGCTGAGGGCGGGCAGGGGCAATGGGGCTCAGGTGCTTACTGGGTCCAGGGTTTCATTCTAAGGTGAGGAAAATGACTGGGAACTGGATAAAAGTTGTGGTGGAACAACACCGTGAACCTCGAAATGTCACTGATTATACACACTGAGTGAATGAATGGAGTGAAGAGTGAGCTAATGGGCATTCGTTGCCCATCACCTAAGCAACAGTGGCTGCGTCTGCCCTTTCGCTATGGCCCAAGGCAGCTGCGGATTCCCACCCATGCTCCTCCAGCCCTGCAGCCCATGCCCCTCTGCATGCACCTTCAGGGACCCCATGTTCGTGGTTCATTTTACCTCAGTAAAATTTCAAAAAAAGTGACCCTGAACAAATGATGAGAGAAGGGCTTCAGGGCCGGGAGCCGGGAGCCGGGTCTCTCTGAGCCCATTTCCTGGCAGGCTTCACATCTGGGTGGGCCTCATTCTTCCTCATTCCCCAAGGTGGTTTCTGCAGCCTGCAGGGCCCCCCACCTCTCAGCCCTCACCTGCCAATGGGCCCAAGGCTTGCTCTCTGCCAGGGTACAAGAAAAACCCAGGCTGGCCCCTCACATCGGCCACCGGATGGAGTGGGGGGTGGCCCTCCAGGCAGCTTTGGCCAGGAGGGCAGTTTGAAGGGTGCAGCCCGGCCGTCCACCCCGACCCCCTCTCAGGAAGCCCCGGTGCCAGTGCCACCCTCCAAGCGCCCCCTCGCAGCCAGCCGAGGCCGCTGCGTTTGTTAAAAATACGCAGCACCATCTGCAGCAACTTGGAATTTAATAAATTTATTTATAAAGCGACTGAGGCTTCTTTTAAAGTCGAGTTTTTATCCCTGAGATGAGGCTCCTGAGGCCTATGAGGCTCACCCAGCTTGGCTCACTCTCTCTGAAAACCACACGCTGGCCCAGACAACCCTCTGCGAAGGCGACGGTGAACTGTGGCCTGGAGCCCAGCCTACAGCCCCTGTCACAGGAGAGGTGAGGGAAAGTTGAGAACCACAGGGCTTCCACGGCTCAGGTTCCCCTGGACCGTGTTGAATGGCATCTGCCCAAAATTCGTGTCTACCCACAAGGGGCTTGCCAGCCCTTCCCCAGCTGCTGGGAGGCCCCACCGCCCCGGGTAGCGGGGGAAGATTGAGGCTCACCCAGAAGTGGACTTCACCAGGAAATGACTCAGAGAGACCCAGCTCCCAGCCACAAAACCCTTCTCTCAAACTGCGGATTGTGGCCTGATTTGGACACGGGGTCTTTGCAGATTTAGTTAAGGTAAGGTCATGCTGGATTAGGGTAGGACTTTATTCCAGCGACTGGTGTCCTTGTGAGAGAAAACAGAGCGGGGTTTCAGTCGCAAACACAGAGGAGAACATCGTGAGGATGAAGCAGAGATTGCGGTGACCACCTCCACGCCAAGGCATCAGGGGCACCTCGCCAGGATACGGGAAAGGCAAGAAGGCCCCTCCCCAAGAGCCTCCAGAGGGAGTCCACCCAGCTGACACCTTGGTTTCAGAATTCTGGCCTCTAGAGCTGCAGGAGGATCAATCTCTGCGGTGCTGAGCTGTCCTGCGTGTGGTGATTTGTTTGGCAGCCCAGGCGAGCCCCCTTCCCCGCCTGCTCTGTGGGGCACCTGGGCCAGGGCTGGGCCAGAGCCCGGACGCTTCCCAGTGCCATGGTGCCTCCTGCTGACTTCAATTCCCACAGGCAGACCTGGCGCCTGGGAACCAAGAGGGGAGGGGCATGGGCACCAGTTCCGGAAGGAGCCACAGGCACCAGGCAGAGAAACTGTCCAGGGTATTTCCAAGGGACAGGCCAGGGTGGGTGGGGCAAAGGGAAAGAGCTCTGAGGACCCCCTACCCGGGTTCTAGGGTTCTGGGGTTGGAAGGGGCATCAGGGTCCTGGTCTGGGACCCACCCCCACCAGGCCTTGCTATGCCAAGAGGACTGCAGGACTTTCCTGAAGTAGAAACCACTGAGGGCAGAATCCTGATGCGGGGGGGCGGCAGGCCCAGCAGGGCAACTGCCAGGACAGCAGGGCCAGTGCAGCGCAGGGACTGGTGGCTGCCCCTTCCCTCAGGCCTTCCTTCCTTCCTGCCTTCCCTGGGCTGCTGCAAGGCTCACCTTCTAGACCACAACAGTCCACTCTCTCCGGGGTCACGGGCACTTTGGTGGGGTACACTCAGGGGCTGTCTGGAGCTGTGCTCTCCCCCAGTGTGAGGAATCATCGAGGCTTCTCGGAGGAGGAGAGAACAGAGGACAGTGCGTCGGGCTGTGGCACAACATGGGCACAGGCTTGGAGGCAAGGGGCCTTTCCCATGACTGAGGTCTCCTATGGTCTATATCTATTTTGCAAGCGCAGACATCCTCAGATCCTATGAACAAAGCTGCATACTTGTGCACCGGTGCTCGGGGGTGACTGGTCTATATCTGTTTTGCAAGCGCAGACATCCTCAGACCCTATGAACAAAGCTGAATAATTGTGCACCGGTGCTCAGGGGGTGACTGTTCCCTCCAGACTCAGGGGCGCAGCAGCACAGAGGAGCAGGTTTCGCACAAAATGGGCACAAGGTCACTGAGCCCATGATTACTCCTGGCACTCATGCCAGGCTCAGCACCCGCCGCCAGGGGAAACTCCTCCCTGTCCCTCATTCTCTCTCCACCCACTGCCCCCCGCCTTTGAGCTACTCCCTTCCACTACCCAGGCACCCCATAATAACTGTGGAGATGCCAAGAAGCAGCAAGTACTTAGTAGACACAGGAAACCTGGAGGAGCCCTGGGAAGGGGTTGCCTCTTTGCCACACCATGGATTTGGGGCTCACAGGGAAAGCCCCCTGAGAGGCGGCCAGTGGAGCTGGCGGCGGTAAGATAAGAGGGTAGAGAGGATAGAGAGGGTAGAGAGGATAGAGAGGGTAGAGAGGATAAGAGATTTTTCTTTACCTGGCAAAGTCCTCATGGGACTTCTGAGCAGGCATATCAGAAAATACCAGAGTGATGGGCCGGGTGCAGTGGCTCACGCCTGTAATCCCAGCACTTTGGGAGGCCGAGGTGGGTGGATCACCTGAGGTCAGGAGTTCAAGACCAGTCTGGCCAACATGGCGAAACCTCATCCCTACTAAAAATACAAAAATTAGCTGGGCAGAATGGTGGGCACCTGTAATCCCAGCTACTTGGGAGGCTGAGGCAGGAAAATTGCTTGAACCCAGGAAGCGGAGGTTGCGGTGAGCTGAGATCGCACCACTGCACTCGAGCCTGTGCGACAAAGCAAGACTCCATCTCAAAACAACCAACCAACCAACCAACACCAGAGTGGCAGGATCCAGACCCCTTCAGACCCCACCTGAGATGCAACCCCTGAGAGAGGCCTTGCGGGCACCCCTGCACCAACCAAGTCTGACAGCAGCTCCTGGAAGCTGTGCTTCGTCTCTGCACAGCACACAGGGCAATGCTGTCCGCTAACTGCCCCTCTGGACACTCAGGGGTGGAGTGGGCTGCAGAACTCTGGCCATGCGCTGGAGTCCAGAGCCAGCAGGGGAACGTGCCGTAGACAGGGTCCCATAGAGGGGCAGATGGAGCCCGTTTGCAGCTGCAGGCGATGGGGCGGGACGAATGACTGAGGTCATTTGTCGAATGACCTCAGGGCCACACAAGTTGGGCTGGAGAGAAGGGTATTGGAAGGTGGAGAAGAATAGAGGAAGAGGCTGGAAATGGAGGCTTGGCAGGGAGCCCTTGACTATCTGGGAAGGAGCTGAAAATGGATCTGAAGTTAGCACAAATGACACAAGAAAAAATAAAAACTCGAAGAGTTCTGTAACCTTGAAAGAGATTGAACCAGAAGTTGCAAATCCTTTCATAAAGAAAACATGAGGCCCAGATGGCTTTCTGAGCAGGGTCAAGCCATCGCAGAAGGAACACATAATTCTAACCCGAACAATGTCTTCTGGAGAAAAAGAGAGAACACTCCCCAGCTTCTTGGGAGACTGGCAAGAGCTTGACTCCGGTTGGAAAAGAATGGCCTCAGAAAGGAAAATTACAGACAAATCTCACTCATGACCTTGGATGCAAAAATCCTAAACACAATATTAGCAAATGGAATTTGGCAACATATTAAAAAGATTACTACATCATGACAAGTCGGGTTTATCTTAGGAAGCTAAGACTGATCTAACAGAAACATCAATTAATACAATTCATTAGCAAAGAAAAGCCATGTAATTTTTGCAAGTGATACAAAAAAGGACTTGAGGAAATTAATTATCCGCTTGCAATTAAATAAAAATCTCTTGCACACTAGGAAAAGAATAAAATACTTTAACCTGATAAGCTGCATGTCAAAAAAAAAAAAAAAAGACTAGAGTCAACAGAAATTTTGAAAGCTTTTTTTTTTTTAAAGATCAAGAACAAAGCAGGTATTCCCACTATTCCCACTTCTATTCAGCATTTTATTGCAGGTCCTAGCTAGCGGAGAAAAAAAGAGAAAGGAAGAAAAAAGATAATCAGTCGATAAAAGATGAGAATTAATAAGAGAATTCAGCAAAGTGGCTGGATAAAATAAAAATCAATATACCAAAGCCAGCCATATTTCTACATTTCAGCAAGAATCAGCAAATGCAATTCTGAAAAATATATCATGAAGTGACATCAGTGAAACTACCTAGGAATAAATCTAAAAAAGGTTTTGCAGAAGCTCTTTGTGGAGATACTTAAAAAACCAGTTTGAAAGAGAAATGTAGGCAGGGCGCAGTGGCTCACATCTGTAATCCCAGCACTTTGGGAGGCCGAGGCGGGCGGATCATGAGGTCAGGAGATCGAGACCATCCTGGCTAACACGGTGAAACCCCGTCTCTACTAAAAATACAGAAAATTAGCCGGGCGAGGTGGCGGGCGCCTGTAGTCCCAGCTACTCGGGAGGCTGAGGCAGGAGAATGGCGTGAACCCCAGGGGGCGGAGCCTGCAGTGAGCCGAGATTGCGCCACTGCACTCCAGCCTGGGCGACAGCGAGACTCCGTCTCAAAAAAAAAAAAAAAAAAAAAAAAAAAAAAAAAAAAATTGGCTGGGTGTGGTGGCGGGCACCTGTATTTCCAGCTACTCAGGAGGCTAAGGCAGGAGAATTGTTTGAACCTGGGAGGAAGAGGTTGCAGTGAGTTGAGATTGTGCCATTGCACTCCAGCCCGGGTTACAGTGTGAGATTCTGAAAGAAGAAAAGAAAAGAAAGAAGAGGGAGAAGGAAGGAAGGAAGGAAGGAAGGAGAGAACGAAAGAAAGAAATAAAAAGAAAGAAAGAAAGAAAGAAAGAAAAAGAAAGAAAGAAAGAGAAAGAAAGAAAGAAAGAAAGAAAGAAAGAAAGAAAGAAAGAAAGAAAGAAAGAAAGAAAGAAAGAAAATGTATCATGTTCTTGAACAGGAAGACAACATTGTGAAGGGGTTAATTTTTCCCAAATTGGTCTATTCTGGGTCAATGCAATTCTAACCAAAATCCCAATAGGGTTTGTTGTTGCTGTTTTGTTTTGGTGTAACTTGATAAGCTGATTGGAAAATACATATGGAGCAGGCACGGTGGCTCACACCTGTAATCCCAGCCATTTGAGAGGCTGAGGCGGGTGGATCACTTGAGGTCAGGAGTTTGAGACCAACCTGAACAACATGGCGAAACCCTGTCTCTACTAAGAACACAAAAATTAGCCGGGCGCGGTGGTGCAAACCTGTAATCCCAGCTACTCAGGAGGCTGAGGCATGAGAATTGCTTGAACCTGGGAGGCGGAGGTGTCAGTGAGCCGAGATTGCGCCACTGCACTCCAGCCTGGGTGACAGAGCAGGACTCTGTCTCAAAAAAAAAAAAAAAAAAAGAAAAGAAAAAGAAAAAGAAAAAAAGAAGAAAAAGAAAGAAAATGCATATGGAAATGTAAAGAGCCAACGATTGCTCAAATAATCCTGAAGAGATAAAAGGTGGGTGGGTTGGGGGTGAAGGGGAGAAATATTCAGAGGTAATGAAGGTGGTGCTCAGATAGACAAATGGACCAACGGACAGCCACACCACAGACCTGCATCCATGTGGAAGTTTGGTTTATGACGCCTCCAGCACGGAAGATCTTGGAGAAAAGTGTTTTATTCCACCAATGCTGCTGGAAGGATGGGGTGTCCTCAGGGGAAAAAGTGAAATTAGATCCATGCCTCACATAACACACACACATACACACACAATCTGAATTCTTGGATTAAGGACTTACATATGAAAGACAAACTTTAAACTCCTGGAAAATAAGATTGGGAAACAGCTTTACAAACTCTTGGGAGAAGATAATTTCTTAAATAAGACAGAAAAATCACAAACTCTGAAGGAAAGTTTGATAAATTCATCTACATTAAATTAGAAATGACTTGTCATAAAAGAATGAAAAGACAAGCTAAAGATTAGTAAAGAGAATATATCTATATCTATATCTATATCTATATCTATATCTATATCTATATCTATATTTGAGATGGAGTCTTGCTCTGATGCCCAGGCTGAGCGCAGTGGTGTAATCTCAGCTCACGGCAATCTCCACCTCCTGGGTTTAAGCGATTCTCATGCCTCAGCCTCCTGAGTAGCTGGGACTATAGGTGCATGCAACCACGCCCAGCTAATTTTTTTTTTTCTTTTTTTTGAGACAGAGTCTTGCTCTGTCACCAGGCTGGAGTGTACTGGCACGATCTCGGCTCACTGCAACCTTTGCCTCCTGGATTCAAGTGATTCTCCTGCCTCAGCCTTCTGAGTAGCTGGGACTACAGGCGCATGCCACCACACCCAGCTAATTTTTGTGTTCTTAGTAGAGACAGGGCTTCACCATGTTGGCCAGGATGGTCTTATCTCTTGACCTTGTGATCCACCTGCCTCAGCCTCCCAAAGTGCTGGGATTAGAGATGTGCACAACCGCACCTGGCCAATCTTTGTATTTTTAGTGGAGACAGGGTTTCACCATGTTGGCCAGGCTTGTCTCCAACTCCTGACCTCAGGTGATCCACCTGCCTTGGCCTCCCAAAGTGCTGAGATTACAGGCGTGAGCCACCGCGCCCGGCCAGTAAAGAGAATATATAAAGAACACAAATCAATCCGAAAAGGATGAACAACTCAGTAGAAAACTGGCAGAAGATGAGAATAAGAATTTCCCAGCAAAGGCACCACAAACAGTCCAGAAACATAAAAGATGCTCAAGTCCATTAGTAATCAGGAAACGCACATTCAAATGGCAATGAAAAATTATTAAGTACCTCCCAGATTGACAAAAGCTGCCAGGTCTGAACCAGAACAGGGGCAGCTGCAGCATGGAGCCAGGAGACCTGCCACCCAGGTGGCTGGAACGCAGCTGATACAGTTTGGATATTTAACCCTGCCCAAATCTCAAGTTGAAATCTAATTCCCAATGTTGGAGGTGGGGCCTGGCAGGAGGTGTCTGGGTCTCAGGGCGGGTCCCTCGTGGCTTGGTGCTGTCCTTGCAATAGTGAGTGAGTTCTCCGGAGCTCTGGTTAAGTGCGTGGCAGCTCCCCCTTGCTTGCTTTCGCTCTTGCTTCTGCTGTGTGAACTGCCTACTCCCATTTCACCTTCCACCATGAGTAAAAGCTCCCTGAGCCCTCCCCAGAAGCAGATACAGGCACCATGCTTCTTGTACAGCCTGCAGAACTGTGAGCCAATTACACCTCTTTTCTTATAAATTACCCAGTCATAGATATTTCTTTACAGCAACACAAGAAGGGCCTAATGCAACTCCCTGCAGAGAGGTCTCGGCCTCCACGTGGTAGAGCTGAACACTTGCCTCCTAGTGATCTAGCAGCTGCTCTCCTAACACCTACACTCAGACATCAGGAGAATACGCAGGAGTGCTCAGAGTTCCTCTGTTTACAGCCCCCCAAACCAGGAGGGGGTCACACGTCCCTCAGCAAGAGAACAGACACATCAGTGATGGGACGGGTCACAACACCAGACCCCAGATTCCCACCTCCACGAGGCTCTGGAAACAAAAACATTTCATCCTCTTCTTTTCGGTAATTATACTGGTGGCAACGCCTGTATTTACTCTCTGCATTTATCCCACTGAATAGTTGGACATTTTGATGCAGAAAAATCAGTGTGCTTGATTACATGACATGATTGGACTGGAATTATATATAAAATACATAAAATGTTACATCCTCTGAAATTTATTTTATAGTATAAATTGTATAACATTACATTTTACAATATTAAACAAATACATGCATGATGTATGTTTATTCTGAAATGCACGTGGACCCACAGGCTTTGGATAGCGACTAAGAAGCTGTCTATCATATGATAGAGTCCTACACAGGTGGGAAAATGAATAAACGAGACACACACACCGGGGAGGCAGAACCCCAGAGCATACTGCTGGCCCGTGGCAGAGGTCGGCAAAGAATGCAGGTGGCAAATGTCCATTTACAGAAAGCTGGAAAACAGGTAAACGTTAGCTTTGTTTAGTGATATCAACACAGGTGGTAAAACCCCAAGGAAAATCCTGAGGAAGCGGTGGTGGGGGACCCCTCACAGCCCTACTGGCTCTGCACGGTGTCCCTTGGCTCAGGCCAGCACCTCCGTGATGCTTCCATGACATGGGGAGAAACCGCCAACCATGGGCCATGTACACCAGATGGGTCCAGGCCCAGATGGCAGTTGAGCCCGAGGCTCAGGCCCCATGAGCAGTTGTGGGCAGGAAGCTTGGCTGCCGTCCTGAGACCAACACCAAGCCACAGCCATCACCGCTCCTCCTCCAGGCTTCCCTTCCTCCTCTGGGGCAGCAGCCCATCTTCCCAGCTGCCCGAAGGAGAAAGGCATATCCCCAGTGTCCCTCCACATCCTGACCCTGACCCTGTCCAGCAGCTGGTCCACAGCTGCAGTAAACCCAGAGTCCAGCAGAACCTTTGCTCAGTAGGCACACAAATCATTCTTGAGCAGGTGAGCCACTAATAATGTGTCACTGACACCAAGGAACAGAGGGTTGAGTGACTTGCTTCAGGCCACACAGCTAGTGAGGTACTGAGCTGGGACCTCGGAGAAGGTGCCTCCTCCATGCTAGGCAGCCCTCTCCTGGGCCAGTCCTGCTCCCCACTCCCAACAGCCTTGGTGCTTTCAGAAAAACTCAAGAGGCGCCAGGAGAATCCCACAGTCCCCCTTCTCAGCCTAATTTGCAGGCAAGGAAATGTCTGTGGAGCTCTCCACTCATCAGGATCCATCCCCTGCCCAGGGGACAGGCAGAGACCTGCCCGATGCCCTGGTGGTGGCCGCAGGAATGCTGAGCAGATGGTGCTTGGCACCCAGAAGTGGGGTGAGGAGAGCAGAACGACCCGATAAAATTATTTATGCAAATATTTAACCACAGGCACTGCAGCAATGCAAAAGTAACATCGAGGGGCCCATGAAATGTTAGCTGCCTGCCGCCCCAAGTGCCTGTGTGCAGAGCCAGCAGCAAGCCAGAGAGGGCGGGAGGGTTTGGGGAGGAGACGGTGCCTTGGAGGGAGCAGCCTGGAGGGAGGGACAGCCCCTCTGTCTCTGCGCAGGCCCAGCTGCTCAGGCAGAGTCTCCCTTCTCCTCCCTCCTTTAATAAACACCCATGAAGGGCTCTCTCACCCATGGTGGGGCATTTCCATGGTGAGCAAAACTGGGAGACACAAGTGAGCGGTGCAAGAGCACGAGAGTGAAGCTGGATGCCCGTGGGGGGCTACCCTGCGCTCCCTGCTCCTCCCAGCCTCTCTGGCAGATCTGCACATGGCAGATGGGAACTGTGGGGCACACAGCTACGTGGAGGACCCTCCAGAACCCTCTGCCCTCTGAATGGTTGGGACAGTGAGTCCAGGAGGGCCAGGGGGTGGCCTGGGAGAGGTGGTGCTGGTGCTCTGGGCTGCAGTGGGCACTATGATCACGCCAGTTTACAGACATAAACGCTCGGCTTGGGGAGGGCAGGCGCCTGACCCGAGACCTCCTGGTGAGTGGTTGCTGTGTAGAGACAATGAGGACCGCACTGAAAGCAGTGGCAACAAAGCTTCCCCAATGTCATACATGATGCGTTGATATACTACACATGTATACATACAACATGCATTCTACATACAGCATAGCGGCATGCCGCAAGCATACGCAGTGCTTTTCATAAACAAAACCACTGAAGTCTCACAATGGCCCCTGAAGGGGGTCAGTCATATGATCCTCACCCCATTTCACAGATGACAAACTGAGGCACAGAAGGGCTGAGGGTGGCAATGGGACGGAAGCCCCAGTGGCCTGGCTCTGGCCCCCTCCCAATCCATCTGCACTGGCCACACAAGGGTGCTGGACACAGGGCAGTGGTGTGTGGGCAGCGTGTGAGTCACAAGGCAGGTTCCGCGGTTTCAGGGCCCATCGGGATTCACCAGCAGCAGCACCAGGCTCTACAGTCAGGACCAGATGGGCCTTGGTCAGGCAGCCTGGGGCAGGGCCAGGGGCCTGCAGCAGCCCTCCGAGGATGGGAGGCTCTGAGAATCCTCAGTGAAGGGCAGGGCTTGAGCCTGGGATGGCGCTTTTTAACAGGGCCACGTGTCTTTCTACATAAAAAAAGCCCCCTGTCATGCCAAATCTTAAAGTAAACATGCCTCTTCTGGAAGATGCTCTCCCTGCTAGGCCTGGCCACTCCATCGTTGTGAGCCCCGGGGGTGGGAACACCCAGAGTGAGAAGTGAAGCCTCCTGCAGCCCAGCCCGGAGACAGCCTGGCTGGCCACGCCCAGAAGGCAGCAAGCGGGTGAGCCCGCGACAGGCGCACCCTCAGTGGCTAGGAAAGGGCCCTTGGCAGGAAGCCCCCCTGTGACCACTCATGTTTAGGCTGGACACTCCACACTTGCATTTTCCTAATGCAGCTGGTCTCTCACCCTCCAGCGATTAGCACGCTGGGACCACAGAGCCATGTGAGCTCCTGCAGATTTCTTAATGGCCGGCTGCCTCCGGTGGCCTTATTTTTAGCCATTTCCACTCTACTGACCGCTCAGTGAAGCTCAGATGTATCAGGCGCACGGGGAGCATGTCCATATCGAACTCTCTCCAAGGAGGCGGAGGGGGACGAGGAACGCAGAGCTCAACTGCACGTTTCCCTGGGCTCATTGCACAAATTGAGTTACAGATGCAGATTTCCAACCCATTTCTTGATGTTTTCCTCCTGGAACCAGAGCAAAGAAAACCCGAGGAAACTGCACGGCAACAGGCCCCAGGACGGCAGGTGGGCTGGCAGCAAGACCACTTTCTTATCTAGAGCTGGATTTAGGGGCCTGAAGCCAGCGAGGAAGGAGGAAGGAGGAAGCACAAATTTAAATGACCCTTCTAGAACAACCTATTATTCCCCCCCCTCCTTGGGGTAAAAAGATGGCATGAAGTACCCTCAGTTAAGAATCCTGGGGAAAGATAACCATCCGAGGGTCGGGCTCCCCAGACAGACGACAGCAGATCGGGGCTGCTTCATGAGTGCTCTGCTGCCAGGAAGTGTGCATGGCAGGGGGGCAGCTGGAAGGTCATCCAGAGCCACCCCAATACCAGCAAAGACCCCACTCAAAAATCAGCCCAACCCATGTCTGGAAATCAGCTCTTCTGGCTCCATTGCCCATCCTTCCCCCACCTTTTCCACTGAAGAGACTCCTACTCACTCTTTAAAGATCCTAGCATGAACAGGCTTGGTTGCTCCTGCCTTTGATCCCAATGCTATGGGAGGCTGAGGTGGGAGGATCGCTTGAGGCCAGGCGTTTGAGACCAGCCTGGGCAATCCAGCAAGATCCCATCTCTACAAAAAATAAAAAATTAGCAGGGTGTGGTGGCACATGCCATCATATGACCCGGGGGTGGGGGGGTGTCACGTGATTGTACCACTGAACTCCAGCATGAACCACAGAGTGAAACCTTGACTCAAAAAAAAAAAAAAAAAAAAAAAAAAAAGGCCCTAGCTTGTATCCTCAGCCTTACTGTGCAGACTTCAGAGTTTGAATCAGCAGGTCCTTTGTGGGGGGCCAAGTCCTGCAGTACAATTACCCCTCAGACTCCCCTCCTGGGCGTCTGTGTCTTTGAGGGCCTGTGGTCATCCTCACCATTTCTGTAACTTCTAGGTCCTGGCTTGGGGTTAGGAGCTGCCCAGGTGCAAGATGGAATGGACCGTCTGCTCCTTGGGCCTCAGGCGCTTCTGCAGTCCTGATTCCTGTTACTGGGTCAAACCGCAGCAGGAAGATACGGAAGGGAGGTGCGCTAGGTGATGTCTCTGAGCAACCCTGTTCTTCGGCTGTTTTCATCCTTCAGTGCAAAGCCCTTAAATCTCTGCACAGCCCTGGAGAAGGATGAGGCTCGGGACCTGAGTTCCCAGTCATGTCGTCTGTGTCTGCAGCTCCTAGACAGGTGCCTGGAGGGGCAGGCCAGCAAGGGGTGCCCACCCACTTGGCCCCTCCACATAGCCGGGGTCAGTGGAAGTCCAAAATCCACACTCGGATCTGAGGCCTCAGCCCTCTTCTGTGGCCCCTCAGACGGGGGCGGCCTTCCTGGAAACATCCGCCTTCCTCCCCGGGCACCAACAGCAATATGTGCCTTTTCAGGTCTGGGAAGAATGTGGCTCCGGGGTCTGGGTACTGCAGATTGCCCAGGTCACGTACCCTAGGTCCTAGGGGAATTTTAACAGATGAACTGGTTTCCAGGCTGAACTCTGAGCCCAGCCTCCGTGGAAGGTCAGAGGTGACCAGCTGGCAGATTCTAAGAACCTGGCCACTTTCCGGCTCCTCTCTCCCTATGTGCCTGCCCCACACCCAGCTCCCCAACCAAGTACATGCTTGGCCAGGTCTTCCCGGAAGTCAGAGGTGACCAACTGGGTCCTGGTCACCATCACACCCCACTCCCTGCCCTCAGGTGCCCATTCTGTGCCCAGCACCTGCACGCACACACTGGCTCTAGGGCCTGTTTGCCAGCATTTACTCCCTGGGCCCACGGGTCCAGGGACTTCTTGGAAAATGCCTGTGGCCGTCAGCAAACAGAGCAGATCAGCTTGGAAGAAGGCATGGCCTCCCTGTATACCCCTGGCTTGTCCAAGGAGAACAAGGGCAACTCCCAACTCCCCACACCACAGGGCCCCCAGGACATGCCACCATCCTGTGAGCAGGCAGTGGCCAGCTCTGCTCTGTGTTGAAGCAGCAGCACCGCCTAATGCCAGCCTGGCTGGCCAGTTCCGAGAGTTGGGGTTAAGCGGGAGAGGCCCCATGTGGTGGCCAGAAAGAGACCACTGAGTATTCTGTCTCTTGGACAACATATAGCCCCCCTTTCAGAAAGAAGAATCTGGTTCCAGCTCCATCCTTGCGTTCCTGTGGGGCAGCATGAGCAGCTGCTCATTTCCACAGTTGACTCTGACCAGAGAGGCTGAGTGGCTTGCCCAGAGTCACACAGAAAAGGCAGTGCCAGGGCTCCTGACCACTGCCCGCCATGTCCGATTCCTGCTGCCTTTGCCAGATAAAGGTAAATGTGCCAGCTGCTCTTGTGGGAAATCGGAATCTGACCCTAATTTGCAAGAGATTTTTCTTTTTCTTTGTTTTCTTTTAGAGACAGGGTTTTGCCACGTAGCCCAGCCTGAGCTCAAGCGATCTCCCTGCCTTGGCCTCCCAAAGTGCTTGGATTGTGGGTGCGAACCACCTCACCCAGCCAGAAGGGATATTTCTTTCCTCTTTGTGAAAAGAGCTACTATTTTCAGCTACTGACTGGGCTACAGGAGGAGCTCCCTAGTTGAACACGTAGGGGGCCTGCAGGCTTCCAAGGCCACCTGGCGATGGGAACTTTTTCTCTCGAACACCCCAGCTCCTGATGGGGGATCATGGGGTCTGGAGGGTAGGTCTGCACCTCTGAGTTCTGGGACCTGGGCTAAGTCACCCAGCCTTTCCCTGAGCCTCAGCTTCTTCATCTGTAAAATGGGGTCATGTAAAGGCTCTGCAGGTGGGCAGGACACAGCACTCGGCAGCAGGGAGCCACTGAGAGCTACTGTCCCTCCTCCTCTTGGCCGAGCCTGGGCCCCATCAGCCGCAGGAGCGCTGCTTCCTCAGGGCCTCTCTCCCTGCTTCACCCACCTCGACACGGGGGTGAGGGCCACGGGCTCCCGGAAACCCATTCACAGCCGAAAGCTCGTGCTATTTAGTCTCATCTGTGTGCAGCCGATCAGAGAATTGATCTCAAATTACAAACCTCTCAGCTAAACGCGGTCTATTACGCAAAACCTCATTCCAGCGGCTATAAATAACCCTTACAACACAGTCCCCAGGAACTCTCTGGAAAGATGTGGCACGGTTTTGAATAACGAGATAATGGAAACACAAACCCATGCTAATTAATTTCACTGCTCAGAGAGAGCTCGCTCCTCGCTTAGCCATGGTCAGTGGGACTCAATCAAGAAAACCCTGGGATGAAACGGGAGACGTCTCAAGGGAAACCTGTTGGCAGGAGGGCCCAGCCACGTGGAGCTGCAGCAAGTGGTCGCGTTGTTTGTTCACGGACCTGTGGCACCGGGCGGCCCAGAGAGGGCCTGGCCGGCTCCCACCTCTCAAAGCCCTGCTCGGACAATGCTGCTGAGGCAAGGCTCCGGGACGGCCCACCCAACAGAGGAATCAGACACAAAGGCAGCCCTGGGCTAGGTCTGACGGCAGATGGTTTCAAAGCGAAAGAGGAAGAATCCGAGGACTCCTGTTGCAGGGTCACAGGAGGCCCCAGGAGGTGGCTTTATCTGTTCAAATTAGAGACCCCCAGAAAGATGATGACCTGGCGTGTGAAGAAACCAGCATGGGTCACAGGAAGCATTCAGAGGTTCCTCAGTAAGTTAAACACCCAACCACCATGTGACCCAGTAATTCCACCACACAGGGAGGCAAAAACAAGCACGCACAGCCATGCTCGGAGCAGCCCCATCCGTGATGGCCGAGAGGCGGTGGAAACAGCCCCAACGCACATCCACTGGTGAATGAACAAACAAAACGTGGCACGTACAAATGATGCGGGATATATGATAGAATGGAATAGATACATAATATATCTATATTGTATATTGTATATACTGTATATTGTATCTTGTATATACTGTATATTGTATATTCATATACTATATTGTATATTGTATATACATGTACTATATTGCATATTGTATATACATGTACTATATTGTATATTGTATATGTATATAGATATACATAATATATCTATATTGTATATTCCATAATATACAATATGGAATATGTATATTATGGAATATAATTCGGGCATGAAAAGGAATGAGACACAGATCCACACTACAACAGGGATAAACCTTGCAAACATGACGCCGAGTGAAAGAAGCCAGGCGTAAAAGGCCACATTCTGTGATTTTATTTATAGGAAATATACGGAATCAGTGCATCCATAGAGACAGAAAGCTCACTGGGGATGGCCAGGGACCAGGGAGGGGTGAGGGGAGCGGCTGCCAGGAGGTTCGGGGTTCCTTTTGGGGCGGTTAACTAGGTCTCGGTGGTGGTCACACAGACTTGTGAATGTACTAAATGCCACTGAATTATTCCCCCTTTAAATGGTTAAAATGGCACATTTTACATTACATGTATTTGACCACAATGAAAAGAAAACAGTTATGGGACCAATGGGAGCTTTGGTGCCCCTAAAATTCCATCAGCATTGCCTGTTCTTAGGCTTGTTCACCTCTTAATACGAGGCGTGCAAACTCAGCTCCCAGTCCCCTCTTGCTGCTCAGCTGCAAAAAAATGAATTATTGCCTGGTTTTATGAGTCTAATGTTGTGACCTGCTCCTGCCACTGATGCCAAGGCCAGGAGGTCTGTCAGTCAGGGTGGCACATGACACGCCTGTGCCCCCGGCCAGTCCCACTGTCCCTGATCTCAGCTTCTCCCATGCAAACTCAGAAGCTAGAAACAGGCTGCTGGCCTTTGTTCTTCTCTCCCTGAATCCAAGGATGATGGTTTTCCAAGCAGGCTACATTTGTAAAGTAATCCTCGACTCTCCGTTTTATATTAATGAAAGCCAGCCAGAGCTGCTGATCGGCTCCAGCGGATGGGACAGGCCCGGAGAATTCCGTGGGGCAGCCGGCACAATGCCAGCCCAGAGCACAGAACACGGCATGGGGCTGGCGTGCAGGAAAACCAGGCACCCCTGCCGGCCCCTCTGGGCTTTCTGCATCTTTTAAGCAGCTCTCAGAGCCCACAGACTCCATTCCAGGGCCTGTGGGGATCCACAGGACTCATGCCAAGAATGACGGAAATCTTTCTGAGCTCAAAACTCTCTGAATTTGAAAAACAAATGGTCCTTTGAAGAACACTGCTTCCATATGGAACTATGGGGCACGGTGATCAGAAGAGCTCCAGCCTCTTTAAAAACCAGCAAATGATGCACCCTGATCCCTTTGAACGTCCAGAAAAAGGCTGAACCTAGAGCCATAGTGACTAAGAGGCAAATGCAGCCTTTCAAAATCTCCACAACCCAAGAATTGCCTTTTCACATGTGAAGCCAACGCTTCAGAATGCAAGAAAAGTGGCAGCTTTCAAAAGGAGTTTGGAGGTTCTCAGATTTAAGCGCAAATGCCACTTCCTGAGGCTGGTGCTAAAACTGCAGGAAAAGGCTGGTTGGCAGAAGCTCACAAAGGGGAGTTTATCAGTGTTGCAAAGGGCATGTTCACGGACACCTATTGGTGTTGGCCTTGTTCTCTGTGGGGATGGTGAGGCGGGGCCAGCAGCCTGCAGGGCTGTGGCATTACCCGTTCCTCGACAGTTTTCTCAACTCATCGTCACTCCAGCCAGAGCCCTGGGCTGCTCCCCACCTGCCCTGCTTCCCCATCTTCCCTGCAATGCCCCATGGCAGCCCTGGGTACTTGGTTACCACCCCACGACCCACGTCCTATCCTTCAGGGACTGCCTCACCTCTGGGCTGTTTGGAAGGACAGAGTGACATGGGACAGAAACAGAGGGTGTCTGGTTTAAGGGCTACTTCTGCATTTATCATTCCATTCTTTATTTTGGGTCTAATTCAAACCATGATTTCAAAAAGGCTAAGAATGTACAAAGGGAAGGGACCCACTGGCCCCAGGGCAAGATGGGAGGGTGTCCTGGTGGAGGTGTCGTCTGAGACTCCTTCACTCCTCTAGCCATTTAGGAAGAATTTCTAGGTAGTCAAGCACCCAGGATGGGCCTTCCAGGATGAATGGGGGAGTTTAGGAAACTGCCTTCGTTTCTACTGAAAATGGAGAAAAAAGGCAATTTTCAGTTCTTGCAGCACTCAGCAGTGTGAAACTGGGCTGCTGCTGAAAGGGAACGAGAAGCCTCGTTCCAAATTTACTTGCCATGGGAGGTGGGGGAGGGGGGGCGGGTGGCGAGGGGCGTGAACACTGGGAAGGCATCACAGAAGGGGAGCGTCTTGAGCGTTCTGCCCAAGATCCAGGAAGGAGGCGGCGTCCGGGCGTGACACAGGCCCAGGAGGGGAGCTGGATGGGGTGGTGGGGAAGTTGCCTGCGACTCCTGCCTGGGAACCAGGGGTCTGTGCTGGTGGTGGGGCCCCTGTGGGGATGTGTGTTCTCACAGAGAGGACTTTAATAAGGGTTTTGAAGGCGTCCTGCTGCTGAGTATGGGAACTCACACGTGCTGGGCAGGAGAGAATCAGGGCTGGGCTGATCAGGGAAACGCAGAGGGGAAAGGAAGCCTACCTGTAGCCCCCATCTCTGACAGAGGCAAGATGAACAAGCACCTGCCATTTACCTGATAGCAGCTGCATCTCTCGCCAGGTACAGCTGCAGGCGAAGGCATGAAAGGTTGGGTTTCTCTACATACGTGTGTACACGTATACATACACATATGCATGCGTGCATACATATTCTTGGGGGTGTTTTGCCTTCTTTGTACAATTACGAATATCTTTAGATCCATGCATACTTTCTGATGGAACTTCATCCCTGAAGTATGCATACTGTACAGGCAAGGTTAAACGAAACTCCACGAAGAAAAATGCAAAACGCTCAACGCTCCAGAAGCCCCCAGCGGCCCCCGGCAGCCACCTTCCTCCCTGCAGAGGCACCCGGGGTCTGCGCGTGCAATTCCCGCGCTCTATCTAGCACTCACTGTCACCTGCTCACTTCCTTAAACAATACATGGATTCCCTTTGCCTTTTTTCAAATTTTACAGATATCATTTTGGCCTTTTTTTCTTTGGAACTTTCCATACGCAATATCAGACTCTATGTATTCCTCTGTGGCCTCCACGTTCCCCTCCACAGCATGTCTGAGATTCACGCGCCTTGATGAATGCAGTTGGCATTCATTCATTCTCCCACCAGCGCACTGTACTCCACGTGTGAGCAACTCACGGCATCCGGATCCTTTCTTGTTCACAGGCACTTGCATCATTTCCAGCGTCTTGCTGTTATGAACAGAGGTGCTTGGAAACTTCTCGTGTGTGTCTCCTGGCCCACGTGGGAGAATGTGTCAGGGGTGTGTGCCATGGAGTCACATGCTGGTTTGCACAGCAGGTGTGTCTTTCATATTAGTGGGCAATGACTACTGTTTTCTAAAGAGGTTGCAAGATTTGGGACTTTTTTTCATGTTTTTCTTTTTTCTTTTTTTTTGAGATGGAGTCTTGCTCTGTCGCCCAGGCTGGAGTACAGTGGTGCGATCTTGGCTCACTGCCAGCTCCGCCTCCCAGGTTCATGCCATTCTCCTGCCTCCGCCTCCCAAGTAGGTGGGACTACAGGCGCCCGTTGCCATGTCCAGCTAATTTTTTGTATTTTTAGTAGAGACAGGGTTTCACCGTGTTAGCTAGGATGGTCTCGATCTCCTGACCTCGTGATCCGCCCACCTCGGCCTCCCAAAGTGCTGGGATTACAGGCATGAGCCGCCGCACCCGGCCATGTTTTTCTTTTTTTAAAAACAAAGTGTAGAAACTCAAAAGGCTCTGGAAGACCTGGCCATGTGCAGCAGTGTTATGAGTTAAACTGTGTCCCCCAAAAAGAGGTGTGGAAGTCCTCACCCCAGGATCTCAGGAGGTGACCTTATTTGGAAGGAGGGTCATTACAGATGTAATTAAGATATCAATTAATGTGAGGTCATAGGGGAGTAGGGTGGGCCCTACATCCAATGACTGCTGTCCTTGTAAGAAGAGGGGAACTTGTTTTTTTTTTTTTTTCTTTGAGATGGAGTCTCACACTGTCACCCAGGCTGGAGTGTAGTGGCACAATCTCAGCTCACTGCAACCTCGGCCTCCCGGGTTCAAGCAATTCTCCTGCCTCAGCCTCCCAAGTAGCTGGGATTACAGGCACGCACCACCATGCCCAGCTAATTTTTGCATTTTTAGTAGAGACAGGGTCTTACTATGTTGGCCAAGCTAGTCTCCAACTCCTGACCTCAAATTATCTGCCCACTTCTGCCTCCCAAAGTGCTGGGATCACAGGCATGAGCCATTGCGCCCAACCAGAAGAGGGGAATTTGGACACAGACACACAGGGAGCCCACCATGTGACAATAAAGGCCGAGACTGGAGCCAGGCAGCGCAAGCCAGGGAAGGCCAAGGAGTGTCAGCACCACCAGAAGCTGGAAGAGGCCAGGAAGGGCCTCCTGGAGCCTCTGGAGGGAGCGCTGCCCTGCTGACACCCTGACCTTTGTCTTCCAGCATCCAATGACACAGTAAAAGTTTGCTGTTTTAAGCCAGACAGTCTGTGGGTTTTGTTTTTTTTTTTGAGACAGAGTCTCCCTTTGTTATTGGGGCTGGAGTGCAGTGGCGTGATCTCAGCTCACTGTAACCTCCGCCTCCCAGGTTCTAAGAGATTCTCCTGCCTCAGCCTCCAGAGTAGCTGGGATTGCAGGCGTGCCCCAACATGCCTGGCTAATTTTGCATTTTTTAAGTAGAGATGGTGTTTCACCATATGGGCTAGGCTGGTCTCCAACTCCTGACCTCAGGTGATCCACCTGCCTTGGCCTCCCAAAATGCTGGGACTGCAGGCATGAGCCACCATGTCCAGCCCAACCTGTGGTTTCTTAGCAGCCCTAAGAAATAAGTACAAGCAGCATTCCAGGCCCTTCCTTCATCCCATCCTCCAGTCTTTGTCTCAGTGACCAAATAGGCCTTGGGTCTGTTGCTGTGAGAGCAAGGATGACCAAGCCCTTCTGCAGATCTCCAAGAGTCTGTGTGCTCCTCTGAGCCTGGGGTGAGCCTCTGAGCCCTTCTCAACACAGGGCTGCAGGCCTCCCCTCCCCACTAACTTAACAACACGGGAGTACTGGATGTCCCCATGGCCGTGTTAGAGGTTTCTGGAGAGGGAAGAGGAAGTGGGCAGCTATGCTGCTCCTGGCTGGGGGGCTGTGGTCCCAGGGCCTTGCTTTAATGGGTTAACTGGAAAGGCAAAAGGAAGGAAAGAAGAGAAGCCTGCTTAGATTGGATTCCCCCCATGCACAGAACCCATTCGTGGACATGCCATCTGCAATGCTTCATGGAAGACATCTTCCGATGGCAGAGGGGGATCATGAACTCAACACTCAGCCTCCCTCTGAACCAAGAGCTGTTGGGGAATGAGTAGGGGGTGGAGAACAGTGGGTGGGCCTAGAAGGAGAAGCTGAACATTGCCTATACACCTCTGCCTAATGCAGCCCACACCCCGCTCCTCCTGGTGGACTCTGTGATGAGGGCCTGATACCTGGTGTGGGACTGTCCTCTAGGTGGCCTTGGACGAGCCCAGTTCTCCCCTCTCTTTTGCTTTCAGTTCTTAAGAATAACCATAGAATGTGCTAGAAATGCAACACCCCGAGAGAGGGAGGGCTGACTGGAATAGCCTGAGCTCTGTCCCAGTCTTCCCCGGAAACATGATGTCCATCAACACTTTAGTCCAAAAGTCATATGGCCCCGGGGTATAAAACCCAGGAGGAGCTGCTTTCCAGGGTCCCTTAGTGGCGGCGCAAGGGAGCACATGCAGTCAAGACTCCGGTCAGCTTTCCTGAGCCTTACAGGCTGGCTCGGCCGAATCCCAGGCTTCTATTGTCCCTTGCTGCATATCTGTAAGCAATGAACCAGTTCATGGAACTCGCTGTGTGGGCGGCTGGCTCACCAGGCTAGGACAAGGTGGTAAGCGGCGCGTGGTGAACCTGCTCCACACCTTGGGGCAGAGCTGTCAGGCCATTCAGTCCAATCCTGGGGTTTGGTGGTAGAAGGAAGCCCACCCACCCACAGGTCTAAGCCACCTTGGCCGGTATTGGCTTTGTTGGCAACAAGGGAGGAACTTGCTCTCTGTGGCTCTTACATCCTCGGTCTGTCTCTTTGTTGGTTAGTGGGGAGGTGAGGGTGGGCACCAGCATTTACTGGGGCCACTCAGACCCCAGCTGTCCCTGAGAGGGCTGCTGAGGAAGGAGTGGCAGACAGCGTGGATGCCGAGACCAGAGCCTGCCTCTGGGAAATGGACAGAGGCCTTGGAACCCATCCTCCCTTCACTGTCCTTGCCGTTAGGATGCCCTTCCCTGCATTCAGGGCCTCAGCTGCTCATCAGGATGGGGGGCACATGAGATTGCCATTCTTGTAGGTTGATAAGAGTTCAATATTTGCTAGTTTGACATGATGCAACTGAACGGACCCCACGGCCGACTGCTCCTTGCTCCGATAAGTAGCTACTGAGCTGAAGGTCCCCGAGAAGTCTCAATGAGCAGAAGGCCCAGGCCCTGCGTCTGTTGGCGACCCCACACTGGGCTGTCGGAACTGGCTCCAGGGACCCCAAGAGGAGGCCCTCCCCAGCCTGGGAGGGGCCTGGATGGCACCTCTGAGTTGGGGCCTACAATGAGATCAGAGGGTGAGCTGAGCAGAGGATGTGAATTCGAGTGCTAGGACCGCCCGAGGAGGGCGCTGGGTGGTACTGGGGAGGCAGAGACAACTCAGGAGGCTGAAAGTCCAGGGATGAGGGAGGCAGGGCCAGGCCACGAGGACAGAGGAGGCACTGTTCCCCACAGACCCTGGAACCAGGTCCCTGGTGCCCAGTGCTGGGTCCTGAGCAAGTTCTCCTGAGGGTTAAAACATTCACACCTGAGAAGGAAGGCAGGGTGGGGTGTGGGGGGATCTGAGGCCTCCGGAGGCTGCTGGGTGAAGGCTGGGAGTGCCAGAAGGGAGTACTTCCAGGCTGGGGTGGCCCAGAGCCTCTCCCTGGCCCAGGGGACTCCTGCCAGGCTGGCTCCTGACCAGTCCCCAGGCGAGGGGAGCCTGCGGGGCGTCCCCCGACAGGGGCCGCTGAGGAAGAGGAGATGACAAATGCCCCGCAAAGGGCCACAGGGTGCAGCAGCCAGGGGCAGAGCCGTGTGTGCTCCTGTGTGTGTCTATGATAGTGTGTGTGTATGTGTGTGAGACAGTGTCTGAGAGTGTGTTGTGTGTCACTGTGTGTCACTGAGTGTGTGCCTATGAGCGTGTGTGTCTATGAGTGTGTGTGTAGGTGTGGCAGTGTCTGAGTGTGTGTATATGTGTGTGTCTATGAGAGTGTGTATGTGTGTGAGTGTGACTGAGAGTATGCTAATGTATGTGTGTCACTGAAAGGGTGTGTGAGCTGTCTGTGTGTGTGTGTCAGTGTCTATGAATGTGTGAGTGTGAGTGTCTGAGTGTGTTGTGTGTGTGTGCATGTGTGTCACTGAGAGTGCATGTGTGTCAATGTCTATGATGGTGTATGTTTGTCAGTGCCTGAGAGAGTATGTGTGTGTGTGTGTGTGAGTGTGTAGTGCATGTACATGCATGTTAAAACCCTTTAAAAATGTAAAAATCTTCCTCAGAAACTCAGTCATGGATGGAATGTGGCCCCCAGGCCAGAGTTCACCCAGCCCTGCCATAAAAGAAAGAAACGCGAGGAACGGAGTGGGGAGGTGGAGCAGATTTGTCAAAACGGGCAGTCAGAGCCTCTGCAGAGCTGATCGTGGGCTTCAGAGCAGAGCTAGGGGGCAGACGCAGCTGTCGCCACGGGAAGCATAGGAACCCTCAGAACCCCACGGGACCTACAAAGCCTAGAGCAAGCTCGAGTTCAGAGTTAACGGGAGAAGAAGGTGGCCGGAATGAGGGAAAGAGGCTTTCATGATCAAGGTGGAGTTTACCCCACGTGCATATGACCAAAACTCTGAAAAACAGTATTTTTCTGAATAAACGTCTACCATGCCAAGCATGTTAGAAATGTTTGATTCAAAGAGAACACATGGACACAGGAAGGGGAACATCACACACCGGGGCCTGTTGTGGGGTCGGGGGAGAGGGGAGGGATAGCATTGGGAGATATACCTAATGCTAAATGACGAGTTAATGGGTGCAGCACACCAACATGGCACATGGATACATATGTAACAAACCTGCACGTTGTGCACATGTACCCTAAAACTTAAAGTATAATAATAATAAAAAAAAGATGTTTGATTCAGGCTGGGCACAGTGGCTCACGCTTGGAATCTCAGCACTTTGGGGGGCGAGGCAGGTGGATCACTTGAAGTTAGGAGTTTGAGACCAGCCTGGCAACATGGTGAAACCCCGTCTCTACTAAAAATACAAAAATTAGCCAGACGTGGTGGCACGCCTGTAATCCCAGCTACTCAGGAGGCTGAAGCAGGAGAATCATTTGAACCCAGGAGGCAGAGGTTGCAGTGAGCCAAGATCACACCACTGCACTCCAGCCTGGGCAACAGAGTTAAGACTCGGTCTCAGAAAAAAAAAAAAAAAAAGAAATGTTTGATTCTGATGTGATTCGTGCAGGGGTGATTTCAGAAGGTCAGAATGAACCCACTGAGAGGGAAAAGTCTTTGAACAAAAGGACAAAAGTCTCCAGAGTTAACCGCCATTTATGTCTAGCCTAACCATCTGAGGAAGGAACGTTCTAGAATCCCAGGGCCACCCCGCCCTAGGTTCCAATGAATGGCCCCTGGCTCTGCCCACAGCCAGGCCTGGCCTCACCTGCAGGTGATGTGCATGGCTCGGATTCAGTAATTAAGTCATAAAACACAAGGCTGGCTACTTAGAGCAGAATTACGAGGCATTTCAGCTTGTGAATACGGTAATCCAGCTTAATTAACACCGACTGGGAGAGCAAGGCGCAGGCTTCTGGGTTAAATCAGCCCATGCGGAAACCCTGGCCGCCGCTTACCCTCATCACGCTATGCTGAGCATTTGTCATTGTGTGGAATAAAAATAAACCTGAGCTTGGAAAACTGGGCAGGTGACCCTGGAAAGGCCCGGAAACCACCCAAGGCTGGCTCTCCAGGGCCTTTGTGTTAAAATGGAACAAATCCAGCAACCCTGAGAGGCGTATCCAGGGCAGGCGAGCTTCTCTGGGACAGGGGACACACAGGCTGACCCGGCAGATGGCCAGGAGATGGACGGGGTGAATCATTGCAGGTGCCGTGCACAGCCGCCCCAGTCCCTTACCCACACCCTTCGTCCTGCAGGCTCGATCTCCCTTCAGGACCCCCGCTTTCTGCCCATGGCCCTGCCCAGGGGAGGCGGACCCCAGCCCAGCCTGTGACACTCTAAGGACTTCCTGAGGGTTCATCATTTCAGCCTGACAACCACCCTTGGGTTAGATTCTTATTGCTCGCTGTAATTAATTACTACAAATTTAGTGGCTTAAAACAACAAAAATGTTCTTACGTGCCAGTTCTGTAGGTCAGAGGGCCAACCCAGGGCTCAGGAGGCTGAGAGAGCGGCGTTGGCAGGGCTGGCTCCTTCCGAAAGCTCTCAGCGAGGGTCCTTTCCTGTCTCTTCCAGCTCTGGGGACCCCTGGCGTTCCTTAGCTGAGGGTTCATTACTCCAAGTTCTGCCTTGGGGGGTCCCATGGACTTCTCCCCTGCATGCATCAAATCTACCTCTGCCTCCCCCTTATAAGGACGCCTGTGGTCACACTCAGGCCCCCCTAAGCGATCCGTGATGACCTCCTGATTGCAGCAAGATCCCTCAGTTCATTGCATCTGCAAAGCCGCCTTTCCCATGGAAGGCAGTCGGTCGACAGGCTCTGGGGATAAGCACGTGGACATCTTGGGGACCCTTATTCAGCTGGCCACTGGCAGGCACAACTGGGCTCTGCAGAGAGGCTGCCCAGGGACCCTTCCAGGCAGTGATAACGCCTCAGGGCCCCTCTCTTCCCCATCTCCCTCATTCTCTTTGGGGCTGTCCTGGCTGCCTCCATGAGGCGTGCTAGTCAGTGCCGGCTCACAGGGAGGAGGCCTCCATAACAGCAAGGCCCTTGGATGCTGGAGGGTGAGACGCTGCCCAGTGTGAAATCTACCTCTGTTACCATGGGACTTGGAGGAGCACGTTTGGGGCTCAGCTCTGCTAACTGATGCTCAGGGAGGCAGGAGGGGAGAGTTTTAAAAGAGCCACAAAGTACCCCGGAACTTAGAAGGACACTTGAGGACCTTGTTTAAGACTGGAACAGAATGTCTATCCTGGGAGAGGGTGTGCTGGTCTCCCTCTCTCTTCTCATAAGGACACGGATCCCATCATGAGTCCCCACCCTCTGACCTCATCAAGCCCTAGCCCCCTCCCAAAGGCCCTGCTCCTGACACCATCCTGGTGGGGGTTAGGGTTCCAACATTTGAGTGTGGGGGTCACACAGACATTCGGTCCACGGCACCAAGCTGATGCTTCCTGGTGTCTGAGATGGGGAGAGGCCTCTGCATAGCCCGGCTGGCTCTTCTCTTTCCCAAGGCAGAAGAATCATTACCTTGCCGGGGCCTCATCAGAACAAAAATGTAATTGTTTTGTGCCTTTTAGAAACCTCCTGAGTTGGGAGAAATGGAGATTTTGGTGGCTGTCCATGAAGTACTTAATTAAGCAGAACAGGTAATCCCATCGTTATTACAAGAAACACACAGAGCTCCAATATCTGTGGAAATGCAGTTGCCTGTGGGCCTGGAGGCTGCCTGCCCCGCCTGGTCTCCCCCACCCCCACCATGGGCGCCTTCCTTCACAACTATCTGGGTTGTTGCATTAAGGCTTGTCTTGCCCCCAGACAAAATGTGGAGTCTGTTGTTACCGTCTGAATGTCTGTATCCCCCCAAGTTCCTATGTTGACACATTTGGAGACAGGGCCTTTATTGGAGGTAACTCGGGTTATACGAGGTCATAAGGGTGGGGCCCTGATCCAATGGGATTAGTGTCCTTATAAGAAGAAACTCCAGAGAGCTTGGTGGCACTTTCACACACACTCTCTCTCTCTCCTCTCTCTGCCATGTGAGGAAGCCAGCTGCCTATAAGCAGGAAGCGACCCCTCACCAGGAACCAAATTGCTGGCACCTTGATCTGGGACTTCTAGTCTCCAAATAAATGCTTGTTTAAGCCCCCTGGTCTGTCGAACCTTATTACAGCAACCCAAACTGAATAAGACATGTGGGGTCCGGTATGACGTAATATCTGTGTGACCACAACAGGCCTCAGTTTCTCCATCTGAAATGGGGATGGATGGTAACAGCACCTGCCTCAAAGGCTGTGGGGGCTGAAATGAAAGCTCAGGCACCAAGGCACCGGGATCGGGCAGGGTGTGATCCCGACTTCACCTCTACAGGCTCACATCAATGACAGCAGCCCCTGGGCAGCCTGCTCTGACCTCCCAGGAAGACCCAATTTCTGGGGTGTCCAAGGGGCAGTCCTAGACACTTGAGGAGATTAAGTGTCATAAGACATCAGCCCCTCTTGTCCTGATCACTATTTTGCAGATGAGGAAACCGAGGCAGGAGCGGCCAGGGTACTCATTTGAGGTCACAGGTGGAACATGCGAAGCAGAACCCAGACCAGCTTGGAGCCCAGCACTGCATGGCTATTGCTTATGCCCTGCACACCATCTGCCCATTTCTTTCTGGCCTGGCTCCTGCCTCTGCCCCACCACACTGCCAGATGCACACCAAAGGCTGTGCCCCTACAGCACCCTTGGCGAGGACGTGGCCCATGGCAGGTGCTTGGGAAATACGGGTGGACTGGGTGGAAGGAAGGAAGGAGAGAGGGGACTGGAAATTCTTCCCAGCTCCTTCATTTCCCAGATGGAAGGTGATTTCATCAGATGGGAGGTCTGATACGGTAGCCCCAGCCATGCGTGGCTGCTTACATTACAAAACAACCCAGGCAAGTGAGTGTAGAAGGGGAGACTCTGCCTGAGGACGTGGGTATGGGGAAGAATGATGGAGATACATGGGGATGATCCATTGCTGTAACTCTTCTGGAGACACCCATAAATGATCCCAGAAAAGCATGATTGAGGGCTTAATGGCAGAGGTGATCAAGTGTGACTGACAGGTGTTGCCGACAGACATCCCAGCCTGCACACCCCCAGGCCTGGCCAGCTCTTCTGTCCACACAGGAGGGGTGAGGGCCAACTTCTGAGCTCGTTTCTCTTCCCGGCTCTGTCCACACGGTGCCGGGAGGTTCTGGAGCTGAGCCCAGCGCCATGTGGAGGGGCCTGGCCCACCTTGCTGGGCTGGCTGCCCCAGGCACATTGGGGCAAAGGGGTGTTTGCCTGTCACTAGTGGGGTGGGTGAGCCTGACAAGAACAGCTGGTCAACCACTCCTCGGCTCCTTCTAGAACCATCCAAACCCAGCAGGATGTCCAATGGAATGGACGTCTCCAATCCAACACAGCACCGCAACTTCCCCTGCCTGCCAAAGGCTTCCCCGTCTCAGCAAAGGGCCCCACAGCTGCCCGGCAGTGTATGGAAGAGCCCAGGACTCAACTCATGTCAACCCCCGCCCCCACCTGTGCTGTGCCCCAAAACCACCCCCAGCCTCAGTCCTCTCCACCCCGGTGTTTGATGTGGAACAGCCGCCAATGGGGCTTCCTGACCCTCTGTGCGAGTGTCCTGGGCTTTTGTTACAAAGCAACACAAACTGGGGGGCTTAAAACAACAGAAATTGATTCACTCACAGTTCAGGCGGCCTCCAGTCCAAGACCAAAGCTTCTGGGAGGGGCCATCCGTTCCGGGGCCCTCCCTCAGCTCCAGGGGCTGCGGCCACCCTGGTGCCCTCCCCTTGGCTTGTAACTGCACCTGCCAGCCTCTGCACGTGGCCTTCTGCTCATGATCTCAAGATCTCATCTCAAGATCCTTAACTATAAATGACATCTAAGGACATCTGCGAAGACCGTGTTTCCAAATGAGATTCCCAGTGGACACAGTTCTGTGGAACACCATCCAACCCCCTACTGTCTCCAATCCAGTCTCCGAACGGAAGTCAAACAAGCTGAACAACACACACGCGCAAGCACCACTGCTCCCTGCCACAAACCCTGTCACCTGGGGAGTAGAGTCTAAATTCTTCTCCACAGCCAGGTGCGGTGGCTCACACCTGTAATCCCAGCACTTTGGGAGGCCGAGGCGGGTGGATCACCTGAGGTCAGGAGTTTGAGACCAGCCTGACCAACATGGTGAAACCCCATCTCTACTAAAAATACAAAATTAGCCAGGCATGGTGGCACACACCTGCAATCCCAGCTACTAGGGAGGCTGAGGCAGGAGAATGGCGTGAACCCGGGAGGCGGAGTTTGCAGTGAGCCAAGATCGCGCCACTGCACTCCAGCCTGAGTGACAGAGCGAGATTTCGTCTCAATCAAAAAAAAAAAAAATTCCTCTCCACATCCTGTGGGGCCTGTGCCTGCCTCTCCCACCCTTCCCGCACTTGGGTGCATGGCCTCTGCCCCTCCAGGTCCCCGGGCGGTTTTTGCCTCTGGGGCTCTAAGCCCACCTCCTCCGAGGTTGCCGACCTTCCCTGCCGGCCAGCACTGCACAGCTATTGCTTATGCTCCACGCACCATTTGCCCTTTTGGAGGATCATCGTTATTTATTCATTTCTTTCTGGCCTGGCTCCTGCCTCTGTCCCATCATGCAGCCAGATGCACCCCGAAGGCTGCGCCCCCACAGCACCCTTGATGAGGACACGGCCCATGGCAGGTGCTTGGGAAATATGGGTGGACTGGCTGGAAGGAAGGAAGGAAGGAGAGAGGGGACTGGAAATTCTTCCCAGCTCCTTCATTTCCCAGATGGAAGGTGGTTTTCATCAAATGGGAGGTCTGATACAGTAGCCCCAGCCACCCGCGGCTGCTTAAGTTTCAATTAATTGATATTAAATACGTAAAACTAAGAATTAGCTCCTCAGCCACACTGGCTGCATTTTGAGTGCTCAGTAGCTGTGTGTGGCCAGTGGTGCCATATCGAGCACATGGGACATTTCCAGAAAGTTCTACCAGACAGAGTTGCTTTAGACCAAGGAAGGAGAGAGAATTCAGGGCTGTCAGCATTATGAAGGTCCCAGGGCATCTCTTCCAGCCTATGGCCCCTCCCAGGCCAGGGCAGGGTGTGGACAGCAACAGAGACCCCACTGGGGAGCTGGGGTATAGGATGGGTCACAACTCAGGGCTAAGGGTGCGCCCAGAGCTGCCACCAAGAACTGGAGCCATGGGAGGCAGGGCACCTTCGTCCCTGTGCAGGGAGGGGCAGCCTTGGGTGTGGACTTCTGGGAGCAGAGGCCCTGGTTTCCCTAGGGGAGGGGTGGGCCCGGAGCTTCCTGGGAGCCTGCAGCCTCAGGAGGGGCTGAGGCCGGGGGAGTGTGCAGGACTAACGGACACCATGCCTGCCACTTCCTGAGCTGAGGGCAGAGCTGATGGGGGCGGGCTGTCACCTGCATGGTCTTATTCCCAGGCTTGCATCCTACCCCTCTCCCCCATGGAGGAGGTGGGAATGGAGCAACGCCCCCAGCCAATCCCCTGGTTCCCTGGTGCTCCCAAGGGATTCCTGCCAGCTCTGCGGCCCTCAGACTTGAGGCCAGGGGGTGTTGGACACACTGCACCCCTCACAGAGAGAGGAACAACCATCCCCTCCTGCCTGAGCCAGGATTCACCCCCAGACATCCCTCAGAATCCATTTCCATCTTTCCAAAGAGATGCTCCCATGGCCACAACCTTCTTCAAAAAAAAAAAAAAGAAAAAGCCTCAAACCGTCTTTCCCTTAAGGCAGCAGTCCTCAGCCAGGGGTGATGGTGCCCCCCCAAACCCCAGGGAACCAGAGGAGGAACCAGGGAACCACGTGTCAACGTCTGGAGACATTCTTGGTTTTCACAACTGGGGGCTGGTGCTGGCATGGAGTGGGGAGAGGCCAGGCTGCTGCTGGACACCCCACAGTGTGCAGGAGGGGCCCGCAGCAGAGTGATCCTGCTAGAAACGTCCCCGGTGTCGTCCTGGGGCAACACTGTCCCAGTTCCACACCTGGCAGGGCGGCTCTGCGAAATGCCTCCACCCAGAGCCTGGTCTCTATCGGCTCCCTCACCTGGTGGCCTGCGGGGGGTGTCCCAAGGGTTCTCACCAGGAGTTTAGCCAATGTACAGTTTGAGAGAACAGCCCCCACAAGACCACCCTTCCTCAATTCAGACACCAGCTGCAAGTTCTGGGGGTCTCCAAGACCACCCTCAGGTTTGGTGATTTGTGGGAAAGACTCGTAGAACTCACTAAAAGCACCTATGCTCACAGTTATGGTTTATTACAGCAAAGGGATCCAGGCTGAGATCAGGCAAGGACAGGCAGGCGTGGGGGGCAGAGTCCAGGAGGGTCCAGACATGGGGTGTCTGCCGTCCTCCCTGGGAAAGTGGGGATAAGTCCCTCCCAGAGATGACGTGTGACAACACGCATGGGGCATTGCCGCCAGGGATGCTCCCAGACCTTTGGTGTCCCGAGTCTTTGCTGGGGCTCTGTCACACACTGCCTTGGTGGCAGGGCTTTAGTTTCCAGCTCCTCCTGGAGGTTAGGGCTAATCCTTCTGGTCTCCAGTTTCTTCTGGAGGTCCAAGCTGATGTGGCATGACCCAGAGCTCCCACCATAAATCACACTGTCAGACTGTCCAGCAGTCAAAGCCCCCAGGCAAACAGAGACACATACATCAGGCAGGATATTCTGGGAGCCCAGAGACCACCTCCCAGGAGGTGAAGGCAAAGGTTAGCTCTCTCTTTGGATCAAGTTGGTGCTTCACTACCCAGACCTCCCTCCCTCCATTTTAGATCAGAAAACTGAGGCCCAGACCTTAGGAAATCTGAGCAGGCTCTGAGCAGTGGAGGATGTGGGCTCTGAGCCAGTCCCTGCACTCTCCTCTTTTACTCAGGCCCCTCCGCTCCCCAAGTCCCCTGCCTCCCAGAGGTCCACAAGCCCAAGCTGGGGGAAATCTCAGTGCAGCCTCTTGGATCTCTGTGCAAAAATGAAAAAAAAAAAAAAAAAAAAAAAAAAAAGACACGTTTGTGCATAAAATACACACTGTAGAGGAAGGAAAAATGCAGGAAGAGAAGTTTCCAGTAATTCACCCCATGGCAACCACCAGGCCAGCGTGGGACCTGGAGTATTAATCCTCTAAACCTGGGGCCCCTCCCGCTCGGAGGGCTGAGGGCTGCAGGCCTCTGGGGCCTCCCCGCCTCCAGTTCCGCTGCCTTGTTCTCACTCCCAGGCAGCCTCCGTCCCAGCCTCCCATCCCGGCTGAGCATGGTACCCCGCACACACGGTTGCTAAGAAACCGTTGCCAAGAGTCACAACTCAGCTGGCAACGGAAAACACCCCCAGCAGCACCGTTTGCTGGGCCCATTTAGGAAGACATGTTTTCTGGTCCACTCAATGCCTCATCCTCTTTGCAAACATTTCAAACGTTTTCTTTTACATGGCTTCTAGATATCACTTAGCATGCACTCTATATTTAGGAACGGTTATGAAACAAACATATCACCCACAATATCTGCACTGACTATGGCATGAAGCCTGGTACTGGGATCAAGAGGCAGGGAGACACCAGGGAAAAATCCTGCCTCATATCACAGCGAAGCCTGGTGCTCCTGGCTGATTTGGGAGCTTGTCGGTAAGTCTCATCTGGTCAAGTTCGACAACCCCCAGGTGGCAAGCTTTACGCCACAAAGCCCATTGGACTGCAGGAAACAGGAAAGATGGACAGCTCTAGTCCTCGGCCAGAGGCAGAGCTCGTCAGTCAGTCTCATCTGGTCTAATCCCACAACCGCCGAGTGGCAAGCTTTATGCCACAGAGCCCACTGGACTGCAAGAAACAGGAGAGACCGATGGCTCCAGCCCTGGACCAGAGGCTACTATCCCTGTAGTACCTCTGAAAGGCCAATCCTTGTAGCAGCCCTGAAAGGTCCAGATGCAGCCCCTTATTCTGCAGAGGAGGAGTCCAAGGTGGCCCACCCACAGGAGGCAGAGCTGGCCTCTGTTGCTGTAGTGGAGAAATACTGCACCCCAAGCCACATCATGACACTCTTCAGCCCAGAGTGGGCAGCCTGAAGAGGAAAGACTCCATCCCAGCAAGGATGAAGGCTGCGGTTCCCAGGTCCTCCGTCAGCACGTATCTCATTTCCTGGGCACCCAAGACAGGGACCCCGGGAGGCCCTTTGGTTGGCTTTGGCGCAGCCGTGAAGGTCAGATGGGAGCCTGGAGGTGGGGGGCGTGGGGGTGGCATGGTGTTGGGGGACTTTGTCCCTGAAGTGTCTCCTCTCACAGCTCGCTCTAGCACTAAAGGTTCCTGTTTTTGAGGTTTGTGATATTAGAGTTGTTCCCCAAAATTCCGATTTTCCTCCTTCTTGGGCACACACAGGGCTGCAGGTCTCCACCCTCCTGAAGTTAGGTGCGGCCAAGTGAGCCGGCGGCTGCAGGGACGTGTGTCACTCCAGGAAAGATGAAGACCAACTCACCACCCACCACACTGCCCTTGAACCCAGATGTGGCAACTATAAATGGATGATGGTCCAGCTGGTGGGGGCGTCACCCAACCCGGTTCCTAAGTGAGGAGGGCAAAGGACAGCACCCAGCAGACCTGACAGGGCAGTGAGAGTGAGCAGGAAATAAGCCTTTGTTTTTTTAAGCCATGGCAACCTGGAGATTATTTGCTACTGCAGCCTAACCCCGCTGTCCTGACTGTTACAGGTCAGGTGGCTACAGCAGAATAGCCCTTATCCTAAACGCTTGGACTAGAAGTATTCTGGATTGCATATATTTTTGGATTTTGGAATATTTGCATGTACATTTGGTATATCTGCACATATAATCACATATATCCTGGAGATGGGACCCAAGTCTAAATATGAAATTCACGTATGCTTTATACACATAGCCTGAAGGTAATTTTATACAACATTTAAAGAATTTTGTGCATGAAACAGTTTTCATTGTGTTTTGACTGGGACTTACCCCATGAGGTCAGGCTTGGAATTTTATACCTGTGGCATCATGTTGATGCTCAAAAAGTTTGGGGTTTTAGAGCATTTTGGATTTTGGATTTTTAGATGAGCTCAACCTGGATTGGACCTCAAAGGGTGCCCTTATACAAGGTCAACATGCCTAGCAAGGAAGAGAGTTGTTTTTTGTTTTTTTTTGAAACAGAGTCTCGCTCTGTCGCCCAGGCTGGAGTGCAATGGTGTGAGCTTGGCTCACTGAAATAGCGGCCTTCCAGCTTCAAGCGATTCTCCTGCCTCAGCCTCCTGAGTAGCTGGGATTACAGGCGCATGCCACCATGCCCAGCTAATTTTTGTATTTTTAGTAGAGACGGGGTTTCACCATGTTGGCCAGGCTGGTCTCGAACTCCTGACCTCAGGTGATCCACCCGCTTCAGCCTCCCACCATGCCTGGCTGAGAGTTCTTAAAACTGAAGATCTCCCAGGTAAGCCCATCTTTGTGTGGCAGGATCCACAGGTTAGGCTGGGAGGGTCCGGGAGCAGAACGTGGAAGCCAAATTCTGACGGGCGCAGCAGGGGTGGAGGCTGATGGCACCAAAGTCGGGGGCGGAGAGGGCAGTAAACACATGTGCCCCCCTCTGTCCTACCCAGGCCTCGGTTTCCCTGCTCGCAAAGTAAGCATAGTCACTACTAAGCAGTGCCTTAATATATCAAGAGCTCTTTTCCCCGGGGCCTCCTTCAGTCCTTATAGTAGCTCTGAAATGTCCTGCAACAGCTCCCTATTTTGCAGAGGAGGAGCCTAAGGCGGCCCACCCATGGGAGGCAGAGCTGGCCTCGACGCCAGCCCCATGCTCACTCCACACCCAGCATCATGATGCTGCTGTCATCCCCCAACTTCCGGCTTCCCGAGCTCCAGGCAGTGGAGACCCACCATACAGCAGGCTGTTAGCACCGCCTCTGGGTGGTGAGGGGCTGCCGAAGTTTCGGCCCACCTGCCCTCCCCAGGACAGGCTCAAACTGAGTGTCTAGGAAGAGTCTCTTGACTAGGGGAGTGAACAGGTCCCAGAGGATCACAGTACTGCTGTGGGCTCTGGCTGGGTAAATCATCCCAGCTCTGGGGCTCTGGGCTGCAGCGCGGCAAGGCAGTGTGTTCTGCACAAAGACAGGATGTACTTGGGGAGAGGCTGTACCATTGTTGTGAGCGGAAGAGAAATTAATTTTAAGCCTGGAGTTGATTCCAGCCTGGGAGGGAAACGCCAACACTTGGAGAGGGATGGTTTCAGGCATGTGCGCGCCACAGCTCACGTGCTCACTGCAGCCTGAATTCAGTGGGGAAACGCGCCCCGGGCACCCTCCCTCCTCTGTCAGTGTTCCAAGCCACCCCCACATCCCAGCACCGGAAGAGCCTGGCCCCTCCTTCCATCTAGAGAGCCTTGGGTGTGTTCTCCGCTGAGCCACACCCTGTCCCCTGCCCCACCAACTAAAACACACCACCCAGGCTGCTGCCGAAAAGGCTGGGAGAGGGGCAGCGAGCCAGACTGAAACCGCCTCTTTCGAACTCTCTGAAGGGTTTGGTCAGTTCTCTGTCATTTAACCTAGTGCTTGGTGATGAGGACACAGAATAGAGTGTGGCTCTGCTGCTGGCCTCCCGGGTCTCCAGGCCTGATGGAGTGGGACACACGGACGTCCAGCAGGTTCCGGCCTGGCGGGAGAGGGAGGTCTGGATCACAGGCTGCGGGCCACCGTGACCCTGGGGGCCGCATGTGGTGGGAAGGGCAGCGGGATGAGCTGGCAAACACTGGGGACTCCAGCTCCCCTAAGGGCCTCCGAACTGCTGCCACAGCCGCTACTGCTAGGTGCACTCTGACATCAGCTCCAAGCCGGGGAGAGGGGGTGCTGCCGTCAGGAAGGTGCCACCTGGGCCAGAGGCACGGGACACCAGGGAGCACCTGCTGCAGAGCTGGATGATCCTGGTGCCCTCTAATGCCCTGACTCCAATAAGCCTATCTCTGGGCCTCAGTTTCCCCAAGTGTGCAATGAAGGGCCTGGCCATCCAGACCCCCAGCAGATCCGGCCCCCTGACATCCATTCTAGTCCCCTTCCTCACTATGAGGACCCTAATATTGTCTTGGCAGTTAACAGACCCAGCTACAAAACCCCTTTTCTCAGTTTCCCCTGGCTGCTAGGAGTGACCAGGAGACCCCAGGGTGCTTATCAATGAGACAGGAGAGGACATCGTCTGTGGGCTTCCAGAGAGGGGCAGACAGCATGCACACTGCTTTTGCTCCTGGCCCTGGTCCGGGAGATGCACTACCGTGGGCTTTGGCCCCCACTCAGCTTGCCCTATGCTAGAAGGTTCCCTGATGGCAGTGGGGTGAGGTGGGCTGCAGAGCCCACGCTTAGAGCAAGAGAAAGGTCAGCCATCCTGCTGGGCTGGCACTGACCTTGCAGGTGCCCTGAGGCCAGACGGCAGGCAGCAGCGATGCCCCAGGTCCCAGGCCCCAGAAGGCTGGTCAGCCCCCAGGACAGGAACCAGGCCACGGCTGAGGACTGTGAGGGTGGCAGACAGAAGGACAATCAGACCCAGGCTGCCCAGGCAGAGGCGGGGCCAGGAAGAGATCTGCGGACAAAGTGGCATCTCTAGGCCTCTGGAAATTGTGTGTGATTTCAAGCAAAGAGACGGTAGTGGTTGAATTTTGTCCCCCTAAAATCCACGTCTATGTAGAACCTCAGAGTGTGACCTTCTTTGGAAGTAAGGTTGCTGGAGATGCAATCACTTGGGATGAGGTCATCCTGGAATAAGTGGGCCCTAAGTCCACTGGTTGGTGCCCTTATAAGGAGGGAAAATACAGACACACAGAGACATGGCCACGTGCAGATGGAAGCAGAGACTGGGGGATGTGGCCACAAGCCAAAGAACACCTGGACTCCCCAGAAGCTGAAAGAGACAAGGAAGGGTCCTCCCCTAGAGCACTGGAGGGAGAGGGCCCTGCCGACACCTTGACATTGGTCTCTGCCTCCAGAACTGTGAGGGGAGACACTTCTGTTGTTCAAGCCCCAGCTGGTGGCTTTGAACCCTTTGTGAGAGCAGCCCCAGGACACCAGCACAAAGGGTGAGCATGTAGGAGGCCAGTGTGGTGACCTGCGCATCCTGTGGTCCCTCCCTCCGGCGCCCAACGCATCCTCAGGACTAGCCGGGGCCTGGGGACCGGACAGGGAGCAACTGGCAGCAGAGGGTGATGACAGAGCCTGCATTCCGGAATCTGACCCACAAAGGGCTGTGGCATTCATAGGAGAAGCCACGGAAGACCGGCAGGAATGACAGAAGCAGCAGCGAGAGCCCTTCAGAGGACCGCGAAACGCGAACTCCCACCCCAGCAAACCACCAAGGGGAAGAGGCGGGCCCCCATCCAGGAGGCCTTAGGAACAGGAGAGCTGACTTTTCTAAAGCAAATAAGGTCCAGGTTGCCTAAAACAGGGGAGGGTAGCCTAAGGCTCTCCCAGACTCATGACAACTTAGAATTGTACAAGTGGCACATTTAGCTAGAATCTGGGAGGAGCCTGCTGGGGGCCGTGCCATTCTGAGGGTTCCCGGAGTTACACACACACACACACACACACACACACACACACCCACACAACCTCCCTCCCACCTGCCTTCTCCAAATAAAACCATGTCCCTGGTCCTTTTCTCTTGGTATCCACCTTCTCCATCATGGAGGAGGTCTCAGCTCCTAATCCACTCGGCAAAGTCCCAGCGGACAGTGAGTCACTGAGTGCTGGGCCAGGCACAAGCTGAGCTCAGGGCCTCCAAGGCAAGGTGACCCAGAGGGCGCTGGGAATAGGACAGCGTAGGTGCCCCCGCAGTGGGGGATGTGGCTGGGTGTCTGTGAGGATGCTTCCTGCATGACAAGCTGGGGTTATAAGAACACAAAAGCCTGTAGGATGAAGCCTGGCCCAAAGCAGTCGGGGTCCCCTGACCTCCCCGGCCTCTCTCCAGGCAGTGTTCTCCCCAGGGCGCCAGGCTTCCCCAGCTCCAAGTCTGGGCGTCTGAAATCTGCTGTGTAATTGGATCACGCCCGGCCCGTGCTGAGCGCCCATCTGCGCCCGTCTTGGAAAACACAAGTCTCAGAGAAGGAAAGCAGTTGCCACAGGTAATTTTCTATCAAATATATTACATTTCTTGGAATCACACGCAGAAATTAACTAATTAGATTCCCCCTTATTTTTGAAATGCTTTCAGAGGACAATGGAAAGGTTCACTCTGTTCTGGGAAACGCTTCATTTAGACGCTAAACATTAGAATGCGATTTGTCCTTCAATCAGGGAAGAGTGGACTGAGCGGACATTTTTGTTTTTGTTTTTGAGACAGTCTCGCTCTGTCACCCAGGCTGGAGTGCAGTGGCGCGATCTCGGCTCACTGCAAGCTCTGCCTCCCGGGTTCATGCCATTCTCCTGCCTCAGCCTCCCGAGTAGCTGGGACTACAGGTGCCCACCATCACGCCCGGCTAATTTTTTTTTTGTATTTTTAGTAGAGACGGGGTTTTACCGTGTTAGCCAGGATGGTCTCGATCTCCTGACCTCGTGATCCGCCCGCCTCAGCCTCCCAACTGGCGGACTTTTAAGGATGCTATCCACGCTCCCTGCTCCTGGTTCCATCACGGGCCCCGAACAGCTGCAGGTGTGTGAAGGCAGTCTGGGAAACACTTCTGAGTCAGACCCACCTCTCTGGTTCAACCAGAGGCTCCTTTCTCTCCTTGATAACAATCCAAATTGTGATTGTTTTATAGAACCGCCTTTTACAACAGAATCATCTCCCCACATACCATTTTCCCTGATGCTGCCTGACAATCCTTGTCTCCCAGGGATGTGGGCACACAGCCACATGCTGCTCTACCTCCCACCCGCCCTGAGCACTCGGTGGATGCTGGGACTCTGCCGGCCAGCCAACCAGAAAAGGGCGCATGAGGGTACATCCGGGCTGCAGAAGAACATACTAATTGGTTTATTTTTTGAAACAAGGTCATGTTGATCTGGAAGGTAACTCGGGGGAAGAGTAGACAGGACCAGAGGGAGGACAGAGGACAAGGACATCATTCAGCAAGATGAGGGCTTGGGAAGCTGGGTCTCTGAGAAGCCTGGGCCCCTTTAATCCCAGTGAGCCCCTTGCATGGAGCGTTGATGGATACGGGGCAGGGGGACAAGGACAGGCGCAGGTGCTCATTGAGGAGAGAGGTCCTGGGATCCCCAGACCTGGGCATGAGGGGGCTGCCACTGGGCACAGATGGGCAACCTGGGCACCATGCAGAATAGTGTCTGCAGCTGATTTAGACACGTTGAATATATAAATACGTTATATATATTATGTATGTTATATATAACATATTTATACATATATTCATATACGTAACATAAATGTTATATTTTTATATATGTATTACATAAAAATATATTGTATATAATATATATTCTATATAAAACATGTATAAGTATATTTATATATATATAAATAACACTGAGTTGAATATACAAAAATCCTGAGTTCATAATGACATACTGGTGAGGAAGAGAGAGACAGACCAGGGCAGAGAAGACACAGGGAGAGTGAAAAAGACCCTACTTCATCCCTCAACAACATGATAGAAAACCAACTCACTGGACATCAGTAGAGATCACTGAAGCATCAGCTTCCTATAGAGAGACTTGACAATGAAAAAGAAAGAATTAAGCATTTATCTTGCCTTCTTGTACAAACAGTGTTCAGCTTAACCAAGTCATCTTATTTGATATGTGAAAGTTCTTCGAGATGGAAGAATCTCAGCTCATCACTGCGAAGGCATGCCAGGATTAGGAAGTCATCAGATGCAAGCCTGCAAGCCTCAGTGTACTCCTCAATGTCTGCAGGGCCCACCCCAGAGAGAGGCCCCTGGGTGACCAGCCGGTGAGGAGCTTCAAGAGGAAGGATTCACCATCACCACCTGGATCCTGTGTGCAGCTTTTGTCACAGCGGTGGCGAGCACAGTTTCTGCCTCCTGGGGAGATGGGGTGTGAAGCTCACAGCACCTGCGTGTGGCTGGGCCCAACATTAACAGCGCTGCAAGAGCTCACCTCCATTTATAGGAAGTGGGAAGGACCCAAGGACTGGCCGATGACACCACAGGAGGCAGAAGGCACATCGGGGGTTGGGGGTAGCCTATGGCCAACCTACCCTGTCCCTCTAACAACCTACCCTGTCCCTATAACACGTTGCTGGCAGGAAACACGGGAGATGGCTCAGACTGGAGACCTGGGGACATATCTACCAAGTGCCACGTGGGTCCTGGGTCAAAGTCACCACCGTGAAAAGACATTTCTGAGATAATTTGGGACATGTGCTAATGGAGGGGTTTCAGATTCCACCCAGAGACCACTGCTGGGTGCGTGGATGGGACAGTGACACTGGGGCCCGCAAGAAAGATCCCATGCTGTGAGAGACAGACTGAAGGGGAAGAGGGAGTGACGCGATGCCTGGGATTTGCTGAAGAAAAAAAAAAGAATAAAAAGGTCCGTCTGTATATGGATGGCAAGAATTTCTTGGTAACAAAAGCACAGCCAATAAAAGAAAAAATAAATACTAAGGTCGATGAAAATTTAAAACTTTTGTGCATCAAAGGGCACCATCAACAGAGCAAAAAGGCAGCTAAAGAATGGGAGGAAATATTTGCAAATCATGTATCTGGTAAGGGGTTAGTATCCAGAATGTGCAGAAAACTCTTACAACTCAACAACAGAAACAAAAATCTAATTTAAAAATGGGCAAACTGGCCAGGTGAGGTGGCTCATGCCTGTAATCCCAGCACTTTGGGAGGCCGAGGTGGGCGGATCACTTGAGGTCAGGAGTTCGAGACCAGACTGGCCAACATGGCAAAACCCCATCTCCACTAAAATTTCAAAAATTAGCCAGGTGTGATGGCACGTCCCTGTAACCCCAGTTACTCGGGAGGCTGAGGCAGAAGAATTGCTGGAACCCAGGAGGCAAAGGTCGCAGTGAGGTGAGATCACGCCACTGCACTCTAGCCTGGGTGACAGAGTGAGACTCCGTCTCATAAATAAATAAATAAAAATGGGTAAAGGACTTGAATAGACATTTCTCCAAAGAAGAGATACAAATGGCTGATAAGGACTTTTCTGAAAAGATGTTCAACACCACTAATCAATTAGAGAAAGGCAAATCCAAACTACAACGGGACACCATCTCACACCTGTTAGGATGGCCACGATCCTAAAACAGAAAGTAATGACGCTGGTGAGTATGTGGGGAAACTGGAGCCCTTGGGCACCGCTGGCAGGAAGGTAAAGTGGTGCAGCCCCTGTGGAACATGGCATGGCTGCTCCTCAAAACCTTAAACACAGAACGAGCACGTGAGCCAGCAATGCCACTTCTGCATCTATGCCCGAAGGCATTGACAGCGGGGTCTTGAAGAGATATCTGCACACCCGCGTTCACGGTGGCAGCACTATTCATGGTAGCTAAGAGGTGGACGCAACCTAAGTGTCCACCTACAGATGAACAGACACACAAAAGGTGGTGTTTCCGTAGAGTTGGGATAGTTATCATTCAGGCTTAAACCAGAAGGAGATTCTGATGCATGCTACAACACGGAGGAACCTCGAAGGTATTACACTGAGTGAAATGTACCAAGCACAAAAAGATAAATACTGCAGGATTCCACTGACCTGAGGTCCCTAGAGTGGTCAAATTCATAGGGAGAGAAAGTGGGATGGTGGGTGCCAGGGGCCGGGGGAGGGGATGGGGATGAGTGTTAATAGGGAAGAGTTTCAGTTTGGGAAGATGAGAAGGTTCTGGAGATGGATGGTGGTGATGGTGAATGGAAATGTACTTAATGCCACTGAAATGTATACTTAAAAATGGTTAAGATGGTAAATTTTACGGTATGTGCACTGTACTACAATTTTAAACATAATACAAAGTATAACTGTAAAAAAAAAAAGGGGGGAGGAAGTGAATGGAGCAAATGGCGGCTGTGATCTCTTGGGGGCCAGCTCTCCACAAGGTCTTCATAAACCCTCGGTCACGCTCATCTGCTGCTCAAGGGCCTCCAATGGCTCCCCATTGCCCTAGGCCTTGACACAGCCTGAAAGGCCCCGTAGGGCATGAGGCCCGCCCCTTTCTCTGCCACATCCACCCCTCCCGAATGTTCCAGAATACGCAGAGTCTTTCCCTGGTCCAGGTGGGGCCTTGCACTCACCACCCCGGTGCCCGGCCCACCCTCACCTCAGCTCTACCCTCCTCTTCAGGTCTCAGCCTAAATCCTTCCCCTTGGGGAGCCTTCCCTGACCACTCTGTCGACAAAGGCGTGGTCTCTGCCCTGTAGCTGCACAGCATCCTAGTGTGTGTGAGAGTATATGCGTGAGCATGTGTGAATGCATGTCAGCACGTGTGTGTGTGTGAATGTGAGTCTGAGTGTATGAGCATGCGTGTATGCGAGCATGCATGTGTGTGTACATGTATGAGTATGTGTGTGAGCAGATGTGTGAGCGTGTGAATGTTAGCATGTGTGAATGCGTGTTAGTACATGTGCATATGTGTGTATGAATGTGAGTCTGTGTGTATGAGTGTGTATGCGAGCATGTGTGAGCATGTGTGCAAGTGTGTGAGCATATGAATATGTGTGAGCACGTGTGAGCATCTGTGTATGTGTAAGCACGTGTGTGAACATATGTACGAGGATGCATGAGAATGTGTGAATATGTGTGAGCATGTGTGAATGCGTGTTAGTACATGTGCATGTGTGTGTATGAATGTGAGTCTGTGTGAGTGTATGAGTGTGTGTATGCGAGCATGTGTGAGCATGTGTGCAAATGTGTGAGCATATGAATATATGTGTGAGCACGTGTGAGCATCTGTGTATGTGTAAGCACGTGTGTGAACATATGTGCGAGGATGCATGATGTGTGAATATGTGTGAGCATGTGTGTGAGCATGTGTGTGAGCATCTGTGTGAGCATGTGTGAGCGTGTGTGTGAACATGTGTGTGGGCATGTGTGAGAACTTGTGTATTTATAAGAATGTATGTAAGCATGTGTGAACATGTGTGTGCACATGGTAGCATGTGTGCAAGTGTGTGTGAACATGTGTACCGTTTCCTGGGGTTGTCACGACAAATCACCGCAAACCAAGGGGCTTCAAACAACAGGAATTTTTCTCTCAGTCTGGCGGCGGGAAGTCTAAGATCAAGGGGTAAGCAGGGCCACACTCCTCTGGTGGGCACGTATGTGGGTGCATTCATGTGTGTGCACGTGTGTGTGCATGTGTATGGGTACCTGTGTGTATGTGCACGTGTGTGGGTGCCTGTGTGTGCATGTGTGTGTGCATTAGTATGTGTGTGTTTCCATTCACAGCACAGCCACAGCCTCCAGTTATGGAGCCTGTTGACCCACATAGTGCCTGTCAATCTGTGCAGTGCCTGTTTCCCCAGCACTCAGGCTCTGTGAGGGCAGGGCCTGCTCTTCCTCTCTGCAGGATCCCAAAAAGGCCCAGGCTGGTGCTGAGTACGGACTCAGTGTGTGGCCCGCACACAACTGATTAGACCCAGGGTGCCTATAGAGACCCTCCTGCTATTCACAGATGGGGGCAGGTGGGGCTGGGCTGGGTGTTTACTCCCCTCCTGGCCGGGCCACGGCCAGCTCTCCTCCTGCGGTGCAGAATCCAGGTGCCCACAGAGACAAATGAGCGGCCGGAGAGCCAGCCCATGATAGGCAGCTCCTCAGACCTCCCCCCACCAACCCATCGGGAAGCAGCCACTGCAGAGAGGGTGTGACCCGTGGGAGGCCGCTGCCCAGCGCTCAGGAAGGCCGGGGCACAAAGGATGCTAGGCACTGGGAGTGAGGCTGGCGCCCTGGCGAGGGGAGACTGGCTGCTCCAGACCCTCGAAAGCCCTGGGGCCCAGATCCTGGCAGTCTTGCAAAACAGACCTAGGTGTCAGACCCCTTTCCTTCCCGCACCCCACACTCTAGGCTGCCCAGGGGAATCCCAAGGAGCCTTGGTATCCCAGCCAGCCTCAGGCTGACCAGTGAGTCTACCCAGTGACGGGGCTGGAGCCCTGTTTGGGGTCTGCGAGCTGCCCACAGCTCACGCCAAGCCGGCTTCCGCTCTGTCCATCAATTCAGGCCCACTGAGCACAGGTTCTCGGGGAATGCTCAAGAGCCCCATGCCAGGTGGGTCCCATTCACAGATGTCTGCTCACCAACCAGCAGGAAGCTGGAAAGTACCCCCAGGACAGCTAGCAGCCCACAGTGAGCTGTGAGGCACACAGCAATTTGGGGCTAATTTTCTCCTGCAAAGAAGTTGATCCCATAATCTGGCAAATACACTAATCGTCACTGCACTGCTCAGAGCAGGAGCTTAGAGCTACAGAGTCCGGGGGGAACAGGCTCGGCATAGAATGAGACCACGGACTGCCGGCTTGAAGAATGTGCTGCCAGGATATGAAACCCAAAGCTGGCAATGGACCACAAGCTACTCCCAGTGACAGAGGACCCAGGCCACAGACCAGCTGCTGTGCTGGGCACAATGCTTCTATTGTCACGGAACCCTGCATCCACGCCCGGCCCCGCTTGCAGATGGGAAAGCTGAGGGTCTGGGGCTGCAGGATGTGCTCGGCGCCCTGCTGATGACCTTCCCTGGGCCAGCCTGACCCCCGGCTCCTCTGATCCTCTCTGCTTTAACGGAAGCAAAGAATGAGTTGTAACAGCCGAGGACCAAGGAGCAGCTCTTCTGTCAACAGATGCACCGGAAAATCCGCGGTGGCCGAGGAAGCCCTATTTTCTTTAGTCTGCTCAGCATTTCTTGTACAATAATAAAAACATCTGAATTTCCAACAAATATAATAGAAAGATTTCCTAGAAAATGATCTATTCTGGCTTTGGTCAAAAAAGTTGAGAGTCCAGCCGGGCACGGTGGCTCACACCTGTAATCCCAGCACTTTAGAAGGCCGAGGCGGGTGGATCAGGAGTTCGAGACCAACCTGGCCAACATGGTGAAACCCCGTCTCTACTAAAAATACAAAAATTAGCTGGGCATGGTTGCAGGTACCTGTAATCCCAGCTACTTGGGAGGCTGAGGCAGGAGAAGCATTTGAACACGGGAGGTGGAGGTTGCAGTGAGCCGAGACCATGCCACTGCACTCCAGCCTGGGCAACAAGAGTGAGACTCCATCTCAAAAAAACAAAAAAACAAAAAAAAAACAAAAAAAACATTGAGAGTCCATGGCTCACACTGCCCTGAGTCTCACAGAGCCAGCCTGGGCTGGTGCTGGGAAGGGCTTCCCCTGCTGGCTGAGGGTCTCTGCAGCCAGGACTTGCCACTCCCTGATGGCATCTAGAGGCCTCTGTGTTGGGGACCCAGATGGCAGCCTCAGGAAATGGCCAGTTTGGGGTGGAAGTGGGCTCCGCAAGTGCCTGAAAGGGAGTCTCAGTCCATCAGGCCTTTGCTCAGGGTGCCGTAGCAAAATGCCACAAACTGGTGGCTTCTAGACAACAGAAATGTATTTCTCACCATGCTGTGGGCTGGAAGAGTCAGTGTCTGGTGAGGGCCCCTGTCCTGGTTTCTTCTCTTGGTGTCTTCAAAGGGCAGAAGGGGCAAAGGGGCTCTCTGGGGTTCCTTTTATAAGGGCACTACTCCTCCTCATGAGGGACCCACCTTCATGACCTCATCCCCTCCTGAAGGCCCCACCTTCTAAAACACCATCACACTGTGGATGAGGATTTACTGTATGAATTTTTCAGGTGACACAGACCATCACACCACAGCAAAGAGGGCCTGGTTTTTCTTTTTCTTTTCTTTTTGAGAGTCAATTTCCATCTGATTTTCCCAGCAACACATTAATTGGGTAAAGCCAAATCCACATGAGTAGGTGGGGTGGGTGCAGGAAGGAGGGTGGCCTGAGGCTCCCCTGGCTGGCCAGGGACATGAAGGTGCCCTGCAGGCCCACAGGGTGGGTTCTGGCCTCCAGGGCCTGAGCGGACCCCCCTTGAGCCCCAAGGGGTCTTTACCTGGCTCCTCTCTAAACTCTCGGCCTCTCAGTGGTGGAGTTCTACGTGGCTGGGATTGGGACATCAGTGGACCCAGGGACGGCCCCAAGGAAGGGGCTAGGTCTCAGACATAAGGAGGAGGGGGCAGGTCTTCAGGCCCACAGGCCCGTCTGGGGCTCAGAGGGCTTTGCCCAGGCCGTCCAGGGGCCTGGAGGCTGCAGAACGTGCAGGTGCAGCTGGGATGTGTCGCCAATGGTAAGCAGGCAACCTGGGGCCACGCACAGCTAGTGCAGTGGGCTGAGTGGTGTCTCCCAGAAAGATGTGCCCAGGTCCTAATCTCCGGAACTGAGAATGGGATCTTATTTGGAAAGAGTCCTCACAGACATAATTAAGTTAAGGACCTTGAGATGAGAAGATTATCCTGGATTACCTGGCTGGGCCCTAAACCCAGTGACAAGTGTCTTTATAAGAGAGAGGCAGGGGGAGATTTGAGACACAGAATCGCAGAGAGGAGAAGGCCACGTGAAGATGGAGGCAGAGACGAGCGACGCAGCCATGAGCCAAGGGACGCCTGGAGACACGGGAAGCCGGAAGAGGCTGGGAAGGATCCTCCCCTAGAGCCACCATGGGGAGCAGGGCCCTGCCAGGCCCTGGATTTCAAACCTGTGGCCTCCAGCACTGTGAGTGAACGCATCGCTGTTGTCTCAGGCCACTCAGTTTCTGGTCATTTGTGACAGCGGCCTCAGGACATGAATACAGCTATGCTTCAGAGAGGACTGCACGAAGCTGAGGCCCGAGCCCTGACCTGGGATCACAGGCATGTGCTGGAGCTGGGGGCCCACTACGAGCAGGGGAGGGCTGGGGTAGGAGGGGCGCATGCCCAGTCAGGATCCCTCCCTGTCTCCCATTCTCTAGAACAGTCCCTCAAGGCTGGGCTCTGGAATCCTCTGTAAGTTGCTCCATCTCAGAAAGCCTCAGTTTACTCATCTGTAAAACGGAGAGTCAGGCAAGTCCACCTTGCAGAGCTCCTAGGAAGAATCGAGGCGACTGCTGGGTAACCTGCTTAGCACCATGAGTGCAGGCAATGAGCGTCTACACAGAGAGCCTGGGGACTTAGAGGGATGCAAAGAGCCTCTTCGCTTGAGGCCTGAAGGTTCAGACAGCTAAAACATGGGCTGGCTACTGCCTGGCATCCCTCCCTGATGAAAAATAACAATAGATCGTGTACAGAATTTTTAAAATTCTAAGTATTTTTTTTTTCTTTACTATGCTTTTTTTTCTTTTTTTCTTTTCTTTTTTTTTTTGAGACGAAGTCTTGCTGTGTTGCCCAGGCTGGAGTGCAGTGGCATGATCTTGGCTCACCGCAAGCTCCACCTCCTGGGTTCACACCGTTCTCCTGCCTCAGCCTCCTGAGTAGCTGGGACTACAGGCGCATGCCACCACGCCTGGATAATTTTTTTGTATTAGTAGAGATGGGGTTTCACCGTGGTAGCCAGGATGGTCTCGATCTCCTGACCTTGTGATCTGCCCGCCTTGGCCTCCCAAAGTGCTGGGATTACAGGCATAAGCCACTGCGCCTGGACTATGCTTTTTTCTTAAACGTGCTTTAGCTTGTCTAGGAGGATCCAGTACAAGGCATTGTGAGATCAACAGCAGAGAATGGCATGTGCTCTCCTTCCAGAGGCACAGCAAGACCGCCTGCCCCAGCCTCCCCTGCAGGGAGGAATGACCGCCAGTTGAGATTGCAGTCAACGGAACAGAAGCGGAAGTGATATGCACTTTCTCTTCTGCCAGCCAGAGGCGGCCGAGCCCGGTGACCTGGGCATCTGCGTATTCAGGATGGAGGAGCTGGGAGCTGGGAGGAGCCTGAAGCTGCTTGGAGGAGAGCTGCCTGCCCGACTTGAGAGGGGCAATAAATATCTTTCCACGGCTCAAATGAACAGCCAGTTTTCAGTATGTGGCTTGTTACGGTGTCCAGCATTGCGGGCACGGACACACAATGTCTAAAATGGGTGCAGTTCTACAAAGCACACCCGAGATCCCTGGGCTGTGGGCAGTCCAGCGGGCAGGCAAGCCCCTGCCCCAGCTTGCAGCTGTGCTAGCACAAAAGGGCCAATCTCTCTGGGCAAGGGTTGCACTAGGCAATCCCACTGGGGATGACTCTTCTGGGTGACCAAGGTTCAGGCTCTTTCCTGGGAGTTCCTGGGTCTGGAGAGAAGGCTACGGGGGACTGGGTACCAGGATGGGTAAGGTCAGAAGGACAGGGGCTGGGGTCACTGGCATTCCCCTGAGGGAGGCCGCATTTCACAGGCTTTTCCAGTTGGTGAAGCCTTTGCCCGCAGGGTCTCTTTAAAAGGAAACCAGACAAAGCCAACCCAATACTTGCTGCGCTGCGCCCTGACCTCAAACCATCCTGCCTAGCTACTGGCAATTAGGCTGCCTTTGAGATAAATTTTCTCGCCTAAAAATGCCCATGGGTCTTAAAACTTTGATTTTCCGTTCGATTCAAATTTAAATCCAGAATCGCAGTGCTGTGGGGGGTGGGGGGGAAATGCCCAGGATAAAGACAATGTCCTAGCTAACAAACCAACCAGTGAGTGACAGAGGGGCCTCAGCAGGAAGTCTGGGCAGAACGGAGCTTGCTAGGTCACCCCATGTGAACTGCTTTGGAGAACAGAGTGGTAGCTTTGTTAGATTTATGGGGACGGCGGCTCAGCCTGTCTAATCGCAGTTGAGGCGGGGCCGAGAGGTGTCTCCCCTGTGTCCACGCTAGCTGGGTGCTTCCCTCCCACGGACACAGAGGCCGGGCTGCCACTTCCATCCTTCCCCTGACACCTCCCGTCATCTTCTGGGAAACACCAAGTGACACAAACAGGACACTGATTTCCTGGAAATTTATATCTGGCTCAGGAGTTGCACCTGCTGAAGAGGTGAAGATGACAAAGGCCCTCCATGCGACTGAGAATAACGCAGAGATGGTCCCTCAGGCTTGAGAGCCATAATTTCACCAGCTCGTTTATTTCTAATTAGATAAAGAATACAAGTTTTTAAAAAAAGTTACTTTACAGAAGAGCCAAGGTGACTACAGTTAATAATAATTTATTGCATATTTCAAAATATACAAGAGAAGATTTGGAGTGTTCCCAGCACAAAGAAATACATGTTGGAGGTGACGACATCGCAGTTATCCTGATTTGATCCTTAGACATCGTGTGCATGTATCAAAACGTCACATGGGCCCGTACATATGTACAATTACTAGGTATCAGTTAACAAATAGCTGAGCCCCCTGTGACTCACCCTCCACCCATCTCTTCCTCCAACGGGTTACCTTGGAGGAAGGCTTATCTTGAAGGATTATCACATTGGTGTGGAGCTTTCCAGAACTTTTGCATAACATTTATGTTCCCTTGGAAAATGTGGAGTACAGAGAATACATATAATATTTTTGCATGCTTTTTTAAAAAGCAGAGGCCGGGTGCGGTGGCTCACACCTGTAATCCCAGCACTTTGGGAGGCCGAGGCGGGCGGATCACGAGGTCAGGAGATCAAGACCATCCTGGCTAACACAGTGAAAACCCGTCTCTACTAAAAATACAAAAAAATTAGCCGGGCGTGGTGGCAGGTGCCTGTAGTCCCAGCTCCTCAGGAGGCTGAGGCAGGAGAATGGCGTGAACCCAGGAGGCGGAGCTTGCAGTGAGCTGAGATCACGCGCCACTGCACTCCAGCCTGGGCGACAGAGTGAGACTCCGTCTCGGAAAAAAAAAAAAAAAAAAAAGCAGAAATATTATTATACTACAGTGGTTGGTCTGTGACCTGTGGTTAGTATTTGGGATGGTGTCTTGGGAATCACGTCGTGGTTGGTATGCAAATATTCCTCTTTCTTTTATACGTTGGCATTGTTTTTGGTCATTTGAATGAGGGTTGAGCTCCTGCCATGTGCTGGGTGCTTTCTCTTGTAGGTGAGCAAGAAAGACAGTCTTTGCTCTCATAGAGTTATGGTCCCATGGGGGAAGACTGACCAACAACAAAAGGTGAACAGAAACCATACCGTGTGCTGGCCAGAGCTATGAATAAACAGGAAGCCGACTAAGGGACTGCAGGTGGAGGGGGGGGAGGAACACAGAGGGGCAGAGGAGATCTGGGGTCGGGGGCTGAGCTGGAGCTCTGCCCAGGGTCTCAGCTGACCCAAGGGTTTGTACGTGGCGGCGAGCAGGGGTTATCACTGGTCCTGTTTCAGAGCTAAGGAAACATGCTGGGACTTGCCCCAGATTTAACAGGAAAGCCCAACTATTCAAAAGTTAAACAACAAAAAGTGAAGAACATTGCTTTTTTAAAAATTCCAAATTTAAAAAAATGTAGTAGAAGACACAAAGCATAAAATTTGCCATTTTACAGTGGCCAGTTCATGGCATTAACTACATTTACAGTGTGTGCAGCCATCACCAGCGTGCATCTCCAGAACTTTCTCATCCTCCCAAACTGAAACTCTGTCCCCATTACACACGAACTCCCCATCCCCTTCCCCAGCCCCCGACACCCACCATCCTACTTTCTGTCTCTATGAATGTGACGGATGTGACTACTCTAGGAACCTCACTTGAGCGGAATCATACAGTTCAAAGGAAGAGAATGTTGTATTTGGCCACTCCTGGCATCTGTCCATCTGCTTCCCGATGGGTCCCAGGCTGGATACCTCCATGTGGGGTGGACGCAGCGACAGGAACTGAGGGGGCCCCCGGCCAAGGGCAGGACCAGCAGCCCTCCCGCATGGCAGCTCCCGCCTGCTGCAAATGCAAGAGGGAGGTTGATCTTGGAAGAACACACCTTTCCAACATGCATTCCCAGAGACAATGCAGATCTCAGCAAAGTCAGGGGTGAGGACAGTGCTGAAATCCATCTCCAGACCTGCTTGCTAAACCCCACAGTGTCACTGAGTCCCACTTTGCTGTGCTCATTTCATTGATTCCTTCCTTTATGCATTCAGCAAACAACAGCCCATGCCTTTTGCCAAGACCGACACCTGTGCCTCAGACAAACACGTGGAGAAGAAGGTGACTGCCTTTAAGATGACCCCAGCCTGGCAGGGACTATGAACAAGCAGGAAATTCATCAAAAGATCTCGTCAAAGGCTGGGCATGGTGGCTCATGGCTGTAATGCCAGCACTTTGGGAGGCTGAAGCGGGCAGATCACCTGAGTTCAGGAGTTCGAGACGAGCCTGGCCAACATGGTGAAACCCAGTCTTTACTAAAACTACAAAAATTAGCTGGGCACCTATAATCCCAGCTATCTTAGGAGGCTGAGGCAGGAGAATCGCTTGAACCTGGGAGGCGGAGATTGCAGTGGGCCGAGATCACGCCACTGCACTCCAGCCTGAGCAACAGTGAGATTCTGTCTCAAAACAAAAACAAAAACAAAAATAAAAAACACATCAAGAATGCTTTGAAGAAGCACACAAGGTACACACAAGCTTCATCCTGCTCAATGCCAGAATCCCGGTGTTGCTGGTCGGAGGCAGGGGCTGTCTAGGGGGGCTATAGGCTGGGGATAGGGCTGGACATGGGGCTGCTGGGCACACAGCCTGTTCTCCAGGAACAACAACAACAACAAAAACAAAAAACAAAAAACTGAACAACAAATCAGTCCACTGTAATCAGAAGGCTCATCGAAAAACACTCTGGAAAAATTAACTGACAACAAAAAATGTCTTCCCGGAAAAGATGAGGCTGGGCCCAATACAGGAATTAAAACCAATCACTGCTGACCCCACACGGGTGCTGCCGAGGTTCAGCTGCTATATTTACAACAAGAGAATGATGCATATGTCACGAATTGGAGGCAACGCCACCTGCCACAGGCCCTCAGGGCTGAGTCCCCTCAAATTCAGTGGCCGACACCTCACAGTTTCGCTTCAGTCCAGCAGCAGACTGGGGAGCTGGGGCAAGGCAGAGTGCCCTGGGCTTTGAGTCCAGCATCGGGGTGGCCAGGACCCCCGAGAACCCTCTGACCCCCTGCCCTGCCACAGCAGGGCATACAGTGTTCAAGAACTCTGGAGCCGGAGCCAGACTTGGGTTTGAATCCTGCCCTGTCACTCCCTCATCATCACCTGTGATGGGTCATCCTATGTTCACCAAACCTCAGCTGTTCCATGTGCAAACTGACACTAATGCCATCTCCTTCCTCACACTGCTGAGCGTGGAAGGGGACCCTGGCATACAGTAAGTGCTCAAGAAGTGGCAGAGGTCATTATTGAAACAGTCCTTGTTATTGTTCCCAGAGCTGTGTGGACCCCCAGAACTCGCATGCTGGTAGCCTGTGGCGGCAAGGGCAGCGTTTGGATCTCCTGTGCTTGGTGCCCCCTCAAACCCAGGACATTCAGTGTAAATGACTGTGAGCCTCAGGCTGGAAAGATCGTTTCCCTTCCCAGCTAGAAAGACTCATCCATCAGGCTGTGTCAGACGCACCTGAGCCCTCCAGGGTGGTCAAAGGTAAGGAAGCTTGTGTCCCAAGTGCAGCATTTAGGGCTTCCCAAGGCAAAGTGCCCAATCAGGCTCTCTACTCTCCAAGTTCGTGGTGCATGGTAGCCACAGCTCACCTCTCCCAATACACAGGATCTCCAAGGGCCACCCTGCCATCCCTCAAGTTCCTCAGCCCATGTTTTCCCTCCTTCCTTCAGTTTGACAATAGGGGTGGAGCAACCACTTTGCAGGATGTCTCTGCTTAGGGGCTATGGAGAAGCATGGGACCTGAACTCTGCACTCTTTGGGAAGAAGGATCAGATAGGATTCAAATCTGTTTCACCAACCACTAGGCTCCAGGCTTGAGCCTAACAAGCAGTTGCTCAAAATAACTTGGTAGATGTGTGTAACCCAGATAGATACCCTAACCCCACGTGGTCCAGTCCTTGTTGGAAAGATTTTCAAGGAATCACAGTCCAGATACCAAACAGATAGAAAACAGGGTTTCTGATCTTTAATAGTACTTCTCCAGTTATTAAAAGGAATCTAACTTTTATTTATTTTATTTATTTATTTATTTATTTATTTATTTATTTATTTATTTATTTTTGAGACAGAGTATTGCTCTGTTGCCCAGGCTGGAGTGCAGTGGCACAATCTCGGCTCACTGCAACCTCTGCTTCCTGGGTTCAAGCGGTTCTCCCTGCCTCAGCCTCCCGAGTAGCTGGTACTACAGGTGTCCGCCACCATGCCCAGCAAATTTTTGTATTTTTTTTAGTAGAGATAGGGGTTTCACCACGTTGGCCAGGCTGGTCTTGAACTCTTGACCTCAGGGGATCTGCCTGCCTTGGCCTCCCAAAGTGCTGGGATTACAGGTATGAGCCACCGCGCCCAGCCAAAAGAAATCTAACTTAAAGCACAAAGCAATATCTTTTGGTAGCCCCAACTTTTATCATCTGTATGTAGAAGTAAGCCCCCAGTTTTCCTTCAAGTCTTGCCTGTGCATAACTTTTGTTCCTTCCGGCTTTCTGCCTAAGCTCCCTCTGTTTCTTTGTTTTCCTCTTTCCTCTAGAATCTGCATCACAGAAGATATCCAGTTGGGCAAGACCCCGCCTCCCTGACAGGTGGCACAGGAGGGTGGTTGGAGCAGGAGGGTGGGAAGTGATACGTGGATCTTGGAAGAACAGCCTGGCTCTACCACTCGCCGTGTGTCTGTGGGTATGTGAGTCCCCACTCTGTGCTGTGGCCTCCTCATGCAGAGAAAGGAGCTGATAAAAGTCACCGAGTTAAACTTAACACAAAGTGAGTTCATGTGTGTGAACTCTCTCAAAAACGGTGCTGGCACACAGTAGGTGCTCAAGCAGCGCAAGCATTTTACACAGTCACTGCCGTGGCTGTTCGGAGTCTTATTTGCAGTCTGTATCATGCTGCTCAGCAGTTAAGCTTTTGTTGGATCTGAGCTCTGTCTTAACAAAAGGGGACAGGACCCCCTTCCCTCTGCGGTCCTTCTGCCCAGGCATGTGACGAAGGTGGTGAACTCAGCACTCACTGAACACCCGCCCATCCCACCCCGGATGGGGACTCTGGGGTGTGCATCAGCAGTTTCAAGAAACACAGAATGACCACCTGACCCAGCAATTCCACTCCTAGGTATGTACCCTAAGGAACTGAAAACGAAAACTGGTACAAAAACGTTTATGTCGACATTATTCACAACCATAAGTTAGAAACAGCCCAAGTGTCCCTGAACTAGTGAATGGATAAACTAATTGTGGTCTAACCACATGGTGGAACGTTATTCACCCACAAACAGAAGGTAGTACGGACACATGCTACCATACGGATGAACCTAAAGCACACGATGCTGAAAGAAGCCAGACAAAAGGTTGCCTAGAGCATGATTCTGTGGGTGGAAAATGCCCGGAACAGGCAGACCCAAGACCCAGAGGGGATGAGTATTTGCCTGGGGCTGGGAGGGAGATGGAGAGTGAGTGCTAATGGGTTTGATGGTAAATTTTATGGTCTGTGTATTTTACCACAATAAAAAAGACATACCCAAGTGAAAAAAAAAGTGTATAAACACATGACAAAATGTATTACTAACAGACACATATAAAGAAGTAAAATTCCACAAAGATAAGCCTTGTTATGCGGACACTGTCTCCTGGTGGCAGCATCCCTGGTTTTTTCTTTGGCTTCTCTGCATTACCAATTTTATTTGTGTCTGACATGATTTACTCGAAACACAGTGAAATAATGCTAATGTAAAAGCTGGCTATCAGGCAGATATGGGGGTAAAGTTTACTCAAAATTTCCTAGGACCAGGGGTACAATTCCCCCTGTAAACCCCTCAGGATTCCAGTGGGCCTGGGGAGAGAAGGCTGGCACCTTCCAGGGAAGGGCTGGCTTCTCACGCTCTCTCTGATGTAAATGAATCCACCCCTCCACCTCCATCAGCTTTTCAAGTTCAGGCCCTGATGGAGAGGGGGAAGGGGTTTGGGAGGAAGGAGACCCTTGTCCAAGACGGAAGTTCTATCCTGGCTGTGCTCTCCTCAGTGGTGCCTTCCTTTCCTTAAGGAATATTTATTGGTGGCCTGCCATGTGCTCGGCTCTGGGTGGTCCCTTATCTGATGGGGCATGTGCAGGAAGTGACTATGGCAGAGGGTTATGAGCGGGCATCACAGGCAACTTTCAGGGAGCAGATGCAGGAGGTGCCCTGGTAAAGCAGGTGGAGGAGGCAAAACTGTGGGCAAGTGTCTGGGGACAGGAGGGGTGTGGCACATTCCGGAGACCAGAGAGAGTGTCCAATGGCGACGTTCATCTCCTCACTGGCCTGGCACACGTGCCATCTCCCCTTCTCACCCATATAACCCACTCCTCCATCTGCAACCCCAGCCCTGAGGGTGCTGAAGGAGGTGCACATGCCCAGGACCGTCCCTGTCTATCTCCATGACCCCCTAGGTCCTGCCATGGAGACTGAACACAAAGGAGATGCATGGGAAAGTCTGCTCCATGGGACCCATCTGAAGATCCTGGGGAGAGGGAAGTAGAGAACTTGCTGGTGGGTGGTTGATTTCATGAGACCACAGCGGGGCTACCATTCTCAGGGCTCCACAGCATCAGCTCTAACTCCCCTTCTCATCCCACTCTGCTTACTGTTGGCGCACACACACCCTAATTCCCAGGGCTGACAAACTCCATCAATTAAAAGATCCTGTGGGGCACTTAGCACAGGGCCTTCCTCCAGTTCATTTGCCAGTCTAACCACTTGTATCATGAAACTCCCCACGAAAGGGCACCAAAGGCGAAGAGAAATCAGTACTAACAAGAGCCTGCTGAGAACACTGGGAGGTGGGCAGTGGGTGTATGGGAGGGAGGAGGGGGGCAGGTGGAGAGGACCCAGAGGCACCAATGGGTGCATCAGAGGACCTGGCGCCAGCAGCTTCCAACATGGAGATGTCAGCCCACTATGCCTCCTGCAGCCTTCGCTCCATGTAGCCTGGGGCTGGGTGTACAGCATCCACACACAGAAAAAGATGGCTGTTAAGATTACATCCCAATGATCTGGGACTTACCTGGAGCATCAGACAGACACAGTGCAAAAGAAACAAGCTTTGGAGTCAGCTTAGATTCAGACCTCCCTGGAGGGCCCTGGGCAGGCTTCTTAATCTCTCTGAACTGTGCTGCATGCTGGAGATGTAGCAGAGACCTGGTCAGCAAACTCTCTGACCCACAGGGAATGTTCCCTGAGGGAGGTGGATAGTAAGTCAGTCACCTAACACGGGAGATGTATGATTCCTATGGTCATGGAAGCACACGGTGTGAGTGTGAGAGTCAGGGCAACCTGAGGGTGCCAAGAGGGGCCTCTCTGAGAAGGCATCATGTGAGCTGAAACCTCAGTGGTGAGGGGAGTGGGGCTCAAAGCAGATGCAGATGGACATGGCAGGACATAGCAGATGCTCAACCATGTTGGCTCCTTGGCCCCTCCTTGTGGAAGAGATTTCTCCATCGAGTAGATGAGACTGTCACTAAGTAATGAGCCTCTATGCCCAGAAACTCCAAGGACACAGGGGACAGAAATGAAAGGTGCAGGGATGGAGGGAGGGGACATGCTGAGGGCTTTCTCCAGACTCCTGAGGAAGGCTGCATCCAATCCTCCCAGCTGTCTAGTTCAGCACCCTGCAGAGAGCCAGTGCCCTGGAGTGGTTCAGCACCCTGGAGAGAGACCATGCCACACAAGGGTTCAGCACCCTGGAGAGATCCAGCAATGCTCTTGCTCTGTGCAGCTGTACAGCCACACACATTTGTACCTACTTCACTAACAACCCAGGCCCCCACTAGACCAGCCGGTCATGCCCAGCTTCATAGCATCTGATCACTCCCCAAATCCACCTTGAACATTCCTGACCCCCTAAGCTTTTGCTCAAGACCTTCCTCCTCAGTTCTGCCTGCAAAAACCTCACTTACCCATCAAAGCCTGGAGCCAACACCATCTTTCATGAAGCCCTTTTCCTGATTTACTTTGGGGCCTTCACCACACTCTGCTTTTTGCCTACCCCTTCTAGACTGTGTGTTCCTCAAGGAACTGTGTCTGATTCACGTCTTTCTTCCAGCCCAGTACCTGGGAGGCAGAATGTATGCTTCAGAAATGAATGAGTGAAGCTTCAGAAGTAATTTTTACAATTGCCACCATTTGTTGAGAACTCATGATGCCAGAAACTGCTACATGCTTCACACACACTTTTATTTACAGTTCAAGAAACTGAGGCCAAGAAATGAGCAACCTGCCCAAGTTCACACAGTTAGGAAGAGGCAGAGCCTGGATTCAAACCTGGATCATATGGCACAGCCTGTGCCCTTGACCGCGGCTCCTCTCTGCCTCTCTCCAACCCTGTGTGCTGCCATCTGCCAGTCCCATGGCATCTGAGCACAGCAGCCATGGTCCCCTGAAGTGATTCTGAATCTTTTTATAGCCTGAAATTGAAATCACTGATGCTTCAAATTAGAACCCCAAAATGAACGAGCCAAGACTTCAGATTTGCAGTTGCCGAGCTGCCCGCATCCACCTTCTCAGCAAGATTCCTGGGCCACTCCTCAGCCCGAACCACCTGTTCCCAGTCAATATGGAGGACAAAGAGAACGACCTCCCCAGGCCCAGAAGGCCACATGCAGAAAAGGGATCCAACCTCCCCGCCATCCAGGGCTCCCCACAGAGCAGTGGCCTCTGTCTGGGAGAAGAAAGACCACAGTGCATTAAGCCTCAGAGAGCAGACCCCAATGCTGTTGGCCTCAGAGACTGAAGATCCCCAGTGCTATTAGCCTTAGAGAGTAAAGGCCCCCAATGCTATTACCCTTGGTCAATGGATCCTGACGACACGGTGAGAAGCCACTGAGCTGCCAGGACAGAAACACCCCACACTCAAGAGGGATGCAGGACAGACCCTGTTTGTCTTTGGTGTGAATGCAATGAAATATTGGCCTTGATGACCAAAGCACCAATGTGACCCTGGCTGAAGAATTCAGCAGTCACCCTGGGTTCCTGCTAACATCAGCTGGTGTTTGGTCTTTAACTTGGTTATTAAGTAGCCATTCAAAACCATCTAAATAAGAGTGGAAGAAATTTTGGGGATGGGGTGGAGAGTTCCTAGATTGGTCATCAGGTCCACCAGCAGGACATGTGACAAAGTCTCTCACAATACCCCAAAAGGAAAGCTAGAGAAATGTGAGCTGTGTGATGTGGCTGAACCACTAAACCCAAGGGATGCTGGCACCAGGCAAACCACAACAGGGCTCTGGCCTTGGCCCTGGGATTTGCTGCTAGAGGGCAAAGTGGGCATCAGGAATAGGAATTCCAAGGTGATCTAAAAGCCAGACCCATGCCAACAGAGAATTGTACAGGCTGGTAAGTGCTCTGGGAGCAGTGGTTTGAGCCAAAGGAGGAGATATGCCTGCCAGGGACTTTGGAGGCTGGCGGGTGGGGTGGGACAGGTACCTCTATTAGTGATGTTCCTCACAACAGAGGCACAAGGAAACCATGGCTCATGTACTCTTGGCTGGAAGTGTCCGACGTACTTGGCACATGGTGGGTGTGCCCTGTGACTGCTACATGCTTCAAATAATAGTGGTAACAAACATCAGTCATTATTATAATATTATTATCCCCGTTTGTTCAACTAATAGCCACTGGTTTCCTCTTCTGAGTCAGGCATCATTAATGATGATGAAAGACAAGATGATAATCAATGACAAATACTGACTGAGGCCGGGTGGGGTGCATGCATCTTTAGTCCCAGTACTTCAGGAGGCTGAGGTGGGAGGATCATTTGAGGCCAGGAGTTTGAGACCAGCCCAGGCAACAAAGCAAGACTCTGGCTCTATAAAAAAGTACAAAAGTTAGCTACGTATGGTGGTGCGTGCCTGTAGTCTGAACTACTTGGAAGGCTGAGGTGGGAGGATCTTTTGAACCCAGGAGCTCAAGGCTGCAGTGAGCTGTGATTGTGCCATGCACTCCAGCCTGGGCAACAGAGCAAGATCCTGTCTCTAAAAAAGAAAGTTGATTGAATGCCAGCCCTGTGCTCAGCGCCTCTGACCAGCAGTCCAGTGCTAAGAGCCCAGTTCAGCACAACCACCCATTTTATCAACACGAATACTGGGACCCAGCAAGCATAATGACTGATCATGCTGCATCTGGACTTCATTTTCTTTCCCTTTTCTCTTTTTTTGAGATGGAGTCTCGCTCTGTCACCCAGGCTGGAGTGCAGTGGAGCAATCTCGGCTCACTGCAAGCTCCGCCTCCCAGGTTCACACCATTCTCCTGCCCCAGCCTCCCGAGTAGCTGGGACTACAGGCGCCCACCACCACACCCGGCTAATTTTTTTGTATTTTTAGTAGAGACGGGGTTTCACCATGTTAGCCAGGATGGTCTCGATTTCCTGACCTCGTGATCCGCCTGCCTTGGCCTCCCAAAGTGCTGGGATTACAGGCGTGAGCCACTGCACCCGGCCTGGACTTCATTTTCTTTCCTCCAAGTAATATTTAACTCTGAAGCTGTGGGGATTGACCCTTGAGCAGCGAGCTCTAACAACTGTTCTTCACACCAGCTTGGTTGCAAAGTCAAACATGCTAGAGGCCACCTCACATTTCTCAAGTCCCATTTTAAAATACCAGCCCAAGAAACATATATATTTTTTTCAAGACAGAGTCTTGCTCTGTTGCCCAGGCTGGAGTGCAGTGGTGCGATCTCGGCTCACTGCAACCTCCCGCTCCCGGGTTCAAGTGATTCTCCTGCCTCAGCCTTCCAAAAAAAAAAAAAAAAAAAAAAGAAAGAAAATGAAGTCCATATTCAGCATGATCAGTCATTAGGCTTGCTGGGTCCCAGTATTCCTGTTGATAAATTGGGTGGTTGTGACAGTAGCAGAATCACCTGAGATGAACTGGGCTCTCAGCACTGGACTGCTAGTCAGAGGCGCTGAGCACAGAGCTGGCATTCAATCAACTGGGATTAACAGGCACATGCCACCATGCCCAGCTAATTTTTGTATTTTTAGTAGAGACAGGGTTTCACCATGTTGGCCATGCTGGTCTCGAACTCCTGACCTCAAGTGATCTGCCTGCCTTGGCCTCCCAAAGTGCTGGAATTACAGGCATAAGCCACCACACCCGGCCTTATGAGATACTCCCAGGGTCTCCGAGGAAAACACCAGGGCATCCCTCTTAGCATCCTGACTTAAATACAAACCACGAGTATAAAGAAGATCCACGCCCTCTCTCGTGCAAGTATTTAATACGAGGAAAATGTAATTAGCAAACTCGAGCACCACTTTTCAAGGATGAAGGATACTGCCACCTGCTTTAACTGCAAGGGAAAACCTATTTGCAGAAATTAACACAAAAATGAGATTGGCCACTTCAGGGCCAAGAAAACAATCACAAAAACCATAGGCGTCATCAGAGCCCTGCAGCAGGCGGGTAAGGAATGGCCCCGGGAAATTAATTAATGCCCAGGAAGGCTTTTTCCTCTGACAGCAAACAGCACTATCTGTGCCAAGGGGGCTGAACATTTGTCTCCTCTGTGAGATAACTTTCTTCTAAGACACAGTTTCCTATGTATGAAATGGATACTTTTCAAAATATGAATACTTCGATTCTAGGAAATCTGAGACAAACATCTGAAAGAAAGAGAAAATAACACAATCTCACCACCTAGGGGTTAATATTTCCTTTCCTTTTTGTTTTCTATTCTATGACTATACTGGGGAAAGATGGTATTAGATGATATTGTGCTGATCATTTTGATTCTGCCTTTCTCACTAAGTAGAATGTAACCTTTTCTGGTTGGTATTAAGAGCTCCTTGTAAACATCATTTTTAATGCTTTCTTATGAATTCACAACAGATGTCCATTGCCACTGAACCATTCTCCTATTAGCCCCGCCCCCTCCCTGCCCCAACTCCTTGTTTTTGCCACACTGTAATTGCTACCTGGTTTTGTTTTTGTTTTTTTTGTTTTTTTTTTTTTGAGACGGAGTTTTGCTCTGTCACCCAGGCTGGAGTGCAGTGGCGTGATCTCGGCTCACGGCAACGTCCGCCTCCCGGGTTCAAGCGATTCTCCTGCCTCAGCCTCCTGAGTAGCTGGGATTTCAGACACGCACCACCACGCCCAGCTAATTTTTTGTATTTTTAGTAGAGACGGGGTTTCATCATATTGGCCAGGCTGGTCTCGAACTCCTGACCTCAGGTGATCCACCCGTCTTGGCCTCCCAAAGTGCTGGGATTACAGGCGTGATTTCTACCTGTTTTTTAAAAAATTATTCCCTTAGCATGGATTCCTAGATGTAAAATTCCTGGTTCAGCTTTATGGCTCTTGTTACATACTACCACATTGATTGTGAAAACATTTATGGCAACTTAGGCTTTCCCCCAGCAACACATGAGTGCTGTCACCAGCAAGGAGTATAGTCACAAAAAAGTATTTGCTAATTTGAAAATAAAACAGTCACCGCACTGCTTTTCTTTTTACCTTTTGCCCATTTATACATAAAGCACATCAAAGTGTTGTTCAGGCATCTTTGAGCCATGACATTACAGAGTCAGACAATGTGGGTTGGAATTCCACCTTCTCCACTCACCAGCTACATGGCCATGTAGTTACTGCACCTATGTACCTCAGTTTCCCCATCTGTAAAATGGGGAGGAACACACATGCTATATGGATGACTGTGAGGGTTAAGCGGAGCACTGCAGGGCTTGTAGGGTTTGGAGATCCAGCTCAGCTGCTATAAACAAGGACACAGCCTTCTTGGGACATTTGTTGCAAATGTTGTTTGCCCTCTGCCTGCCTGCTGTTGAGTTGAACTGTAAGGATGTCTCAGTTACAGGATATTTTAGATCACAAAAGTCATTCAAGAAACAACATTTAGGTTGTCAAACAAGGGGTTTGTGGAAGACAGTCCTAGTCTTAAGACTAGGAGATTAACGCAGCACCTGCTTGTGTTTGGGTCGAGGAGACTTTAGTTGGCAGGCCACATCAAGAGGCTGGAATGTCAACTTGCACTGGGCCAGTGGGTCATCACCTTGCCTGCCTGTTGGGACCCCCGGCATCACCACTGCAGCTTTCATGGATGCCCAGCTCTCGCCTCATGATTCTGATTCAGGGCGTGTGGGCTGGAGACGAGGTTTCTATAACCCTCAGGTGACTGACGCCCAGCCAGGTTTCACTGAGTGAGACCTACAGTGAGCCCTGCATGACATCCAAGTGGCGTCCCCACCTCCACATCTCCTTACACACTTGATGCACTACCGTCATCCAGGAACCACCCACATCCTCCTTAGCACATGTCGTGAACTTCAGAAGCAACCTGTGATCTCTCCAGCCCCATGTTGTGGGAGTGAAGGGGCCTAATAAGGGCCATCTCAAAGAGACAGCAGACAAAGTCTTCAGCAAACTCTTATGGCAGGCTCACTCTCCTTTGAAACTCTCTGGTCTCAGCTTCCTGACAAGCTCTAATCATTATGAAAACCAGTTTGGACTGGGTTTCCTGTTGTCACCAGAGGGACATGGGCCTCTGTCACTCCTGGCTGGTGGAGGCCCCATCCTCACCTCTGACCTGCATAGAAAGAAACACCTGCCCTGCTTCTCTCGGGGGCTGTCACTGCTCCAAGCCTCGGCTTCAGCCTCCCTCAGCAGGTCCCACGGGCATTCTCCGCAGGGGCATTCAACTTCCCGCCGCCCTGCCCCTCCCACGGCCTCTGAAATCTCTTTGGCTCCTTCTCCCCTGGGCTGGCTGACATTTCACAATCTGGGACGGCTTAGTGTCACTGTCTATCCTGGGAATTCCGGCACACTAGCTGATCTGAAATGGCAAATCGCACCATCCATGGGGCCACTGTGATCAAATGTCCCTACCCGTGGGACATTCACTTATCTTTCACGTCCACCTCTGAGGTGAACCTTTTATTACCACACAGCTTGAGTGATAACATCTATCTGTCTCATGAGACTCCCGATCTGGAGATAGCTCAAAGCCTTTGATTGTGGTTGGTAGGGTCAGGGGGTGGTCAACCAAGGAACAAAAACAACAGCAAAAGAACAAACTCTTCCCAAAAGCTTAGGTAGGAGAGAAATAAATTCTACAAGCTAAGTACCCAAGAAAGTCATGCACAGCAGGAAATCATGACAGGCACCAAGGCCGAGAGCCGGATGGCCACGTCGGGGCATTCTCACAAAGTTAACGAGGGAAAATGAAGTTCTAGAGATACCAAAGACATTAAAAGCCAACATTCACTTCAAAGGGTGCCCATTGGTCCAAAAGTTCAAACCGCAGCATGCATTTTTAAAGAGAAAATAAAAATCTGTCACACTTTCGAGGTTCTTTCAAAATAGCAGAGAGAAAGGAAGGCTTGCCAAGGGCTGCTTGGGGTAAGGAAGACAGAATGCCTGCATTTTGGGCAGCTTTTCACGTGGAGACCTTGCACCTCACCGGGAGCTCAGAAACCCCACTGACTCCAGGACTGGCTGCTCACCAAAAAGAAAATTCACGTGAGACATGTGAGGCTATTTCACACCATCCCTCCAAGGTCAAAGCTCTTCACTAAAAATAGAGAAACATGGTCTGTTGGAACAAACACGCACCTATTATGCTATACAAGATTTTAATATTCCGGTGGCAAAATCCAGTCGCTAGGAACACAACTCAATGGAATTCTCAGTCTTAAGCCCCTAGAGGAGAATTTCTGAGTCCCAGAGGCAGCTGTGGACATGAACTGGGAGGAGCCAGGATCGTGCAAGGGTCCAGCTGCCTGCACCCCGCACCCTCATTAGTGTATGACTGGTGTGGAGCAGCCTCGTAGGGCTGTGGAGGGCCCAGTGCTCCTTGGGTTATCTGTGATAATCATAATGCAGGCGCAGCCCTAATGCATCTCAGGACCAGCCATTCCTAGAATACTGGAAGTCAGAGGTTACCCAGAATATAAAACCTGCCCCAAAATGGCAAATCTATTTGCATACCAGAGGTTAAAAGCAATGTCAGAGGAGGTGCTTAGAAACAGAAGTGTGGAAACTCTCAAAGCTCCAAATTTCCACAAAGGCTTCAAACCGACAGGACAGGTCCACCTTCTCAGCCCCACCCAGGTGAGCGCTGCAGCCACAGACAGCTACATCTTCTAACCCACTGAGGCTCCGCTCACTGGGCAAGTGCAGGGCCCACACACGTGCCTCAGCAGGCCACGTTTCTCTTATTGATGAGGTTATCCAGGAAACAGTCCAATGAGCTGAACAACGGGGGTTGTTCTTGCATCTGCAGCCCTCTTTTATTATTGAAAATCAAGAACCAAGAGTGACCTATTTCAACACCCCCCCCACCCTGCCTGTCACACGTGCACACACTCTTACACCACCTATAGACTTCAGCCCTGCTGCTAGGCCCAAGGCCACGCCCCCCCAACACACACACACACACACACACACACACACACACACAGACACACACACACACACAGACACACACACACACACAGACACACACACACACACACACACACAGACACACACACACGAAGGGGACTCACATCCCAACTGCATCCTACAGAGGATGATTCAACCCAGGCCCTCTGCATTTCCATGAAGGTTACAAATCGAGTTAGCCCACAAAGCCACAGCGGGCTCCAATCTCTGTCATTCTGGTGGTGCACCCGACAGTTTCAACACACAAGAACCCAAATAAGCTCATTTCTCATTCAAACCAGGTTCTGATTGGTCAATAATAATTTAAATGCATCTTCCAGCAAATCAAAGAGATCAACATGAGGCACTCAGAATAAGTTTAAGCACCTGCTCCATCTTACCTGGCTCTCCAATAGTCTCTTCCCTTCTGACTTTCCATTGCCCCGTAATAGTCCTGAGGATCTCTAAGGAGATCACTAGCAGAATCATAGCATGAACAAGAAGCTTGGGAGCTTAGGCCTGATTGGGAGAAATGATCACGGGTAGCCCTCTCACCACGGGTGGAGATGTGGGCTCCTCATTTACAGAATGAATGTCTGTCTGTCCAGCCCAATGGCAGGGACCACCAAATGGCTGGCTGGATGCCACGTACCCACCCCTTCCACCTGCATGTGGAGTTCTGATGTACACGAGGCTGGGCTCAGGGTGACATGGAAGAGCGCGTGCATCCAAGAAATGCGCACTCCCAACGAGGACCATTCGAGTCTACTGAACCTTTAAAATATCATCTTTTTCAACCTGTAACATTCTTTTCTTCTTCCTACTTCCAAAGAGTCACATGTTCCTTTGCATAACAAGATTAAAACTGAACACCTAAACTCACAAAAAGGCGAGGTGATCAGATGTACTGGGGCCTCCGAACCCCTCGCACACACCAACGTGCCAACCGTAGGGACTGTTTGCAGAGCCGGAGCACTCAAACCTCTATTCTCTAAAGGAAGAGAATGCTCTTTCCTTTTCAGTACCAGCAAAAGTTCATTTTCAAAGCATCTGAATTCCTAAGTTTCCTTTTTGCACCATCGACACCAGCCATCCCTCTTGCCCGGGCTCCTTGGTCTTGGAAGGCCATCGTCCATCTGATGGGGTGGTTACCACAACCTGCAAATCTACAAGCTCTTAGCCATCAATGTTACAGACCTCACGCCAGCAACTGCCACACAAGAGTGGTTGCCGACTCACCCATAGGACACAAGAAGGGACGATGACTCCTCTTGGTGCCTATTTAGTCACAACTAAACCACCCACAGGTCTGCACATGTCCCCAACATCATGGTGACCACATGCCTCCTCTTTCTACCTTCTACTTCAAGACCAATGACCAAATTCCACAGACTTTTCCTCCTTCCAACGGGTTACGGCCAAGGCCTCCAAGACAAGCCCAACACCAGGTCCACAGGCAGTGGCACCCACGGTGGGAGAAACTGACCAATGAAAGTTCATGGCAGCCTCCACAAGCACCCCCAGACTGGGCCTCGTGGCTGTGCTGCCAGGACTACGACCCTCTCCCCGAGAGTCGGCGCTCTCCCCAAGCAGAAAGATACAGACACCTGTGTCCCTACCTCAATCAAGAAGTCCCCGGTCCTTAGTCCGGCTTGCCACGCCACCCCACCTTCATCCACGGACTCCAGGTACTGTAGGGCTGGGAAAGCCGGTGTTGGTGTGAATTCTTCAATGGGTGTGTCAGCTGGGAAGACAAGCAGCACCTGGTTACAAGCCTGGGAGATGTCTTCCAAGTTCACATTGCCTGACCTCCCCACAGGACCCCGGGAGGAAGTGGGCCCACTCATCTCCCATTGCAGGTGGCTAGTCCAGGCCAACTCTCCCCCAGGAAGGGCTTGAGATTCATACTCATGGGCTGATGCAACTCAAGCAATGAAGTCAATTGCACCTTGGGGCCGCCATCATATTTCTTGGCCTCTCTGCTGAAACCACAGGATAATGTGCTCTGTGGTACATGTCTACACGCCTGTCATTTTCTTTAAAAGCATCAGTGACTAAACATTTTCGGTTCTAAAAATGGAAAAGTTCCTCCCCTGCCACACAGAGCTACAGAAACACCACACTAAACCACTTGCCAAATTTACATCTACGTAGACTCGCAACCAAGGGAATTCAACTTGGAACGCGGACGGAACATCACGCTGACCCAGTGGGTGGCTACAGATTTGGAATGTGCTCATGAGTCCTCTCTACAGGGAGTCCAGGCCTCTGTGACCACTCTGTGTGTGACCAGTGTCCCTGGGCACTGGCATGTGTGTGTGTGGGTGCTGAACCACTACTGCCCAGCACAGTGAGGCTTGGCTTCTGGGGCCCCACACAGCTGCCAGGTGCAACTCCAGGGCAGGAGATGGACTTTTCTAGGGAGGCATGAGTGGCCAAGGGTGGGTGGGTGTGGAGATAAAGATTCCAGCAGGGGGAGGGGAGAGCAAATCACACAGACAGGCGTGGATGCTCTCACAGAGACAGATGCATCTGCTCTTTCTCTCTCTGGACAGCTCGCTATGGAGCTGCCTGAGTCTGAGGCAGGTGGGCATGCCAGCTGGGGAGGAGGCCTCCTGCAGCACAGGTGCGGGACCCCTGGCACAGCGCGTAAGCTCCAAGATGAAACTTCCACATGGCTGAGCCACACACACAGTGGGCGGATGTCCCCTCTCATGGGGAGGTGATGCCATTTTGTTTTCTTTTGGAGGGGAAGCTGCGCGTGCAGGGTGACTGGCAGGTGCACCGCCATGGACTGCATTCCTGAGCCTCCCACGACGGGCCACGTAACGTGTGTGCTGCCGGCTCAGTCCACGGCAGAGGGGACCATCTTGTCACATTTCCTTTGCAAAGTCACCTTAGAGGTGAGCACACAAATGCCTGCCGCCCTTGGAGCCAAAGCCCACTCCCAGAATGGGGCAGTTTCTAGGTGCCTGAAACTCAGGCCAGGGCAATCCTGGGGATTTGAGACCCAGAGCTCTGAGGGTAGCCACAGTCTGGCTCAACTAGAACACAAAATACTGACCACCCCATCATTTAAAAACAAAAGGTAGGAGGGGCAGGAGGGAGAGAGAACCCATTCAGAACAACATCATCTACAGAAAATTAAAAACATTCCTCAAGGAAGCCCTAACGTTTTCTGAGTAAGGCACAATGTGAAGGAACATGGTTGTCTAGCAACTGAGTGCCCCCAGGAAAAATGCTTATTTAATGCTTATTCCTGAGCTGGGGAACGTTTTTCATGCAGGCGTATACACACACACACACACACACACACACACACACACACACACACACACACACACACAAACATGGGAACATATTCAGGCTCAGAGCGGCTGCTCTTACCTTTGGCCCCTCGAAGCACGAATCCAAAGCCCTCATTGTCTTTTTTCTGCAGGACCACCGTCTTCTCCTCAATAATGCAGTCACTGTAGAGAGAATTCCGGGGACAGCGACCATTATTGTAGCCCGTCATCATCACCGCGGCCGCTCCTCCGCCGGGGACGTTCATCATCATAGCCAATTAATCACCCCAGCTCGCCAGATCCAGGCAGCATGGAGGAAAGGAGGCAGCGAGGGTGCAGGAGGAGCGAAGGAAGAGGGGGGTGGCTACCGGGATAGGCGAGCGTGGCACAATGAGACTTGCAGGGTGGGGGCAGGCAGAGCCGGAGCCAGCCGGAGGAAGGAGTCATACATGGTGGGGCGGCTGCCTGAGGGATGGCTGAGCTGGAGGCTCAAGGGGGGCTGGCCAGGACGCCGCCCAGGGCAAAGAAAGTAAGTGGCCCGAACGGCGGCGGCGGCAGCGGCGGCCTCAGCAGCGGCGGCGTCGGGAATGAGCTCCTCCGGCTTGTCCCGACCACACGCATCTTCCAGGGAAGCCCGGGAAAATCAGCCAGAGGAGAAATGAGGCAGCAGTTTTGTTTTGCTTTTCCTTGAAGGGGGTTTAAAATAAAATCAAATCCTATCTGCTCCCCGCACGAGCCGGCAGCAGGCACCAGAGACGCAGGGACCTGCGCGTCGCATCCAGCGCCCCCTCCCTCTCCCGTCCCGGCGCCGGCGGTGTGCGGCAGGCAGGAGCCCCCACAATCATCTGACGAGCCCACAGTGCGCCCGGCGGCTGCCTGGGCGTCATCCCGCGCGAGCATCCGCAGGCTGGGCTGGGAGAGGGCGGGGAGGGGGAGCGGCTGGGGCTCTCTCTGCATCCCCCCCTCCAGCGTCCCCCCGGTCCCTTGCAGCCTTGGAAGGTGGCCGGTGGCCGGTCGGGGAGGGGTGGGGGCTCCCTGGCAGAGGACTCAGGACATTTCGGTGTTAAAGCCCCTGAGGACACCAGCCCCCTCTGGGGATGATGAATTCATTGCTGGGGAACTGGAGGGGGTATGTGGCTGCCCCTTTGAGATGACAAAGCTAAAGCCACAACTGCTTGCCTCTAGCCATGGCATTTTTTTTTTTTAAGGAAAGAAACCAAAAAAGCTCCAACTTTGCTCTAGTGGCCACAGTGTCCTCTCGCTTTTCCTGCTGGCACTCGCCACATGACATCCAGCCCCCGAGGCACCCAGAGTGTGTGGGACGGTGCCCTGCTCAGTGAGCCTCCAGGCTGCGGCTGAACTGTCCTCCACCCCCACCTTCTGGGTGGCCTGCGGGGGCAGAAGGGGAGTGAGATGAAGGCTACCGGCACCCCCCCGCCCCGTAGGACTCTGCTGCTGCCCGGAAGTTAGTGGGGAGCTGGGAAGGCCTCTGTGGAGGGGAGCGGGGAAGGGAGGGAGGCAGCGTGGAGGGAGGCCTCTACAGGGTCTTGCGGGGCTGTGTGTGAGCCTCGGGGGTGAGGAGAAAGGACACCAGGCCAGCGGCCCAGCCGGAAAAAGCTGCAGATGGGTCATGAGGAACCCACCAGGCCCCCGTCGCACAGGGGCAGTCCCAGGGATGCAAATTTCAAACAAGGCCATGTGCTGACGGACTCTTGGTCCCAGAGGAGTGCGGGTCAGCTCTGCCTGGCACCAGCACCAGGTTCACGGTCTACAGGAAGCACAGGGCCCCAGGTGCAGCCAGCTGGTGACAGCACAGCCACCCCGGATTGGGGGGCCCTGGGGAGGAGGAGGGACGGGGCAAACGTGGATGACAGGGCTCAGTATCCTGGACAAGGGACGAGCAGCGGCCCCTCGATCCTCCCATTTTACAGATGAGGCTGGTGAGGCTCAGAGAGATCGGAGGACCCAGCTAGGGAACGCGTGCTCTTCTCACCACTCCACGCACCCACCCCCGACAGCATCAGAGGGTCGTGCATGGAGGCATGCTGGGGTGACCCTGTCTTCCAGGAATAGCCCAGCATGAATGATAGCTTCACAGCCGAAGACCAGGACAATCCAGGTGACTGGTCACTCCCGTTGTCAGCAGCTGGGAGGGGGGTTCTGGCCCCTGACCTTCCTTACCTTGCCCCCTCCCCAGAGACAGCCTGCTAAGTGCAGGGAGGTCCACTCTGGGGAACTCGGTCACAACTGTGAGCCCCTCTTGGCTCATCCCTGGAAGCCCACTTACCCTGCTCAGGGCCACCAAACAAGGGCTGACACAGGGTCAGAGGTCCAGGACCCTGGGAGCCTGGGGGTGAGGTCACATGGTTATTGTGACCTTTAGAAAATGATGGGGCTCTCTAAACCTCAGTTTCCCTGCACAGCAAGAGTGGGTAAGAACAAACCTACAGGCCTCTTGGGATCACCATGGGGTCAGATGAGGCCATGCCATGCTGGTGTGGTGTAATAGGATGCCTCAGGCCGCTGTCCCTGTGACGGCTGCCATTAACCTCCAGCAGGCCTGGTAGGTGGCCAGGACTCTGCAGCCCTAAGGAGGCTGAGCAGGGAGAGCTGGGGCTCTACTGCCATGGATTTAGGGGTCCATGAGGCATTGATGAGCAGACCCTCTACCAGGTCCCTCGACCTGTCTCCACGGCCCCCCACAACGAGAACACAGACTTGTGTCCCTCATGGGAAATGCCTTCTAGTCACCACCCATTTTCCCTCTGAACTCCTGAAAGGGGAGTCAGCCCACCCCGGCCCCATGGCTCACTCACGGCTGGGGAGGCGCAAGCTGTGTGACCAGCCTGTGTGTCTCCTGTGTCTCCTTCATGGAAGGTTCTCTAAAGGCCAAGGCTGCCAAAGCCAAGAGCCTCTGCTCAACCCTGCTGTGCACCTGCTGTCTGCAAGAGGAGCTGCTGAGGGTGACCGCCTCCCTGAAACCCTGGAAGGATGATGCCGAACCCTGGGGTCTGGAGCTCAGGGCCCTGCACTCTCCCTGGGGACACATGGGCTGATCAAGTCCATCTCCACCCAGCTCCAAGGGGAACCTGTCATGCGCTCCAGGCGTGCTCACTTGCACTGCTGGGCAGCTCCTCCTGCAGTGCCCAACGCCATCCAAACCTTGCATCTCCAAGATGACCCAGACCACTTCCTGCCAGCATACCCTGCGACGGGAACTTCTTAGGGCCAGGGGGGCTGCCCAGACACTTGCTAGCTGTCTCCCATAGACTAGAGAAGGGCAGGGGCATTCCAGTGTGGCTGGTGGAGGCACAGGCTTTGGCATCACACGGAGCGTGGTTCAAATCCCAGCTTTGCTTTGACCCCAAGGTCACTGACCTATCAGGCCCCAGAGCCTGCTCTGCAAAATGAGAACAACAAGATGCACCTGATGGGTCCTGAGCTGGAGGCCGTGGAGTCGTGCATCCATGCCTCAGAACCAGCCCAGGCAAGCAGCACATGTTCATAACTCCAACAGTTACAAGTGGGATCCCTGTCTGCACACGCCACCCTCTCTTCCCCGGACCCCCTTCCTCCTACAGGGACCCCTCTGATCTCGACATCCAGGGCTAAAACCTTTTCAGTGATTCCTAATGCACCCAAGAACTTAGTTTTTTAAAATTAGAGACGGGGTTTTGCTCTGCCACTCAGGCTGGAGTGCAGTGGTGCCATCACAGCTCACTGTAAGTTTGAACCCCAGGCAGTACGTGATCCTCCTACCTCAGCCTCCCAAGTAGCTGGGACTACAGGCACACACCACCATGCCCAGCTAATTTTTAATTTTTTTGTAGAGACAGGGTCTCACTGTGTTGCCCATGATGGTCTTAAACTCCTGGCCTCAAGGGATGCTCCCTTCTCAGCCTCCAAGGTGCTGGGATTATAGACGTGAGCCACCACACCCTGCTCCATCTGAGAATTTTCTAGCCCACACTTGTAACTGTGCAAAGATCTTGCCCCAAGACTGTAATGGCCCTGTCCTGTTTATTCAGTAAAACACCAAACTGCTTAGTCTCTGACATTAAGAAGGACTGTTTCTAACTTCTCTTTCCGGCATTGTTTCAGGATCTAAACAGCCCCCACTCCCCACCCACCATGAACCCATCTCACTTTCACTGGCAGACAGACATGGGTTTGAATTTCAACCCAGACATTGACCACCTTGACTACTTACAGCCTCAATTTCCTGACCTGCAAAGTTGGGGAGAAACCTCTGGCTTGTAAGTTTTAGGAGGAGCAAGTGAGGCGATGCCCAGTGAATGCTCCATGAGCAGGAGGCTCCTTGTAACCAGGGGAAGCTGCTCTTCTTAGCATCCCCGTCCACCTTCTTGAGCTGGGTGACCCTGGAGAAAATGTCCCCTCTGAGCTTGTCTCTTGTGGGGGAGGGGACATTTTCTACAAGGTCAATGGGGGCAGTGACCTCATCCTGCAGACCACCCCAAATGCCCACAGCACCCCGCATAGGCCAGGTGCCCCATGTGTGCCCAGAGGGGATGCAAAATGGGTATGAACTCAAGTCAGGAGCAGAGCAGGGAGAAACGGATGTTGGGTGGGAGGTGGGCGAAGGATGACTACAGGGTTTCGAGTAAAAAGGCACCAGAACAATCCCTGGATTCCTAGTTAAACCCAGAAGGTAGACTCAGTGCTGCAGAGGACCTACGGCATGCACCTGGCTTGGCCCAGGAAGTCAGAGAGGAAACAGAAAAGGCAGCCCCAGGCCCTTAGAAACTTTCAATGTTTTGGGGAATTCATGAAAAGCAATGGGACACTCTAGAAGAGACATTCCTTGAAAGGAGCTGCAGTCACTGTGTCTGAAAGGCGGAACTTGGCAGCACCCCCCATCCCCATGCAATCAGACAGGGGGGTCTCACACGCAGGCCTTAGGAAGGGGCCTTTCTGGAGACAAGAAACCCTCAGAGGCTCCTTCTGCTGGTTCATGAATCTAAAACCTATCCCAGGATGACAGCTGCGGCTGGGTCCGGAAGTTGTGGCATTGAGTTCTGTGTGCTGCCCTAGAACTGTGCTGAAGTCCCTGTGAACCAGAGTCTGCCCTGACCTTGGCCCCTGCCAGCCTGCCCTGCCCCTGCACCAGCAGACCCACTCTCCACATGCAGATGAGATGCACTGCAATCCAGTTTCATGGGGAAATGACCGAGGCGCCTACACGTTCCCCACGCTGTGTTGGGACAGCCTTCTCCAAGCCCGTCTCACCCCCTAACCTGCTCACTGATCACGTGCCTGAAGTAGGCACTGTGGGCTCCTTGTAAGCAAATGCCATGCCCTGATCCTCTGAGTATCTCCATGCAACACAACATTGACCCGTGCTTATTGATTGAACAAAAAATGTAATCCAGCGGCGCACTCCCCAAATGTTTTCTGAGCTAGGTGGAAGGGCACTTTGACATGCCCCAAATGTACCCTCTTTTGCCAACATCTGCTTGCAGCAGGAGCTGTGGAAGGTGAAGGGGGTGGGCAACCAGCCCCACCAAGTACAGCTGTGCAGGTTGTGCACTGTACAACTATGGAGGAAACCATTGCCATCATGGCCATCACGGCACAGGTACTAATGGTAATTTCGTCACAGAGGGAAGAAAAACGTCTTAAGGAAGGGGCAAGCACCTTTTCCTAGTTCAAACAAAGATGGGGTCTAGGCTGCCCTGGCCATGCTGCCATGGAGAATGCAAGAGGTATCCCTATGGGAGCCATATTGGCTTCCCGGAGACACAACTACCTCCATGTTGATGCCCTCCTGGGAGCCACTTGGAGGAGAGAGCATCAAAGGTTTGCCTGTTTCTGCTCACCCACGGTCCCACTGTATGCTGCAAGAGAGCTTATGGGATACACTTGGAGCACTTAGCACCTTGAAGCAAGACAGGAGGGTTGTGGAGACCCAGGGATGGCCACGCAGCAGGCCCCAGAGGTCTCTCCCCGCTGGCAGGCCTAAAGATGCTCCTGGTGTCTGCCTCGCAAGACCACAGGTGGCCACACACCCTGTGGCTTTTAGCAGTGGCCCGGGTTCCCTTTCTCCCACTGGGCGCCATGACAGACTCACAGGGAAGGCTGCACTTTCCCTGGTCCAGCGGGCAGCAGGTGCCAGTGATGACAGTTGGCGTTTAGGATCTGTCAGTCACTTTAACAAGCTCCCTTGGCAGCAGCACCTGATCCTCGAGGTGATGTCCATTTGGAGGCACAGGAAGCCAGGCCTGAGCTGGCCCAGACGTATGGGCCTGAGGGGCTCTGGGTGGCTCTGTGTGCCTCCCCACACATGGGGTGGATAGATGTGGACATTTTAACTCTGAACACCAGTGTTATTGGGGTAGACCAGATGGCTTTACTCATAGCTCTCAGGATCCCAGCTGGGTTGGTGGCCCCGTCTGGTGACAGCTTTAGTTCTTCCGTGACCAGCTGGGACTGGGTTTCAAAGTTCAGAAGTAACTGGGGCCAGTGTCAAGCCGCCGTGTAAATCAATAAATCAATCCAGCTGTTACATCCTGAATACCCACTGAGAGTCAGGGGATGAACTGGGTGCTGGGCATTTAGGAAGGAACAAACCAGGCCCAGTCTGGTCCTTATAGAGTTGTCTGGTGTGGTCAGTTGAATGGTGACTCAACCCACCCAAAAAAATGTGTCCAATTCCTAACCCCCAGCGTCTGTGAAAGTGACGACACTTGGAATTTGGGTCTTTGCAGGTATAATTAGTTAAGGGTCTTGAGTTGAGATCTTCCTGGATTTAGGGAGGGTCCTAAACCAATGACTGTGCCCTTACGCGAGAAAAGCAGAGGGAGGTTGACACCCAGAGGCAGTGCAGAGGAGGCCATGGGAAGGTGGAGGCAGAGGCTGGAGTGATGTGGAGGCTGGAGTGATGTGGCCCAGCTGAGGAGCACCAAGGACTGCAGGCCAACAGCAGAGGTGGAGGAGGAAGACTCTCCCCTGGAGCCCCCGGAGGGAGCGTGGCCCTGCTGTCATCTTGGTTTTGGACCTCTGGCCTCCAGGGCTGTGACAGGTAAGTGACTTCTCTTGTTTTGAGCCCCCTAGTCTGTGGTGATCGTTAGAGCAAAGGCCGGGCAAGTGAGGAAGATAAACATCAATCCACAGTCACAGAAATGTGTGCCTTCAACAGTGCAGGACGTGGTTCTGTGAGAACCATACGGGCACCTGGAAGACTTCCTGGAGGAGGAGGACTGAAGTATACATAGGAGAATGGGTTGGAGGACTGGGGAGGGGACAGAAGAGAAAAGAACATTCCAGACAGAGTGGGGTTGGAAGGTAGGCAGCCGGCCCTGATGTCTGAAGGGCCGTGATGAGGCGGGAGGGCAGGAGCAGCTGACCACACGGGGCTGCAGACGTTGGCTGCCTACTCACCCAGGGCAGTCTAGGGACACAGCTTGGCGGTGACGCACAAGTGCAGGTGTCAGCAGGGCCCCAGCCACTCACGCTTTACCCCAGTTTCACCCATGAGGACTGAAATGGCAGAAGAGCTGTTGCCCTATGGCTTTTCCTGGCGTTCTTTCCGGTGAGGCCCGAATCCTTCTGGAATGACTCAGGGTCAACTTGCACCTGTGCCAGGAACTTCCATCCAATGATCATGCTTCCATCTGAACAATGCACAAGCACGAGTCGGCTGCTGCTGGCTGAGGAGGCTCCCTGGCCATCAGCGTGAACACTGTCGTGCTCCTGCCTAGAAGCCCTGGCTGTTCTCTTAAAGCGGCTGTGAGTGGTCTGTGGGGAACGGTGGATGACAGAGTTCCCACCTCTGCCTCCATGCAGGGTGGGGCTTCCAAGGTCAGAGTGGGGCTGAAGCGACGGTGGTTCCTCTGGCCGGGGTTGGACATCGGATGAGGCACTGATGTCAGAACATGTGCACGTGTGAGGTCCAAGGTCCAGGCCAGCAGAGGAGGGGGCTGCACATCTGAGCATTCGGTGGGGGGCGTTGCACATCCCAGCACTGGGTGGGAAGGCAGAACTGGAGCAGCCGACCCGCCCTGGATGTGCGGAAGGGGCCTCCAGAGCCACCGGGCAGGAGGCAGCGGGGCTGTTTCCACAACCAGGCCCTACAGGTCCAGACTCCAGCTGTCTCCGAGGGTTGCAGGGACCCCCAAATGTGTCTGCAACCTGAAAAATAAAATTCACTGGCTCCAAAATCCAAAGAGAAAACAACAGTGCGGTTAATCTCTGTTGAATTCAGTGTCTCTGATATTTAACACGGGGTCAACGTCACGACCCATTTAAGCTGGTATCCATAAACGCATCACTTCATTGCGTGTAGAACCACTCGGAGGGCAGGTGTTCCCACCTTGCAAGAATCCTTGGGTGTGCTGATGGCGGCTGGGGAATCACAGGAGCTGCTGGGGAACGATCAGTGTATCACTCACGGCCAAACAAGTTCAAAGGCGGAATGATTAAATCACTTCTGAATGTTTTTCATGGCAGAAAGGTACATTGAACATGGGCTGTGGGTGTGATGTCTGATCAGACCCAGGCGGGGACCGCTGGAATGCAGGGGGGTGGAGCAAGGTCCATAGAGGTGGGTGGTGGGACCTGGGAAAGCCAGGAAGGACTCCCCACAGAGAGACTGGGTGGTGCGTTTATTGCCCCTGAAAGTCCTTCCCAGAGCAGCTGGAGCCAGGAGATCTGCCTTCTCCAAGGCAGGGAAGGGCCTGAGAGCAGCTTCGCTAAATCATTCCTGGTATAATCGCATTTCAGTGGCAGGGCCTGGTGAAGGCAGGAACTGGAGCACTATATTAGAAAGAGGATCCTCCAGGGAACGGTGATGGCAGTGGATGTCCTAGAAATTTCCGGGCTCTGCCAATCAGGAAAGATGAGGCTAAGCAGAGAGCTTTCAGCAGTTACGTGGGGGGTGTTGAGGTGAGGACCCAACAGGTGTCCCAGCTCAGCGGAGATGCCAGCTCGGGCGCTTTGGCCGCCGGGTGCGGGCAGCCAGCCCAGCTCACCGTGGCAGAGCTGGCTGCAGGGCAGCACAGAGGGCCGCTCGACAGGCGGGGCAGGCTGCGGGAGAACAGGAGGGTTTCCCCGTCATCTGTCACTCCCAAGGGGCATGGGGGAGCTTCTCAGCCCATGACCACACGTGCAGCTGCTCCCAGCATCCTGCTTCCTGGTCGGAGAGTTACAGTGTGTGATGCTGCTCTCTTGCCCTTCCTGCATAACTCACAGGGGAAATGATGCCCAACGCCCAGTGCCATCCTGGTGCCTGAGTGACAGCCCCGGCCAGCCTGCTCCTGGGGAGGCCATTGCTGTTTCCAGGGCAGGAGGTGATGACTTTGGGCAATTCCTGCACGGAGGGGACTCCTCCTGGCTCCCAGGAGCCACTCTCACCCACAGGCAGGGGGCTGCGTCGCTTCACGTGGCATCAGGAGGGCAGTGGTTCTGTACTCATGCAGCCCGCACACCCGTGCCCAGAGACGTGCGCTGGCGGAAGCCATTTCTCAAATCGGCAATTATGAAAACGCCCTGCCCGGCGCTTATTATGACCATTTTCCTCCTCATTGCTAACATGATAAGCAATGCAAGTTTTTCCTAATAGAAACAATAATGTACAAAGAACTTGATTCAAATTAAATTGTCTCATTACTTTGTAATAAATCACCCACAAGCATTTCCTGAGCACTACCAGGCATGTTACCTGCCAGGAACGGCTGGCGGAGGAGACAGATACGGCTTAACTGCGCTCATGATCATGACGGGGTGTGATCAGCGCTCCCTGCCGAGACGAACGGAAACGTCGTCTAGGAGGGAGAATGCTAGGAGGGAGAATGCCGGCCTTGGAAGCTGAGCACCCCGGTGGAACCCCAGCTTCCCCAAACCAGCGCCACGCCCCTGGCCAAGTTCCTCAACCTCGTCGAGCGCCAGTATCCTCACTTGACGACTACAGATGTCAACCACAGCCTGGAGACCACAGTGGGGTGGGAAGCTCCTTGTTTAAAAGGCCCCTGGCCAGGATTCAGCACTCAGCAGGGGCTGGAAGGCTATTAGCATGTGAGAATGCACCTTAGAACTTGCTTCATTCTGGAGACCTTATGCATAAACAGATATTTTCACTTGTCCCCAGGTAAAAGACTCTCCTACTGAGATCAGCAGAGGCCTGCCCTTGGGTGTCCTTCCTTATGGAGAGCAAGACACACGGGTGTGTTAGCCAACAAGGAGAAAGTCCCCACACTGTTTGTGTCTCAGAGGTGGGCGGGTCTCTGCACACAGGGCTGTGGGCAGATGGGATGAGGGCAGGGGGCCCCCAAGCAAGGGATGCCAGGATGCCTCCCTGTGCTTCCAAAGCTGGCACGGACTCTGCGGTGCCAGGCAGAACACCCAAGTGCTGGCCCAAACCCGAGGAGCTGTCCTGAAGTGAGCTCTTTCCTTCCCCCACAGCCAACCTGTCTGCAAGTACCATGAGTATCTCTATTCTGAGCCCACTGAAAAGTCTCCTCTGAATTCACTCTTTATGTAAAAACCTTAAATCACACTGTATCTCCCCCACTTAAAACACCCCAACAGATCCCCACCATACTTTTCTTTTCTTTTTCTTTTTTTTTTTTTTTTAGAGGGAGTCTTGTTCTATCGCCCAGGCTGGAGTGCAGTGGCGCGATCTTGGCTCACTGCAACCTCCATCTCCCGGGTTCAAGCGATTCTCCTGCCCCAGCCTCCTGAGTAGCTGGGATTACAGGTGCCCGCCACCATGCCTGGCTAATTTTTATATTTTTAGTAGAGACAGGGTTTCACCATGTTGGCCAGGATGGTCTCAAACTCCTGACCTCAAGTGATCCACCTGCCTCGGCCTTCCAAAGTGCTGGGATTACAGGCGTGAGCCACCGCACCCAGCCTCCCCATTATAATCGAGGATAAAATCCAAATTCTCCACCATGGCTAAGACCTTTTGTGATCTGATTCATGCCCCTTCTCCTCCTGACTCCTCCCATTCCAGCCATGCTGCCATCCTCTCTTCCTCCAGCAGGTCACACTCATCTCCACACAGTGCCTTTGCGTTGCCTGTGCAATTCTCAGGACACTGCTCCAGGTCTCCCCGAGCCAGGCTGCTGTCCCTGCAGGTCCCCTGGGTCACCTCCAGAGATGGGCCTTGCCGCCTGGTGGCTGCCGTCCTCCTGTGTCCCCAGCCCTCCAGCTTTTCTCTCTGCTTTGCTTTCTTCTGGCCAGTTACTATGTTTGAAATTGTGATTTGCTTGTTCACTCATTTGCTGTCTGACTCCCCCAGTAGCACATGAGTGCCCCCGAAGGCAGGACGGTTCTGCCCACCACACTCTGCAGCCTTGGATGGTGCCAGCCACCGGTGTTATTTTTGGAAGGAAGGAAAAGTGCTGTTCTAGGTGGAGAAGGCCCACTTTCTAGTCCTGGCTCTGGCAAGAGCTGGCAGTGGGACCCTGGACAGGACCCTCAACCACCCTGAGCCTGGGTTTTCCTGTCTGCAAAATGAAAGACCAGGATATCTGAGCAGAAGCTTCATCAGTGCTCCTGACGCAGTGAAGGAAGCCTGAGCTGGGACCTCCTATGTGGTCTTTGATGCAGGCTGGGTGTCCCCCTGTCCTGATGTTTCCTGACAAAGGGGTTTTCTGGGATATGGGGCTGTCAGTTTTAAAACCAAGATGGTCCTGGACAAATGGGGTGAGTTGGTCGCCCGCCACTGAAGGTCCAGGCAGCCTGCAGCGACAGGTTTGCCCAGGGCACATGCCTCCACTAGCAGCAGGGCCAAGTCACACTGAAGCCTCAGCCTTTGACTCTGAACTGAATGTTCTTTAAAAAAAAAAAAAAATCAGGGGAACAGTACAACTGCCTGGCATTTTGCTGTGAGTGCAGGAAGGGACTGTTGATGACTTTTCCTTCATTCGTTAATTAAAATGACAGGCCAAGCCTGCCCCATCTGTCTGTCTCAAAGCTCGCCCACAAAGACCATGCTGGCGGGCCATGGGACAGGCCACAGGGGTCTCCTTGTGAGGCAAGTTCCCAAGTCCCTCTGGTGGGGGTGGGGAGTAGATGGCCCCACAGCTACAAAACCAGAAATGTCCTCCTCTCCCGGGAACCAGACTCAGTGTGACAGTCACCTGATGTCCTGGGCTTTGTAGGGAAGGCTGATTCTAGGGCTGGGGGCCCACCTGCAGCCCGTGGTCCCCCCACCAGGATCACCTGCCCAACCTGGATGGCACAGAGCTGTTGAGTGGGAGGCCATGAGAAACCCAGGCCAGGCCCATGCCGGAGGAGAAGGCCACTGCTGCCGTCCACCCCTGGCCACCAACCTCCCTCCACTCACTAGGGCCACTGAAAAGTTTGCTTCTCTTCCAAGTGCTGATGCTTCATTAAGAGACTGGTGTCACCAGAGGGGCAGTTGTAAAAACAGTTAAAAGTAGGAGGCTCATATAATTTGGCTATCTGTCCCCTCCAAATCCCATGGTGAAATTTGATCCCAATGTTGTTGGTGGGGCCTGGTGGGAGCTGTTTGGGTTATGGGAGTGGATTCCTCATGAATGGCTTGGTTCCATTCTCCCGGGGCTGAGAGAGTTCTTACTCCTAGTTCCCACAAGATCTGATTGTTAAACAGAGTCTGGCACTTTCCTCTTCTCTCTCTTTCCTCCTCTCTTGCCATGTGATGCCAGCTCCCCTTAGCCTTCCGCCATGAGTGGAAGCTTCCTGAAGCTCTCACCAGAAGCAGATGCTGGCACCATGCTTCCTGGGCAGCCTGCAGAACTGTGAGCCAAAGAAACCTCTTTTCTTTATCAATTACCCAGGCTCAGGCATCCATTACTGCAATGCAGCTGAACTAAGATAGAGGCTGACACATTGTAATGGGAAGTATTTTAATGATGTCCCCTTTTTTTTTTTTGAGACGGAGTTTTGCTCTTTTTACTTGCCAGCTTGGCATGATCTTGGCTCACTGCAACCTCCAACTCCCAGGTTCAAGTGATTCTCTGACCTCAGCCTCCCAAGTAGCTGTAATTATGGGAGCCCGCCACCAGGCCTGTCTACTTTTTGTATTTTTAGTACAGACGGGGTTTTGCCATGTTGGCCAGGCTGGTCTCGAACTCCTGACCTCAGGTAATTGGCCTGCCTCGGCCTCCCAAAGTGTTGGGATTAGAGGCGTGAGCCACAATGTCCAGCCAATGATGTCCTTTGGAAGGGGTTCTGCAAATGTTCTAGACCAGGCAACGGCCCAGAGAGTGAACATTCCAGGCTTTGAGGGTGGATGGGTGGTCCCTGTTGCAACTACTCACTCTGCTAGTTGTGGCACAGAGGCAGCCATGACAATATGTAAATGATGGGTGGGGCTGTGTTCCAATAAAACTTTATTTACAAAAACAGGCAATGGGCCAGATTTGGCCTGTGGGCTGCAGTTTCTAAAGATAGGCTCTAAATATTCTAACGACATTTAAGTCCACACAAATAATACATGTACATGGCATATAACTATGTATAATAAAAACTAAGAAAAGTCTCAATCTTGCTGCAGAAGCCATGCTGACATTACTGTGTACAGGTGTGCCTGGCTTGATGTAACACCTGAGCTCTGGAAAAGAGGCAAGGAGAACGCGTTTTAGAAATGAGATCATCTGTGAGATGCCTGAGAGGTTCAGAAGGATCACATGGGGAGTACTTTCTGGAAAACAAAGAAACACCTCTTTACTTTGTCTAGGTTTTTATGCTCTGGTTGGCTCCAAGTGGGGATAGACCTGAATTCTGGCTTAATGAGTAATAATTCATAATTAGAGTAATTAGTGTAATTATTATGCTACGGCCTTTGAGCACCTTCCACACACCAGGCGTTGTTCTAAGTGTTCTGTGGGTTTAACTAATTGAATCCTCATAATGACCGTATGAGGCAGGAGCTGTGATGACGCTCACTTTACAGGGGAGCAAATAAAGCAGAGAGGTTGAGTGATTTGCACCAGAACACAGGGCTGGAGGCAAAGCCAGGCTGTCTGAACCACTGTGGGTTACTGAACGATAGTGATACTGAAGCACTGTTGATTCCTGGCCAGGTGGGGGCCAGTTCCCCGACAGCTCACAGCCCTCCCAACCCAGACAATGACAGAGAGAAAGGAAAGAACCCTCAGGGGAGGCGTTGGTCCTAGCAGCATGTTCTGGAGAAAGAACTGGAGAAGGAATTGGTGATTTACTGTCCTGCCAGTATCTGAGCTGCTGGGAGGGCACCCTGGGATGCTCTGAGAAGATTTTGCCAGGAGATCCTGCTCTGTATCAAAAAATTTGAAATTGGAAATGGTGGACCAAATGCTGGGCTGGGTAATGCCAGGGAGGAAGGACACGGTGGGGTGAGCAAGGCCAAAGGCAAAGCAAGGCCCCACACCTAAAAATGGGTGCAGGAACATCTGGATAAACGTTTACAGTTCACACCCCATGCTGGTTATGGCTGTGTTTTATGATTCCCATCTCAATGAACTGGCAATGTGTCAGAAGACAAGGCATCTCCTGGGCACAGCAGGTGTGTGCTGGTCTGTGGTTCACACTTTTACTCCCACCTACAACACTCTATACCTGCTATCTCTATCAGTTGAACTCCTATTCATTCTTCAAAGCGCACTGCAATAGCCACCACTTCCAAGAGGACCTTAATGCTGTCCCTCACGTGACACTGTGTGCTTAGAGGGAGGGGACTAAGTCTTCTTTCTCCACCACACCCAGCTCCTGTCACAGACTCTGGCACTCTTCCCAGCTTGCTGCCTGCTGCAGCGACTGGAAAAGCCAGACACTTGCTATTGCAGCCTTTCCTGCAGTTATGGATGGTCATGACCCTATGGAATAGTTTTGGCCAAGGAGACCCAAGGCCAAGCGGACCCGAGGTCTGCTGGGACCTCTGGGAAAGGCTGGACTATTTGGAAAGGGAGTGGGGGTTGGGGAACTGCTCCCTGGCACCCCCTCCTTTACGTTCCTGAGTAGGACGTGCTATGGGGACATCATACTTGGAGCTATGGCTGCCATCTTGCCACCATGAGGGAGAGGCCAAGAGGCCTTCAGAGATGTCACTGCCCGTGCAATGGATGCTAGCTGTGCCCTCCTCTGGACTCGCCATTGTGGTCTCAGCCACTGTGAGTGAGGTTTTTTATTACTTGCAGCCAAATGCTTTCTAATGAACATAATGTGAATATTTGGAGCTTGGAGTGAGGGGGCAGGGTAGTTATTAATTAGAAGATACGGGCAAAACACTGGGATGGCTTCCTGACAACTTAAGAGGTCTCCGAGTTATATTCTGGGTTGGGAAACACTGACCCAGCCCTTATTCCTTCAAGGACTCTAGTCATTGGCAAGGAGGATTCATGAGCCCCAGTGACACAGATGGGGGCCCTGCTCTATATTCAACTGTCCAGAGAAGATCTAGTCACAACCCCTCATCTCAAATGAACTTTGGTTCAGAAAACAGAACTAAGGAAAAGTGGTTTCCTTGGACTCAACCGGTCTGAATTTCCCACTAACCACAACACTGACTTCCTGAGCAAGCTGGCTAATCCCACGTATACAGGCAATTACTTGTACATCACAGGGCTGGGGACAACACACACCAAGGCTGAGAAATCTCTAAAAAGCCAAGTGAAGTAAAGGGAGACAGAGTTTAGGTACAGAGGGGAACTTAGCAACGGAGTGGATCAGAAGATACAGCCAAGGCCCACGGTCTGGTCTGGACCTGATGAGTGGATGTCTGAGGCCAGACGCTGCCTCTGCTAATGGGTCCCTCTGCTAGACCTGAGGACCAGCCTGTCCACAGACTGGGCTTCCAGACACCCCAGACAAGCCACACAGTTGCAAAGTCTTTGTCATTCAATGCATCCAGCTGAGCGGCCAACATCCTCCTCCTGGATTCAGCACGTGGTGCCGAGTCTCCTCTATCCTTTAAGTGTTCCTAGAACCCGGGCCACCACCCACGATTCTGAAAATTAGCCTCGCTCGAATGAAACCCTGCCTTCCCTCTGACCTTCCATGACACCACTGATGCCCTGTCTTTGTGACCGGACCCTTGGCCACAGCATGGGGGCTGAAGCGTCTCCCAATGAGGTAAAGGTAAGGCTGGTTGCCCCTGGACAACCCTGCTCATTGCACCCACCCAAGGAAGTCCACCATTAATATGACCACGTCCACTGCTGAGATGACCTCCAAGAAGCGGGCAGGCAGGGAACCCTCAGAGCACCAGGTCCAACACAGCACGTCCCACCAGAAGCCCTGTTGAGGGCTCCGGAAGCCAGGCTCCCCCTGAGCCCGAGATGCCCACTCCCTCTCACACTGCTCTGCACTCGACCACCAAAGCCAGGGTCCTTGCGTACCCATTTCCCAGATGTGTGCAAACTTCTCGCTGAGGAAGACACATCTTAAGAACGAGCTGCTTGTCCCAGTTGTAGGCTCGCTCCTTCTTTTTGCAGAAGGTTCCAGCCCTCTGTTCCCTTCCACCATCTCCACTGGCATCCTCACTGCCATTTCCCATGGTGTCCAGTTCATTTATTTTGTTAGGGGGCCCCCTCCAAAGACAAAAGACAACCCCTTGCACCAATTTTCCCAGGTCTTCAGCCCCAGCCAGTTTCTCACTTTAAATCTTCCCCATTCTCCAGGACTTCCTGATTTCCTTCTCATTTTCCTTCTTGTTCTTTTGTTGTGTTGTTGTTTGTTTGTTTTTGAAACAGAGTCTCACTCTGTCACCCAGGCTGGAGTGCAGTGGCACGATCTTGGCTCACTGCAACCTTCACCTCCTGGGCTCAAGCAATTCTTCTGCCTCGGCCTCCTGGGTGGGAATACAGGCATGCGCCACCAGGCCCAGCTAATTTTTGTAGAGATGGGGTCTCGCTTTGTTGCCCAGGCTGGTCTCAAACTCCAGGGCTCAAGGAATCCTGATGCCTCAGCCTCCCAAGGTGCTGGGATTCCAGGCATGAGCCACCACGCCCAGCCTCCTGCCTGTTCTTTATTAAAGCTGGAGTTATCTGTCCTGCCTCTCCCTGCCTCTCCCTGCCTCTCGACCTGCTCATTTCCAGTCTGCTAAGAACAGGCTTTTTTTTTTTTTTTTTTTTTTTGAGATGGAGTCTTGCTCTATCACCCAGGCTGGAGAGCAGTGCAGTGGTGTGATCTCAGCTCACTGCAACCTCCACCTCCCGGGTTCAAGTGATTCTCCAGCCTCAGCCTCCCAAGTAGCTGGGACTATAGGTGTGCACCACCACACCCAGCTAATTTTTGTATTTTTAGTAGAGACAGGGTTTCACCATGTTGGCCAGGTTGGTCTCAAATTCCTGACCTTGTGATCCGCCCGCCTCGGCCTCCTGAAGTGCTAGGATTACAGGCATGACCCACTGCGCCCAGCCCAGAACTGGTATTTTTCTAACTGCGAACTGTTTGGTCCATGCCCCTGACCCCAAGTCCAGGCTGCACAGGTATTCATTTGCCTTGACATACATCCTCCAGATATCCCCAGGTTACCTCCAAGCTCCAACACACTCACTCTCCTTAGCCAGGGGATCTCAGCATGCTCGCTAGGACAACCTTCCTCCCCCGCCCTCACATGACTGGGAAGAAGAAGACACCAGGCCCGTAACAGGTGACGGCACGGGGTCATCCGTGCAAATGCAGGTAGTAAAACACGGCTGACCGCAACGCTGGGCTCTGGCAGGCCGGGTACGCACACCATGCCAAGCCCCATGGGGAGCCCCTGCCCTCATTCTCTCTCTCACACAACACACTGTGGAGGGAGGCACCATTTTCTTTCCCATTTTACAAACAAGGAAGCTGCGGCTCAGAAAGGTCCAGTGAGGAGCTCAAGGTCACACAGCTGGCAAATGGCGGAGCTGGGCATCCAACCCCCGAGGCCAACTGCAGAGCCTGTTCCCACCACCAGCAGCCAGCCAGCCCCCTTTTGAGGAGCAGGGCAGGCCTATCCCCGGACCATCAGGGAGGTGGGAGATCTCCCTGCACCCTCGGCCCCCTCTTTTGGGGTGTGCACCTGCCTGGGGCAGTCCCTCTGTGCCTGGCAGCAGCGGAGGCTTCCAGCCATCAGCTGTCTCCCCATGACCAGTACAAAGGGCTGTGTCCCATTCCCCTGTGCTGGGGAGAAGTGGGTCAGGGCTGGGCCTGGGTCCTGCCGAGGAACAGAGGGCACCTCCACTGAACGGGAGGCTTGGGAGGCCCGGTGCCATCTGTCGTGCTGACTATACGCCCCAGGGCCTGGAACGGTGTCTGGCGCATTTTGGGGTATCATGAGGATGTCTGTGGCCTGAGCAACAGAGGCCACCGCTGCCCGCTGCCACACCCCAGCCAGGCCCTCTGGCCCATGGAGTGACAACTAGAACCGGTGCCCCTCCCTCGGGACCCTGGACGTCCACCTGCCAACAGTTGTGTGATCCATTCCCAAATCCACAGAGCCCAGGGTGACTGTGGCCTTTGGGGCTGCACAGTCCCTTCCCAGACCCCTGTGATCACTGTGACTGGAAATGACTTGGGGTCCCACGGAGGCCGACGGGTGGGACAGGGGTCGGTGGAGCAGGCAGCATGCAGTCTGCACAGTCTGAGAGAGGCGGCATTTCCTGTCCTTTTCTACTGCATGTCTTGGCCCTGGGGAAGGGAGCAGAACTCCTGCAGCCTCGGTTTCTCCATCTGTAACGTGGGGCCATCGCACCCCATCCCAGGGAGTTACACACTCACAGCTAATGTCGGCCAAAACAGCCTCTGTCAGAGCGGGTTCTCAACCTCTTCAGTCTATGCATTGAATGCTTGCAAGCACTCTGTGAGTGTCCTGTGACGGCTGTAACAACGTAACACAAACTTGGCAGCTAGACACATTTAGCCTCTTACAGTTCTGGGGGTCCGAGGTCTCACTGGGCTAAGACTGAGGTGTTGGAGGGCGGGCTCCCCACCCAGGCTCCAGAGGAGGGGCTGCTTGTGTTCTCTGGTTTCTAGTGGCCACCACGTTCCCTGACCCATGATCATTCCTCAGATCACTCCAGCCTCCGCTCCCATCGTCCCAGCTCCCCACTCTCTGCCTCTGACCCCCTGCCCTCTGATGAGGATCCCTGTGATGGCACAGGGCCCACCTGCATTCGCCAGGACCATCTCCTAATCCACCACCAGCTGATTAGCTGACAAGTCCCCCTCTGAAGCTTCATTCCCCTTGGCCGGGTGAAGTCACACACTCACAGGCCCCAGGGGTTAGGACATGGATGTCTCTGGGCTCCACAGTTCACTTGGCCATGCCACCCCAGCCTCTCTCTCTTTCCCTGGTGAGGCTCAAGGTGGATGAGGCTTTAATATGGAGTGGGGGTGTTTTCAACAATCTTTCGCAGATTGTGGGCTGACTCATCCAACTGCAGGCACCGTCCTCCTTGTGGGGACTCTCAACAGGATGCAGGCACACCTCAGATTGGGCACCAGCAAGCAAGCAGGCAGGTCCTGCGGCCGAGATACTCCCACACTCTTCCTAGTAAATCACACTCTCCCTGGGTGTGAACCATCCCCGTCAATGCTCAGACCACAGGCCAGTACCCACTTAAAAGGCAACTGGCTCTGGGGTGCTGGTGGCCCAGCTGACAGGTGCCCTGACTTGCAGGAGGACTCAGAGGACACTGGCTGCTCGGGGATGCCTCTGCATCTGTGCCTTGGGGCTGCCGGCACCTGCTGGGAGGGTCCTGCCTCTTGAAGCACACAGCGGCACCGGCTCTGCCAAGTCCCCCGTTCTCTCTCTGCTGCTCAGCGTGGGGTCCCTTTTCTCTTGGCAAAGTCTGACGGCGGAAACCCCCTGAATAAACAGCTCCTGCACAGAGATGTTTCTCCGCGGCTCAGGATTCGCACTGGAGGAGAATTCAGAAGTCCAAGCCCATCATTTGATGCTGCCAAATTTCCGCCAGCCTCAGCGGTAACCTTCTCTGGCAAGGTTAAAGGGTCTATCAGATTCCCGGCCCAGAAACTAATTAGATAAAGAGGAAACCTGGGCCCCCTGGGGTATCTCCTCAAAGGCCGAAAGGTGCACATCCACCACATCCACCCCACCATGCCCAGAAATGGGACCCACCAGCGGCACTGCCTCAGCCACCCTGGACTGTAACCATCCAGGCTCTCAGCCGGATCCCTGCTGTACCTCCACAGGGGAGAGGCCAGCTCATTCGCATGAAGGGAGACTGAACGGACGCTGGGGCACGCTGAGCTCCCCAGATTACTCACAGCAACCCTCCTGCCCATGCCTTTTGGTTTGGGAGGCGACCCAAGCCCAGTACCTAATGGAGTGACTGGGGTGGGAGCACGAGGCAAGGGTATCCAGGCTCCACAGAGAAACCCCTTTCTGGATACCAGAGCTCTAGGTTTTAGCAACAGAAACCACCTCCAGAGATCTTGAACACTGTGGGGTTCTGCACGGGCTTCAGGTCAAAGATGTGGAGGGGCGGACATCACCGGGCTTTATAATAACAGGGTCTGGGCATGCTCGGGGTGAAATCTAAGGGAAACGCATCTGGGTGTGGCCTTCCCCCAGGCAAGGGGCTGCGGCTTTTCCCTTTCAGAGAAACAGGAGTTCGACAACCTGGAGAAGAGTATAAGGCAGCCCAAACCTGCTGGAGGGTGCTTTGTGAGAGGGCCTTTGACCCACAGGCCAGGTTCCAGGACTGATCCGACAGAAACGCACCCTCAAGAGCACCACAAGGCCGGGCCAGGGCTGCTGCTGCTACTGCCACTGTCTGAACTGGAAATATTTGAGCCATCTCCAGGGGACATGCTGGGTCCACCCCACCCCCGGACGGTTACTAGGAAGGACACTGTCTACACGAACCCATGGGCATGGAAGCTGGGCACCAACAGAGTGCAGAAACAAACTGCAGGATGCTGTGTGGCGGAGCCCGCTGTGCCCCACAAATACATGAGAGGAGGACACAATGATGTTGCAAAGGCTGGCGGGAGGATCACCGAAGGTCAGGAGTTTGAGACCTGCCTGGCCAACATGGTGAAACCCTGTCTCAAACAAACAAATAAATAAATAAGGCTGGTGGGCACAGCCAGCCATGCACAGTGGCCCCTTCTGGGAAGTGGGACCAGGAGGATGATATTGACTTTCTATATTTCTGCATTCTTTGAATATCTTGAGATGGAAAAGTGGGCACTGTTGTTTTCTAAAACAGACAATGAAGATGGGAGGGAGAGAGGGAGGAAATGGGGGAGGCAGGTAGGAGGAAGTTTCCGGTTTGCCCAAGGCCACAGAGAAGGAGGCCTGGAGCCCTTGTCCTCCCAGGTCGGGGAGCATCCTGGTTCCTTTGTTGAACTCACTCTCTCAGGACCCAAGAGCAGCCGTGGATGGAAGAAAATGAAAAGACAAAACGCAAGTCCTAAGCACAGGAGGATGACGTGAGGATGGGGAATGACACTGCTCTTCACCGCACCACCGAGGCATGGGTCAGGTGTTACCCTGAAGGTGAGGAAACCGAGGCCAGGGGTTAGGTGACAAGTCTAAGGCAGATTGGCTGGAGAAGGGCAAAGCTGGGACGTGGCCGAGAGGGTTGGTGTGACCGCTGAGCCACATCCCCTGTAAGACGCTGTCTCCCTGATGGCCTCAGTTTCCCTGCTGGTCTCTCCACCAGGCTCACCGCTGGCTCAGGATTTGACAATTACCGCTCCCTCCTTTTTTACTGAAATTTTTTAATTTTATTTTTAGAGATGGGATCTTGCTTTGTTGCCCTGGCTGGTCTCAAACTCCTGTGCTCAAGCAATCCTCCCACCTTGGCCTCCTGAAGCTCTGGGATTCCACCGTGCCTGGCCACTTCCTCCTTTCTTTTCCTTAGTCCTAACCTTCTTCCTGTCTCTGGCCAGCTCTCACCTCAGCGAGCTCCACTCTGCCGTTTCTGTGTAATTCAGCAACATGCCCTCTTCCCCACCCAATCCGTGCTGCTTTTAACACTTTCCTTCCACCCCTGGAACTTGCCGCCTTCTACCGATGGTGCATCTCTGTGTCTGTTAGCTCACTGATATGCTGCTACATGCTCTCAGAGTTTCCTGTGGACACTGTAACAAATTGCCACAAACCGGGTGGTTTAAACAGCAGAAATGGGTTCTCTCACAGCGCTGGAGGCCAGAGGTGCAGTATCAGCATGACCACTGTGGTGAAATCAAGGCATCGGCAGGGCCACGCTCCCTCAGGAGGCCCCAGGGGAGGAACCCTCCTTGCTTCTTGCCGCTTCTGGTGGCTGCAGCAGGCATTCCTTGTCTTGGGGTCAATCTCTCTAATCTCTGCCTCTGTGGTCATGTGGCTTTCTCCTCTTCTAGCTTCATGATCTCCTTTTTGTTTTTTTTTTTTCAGACAGAGTCTCCCTCTGTTGCCCAGGCTGGAGTGCAGTGGCGTGATCTTGGCTCACTGCAAACTCCGCCTCCTGGGTTCAAACGATTCTCGTGCCTCAGCCTCCCAAGTAGCTGGGATTACAGGCCTACACCACCACGCCCAGCTAATTTTTGTATTTTTAGTAGAGACAGGATTTCACCATGTTGGCCAGGCTGGTCTCGAACTTCTGGCCTCAAGTGATCCACCTGCCTCCACCTCCCAAAGTGCTGAGATGACAGGCGTGAGCCACTGCACCTGGCCCTGGATGCATAGTTTTGAATAAATGAATGAAAAGAGAGAGAGAGAGACCTGGGTCCCTGTCCCTGCTACTCACTCTTCATATCCACGGCCCCTCTCCCAGGGTCTTCACTGTCCCCGTCCCCCTACCCAGTCATCACCCTTGAAGTGTGAAAAATGGCTCCCAGAGCCTGAAACCATGAAGGTTCAAAGGCACACTCCTGGCTGGGCACGGCGCATGCATCCCAGCAGTATGGGAGGCAGAGGTGGGAGGATTGCTTGAGGCCAGGAGTTCAAGACCAGCTTGGGCAACCTAGAGAGACCACATCTCTACACACACACAAGATTAGCCAGGTGTGGTGGTGCACACCTGTACTGTGGCCCCAGCTACTTGGGAGGCTGAGGTGGGAGGATCACTTGAGCCCAGGAATTCAAGGCTGCAATGACCTATGATTGCACCACTGTGCTCCAGCCTGGGCGACAGAGGGAAACCCTGTCTCTTAGCCCCCTACCCCCACCCCAAAGGCATACTCTCTGGTTTCCTAGGAGAATCCGGTTTGGTATCTCACACTCCCTTCACCCAGGAAGCACAGGCTGTGGAAAGAGTGTCAAGGTGGGAGCAGGTAAACCCTTGGCCCCTGTCCGTCACTCAGTGTGACTCAGTGAGTGCCTGAGTCACACTCAGGGCCAGGGACAGTGCCCCTGGCCCTGCCAATCCAGTGAGCGTTGTTGGTCCCAGCCCTGCCCTGTCTGACCGGCTGCAGCCCTTCTGATAGGTCACATGCCTCACTCTGCCTCAGTGTACCCTTTAGGAAGAAGAAGGGACTCCAGAGATCCCTCTTGGCTCAAATGCAAAGGTGAGGATAATTTGGGAAAAGAGGCAGGACAATTACTTTGTGCATTTTGGCAGTGGGAATGCTGTGCTGCAGAAAGGTGAGGCAAAGGACCCTGGGCAAGGCCTGACCCCAACACCACCTTAGTCCCTGCCTGAGGTCCCTGACCTCAGTCCAAGCCATTCCCCCAGATGGTGTGGCCAGAGGACTCCAGTTCCTTAATCCCTGCCTTCCCATCTGACAGTCCCAGAGGCTTGGCGAAAAAACCCCCAAAAAACAAAAAACTGGCAAATGAAACCCAGGAAAGAAAAAAGCTCCCAACCTCCAGTCTGGGCCCCTCTCTTCCAATCTGCTTTTGAACTCGCTTTTTCCACCCTCCTCCTGCCGCCCAGAAAAGAGCTGCCATCTTCCTGGCTCCTCCCCTTCACTCATCTTGGAGGCCTCAGAGCTCCACGGGGCCAACTCCAGGCCAGGGGACCTGGGACACATGGTGCCAGCTGTTATACCAGGCATTAGACCACCGAGCCAGCCTCCACCTTGACCTTGGGGGCAGTAGAGTCAGGTTTTAATCAGCACATGCCCTGAAGAGCTAAGCCCTGCTTGTTGGTTGGCAGGGCCTGGGAGTGCAGCCTCTAGTCCTGACCCATCTGACCAAGCTCCCTGACAGGGAAAGAGAGGGAAGCAGATTCCAAGCTGGACCCTCCCGAAGACTTGGATGGGCTGCATCTCTTTGTAATCCTAAGCATGGGGACAGGTGCCCAGTGCTTCATTCTGTCCTGGAGAGAACGGGGCAGCAGAGCCCTAGGGAGGACAGGGGGCAGTCTCAACTCCTTAGACTGCCCTGAGCACTTTTCATGACATACTCCTTGGCACTGGGGACACAAGTCTCCTTCTCACTGGGGCCATGCTATCCTCTCCTTCCCATGAAGTGAAAATTTATTGAGTGCTGACAATGTACCAAGTACTGCCTATAGAGAGGTCTGAGCACACTGCCCAACTTTGGTCCCCACCCTTACCCCAAGTCACAGATTCAGTCAGCCACCCACCCACTCACCCATCCATGCATCCATGGGTCCACCCATGCACTCATCCATCCATCTGTCTACCCATTCATTCATCCACCTATCCAGCCATGCCCCCACCCACCCACCCATCCACACACCCATCCAGCTCCCCTTCCTTCCTTCCTTCCTTCCATCCATCTATCCATCACCCATCTACCCATCCATCCATCCATCCACCCATCCACACACCCATCCAGCTCCCCTTCCTTCCTTCCATCCATCCATCTACTCATCCACCCATCCATCTATCCATCCATCCATCCATCCATCCATCCACCCACCCACCCACCCACCCATCCACACACCCATCCAGCTCCCTATCTATCCAGCCATCCATCCTTCCTTCCATCTATCCATCATCCATCTACCCATCCATCCACTCATCCACCCATTCACACACCCATCCAGCCCCTCATCTATTCATCCATCCATCCATCCTTCCATCTATCCATCATCCATCTACCCATCCATCCATTCATCTATCTACCCATCCACACACCCATCCAGCTCCCCATCTATCCTTCCTTCCTTCCAGCCATCCATCATCTGTCTATCCATCCATCTTCTCACCTCTCTCTCCACTCAACTCTCCATTCTCTGAGAGCTGGACATTTGCCAGACCCTGTGCCAGATGCCAGGGAGAAGGAGACAAGTCAGTCAGTCCTGGTCCTATCTGGAGGAGACACAGGTGTAGAAGGACAGGGGTGGGCAGAGAAAAGGCAGTCCTGCATGGCCCAGGTAATGTTGAGTCAGGGAGGTCTGATTGCTTCTCACTCTAGCTCTACAAGTCAGGCACCAAAGACACCTCCCTGCTTCCTGGAGGAAGGCCCAGAGCACCAGGCTTTGGGCAGAGGCGGGGATCAGTGTGAGCATTTCCCGAAAACCTGCTGCTTCCCAGGCACAGCCTTGGGTACCCCTCCAGAACCAGTCTCCTCATCTGCTCCCTGGAGAGGCACCCCTTGGCCTTGTATGCCACTGATGGCCCCTGTCTGGACCCCAACTAAGAGCACTCCTGCCCATCTTGGGCTGCCCTCTGGATACCTCTGCCCACTCTGGGTCAGGCCCTGGAATCCCAACCCTGCCCAGCCTGTCTCAGGGTTTGCAGTTTTGTCTAAAGCGCATTCATTCATGGTGACCACTGGCCAGTGGTTATGGCAGTTTCAGGCCCAATGTGTAGAATTTTATATTCACAAGAGATCTCAGCAATGATGTAGGCATTTTACAATGTAGCCATCTTACAAATGGGGAAACTAAGGCCCGTGCAGGAAGGTGATGTCAGAACTGGGACCAGGACCCCTGGCACCTGAACTCCCAGGCCTAGGCCTATCAGGCTTGAAACCTGCTTGCTGGAGCTTCAGATCAGCACACTTCATTACCCTGTGTAAGACCCCGACTCAGAGCACAAGGTTGGAGCAGGGGTGCAGAGGCACGGATATTGCCCAGGGATGAGCCGAAGCTGGCTCTTAGGAGCTGCCAGGGCTGACTGTGGGCGCCTCTTTCCAGCTTGCTCAGTGACCTCACGTTGGCAGCTCGGAATGGGCCATTGTGGGGCAATTTACACCACTGAAATCAGTAAATGCTACCAATCAAGGTGGATATAAGACAGGAGCACGAGAGGGGCCAGGTACAGTGTGGGGGTAGGGGGGTGGGCGGGGGCGGTGTGGAGGCAGAGGTCAGCTTTGGCAGCTATTGTCAGAACAGCTCCAGAGAGAACATGACTAACTCCTCTCCTTTGCCTGCCGGCGGGGCTCAGGGATTTTAGGAGACAGAAGATTCCTGCGCAGCTACAGAGCTCCTGAGCTCTGGGGGCCCCTGCCCCATCCAGGTGGGGAGCAAGGCAGGCCTCTGGGAGTGCCCTCAGTGGGGCCCTGCCTGAAGGTGCTGAATCCCAGCCCCCCAGGCCCTCCTCTGCTGCTGCTCCGATGGCCCCACCCACCACCGGTGTCCCCACCATCCACCCACTCGCCACCTGGGAAATGTACTAAACGTGGTCTGAGGCTGCTCTGAGCCAGGAGCCTCCCTGTGGTGAGGAACTCAGCTCCCAGCCCCAAAGCAGGGGACTTGGGTCCAGAACAAAGCAGCCAGACCTTCCTGCCTGGCCCCACAGAAAAGGCCGTCATGAGGGTGTCCAGGCTGCTGAGAGCTTGGCCTCCCTGCTCTCCAGCCAGAGTGGTCCTGGAGCCACTTACCCCAACCTGAAGACCAAGTGCGCCCAGCCCCAATGCAGAACAGTTGCTGAGCTGGATCCCCCCTGCAGGGCATGAGGAGGCCCCTCCCCTTCTCCACCCTCAGAACCCATCCAACTGCTTTCAGAGGGTCTGAGCGTACCTCCAGCCAGAAAAACCTACCCTCACCTTGGTCTGGGGCCAAGGTCCAAAGTCCCCAAGTCAGGTGCTTGACGTCATAAAACTGCAAGGGGAAGTTGGCCGTGGCCAGGTCGGAGCACACCTAATTTCGTGCACCTAATTTCGCATCACTGAGTACTGGAGAAGGAGGAGTCCAGGCCTGGCCCAGCCAAGCCAGCAGCCCCGGCCATCCCAAGAGACTCATGACCCACTGTGCACCCAGGAAACATAGCAAGTGTCAGCTTTATGCTTGGCTCTTTGAAATTATATATTTCACAGATGATATCTAAGAAATCTGAATCTCAAAGCTCCGTGACAGAGGCAGAATCACAAATGCTCATTTGCAGATGGCACAGGCAGAGCTGAGAGTGGATGATCTTGTCATGGGGCTGGCAGGTGGAGAGGCTGGGAGGGAACACGGGCTTGTCTAACTCATGAGTCTAGGCCCTTTGTGCCTCACTGCCCCCTTTCCCATCAGAGAGCCTCCTCCCCTTTCATGACTCGGCAGGGACACTGCGCTCCTGGGACCATGTCTCCCCACCACAGCTCTATCACCTGGCCACCTGTGCAACTCACTTCAAGATAAACAGACCAGCACTTCAATTTTCAATTTGGATCCTACTACTTGTCCCATAGGTATGCATGAGAACCTATGTCTATCTTTGCTTAGAACTTCTGGTGGGAGTGGGGCCAGGAGCATGTCTCTAAGCCTCTCTTTTTGGTGTTTGACCTGAGGAACGTGCAGTTCACCTGAGCTCTGCCGTGAGAGCAGTTACGTGCAGAGATCTGCCCATACCTGGCTGGCTGGTTTGTTCACAAAGAGATCCGGAAACCACTTCTCTCAAGCTTTAGAAGCTTATCCCATTGTTGAAAGGAAAAGCTCTTGGACAGTAACAGTGTGATTGACAAAATAATAACTTACATAGACAGGTTGGAAGTTAAGGACATTTCCCAGAATACAGAGCAAGAAGGCAAAGAAAAAAATCTTGAGAAAGAATAAGTGACAAATGGGGAGAACGTAAATGGTCTAATAGAGGAAATCCAGAAAGGCTGAACTGAAAGAGGAAGCGATGGAATTGTCAAGGAGGTAATAAAATACCTTCTTGAAGTGGAAGCTGCTTCAGTCTGGAGGGGTCTCCAGAGCAATGAGCTCAATGTGCAAAGGAAGCGCACACTCACATCCACCATCAGATTTCAGAACACTAAGAAAAAGTAGAAAATATGACATTCCTACAAACTTCTAGGGAGGAAAATAAAGGGTCGCTACCTACAGTGGAATGAGAATCAGACAGTGCTATAACTTCTTACTGGCAATTCTCACCTGCCAGGGATAAACAGGAACATTGAATAATGAGAAAAAGATCAATTCAGAACTGGGAACAGAACCCCCAGACACCTGAACTTCCAGGCCTAGGACCATCACCAAGAAGACAAAACAGTCCTGAATGAGTACAAACCTAACATCAGAACTTCAAAATACATGAAGCGAAATCCGAGAGAACTGAAAAGAAAAAATAGACAAACACAATAATATTGGAGAATTTCAGCATTCCTCTCTCAAAAATTGACAACAGAGGACAAGTCAGCAAGGCTCTAAGCCATGAGTAGAGACGGGATGGTGATGAAGCAATGCCTGGAGAGTTTTGAAACTGGAGTTCTACAACCTGGAGAACATTTGATAACTAGGGAATTTCCAGACAGGGAGGTTACATTCCAGATACCTTTTGTTGAAGTGGAGGATGTATCCTGACAGAATAAGGGCAAAGAAAAGAAGCAACTCACGTATCCACTAGCTCAGTGAAGTGAAGTTGCAGGATGATCGTCGTGTACTGAGAGCTGGAGTTCAAATTGGAGCAGAATGTCAGAGGACTCCAACAAGAAGAGGACAGATTCCAGTGATACATCAGAAAAAGAATGATATTTTAGTGGTATGCTCAAGAAGCCATAATTTTTCTCCCACGAGAAAAAAAAAGGCAATCAGAAACTCCAGGAAAAACAAAATCTTCATGTGAAAATCATGATCCTAATATTAAGCTGAAATGTAGAATTACTCTGAAACACTGATAGAGTGGAAAAAAAACTCATTGGGTTGTGATACTATTAGTACCCTTCTTCTCATAGGTCTGTAAAGAGGAATTGGAATACTAACCCCATTTGTATTATCATCATAATGTAATACTTCCCATGTTTTTTTTTTTTTTTTTTTTTTTTTTTTTTTTTGGTGTCTATGCTGGTCTCGAATGCCTGGGTTAAAGCGATTCTCCTGCCTTGGCTTCCCAAAGTGCTGAGGTTACAGATGTGAACCACTGTGCTCACCCTCCACTGTTTTTTAACTTCTGAGTCCAACTTGGAGACAAAACTTAGAACCCATAAATATAAATATAAATATAAATATAAATATAAATATAAATATAAATATACCAAAGGGTCGAGTGATAGTGTCTAAAATGTATTAAACAAGAGAGAGAAGTTTAAGAATGTTATTTAAAGGTAATCCATTAGCATACTGGCAAGAACTATTCAAAATTGGAGGTGAGGGTCAAACTATGAAAGCCTCATTTTTTCCAGCAATGTGTCAAGGATGTTTCACATTTTAAAATTAAGAAATACGGGAGTAATCATCACGTTGGGAAGATACCCACCAGAAGAATGAAGCAGACATAATTTAAAAACTTTTTTTTCTGCCAAGTGGGGCTGTGTGGATGAGGCTGGGTCAGAGTGGGCACATAATAATTTATTTCTACTCTTGGCCCTATCTCTGTAGTTTAATTAATTACTTTCATTACATGCATGCAGTACTTGGATGAAAATTTATGGAGGGAGGAAAAATGTGAAACTGAGAGTTCACTGAGAATGGATGAGGGGAGGGGTCCCTGGGGCAGCCGGACTGTGGGGTGCTAAGGGGAACAGAGAACATGGACAAGAGCCAAGGGGCCAGCCCAGGGAAACAGCAGGAGGACGAGGAGAAGACAGGACTCCTTGACCCTTGTGATGGACTAAAGGAGGGAAGGAGGGAGAAAGGCAAGGGAGAATGAGGAGGGGGACACTCAGGTCCCCCGTTTAGGCACTGGGAGGGCTGTCCATCACAATAGAGACCACAGAGAAGAGCAGTACTCCCTGGAGAAATGGCTCACCCAAATGGAGACCTGGTTCCGGCCACCATCTTTACCATGCTGGGAGAGCGCAAAGGAAGAGCTGGGCCATCTGTGGTTGTGATGCCTTCCTTTGCCTATGCCCAGAGAAATACCTCTCTGTTTCAAAAAACTACAAAAGAACTATATACTTGCAAAAATAAAAATAAAAATATGGGCCAGGTGCGGTGGCTCACGCCTGTAATCCCAGCACTTTGGGAGGCTGAGGCTGGTGGATCACTTGAGGTCAGGAGTTCGAGACCAGCCAGGCCAACATGGTGAAACCCCGTCTCTACTAAAAATACAAAATAATTAGCCAGGCATGGTGGCACATGCCTGTAATTCCAGCTACTCAGGAGGTTGAGGCAGGAGAATCACTTGAACCAGGGAGGCAGAGGTCACAGTAAGCTGAGAGCATGCCATTGCACTCCAGCCTGGGCAACAGAGCAAAACTCTGTCTCAAAAATAAATAAATAAATAGTAAAAAAATAAAAATACAGAAAATGTATGAAATAAACAGTGAAATAATCTCTTGCCCTGCCCCAAACTATGCCTCAAAGAAGCCGCCATGGGGGCTTCCAAATTAACTGCGAGGCCCAGCCTTCAGTTGAGAGTAAGGAACAAATGGGGTGTGCTTCCTTCTGTGTCCAGACAGTAGACATACTCAGGGATAAAGCCTTCTTTTCAAGTCTAAGAAATAAGAAAAAATATATAAAAATACAAAATAATGGCGGAGGAAGAATGAGGGAAATCAATGTTTCTTGCCATTCAGTTCTTACAACCTACACACTGAGGCAGTCTTCTAGAGCGCAGAGTTAGGGTTTCAAAGGAAAGCCAGCTACCCACACACACTGCTCACAACTCAGCACCCCTCTGGATTTATATAGCACATGCCTCTTAGGAGCTGCAAGTACTAAACATATTTTCTCATTCATCCTTAACACGAACACAACTGGAGATACAGAATGAGTTGGAAGCAGCTCTACTTTGCAAACAACAGGAACTGAAGACTCAGGGAGGGGAGGCGAGCTACCCAAGGTTGCATAGTGACTTAGCTGGAAAGCCAGAGAGATAACTTAGGACCGGTGATTTCTCAGCGTCTTTAGAACGCTTCAGATAACATGCATATATGCTTCTATTTGCAGGGCCCTTCTCTAGAAAGAGCCTCAGGAACCCAGCAACAGAGATTCTCTCTAGGGAGAAGAACTTGGGGACCAGAAGGCAAAGATGGGAGACCTACTCTTCACACTCTATCAATTTCCTGCATATCTTGAATTTTTAAACCAGGTATATGTATTTCTTATTACTGATTTAGAAAAGATAAAAATTGGGCTGTGAGGCTCGAAAGCCATGAAAATAGGGAGCTGTGGACAGTGGATATTCAATGGTGAGCAGGCATACTTTGCCATCCTTCTAATTCGCTCTCTAAGAGAAAACTGGTTTTCTCTAAGGGAGAACAAAAAACAGATGCTCAGCACCTTCTTAAACCTTTTCCTTGAGTGGCATTAATGGACATGTTCCTTTTGAGCAGACCTTGCTGCCAGTAAGGATGTGCCTCTGGGAGCTCCTCCCGGCAAAAACGAAGAGAAGGTGAGAACTAAGTCCTCCATGCTCTTCCTCACCTCCATGTCCATGCCCCTATCCAATCTAACTCCATCCTACCCCTCAGTTCCATCCACCTCTCTACCCCACCTCCTCCACCAGCCCCAACCACCATTGTTGCTTGGCCTGAATAATGGCAATGGGCTCCTCACTGGTTTCCATCCATCCTGCCATCTGCTTTCCTCCAGAAAAGTGATTCAGATGATGTCTCTTCTGCCTAACGCCCTCCAATGCCTCCACTGCAAGTGCGAGAAGACCCAACTCTTTTCATGAAGCACGAGGTCTTTCTCTGACATTACTGCCTCTAATCTCTTCTAGGCCATGGCTATTCCTGCAGTGTCGAATCTTCTCATCACCCCAGTGCTTCTGCACTTGCTGAACCTTCTCTTGAGGGGTGATTCCTCCTCAATCTTTGTGTTTCAACTCAAAAGTCACTTCTTCAGGGAGACACTCCCTCCCTGGCATCCCTACATAAAGCCGGCATGACCCAACCTCCCAGGATTCTATGACAGCACTCATCTGCTTCATAGCATTAACTACAAAGTGAGATCCTCTGCTTCATTTGTTAACTTTATTGTGTACCTTTACTAATTAGACTGTAATCTACTTGAAGTCAAAGAATGTGCTTGTCTTGTTTATATCCTCAGCTCCCAGAATAGTCAGATCTTGATAAATATTCATTAAACAGATGGACAGATGAATGCAGTGGTTGGGTGGATGGGTGGATGGATGGGTGGGTAGGTAGGTGGATGGACGGGGGAGTGAACAGATAAATGGGTGGATGGATGGATGAAGAGATACATATGGATGGAAGGATTCATACATGGATGGATGAATGGATAGATGGATGTGTGGATAGACGGACAGGTGGACAGGTGACTGGGTGGATAGATAAATAGGTGGATAGATGAGTGATAGAAAGATAAATGGCTGAGTGAGTGGATGGCGGGAAGGATGGATGTATAAATGGAGTCCGTTCAGCCTAAAGTGAGACCCTGAGTTCTCCCCCATCCCACCAGGTAGATTTCTCTGGAGTATCCCATGATGAGGCTGGGGATTTGGTTAACGAGGAGTGGGAACTTAAGATTCCCATTCCCTGAGTGGAGACATGTTTTTAAAAATGACATTGAAATATCTGTAAAGTCCCAAGTAGAAATGGCCCTTAGGGCCTCTGCTGTTTGACCTTAATTAATGTGGCCATTTCTAGATCCTTCTCTCACTGTTTTCCGGGTGAGTGGAGGGGAATCCCAGGGAGGGAATTGGCTGGAACAGCTGAATATGTTCACTAATGAATTGGTGTGTTTCAACATTTGGCTCTCCAGCTCTGAGACTCTGAGCAGTTTTTGACATAAGAGGAGGTTGGAAGGGGAGAAACCTCCTGACTGATTCAGAAAATGTCTCCACTGAGTCTCACTTCCCATGGCATTTTCTCTCATTACACTTGCATCGGCAGTGGGGTGGCCTCAGCCCTGTGCTGTCTGCCCAGATTGTGACCCCACAGCCTACTGTGGATAATTGGCCCACAGGGCTGGCACTGCACCCAGGTTTCTGCTGCTCATTAGTCTACTTGCAACATGAATGCCAACAAGGGTTTGTGAGCTACAAGCTGTTCTGCACCCATGCCCTGGTGACCATGGCCTCCAGATGCTCCTCCTGCTCCATTGGAGAAGCTGGCAGTCAGCCTCTCACTCCACACCCACTCCAGAGTTATGCCATTCCAGGGTTACAGGGGTGCACAAGACCTACTCATCTCTGTCCACAAGCTCCCATGCTGCCTGCCCTCCTTCCATGCTGCCTGCTCTCCTTCCACACTGCCCGCTCTCTGCCTGCACTGCCCACCCTCCATCCGTGCTGCCCACCCTCTGTCAGCACTGCCTGTCCCCCTGTCCACCCTGCCATGCTAATAGGTTCACAGTCTAGCTGAGGCCAGTTCTGCTGGTCCTGGGCAGGGTGGCCTCCCTCAGGCTAACCCTGCACCCGTTATGAACCAGCTCAGACAGTCAGGGATGAACAACGATAATACCATCATCCTGAATACGTCAGGATTCCACTCATCTGAGGTTCCTAGAGTCATCAAATTCATAGAGACAGAAAGTAGACAGGTGGGGGCCAGAGTCTGAGGGAGGTGGAGCGGGGAGTTTGCGTTAATGCAGACAGAGTTCCAACTTTGCAAGATGAAAGACCTCTGGAGCTGGACGGTGGTGTCGGTTGCACAACACAGTGAATGTCTTAATACCACTAGACTAGTGATTCACTTAAAAATGGTCAGAATAGGAAAGTTTATATTATGTGTATTCTACCACAGTAAGAAAAAATGGGGGGGTGGGGAAAGAATGAAGTACTGGTGTGTGTCACTGTGTGGATGCACTTTGAAAACATGATGCAGAGTGGAAGAAGCCAGACACAAAAGACCACGTAGTGGCTGATTCCATCTATGTGCATCTCTCCCAACAATGCTTTGGGAGGTGCTGACTGTTACCACAAGAAACACTGGCCCTCCTCCTCGTCAGTTTCCCTCAACCCAGGCTGGCTTTGGGCAGTACCATCCTCACCGCGGGAGGGTGGGGCCTGAATGCCAGGGCTCTACTGCCCACAGATCAGGCCGCATACTCAGGCTCAGATGCTCATTAACTTGGCCTTCCTTTCCCTCCATCAGTGTCCCTCTAGCAGGTGGAATGTAACACCTGCGTTACCAGGTTGCTGGGAGGCTCAGCTATGAACAGGGCTGTGCTCCATGCAGGGTGGGTGGCGCACGGGAGGAGTGGATAAGCAGGGCTGTTGTGACTCTTGTTTCTTTCAATGAACCACAGGGTCACATGAGGCCCACAGCTTGTCTGATCCCTCGCCATGGGAGTACTGGAGCTGACTCCTAACTCTGATCAAGGCTGAAGCTTTTTCACCATTTGCTTAGAAGCTACCAGTTGACCCCAGTGTGGTCTGCATGTTCCTCCTCTCTGAGGTGAGGTCCCAGGACCTGGCAGAACAGGTGTTCAGTACACATGTAAAACAAAAGCCCTTGACTGGACACCAAAACAGGGATGCAGAGTTGGTGGGGATCTTGGAGGTCATCCAGTCCAATCTTCTGTGACATTCTGGCAAGAGAATCCTCAGCCCTGCTTGGCTCCTTCTAGTATGGGGAGCTCACTACCTCCTGAGGCAGCCTGAACAGCCACAATAGTTCTGCAAGTCTTCTCTTGGCTGAACTCCAGCCCATGTCCCTGGTATTTTCTGGCCCTGCTGTTAGCCATGTGTCACACCTTTACTACAACACCCTAGCCAGCTTTGCCCACAGATGTCTCTCTTCCCAGGCAGGTCCTTCCTCTGCTCCTCTGTGGGGAGACTCAGGCACTATGTATCATTGTGCAGACTCTGCTTGCTATCACAGATCCTATCACAGTGTGATAGGCCCACTGACTATGACCACCTGCCCAGGGTCCACTTCTACAGGCAGCCTTCTGCTGCTGCAGAAACAATTCATCTGGCTCAAATAAAGGCTCATCAGGAGAAGCTGTGGTCAGTCCCTGACCTGCCTTTAGGGCTGCGTTTGTGGCCAGGCCATGGATCACACTTGGGCTTCAAGGTCACAAAGTGGGCGAGTGTAGCAAGACCTGGAAAGTCTGTGACATTCCCTGGAGGGGTCTTGGCTCCTCTCCTGGCTATGGCATTCCTTTTACAGCACACCTCATTTACAAGAGAAGCGGTTGGGACAGGTCAGCATTATAACTGAGTCCAATGAGCAATTCTGCTCCTAAGTGCACACACATACTTGCATGCAAATATCAACAGCAATCAATACCATTCACAACAACCAAAAGGTGGAAATAACCTGTGCTCACTGATGGATAAAGGGATGAGCAAAATGTGGTCCGTCCATACAATGAAACATTATTCAATCCTAAAAAAGGGAAGAAAATCCAGACACGCTACAACACGAATGAACCTTGAAGACATTACGCTCAGTGAAAGAAGCCAGTCACAGAAAGATGAATACTTCGGGATTCCACTCATCTGAGGTTCCTAGAGTCATCACATTCATAGAGACAGAAAGTAGACAGGTTGGGAGCTGGAGTCTGAGGGAGGTAGAGTGGGGAGTTTGCATTAATGCAGACAGAGTTCCAACTTTGCAAGACAAAAGAGCTCTGGAGCTGGATGGTGGTGTTGGCTACACAACACTGTGAATGTTCTTAATACCACTAAACTAGTGATTCACTAACAAATGGTCGGAATAGGAAACTTCATATTACATGTATTTTACCACAATAAGAAAAAATTGGGGGCGGGGAAGGAATGAAGTACTGGTATGTGCCACCATGTGGATAGACTTTGAAAACATGATGCAGCGTGGAAGAGGCCAGACATGAAAGATCACGTAGCGGCTGATTCCATCTACGCGCAGCACCGAGGCAGGCAGAGCCCACAGACAGAAGCAGGTGGGTGGGTGCGAGGGGCAATGGGAGTGGGAGTGACTGCTAATGGGGTGACAAAATGTTTTGGAAGCAGATAGTGGTGATGGTTGCCCAATATCGTAAACGTACTAACTGCCACCTTATTGTACACTTTAAAATGGTAAGTTTTAGGTTACGTACATTTTACTTCAATCAAAACAGACAAACAAAAACAAATCAATCAGCTAACCCAGGTTGGATCCCTCCACAGGCAGGTCTAAGAGTCGAGTGCAGGGGTCTGGGCTGCTCATCACAGATATCCTGGAGGTCGGGGAAGAACCCAGCGTAGGGCTTCCGGACCCTCCCACCTCTGCAGGAGATGAGTGGGGTCAGCTTCTGAGAAGGGGCTCCTCAGCCAGCAGGGCCGGGCACAGGACCCTCACATCCCCGGGGCCTGCACCTGCACCTCCTTCTCTTTTCTACCTCACACACTGGCCCTTGTTGAGCTTCAACATCCAGGAAGAACCCTCTATCTGGGGCTCCCCACGTGGAGGGGCCTTTCCCCACACTCGGGGCCAGCAGGACACCTCCCCTGCCCAGCCTCAACCTCCCCTGCAGGCACCCCCCAGCCTCAACCTCCCCACAGAGACCCAAGGACTTCCCCACAGCTGGTGACACACAGGTGTGGTTTCTGCAGAAAAATCCAACCACGTGCCTGTGCCAGTCACATTGTCAAAGATGCAGGGCTCTTTCCACACATCAGACGAACTCAAACCTGCTGTGCTTAGAAGATCTGGCTACCTGGTGGCTCGCCTGCCCCCTTCCTTCACAGCCATTCCACCTAAGCAGAAGTGGCAGGAATGGATGAGAACCCGAGGACCACAGAGAAGGCAGAAACCCAGACCTGAGGCATCCGAAATACTCCCCCGGGGGATGCTGCTGCCCCAATACTGCCTCAAGGCTCCTGTGGCCCACTGCCGTCATCCTTGACATTTGCATGCTTTCGCAAAAACAATGCTACCCAGCCCTCTCCCTGGGGCCACCACACAGGTGTGCTCTGGCTGGACACAAACCAAAGGTGGCACCAAGTACACCTCTCAGGCAGGGGCTCCAGGAGATGGTGGCTTCCATAGTCCTAGCCCGGTAACAGGCACAGGGAGGCAGACACGAGGGGCCTGAAAGCTGCATGCAAGATGGTCCAAAGCATTTGCAGCACAGACGAACAGCTTTGACCAGAGGGTCCTGGAAGAGAAAGCAGCGCGTCTTACCTGGAAGTGTCGAAGCTGTCATAGGAGCCCACGGTGTAGTGCCTGAAAAGCTTCTTGCTGCGGTCAGCGCGGGTTTCTGTACAGAGAGGGAAGAGAAACACCATTCAGAAAAGTCATGGTCCCCGAACGCGGAACCCACAGCACATGAGGCTGGTGGGCCCTCTCACCTACTCCCCAAAATGTGAGATGCACTGTCCTGGGGAAGAGTCTGGAGGAAAATGAGGCCTGGTTCTGGGGCTCAACTTTGTGAAATTTGGGGAATGCATGTGCACCTCAATGCTGGCTACTGAAGAGTCAGGAGCACTACTCCCTAAGGGAGGCAGAGTCCCACAGGCCTCAGCTCACAGAGGAGGCAGGAGGAAGCAGCCTGCAAAGATGAGAGGGCCAGGCCAGCTCAGACCCCAACAGGGCAGCCCGCTTGGCTCATGGAATCCACTAGAACAGCATTCTGCCGTGGTGCTGCTGAGCCTTCCAGCAAAACTGAAAACCTGCAGACAACTGCCATTTGGGAAAGAAAGAACATTTATTGTCATTTTCCTGATTATAGTTCCTTTCTCCTAAAAAAAAAAAAAAGCACCAAACCCACATGATTAACATTTCTAATTAAGTCCTCTGCTTGCTCCCCTTACTCAGCAGATTGAGACATAAATTTCATGGGAAATGATATGAGTGATGTAATTAGATTTAATGGATAGCTCAGTGCTGGAGGGAGAAAAAAAACACACACACAACAAAAAGACATAAAACATAGCAGCTCACGAGTTCCTGTTTACTTTCCTCCCAAACAGGATTTCCTGCATGATCTCCTACCTAAGCCCTGCAAAACATCCAAAGAAATTATGCAACTGACTTCAGGAAAATGGCCCAAAGTTTAATCTAAACTCTGTAAACAACCTTCTCTGTTGTTAGCCTCCTCCATCCCAAATTCTGAGGTGAAATCATTTTTTCTTCCACTCAAACCCCAAAATGCACATTTGCAGTTCAAAAGTAAATAAGGGAATTGAGAAAGGTCTCCACACCTTTCATGTGCCCAGAGGCAGCCAGCTGTTCACCAAAAGCACATGTTCCAAGAACCCTTTCCCTTTTCCAGCAGTGTGGTGTTGCCCTTGAGGGCAGGAAAGGAGGCAGGTGTTGAGCCCAGGACTACATTTCCCAGCCTCCCTTGAACCCAGATGTGGCCACGTGACTAGTTCTCACCACTGAGATGTGAGCACAAGCAGGGTGGGAAGGGTCCCTTCCAAGCTTAGGCTTTTTAGAAGCCAGTGTGCTCTCCCGACTCTGTCTTCTTGCTTCTGCCAGCTCAACGCTCAGGCCTCTGAGACCCTGGGGTCAACAGCTGGGTCTCTGTGCCCTGGACTCTTACGTAAGCAAGAGTTTCATTTCTACCACATTAGGCTGCAGCCTCGGATTAATTTGACACAGTGGCTAAGTCTTTCACATGGAAGCTCCCAGCTGTCTCCACCCCTTCCACACTGCTCCCCACAAACCCCCGAGGCTCCTACAAAACACAACAGGACTCCCCAAACAGCCACATCATCACCATCTCCATCATCGTCACTGACACTTATTGAGCACTTACTCTGTACCAGGCCCTGCTATAAAGTGTTGCCCGAGTATTCAATAGTTTAACTGCCATGACCACCCAGGGAGTGGGGCACACTCCACTTCGCAGGCCCCTCCAGTGCAGCCAGGGGCACCCTCTGCCCTCCACTCCATTGAATGCCACTCCTCAAAGCCTTGCTCAGGGCCGTGGGAGCCCTCCTTGTACAACCAAAAAGACGCATTGCACGATTACCAGATAAAAACACAGTATACACAATCAGATTGGTCAGAGTGCACAGGGCCCTCACCAAGCCAGCACCGGTCCAGCCAAGCTGCACACACCTCCCCTTTGCTTGGCATCTGCAACAAATATGCCCAGGTGCAGGAGGACACCTGTGCCCCCCTCCTCCCTGGCATCCAGCATCTTGCACAGGTCCAATTCCAATCATCATTTATGAAGTCTGCCTGGCAGCCAGGCCCGTGCCTCGACTGCAGGGATTAGAAGAATTCAGCAGGGCAGGGCCTCAGGATCCCGGGGATGGGGCGAAGGAGGAGCCCCAGGGTACTGAGCCTCCACAGGCTGGATGAGGGGCCCAGCACGTGGGTAGCTGTGAGGTGGGAACACATGGTCAGGCAATCCCTGTGACATTTATGTTGGGCCATGCATGTGCAGGGACAAGTGAGACTTGCACCTTTCCCTAGGGTTAAACAGAGTAGCTCACAATGCCAATGAAGGGCCACAGGGACTGGCTGTTAATTGCTATTATTACTTTTAATTGTCTCTGCTCCTTACACCCTCATGTGGCAGCTTTGTGCTGGCTGTCTAGGGAACTGCTGGGTGCTACCAGCTGATTGGTGCAGGATCCTGGCTGAAATCGGAGGCCGGGGCCAGAAGCAGAGAGGAGTGTGTAGTGGAATGTGTGCGTGTGTGTGTACGCGTGTGTGTGTGTGTGTATTTACCAGAAAAAAAGACTATTTCAGTAAAGGAACCATTTCTAGGCTAGGTAAGGTAGCCAGTGTGTCCCAGACTGGAGTTTCATGGACCAACAAAACTTTAAACAAAGAGAAAAAGGGTGTAGACTAACATAACATTCACCAAGTTTTACATTTGGCTCAGTAAGGATATTAAGAACAGTAAATTCCCCTCTGATATCAAAATTGTAAGAAAAAGGAATCTTTTTTTTTCTTTTGAGATGGAGTCTCACTCTGTCATCCAGGCTGGAGTGCAGTGGTGCGATCTCAGCTCACTGTAAGCTCTGCCTTCCAGGTCACGCCATTCTCATGCCTCAGCCTCCCGAGTAGCTAGGACTACAGGTGCGTGCCACCACGCCCAGCTAATTTTTATATTTTTTTTTTCGTAGAGACGGGGTTTCACCGTGTTAGCCAGGATGGTCTCAATCTCCTGACCTCGTGATCCACCTGCCTCGGCCTCCCAAAGTGCTGGGATTACAGGTGTGAGCCACTGCACCCGGCCAGAAAAAGAAGCCTTTAAAAGGACATTATCTCTGACTGCTTCATGCAGGAATCCCCCTGCACAGGCCTTCCCTGTCTCCTGGTTCCCAGAAACAGTTATACTTGGGCTCTGGGATATGGTCCCTAAGGGACAGGAAAGGGACCCTAAGGGACAAGATCATTATCACCATCACCACTCCCATCATCATCACCACCACCCTCCATCATCACCACCATCATCACCACCACCATCACCACCACCATCACCACCACCACCATCACCATAATTACTGCCATCATCACCATCATCATCACCACTATCATCATCATCAGCATCACCATTACCATCATCATCACCACCACCACCATCTTCTTCACCATCATTACCAACATCATCACCGCCATCATCATCACCATCTTCTTCACCATCATCACCACCATCACCACATCATCACCACCATCTTCTTCACCATCATCACCAACATCATCACCATAATTACTGCCATCACCACCACCATCATCACCACTATCATCATCATCATTACCACCACCAGCGCATTCTTCACTATCATCACCAACATCATCACCACCATCATCATCATCACCACCATCTTCTTCACCATCATCACAATCACCATCATCACCATCATCATCACCAACACCATCACCACCACCATCACCATCATCACCACCAACACCACCACCATCATCACCACCATCCTCTTCACCATCATCATCATCACCACCATCACCACCAACATCATCACCACCATCATCACTATCATCACCACTAATCATCATCATGACCCCATCACCATCATCAGCACCACCATCCTCTTCTTCACCAGCATCATCACTAGCGTCATCACCACCATCATCAACCACTATGACCGCCACAATCATCTTCTTCACCATCATCATTGCCATTATCACTGTAATCATTATCATCATCACTGCAGCAGAAGACACATTTATCTACTGTCAAGTGTGGAATGCTCTGCTAAATTATCTCATTTCATTAAAAGTAAGTCTTTACCCTTAATTGGTACTCACACAATATCCCAAAGTAAGCAGATTTCTTGTCCCTGGTTTACAGAAGTAGCAGAGTGCAATGATAAGGGATGTGGGCTCCAAGGCCAGGCTGGCTCGATTCAGAACCCAGCTCTGCCACTTACTGGCTGCAAGTCCTCATTATTTCATCTTTAAAAGGATGATGATAGTAACAGTCCCTCCTTAAAGGGGAAGGATTGAGGAATCAATACATGTAAGGCACTAGAATGGTGCATGGCATGTTGAAAGTGCTATGTAATGTTAACTAATGCTGTCGTGGTCATACATTAGATTAGAAACCTCTGCCTCCCAAGGTGGCCTCTCAAGGTCATGGAGTCTGTCAGCAGCAGTGTGGGCCTCCGACCTCAGATCTGTGCCTCCACAATCAGTGCTGACAGCAACCAATGGCCATAGTTGGTGATCCACTTACCAGGGGCCACACGTATTCTAGGTGTGTGTGCTTCACCTGTCTGAGCTCAGTAACGTTGCTGTGTCTGGTTTACGGGTGAGGAGGGGGAGGCTCACAGAGTTTGAGTGAGTCACCCAGCCAGGAAGTGGCAGAGCCCATTGTGGTGCAGCCTCCGGGGGTAGTACCCATATAGGGCTCCTGGGAGGTGGCATCTCATGAGCGACCCGTGTAAATCCAGGTGGTCTTCTTAACTCTGCCACATCCTGTGGAGGTGCCCTCAGCAGCCTCGGTTTCTAACCTGGAAAAAGCGGGGTGGGCTAGACGGCCCTTGGGACCCTGCCCCCAGTGTTACAGTGCACACCTCATGGCATGTCCAGGCTTGGCCCCCTGGGACTTGCTGTGCACTGCGCTGAGAGGCAAGGGCTGCTGGGCTGCCCCTTCCCAAGGCTCCCTGGATCTCACTGGTGAAAACGTGGGTCACAAATAAAACACCCTGAGGCAGACGAGGGGAGGAGCAGGAGGTCAGGGGCCACACCAGCCTCCCTGTGCACCAGTGACAACAAAGGATGCTGGCTGTTTCCTGCCGCTGAGAGGTCAGCTTCCCAGGTGCCGGGGCCCGAGGTCAATTCTGCCTCAGAGCTGACCACACCTTCAGCCGCGCATGCACCTGCTCACCTGGCTGGCCACATCCTCCCTGTCTTCTGTGGGACCAGCCCTTTCTCAGCTCCAGCCATGTGGTCAGGTGATGCCACCCTGCCCCCTCCCCACCTGACTGCCCAGCCCTGGGCTCCTGCAGTTCCCATGGGAGCCTGGCTGGAATGTCCCTTTGATCCCAGTGAGTGACGGGCTCAGGGGAGGGGCCTGGGACCACAGCGGGGACAATGCCGCCCTACTCCTGCTGCTGGGGTTCCCACGCCTCAGGCCACAGAGGGAGGCCAGCCTCCTGAGGGGGATACCCATGTGCAGGATGGCACAGGGCTCGGGAGGAAGAAGGGCAGGAACAGAGACAGAGAGACCCAGAGAGACGGGCGACTGCCCTAGAGACACAGCTGGAAACCCTGGACACAGCCATGCCTGGCTTCTCACTTGTACAAACTAAATGCATATCCTTGGTGGTATAAAAAAACTTGGCTTTCTGTTGTTTACAATGGAAAGAACTAGGAATGATGCAGTAATGCATTTAATAGTTGTGCTGCTGCACTGCGTGGCTAAGAAACTGCCGTGGCTACATAGCTTCTCTGGGGACACAGCCGCTTCCCTTCCCCATGGGAAGGTCCTGGTGAGGCTGACCCTCAGGAGGCCAAGCAGCCCACCCGGCACACAGGGGTGCATATGTGGGTGTGGTCTAGGGATCCTGCTGGACTCTCCTGGGCCCTGTCATTAGCAGTAAGTGACCCAGGGCCCACTTAAGGACAGGTGGCTTTTTTTCTGAGATGTTCTGTAGTCTGACTGCTGAGAAAGGTGATCTTGGCTTCCTTTTAGAGATGCGATGGAAGGACACGGGCTATGGCCACCATTCAAAGCACAGGGAGGGAGTGAGTCCAGCAATGAAGCCAGCTCATGGCGGAAGACAGAACCAAGTTCAAGGTCTGGGGTCAGGGAGAGATGGACACAAAAGACCTTGATGCTAGGAGTCCCTGGATTGTGGCTTGTGGTGGTCACTGAGGCTACTAATCAAATACTTCTGGCTTTCCACCAGGGCGCATGTGGTCAGACACTACTTCTTAGCTCTCCTGTGGTTGAGTAGGCCCTTGAAATTAATTTTGGCCAGTGAATTTTGAGAGGAAGTGAATTCTGTTATTTCCTGGCTGGAGGTTTTAATTCCAAATGCAAGACCCCCACCCACCAGCATTGTCTTTTTGTCCTTGGGCATGGCCACCAAAACATTTGAGAAGCTGGTGGTTCTATTAGTCTGGGTCCTCAAGTCACCCCCTGTTGATGTATGATGGGCATAAGGTGTGAATGAGAAAGAAACTTTTGTTGTTCCAAACCACAGAGATTGGGGAATTTTTTATTTTTTATTTTTTTAAGGCTAGTCAGGTGAAGCAGTGGGAATGGAGAAGGAACAAACAAAATCTGTAACTGGTTGTGATCAATGAGTTGTAAACACTGCTGCACTCAGAGCAGCCAAGGGGAATGCTTGTTACTGCAGCTTCATATAGGGCAAGCTGACTGATACACATCTCCATGGCCCTCTTAGTCCTGTGGGCCAGTACATCCTAGGCAGAGATGGGTTTCTGTCACCAGCAACCAAAATTGTCCTAGCAAGTATAGGAGGGAAGACCAGACAAAATCAAGGCAAAGGCTGAGTTTGGCCTCCTCTGAGAGAATGGCTGTACTTTCTAGGAGAAAAGGAAAAAACCACCTACTAGACAATGGAAATGGATCCCATTAAGCATGGCCAGAACACAGCATAGCAGCAGGCACTTTATGTGTCTCAGAGGAGACCCCTCTGCCTGTGATAAAGAAGCCAGGGAAGCCAACCATCCAAGAGGGAAGTATTGACTTGTCTGCTTCCTTAACCATGGAGAAACTTCTTGACGTCAAAACCAAGCTTCCAACCAGGCCTTCCTCCCAGTCAGTGCTGGGATCAGTGCATCATATAGCAAGGGCTCAGCAATGTTTGTAGTGCTCCACATACATGGAGGCTAGCAGTTACTACCACTCTAGTCTGAACCACCATGATCTTGCACCTGGACTGTTGCAGCAGCCTCCTGCCTCCTTGCTTCCATGCTTGCCCTTCCCTTTACTGATACACATTCTATAGAGACAATAGAATGAGCTTTTAAAAAATGTAAATCAGGTGATTTTCAACTCTGCTGCTTAACGTTTTCCAACAGCTTCCCAATGCAACCAGAGTCACGTTCAAGCTGCCTTCTATGGCACAAGCCAGACACCACGTGGCCCTGCCTGCTCCCTGGCTCATCTCCCACCGCTCACCACGTGGCCCTGCCTGCTCCCTGGCTCATCTCCCACCGCTCTCCCCTCCTCGGTCCCCCCAGCCGTGTTAGCCTCCTCTTTGTCTCTTGAACAAGTCGAGCTCATTCACACCTCAGGGCCTTTGTGTGTGCTTAACTCTGCCTGGAACATTCCTTCCCCAGCTCACATTTCACTGCAATGCTAGCTCTCCAGATCCTACAACACAGCCTGGTGCATAGCGGGCACTCAGTAACTCTGGAGAAAGTGAGCGAATGGGTCAAAGCCACACACCCTTGGACCCTTTGCTCATATTCCACCGTTGGCCACGTCATCTCCTTGGGTCTGAATGGGGCAAGTTGGAGATACAGGAAGCTGGATGATTACAGCTCCAGCTGGGGATTGCCGAGGCAGGGGACACAGCCCTGGCTGGGGCAGTGGCTGGCTGTGACCTCCTCACTTTGCATCTCTGGGCCTTCCCCTTCTCAGCTGTGAAGTGGGCCGGTGGGACTAAACAGCTCCTTAGGCTCTTGAACTTGTCAACCCGACACATCCCTCTGGGTGTAAGGCGACTCACCCCATGTCCCAGGAGAGGGCCATCGGTCCAGACACCTCACACATGCAGCATTTGAGCATGCAGGGCCTGAAAGCTGTTTTCTGAGTATGGCCTAGAAAAATCTACACTGAAAGGAAAAAAAAAAAAGGCCAAACCTAGAAATCCCACTTAATATACCTTTTGGGACTCACGAGAGGCAGTGACAGATTGCATGACAAGCTTCAGACTGTCAGCATTTAAAATAGACCTTTAAGCAGGGCTGCTGGAAAGAGGATGCTGTACAGCTTGGCAAGGAAGCCAAGATGGAGCATCTGGGGAGATTCCAGTGGCCTCTGATCCTGCGCTCTGACTGTTTCTGGAAAAGGAAATAAGAGGATTTTTCTCAAAGAAATTTACTAAGACACTGAAAGGCCAAAAGCTAATCTTTAAGGATGGGTTGGGAGGAGGTGGGCTATAGAACTAAGAGATAGAAGGTGGGGCAAGGTGTGGTGGCTCACACCTGTAATCCTAGTACTTTGGGAGGCTGAGATGGGTGGATCACCTGAGATCAGGAGTTCAAGACCAGCCTGGTCAACACGGCAAAAACCCATCTCTACTAAAAATATAAAATTTAGCTGGGTGTGGTGGTAGGCACCTGTAATCTCAGCTACTTGGGAGGCTGAGGCAGGAGAATCGCCTGAACCCGAGAGGTGGAGGTTGCAGTGAGCCGAGATTGTGCCATTGCAGTTCAGCCTGGGCGACAGAGTGAAAACTCCATCTCAAAAAAAAAAAAAAAAAAAAAAAAAGAGAGAGAGAGATAGAAGGTGAGAGGTGAGGACAGGGTCCTGTGAGCATGCTGACCTCTACACTCCAGCCACATTCCATGGGCAGTGGTCCCCTCTGTTCATGAGACACACGTGGACAGACAGAGGCAGGAAGGATACACAACAGTCCATCTTTAGACAAGACAAGCTCGAGCTTAAATCTCTCGCTAGCTACACAACCCCAAGCAGCAAACCATCTCCCTCCAAGCCTCAGTTTTCTCAACTGTGCCCTGGGCCAAGAGCAGAGTTTACAGGGCTGCACTGAGGACAAGATGAATGCACACTTCTAAATAAATCCTTTCCCCAGCATCCGGCCTGGGGAAGCCGTCGAGTCACGTTGGCTACTGTTGTCTGTCCAGGAATCCAGCTTGGACGTTCTGGTCTACAAGTCTCTCTGAAAACATCCCCCTGCCCTTTGCAGACAGGAAGCTCTGCTCCCTGACCACCTCTGTACCACCTCACCCCACGCCCCAGTTACAGAGGGCTGGGCCATGAGATGGCACCTGTGTCAAGCCAGGCCAATCATCAGAACCTCCCCTGGGAATCTGGAGTAGATGTGGACAGTCTGCTCCCGGTGTGCACCGAGGACATCACAGCTGGGGCGACAAGGCTGTCACCACACAGCACCAGTGGAGGGAGGCATGTGCTTCCAGGGCCTCAGGAGGCAGGGCCCTGCCTTCTGCCCTCGATGACCAGGAAAAGCCCTGGCGTCCCTAGACCAAGGTCCATTTCTTCATGCAACCCAGCTCAGGCAAGCTTTGTATTTCTTGCAATGGGAGGAGTGCCATCTTTCAGTCTGTCTGTCAAGCTGGGTGGAACCTGTTATACCCAAGACGTCATCTCAGGTCCTGGCTCGGTGGCCCATTTCTCCCGATGGACTGCCCTGGACACTGCATTTCTCCTGATGGACGGCCCTGGACACTGCATTTCTCCCGATGGACTGCCCTGGACACTGCAGGGCTTTGGGCATCCTTGCCTCCAATCTCTAAACATTGGGATTCAAGATGACAACCAAGTAACGTCCCCTCCACGTTTCCAATCAGTCCCCGCACTCCCCCACCACGAGAGCCACATGCCGCAGACATTTCTGGGTTACTTTTTGTCAAAGGGCAGTGACAATGACCAGACAGAGGGCACTGAACAGGCAGGGGTCAGATGTCTCCTGTGTCCATGACAAAGACAGTGAGGCCCCGAGGTTTGGCCAAGGACCTTAAGGCTGACTTCAAATGACCACAGAGCACTTCCGGGTCAGGCAGCCTTGGATCGTCTGCCTTGGCTGGGAGCCGCTCCTCCAAGCCCTTTGAGGGGTCCCAGATGATAATATACTGAGCTTTTTCATTCTTTTCCCCAAGTGCTACGTCCCAAATTTACTTTTGTAAATTGACAATAAGCACAGATGCCACGGGAGAGTGGGAAGATGATGCCATGCGTCCTGAAGAGGGGATTGAAAGGCCTTCTGATGTGTGGACCCCCCCTGCTGACCTCCAGGGCAGGTTTTAAAATACACAAGAAGGGCAGGGCGTGGTGGCTCACACCTATAATCCCAGCACTTTGGGAGGCCAAGGTGGGTGGATGGCTTGAGGCTAGGAGTTCAAGACCAGCCTGACCAACATGGCAAAACCCCATCTCTACAAAAAATACACAAATTAGCTGGGCATGGTGGCATGTGCCTATAATCCCAGTTACTTGGGAGGCTGAGGTGGGAGGATCACTTGAGCCTGGGAGTTTGAGGCTACAGTGAGCTGAGATCACATCACTGCACCACAGCCTGGGTGGCAGAGTGAGAACCTGTCTCAAAACAAAACAAAACAAAACATACTAAGAATTCCGATGTAGGCGAATTCTGAATGGGACAGTTCAAAAGGTGACTGCAGAGAGCTGAGTCACATCAGCTAAAGCCCTGAACACACATGAACACGGGCCCAGGAGCCTGGGCAGGTTATTTGACTGTGTCCTCTGCCACATGGCAGGACCTTAGCTAATGCTGGCTATTGCCAAGTCTCCTGCTGGGAATAGGGAGCAGGGGAGAACCCTGAAGGTTGAGGTCAGGTCTGACCTGGCTGAGGAAGGAGGAGGAAGTCTCAGCAGAGATGGGGAAATATCATATGTCAGCTATAGCTTGACAGAGCCTACTCGGTGACCACAGCCATCCTGACATCCCATGGGTAAATGCTCAGGACAAGCCCTAGAAAAATTCTGTAGGATGCCCATTTCACAGACACGGACACTGAGGCAGAGCATAGTTAAGGGAAGGCTTAGCGCACACACTCAGTGTTGGGCCGATGGAGCGTGTGGCCGTGGCAGAGACAGCTGGCAAAGGTACGCAAGTATCATGAGATTTGGGGTTGGGGAAGAGACTTGGGGGAGCCCTGGCGAGCGAGTCCATGTGACGGCTGAGCACAGAGGCTGGGGAGAGAGGAGAGAAGAGGAGCCAGCCGCAGGCCTCAGGTCACCAGTGGGGCGGGTGGGCTCCGGGGGTCCAGGGTAGGATGTCCTCGGAGCTGAGTCTATGCTTTCAGGGACGGAGGGGGACAGGTGGTGAGAACGGTTCCCACGGAGAAGTAAAGGAGGATGAACACTGAGATTCCCTGGCCGCTGGACTTGAAATTCAGAGGCCAGGAAAGGGTGGGGCAGCAGAAGAGGTTTTCTAGGCGCTCTCCCAGATCAAAACCCACCACCACCTTTGCACTGAAAACCCCTGTCCTGAGATGAACGCGATTTTAGGGCTGCTGAGCGCCTCCTCAGTGGCCGTGGGAAGACAGGGCCTTGACCCCTACTGGCTCTCCCCACACCTGGGGGCTGTGCCGTCCCCTCAGGCAGGCCTGGCTCCCTCTTCACAACGGCCTAAGAGCTGCCGCACGACAAGTGACCAGGCTCTGAAGTCAAGGGTGAGCAACCACTGCACACAACCTTTGACCTGCAGAGAGGACTGTAGGAGACTGTGTCCCACTGCCCCCTCTCGGCTATGGAATGGGGTAGGAGGGAAGCTTAAAACCCAAGGAGGGCTGCAGACACCCTGCTGAATGCGGACTGTGCCGGAGCATATGAGGCCGGCGAGGGAGGCAGAACTGACAATGCCCCCTAGACCTTCGCCCCCTGGCATCACCCCCACAGTAATGTCAGGGTTGATGGTGAAAGGGGGATTATCAGGTGGGACCGAACTAATCTCATCATCTCATGAGCCCTTTGAAAGCAAGTACTTTTCTCTGGCGGGTGGCAGAAGGGGAAGTCGGAGAGACTAGAAGAGTTGGGGAGGCCAGTCCCATAGACTCAGGGAGCCAAATCCTGCCCACAACCTGAATGTGACCAGAGGCAGACTCCTCCCCGAGCCTGCAGCTAAGGGCCCAGGCCTCAGACCCCTCCACCGGAGCCCTGTGAGAGCCTGGGCAGAGAACCCAGTCCAGCTGCCTGACTTTGGACTCACAGAGCCTCGGGGTCGGGGGTGTGAGCAGACACGCCTGTGGTCACGGGTTCTGCAGCACAGGAAACGGAGGGAACTGGGGCTGCAGGTTCCTTCACAGATCTTTTTTTTCTTTTCCTGAAGATTTATCTGCAATCTCACCCAAGACAGAGATTGAAAAAGAGAGAGAGAGAGGGAGGGAGAGGCATGTGGGTGAAGGGAATTCCCAGAACATCTTCCCTTCTTCCCTCCCTTGAAATCCATCATCCTCTCTGAACTCTCACTCTTCACTCTTCATCCCAAAGAGGCAAAAATCACAGCAGTGGGCTCTGGGGCGGGGTGGGGTCCCCAGGACTTCCGTGTCATCCTGGTTGTGATTGCTGAGCTCCTGCAACGTGCAGCCTTGAGTCCGCTCTGGCCACCCTTCCTGCCGTTTAGAGGGCTCAGGGTCACCCGGGTGGCAACGTGGCTGGGCTGTCCAGCTCCGAATCCCCCCAGTGCTGCACCCGAACGCCTCCCTCCCACGCAGCCTCCTGCCGTCTCCGCAGGTTTTAAATCAGACGCCGCTCAGGCTGTGCCCAGGCTGCTGAGCCAAAAGCGGGATCAGAACCACAAGGAGGAAGAAATTACTGATGGGGATGAAAGACCGAAATAACTTTTCTTTTTTAAAACCAAAGATGCTGATGGGCTCCTTGCAAGGCAGAGGAACACACAGGCAGCAGTGCCGCAGGCAGGAATGCTAGGAGTGTGCGGGGCTTGGAGCCAGCACGCCCGCCCGGCCTCCAGGCTCAGGACTCCACTCTTGGGGCCCAGTCTCTGCTCTGGCAAGCTGTTGGGTATGGGACCCACCGCGAGGGGGACAGAAGGGCGGGGACCCTGGCTCTCAGAACTACCCAACTGAGAGGCACAGAGCTTTGATTTGAAAAGCAACACGTATCACAAAAATGCCGCCAACTGGCTCGGCTCACTTGTTCCTTTTCTCAATCAGCAGCAGATCATTCATCAAGCACCTTCTGGGCTCCCGGGACTGACCTTGCAGGGGAGGGGAAGAGAAAATAAGGACCCTGTGCAGAATGCCCAGGCACACGTCACAGCACACGGACCTCGTGGGGATGGTGGCCTGGGCTCCTGCAGCTGCCGGCACAGACGACCAGGCTCGGTGGCCTCAAACAACACAAACGTCTCCCCTTACAGAGCTGCAGGCTGGAAGTCTGACCAGGTCTCTGGGCTGAAGTTAGGGCGTTTGTGGAGCTTCCTTCCTGCTGGAGGCTCCTGGAGTGTGGGGGATCCACTTGCTTCCCCCGCCCGGCTTCCAGAGGCTGCGGTGTTCCTCGGATCCTGGCCACTGCCTCCACCTTCAAAGCCAGCAAAAGCGGGACAAGTCCTTCCCCCCACTGCATTGCATCCCTCTGACTCTCAGCCCTATGCCTCCTTTCCCACATTTAAGGACCCTTGGGGTCACACTGAACCCATCCAGATAACCCTCAGCTGACAGCAACCTGAGTTCCCTCTCCGACCTCCACTCCACGTGACCATGAGGCTGATGTATTCAGAGCTTCTGGACATTAGGACGTGAACATCTCTGGGGGCCGCTATTGTGCCCACCATAACCACAAAGAGACCATCCCTGTCAGACAGCACAGCTGGGCAGGCTGTGCTCTGAAAACTGTTTACCTCCCCATCAGCAACAGAGCTCAGAACTTTCAACAGGACAGAAACTATGAGGGTGGCAGAGAAGCGGCTTCCAGGAAATGCACTTCCCTGTTCCCAGATACAAACAACACTCAGTTCCAATTCGGATTCTGCCACTTATGGTGAGCCCTAGGGCGGGGCCCAGTTCCTGGAGACTCCTCCTGCAATGGGTGGGCGTGGCCCTCACTCAGACTGAGCCGCCAGCACGATGGTTCCTCGCTCGGCTAAAAGCGCCCAGCTCTGCACCAACAGCCCTTTTCCTGGTCTGCACCACATGCTCAGGGGGCCACGCTCCCCTTCCTGGAATCACACTGGTTTCCAGTAGTGGAAGCTGCCTATCTGCTGGAATTCAGCACCAACAAGCACCCGAGTCCATAGTTCCACTTGTTCCCAGCTCCCTGGAAGATCGTGGTTCCTCCCATGTGCGCACATGTGTATGGCGTGTGTCATCCGCCCTGCTCCTCTTTGCTCGATGCTGGGAAGAACAGCCTCGTGTCACACGCCTGGGTAAGACCCCAGCAGCGAGGTGCAGGGGAAGTTTGCCAAAAGAATCACGTGCTTTGAATTCCCTTAACATTGGCATGGGTTTGTGTGTGGGCAGGGGAGGCACCAGCCCTGTCGGGCACGTGCCAGTGGGTCCTCAGCACTCTGACACCACACAAGGGCCAGATCTATGGACTCCAAATCCAGGGGCCAAGGAAGCAGGTGCCAGCATGCTGGGCTGTGTTTCCATCCTCCAATAAACAGAAATCACTTCAGAGAGCCGGCTCCGTCTGCTCCTGGCACAGTTGGTTTTTCTTAGTCATCTCAGGAAATTGTTGGTTGTACTGCAAGATGAGTGAAGCACCTTAAGAAGAACACGGGTTACAGTACTGACTTGCCACTTTACGAAGCAGTCTTTTTGCCAAGCGTAGCTGTGTCCGCTTTCACAGAACCCCCGTAGCAGCAGGGCTTGGGCGTGGAGCAGCCAAGGCCCACGTAGCAGTGGCTTCATGTACGGAGCCGAGGGGGAGGCTCACAGGTTGGCTGAGGGTGTCCAGCAAGGCAGTGGCTCAGTTGCATGTTCCACTGATCATCGGAAAGCCAGGGTGAGGTGTCAGCCTCCAAGAGTCTGAGGAAGAGAATGGGAGGGAGATGCCTCCAGGCGGCAGAGCTGTCACAGCGCCGGGTGTCCGTCACAGCACCGGGTGTCCGTCACAGCGCCGGGTGTCCATTGCTGCCACCATGTGATCTTGATCTGTCCTTTTCCACCATCCGTCATGCCTTGCCGTGTGCCACACACACCATTTAAGTGTAAAACACACTCTCTTCTGAATGCTCCCAGCAACACTACAAGAAAAGTGCTAGCAGCGTTGGCCTCTGCTGTACAGGTGAAGAAGCTCAGGTGCACACCAGCGATCTGTGCCAGTGTCCAAGCTCTGGGCACTGCCTTGTGGCCATGCTAAGTGCCTTCTTCCTTCCAACAAACTGCTTTGGCTCACTCAACAGCTATTTGCAAGCAGCAGCTCCTCCCTCTACCCCAGGGGCCAGGAAGCTCAGCGCTTCTCCCAGCCTCCCTCCAGGAGTGCCTAGGTCCTGGCCAATGAGACAGGAGCAGGCGCCTGCCAGGAGGGGCTTCCTTTCCCCAAACCAAACCTCCCCAGAGCCTGAAGCTTTTCAGCCCTTCCTTCTTCCCTGTCTGGAATGTGGAAGTGGCTCTACATCTATGCTGCCCCCAGAGCATGCTGAGGACACGGAGGAGAAGGAGAGAAAGAGCCACATGCCCAGATCACCGTGGCGCAGCTATGCCCACCTGGCCCCTGCAGCCTGGCCCCTGATGTCTGTTGGGTGAGATGAGTAAAGCCCTGTGTGTTTAGGCAACGGTTTCTGTTTCTCCCAGCCAGGCAGGGTCCTAACTGCAAGGCCTTATCTTGTTTAGCCACAAAGAGCCCCATGAGACAGGCACTGTCATTATAATAATCACTTATCAGATGTGGAAATCGAGGCACCGGAAGGTTAAATGGTATTCCTCTATAACACAATCAGCAACTGATGGAGCTGGTGATTACATTAATATCTTAACATTTCTGCAGTATTGCACACAGAGACTCCACGAGAGGACTCGACCCAGGAGAAAATCAGGTGTGATCTGATCATTTCCAAGGTCACCTGGCTGCTGAACATCAGAGCTGGGATCCAAACCCAGGTCCTCCTGGCTCTGAGAGTCAAGGTCACCCCATGGCCTCTGGCTACATCCTCCCTACGGCATTTTTCTTCCTTCCTTTTTTTTTTCTTTTGCAAAAGATTGGTTTTACCTGTAGCATTTCTGTCTTATAAGAGACAGAATCTTGTTCTATTGCCCAGGCTGGAGTACAGCAGTGCAATCATAGCTCACTGCAGCCTTGAACTTCTGGGCTCAAGCAATCCTCCTGCCTCAGCCTCCCGAGTAGCTGAAACTATAGGTGTGCACCACCACACTTGGCTTTTTTTTTTTTTACTTTCTGTAGAGATGAGGTCTATGTTGCCCAGGCTGGTCTTGAACTCCTGGCCTCAAGCAATCCCCCCACCTCAGCCTCCCAAAGCACTGGGATTACAGGCATGAGGCACCACACCCAGCCCCACCTATAACATTTTTGAAAGGATAAATCTCAGAGGTGAGTGGTGCCCTGTAGATAATATTTTTTACAATGCTACACTTGAGAATTATCCGGGAATGTGGGAAAAACCTGGAATCCTAGGTTCTTGGAGGAAGGACCCTCATTGGAGAATGGGACGGGCTGTGCCCAGGGTCACCCAGCCGGGAAGGGAGGATGCTCAGCTCTGCCCTGCTGCCCTCCCGCCACTGGGCTCCTTTGCCTGCTTTGTAAGCTCAGTGGATGCCTCCCACCCTGGGCACCCAGTGCCTATGGGGAGGGCAGTGTGGACTTCTCTTTTGCCCACACTAGCCCTTCTTGCAGCTCTCGGGCCAAGCCAGGCTGGGGACACCGTAGGAGGGGAGGCTACACTCAGTCTCTGGTGATGCTTCCCAATTACCACCCTCCCAAATTGGCTGGACAAATGAATCAAGCTGTTGGCTGTCACTGAGTTGGTTTCTACTCTATAGTAATTAGAATGTTTTAAAAAAAATCAGCCCAGGAGCTCAGTGGAAGCATGTATACCAATACATCGAGCCAAACTCACAGTTTAAATGGAAATTAGAGTAAATGGATGAATCTGTGCCTGATTTGCATTTGCTGATGAGCTCGGCTGGGAGTGTCCATGCCGAAGCAGGCTCCGTTTCCAGAATGGCTCTCTCTCCTCTATCTGTCCAGAAGGATGCCTGGCGAATGTGACCCACATGCCCCTGGACCCGGCAGCCCAGGGCTGGAGTCGCCAGTGGGGAGGAGGGGTGGGGTATTGTGGCCAGACTCCAAAAGACTTGTCCACGGCTGAGCTAATCCGGCCTGGGCCCAGAGGGGAGCAGAGCCTGCCTCTGGCTGTGGACAGGGCGTCTGGAGGGGCCTCACTCTGTGTACCCCTGCCCCCTATGCCTGCCCCTCCAACACCCACTGCCTAACCCCAAAACTGTCTTAGGGCTCTGCCCCCCATGCCTGCCCCTCCAACACCCGCTGCCTAACCCCACAGAACATCCTGTCTTAGGGCCCTCTTTGTGGTCGGCCTCTTTCCCCGGCCAATCAGAGCACCTCGAAGAAGGCCGATGATAATCAGAGCCACCATTCTCAGAGCAAACACCCCAAGCATCTCCTGGCACGAGGTGCTCAACACTGCTCCCGGCCAGGCTTTGTTACCCCCAAGAGAGGGCCCAGGAGGGGGCCATGTCCAAGGGCACGCAGCAGAGCCTGGATTTAAATCTAGGAATGGGTGGGGGCGGGAGGATTCTTTTTAGCTTTATAATCTTTTTTAAGGATGCCGGCAGCTGAGGCTTCGGAAATAGGACATCTAGAAAAAAGACCTGTTGAGCTCAAGGAAACCGCCCTGATCGTGTGGGAAGACAGCTGCTTCTTTATTGCTCGGGTTTCGGTGCTGGGACCTTGGCCAACCGAAGTTCTTGGTCAAGGGGACCCATCTCCATCAGGGTGCCTTCTTGGGGAGGATGAGGTGGGTCCCACTGGTGCTAACAAAGACCACCCGCCCTCCGCCCCTGGCCGTGACCTTAGCAAGCCAGGGCCAGATGCTCAGGGCTCATTCCCTGCCACTCACCAACACGGGGCACCCCCAAAAGATTCTACACGTCGCTGACAAAACCCAGAGTTGCCAGGCGGGTGAAGACCAGCGGGGAGACTGGGCAGGGGTCACCGTAGTCTCGACAGCTCATGGCTCACATAGATCTCTTCAACCGCAAAGCAACATCTGGGAGGGATGCTCCTCGGTGGCAGGCGCCTCACATCTCACTGGACCGGGTCCCGGAGCCCCCCCCCCGCCCAACTGGACCCCTCCCAGCCTGGCCATTCCTGCTCTCCTCGGCCTTTGTGGGCAAGAGGGAGCAGTTGGTGAGAAGCTACTGGAGAAGCTGATATAAACCATTATGCAGCCTGCAAACGCACAGGGTGTTTCTCCCTCTCCACCGTTACCACGCGGAAGGAGCACACCGTCCACTTGGTTAAAACAACAACGGAAATCCACCCAGCCATGCTGTCTTTGGAGAAAGGCAGGCTGCACTCGGGAGCAGGCACGCTGCCCCAGGCCAGCCTTGCAGGGACTTTCAATACAGTTTGTCGGGTTAGGAAAGAACACGCCAGAAAATGAACAAGCCACATCTGTAGCCACAGCACCTCATCATGCAACCGACCTCCCTTTGAGGTTAACCACAGTGCTTACTAGGAAGAGATGTATGAATTTGTCTTAAAAACCCACTAGCCGCTCAAAGGGACCCTTGAGACTATAAACAGGATCCCTGGGATTCTGGATGCAACTGAGAAGCCTGTTTCCTCCCGAATGATCTGAGGCTATATCTTTATTTCCATTCTAAATCAGAAGCAGGCGAAAGCCGTGATGGAAACAATAGCCTCGGGGCGCCCAGCAAGCAGGACACAGTCCCCCTAAAACACACCAAGTGCAAAGCCATTGCCACCCCGTCTCACCAAGCGCCGGCAGGACTGCCCAAGTCCCACGGTCCTCCCGTCCCCGCAGCTCTCGTAAAGAACAAAGGCTCCGCACACCAGCCCACAGCGTACCTCCAAAATGAACTTTCTTCTTGAACCGTGAATTCTCGGCCATCCTTTCTAACCTGGGTGTGACCATCTCACTCGGACCACTGCTCCTCGGGGTCTCCACGGAGACTGAGTCCGTGGGGCGGCCTCATCTACTACTGCCTGTTAATTCAACAGGAAAAAAAAAAAGTTGCAGCCCTCTGGGGGCAGAATTGAAGAAGAAAAGAAAAAAAAAATCAGATGAAGAAGAAAGATGGCTCCGGGAATGTTTCATCCATGAGGAAGTTCACAAATTTGACTTCTGGGGACTGAACATCCAAATCAGCTGAAAATTCGCTTCTTTGACACAAGTTGTAAGCCCCAGACTGGAGCCGCGTCCTTCCACTTCCCACTGTACCAGGGACTTTTTTTTCCCCTAGTGCCAGTTTCCATGGCAATGCATCAGTCACTAGTCTAAATAAGTACGGGTGAAGGACGCCTGAAAAACCAGTGCAATTACGCATGCCATTAGCAGGGAGAGGCAGTGATTCAACCCGGCTATTAGGATGGGCCGGAGGTGTCACTTAGAGGCGGCAGCTGTCCTCGTCCCCAGTAATTGCTTTCTCATTTTGCAAGGCTTGGTGTTTCCTCGGTCTTGGCCGTTCAGAGCCCTGCTTTCTGTGAAGGGGCAGCCGGGCAGCCAAGCCCGTTTTGGCTACACAGACGCCCTGAGCCTACGCTGGAGGGAAGGAACTGCGCCTCGGTGGAGGTGGCCCTGGCCCAAGGCGTGCACTGTGCCTTCCTCTGGGCAGTGGGTCCTTAGCGGGGCTTGGGGCATCAGGAGGCAAGGAGGGATTTGGGGAAAAATCCATGGACATGCTGCAGATTCCATCTGCAAGGTCACGGCCAGCAGTCCACCCTGCATCAGGGTCAGGGCACAGGGCTGGGGGCTGAGCCTCCTTCCAAATACCTGCAAGGACTTCTCGGCTTTCAAATACTTCCCAATCGGTACGTCCCGTGAGAAGGCGAATGTCACAGCAGGGCAGGGAGGGAGTGCTCCTCCCTTTTTGATAGAGCTCATTCTCTTTTTTTTTTTTTGAATTGCTGGCCTGAATGTCCATCATGGCCCGGGACAGAAGCCCTCACCTTCCTGAGCTGCAGGCTTTCAGTGGGTTAGAAAACGGATTAGAAGGGGTTGGGGATACTCAATGGATGTCCTTCATCCCCCTGGAGAGGCAGAGTGTATGGCAGGGAGGCAGCCTGGACTGAATCCCACTTTGCCGGTCACTGGCGCTATGAGCTTGGGCTTGTTTCCAGTTATCTTGATTTGTCAGCTGGGGATAATCACGAATTATCGGTAAGATGGAAATCAGGGTCATGAGAATACAATGAATTAAAGAAGGGTGCCTGGCATACAGTAGGCACGCAAGGAAGATCAGCTTTGTTCCTGTTCTTACGTTCACTGCCCATGTGAAGAGCACGTCAGGTGCCATCACCTGCAAGCTCGCCGTGGCGCAGTGAACGCTGCCTGGGGTTCCAGATAGCGTGGGGTGTAACTCACTCCTTTGATTCCCGTTAGCCCACCCACGTTGGAATAGACACTTTGTGACGGTTCAAATAGACACTTTGTAACAGTTCAAAGATGAGAAGCGTGGACCTGGAGAAGGTTAGCGACTGGCTCAAAGTCACACAGCCAGGTAAGGGTGGACTTGGGGCTAGAACCCAGCGCTGTGCCCACCCACTATCCATGCCTGCTGCCCCAGCACTCCTGGGGACATGGACGTCATGGTGCTGTGTGCATGGGCACCCAGTGGGTTGCTGGGGATGAGGATGGAGCTGGGCTTCACTCTCATGGGTGGCCTGGCAGATGCTGAACCTAACCCTAATCCTGCCCGCATGCAGCATGGTGGAGGGGTGCAGAACCCTGACCTACGTGGGATCCTGGTTTCTGTGGCCCTTTCCTTCTGCCCGTGGTCTGATGTGATCTATGGGCAAATCGGAGGGTCATAAAAATAGCCCTACCTGGCACGCCAGGGGCCCAGGGGGCTGCTGCTGCTCACTGGGATTTCAGTGGGAGGCAGAAGCTGCGGAGACAGGAGGTAAAAATAGCAAGGGTTTCCACAACAGCCCCGCGCTCCCCTGCTCCAGCATTTGACACGGCAGCACACGAGATCCTCTTGTCCCACTGCGCTGGAATCTTAAAGGTTCCTGTCCTTGGAGACACCCTATCTTGCCAGGAAAATGAGGAGCTCGCAGCTGCACACAGCAGAGGCTCCACCTTCCCTGAAGTCCTTAAATCCCCCACATCAGGCTGACTAGGAAGGCCAGAAGTGGGTGAGGGCTGAGCTTCAAAGCAAAAGGGTTGGTCCCTTCCCAGTGGGTGACCCCAGGCAGGTTCCTCAACCTCTCTGAGATTCAGCTTCTGCATCAAGAATAAGCAGGCAGACCAGAACAGCTCCTGCTGGAAGGCAGAGCCAGAACCATCGGACCGCTGGAACCAGCTCCATGAGGGCAGGGTCCACGTTGCCCCTGGACACAGCTGCACCCCCAGGGCCTGGTACCTGGGAGATGCCCATAAACACCGACTACCTGCACACACGTGCTTATAAACTGTAGAGTACTGTACAAAGTGCCACGGTCATTTCTGATGTAGGGGTCATCACCTCGTCTAACTGGTTTATCACAAAATGGATGTGATCCAGGGACATCTCCAGAGGCTACAGAGAATGAGCCTGGGGTCTGGTGTCCACAGCCCCCGCCTGTCAATCTGCTCCCTGATGCCATGGGTGATGGGACTGGAGGAATGTCCCTGGCATTCTTGGCCCTGTGACTCCTTCGTTGGTGAAAAAGTGGGGATGGAGAAAGTGCCAGCTCCCAGGGGGCCATGAGGAGAACCCATGAGGGTGTGTGGAAAGTGTCTCAGTTGAAATCCACTCATCCGTCACACCCCCATGGCAGGGAGGCCCTAAGAGGTCCCCAGGAGGGAGGGCTGGAGATAGAGTTGTTTACGCTGTTCTTGGCCCAACACCAGTCTCTAATTACCCAGAAACATGCAGGAATGACAGGTGGGACTGATAGCTGTGTGTTCTTGCGGTATACATGTGCTGACACACGTGAACACGCATGTGAACATACACACACACATTCATGTAGCACACCGGCATGCACAATGCACACGTGTGCATGCACATATATACACACATGCTCACATACATGCAAACACATCTTCACACACACGTACATGTATGCACACCCATGCATGCACACATACACATCTGTACACACATGTTGGGGAGGAACAGAGGAGAGACTGGGAATTGGGAATTCTTTTCTTTGGAAAAATAATCTCAAGGCTTTCTTTCCCTCTGGAACCCAAAGGAGTCCAGTCCTCATTCCCCCAGTGACCTGAGCCCGGGCTTCCGTGTGCCAGGCAGGCCTGAGGTGAGATCCCTGACTGACCGGCAGTCCGGGCACCTTCTCTCTGTGCCCCTCCCTTTCCTCCAGTTAACACCTGGACATCTCTCCACCGACGTCTAGGGAGACAAAGGTCTCCCTGGCACGCTCTGCTGCTCCTTCCCGAAAGAGGCAAGCAGCTCTTGAGTTTCATTTCAGGCGCATCACACCTAGTGGGGCTGTGAGGGTTTCCCTCAGGGACTGCAGCCGCTCCTGGGCACACTCTGAGGCTTCCTCCGCAGTGTCTCACATGGGCATGCCTGAAGGTCGGTTCTCAATGAACTCTTGCCCATTTGGATTTAATACATGAGTCAGGATTAAATGCAGGGGTCAGAGATGCCAACATCTTGGGGCAGGCCGTGTGTACAGGAGCTGGTGCTCCACCACAGGGAATTGTAGGGGCTGGGCTCCACTGAATATTGGAGGTGTGTACACCCCACTGTTGGGGAAGGCCTGTTCTTTCTGAGGCCAGCTGTGAGTGGGGCTGGGCTCAGGGCACCACTTTGTGAGCAGCGTTCTTACTGAGGCAGTTCTGCCCCCAGGGTGTGGTCTGGAGGTTCGTGGGCCAGCTAGTGCTGTCCCAGTGCTGGGGAGGTACCACTGGCATGCCACAGGCAGGGCTGGGATGTGGGACCGTCAGCAGCCAGTTACCCTGCATGCAGGACTTCCAAAGGTCCCACCCAACCCTAGACAGGTGCAGTGTCTTTTCCTAACCATCTGAGCTCAGAGCCTAAACTCTTTTCGCAAGAAGCACAGCGTGTTTTGAGCACGGCTTGAATACATACAATTCTTCAGGAATGCCAATGACTTCAACATCAAGGGAAGAATGTCCTTTGTTTAGCTGAGGCTTTGAAAGAACTGCTCACCAATTCCCCCAAATGATGCCACTGGTGGCAGGGCCCGTCGAGGTGTGAGTGCACCTCATGTGGCACTCAAGGTGACTGCAGGATCATCCATCCCATCCTTTGTTTTCCCGTCCAGTGGCACCCAAGTGCATGGATCTGGAAATCATCTTCCCGCTTTGTCATGCCATCCTCTCCTCTGTCCTCACTGTCACTGCTGGGATGTGTGCTGTCTCTTGGTACTCAGCCCCATTCCTGCCCTTCAGTGCTCTCAGGGGCTAAGTATGCACACTGCATTTCCCACTCTCTTGCCAGGGCAGCAGTCAGGCTCTGCTGATGGGAGGCATTTGTGCAAAGTTGGCCTTAGTGGCTGGCACAGGTGGCCACTGAGGAATGTCAATAGGATGCTCCTCACGCTCTCAGCAATACCTCTTGGTTCTTTTTACTCCTGTAACCCTAAGGGACATGAAGGCTTCCTGCAGTGACCAATCTCTGGGTGACATCACCTGTCCCTTTCTGCTCCTCCAGCCTTTCCAACAGTTTTGGAAACAATTTCCTGATTCAATCCCCTCTGTTTGAAATACCTACATAGGCGATTGTTTTTTCTGACTGCATGGATTCATAAAAGGTATTAGCTTGAGTTTTTTGAAATTACGTATATTGTTAATTTTATTCTATAAGAATTTCATTTAAAGATAACAAGGGGAATCCTTGCACATCATTGTTTGAAAAAATGGGTGCAATGTGTCTATTAGAGGTGAGAACCACAGAGCAAAAATGAGAGATGGTTTCTTAAAGGGTTGAGGATGGTGGAGCTAGGAATAAAGGTCAAAACCACTACCTCCTAACATAGTGTACCTCGAAGGCTGCTGGTGACTTAACCTGGAGACTTATTAAAAGAATCTCTTAGCTTAAAAGCAGGACTTACGACTTATGAGAAGTGGCAGGAGAATAATGTGCTCAGAAAGATTCTAAGCCTCCTGAAAAAGAGGGTTTTGAAATAACCAAATGCTTTCAAAAGAAACCTACTTTGTTAGATAAAAATCTCACTGTTAATAATGAATAAGCCTCAGTTTTAACTTTTCTGCCTGGTCCCTCATCTCCTTACCTTTATGGGACTTTTTTACAAAGCACCGTCAGACCCCATGTGGGGCTAGAAATATGCTCATGGTCCTTGTGGTAGACAAACTCATAAGGTGGCCCTGGATTCTACCTTCTGGTCTTCAGGCCCTGATGTGATTCTCTCCCAATGAGCATGGGTTGGGTCTCAGACTTGCTTCTTCCAAGTAGAATACAGCAAAGGGGACAAGATATACATGACTTCATGCACATGATTATAGGATTATACGATTATATTAGATAGTAGCAATTTTCTTGCTGGAGGGTCTGTCTCTCTCTCTCTCTCTCTCTCTCTCTCTCGCTGGCCTGATGAAGCAAGCAGTTGCCTTGGGGAACCCCATCTAGCAAGGAGACACAGGTGGCCTCTGGTTGCTGAGAGCAGTCTCCAGCCCCCAGCCAGCAATGAAGCCCTTACTGATAAAAATACAAGGAACTGAATTTCTGCCAACAACCTGTGAGAGCTTGGAAGTGGACCCTTCCCCATTGAACCTCCAGATGAGAATGCAGCCCAACTCACAGGCTGAGTGAAGCCTTGCAGAAGGCTCAGCTAAAGCATGCCTCTCTCCTAACCCAAAGACACCATGAGAGAGTAAATGCATGTTGTTGGAGCCACTGATTTTATGGTAATATTGTCATGCAGCAACAGGTGACTAATCAAGTCCCACACTGTTTAGACTTATGAGCCATGCCATATAGCCTTACTTGGTGTAACACTATAAAATACTCTATGGGTGAAACTGTCTCTCCTAGACCTGAGGAAGAGGATGTAGAGAGGCAATATGGGAGAAGCAAACTGAAGAAAGAAACAAGAGCAGGTGTCCTCAAATAGTAATGAAGCAGCTCCAAGGAGCCAGCACTCTCCTAGGTGCTCTTCTGAGTACTCTAGGGACAGAAATAAGAGCAGTTCCTTTTCACAGCTCAAGACCTTGCCAAATCCACTTAAAAAAAAAAATCCCGCATCAAACCCTGACTCCTCAAGAGGTGTGTTCTGGAGGCCCCAAAGTTCATTCTTTTTTTTTTTTTTGAGATGGAGTCTCACTCTGTTGCCCAGGCTGGAGTGCAGTGGCATGATCTTGGTTCAATGCAACCTCTGCCTTGTGGGTTCCAGCAATTCTCCTGCCTCATCCTCCTGAGTACCTGGGATTACAGGTGCACACCACCACTCCCAGCTAATTTTTGTATTTTTAGTAGAGACAGGGTTTCACCATGTTGGCCAGGCTGGTCTCGATCTCCTGACCTCAAATGATCCACCTGCCTCAGCCTCCCAAAGTGCTGGGATTACAGAAATGAGCCACCGTGCCTGGCTCAAAGTTCATTCTTACACTTTGCTCAGTTAAGGAAGAACCATCTGTGCAGCAGGTTTTGTTGTGGTGGTGGGGTGTGTGTGTATGCATGTGCCTGTGGCCATAGGTGTAAAAATGTCTCCAAGCACTATTGCTGTCAGAGGACTCCATGTCACTAAGCATCCTGCTAAGAGCACTGTGAGCTCTTCTGGGTCTTTTCTGAGTCATCCTCTCCTCCTTTGATCTCATCAAGCATGGTATCCTTTTGGAAATATCAGACAGCATCCAATTTAGAGGATGCAAGAGGTCCAGAATTCCCGAGCTGGGAGGCTTAGAAGAGTTGTGGTGACCAGGTGACTGCCGCCAACCACGTCCTGTGGAGAGCTGTGTCGACACCTGCAGCCAGGCTCTCTGGGCAGCCTTGTGTCCAAACACCAGCTCAGAGGCAGCAGGAAGACGCTAACTCTGCGTTCCGGAAATGTCACCTGCTCAGTGTTTGGGAAGGGAAACCTCTCAAGATCTAACGGGGTGATCAGGTAGCAGACTCTAGTCAGAAGAAGCAACTTGCAGCTGATGCCCATACACCCTACAGGGGAGGAGACATTTGAGATGGGTGAGATAAGAAAAGTCCTCAAGGTAGTTAAAACCAGTCCCAACCAAATGTCGGTCTAAAAGGAAGGAAACCAACATTTGCTAAATGCCTACTATGTGCCATAAGCTTTCACAGGTAAGAAAAGATTTTTTAAAGTATGTTTTAAAAAAGGAATATTCCAAAGCTTGATTCTTTGGGGGGGAAAACACTTAAGCTAAGGCCATTATAAGACTATCTTTAGCGTAAATAACATGGGCAAAAATAAGCACCGTACAGTGTACTAAAGGGAGGGATGTTTTTCTACTGTGTGGAATTTTAGTGAGTAAATGTTTCCCTACAATATTCATAAATGCCACTAACACCCCAAAGCAGCAACATTTAACTTATTTGCAGCTGGTTCTGTGTCATATTTAAAATGAATCATTTTTCAACATTTGCGGACTCTTAAAAGCTGAGCGTGGCAGGAGGAATTTCCTTGGGTACTGGGACAGGAAGGCACATGGCGCTGAGGGCTTGCCAGGGTGCGGTGGCCCAGACCCGCTCCTCCCAAAGGGCCTGGGGCCTTTGACAGCTGCATGTCAGCTGCAACTGCTGGCTGGAGCCCGAGGCTAATGAGGTCAGAGCAAGGGCCTGGTGCCCAAAGAGGCTCACTATGGACCGAGTCACTTGGACCAGTGGGTGTTGTTCAGATGAACCTCACCCCAATACCGCACGATCCCAAGAGGATGCGAGGAGAAAAGATGCATCCATATCAACACAGAAACACTGCTATCCACAGCAACACTGAGAATGTCATTTATCAAAGGCCCACTTCTTGTCAGCACATTGTCGGTAACTCTACGTATTTTATTCCCTGTCTTCATGGATGACCCGGTAGACCTCTGAAGACAACTGAAAGATGGTGTACAATGAATGAAAAAATGTGTACAGAAGCATGGGGGGAAGAACAGCCACCTTCTAAGCTGCATCATCTCTGTTCCTCACAAATACCTAGACAAAGCAAGGCAGACGTGTTGTTCTAACTGCTCTGCCTGACAGTCCATAAAAACATGTCGAAGCAGCTGGATGCCCAGGAGGGTATGCGTGAACTCACACACACAGGCAGTGGAGGGACAGAGCTCAACTCGGAGCACCAGCTCTCTCCTCCATGTAAGCTTCTCCATGCTCAGCTGAGTTTCTCAGAGCTGTACTTGGTAAGTGCATTGAGGACTTTTACACCTACTTCCCCGCTTTAGGGATGGGTGCCTCTTTTTCAGTGAAATCTTACCCGGAACCTAACACAGAAGCAGCGAGTACAGAGGCCCTGCCCCCTCACCTCCCACCAGCATCTTGGAGGGACCTGAGCTCCCTGGGGCTGGGTTTGGAAGCTGGGGATAAAGAGCTCTTGCCTGTCTGTACCAAAAGCAGGAAGTGCAGAGGTCTGGCCACTAAAAGGAGCACCAGAAACCTCTGGTCAAGGTGCACTTTGTTAATTCACCAATGCCTTATGGAGCTCACATGCCAGGCTCTGGTCAGGAGGCTAGAGATGTGGGGTCTTTGCCCTGAAGCTGTTCTGAGTCTGGTGTGGGTGGGTGGGGTGGGCAGATAAATTAGACCCCCTTGGGATCAGGGCTGGAACGGAGGTGGACAAAGCTGGTGGAAGCCAAAAGGCAGGGGCAAGTGTCTCTGTCTGTGGAGATCAAAGATTTTCAGAGAGGGAGAAAGTAAGCTCATTTGGGAAGGCAGGTGGGGGTTGGCTGTGGTAGATGGCAACAAGACCTAAAATTATTCCCCTCCCTGAACCTACACCCGTATGCGATATGACTTTGCAGCTCCTCTTATCAAGAGACAAAGCCTGTCTGCCCAGACCTTAAACTTGGTCTGGTCCTGTGATACTGGCCAATAGCATGTGGTGCAATTGACCAGTTCTGAGTCTAGACTCCAAAAGGCCTCATGTGCTTCTGCTCACCCCTGGAAGGCTGTACAGCTGCCATGTCAGTAAGCCTGGGCTAGCCCACTAAAGGATGAGACCCAGATGCCCTGGTCATCCCTGCCAACTTGCTGAGAGCTCACCAACTGCCACTACAGACACAAATGGAAATCTACCTGGGAACAGAAGACCCTCCCTGCAGAACCCACCCTAATTTGACTTACAGAATCATGAGACAAATGACGGTTGTTTTAAGCCACTAACTTTTGGGATAATTTGTTATGCAGCAACAGCTGACTAATACATTATGACTCTGGGCAAGCCACTTGATAATTTAGCAACAGTTTTACCATCTACAAAATGGAGATGACAAATCTTGCCTCTGGCACGGAGCAGTTGTGAGAGTCACATGGGAAACTATGTAAAAATGCATTGCGAATTTTAAAGTGCAAGGTAGCCGGGGTGGAAGTATTACTATTAGAATAACCTGGAAGACAAAATGTGGGAGGTTGGCCAATACTTCACATATGAACTGCTATATTTGGGGTCTTTCTCCAGAGACAGCAGAATTCCCTGAGGGGTTCCTTCGGGGATGCCAAGTCTCCACTGACTCTTGTGTAGTTTCCAGGGCTTTCTGGCAACTAAGGTGGTAGGTAATTTGTTCCCTGATGTAAGAGGCACCATGGTAGAGCAGGGGTATCCTAGGAGCTGGCATCCCAGGCAAGGTGTTGGTATTCTGGCCCTATTGCTTTGTAGCTTACGCTCTAAGCTAAGACTGTTCCTCTTGCTAGGTGGTTTCTTTGTGGGTAAATGGATGCTGCTACCCCTGCTCTGCATTCCACATGGGGCAGGCATACGGTAAAAATGAGGTGGCCCATGTCAAAAATTGGTACCACCCTGGGTTAAGACTCAGGATAGAGGACCTCCCAAGGTCCCGGGTTGGGGGCCCCAGCCCTACCCGCAAGCATTCAGATGGTGTGGTCAGCAACACAGCCTCTGTTCCCCCAAGACGCTGGATGGGGGCCATGGGCTGTCCTCAGTTTCTGTGCACAAACATTTACATCAACAAAAGAAAACTTCCAGAGCAGTAAGTAATTTTCCTCAAGGGACAAAGGAGGCGAGAGGTGTTCTGATGAGTTTTGTTGGCTGACATTTTTCAGAAGTTATTTACGGGCTCAGCAAAGGCATTTATTGTGTTTAGTGTTCTATGCTATAAATGCTTTGGAAAAGGAGAGTAAATGAATATGCAAGCACCCAGTGTCAGGGCAAGAACAGGCAGGTGTATGCGGAGCCTACAGCTTCCCTGGCGGCTCCCTGTTGACTGTCACCATAGAAACCGAGCCATGGGGTTAAACCGACTCCCAAAGGGCAGTGCTTGGTTAGGAACACAGGGAAAAGTACTCCCCAGTTGGAATCCAACAAATGAGAGTGTCCCACACCTCCCCAGATGCAGATGGGTCCTTGTGGGATCCAAAGAGGATCCCTCTGGGATATGTGAGAAGGGACAGAGGTTTGTCTGCAGCCAGAGGCCGGATCCGAGGCACCGTGACTTGGGAGTGGTCACACTCGGTTTACTTGGTAGAAGGCAGCCCCCTTACTGCCAATATAACTCAAGACAGCCTGGCAGCTGGACTGGTTCATCACGCAGACTCAGGAAGCGTCCTGGGCGGAAGCAAAGTCATCCCAGGGCTTCAAGGAGCCCCAGATGAAAGCCACAGGTCCAGAGCTTCTGAGTGGAACGGGGCTGGGCTTTTTGAGTCCGATGGACAGAGATAATGGATTCTTACCCAAACAACACATCTTCCTGGAAACAAACAAGGCACAAACAAATACGCACGCCCAGAACACTGACCATGGGTGGTCTTTCTTCTGCCCAAGGTGCTGTTTGAATTACTGTGTTACCCCCAATTCAGGTTTGCTTTAAAGAAAAACAAAAAACCAGTTCCAAACACTTTCAGTGACACTCACACCTTCTCCTACGCATGCCCTCTGATCACGTAAGGAGGCCTGCAGCTAAACATACCCATAAGGGGTTCAAGAAAATGATCCTCCCAGTGGGAGATGGTGCAGCACGGACTGACTGGTGTTGGCACCTGAGAAGGAATGAAGGGCCGGGCGTGGTGGCTCATGCCTGTAATCCTAGCACTTTGGGAGGCCGAGGTGGGTGGATCACCTGAGCTCAGGAGTTCGAGACCAGCCTGGCCAACATAGCAAAACCCTGTCTCTACTAAAAGTACAAAATTAGCTGGGTGTGGTGGCGGGTGCTTGTAATCCCAGCTACTTGGGAAGCTGAGGCAGGAGAATCACTTGGACCCAGGAGGCAGAGGTTGCCGAGATCGCACCACTGCACTCCAGCCTGGGTAACAGAGCAAGAATTCATCTAAAAAAAAATTAAAAAAAAAAAAAGAAGAAAGAAAGAAATACTGATACACGTGGCAACACAGATGCGTCTCAGGAACTTCCTGCTCAGTGAATGAAGCCAGACACCAAGGGCTCTATCTACACATGTCCAGATACACATGTCCACAGAGGCAGAAAACAGACTGGTGGGCTCCAGGGACTGGGGGCTGGGGGAAATAGGGAGGAAGTAACTGCTTCATGGGCACGGGGCTTCCTTTTGGGATCTAAAAGTATTCTGGAGTGAGCGAGAGAGAGGTGGCTGTTGTACATACCTGTGAATGTACTCATGCCACTGCACTGTGTACTTTCTTCATTTTTTTTTTTTTTTTGAGATGGAGTCTCACTCTGTTGCCCAGGCTGGAGTGCAGTGGTGCGATCTCGGCTCACTGCAAGCTCCGCCTCCCAGGTTCACGCCATTCTCCTGCTTCAGCCTCCCGAGTAGCTGGGACTACAGGTGCCCGCTACCACACCCGGCTAATTTTTTTTTGTATTTTTTTTTTTAGTAGAGACGGGGTTTCACCATGTTAGCCAGGATGGTCTCGATCTTCTGACCTCATGATCTGCCTGCCTCAGCCTCCCAAAGTGCTGGGATTACAGGCTTGAGCCACCGTGCTTGGCCTGCACTGTGTACTTTAAAAATGGGGATAGTTCTGGCGTTTGAGAATGATATCTCAACAAAGTGTTACTAAAAAAAAAAAAAAAAAGCCGATAGGTGCCTGAGCCAGGTGGTCTAAGTCCCAAACCTGCTCCACCACCTAGGGGTTCATGATGTGGGGCAAGCAAAACCGCCTCTCCCTGCCTCGGTTTTCTCCTTTGTCATGATACCTACCATTGCAGATGTGTCGGGCCTGGATGTGTCAATGCACGTGAAGCTCTTAGAAGGGCCTTGGAGAGGAGGAAGTGGGACCTGTGTGCCAGCTGCTATTATGTGTTTCAATCTTATCATCAATGCTATTTGCAGCATGAGGCCCCAGGAGCTGGCACAGGTGAATCTCCTTCTGTGGAGTTCCCCGAGCTCTTTGAAGCAGGATGTGTACATTGGTTCAACGAACACCTAGACTGTGAGTTCCTGGCCTGTCAGTTCCTTGCCTTCTCCACTCCTGCCCTTGCACCTGCCTAGTGCAACAGGCCCTGAGATTGCAACCTCCCCACTCACGCCCAATTGTCCCCATGATCTCATCACAAATAGATGCCCAGGACTCACCCCCGAAGCCCATCCCTATAAAGCTGTGCACACCCCTAACTGGACTGCATCTCACCCGACTATCCCAGACTCAACCCCAATGCCCACCCCTGTAACGCTGAGTGTGCCCCTAACTGGACCGCATCTCCCAGCCCTTCCAGCACTGTCCTCAGAGCTGCCTGATGAGCTGATGTCTCCTCACATCCATTCCTACCCTGGGCACCTGGTCCCTGCAGATGAGCAGCCAGGCTCCTGGCCAGGCCAGCATCTCCTCCTCTCCCTGCTGAAGGATGAGGCTGCTGCGGCAGGGCCACCAACTCCCAAATCATCCAAGACATCTTCTCTGGACTCCATGTCTTCATTTCAGCAACTTTCCTTCCCAAAGTGGCGTCTGCTCACTGCTATGCCTGGGACCTCTCTTTTTTATTTCTTTTTTTTTTTTTTTTTTGTAATTTAGGTGAAATTTACAAAACTGAATACTAATCATTAAAAAAATACAATTTGTTGGCAGTTAACACATCCACAATGCTGTGCAACCAGCACTTTTATCTAGTTCCAGAACATTTAAATCACCCAAAAAGAAAATCTCATACCCATGAAGCAGTCACTCCATGTTATGGACTAACCTGTGTGCCCGCAACACACATATGTTGAAGCCCCAACGCCTAATTTGACTGTATTTGGAGATGGGACCTTTAAGGAGATAACTAAGGTTAAATGAGGTTGTAAAGGTGGGGTCCTGATCCTTAGGATTAGAGTCCTTATAAGAAGAGAAAGAAACACCTGTGCACCTTCTTGCTCTCAGCACACACAGAGAAAGACTATGTGGGGACACAGTAAGAAGGTGGCCGTCTGCAAGCCAAGGAGCGAGGCCTCACTGGGGACTGAATTTGATGGCACCTCGGCCTATGACTTCCAGCCTCCAGAACAGTGAAAAAGTAAGTGTCTGTTGTTTAAGCAACAGTCTGTGGCATTTTGTTATGAAAGTCCAGGCTGACTGACATACTCCCCGCTCCTTCTCCCCCATCTCCTGGCAACCACTCATCTACTTTCTGTTTCTACGGATTTGCTAATTCTGGGCATTTCACAGAAATGGAATCACACAGTACACAATGTGTGGCCTTTTGTGTCTGACTTCTTTTACTCAGCATCCTGTTTCCCACACTCATGTGTGCTGTGTCAGTCCCTCATTCCTTTTAAGGGCTGAATAATATTCCATTCACTGGACAGACCACAGTCTGTCCATCCATCCACCTGCTGGTGGGCATCTGGGCTGCTTCTGCTTTCTGGCTATTATGGATAGTGCTGCTGTGAACATCTGTGCACAGGGACTTGTCTGGACACCTGTTTTTAATTCTCTGGGGCTCTCTTCTTTCTTGAGCCCTCAAAACCAGATTCACACCAGCTACCAGCAAGGTGCCTGTGGCCTCCACGCTGCGAGGTGGAACGGCTGATGAGCAGCCCTCGTCTCAGCTGACACAGCCGCCTCCTCCTCCTGCACGTGCTCTGCCGGGCTGGGGTGTGGCCAGGCTCTCCAGATGTCCCCTTTCTCACTTCCTGGATGCTCCTGGCCACTCCTGTGGCCTCCTCCTCAGCTCCCCATCCTCTGAACGCAGTCCTCTGTGTCTTCCTCTCTGGCCACACACACCCCCAGGGTGACCTGCTCAAGTCTTGGCTTCAGATGCCATCAGACTCCTGTGGCCCCAGCCTCACCCTCCAGCCCAACCCATGCAGGCTCCACCCTGACACACTACAGGCTGCTCAAATGTAACTCGCCCAACATCACACGTAACATCACCCCATCTCTGCCCTGGCGCCTCATCCAGTTGCTGAAGCCGCAAGCCTCGCCTCTGCTCTCACCCTCCACAGCCAATCAGACAGCAAGTGCCTGCAGGTCACAGACAACTCCGGACCCTTCTTGCTGCCCATTCACAATCTCTGCTCTGGCCTGAGCCACCTTCCTCTCTCTCCTGGGCCCTGTGCCTGGCTCTGGACCAGTCTCCCCACTTCTCTACTGCTCTGTCCTTTCTCCACCTGGCCCCAAAGCCATCCTTAGAAAGCCGAACCCATCACATCTCTTGCCTGCTCAGACCCTTGCATGGCCCAGGATTTTTTTCTGTGTCCCCCAGCCTCACTGAGCTGGGCTCAGCCTATGTGACCACACCTCCCCGACCCTCCCCTCCCTAGAAGCTACAGCCGCGCTGCCCTTCTTGCTGTTCCCCAAGCACAAGTCCATTCCCGCCATGGGGCCTTTGCACCTGCTGTTCCTGCTGCCTGCAGTGCCCCAGCCCATGCCCACGCAGCCCATGCCCTTGCTTCTGTCCGGTCTCTGCTGACACATCCCACCTCTAGGTGGCCATTTTTGTCCTGCCTAGGAAGCCTGCCCTCCCCTCTCCAGCACTCCCCAGCCCTGCAGCTGCTTCACATCCCCAGCAGCTGCCATTTCCCTGCAGGGGACAGGCCTGCCGGCTCTGTGAGGGCAGGGACTCTCTGTTTTGCTTCCGGCTGTAACCCCAGCTCTGGAAATGGTGTCTGGCACACACAGCCCGCGCGAATAGTGCTCTGTGGAATGAATGAATTCTAAGCTTCTCCTGCATGTCAGATGCTGCCGATGGAGTGATGACTAAGCAGTGGCGAGGGCACAGGCTGGGCGGGGTGGGAGAGACAGACGCGGAGCAGATCATCTCAACTGAGTGGGATCGTCCGCGACAGAAAGACGTGTCACATGCTACCGGAGCCACTGAGAGTGCCGGGAGAGGACTTTGCTTGAAGCGTGGAGAGGAGGGACTGTCACAGCTGGGTTTTGCAGGATGAGTAGGAGTTGGGTAGATGGACATGTGAGGGAAGGGCATCCCAGGAAGGAGGAAGAACATAAGCAAAGGCCCAGAGGTGTGAAAAAGTTTAGTATGTTTACACAGAAGCAAGGAGTTGATTCATATTAACAATTTATGTGTGATACAGAATGTCTCATTCAATGCACATATTAGCCCTGTGTGGTGGGTACAGTGATCATCGCCATTTTAGGATCTGAAAAAAGAATGTGAGAGGCTCCATCCCTTTCTGGAGGCTTCACAGCTATGGGTGACTGAGCTGGGATTGGAACCCAGGGCTGCTGCCTGCTTTTGTCAATAAAGTTTTATTGGCATGCTGCCACTCCATTCATGGGGGTACTGTCTGTGGCTGCTGCCTGCTACAAAGGCAGAGCTGAGAGGCTGCCACAGGGAGCACATGGCTCCAAAGGCTAAAATATTTACTCTCTGGCCTTTACGGATAAACTCTGTGGACCCCTGGCCTAGGTCATGGAGAGGGGGGTGGCAGGTAAGTTAGGGTGGGCCGTGCCCCACTAGAAGAGGGACCCGGGAAGGAGGGCCTGGCAGGTCTGGGGAAGAGGGAGGCCCAAGAAGAGGGGCAGGCTCAGCTCCCATGAGGTGTCTGTGCAGGCACAGGGAACGGTGAGGACAGGGACTCAGCTGCCAAGGCGGGGAGGGTGACCCCCCAAGCACTTGCTACCCCTGGGTGCCTTTGCTAGGCCCACCTCGTGCCTGGCCAAGGTGGGACCTGGAGACAAAGCGAAGCCATGGCTCTGTGTACTTGCTCGCGCACTCACACACTCATGGAAGACAGGGGAGGGTGTGCAGTGACTGGGGAGAGGGGAAGAGTCACCAGGGGCTGGGAGGTCCCTGGCAGCAGGGAGGGGGCAGGAGGCACCCCCTGAGCCGCGCATCTGGGAGGAGCAGGTGGAGTATGCAGAGCAGAGCCCGCGGGAGGGAGTGCCGGGCAGCAGGTGCGGCAGGGGCAAGGGTGTGGAGGCCCTTCCAGGGCACCGTGACGGGGGAACTGGCTATGCGAGGAGATGTTTTAACTGGGTTGTTCGAGAATGTTTTGCCTGATGCTTCTGAGCAGGGATTGAACGGGCAGAATAGTTAAAACCCGAGGGAGGTCGAGTGAAGGTGTGTGAAGGTGACTTCAAAGGTGAGGCGCATTTCATGATGAGCGTGAGGGCGCCAGTGGGCCGCCTGACTCCCATACCCAGTCCACACGCTCCACACTGACAGCTCAGGGTGCCTGTAGCTGGGCTGGCAAAATTCAGCCAGGCTTCACCAACCACAGGCAGAGTCCAGGAGCCCAGCGGACACAGAGCCCTCCTGCTGTGTGCTTCAAAGGATCCAATGGGCGAGGACCAAGGGGTGGGGTGGGGAGGACACAGGCCCAGCCAGGGCCCCCCGACCAATACCAACTCTCCTCCCAGCCAGAGGCTGCCCTGGCCCAGGCTTTCAGCAGGGGCCCCACAGCCTGTGCCCTGGAGGCCAAGGGGTGTCCTCAAGACCGAAGGGTGCTGAGGGGTGGCCTGGGGACCAGCCAGTGTTACATAGCCACAGGAATGGCTGCTGGCCCCGAGGGCCTACCCAGCAACCACCTGAGCGATGAGGACCCTTGGGGACGGCCCTCCTGCCACCACCCTCCCCCAGGCTTGGGAAGGAAAGAGAAATTCTGCCAAGAACAGAGTACAAGGCCCATGAAGCTGGGAATGGCAGGATATTTTAAGCAGTACAAGGGGGATTCTGGGTTGCCCTGGAGACGAGCGGGCCCAGGCCTCGGCGGCTGTAGCACATCTGTGCTCTGTGAGGCCAGTCCCGTGTCTGGGCTCAGGGGCGAAGGGGACCCCTCCATCGCGGGGTCAGTGTGGGAAGGTGGGCGAGGCCGTGGCCTCCCCCCAGGTGGGCAGGTTTTCGGGACTCTGCCCAATCTGTCAGGGAACCCACTGCCCTGTGTTCAAGGGACTATCTTCCCCAAGAGAGGCGGCGGGGACTGAGGACAGAGGCGCACCTTGTGAGTGTTCTGCAAGTGTCCCAGGTGGAGCTGGGCAACCAGGCAGGGTCTTGGGAAGGCCTGGCTTCCCGAGAGATCCTTCCTCGGGGAGGAGGGATGTGCAGGGAACTCCAGAGAGGAAGAGGAAGCCACACCTGTGGAGGCTTCCTGGGGTCCCGCAAGCCAGCCTCACCCAGCATGATAGAAAATGTGCAGAGGGCTGGGTGTGGTGGCTCATGCCTGTAATCCCAGCACTTTGCGATGCTGAGACAGGCAGATCACGAGGTCAGGAGTTCGAGGCCAGCCTGGCCAACATGGTGAAACCCCATCTGTATTAAAGATACAAGAAATAGCTGGGCGTGGTGGCGGGCGCCTGTAATCCCAGCTACTTGGGAGGCTGAGGCAGAAGAATTGCTTGAACCTAGGAGGTGGAGGTTGCAGTGAGCTGAGATCGTGCCATTGCATTCCAGCCTGGGTGACAGGGTGAGACTCTGTCTCAAAAAAAAAAAAAAAAATGTGCAGAGGGAGGGAAGTGGGAGGCCGAGTACTCCTTCTCCCAGTGCTCACTGGCCCCAAGGTCCACCTCCCCAGAGCACCATGCACTGGCCCAACTTGAGGTTCTTGTAGCTCTCTCTTCAGCGTGTCCACCCTTCAGGCAGGTGGCTGCGTGGTCATGCTCTCCAAACCCTACACCCATCACCATCCTAGCTGCTCACCTCCACAAGCTCCATTCACCTCCCTTGCCTTGGGTACACACTCCTTATGATGTGACCTCAGATCCTGCCACTTGCCATGTTTTCCTGATCCAGGCCATCGCCTTCCTCCACAGCCACTAGAGTAGACAAGGATGGGCAAACTAGATCCAAGCCTGACCCAGGTCTGAGGCTCGGGAACAAGAACCCAGCCAAGCCCAGTGGCAGAGGAGCCAGTCAAGGCCCCTGGCTGGGTTCTGAAACCACACACACCTGTGTTCACATTCAGGCCATGCATGGCCTCCTGGTGGCCAACCGCTCGTTTCAGAGCTCACTCATTCAGCAAATAGTTACAGTGTGCCCCTCTCTAGTTGTGAGGATGTAACTGTGTGGGCGGGGTGAGTGCTGGTCCCCAAAAGATGTGACTGTACCCTAGCCCCCGAAACCCACGAGTGTGACCTGATTTGGAAAACAGCTCCTTGTAGGTGTGATTGAGTTAAGGATCTTGGGATGAGGAGATCACCCTGGATTTCCCAGGGGGGTCTTAAATCCAATGATACGTGTTCTTCTGAGAGTCAGAAGAGAAGACACAGACACAGAGCAGAAGGCCATGGGAGAACAGAGGCAGAGATGGGGAAATAGGGCCACAGCCGATGAATGCCTGGAGCCACCAGGAGGTGGACGAGGCAGGAAGGACCCTCCCCTAGCAACTGTGGAGGGAGCACGGCCCTGCTGCCACCGTGATATTGGACTTCTGGACTCCTGAACTGAGACAATCCGTTCTCTGCTGTTCTGAGCCACCCAGTTTGTGGTCCTCAGGAGAGTCACACGGCTTCATTCCATGGCGGCTCCCCGCCACGCACCCCAACACAACCCCCACCCCACCCTCACACCCTTCAGATCCCAGGGATGAAGCAAAGGACAGCACCATCTCCCTGGGGGTGAAGTGGCTTCTCCAGAACCAAACGGTTTGTCAAGATGTGGTCAGGGCCAGGGACTGAACGTGAAATGGGAACGGAATTCAGCCTCTTCCTTGCGAGAACCTGGGGGTTCTGAAACGTGGCCTCTAGAATCCCAGTTTCTGTGTGAATTTCTTGTACCATGTGTGTTCCCAGGGGCCTGGGGAACCTGTCCCTACTCTCCTTCACCCGCGGCCAAAGTGGGGATAAAATCCTTTCTGAGCCAAAGTCCCGAGCCGCGGGCTACACCCCTCAGAGACTCCTGGGACTGCCAGCCCTGCCCAGCCACCCTGGTGGAGTCAGGTCCCTCACAGGCTGGGTGCAGCCCCCCAGGGGTAGGGGACTGGCTTCTGGGTGCAGCTGCATTCACTATCATTTCCCAGCCATGTGGCGCATCCTCCCGTTTCAATGTTAAAATAGAAACAAGTTCAAGGAAGATGCATTCACCTGCCTGATCTGCCTGCCAGCTTCCTGTGAGGTGGCAGCCCCAACGGCTCTGAAAATGATCCTCACCCATCAGGGTCCCGGGCTCAGCTCTGTGCCCTCTGCACCTGGGACACGCCAGCCCCCAGGTGGCCTGGCCTTCTTTGAGATCTGTCCAGAAACACGTGCCAGGCACAGGTGGCTCAATGAGACTCTGTCCGAGTTCCCCAGCCCTGCATGCATCTCGCTCCAGACATCCCTGGCCACCTCCATCGCATTGAGTCCAAACCCACATGATACACCCCATTTCTCTCCAGGAGACTGTCTGCAAAGGCTTCCGCGCTCCCTGACCCTCTAGAGAGGGCAGCCCAGGCCCCAGTGGGCAGCCAGTATAGGACGGGCAGCCCGGGGCAGGGCTGCAGCCTCAGCCCCATCTGGAATGCGAGGGTGGTGCTCCTCCCACAGACCCTTACATCGCAAACATTTTGAGGACAAATGATTCCAGAATGAAGGCTTCTTGGGGCCGGTTTTCCCTGCACACAGATGGCAAGGAGGCCCGTCATTTGCAAGAGCTGGCACTTAAATGAAAAAACACTAAGTATATTTGCTAATAAGGTTCCAGGGTGAGCATGTGTGACAATGACAAGTGTGAAGGTGCCCTACGGTGAGCCGCGGAGACGTGGGCATCACACCAGAATCTGGGCCCAGGCCTCATGATGCCAGGAGCCGGGTGCCGGGCTCGGCAACTACTGCACCGGCTGGCTGCACGGTGACAAAGCCCGCAAGACGGTGGCAAGAGCTCCCTTGCATATCGCATGGTTGGCTGAAAGCCCCGAAATCTGTCCTGACACCAAAGCAACCATGCATCGCACAAGAGAATCAGCACACATTCCAGGAGGGGCTTGGCAGCAATGCCACGAGTTTCAAAACTGCTAAGAGACCTGGTAGATGCTCGAGCCTTACAACAACCGAAGCTTCCGAGGAAACCGCGTCTGGCCTGGCAGAAAGCCGGACTCCCATCAACAATGTGCAGGGAAAGGCGCTCCCCTCTGTCTTCTGTGCACCAACCCCAACCATAAACACTCAGTGGAGGCTGCACCACAGCCCTGAGGGGCGCTGTGCTTGTTTGCAGGTCACAAGTTGGACGCCCAAGGCTCCGAGCAGTACCGTGGCTGAGGCTGCACAGGAAGAGGCCGCCATCACTGCCCCTCGTGTGCGGGGAGCAAGTGCATTCCCAGGGCCCATTGCAGGGAAGTCCCCGGAATCTACAAAGCTGCCCCATGGTGTTCTGGTCTGTTTAGGCCCAAACTTATCCACTGTTTCAGCTACCCAAGGGACCAATGGAAGCACAGCCAGCCGCTGGACCCCTCGTCCTGTCTTTCTGCAGTGGCCACCGTACTCATTCTTATAACCCCCATCAGTGCTGACCCGTCTCCAGGCTATGTCCCCTGACAATAGAGCCAACTAGCCAGAACGCCCACTGTGCCAGAAGCCGCCCGCCTCTTTGGAGGGAAGTGGTAGTTTACAACAAAAGCAGTAAGCAAACCACCTCACGGCCTCCAGCCACGTCCATGCACTGCCACCAGCCTGCCCAGGCCCCAGAGGGTTCTGCTGCCCCCCTCGAATGGAGATCCGGCCCATGGAGAAAGACAGCGGGGTCACTGGACTCAACTTTCCCATGTAGGGAGGGGGTCTGTGGCCCGACGGAAGGACCTGTGGTGTTCAGACACCCCTCTGGATTCAGTGAGTAGGGCTGGTGAGTTTCTCCAGCCAAGATGCTGCATATCCCACCATCTGGCCCCATTGTCTGGGGACAGGACACACTCCACTTTATCTCCTGGCCAGTGAGTTAGGCAGGTGGCATGGCTGAGCCCCATCAGGAGCCTGACCCACCAGCAACCAACTGAACCTCAGCCAGAGGGCCTGATGGTGGGGATGCGGCATGTGAACTTCAGGGGCACACAAAGCCCAGACGCAGACCCGGGGCATCTCCCATCTCCACCCATCTCCACTCATCTCCACCCATCTCCACACATCTCCACACATCTCCACCTCCCCACAGAAGGGAGGAGGCCAGGAGGTGGACAATGAAGACAATCGTGTGGAGCAGCTGCTGCGGTGAGGCCAGGCACAGACTCCAGCCTTGACGCCCAGGCTGCCCCGTCCTCTCCTCTTGCCCCTGAAGTCTACCTGTGCCCACGTGGGGAGGGTGTTTGTGCCTGTGCCTTGTCTGGGGAACACCTGGATCATGACCTGTGGCTGCTGGGCTCCACCAGATCATGTGATTTGTCTTGTTCTGGTTTCAGATTCTGAGCCTGGTGAGGTTGGTCCAGGGTCCCACCACCAGCCAGGGTCAGCTGGGCCCCAGGGAGGCTGTGATGGGCTGAACGGAGTCCCTCCAAATTCATATGCTGAAAGCCTAACCCCTGCTCCTCAGAATGTGACTGTATTTGGAGATAAGGTCTTTAAAGAGGTGATTAAGTTAAAACGAGGTACTGTGATGGGCCCTCATCCAGCATGACAGTGTCTTTGTAAGACAAGGAGAGCCAGACACACGAGGCACCAGGGAGGCACCCACAGAGGACGGCCACGTGAAGACAGGCCAGAGCCGCCGCAGAGGATGATGATCCCGAATCCTGGCATTCGGTGGCACGCAGGTAGGGCACAGAAGTCCAGCTTGGCTCCTTCGCCATCAGGAGACCTTGGACAGTCACACGACCCAGACCAGGGGCCCGGCAGGGGCAGGAATTTTGGGATTGTTAATGGCTCCGTCCACAGCACCTAGGACAGACAGTGCCTGCCACACAGCAGGTGCTCATGGCTCCGTCCACAGCACCTAGGACAGACAGTGCCTGCCACACAGCAGGTGCTCATGGCTCCGTCCACAGCAGCTAGGACAGACAGTGCCTGCCACACAGCAGGTGCTCACTGGACACAGGAGGTGCTGAATGAAAGACTGAAAGGGCTTCTCTGCCGCTGCAGCCCACATCTGTATGAATGAAAACCATAAAGGTTGTCCGCAATGGGTTCTCGTGACAACCCATGAGAAGGGCTCCCTCTGGGGATAGAAACACTGTATGTGTTCGACAAATAAATGCCAGCCCGTTTATCCTGACCTCTGCTCTGTGTCTCTGTGGCCTGAGATTCCCCTAGGCTGGGACCACCCACCCTCCACCTTGAGTTCCTGAAGCTTCCCCGGTCTTTTCTGGGTCTCTCAAATCCTCGGTTGTAAACAGGGAGTAGCTGAAGCGCCCTCATCCCCTGGGGTGATGCGTCAGAGGAACTGGGACTGAAGTCTTCCTGTTCCTCCCCCTCACCCCCTGCCCGGTTGGATAGGCCCCAGCAAGCAGCATCAGTCAGCCCAAGTTTATTTTTAATCACATGATTACCCGGGGTCTTTTGTCACTTAAGCAGTTTAACTGGGAGTGCAGCACTCCCACAGCAGAGCAGCCAGAAGAAGCGTCAGCTGGCACAGCCTGGTAGCAGTGGACAGAGGGAGCCAGTCCTTGGAGCCAGCCTCTCCCCAGAGGCAGTTCTGGATGTCCAAGGCCAGTCTGGTCCTATCCAGCAGATGGGAAAGGGCAGAATCCCTCACTGAGGGAACATCCTGAGTACCTGCAGCCCCTGGCCAGGTGGTGCCCATGTGTGTTGATCAAGGGGACAAACTATGACTGAGACTGATTTGATGGGCAGCAAGGTGGAGGGGATGAGGTTATTTGTGTTATCTCTTGCTTAACTGTTCATCCATTCAACTTCCGCTCATCCCATCTGTCTATCCATCCATCCAATCATCCATCTCATAAACTGAGCTATTGCTCATTGAGCACCTACCTGATATACCTTCTCCCACTTTTGAACTCCCTCAAATTCTCAGAGGTGTCGCCTACCCATCCATCCATCCATCCATGCATTCAACCACCCATCTATCCAAACATTCATGCATTTAACCATGCATCCATCCATCCATCCATCCATCCATCCATCCATCCATCCATCCATCCATTCATCCATCCGTGCATCCAACTATCCATCCATCCATGCATCCAACTACCCATCTATCTATCCATCCATCCATCCATCCATCCATCCATCCCTCCATCCATCCCACCCATACATTCATTCGCTGTTCACTGAGCACCAACAGGTATCTTCTTCTACCTTCAGACCCACTTAGCTTCCCAGAGGCATTGCATAGTCACTCATCCATCTGCCCACCCATCCACCCCATGTATCTGTCTGTACCTCACTGAGTACCTACCAGGTACCTTCCCCCACTTTCTTGGAGGTACTGCCTACTCATTGTTCCCAGCTGCCTGGGTACCCTGTGTGTCCTCCCCAGGCCCCTGACATGTCCCCTGCCAGGTTTCCAGTCTCCTCTGCACCCTATGCCTCACCATAACTTAAGTGGTTGATGCTTACCTCCTCGGAGAAGGAAGGAAACTAGCAGAAAACCTACTATGTGTTGAGCACACAGGCTGCCTCTGTTTTTTCATTAAACAGTCATCACACGTCCATAAGGGACCATCCTACTTTTCTAAGAAGTCACAACTGGCAAGGAGTAAGGAACAGAAGGCATATTTAACTCTAGATCCAGGATTCCTTCTGCTGCCCCCAGCAGTCCCACAGGAAGTAGCCCCCATGCTGGTGGACCCTGAGAACTGTTAAGGAAAGAGTCAGTGTCCAGAATTCCAGATTCCCACCTGGTTCCCCTGCTGCCCCAGCTACAGGACTGGTCTCTTCCGAGTCCCCACCTCCTCATCTGTAAAATGGAGTAATGAAAACCACTCACAAGGCAAAACATTAGATACACTGGCTGTCCACCTAGGAAACTCCAAATTCTGACAACTTCCAAACCCTGGAGGCCACTGCCCTGTCCCTGAGCCCACATCCCCTGTGGCCTCATGGGCCAGGGAAGCAGACAGCTTGCAGTCCTCTATGAAGCAAAGCCCCTTCCTCCTCCTTCTGCTGGCAATCTCCTACTCATCCTTCAAAACCCAGGTGGACTGTTGCGCACTCTGGGAAGTCACAGCTCTCCAGACCCTATTGTCTCTTGGTTTCTACCGACTGCTCTTGAACCCACAGGGTGAAGAAAAAGGGCCTGTCCCTCAGGCCACTGCACAAAGTAGAAGTTTGGAATGCTTTTTCAAAAGGTAGGCATATTAGTTCTCTGCCTAGGTCCAGGACAATTCTTGGCAGGTTTCTCTTACTAGTAACTACCCAGGCCAAGCTCTGAGAGGGACGGGGAATCCTAAGCAGTCATCACATATTTAACTCCAGATCCACAGTCCCAGTCCAGTTCACGCCACCCCCCACCCGGCTCTGCCATCCCATAATCCAGCACTTCCCCGCATGACAGAGAGGCAGGCCCAGGACGCGGAATGAATGTCAGCACTAATCTGTTTAGGCTCAAAAGGAGGCGGATTCAGAGCTCTCCATGCACAGCCACCCCACTGGGCAGCGTGGCTGACTGGCTGCCGGAGATAAGAGGCAAGGGGGCGGCCTGGAGCGCAGGCATGGCCACTCCCTGCTGGGGGCGGGGGCTGGAGTCTCCCTGCACAGGTGTGACCAGCACTGATAAAGGAAATGGAAAGAAAGTTTGCCTTGGGCTGGAAGTAGAAAATTCACACCTCTGACGCCTTGCACATATTTGATGAGCCGGCTCCTGGCCTGGCGTCCTTGGATGTCTGGCATCTGGAATTCTGCAGAAGCTTCGTGCATATTTTGCTGAACACACCATGTGGCTGCAGTGCTGGTGGGACCTGAGAGGGGATCAGAACCTGGGAGATGGGAGGTGCCTGAGGACCAGCGTGCATCTGCCGGTGCTGAGCGGTGGGGACACAAAGGCACAGGGCGGGGGCTGGAGGGGAAACCTGCAGAATGATCGATAACAGCACAGCCAGGAACGCAGGAGCTGCAGGAGCTAGAGCTGCCAGATGCCAGGGGCAGCGCTCGAGCTGCACGTCTGCGTGCCCCCCCCAGTTCATATATTGGGGCCGAAATCCCCGGTGTGAGGGTGTCTGGAGGTGGGGGCTTTGGGAGGTGATTAGGGTTGGAGGAGGTCATGAGGGTGGGCTCTGGTGATTAGTGTCTTTGCGAGAATAGACGCCAGTACCCCTCGCCCCCCAATGCGAGCACATGGCACAAAGGCTGCTGTCTGCAGACCATAAAGGACTTTCCAGCCTCCAGAGGGCTGAGAAACACTTCTGTTGTTTGAGCCACACAGTCTAGAGGATTTTTGTTACAGCAGCCTGAGCTGACTCAGGAGGAGACGTGATTCCTACTGGGACTTTATTCATCAACATTTACTGCACACACACTGGATGCTTTGGGATAAGCACACAGCTACAGAAAAGCTTCTCTATAGAGCGACGACAGCAGTTACCCTACACAGAGGGGCCGGGAGAGCCCCCACGGGAAGTTGCTCCATGTCCCCCTCACCTTCTCCTCCCTCCTCCAGGCGGGATCCTCAGATCCTGGTGAACTCTGCCCAGCTCCTACATTCCCTGTCCACCAATTCCTGTGGATTCAGGCTCCAAAACGTCTTTCTTTCTCAGGTCTCCTTCCCTCCTTTCCTACCCGGCTGCTGCGACACCCCCACATGGCTCTTTGTGGCTCTGTGAGGCCCTGCCAAACCCTCAGGGTCCTCTTCCTAAGACCCCGTCCACTGCACCTCCTTCTGCCTGCAGAGACTCAGCTGCTCCCGGGCCCAAGCCCTCAGCCCCACACCTGGCCTCAGCCTTCCCTCCGGATCTAACTCCAGCTGGGCATCCCGGGCCACACTTCACGCAGCAGCCACCCTGAGCTGCCACCAATGTGTGGCTGCAGGCCCCTGCCTCCTACCCAAGGGGAGGAAAGTGGAAGAACCAGGAACACACAGGGCCCCAGAGCCACATTCACGCACCTGGCAAGTCGCCACCCCCATGGCCGAGGCTTTAGCCCAAGGCACAGGGTGGGTCTCTGGCCTCCCCCAGGAAGCTCCTGCCCTTGTGGGCTCGGGCGATCAGATCCCAGGGAGGTCTTTCCATGACTGCAGTAGAGGCTGGTCACACCCTGCAGCAAGCATCACTGAGACCCATGTGGGGAACCCTGCCGGGCCCTCCTTCCTCACCTCTAAGCACCCTCTCTGCGCTCTGCAATGTGAGCCTGCAGTGGGGCCTGGCAGGCTATGCCCCCGGCCCCCTGGGGGGTTCCTGCTAGGATCTGCCTACGGGAGGAATGAATGAGCCCAGAAGGTTGGAAGAGGGCAGGCAGCTTCCTCCCTCCTCCTTGCTCCTTTCCAAGTCCCTCTAGGGCAGCCCACAGCAGCTCCAGTGGTCCTGGCATCTCTCTGTGCTTCCACTGCCCACCTGGCTGTGCCCCTGCAGCGGTGACCGTGGTGGTGGAATTGTGATGGCTGGGGACCGAAGTGCCAGCGTTTCTCCAAGCACTAGGACATCGCACAGCCAGACGAAGTTTCTTGGGGCCAATAGCCCTGGGCTGTGGGAGCCCTGGCTGGGCCACACCCCACCTCAGGCATCTGAGGGGCCCCTTGGCTGCACCCCTGCAAGGTCTCAGCTTGGTCAAGCACACAGGCCACCTCTTGAGCGATAAGCACTGTCTTGCTCCCCACCAAGGCTTGAGTCCAGGTAGCCACTTCCCCCAGCCCAGGCAGTGGCAGCTGCACCCTGCAGCTCTGAAGTGAGAGTGAAGGCACAAGAGGACAGACACCACGGGGGACACCGGCGCCCTGACCCAGCATCTGCGGCAGCACCAGGAAGCCAAGCAAACCTCTCAGCAAAAAGCCGCCCCAAGCGGCCAGGACCTCCTCATCAAGGATTGTCATTTTCACCCCAATTTCTACCCGACCTCCAACTCAGGGTCAACCAGAGAAAGCCAAATCTGCTACCCCAACCAATGACTTAGAAGGCCCCAGTGCTAGTGAGCCCCGCCTTTCTCTGCTACAAAGCGTTTCCCTCACTGCCTGCCTTTGAGCCTCTGCCTCATGTAAGTAGCAGGGCCTGGCTGTTGCCACAGCAAGCTCGTGATACCCAGCCTCTGCTTACTCTCGGTTGAGTGGTCTCCACGTATTTCCATGCCAGCCCTGGGTGCCCACATCTCTCATCTATCACCCTCCTTGGGTTGAAACACCCGTGTCTCAGCCCTGGGGCTCACAGTCCCTCAAAACAAACCTCCGGGCCTCCGTCCCCTCCTCCTGCTGCCTTGAAAACACAGTCTTGGCTGTGTCCCTTGGCTCTGTCCCGCCCCTATGAGTGGTCCTGCCACTGTGGTGACTACCCTTGGAGTGTCCTGCCCTGCGCTGGCCTGGCCTGAGGTAAGCCTGGAACTCAGAGAGCCCCAATCCTCTCCGGGGAACGTGGGTCTCGTGTAGAGTAAGCTTGGATGGGTAGAGCTGCTTGGAGCTGGCCTGGCCCCCACCTGGCCCAGGGTCTGCCTCCTACTTCTGTGAGCCGTCCCACTCCCTGCCTCACCTGAGCTGTCCCTAGGTCACCCGCCGCCTTGGAAGTTGCAGAGCCTTGGTGGGAAACGCATTGCTGAGGATGCAAATGCAACTGAGGCTCAAAAGGTGGCCTCATGCCCTGATCCGCCACACCTGAGACCTCGAGCGAGCGTTATTCCTTCATCCGTGTCCTTCACGGTTGTCAAAAAAGGCCTCGGATGTGAAACCATTTGGGCGCATTTACGGAAAAGAAGGCAGCTGAGCACATGCATGCTGCACCCTCCTCTCCAGCCTCCAGCCAACCCAGGGCCTGGGGGCTTTCATGGGAGTTACTGAAGGGAAAATCACACAGGTGCTGACCCGAGACAGGGCTGAGGACCTGCTGGGTCAGAATCTCACACCCACGCTTCAAAGGTGACTCTGACACGGTCCAGGAGGCTGTGAACTCACCCAGCAGATCTGGGGGCAGAGCCCAGGGCTGGGTAGCGTGCCCAGCCACACTTGTAGCACAGAAGCAGCCTCTCCCACCACACTCTCCCGCCTCTCCAGGACAGGGAAGGCTGGGCCTCCCTTCAGGGTGGGGGATGCGGGCTGCCCCATGCTCACAGCCCCCATCTCCTCTCCCACCACACTCTCCCGCCTCTCCAGGACAGGGAAGGCTTGGCCTCCCTTCAGGGTGGGGGATGCAGGGTGCCCCATGCTCACAGCCCCCATCTCCTCTCCCACCACACTCTCCCGCCTCTCCAGGACAGGGAAGGCTGGACCTTCCTTCAGGGCGGGGGATGCGGGGTGCCCCGTGCTCACAGCACGCATCTCCTCTCCCACCACTCTCCCGCTTCTCCAGGACGGGAAGGCTGGGCCTCCCTCCAGGGTGGGGGATGCAGGGTGCCCCGTGCTCACAGCCCCCATCTCCCCGCTGCTTTCAGGGTCACCCCTAGGAGGGGCCGATGGGAGCCTCTGGGTCTGGTCCCTGCCCTCCATCTTGTTGCTCCCCTTTGGTCATCAGCACTTGCAGGTGGCCTTGGGTGACTCTTCTGTGTCCCCAGGCATGTCACACGACCTCCCACCTCAGCTCCTCTATGCCCCGCTGCCCCCACACTGGGGGAGGGCTCTGCCCTACCCTTTCCATCCCAGCCTCAGGTCTGGGCTCTCCAGATCTCTCTGCCACAGCCCCTGGGGATGAGGGTGGCTTGTCTGCTTCCCTCCACCGCTGTACTCCCCTTTACCCCTCCACCCCCCTCCCTCCACCCCAGCACTCCCCTCCCTCCATCCCTGCACCCCCCTACCCCTGTACTCCCCTCCCTCCACCCCTGCACTCCCCTCCCTCCACCCCTGCACTCCCTGCTCAGTCTCTTCCCCTGGCTCATCCATGGTCCCCACGAGTGACTGGGGACTGGGCTGCATGGGGACAAGCCCGAGGTGGTAAGACTCCGCTTGGGTTCACAGAAGTAGGAGACTGAAGGGCTGGGTGGGGTACACCACCCTGAAGTGGAAACCGGTGGCAGAGTTTGCAGCAAGTGCACAGGGAGGTGGCAGGCGGGGAGGTGGGGCTCGGTGCCATGCTTAGGATTGCCCTGCTCTCCAGAACTAGCCCTGGGCAGCAGGGATGGGAGGGACCCGGGCAGTTACCAGCTGGCTACCCGGAGAACACAGTCCTGTTTTCTGCTGGTGGAAAAGTCTTTTCATGGCCTGACATTCTCAGGCTCCTAATCACCCCAGGCCAGGAGCCATGGGGGCCGGGTTTCCTTGTCACATCCTGGAAGGACAGCTGAGTAACTGAAGATTGGCTTACAGACTAGTGTTGGGATTTGGAAGCCTGTTTCCAGGGCAGCCTTTAGACCTGGCACTGCTGGTGGCCACCAGGCTTGCGTTGGAGATAGCACTGTTTGGGTGGGGCTGACCTGGCCCTCCCTCCATATCCCCAGGCCCCAATTCCATGCTGAATAGCAGAGACAACAGCATGTGTGTGCACATGAGTATGTATGTGTGTGTGCATGCTTGCTGCACATATGTATAGTGTGCATATGTGTGAACAGGCACGTGTGTGCATGTATGCCACATGGTACATGTATGTGCAGTGTGCATGTTTGTGAGTGTCCACGTGTGCATGCATGCTGCACGGTGCATGTATGTGCAGTGTTTGTGTGTGCATACATGCACACATGATGTACATATAGCACACACATGAGCATACGTGTATGTGCACATATGTGAATGTGTGTGTATACATGGACAATAATAAATATTAGACGAAAAAAGAGGAGAGGGAAGGAGGCAGGAGACTGCACTGCTATATGGAACAGTGGAGCTGAAACGGGGGTTATCTTGTCCACTCTGTACACCTCCTAGTCAGGAAAACTAAAGAAGTCACATGACTTGTCTGAGATCACACAGCAGAGAAGGACCCTGGGTCTTGACTCCCAGTTCATTTCTCAGCCCACTGCACCACAATGCCTGGAGGCTCTTCCTGTTCCCAGGAATTCTGAGCTGCTCCCAGGATACCCACCACAGACAAACCCTGAACTGAGGAGGCCTCGCCCAGACATAAATCACCAAGAGACACGCTGTTCTGAAAGCCACCAGTGCCGCAGGTCCCCCATGGATGGAATCCCTGGGGCAAAAGGTCCTTTTGGCAAGAGTGAGGAAGTCAAGGGTGAACATCCACTAACCAGAAAAAGGGACCGTCCCCTGCCCACCCCCACAACCATGGTGGGTGCCTGGCTAATGCCTGGTGCTCCCTGGAGGGACTGCTGGCAGGAGGGCAGGAAAAGACACTCCCTAGAATCAGGGAGGGCCAGTGCCCAAAGGGGGCCCCATCAGCACCTAACCCATCAGCTCCTAATGACCTCAGATCCAACAGTCCACCTTTAAAATAAATATTTTCTAATGCCACCCCGATATTGCCAGGAAATAAAATTCACAGATACTAGAAACTTTCAGTATACCCACCCCCAATATAATTCCTTCTAACTGTTAAGGTGCAGACAAACTAGAAGAAGGACATTGTTTACAACACAACCGTCTGCATCTCCATGTGAAATGCTCATACCTACACAGATGGAGTGACCGTGAATGTGAAGACCACTAGTGCCGAATAAGCTGGCGACCCCCTCCCACCAGCCCTGCTGCTTAACAGTGAAGTGGAGAAAAGCTCTTGGAAAAGTTCCAGATTAAAAGCCAGCACTGGAGAGTGCTGCCCTTAGGACACTGTAGAACAACCCTCCACTGACAGCAATCAGAACACTACACAACAGAAACAATAACGAATCCCCCCCATCACACACACACAGCGACCGACCTGAGGGTTCTGAAGAGTAAATAAGAGCAGTCAGATGGGCTCAGGTGTTAGTTTGCATTTCATGGGGGCTTTGTCCTGAGGACCTGCTGCAGACACACAACCATGTGGCACAGGCGACTAAAACCCCAGTACAGCTGACATCTTTCAGGCTGAAGGATTCAGGGGAAGAAGTGCAGGCAACTGTAGGGGAACTGGGGAGTGAGAGGAGAGCCCTGGAGGGAGAAGAGCCAGAGGAAGGGAGTCCCCAGTTCTGGGTGTGCATCTGCAAAAGCCCCAGGCTGACCCCGAAGCACGCATGTGTAGGACAGGCACAAAGGAGTGGAGCAAAAGCTTAAATGAGTGATCTGAGACTTTAACCACTGAAGGCAAGATGGAGATTCCAGTTTGAGTCTAATCATAGTAGCTGTCAGCTCAAACAAATCATAAACATCCTCCAGAGGAATATAACACAACCCACAATCTACACAACATAATACTCACAATATCAAGCAAACAATCCAAAATTCCTGGGAAAATATGACCCCATTCTCAAGAGAAAAGACAAGAGATAGCAGGCTTGAGATGATGCAGATGCTGGACCTAGGAGGCAATGAGTTTAATGCCACTATTGTAACTATTTCAACAAGGAAAGGTAAATGTGGTGAACATTTTCATAAAAAGGAACCAAATGAAAATGTTAAAGTTGAAAAACACAACATCTGAAACAATCCAATGGACAGCCTTAGTAGGATAAAAGTGACGAAGACAAGACTCAGGGAACTTGACAAATCAATGACATTTGTCTAATCTGAAGAAGAAAGAAAAAAAGACTGAAAAAAAAATAGACAATGTCAGGGTTCCAAAGGACAGTATTACAAAAAATCTAAGGATTGGATAATCACAGTCACAGAGAACGAGGCAGAAAAAAGTATTTTAAGAAATAATAAACAAACTTCTCAAATTTGATGAAAGAAACGAATGCACAGATTCAAGAAACTCAGCAAGTACTTCTAGTTCCAGGAAAGATGGAGTACACACACCACACTCTGTTTCCCTAGTTAACGCAGCTAGCAAACCTGGGCAGATGCTGTTATTTATGGACTCTGAAAAATAAAGAGTAGCAGGCAATTGGAGAAGAAAGGCAGATTTCCAAGTACCACTAAAGAAGCTGTGAGTTTCCCATTTTTTCCCTTGGGCTGTCACCTGGCTGGGACTCAAAGGTAGCCTGAAAGCCACATGTGTATAACAAGTGTGGATAAAAAGAGCTTCAAGAAAAGGGAGCCCCAAGGTTCAGAGTGCATGGGAGATCTTCCCTTTCATTCTTTATTGCCTTTTCTCCCACCCACAGCCTCAAGCAATCCTGTGGTGGCGGAGGTTGGGCAGGCACCTAAAACTCTGGAGGAGGGGATCCTTCTTTCTGGCCAGAGGAGCTGTGGTCCACACATGTGGAGGAATCCCCATTGCTTTTGGCCTCTCTCTCTCTTTTTCTGCCATTTGACCGTGGATGAAGGTCCATTTGCAGTAAGTTTATGGCAAAGCAGGGAAATTAATTAAGGTCCCAGTTTTTCATCCAGAAGCCTGATAAAGGGGTCTCCATGGACACGGAAAATGTCAGGGAGACTGTAGTGAGGAGGGAGCAGAACAGGGATCGTGTGAAGTGGTGTGTGAACTTCTAGGCTCAGCTCCAAGTTGTGCACAGGTGGATCTGACCTCGAACAGCATATCAATGATATTCAGAAAAGAACTAAGAGATAAAAACCACCACCATCTCCAAGCTTGGCGAGTGTCTGTGCATACGTGGGACAGATCTCAATCGCAAGCCAAGGGGTTAGAAGCTCATTTGACGTTGGAAACCATGCATAAAAGTTCTATAAAAGGAATTTAGGGCTTGATCTCAACCAAGTGCTCATGTCAACCTATTCCATCGGGTTTAAACAAGACCCAGAGTATCTTAACAAAATATTCCAAATGTCCATGATACAGGTTTCATTTACTTGGCATACCAAGAACTAGAAATATGCCAACTCTCAACGGAAACAATACAAATGAAAAAAAAATTACTAGATGTGTCAAAAGCAGAATATAGAAGACAGAGGAAACAAATAGTGACCTTGAAGACAGATCCATAGAAATTATCCAATCTGAACAAGAGAGAAAAGCACATAAACTTACAGATTCAAGAAGCTCAATGCATCCTAAACAGGATTAGCTCAAAAAATCCATTCCCAGACACGTCCAAATCAAATTGCTGAAGACTAAAAACGAAAAAATATATACTGAAAGCAGCTAGAGAAAAATGACATATTTCATACAGAAGAAAAACCACAGGAATTACTGCAGATTCCTCATCAGAACTATGGAGGTCAGAAGGAAGTGGAACAGTATTTTTAAAATACTGCAAATGCAGGATTCTATACCCAGTGAAAATATCCTTCAGGAATAAAGGTTAAATCAAGACATTTTTAGATGAAGCAAAACCAAGAACATTTGTGGCCAGCAGGTCAACTTTAAGAGGAATGCCAAAGATAATGCTTGGAATGGAATGGATATGATACCAGAGAGCCTTTGAAAGTCAGGAATAAAGAAGTACAGACAAAATGGTCAATATCTTTTAATAGACTATACTTCACTTCTTACATTCTTGAAAATACGATGGTTGAAGTAAAAATTATTATATTTTATGATAGTAGTTTCAATATATGTGGGTTTAATACACGTGATAGCTACACCAAAAAAGGGAGAGAATAAAGCGATCTATATGGTGGTAAGGTTTCCATGTTCTACTTGCAGTGGTAAAGCATTAAGTAAACTGGGAAAAGCTACATATGTGTATTGAAATCACAGACTAATTGCTTTAATAAAAAAAAAAGCTATATAATTGTTTTAAAGCCTCCAAAATTAAATTAAAATGGAAAAGTAACAAGTCAAATAATAATCCAAAAATTATCGGGAAAGAAAAATAGAGAATAACGTGCAAAGGAAACAAATAGAAAATAAGAAATAAAATGGTAGATATAAATACTAACACATTAATAATAACATTAAATTTAAATGCTCTAAACACATCAAATAAAATAGATTACCAGATGGAGTTTTATTTTTTTATTTAAAAAGTTGACTTCTTTATTATTTTTTTGTAGAGATGTGATCTCACTTTCTTATCCAGGCTGGTTTTGAACTCCTGGCCTCAAGCAATCCCTCCCCCCTTGGCCTCCCAATCAGATGGACTTTCAGAAAACTAACCAATGACATGCAGTCTATAAGGACTCAAATTTACATATAACAACATAGGGAGGTTAAAAACAAAGGGATAGAAAAAGACATACACACACTAATAAGAAGAAAGCCAGAGTGGCTATATTAATATCAAAGTAGTCTCAAGTGCAAGGAAAATTGCCAGGGATAAATAGGAACATTGAATAATGATTAAAAAAAATCAATTCGGCCGGGCGCGGTGGCTCACGCCTGTAATCCCAGCACTTTGGGAGGCCGAGGCAGACGGATCACAAGGTCAGGAGATCGAGACCACGGTGAAAGCCCGTCTCTACTAAAAATACAAAAAGTTAGCCGGGCGAAGTGGCGGGCGCCTGTAGTCCCAGCTACTCGGGAGGCTGAGGCAGGAGAATGGCGTGAACCCGGGAGGCGGAGCTTGCAGTGAGCCGAAATCGCGCCACTGCACTCCAGCCTGGGTGACAGAGCGAGACTCCGTCTCAAAAAAAAAAAAAAAATCAATTCACCAAGAAGACACGCCAGTCGTGAATAACCTAACCAGTATAATAATACCTAATGCCAGCATAAACCTACAACCTAACATTGGAACTTCAAAATACATGAAGCAGGCCAGGTGCAGTGGCTCACACTTGTAATCTCAGTACCTTGCGGGGCCGAGGCAGGCAGATCACGTGAGGTCAGGAGTTTGAGACCAGCCTGGCTAATATGGTGAAACCCTGTCTATACTAAAAATATAAAATTAGCTGGGTGTGGTGGCAGGTACCTGTAATCCCAGCTACTTGAGAGGCTGAGGCAGGAGAATCGCTTGAACCCAGGAGATGGAGGTTGCAGTGAGCCAAGATCATGCCACTGCACTCCAACCTGGGTAACAGAGTGAGATTCTGTCTCAAAACAAAACAAAACAAACAAACAACAAAACAAACATGAGGCAGAAACCAACAGAACTGTTAAAAAAAAAAAAACAAAAAACAAACAAAAAAAAACAAAATGGACAGCCACACGATGATACTGGAAAATTTCCACATTCCTACGTTCTCAGCAATCAACAACAGAGGACAAGTCAGCAAGGCTATAAACACTTAAAAATACCATCAAAAGGACCGAACTGACATTTAAAGAACACCGCACTCAACAATAACGAGCATAATATACATTCTTTTCAATGTCCACAGAATATTCGCCAAGATAGACCACAGCCTGAGTCAAAAAAATAGAAAAAGAACAAAATCAACTCAAAGCATGGAGAAGGAAGCAAATAACAAAATAAGGACAGCAATCAATAAGCTAAAAGCACAGGGAGAAAGGAGAAAACTTAATGAAGTTCAAAGGTAGTTCTTTCAAAAGATCAATAAAATTGATAAAAATTTTAGTAAGACTGACAAAGAAATAAAGACAGAAGACACAAATTACTAAAAGAGATGATATCACTACAGGGCTGACTTTAAACAGATAATGAGGGAATACTGTGACCAAGTCTAAGATAAATTTGACAATTTAGGTAAAATAAACTAATTCTCTAAAAGTTGCAAACTTCCAGAACTCACCTAGGAAGGAGATAAATTGTCTTACATCTATTAAAGATATTAAGTGTGTGTGTGTGTGTTTGAGACAGAGTCTCACTCAGTCACCCAGGCTGGAGTGCAGTGGTGCAATCTCAGCTCACTCCAAACTCTGCCTCCTGGGTTCAAGTGAGTCTCCTGCCTCAGCCTCCTCAGCAGCTAAGATTACAGGCGTGCACCACCATGCCTGACTAATTTTTGTATTATTAGTAGAGATGGGGTTTCACCACGTTGGCTAGGCTTGTCTTGAACTCCTGACCTCAAGTGATCCACCCACCTCGGCCTCCCGAAGTGCTGGGATTACAGGCGTGAGCCACTACGCCTGACAATTGTGTAGTTTAAAAAGCATCTGAAAAAGACTTCTTGACTCCAGTGATTTCGCTGGTGAATTTTGCCAATCATTTCAAGAAGCAGCAACACCAACTCTACACAATTCCTCCCAGAAAAGAGAAGTGGAGGGAACGCTTCCCAAATTAATTTATAAGGGCAGCATTATTCTGATACACAAACCAGACAAAGACAGCATAAGACATCAATACACCAACATCCCTCAGGAACATAGACACAGATCCTTAAAATATTAGGAAGTCAAATCCAGACATATATTAGTAGAAAGGGAATCATGAGCAAGTGTGCTTTATCCTGGGAGTGCAAGGCTGGTTCAATATTTGAAAAATTTATTGATGTAAGCCACCATATAAACAAACTAATGAAGAAAAACAGATAATCATAGCAACTGGTGCAGAAAAAGCCTTTGAGGAAATTCTACATAGGTGACAGCCTCCCCCCGGTGAGCTCGAGCAGAGCCCAGCCTGGAACTTGTGGCCCATGCCTTCCACATTTGGGTTCTGAGTAGCCTGGCAAAGGCAGCGGTAGGAGGAGGTGGAAATAAAGAGCTTTCTGGCCCCCATGGTCTCTGACATTACTTGAATACCATGGACCCATAAGAGTTAGTGGCGGGGCCTCAGTGGCAGGAGAGGGAGGACAAGGATGAAAAGTCCAGGTGTCTGGGCAATGCTGAACACCTTCCAGACAGCACGTTTCCAAGAAATGCTGACAAAACCGAAGAGCTGGGAAGTGCTGCTTCAAATATCTAGATTTAACACGGCCCCAGATGCAGAGAGACATCGATTACAGGGAGGCACCTGGGTCCCTAAGAAGATACTAATACAGCAATAATAACGGCTATGATTACAAAATAATAAGTAACGATACTAGTAAAAGCAAGATCCCAGAAGTACTTCGAAATGTCCCGCACAATTCCTATGTATGAAAACCCTGTTCATAATCTTTTTTTTTTTTTTCTGAGATGAAGTCTTGCTCTGTTGCCCAGGCTGGAGTGCAGTGGCGTGACCTCGGCTCACTGCAACCTCTGCTTCCCAGGTTCAAGTGATTCTCCTGACTTGGCCTCCCAAGTAACTGGGATTACAGGTGGCCACCACCACACTCAGCTAATTTTTGCATTTGTAGTAGAGACAGGGTTTCACCATGTTGGCCAGGCTGGTCTCGAACTCCTGACCTCAGGTGATCCACCTGCCTCGGCCTCCCAAAGCGCTGGGATTACAGGTGTGAGCCACTGCGCCCAGCGCGCAGGCAGCCTTCTTCCTGTGGGTGTCCACCCTCCAGGGGCTTCCTGCAGAAACTGTGTGCAGGGGTGCACTCCGGCCCCTCATCCCATCCCTGCCCTGTGAGCGTCCAACCTCTTGGCCTCTCTGGTGCCCTGTGGGCACCCGGGCAGAGCCAGTGGCTTTCCAGGCACGTCCCCAGCCCCGGCCCCGGCCTGCAGTGGTGGCAGTGGGACCACAGTGGAGATTCTGGGGACAAGGCCCAGCAGGTTCTCCTGGCAACCGGCCTTTCTCGTGCGGAAGGGACTCACTCCTGGAGGCCGCCCTCGGCTCCGCACCCCGCGGCTGCCATCTAGTGGCCACAAGCAGGGACGCCAGGCAGTGAGTCCGCTCCTACCAGGCGAGCGACAGGCCACAAGAGGGAAGACACCGCGCCAGCAGATTCCTGGAACGCCGCGGCTTCCGGAGGGGCCTCCCAGTGCTGGGGCCATCGTAGGGCCACTTTTGCATCACCCTCCGATTGTTGGAAATACAAGTTTATTTCCATCTTACAGGATGGCTTTCCGTTGCCCAGCTCTTGAATACCCAGCCCTCCCAGCTGTGCCTGTGCAGAAAGCCAAGCCTATGACTTAGCCGCTTCACCGAGCCCCGGACCCCACTGACGTCCTGGGGCCAAAGGCCTCTGTGATCTTGCGGAGATGGCTCTGCTGCTCTGAGCTCGTTTCCTCACTGGCCGCAGCGGGTTCAGGGTGACAGCTGCAGCCCCCGTGCGAGCAGGTGCAGGAGACATCCCCAGCTCCCCCAGAGGCAGGTTCCCAGAGCGAGGCAGAGAACCTTCCAGACTCCAGGCTGGAGGTCTCTCTTCCACCCTCCAGCCAGGGAAAGCTCCCTTCCTGAATGTCCAGGCTCTGATGGGAAAGATCCTTTACCTGAAAACGCTCAAATGCTGGCCTGGGTTCTCTGAGCCTTAGAGGCACATTTTCTGAAACAGGGATAATAAGGGTTCCAGGAGCACTCACTGATCCTGGGGGCTGGCCACGGTGCTGGGCCTAGGGATAGACAGGAGGTGAACCGGAGAAGAGCCCAGGTTAGCAGGTGAAGCCCCCACGCTGCCTGGCACAGAGCACACCCTCTCCCAGAACAGGCATTTGAATCCACCGCCGCCTGCACGCTCCTTCCCTCCAGCTGTGTGGGCAGGGGCTGTGGCTACCTCTCTAACTAGTCTCACAACCCCTGCTGCCCTCTCTGGGGTCCAGGCAGGTTCCATGGCATCATACTGGACCCTGCTTTCTGCCACTAGCAGGGGAAGACGGGGAGGCTTGGAGCTGCTGAGGGCAGGGCCTCGGCTGCACACTCTGGGGCACCAGGCAGCCCCACACCCCTATCATCTCAGTGGCCACGCAGCGTTGAACATATTCTGACATACGGAATTTTGCTTTGTAAGCTGCTTTGTCTTTCTGGGAACGTGTCCTCTAAGCTCACCTTTACACAGATCTGCAGCTTGTCTTATGTAGATCAGCACAGAATGTTACAAAAGAGAACGGATACATAGAGCAGACCCTGGGCTCAGACCCAGGCTCCAAACCTCCTGGGCCAACCACTCCACTTCCCCAGGTCCTTGCGCCCCCGTCTGCAAAATGGAGCACTAGCAGTTTCCATGATATTGGACGTTTGGCAAGGATTATGGAGGGGAGCCGTGTGAAGGTCAAAGGCTGGCAGGTAACAAATGCTTAATAAATGTGACTATTCTTATTTTTATTCCTCCATGCATCCCTTTAGTAGACAAGTATCTACTGAGCCCCTGCCCTGAGCAGGAGAGACAGGAAGCAGGAAGGTTAATAGCAGTGTTAGGAGCTGGACTCCTGGGTTTGAATCCCACCCAGCTTTGCCATTTATGAGCTGGCTGACCTTGAGCAAGGGGCTTACACTCTCTAGCCTCGGTTTCCTTATCTGTAAAAAGGGATAACAACCATATCAACCCATGCAGATAAGAGTGAGCATAGCAGGCCTGTGGCTGCTGCCCTGAGAAAGTCCTGCCCGCAGGGCTGGCCCCTAGCTGGCATCTGGGAGCTGAAATGTCCCCTACATGGAGAGGCCGGGACACCCAGCCCTGCGGCAGCAGCTCCCATGGCGTGTTGAGCCAACACTGTGGTGTATGCAAGCAAAACCCCAGCTTTCCTTCCAGAAGTCGGGAATTGTGGCACGTGCCAGGCTGAGGGTGCCTACGTGACAGGATTCCCAAGGGAGAAATATTTCACACATGTGGCTGCATTTTTTCCTAGTGGGTGGGGAATGTGCTGTGTCCCCTCAAGGAGAGAGGGAGGGGGCTTCAGTCTGCTCATGGATGCCTGCAGACTCCGCCTAAGCTGTGGCACTGTTATAAACCTTAGACAACAGGATGACTCTATATCGAGTCCTGCGAGTCCTTCCAGAGGACCCCAGAATGTGTGGGTGGGGTCCCCCGACACACCATCCCATAGGCCTGCATGAATGTCCCAGGGTTGCTACAACAAATGACCCCAGACCAGGAGGCCTGGACAACAGATGTTCATTCTCTCAGTTCTGGAGGCTGGAAGTCTGAGATCACGGTGTCTGTAGGATGGGCTCCTTCTGGAGGTGAGAGACAGAACTAGATGGATTTCCTAGGCAGACTAAGAATCCCTAAGCCCAGCTGGGAAGGTGACCGCATCCACCTTTAAACACGGGGCTTGCAACTTAGCTGACACCCAACCAATCAGATAGTAAAGAGAGCTCACTAAAATGCTAATTAGGCAAAAACAGGAGGTAAAGAAATAGCCAATCATCTATTGCCTGAAAGCACGGGGGAGGGACAATGATCGGGATGTAAACCCAGGCATTCCAGCCGGCAATGGCTACCCGCTTTGGGTCCCCTCCCGTTGTATGGGAGCTCTGTTTTCACTCTATTAAATCTTGCAACTGCACGCTCTTCTGGTCCGTGTTTGTTACGGCTCGAGGTGAGCTTTCGCTCGCCATCCACCACTGCTGTTCACCGCCATCCCAGACCCGCCGTTGACTTCCACCCCTCCGGATCTGGCAGAGTGTCCCCTGCACTTCCGATCCAGCGAGGCGGCGCCCATTGCTGCTCCCAATTGGGCTAGAGGCTCGCCATTGTTCCTGCGCCAGCTAAGTGCCTGGGGTTGGTCCTAATCGAGCTGAATAGAGCTGTAACACTGACTGCATGGCCCAGGATTCCATTCCTTGGAATCTGTGAGGCCAAGAACCCCAGGTCAAGGAACAAGAGGCTTGCCACCATCTTGCAAGTGGCCCGCCATCATCTTGGGAGCTCTAAGAACAAGGATCCCCAGTTAACAGAGGCTCTGAGGAAGAATCTGCCCCAAGCCTCTCTCCCAGCCTCTGGGGCTGCTGGCACCCCTCAGCAGTCCCTGGCTTGTGGCCGTATCCCTCCAACTTCTGCCTCCATCTTCACATGTGAGAACTAAAAATAAAATCCTAAGCCCCCGACTGACTGGAACAAGGGGACACCACAGAAGCCTTAAAAACTGAGTTCTGGCCGGGCGCGGTGGCTCACGCCTGTAATCCCAGCACTTTGGGAGGCTGAGGCAGGCGGATCACGAGGTCAAGAGATCAAGACCTTCCTGGCCAACATGGTGAAACTCTGTCTCCACTAAAAATACAAAAATTAGCCAGGCGTGGTGGTGTGTGCCTGTAGTCCCAGCTACTCAGGAGGCCAAGACAGAGAACTGCTTGAACCTGGGAGGCAGAGGTTGCAGTGAGCAGTGAGCCGAGATCACGCCACTGCACTCCAGCCTGGGCAACAGAACAAGACTCCATCACAAAACCAAACCAAACCAAACCAAAACAAAACAAAAAAACTGAGTTCTGGCCGGGCACAGTGGCTCACACCTGTAATCCCAGCATTTTGGGAGGCTGAGGCAGGCAAATCACTTGAGGTCAGGAGTTGAAGAGCAGCCTGGCCAAACCCCGTCACTAGTAAAAATACAAAAATTAGCCGGGCGTGGTGGCAGGTGCCTGTAATTTCAGCTACTTGGGAGGCTGAGGCAGAGTTGCTAGAACCCGGGAGGCGGAGGTTGCAGTGAGCCCAGATCGCACCACTGCACTCCAGCCTGGGCTACAGAGCAAGACTCCATCTCAAAAACAAAAAACAAAAAAGCAAAACTGAGTTCCAACCATGATGGGACAGGAGGTTGGGCACGTCTTGTTATGCTGCTCCCTGTTGAGGTTTAGCCACAACTGGCCGGCGTTAACACTAAAGGAGAGATTGTGAGACTGATAGAATGGGCTCCTGGTGGCAATAAGAGACTGGATTGTAAGCAAGACCTAAGACTGTGTGAGGCAAGGGTGAAGTCATGCACCCCACACTTAAATAAACGAGTTCTGGCTGTCATAGTGCTTTTCTCTTCCTCTAGCAGCCAGCAAGCCCCGGCCTTGGGATGGACAACATTAAAACCATTGCAGCTCCACCAGATGCTGATAACAGACCCCATGCCAGCAGCCATAACTATAACTGTGATTGGATAAGAGGCTGATTTCAGTAGCTTTCTCTTGATAAGAAACCACTGGCCAAAGACTGAGGCATGGGACGGATTCTACCTCGGAGCTTCCAGAAGGAACCCACCCTGCAGACACCTTGATTTCAGACTTCCAGCCTCCAGAACTATGAGAGACCGGCTCTGCCGGTTTACAGAGGCTGCTCACTGAGCGGCTTTACGTTCCTGCTTCACCTTTTGACATACAGAGCCTGACTGTAATGCCTTTAAATGTGAAGCCTCCACCCCAGGTGAACATGGGACGCATGTAACACGCATGTGTGCTCAGTGCACATGTCAGGACCTGCTTTGTGAATATTCACAGCTCCTCCTGTAACCTGCTGAGTATGCTTAACCTGCCATAACCTTAGCCAATGCATTCAGCATAAAGCCCCGTTCCACCCTCACCTCCTCGAAGCGCCTGCCTCTGGTTTTGGCTAGAGGCCCAATTCCCAGCTCACAGGTTGTAACCCTTTATAATAGTCTCCCTTCTAAATTTATAAATCGTGCAATTCTTGGGCTGACATGTGACTTTCTGCTCCCCACGTTTGTTCCTCCTCTCTTCTAAGGTCACCTGCCATTGGATTTGGAGGCCATCGTAATCTAAGATCTCATCTCAAGATCCTTAACTACATTTGCAAAGATGCTTTTATTTTCCAAATAAGGTCTGACTCATAGCACCTGGAAGTTAGGACGCATACTGGTCATGGGTGGGGCCAGCATTCAGCCTGACAGGACCCTTGAGGGGACTCGATGAATCCCTACCCTACAGTGCTGTGGGAGTGTGCAGCACAGGGAGCGGCTCGGGAAGGCCCCATGGTGGCTGCTCCCCTGAGCATTGCACACCTGTCCCTGCCTAGGCAGTGGCCTGGAGGCTTCCAGCTGAAGGCAGTTGCTGAGGCTGCAGGTACCCCAGGAGCAAATGAAGGGATTAACCTGGAGGGTGGTAGTCAGTGTAGGAAGGCTCCCGGGAGGAGTGACCTGTGGGGCAGAGGCTGGAGGATGAGAAGAGCCAGCAGGAGGCGGGTCCAGAGCCATGTTTGCAGGGCTTCAATGCAGGGAGGTGATGGTCCCCTGGAGGATGTGCTCAGGGAGCTGCAATGCCCAGGGGCAGTGGTGGAGGTGCCGGCTTTCCAGGCTGCAGGTCGGGTGGGAGAGGCCCCACTGGGAGGAGAGCGTGGGACCCTCCTCTATCAGTGTGCTGGGTCTCTGGATAAATGAGACAAAGTCGTCTGCTGTGGACTGAATGGTGTCTCCTCCCCACAAATTCAAATGTTGAAACCCAAACCTCTAACAGGATGGTATCTGGTGATGGGGCCTTTGGGAGGTGACTGGGGTGAGATAAGGTCATGATGGTGGGGCCCCTATGATGGGATTTGTGCCCTTACTAGGAGAGATAAGAGAGTCCCAGTCTTTTTCTCCCTTGGCCACACGGGGGCATAGCGAGGAGGTGTCCATGAGCCAGGCAGGCTCCCTGATCTGGGACTTTCACTCTCCAGCACTGTGAGAAAATCGATTTCTGGTGTGTGAGCCCCAGTCTCGATTGTGTTTGTTTCAGCAGCCTGAGCTGAGACATCAGCCTTCCCCAGACCCACAGAACGAGGCACCATGTCTGCGTGGGATGATGATGATGGTGAAGGGTGTCCAGTGAGTGACGCACCTCTATGGGTCCTCTGGCTCATCCCGGGTGCACCAGTGTTCCCCTCACATTCTGGAGAAGACTCTGAAACACTCCAAGGTGCAGGGCTTCCCCGGCTTTGCCATGTGTTCCAGTCCCTGGGGGTCTTGCCAGCAGGCAGGCTCTCATTCAGTAGGTTCTGGGGGCCTGGGAGCCTGCATTCCTAACAAGCACCCAGGTGACCATGCCCATGCTGTGCTCCATGGGCCACGTTGAGTGGCAAGATCTTCACGAGTGGCCCTTGACCTCAGCCATCCTTGTGCAGATACCCCCAAACCTGAGCTGCCCCGGAGGGCTTTTTAAAGCATAGAACTTCAGATTCCAGGGTGGAGTCTGGGATTCTGCATTCCTAGCAAGTTCCCGGCTGCTGCTGCTGCTGCTGCTGGTCTGGGGCATCCAGCTGGAGCAACACTGCCCAGGTGGTTCTCAGCCCCAGCGGCTTTTCTCAATGACTGCTGCCCTGGCCCCGCCCACTCCATCAGCATCTGTGGGCGTGGGGTTCTTTTTGCAGCGCCCCAGAGATTCAGAGAACCCCTGACTTCGCTCCTGCTCTCTTTTCCTCAATCTGCCAATGCTCATCTCATGAATATTTCATCTTTAAAGCAGACAGAATAGAGCAAAGCTCCAACAAAGCAAAACCTAAGCCAACGCGGTAGTTCTCAAAATTCTGTGGTTTTACAAACGTGGCCTGAAATTAGCTTATTTTTAAGCCGAAGGAAAATGAAGCCCATGTCAATCGCAGACCTCCCAAGTGTCCTGGCTGGAGACAGAAGTTCTCCCTGGGTGGGTACTGTCAGGCTGTCGGTTAGTGGCATCCAGGGCCCCCCAGACCAGCAGGATGCAGAGGAAATGAGAAGGAATGTCAGTGGTGGGGGCGCCTCTTTTGAGTCTGTATTCTGGAGTTGGTGGGCAGCTGGTCTGAGGGCCATGGTGAGAGTCTTCCACCAGGGTTTTTGTGGTGCCAAGTGTCCGGGTGCTTGGAGACCACCCCAGGGTGCTGCCCCTCCAGTCTAAGCCCAGCCACTGGATGACAGGGCTGATGGTCCAGTACAGAGGTGCACAGACCCCAGGCCCCAGGTCCACAGATCCCACAAGCAGTGGAGGTCATAGCTCCTTCCTCAGTATGAGCCATCTGGATGGCCTAGTGTCTACCTTAGGGCAGGTGCCCCTGGGTCCTCTCAGGTAAGCCACACTGACCTGGAGAGGCAAGAGGTGAGGGGCATTAAGGCCACCTGGCCCTCTACAGCGGCCACCTGAAATGTGTGCCCTCATTTCAGCCCGGAGGAGGAGGGAAGCACAGACAGGTGGTGGCCTTGTTAGAGAAGCTCAGAATGGAGGCGGGAGAGATGCTGTCACTTTTCAAAGTCATGGCTGGTGGCCAGGCCACGTGATGGGAGCACGCTCACCTGCACACCACCATGAGGCCCGGCCATACTGCATTCCACCTGGGCACATCCCTCCCAGCCACTCAACTCTTTCCTAACCACCCCCTTTCCCTGCCAAGGAGCCTGATCTGAAGGAGCAGGGTGTGACAGGGGAACTCATTGGCTGTGCGACCTGGAACAAGTCACTTAACCTCTCTGAGCCTTAGTTTCCTCATGTGGAGGATAGAGCGAAAACCAATCTGCCTTGGAGGGTGGGTCTAAGTTACAACAAATGCAACCCAAATGATGCATCCTAATGAACACCAGTGATGAAGCACCTGCCACGTGCAGCAGCCACGTACATAACCATCTTTGAGACAGGGCCATGGGATGGGAACTCCCATCCCCATGGGACAGCAGGGGACACAGGGGCACAGAGGGTTTGCTGGCAGGGGTGGAGCTGCTCCGGGATAACTGTGCTGCCCTGAGGATTGGGTGAGTGGATGTGGGTGAAGCATCAGGGCCTGGCTCTGCAGGGAAGTGTAGCAGAAGTTGGACGTTCTCATGACTCCCATGCCCTTCTGTGCTCTGAGCTGCTCGGGACCAGGCTGGGCTCGCAGTGGTCAGTGAAAGGCCACCTACTGGGGCCAGCCTCATGAAGGGGCTGAGGGCCATGTGCTTTCGGGCCAACAGCACCCACAGAAAGCACCCTGTGACCTGGACAGCAGCATGCCTGGCTCTGAGCCTGTTGGGCCATATGGATGCCCGATGCATAATGGTCTGCAGCTGACTGCAATAAAGAGCAGGCAGGCAGAATGCATTTGACAGGAGGGTGTCACCCCTAGAACCACACCCAGGGAGACGGAGAGGCCCAAGCTTCAAGGGAGCACAGCCCCATTGCAGGCTTACTAGAGAGAGAGGCTCAGCTGTCCTGGGCCTCTGGGCACACTGTGAGTGGATGTGACTCAGCATCAACCACACTATTAAACCGCTTTTTAAAAGGGTGGAATGTATGAAAGTTAGATGCTGACATGAAATCATACCACATTAAACTGCATGTATTTATTCAGAGCTGTGGGAATCATAGAGCAAAGTTTTCCATTGCTCAAACTATCTGATTATTAAGTCATCCATATACCCACCAATCCATCCATCCATCCATCCATCCATCCATCCATCCACCCACCCACCCACCCACCCACACATCAAGCCTTCCTTTATCTCTTCCTTCCCCTCTCTCTTTTGTCCATCAATCCATTCACCCACCCACCCATCCACCCATGCATCCACATATCCACCCATCCATCTATCCACTACCCACCCATGCATCCATCCATCCATCCATCCATCCACACATCCATGCATCCATTCACACATCATTCCATCCTTTATCCCTCCCTCCTCCTTCTATCCATCTATACATTCACCCACTCACCCACCCATCCATCCACATACCTACCCACACATCCATCCATCCATCCATCCACGCACCCATCCATCCACCCACCCATACATCCACACATGCATCTATCATCCATCCATCCATTCACACATCAATCGATCCTTTATCCCTCCCTCCCCTCTCTCTTCTATCCATCTATCCATTCACCCACCCATCCACCCACCCATCCATCCACCTATCTACCCACACACTGATCCATCTACCCATGCATCCACATATCCATCCATCCATCCATCTACCCACCCACCCATGCATCCATTCACATATCCACCCACCCACTCATGCATCCACACGTGCATCTATCCATCCACACTTGCATCAATCCATCCATCATCCATCCATCCATCTACCCACTCACCCATCCATTCACACATCTGTCCATCCACTCACACATCCATCCATCCACTCACACATCCATCTGTGCTTTATCCCTGCCTCCTCTCTTCCATCCATCCATCCATCCATCCATCCATCCATCCAGTTGGTCACATATTTATTAGCACCTGTTTTATGCCAAGTTCTATGCAGGGCAGGCACTGATGAATCAGAGAGGGTGTTACATATGGCCCCTCTCCCAACAGATTCTTAGGCCTGGAGGGAAGTAATCCATTAATGAAAGACAAGCCACTGAACAACAGCCCAAGGGAAGAAGACTACACCAGTTCTGTTTTGATCGGGGAGAGAAGTGTCAGGGCAGGAAGTGGGGAGGTGCAGAACTGAGGTGGAAGGGAAGAGGGAGTTGGGCCTGCCTTCCATCCATTTCCTGTTTCCTGGGGAAACATTATAGCCCACGTCTGTGTGCCAGTCTTTGTGACCCAAGTGGCATGGCTGGCCGCCTCCAAAGATATGCATGCAATTCAGGTCTGGTCAAAGGGTTCATCCAACTCCCTTGGCCAGCATGATTGGGTCAGGGATGGGCAGTGATTCAAATCAGTCCAGTGAAATTAGATCCTGAACCTTCTTTTACAATGACTGGGAAAGAGGCAGTCTTGCTCTTATGTGACTACTAAAACAGCAGAATGCTAGCCTGGTGCTGCCGGTGACCACCTCTGAATGGCATGGGGGAGTTCATACAGACAACACCAGAGAAAAGAGAATGAGAGCTTCTTAAGGCTCCCTAAGCACCTGGATCCAGCCAGGACTGAAGCTGTTATTCCTAAACTTAAAAGCCGTTAAATTTCTGTTTGGTTTCAGCCAGGATAGGCTTGTTTTCTGTCATCTGTAACTAAGTGTCCTTAATAACATGGCAGGGTATAGCCTCAGCAAAGAGATCCAGGAGCTCCCAAGAAGCAAGAACTCCCATGAGGCTCTGAAATCCCCTGCGAGAGACCCAGGGTGGCTGGTGTAACATTAAGTGGGCACAAATGCATCTGGGGCAAGTCCCTCCCCAGCTCAGGCTTCAGTTTCCCCATACATGAAATAAGTTTTGTTTTCTCACTTAAAGCTTCCCAACACTTTTCTTGAATGACATTTTGTACCTTATATCCTGAACTGCTCTGAAATTGGGAGGAAGTAGAGGACATCTGTACGGGGTGAGCACCTTGGAAACGGGAAGAAAGCCATTACCTAGGAGGTACTGTGACAGAGGTGGCCAGCTGCCTACTCTAACATCAGTTCTCAACTTACTCATCCATAGCAGGTTATCTGGAATAAAGCCAACAGCTCAGCCTCCTTTGAGATGATGTTATGGCTGATCATCCATAATTGGAAGCAGAGTGGACAATGTGCATGTCCTTAAAAGAGGGAATGTTTTCTTGAACCTTTCGCTCTTCCTCTATTGGAACGCAGATACAATGGCTGGAGTCTAAGCAGCCACCTTGAACTGCGAGGCAGCCTATTAAGGATGTTGGAGCAGCAAGAAAGGCAGAGGCCAGGTCCCTGTATGTTTGAAGCCCTCATATCAGCTCTGGACTGCTGCCCTCTGTCTTCTTTAATATGACAGAGAAATATGCCTCTGTGTCATGTAAGCCATGTTCTTTAGTTGTTTTTCTGTCACATGTGGCTGATGGGACTCTGAATAACAGCACGTCTTGGATAATCTGGCTGGGAGGAAGGAGAAGTCAGAGGGGAGGAAGGGGTCTCTTCTTTCAAGATATGGATATTTGGATTTTTGTGTTAATTTGAAAGCATCTTATTTGATGCTTTCGAATTACAGAACATTTCCCTCAAACACCTCCAGGCCCTGGTTTAAGTCACTAAAATAGTTTCCACTCCTAAGCAACCGCATCAGGGGTTTAATCAAACAATAGAGCAGTGTACGTGGATATCAATGCCCCTCAGAACAGACGGGGCCGGAATGCTCCTTGCCGCTCTAACAGGTAGGCAGGGATTGCTCCTCGCTTGTTAAAATGTACCTGTCGATTTTCCTCTTGTTTCATAACAACTCCATTTTGTCACTCTAATTTTAGTGGCAATGTTTTTGTTCCAATCAGCGATCATTTTGGAAAAGTAGGCTGCTGGAAGAGCTCTTGGCATACAAAATGACAAGCAATTTTTAAACGGCATAAGACGGGTGATTTTTAACCACACGGAATTCTAAATCTGTTTTGAGCTGGTTAGCGCTCCTTAGAAAATAACTAGCTGTCCGGGAGATGTGATGTCCACTCTGCTAGCTCTGGTGTGGCAGGCCTACTGTGTGCCAGGCACGGACACGGGGAGGCATCAGACAGGGTCCCTGCCCCAAGGAGTTGCAGAGTGGGGACACAGATGAGAGAAGTGAAAATGGACATGGGCGCTGGGCTTTTGAACTGAAGGCTGGCTGTAGAGATGATGTTAGGCCAAGCAGCTGGGAGAGCCTCACCTCTGCCTTCCAGCCCAGGGTCCTGCCCAGCCCCAGGAGAGGGCCAGGCAGCAGCCAGACTGACCTCATTCTCTGGGCTCAAGATCCCAGAATGTAAGAAAGTTTGGCGGTTTTTCGAAAAGTTAAACACAGAGTTACCATATGACCCACCAATTCCATTCCCAGGTAGGCACACCCAAAAGAAAAAGAAGGAAAAACAGGTAAGCATATCCTTACATATGGACGTTCACAGCCGCACCACTCACAGATGCAGCCCGAAGGGTGGGAGCAACCCAAGTGTCCCTCAACAGATGAGCACATAACGAACATGGTCCATACACAAAAGGAAGCACTACTCAGCCTTGAAAAGGAGCGACGTACCACCACAACGCCACAATGTGGACGAGCCTTGAGAACATGGCACTGAGTGAAGGATGCCAGTCACAAAGGCCATGCTGGAGGATTTCATTGATAGGAAATGCACAGGAAAGGGAATCTGCAGTGATGAGAAGTAGATTAGTGGCTGCCAGGGGTGGGGGGGGCATGAGGAGTGACTGCTAATGAATATAGGGTTTCTTTTTGGGGTGATGGAAATGTCCTCAAATTAAAAAGTGACAATTCACAACTCCAGGAGTATCTAAATGCCACAGGATTTTGTACTTTAAAATGGTTAATGTCAATTTCGCCTGAATCAAAACACAAAAACCTTCCAGAATGGTCTGCTGGGGCTCAGATATGCCAGTGCTCCCTTTCCCTCTGCTTCTTGCACTCAGATTACCACCAGGGGTCCTCTGGGTCTCCCCTGCCTGACTCTGCAGGGATCCGTGCAGAAAGGCGGGGCAGGGTGCTAGAAACAACACCCAGATCCCCTTTAGATCCAAGCTGGCCACTTTCTAGCTGGGGTGGGGGGGCTGAGGATGTTGCTGAATTTCTTGGAGCCTGTTTCCTTCTCTGTAAAGTGGCGACAGCTGCACATCCTGGGGCCAGGAGTGGCATCAAAGAGAAGGTGCAGCATGCAGTGTAGATGTGAGTTCCCTCCCTGCCTGTCTACTGGGGCAGAGGCCATGTCTGATGGACAGGGTAGTTCTGCCAGTGGCGATTTACTGAGCAGGCCTCTGCACCAGACAGTGAAGTAGTGATGGAGGAAGTCGTGGACAGGGAGGATAAAGTCCCCAGCATCACCTGAGAGATAGGCAAGAATAGAGCTCCCCAAATCAGCCAAGTAATTCTGGCCACAAGAGTGTCACCACACCAAGAAAAGGATGAGGTGAGGAATGTGACCCGGAGGCAGTTCAGGGAAGGCCCTTGGAGTGGCGGCACAGTGGGGAGGTGGCCTGGCCCTGTGGGGAAGCTTGTTGGCAGCAGAGAGAGCTGGGTGCCTGCAGGAGTGAGGGCCGGAAGGAGGGGCCATCTCTAACCACTTTGGCATCTCAGGAGTCTGTGGGGCACACACCACAGCCTGCACCCCTGAGTTATTTATCTTGCAAAGGAAGGGAGTAGCCATTTGCAGGAGGTTTTCCAGGCAGGTTTCCCTCATCAGGAGAAACAAGGCTGGGGGAAGCCTCAGGCCATGGGGAGCCTGGAGATGGAGGGAGGAGGCGGGCAGTGGTGGCTGCAGGGGTGTGAGGGTGAGGCCAAGGACTTGGCTGCTGAGGCCTTGGCTCTGGCTCCTGGCTTCCAAGGTTCTCACCCTGCACATGGGAAGAGGGGCCAGGTGGGCACCAGTGGCAGTGTCAGGTCCAGAGACCCACTCCAGGGGGGTGGGGAAGGCAGGTGTCTCCAGCTTTCCCCAAAGGTGTCTGCACAGGTGGCCGAAGCTTCCCAGGCTTTGGTCTCACATCCGCATCTTGGGTCTGCCTTGTCGGGGTCTGTCCACGCTAGGCCACCACTCTTCCCCAGGTGTAATTCGCTGAGAGGCTTTATTCCCTGGAACGCAGGGCCTGGCATCCTACTTGTTCTAGTAAGAGGTTGGCGGGGTGAATGAATGGGTGGGTGGGTGGTTGAGTGAATGACTCGCCTGAGAAGTTCCAGTTCCGGTCTCCTTCAGCGGAGCGAGTGCAGCCCATCATCAGGGCCCGTGCTCCTGGCAGTAAGTAGGGCAGCCCTGCTTCACGCGGTGGCCCCAGGGACGGTGCCCACTGCCCTCCTTTGCTCGCAGACATGTCCTCGTTTGGATGATAAATGATGCGGTCACCCTGGCACATAGACTCCTTCTAGGAGGATCCAGGAGAAATGCCAGGAGCTTCAGGAACAACAAATAGGTCAGGTCGCCACTGGGGTTTTCTATCTGTGCCAGAGCTCAAGGACAGAGCATGTCCCTGAACAACGCTGGAGCTGCAGGGTGACCTGAGCTTGTGCTCAACAGACGTGATGCATACCTGGTGCACACGGCAGGGGGTGGGGCAGGGGGGCTCTCTGAGCCTTCTGCGAGAGCACATGAAATGGCATGTGCGTGCATGCACATGTACACATGTGTAAATGTGAGGGTGTACGTGTGCTGAGCACAAGTGAAGCATGTGCAGCATGTGTGTAGTATGTGCATAAGCACACATGTGCGTGTGTTCTATGTGGGCATGTGTAGGCATGTGTGTATGTTCTATGTGGGCATGTGCAGGCATGTGTGTCTGTGTGCAGGCATGCACGTATGTGCACATTTGCACGTGTGTAGGTGTGTGTGTATGGGTATCTTTCATCTGCTACTCAATGAGGTCTGTGGTTGCATGTGTTTGTGAGAGAGGCACCAGCCAGCACACCCTGGGTCCTGCAGGTGCTGGAGGCTGAAGGGGGTGGGCATCCATCATCTTCCTCCGCCATCTCCTACCCTATCCCTGGGCCATGGAGGAAGGCCTTACGTAACCTTGTGTTGAGCATGTACCTTCCCAGTGGCCCACGGACAGTGTGACCTGGGCCCTCTGGCTCCCTCTGATTCTGGTCGCAAAGCAGCTGAGGGGAAGATGAATACCCTTCTCAGCTGAGTATGTGGGTCAGATAAAGCTCTGGTCTAGGGGAGAAAGTTCTAGTCTCTGCTGCCGCCCACTTGATGTGTGACTTGGAGCTCGGCTGTGTCTCCTGCTCTTTGCCTCTGGTGTCCTCCTGGGAATCAGCACCACCAGACCAGCCTGGTCTCTGATAGTAGGAATCTTGTATACACAGCAGACTTGGGAAGGCCCCTGAGGGTGACTGGGGTCATGGCCATGGGCCTGTGGTCCTCATGCCTCTGCTCATCCGCCTGGGTGGGAACTTTCTGTGCCCAGCACTGTAGAGACCAGCTGTCCAGCTGTGTTAACACTGAGGCCCCCAGCTGGCCTGAAAATGCCCACCTGGACAGAAGCCACTGTGCCTGGAGCGGCCAATGAGCCGGGGTCACCATGTGATGGCTGGGAAGTTACTTAGGCCCAGGGGCCTTCTCTCTAAAACGGGTCCTCAGATGCAATTCTGGCCCTGTTTATCCAATGGACGGCTCTGGGAAAGGGCTTGGGCACCTTGAGAAGTTGTAACCGTTTACAAATAAAAAGCTCCACAGTGATGATGAAAGTGACACCCATTTCGGTTCTCTGAGAATCAACTGGAGCATGGGCCTCCTCTCTCCGAGGAAAAGTAACCTTTCCCCCAGGTTCCTGCTCTGGGATCAGTCCCTCTCCGACACACAGAGTGCTCCAGAAGTTAACAGGCACAGTTAATCTGTGCACAGATCTGCAGGACCCTGGTAGTCAATAAGAGATCCCTCCTTCTCTCCTTCCCTCCCTCTTACTTCCTTTTTTTTTTTTTTTTTTTTTTTTTTTTTGACAGGGTCTCACTCTGTCACCCAGGTTGGAATGCAGTGGTGCAATCTTGGTTCACTGCAACCTCCGCCTCCCAGGCTCAAGCGATACACCCACCTCAGCCTCCTGAGTAGCTGGGACCACAGGCATGTGCCATCACACCTGGCTAATTTTTTTGTATTTTTGGTAGAGATGAGTTTTCATCATGTTGCCCAGGCTGGTCTTGAACTCCTGAGCTCAGGTGATCTACCCTTCTCAGCCTCTGAAAGTGCTGGGATTACAGGCATGACCCACGGCCTTCGGCCCAGAGACAGTTTCTATAAAAGACGGCTTCTTGCCATCTCAGCACACCATCGCGAAGGAGTGACGGGCTCTTTCAGAGACATGGAGGGCCAGGCACCTTGTGACCACATGCACAAGTGACCAGCACACAGAAGTGGTGGGGGCAGCTGGGTCCCTGGGCGCCTGACCCAGGTGGGGCCCATCCCAGGGCAGTGGCATCTGGATGGAGATGCCCAGTGGCAGCTCATCTTCCTGCATGAGGACTGCAGTGCTGGAACCTTCTGAGCACATTCTCAGGGTTAAAAAGGTGAAGGGAGCAGCTGGGCTGGGTGGAGTGGGTGGGTATCCATCGGGTCGGACGATGGCTCCAGGGGATCTGGCAGTTTTTGGCAGTTACTTCACAGGACAGAGGCTCTCACCCAAGCCACCTGGAGGAGGGGCGTGGAGCCGCGCTGGGGGCCCAGCGAGCTTCTGCCTCCACCGGGAGGGGTGACTCTAAGCTCATTCCAGGAGCAGCTGGGCTGCCGGCCAGCCTGCCCCACTGTGGCCACACACGGCCACTGATGGATTTAGGATTTGGAGGTTCATAAATAATGAACACTTCCTGGAGCCAAATCCCCGTTCCCAGTTGAGCTGCCAGGACTCCAGAATCTGCCCCTGGTCTGTGCCATCAAGGTGAGGAAGCCAGGAAATCGCTACTGGGCCTGGGGGTTTTCACCACAAGGTGTCTTTGTTTAAAGGCAGCAAAGCTCTGAGGTCTAAAAGGTGAAGGTCTCTAAGGATGAGGACGGCTCAAGTCAGTGGAACCCACTGTGTAAGCTGTGAGACCCCGGGCAAAATGACAAAGAGCCCCTTGTTTAAAATGATTCAGAGTCTCCGGGTGCTGACAGCAGAACATTACACAAGCATGGGGCCCGTGTAACAGTGGGTACAAGCCCCCCTAGTTTGAGAAGTGTATTGGTGTGGTGCCTCACGCCTGAAATCCTAGCACTTTGGGAGGCTGAGGCAGGTGGATCACTTGAGGTCAGGAGTTTGAGACCAGCCTGGCCAACATGGTGAAATCCCATCTCCAAGAAAAATACAAAAATTAGCTGGGGGTGGTGGCGCGCGCCTGTAATCCTAGCTACTCGGGAGGCTGAGGCAGGAGAATCGCTTGAACCCAGGAGGCAGAGGTTGCAGTGAGCCAAGATCACACCACTGCACTCCAGCCTGGGCAATAGAGCAAGACTCTGTCTCAAAAAAAAAAAAAAAAGTATATTATTCCATGCCTCTGAAAGAGTGAAGGACAGGCCATCCTCACATATGCCTGATTATACTGACTATATCATGTTGAAACATTGGAGAAACTATAGTTTCAGAAAGGGTGAGCTGACCTGTCGCTTCCTACATGCAGCCAGTGATAGAGATGCCTCTGGAAGGGGTCCCCTCTCTGCACCAGGGCAAGAAAATGGCCCTTGTCACCAGAGGCTGGGCACTGGAGGCTGCAGTGGGCCTGAGTAAACATACATAATGGAGTAGCCCTCATCTTCCACTGCTTTACACCACCTGTATATGTCCTAGGGACTCCACTAGAAAATTTACTGTCCTAGCCAGATTTTCTTTGCCCTGTCGTTTCTTTTCAAATTTATCATTCTTTGTCAAAAAGTACAAAAGCGTCTTGCTTGGGTCACTTCTCTGCATTTCGCTCTCTTGCAGAAGATCCCCATGTATATGTAAAACCAATACAATTGGTATGCTATTCTTATTAATCTGCCTGCTGTCAATCTGGTTTCCAGATCCAGCTGAAGAGCCCACTAAGAGCTAAATGGCAGTTGGAGGTGACCTCTGGCTCCTCTAATCCCCCAGTCTCCGCCCATCCCCAGGGCTGTGGGCAGGTCTTATCTTTACTGAGCTGCCAAGAGCTGAACCAGAGAGAGGCCTTCTAGAACTTGTAGGAGGAGCTGGGGGTGAGGCAACCACACTACTGGCCTGGATGCCAGTGCACCGCTCAAGAACAGCTACAAGGTGATGTCTTGCTGTGCAAAGTAGCTGGGCGAGCGGCTCACAGGGCAGCGTCCTAAAGACAAGAGCAAAGCTTTGAGATGATGAGGCCGTTCCTGAAGCGTTATTCACAAGAGGGAAACATGCGAACAACTGCAGTATCATAAGTCAGAAGTGGGGGGAACAGGCGACAAATGTCACACATCTGTGACAACTGGAAGAGCCATTAGCAATGGTGCTTTGGAAGGATCTTTTCAATTCATGACATCTCTTTTCACTTGGAAAAATGCAGATTCATAATCATAGAGAATGAGCTTAATGTTGCTGAATATACATTTATGCTCAAAGGACTACAGCCTCAGTGGTGACTATGAACGTGGGATAGACTCAGGAGTGATTTTAATTTTCTTCCTTATACCTTTCTTTATTTTCCAAATTTGCTACAGGACTAGATATTACTTGTATAATAAAGTATTAGTTTAATAAGTGACCTTCTCTCCAAAGAAGATGCACAAATAACCAATAAACACATGAAAAGATGCTTCACATCATTAGTTATTAGGGGAATGCAAATCAAAACCACAATGATATATAGGTCTAATACCCACTAAGATGCCTATAACGATAACAACAAACCAGATAATAGGTGTTGGCGAAGATGATGGGGAAAACTGGAACCCTTCCTACACTGTTGTCGGGAATGTAAAATGAAGCCACTGTGGAACACAGTCTAGCAGTGCCTCAAAAGGTTAAACCTACAGTTCCCTTGTGACCTAGCAATTCCGCTCCTAGATATATACCCAAGAGAAGTGGAAACAGGTGTTCCAACAAACCATGCACACAAATGTTCACAGCAGCCAAAAACTGGAAACAACCAAAGTGTCCATCTTCTAATAGAAACAAAGTATGGTATAACCATACAATGAAATACAACTCAGCCATAAGAAGCAGTGAGATTCTGATACATGCTATGGCATGGGAGAATCTCAAAAACACTGTCCTAACTAAAAGAAGCTGGTCATAAAGGACCCCACATGGATGATCCCATTACATGAAATGGACAGAACAGGCAAATCTAGATTGAGAAAGTGGAGTCATGGTTGCCAGGGCTCCGGTAAAGGGGAAATCGGGGAGTGACTTTTGTTTTTTTTTTTGAGATGGAGTCTTACTCTGTTGCCCAGCCTGGAGTGCAGTGGTGCCATCTCGGCTTACTGCAACTTCCACCTCCCAGGTTCAAGCAATTCTCCTGCCTCCACCTCCTGAGTAGCTGGGACTACAGGTGCATACCACCATACCCAGCTAATTTTTGTATTTTTAGTAGAGACAAAGTTTCATCATGTTAGCCAGGCTGGTCTCGAACTCCTGACCTCAGGTGATCCGCCCGCCTTGGCCTCCCAAAGGGATTACAGGAGTGAGCCACCGTGCCTGGTTGGGAGTGAATTCTAATGGGTACAAAATTTCTTTTGGGGTGATGCAAATGCTCTGAGATTAGAGAGTGGTGATGTTTGCACAATCTCGTGAATATGCAAAAAGCCACTTAATGGTGCACTTTAAAACAGTAAATTTTATGGCATTGAAATTATATATCAATTTAAGAAAAGAAAAAAAGGTTGGTGTCCTGTGTGAATTCCTTCGGATCACAGAATAATATAAAACTAAACAGGCGAGGGTTAACCGTCAAAATTTGATTTTAGGCCAGGTGTGGTGGCTCACACCTGTCACCTCAGCACTTTGCAAGGACGAGGTAGGAGGACTGCTTGAGGCCAAGAGTGTAAGACCAGCCTGGGCAAGACAGTGAGACTGTCTCTAAAAAATAAACATTGCTTTTAGGCTGGGTGTGGTGATGCACACCTATAATCCAACACTTTGGGAGGCTGAAGCGAAAGGATCACTTGAGTCCAGGAGTTTAAGGCTGCAGTGAGCTATGATTGCACCACCGCACTCCAGTCTGGGCGACAAAGGCAATCCTGTCTCTTAAAAAGAGAAAAAATTGGCTGGGTGTGGTGGCTCAGGCCTCTAATCCCAGCATTTTGAGAGGCCGAGGCAGGCGGATCACAAGGTCAGGAGTTCAAGACCAGCCTTGGCAACATGGTGAAACCCCGTCTCTACTAAAAACATAAAAATTAGCTGGGGGCATTGGCACGTGTTTGTAATCCCAGCTACTCGGGAGGGTGAGGCAGGAGAATCGCTTGAACCTGGGAGGCGGAGGTTGCAGTGAGCCAAGATGGTGCCATTGTACTCCAGCCTGGGTGACAGAATGAGACTCTGTCTCAAATGAATGAGAAAAAATTATTTTGCAGACTGCTTTGATTCAATTAACCACTTTGAGGTATCTGGAGGTTGCGTCTGCTGAAGGTGAGTGTTGACTCTAGACCCACATTTGCAGATGGTGCCCAATCCACCACTCGCGGCCATGTCCTCTTGGCTTCCTGTTCCAGGTCTCCTAGAAACACGGGTTCCTCCCTGGACCCGGTGCTCCTAAGCCACACAACCTGGCTGTGGACAGGGGGCTACAGAGTGTCATCCAAGATGCTCTCCTTGGTTACATGATTTGTTTGAGCAGGAGCCTGCCCTTTACACATCCACTCTACATATGCCTGTCTTAAATTTAATCTGCAAATGTGGAGGTTTCATCGTTACCAGCACGCGGCCCCCATAAGCCAATGTTTATTCATAATCCCCGAATCTGTTTCCCATCGTCTATTTCAGAGGAGCCAAAAACAACATCTTCATTCAATAACAGAGCACCATATGACAGCTTTCATTTCCCAGAATGAGCCATGGCATGCTCTGGAGGTTGCAGCGGGGGCAGGGGTGGCCTTTGGCCTCCATCTTTGCCCCAGCTAGAAGGGGGCTCCCAGCCCTGGCTGACCAGACCCAGACTTGGTGTCCCAGTGCCAAGCAAGAGAACGCAGGTCTGTCCTCACTAGGTTCCCATCTGACAGATGGCACATCAGTGTTTCCACTGCATGTACTGGGAGCAGCCCATTCCTTCCACCTTTTCAGGGCATGACAACATCAGACTTCTGGAACACCCAAGAATCCAAGACACTGATGGCATGAGTGAGTGGGGGCAGGTCACCCACCCCTCCCATGTGGATGTCCAAGCCCCAACCCCATTCCTCTGGCTCCACAGGGGTAGGGCTGAGGCCTGCAAACTGGACTTGGGGGATAGGACAGGCATGCAAAGTCTAAGGCCACAGTGCATCTGGGTTGGCTGAAGGTAACTGATACCTTAACACTCTCTAGGGGCCAAAGACTCGAAGACAACCTGGCCTGGGATGCCAGTGATGTTGCTGGTATCGCCAAGAGCCTCATGCACGCCTCACTGCCTTCCCTGTTGCTCACAAACTCTATGGTTTTAAAGACATCTCATTGGGTAATGTAAAGGTTTACAATAGGAAGGGATGCACAACTTGAATTGTGGTGAGCTGTGTATGAAAGGTAGAGTGAGTATCTATAAACATCCCCAAGCAAAGCCCATCCATCCATCTACCTAGTCACCCATCCTCCCACCTACCCACCTAACTGGGTGGGTCTTACTAGATTCCCACCTACTCACCTATTTATCCATCTACTCACCCACTCAGCCACCCATCCATTCACCCATCCATCTATCCTCCCACCTGTCCATCCCTTAACCACTCATCCATCCATACATTCATCCATGCATCAATCCACACATCCACCCACCCATCCATCCACCCACCCACTCACCCATCCTCCCATCTACCCACCTAACTATTCATTTAGACATCCATCCACCCATTGAGATACCTACTAACCCATTTATCCATCTACTCAGCCACCCTTCTGTCCTCCAACCTACCCACCTACCCATCCATTCATCTACCCACCCACCCACTCATGCATCCATCCATCCATTCACCCACTCATTCACTCACCCATCCTCCCCCACCTACATATGCATTTACACATCTGCCCATCCATCCACCCACTCATCCATTTATCCATCCACTCACTCACTCATCCACCCATCCATTTACCCATCCACCTACCCATCCATTCACCCATCCATCTATCCTCCCAGCTACCCATCCATTCATCCACTTATCCATCCATCCATCCACTCACCCAGTCATCCATCCACTCACCCACCCATGCATCTATCTATCCATTCATCCATCCTTCTACCTACCCATCCATTTATCTGTCCATCCATACACCCATCCACCCACCCATGTATTCATCTACCCATCCACCCACTCACCCATTAATCCATCTAACCTCCCACTACTCTTCATCCTTCCAACCCTGCTAGCCCATTCATCCATCTGATCACCCACCCATCCATCCTCCCACCTACCTATCCATTCATCCATCCATCCATCCATCCATCCATCCATCAGAAGTACTTTCTCAGCCCCTACTCCATGCCAGGCACTGTGTGAGGTGCAGAGAATACTGATGTGAGTCAACTGTATCCTCCTGATTCTTGGCTCTCATGGAGGGTAGTAAACCTTGATCAATTGACCCCACAAACAGGCGTTTACAAATTAATTAACCTCCAGGTCCTTGCCTTCAGTCCTCTTGGCTTGCACCATTTGCACTTATTAAATCTGCTCCAACACGAGGTTCCTGATCCCAGCTCATCAAACACATCACTGGGAAAGCTGCTTAAAAATACAGATTCCCAGGTCCCACCCCAGACATTCAGGTTTCATGAGGTGGAGATAGAGCCCTGGCATCCACATTACTTTTCTATAGTCCAGGTTGAGGGCCATACCCTAACACATGGCTGTCCAGACACACACAACCCATGTTTCCTGGGTATCTGCAGCTGAGGAAGGAGAATAATGACAGGAGAGCTAGCTTGCTCCTGGTGCTTTCCAGTTTGAATTCATTCCCCTCTCATAGCAGCCCTGTGGCAAACACATTACTGTCAATGCCAACAGAGGCTCAGAGAAGCTGAGTAACTTGCCCAAGGTCACACAGGAGACATAAATCAGGAGTCATGGACTCTGATGTTTGCCTTTTCAATGGAAAAGAATCCAGGTCAAACCCCCAGAACAGCCCTGAGACTGACCTAAAGAGGCTTCTAAATGCTGATGGGCCAGGGTACACCCTTGTCAAGTAGCAGTCTCTGCCTTCGGCTCACACAACAAAATGGCCCCACAGAGGATGGGATTGTGTGGTAAGAAAGGGTGAAACTGAGAAGTCATCCACAGAATGCAGCTTGGTTTACAGCTGTGACTCTTTGCCTCTGAAATAGACTAAATGTGTGTGTCCCCCTCAAAACTCCTATGCTGAAGCCATGACCCCCTCAGTGTGACTGGATTTGGAGAAAGGACTTTAGAGAGGTAATTAAGATTAAATGAAGGTACAAGGCAGGGCCTTGACCCAAGAGGACTGGCATTCTTAAGAGGAAGAGAGAGCAGAGGTGTGCATGCACAAGGAAAGGCCCTGTGAGGACACAGCGAGAAGGCGGCCATCTGCAAGCCAGGAAGAGAAGCTCACCAGGAACTTCCCCTGCCAGCCCCTGATCTGCAGCTTCTAGACTCCAGAATTGGGAGGAAATACATTTCTGTTGTTTAAGCTGCCCATTCTACAGTATTTCATGATAGCAGCCCAAACTGACTAATATAGACTCTTCCCTGCCTACTGCCCTCCACACTGGCAGCCCAGTGTAGCACTAAGAAGGTTTCTAACCCCGTGAATGTCCGGGCCATGTCACTGCCCTTCTCTCCTGAACCCTCTGCCCACAGTGGCCACTGTACAAGGTGACTTTTGCAGACACCACATCCTGTAGCGGCAGGAGGGGCTGTGGAGAAAAAAAGGACAGGGTTGGTACCCAGCATTACCAGGTTGCCATAGTAACCCAGAGCAGGCACCACCACTGCTGGGAGGGGACGAGGAAGGCCTGGGCCCCACAGCAAAGCCAGAGACTGGATCCTCCCAAAGGAACCTGAAATAACACACAGACCTGGCAGAACTCTATTTTGAGGGTGAACCCAAGCATGGAAGCTGGTCCTTAAAACACAGAGCGGCTGCTACGAAACAGCAGCACATACTTCACGGCAGCGAGGCTCTGAGTGTGTTTTAATAAAGTGGCATACGAGACAGAAAGGGTGGGGGATGCAGGAGTCTGCCACGGTTGTTTAACAAAAACATAATCATTAGCAGACAGGACAATGCGTCCTCATAGCTATTTTATGTTCTGTGAGGGAACAGCTAGTAACTTCTTTGGAAGCTGGCTTTTGTGGCTTATTAATATTTTAGATTACAATTGTGCTAATAGAGTCATTTGCCTGTATTTTTAAATGCTCTAAAGATAACAAAGACATTCTATTTTGGAAGAACCAAACATGGGTATGCTGATGTTTTGCCGAGGGTTTATACACACTGTGACTAACGACACTTCTGTTTAATAGGACTGTACCATGCCCTGTTCCATGGCTCCAACCAGAGCCGCCCAGAGATGTGGGTGACAGCTCCCACCCCTTTCACATCCTTGGGAGGGCATTCCTACTCCCTGAGAAAGCAGGTCACAGCAATATCCTCCTCTGATCTTCAAGGAGCTGAGGCGCTTGGCGTCCCTGCTGAAGGCATATCTCTAACTATGGCCTGCAGAGGTCCTGCCTGCCACCCCCTCCTTCTGCTGGTTCCAGCACCCCAACTGTCCTTGGCAAGCCATCTTCCCTACACCCCTGACCCAGACCCGGCCAGTCACCCTTGCTGGTGCCCCCACCCCCTAGCCAGAGTGACTGGTTCTGGGTGGGCATGGACATCATTCAGGTCGGTCCCATCAGGACTCTCGCTAAGAAGCTAGCACAGAGCCATTTTCTTTCTGCAGGACTTGGACCTATAAGGACATAAGCCCTGGAGCTGCCAGGCACCATCCTGAGAGGGAGCTGCTCAAAGAATAAAGCCCCCATGGAGAAATCAGGCCAAGAGATGGAATGAGAGCTCCCTGGGGATACCATTTGAGCAGCTGGATCCAACTATGCCTGATGCCAGACAATTTTAGGCTTCTCCATTGTGTACACTAATAAATTCCTTTCGTAGGGACAGGGGTTGGAGGGAGCCCTGGGGTTTTGTTGCCTCCAATTTAAAAAGCAATAATGACCAGAGAAGCCCTTGAGTTGGTACAGGGGAAGGGAGAGGCCCTGGGTCAGAGTTTAACCCCAGGGCTCCAGGCCAGCTCTGCCATGAGCCAGGCATTCGATCCCCAGTAACCAGAAGCCCAGATTTCCTTCTCTGAAAAATAGAGGCCTGGCTCTAAATGAGTTTTTCCAAATTGGAGTCCAGAAACTCCAAGTCATCTGAGGGGCATCTCATGTCTGTTTATTTGGTGCCAACATGTAGATGATAACCTAAATACATGACCCTATACTTATCTTTAAAGACAAAACTGTTTTTCCCTGGTAATGCATTTTTTTTTTTTTTTCAGATAGAGTCTTGCTCTGTCACCCAGGCTGGAGTGCAATGGCACAGTCTCGGCTCACTGCAACCTCTACCTCTGGGTTCAAGCGATTCTCCTGCCTCAGCCTCCCGAGTAGCTGGGATTACAGACGCCTGCCACCATATCTGGCTAATTTTTTGTACTTTTAGTAGAGACGGGGATTCACCATGTTGGTCACGCTGGTCTCAAACTCCTGACCTCAGGTGATCTGCCTGCCTCGTCCTCCCAAAGTGCTGGGATTACAGGCCCTGGCTGTAATTCACATTTTCAAAGACAGAACTTCTGTTTCACAATAGTTTTTTTGTTTTGTGTTTTTGTTGTTGTTGTTTTAACGCAGGAGATTTCCCTCTTAACAGTGACCTACACGTTACTAAGTCAGAGAGATTTTGAACTAAGCAGTAACTATCATCCCTTCCGGTTCTCACCTTCTCTGGATGGTGTTTGTGTCGGTTCTCTGTTTATGAGCCCAAGGAGTGAGGGGTTCCATTCGTCAGCTGACCCACATGCAAATCCTCAGGCTGAAACTCATAGGGCTGTGAGACCCCGGACCGGTTGCCGTGAGACCCCGGACCGGTTGCATGTAAGGAGCTCACATCCTTACATGCAAAATAGGAACGACAATACTGAACACACAGTTCACGATTGTTCTGGAGATTGGAGGAAAACCATGAGAAACGTCCGGTTTGAAGCCAGCTGCCCAACAGGCACTGGCTGGTGTTGGAATCGGGGTCAGGATTATTGTCAGGACCCTCAGAGCCCCATGGTACCCACTGCCTGGTGCAAACCTCTGAAGCTCCCCCAACCCAGGCATCTCTGAGAGCCTTAAGTTAAGGAGCCTGTCTGGGAAAGGGACCATTGCTTGGTCATCCTCAAAGCTGCAGGGCAGAGTTTTCCAAACACAGTCATTCCTACACATTTATTTCTAAAAGCAGCTTGCAATTTACTTACTTATTATATATATATATATATATATATATTTACTTATTTATTTATTATACTTTAAGCTCTAGGGTACATGTGCACAACGTGCAGGTTTGTTACATATGCATACATGTGCCATGTTGGTGTGCTGCACCCATTAACTCGTCATTTACATTAGGTATATCTCCTAATGCTATCCTTCTCCCCTCCCCCCACCCCACAACAGGCCCCAGTGTGATGTTCCAAAGGAATATAAATCATGCTACTGTAAAGACACATGCACACGTATGTTTATTGTGGCACTACCCACAATAGCAAAGACTTGGAACCAACCCAAATGTCCAACAATGATAGACTGGGTTAAGAAAATGTGGCACATGTACACCATGGAATACTATGCAGCCATAAAAAATGATGAGCTCATGTCCTTTGTAGGGACATGGATGAAGCTGGAAACCCTCATTCTCAGCAAACTATCGCAAGGACAAAAAACCAAACACCGCATGTTCTCACTCATAGGTGGGAATTGAACAATGAGAATACTTATTTATTTATTTAGAGACAGTCCGCTCTGTTGCCCAGGCTGGAGTGCAGTGGTGTGATCTCGGCTCACTGCAACCTCTGCCTCCTGGGTTCAAGTGATTCTCCTGCCTCAGCCTCCTGAGTAGCTGGGATTACAGGTGCCCGCTACCAAGCCTGGCTAATTTTTAATAGAGACAAGATTTTGCCATGTTGGCCAGGCTGGTCTTAAATTCCTGACCCCAGGTGATCAGCTCGCCTTGGCCTCCCAAAGTGCTGGGATTACAGGCGTGAGCCACCGCGCCCAGCCTTAAAGCAGTTCTTTAAGTCACCATTTTAAGTGGAAAACCAGCCTCCCTGGCATAGATGGAAGGAAGCCTTCACATCCAACAAGGGGGAAAGCAGGCTATGGGGTCCCAGTCGAGCTGCCCTGCTGTCTGTGGGAGGCACTGGGCCAGGCCCGCCTTCTCCAAGTTATAAGGAGGACTACAGACCACAGAGCTGTGTGGAAGAGTCCCCAGCCCCCAGAAAAAAAAGGCAAACCACGCTGTGGGAGCAGTCATCCGCACACCTGCACCACTGACAAAGGTCTTGCTTCTGAAGTATACAAGGACTGACCACAAATCAATACGAAACAGACAAGCCTGAAGAAAAACAGGCAGAAGACCCAAACTGGCGCATGGCCAAAGACGACACACAAACAGCCACCCAATACATGCACAGAAAGGTGCTCGGCCTCAGAAGTAATAAGGGAACCGCAAATGGCAATCACAACCATATCATCATCGCACACGCAGCACGTCCGCAGCGGAAGGGCCCGTCAGTAGTGAGCTGGTGACACGTGGGCACCATTACTCTTACAGACTAAATGTCTGTGACCCCCTCTAGAATTCACGGACCCGCAATGTGATGGGGACTTTGGGGTGTGATTGGGTTTAGATAAGTCACGAAGCTGGGGTCCCCAAGATGGGATTCCTGCCGTCCTAAGAAGAGATAGCACAGTGCTCTTCTCTGTCTCTGTCTTTCTGCGGATGAGGACACAGAGAGACAGAGGCTGTCTGCAAGCCAGGAAGAGGGCCCTTCCCAGAAATGGCCATGCTCGCACCCTCATCTCTGACTGTCCAGCCTCCAGAACCAGCATTTTAGCCCTCCAGATCTCAGTGTTCTGTTACAGAAGCCTGGACTGACAATGAGGTCCAGGCAGGACAGGGTTGCAGAATTCAGAAAAGCAGAGGACGTGTCCAGCCTGACCACGGTCACCCCTGGGGTATGGGCGATGGAAGGGCACCCACGTTTACATCGAGACACAAGGGTAGGGACTCCCACAGCAAGCGGACTACGACTGCCCACGGCGGGACAGAGGGACAAATCCCCAGTGAACGACCTCACAGTGAAAACAAGTGACCCAGATCTACTCACATGGCCCAGATACCAGGGACAGCTGTTGGGAGAGAAGCCAGCACAGCACAGCACACGCCAATCCTGTCTCCATATGGCTCACGAGTGGGCAGAGTCCCACGACACTGTCTGGGGCTGTGTAATAAGAGCCTGGGACTAGTAATAAAATCAGGAAGCAACTGTGTGCGAGACCAGCCCTGGGCAGAGACAGTTATCCTGGGGAGGGAGCTGAGGAGGCAGAGGGGGCGTCTGGGTGGGGTTGGGGGTGCTGGGTCCACAGGGTTTGTTTTATAACTGCCCACTGGACGTGCGGTTGTTTTGTGAACCTCTCTGTATGCTTGTTACGCGCCACACAGAAAAATTAAAAATAAAAGCATCACACAGGCACCAAACAGGATCCTCCCATCTATTCGGAAGGCCCGGAAGAGGAAGGAGTGAAGGGGGACTGCTGGATTCTGGGTCTGACCTGCAAGGTCATCTCCCAGATGCCTGCCCTGGGCACCCACTGTGTGAGCCTTGGAGGTGACACAGACTCAGGGGGTGTGAGACACAGGGCAGGGGCCACTGGGGACAGGCTGGAAGTGGGAACAAGTGGCTGCCTGAAGGCCCCAAGGGTGTCTCCGGGGCAAAGCCGGGATGTTTCAGGTGCTGCAGGAAGAAGCCGGGCACCCTGTTCACCCAGCCAGGGTCTCACTTGGCACAAAGAGGCCTCGGGAGAATACACAGAAACCCCTGCTTTTTTTTTTTTTTGAGACAGAGTCTCGTTCTGTCACCCAGGCTGGAGTGCAGTGGCAGGATCTCAGCTCACTGCAACCTCCGCCTCCCAGGTTCAAGTGATTATTGTGCCTCGGCCCCCCAAGTAGCTGGGACTACAGGGCGTGCGCCACCACACCGGCTAGTTTTTTTTTTTTTTTTTTTTTTTTTTTTTTTTAAGTAGCGACGGGGTTTCACCATGTTGGTGCAGTGCAGTAGTGTGATCTCGGCCCACTGCAACCTCTGCCTCCTGGGTTCAGGCGATTCTCGTGCCTCAGCCTCTCGAGTAGCTAGGATTACAGGTGTCATGTTGGCCAGGCTGGTCTCGAACTCCTGACCTCTCAGGTGATCTGCCCACCTCAGCCTCCCAAAGTGCTGGGATTACAGGCGTGAGCAACTGTGCCTGGCCATAGAAACCCTGAGTTCTAATCCGCATTTGCCATTGACCAGCGAGGTGATGTCCCCAGGTGTTACTGTCCCCCTCTGTGGCATGGGCTGAGCTCTGTCTGCCTCCCTGGGAGCCTGTGGCTGAGGTCCAGGGAGATGCTGGGTGGGGAAGTCAGGACTCCTCTGGCTTCCCCATCTCGGTAAATGTCAGGGCCTCTGCCCAGAGTCCTTCAGCCCCGGGGCCAGGGCCCACGCTCCAACCGCCACTGCTAAGAGCCCTCCCGCTATTGGGGGCTGCTGTCCTGCCTCCCATCCATGGACACAGGAAGCCACAGGTGGTCCCCTGCAGGCTGAGCTGTCAGGGCCAGGGACACGAGGTGCCACTTTCAGCTTTTGGTCCCAGGTCCTGAGCACAAGTGGTGGCTTCCCAGGAGGGCCATCTGCAGTGGGTCTCTGGGTTTCCATGGGGTGTCCTGAGGCCTGTGTGCCTGCAGCTGCTAGGCCCGTAGGATGCCTCCGTCCAGCACAGACCTGATTTCTGGGTAGCCTGTGAGCCTCCGGGAGGACCCAGGCTATGGGCCCAATGGGCATGGCCAGGAGGGGACAGGAGACCTGCACACCACACAGGACAGACCCCTGGGGGCGCCTGGGCCCCCTCCTACCCTCGTCCACACACCATCTTACCCCCAGACTTGAGGAGGCATGAGGTTTGCTGCTAAAAGTGTTGGGGTGACCCGAGGGGGAGGGGCCCTCACTCATCAAAGCAGATCTCTGCTTTAAACCTGCATTGCTCCAGATGCCCCCCAAAGCTCTCCTGTCCAGGGTGGTGGCCCATCCCCTTACCTAACTCTCCTCTCTCCAAAAGTCTCCTCTCTCCTTTTTTTTGCCAGCTGGCCCTGCTCCCCACAACCCCGCCAAGCTCCATCACCCGCTCAGTGGAGCAGAGGCAGCCTGCCGGTTGCAGGGAGAGGAGTCTGTTCCCAGTGAATGCCACTACCTCTGTCTCTCCAGCACCCCCCAGGGGCTGGGCAGGGCCTGTCAGTGGGGTGAAGGGAGGTCTCTAGAGGGTGTTCCAGGTGGCCGGAGCTGCCGTTAGTCTCAGGCTTCCAGGTGGTGCTGGACCCTGCCACACCTTCCAGGGGCTCACATGTTCCAGGACAGGGGGTGCAGTGACAAAGCAAGAGAGGTAACAGCGGCCTTGGGCATCATCCCCCATCTCGGGCACCAGGCTGCCCAAACAAAAGCCGAGATTAATTTGCACCAGGTCGAGGGAGTGGACATGGGGATGCTCTGTCCGCTTCAGGGACTCTTTGGTTTCTAAGCAGGGGCTCAAAGAGGAGGGGTTCCACTATCAGCTGAGGGTGGTCGCCTGGGACCACTGATGGGCTGGTGTCCTACCTGCTATGCACAGATGGGCCCGGGACCAGACCTCTAGCAGTGTAGAGGTTCCCACACTGCAGCCCAAGTCTCCTCTCAGGGTAAGCGGGACCGTGCCAGAATTTCCAACAAACACCAGGAGTAACTTTCAAGTGGAAACACAGCTGGCACGGGCAGCACAGGGCTTATAAATGACGGGGCAATAAAGTGGAATTATGACCTTTGCACCTGTCCTTTGCTTCTGTGCCTTTCTCCTCTGCAGCCACCCTGGGCTGTCTCTGGCCTGGCCTCCTTTTACAATGGAGCTGGGGGTAGGACAGTCTATTAGACCAAGCCTCACAAAGCAGGGAAGCAGATGGGCAGGGGCTGGGTGGAGGTGAGGGCAGAGCAGGAGTGACAATGACCTGCTACTGTAGCCACAGTGCCCTGCATGGCCAGAGCCTTGGTGGTGCTGGTGTTCCCAGGTATTACTATCAGGAAGCCCATTCCATCAGTGCTGTTGGTAACAATTCTTGTATGCGTATGGACTTTTATACCTTTACATTCTTCTCTGTGAGCCACTGCAACAACCCTGCAGGGCGTGTCTATCTGCAGGGCATATAAATCCAACTTACAGATGAGAAAGCTGAGACATACAAGGGTAAAATAATTTTTCTCAAGGGCACCAAGTGTGGTGTTGATTTCTTTACATCAAGAGGGGATGTGAGGAAAGAAATGAAATTTCAAGAACTAGAAGGGGAAAGCCAGGAACCTCCTCCAAACAAAGGGAAGGCTGCACAGGGCTGGGATGAGGAAGAATATTTGTTCATGGCCAGAGCAGTAGCGTTCACCAAGGTGGAGTGCCAGACTTGACTAGCATCATCCCTTTATCATCTTAAAACCTCTGACACCATCACCACCAGCATCATTGCTAGTCACATCACTACCACCATCAATCACCATGACTATCACCATCAATAGAATCACTACCATCATCACCAACAAAAACAGCATCACCACTATCATCACCATGACCACCACCACCAGCATCACCACCAGCATCACCACGACCACCATCACCAGCATCACCATCATCACCAAGATCACCACCATGAGCATCACCATCAGCACCATGACCACCACCACCAGCATCACCACCATCATCACCATGACCACCACCAGCATCACCACCATCACCAAGATCACCACCACCAGCATCACCACCACCAGCATGACCACCACCAACACCAGCATCACCAACATCATCACCATGACCACCACCACTAGGATCACCACTATCATCGCCGTGACCACCACCACCAGCAGCATCACCACCATCATCACCATGACCACCACCACCAGCATCACCACCATCATCACCATGACCACCATGACCACCACCACCACCAGCATCACCACCAGCATCACCATGACCACCACCACTAGGATCACCACTATCATCACCGTGACCACCACCACCACCAGCATCACCACTGTCATCACCAAGACCACCACCACTAGGATCACCACTATCATCACCGTGACCACCACCACCAGCATCACCACCATCATCACCAAGACCACCACCACCAGCATCAACACCATCATCACCATGACCATCACCATGACCACCACCACCAGCATCACTACCATCATCGCCATGAGCACCACCACCAGCATCACCACGATCATCACCATGACCGCCACCAACACCACCACCACCATAAACAGCATCACCATGGCTGCCATCAACTACTTATCATCATTACCACCACCACCACCACCCCTGGTCCCTGACTCCAAGGCCACAAAATCTTAACATCTCAGAGGCTGGCTGACCCTGGGGATGCTCCAGCCTCCAGGTAAAGGAAACAGATGTCAGCTCAGATGTATCTATGTTTAGGTCCTGGGCCGGCCACCCCTGCTTCTGAGCAAGTCACTCACCATCTCTGACCTCGTGTCAAATGGACTAACATCACTGCATGCCCCCCTCCCAAGTTTACTCTGAGGATCACATGAGTTACCTATAAACATCAAATGAGAGGTGAGAGGATGCAACCACAGGGACAAGGTTTGGAACTGTGTGCTCTGAAAAGGCTGGAACGATAACGTTACATGGCCTGCAGGATGGCGGAACATGACTTACTCCAGTGCATACATGATATGGCTCCCGAGGGAGAGCAGGTGGATCCCAGAAGCTGACCTAGTGTTGAACTGGGAGGTGTGACAGCCAAGAGGACAGGTCCCCCACCAGGGCCATTGTGGATGAGGACTTTCCTCATTGTGTCGTCTTCTTATCAATGGCCACAGACAAGAAATCTCAAAGGACAGTGGCCCCAAGTCACTTGTGACTTCAGCAGCTTCCCTTTATCCATGGTTTCACTTTCTGAGGTTTTAATCACCCACGGTCAACTGAAGTCTGAAAATATTGAACAGAAAAGTCCAGAAATAAACAGTTGAAAAGTTTTCAATTGCATGCCATTCTGAGTAGCGTGATGTCGAGTGCCGTTCCGCCCGGGGGAAGTGACTCATCCCTTTGTCCAGCGCACTCCTGCTGTCCACACCACCCACTGGTTAGTCACTTAGGAGCTGGCTCTGATATCAGACCAAAAACATGGTGTATGCAGTACAGGGCAGTACAGGGTTCAGCGCTGTCCCCCATTTCAGGCACCCAATGGGGGTCTTGGGAGGTAGCCCCTGAAGATAACAGGGGACTGCTGCAGTCACAAAAGAGTTGGTAAAACCAAGAGGTCCCCATCCTTCTCCTGCCCAGCCCTGACCCCAGGGTTGGATTTGGGAGGAGGAGATTTAAACTCCAAGTGTGTCCTGAAACCCCGACGAGGCCACACAGGGTGTCCTATAGGAGACAGGAGGTGACGGCTCCAGGTGTGGCTTCAGATGATAGAGGAGCAACGCACTGCTCTCAGGTCGATTTCTGGGAGGAGGAAACACATGCCAGCCTCACCACCACCCTGTCGGGTCCACACGATCTGAAGGAGAGATCCGAGAATGTTATGCCCATTAGTCCTTGGGGTGTGGGGCTGGTGGCGGTCCGGAGACACTTCTCAGAGCAAATGGCAATGCTAAGCTGTAAGATGCTCCCAGTAAGGGCCCCCTACGCTGGTAAATTAGAGAGTGGCTGGAAAGGAGAGTCCACGGCAGGGATTCTGAATGGGAACAGTCCATGGGAAGAGAGCTTGGGAATCTGGACAGCCTGGCACACATGCTTCCCAGACATACACAACACGTGTTTCCTTATGAATAAGCGGGGATCATAAAGGCACCTCCCATTAAGGGCAATTACGAGGCTCAAATGAGGTCCTGTCTCTTCTCCATTGAGTGCCACAAAAAAGTAGAAAAGACACACTGCAAACCACATCTGTTTCCTGGTCAGAGCTCTGACTTTCTGATCTAGATCCTATGCTTATGGCTAGCTTCTAGAAACTTCTAGAGAGCCATGGGGCCTATTCTTAAATGCAGACTTACCCCACAAGAGTGGCCAGTCAAGGGAAGGCACGGCTAATCCCATCCTACACTCACACCTTCTACCCAGTCGAGACCCCTGCACCAGGGAGTCAGCCAGAAGATTCCGGAAGCCCATTCTGCAGAGAATCCCATCAAGTCACTTCCTCGGTGGTCTCTGCAGCTGATTGAGGATCCCGACTCCAACAGGCTCTGGTGGTGCATACGGCACAGGACATGCCAAAACTACACTGGGTAGGTGCTGCTCATCTGGGTAGGTGCCCAGGAGTGAAGTAGGAGTTGAGAATGTGGCATCTTATGCCCCAGTCTGAGCTGCCTGGCTGTGAGGCCCCCACTCCTACCTCAGTGGCTTTCAGGTGACCAGATCCTACCTGTCTCTGGAGGATGGAAACAGGGATGTACAGCGGTGACTCATCACACCCATTTTCTCATCATGTTCTACATGAATGGTGCTCACTGATAGTCAAGTCTTTTGTTTGTTTCAGCAACTAAAATACGATTTGCTCTGGTGCTGCTTGGCCTTGTCATTTTCTCAGGGATAAACAGAGAGCCCTGGCCTGACAGTTTCCATGTACACATAAGATGTGTCGCTGAAAACTGCACACACGTGCATTGCATTCATTTTTCATAAACTGCCTCATCCATGGGTGCCAACTGATTACTTCGGAAATATTTTATCTTTGTTTCTTAGTCAAGATACATCAACAGGGGCACCCCTGATTTCAATGTGTAGAATTCTGAGGAGGAAGGATCAAGTGATTCTACAATCCACCAGCCTGAATTCACAGATGAGGAAATTGATGTCTTGGAAGATGCGGAAGGCAGTCAAGTCCCCAGTAGGGGAGGTGGGCACTGTCTCTCCACCCAGGGTGCATGTCCACCCAGGGCACTGTCTCTCCACCCAGGGTGCATAAAGAGGGTCAGCTTTATGGGCCAACGGACCAGGCTATAGCACCCAGTTATGCAGCCAAGCACTAGCCTAGGTGTTGCTGGGAGGGTATTTTGTAGATGTGGTTAACATTTACAGTCTGTTGGCTTGAAGTCAACATTTTTCTCAGTAATGTGGGTGGGCCTCCTCCAATCATTTAAAAGGCCTCAAGAGCAAAATTGAGGTTTCTTTGAGGAAGAAGAGATTCTGCATCAAGTTTGCAGCACCAGCTCCTGTCTGGGCGTTCCAGGCTGCTGGACTGCCCAGAGGATTTTAGACTTGCCTGTTCCCATGATCGGGTGAGCCAAGTCCTTGAAATGAGTCTCTTAATACATACGCTCTATCTGTATCTACATCTGTGTCTACGTCCTACTGGTTCTGTTTCTCTGGAGAATCTTGACTCAAACAGTCACCAGGAGGTGGCTCCTGGCCCGGGACCACAGGTCCCAGCATCTGCAGCATCCAGGTTCCCTCCACAGGGTGTCACGGGCGATGATGTGTGTCCCTGATGTGCCAGAGCCTCACACAAGAGGGCAGCGTTTCTCCATTCTCTCTCCCCGTCTCTGCAGGCTGGGGGCAGGGGACCCTAAGGTCCTCGAGGATGACCAGGCCACAGAATGGAAGGGCCTGGACTGCTTGGTCACATCATGGAGAAAATCAGCCCGTCTGCTGACCAGAAGAGACCACACTGGGTGGCTACTGGGCAGGAAAAAAACCTGCACTCCATTAAGCCACTGAAGTTGTGGGTTCACTTGTCGTAGCAGCTGACATTGAGCTACCTAATACAAATGGGTGGAAAGCTTTAGAGTCTTGACAAAAGCCAGACCTTCCAACTCCTAACTGATCAAGTGCAACACCACCCAACCTCCTTTTCACAAACGCGGTGGGCCAACTGACATGCACTCTGTCCTGGATAGGCACCATGCAGGGCACAGGTGTCCCTGCCCTCAGAGAGCCTAAACTCCAGCAGGATGGGGTGAGGACATGCATGTAATTAAGCACCAATTTTCTAGAGCACCATCTTCCAAGATGCATCTCCTCTTGCATATAATAACAACATAGTCATATGTGGCACTTAGCTCTCAGGTCTCTGGGCTGATGCATGCAAAGAAGTGAGATTTTATAAATCTGGGCATGCCTCTGTCTCTTACGCACAGAAACAAAAAAGCTATGATCATAAACTTCCACCCAACTCTTCATACGCATCATCTCCAGGCTTCACATTTCAGATAAAGAAGTCTACTCAGAGCTAGCCAGAGACAGCTGAGCTGAGAATAGACCCGGATATGTTTCTGTTTCCCCATTGCCTCAGGTGGATGTGCAGGAGGATTAATCACTGGCAGTCACACCAGGATCACCACCCTGATCACTGCATGAGAAACACTGTCCTGATGCAGGTACAGGTCACAGCTCAAGCATCAGTAGTTACAAATAATGGGTCATAGTCCCTGCCCAGTAACTCCCTATCTGTGTGCTCCGACATGCTGAGATGGGGATGCTCATGTGTACAATGCAGGTGATGATTCCTGCCCTACTTATTCCAGAAGGTTGGATGAGACAGCATGCAGGAAAGCCCACTGGAGACTGTGAAGTCCCATAAACATGCAGCCTTAAGAAATTACAACTAAGGCTCAGGTGAGTAAGCCCACTATATCTTGAAGGCATAACTACCAAACTATTCATGGAACTAAGCTGAACTTGTATCATTTGACCAACCATCCATCCAACCAACAAACCAATCAGCCAGCCAGCTAACCAACCAACCAACCAACCAACCAACTAACCAATCAGTCAGTCAGCCAACTAGTTAATCAACCAACCAACCAGTCAGCCAGACAGCTAATCAACCAACCAACCAACCAACCAACTAATCAGTCAGCTAGACAGCTAATCAACCAACCAACCAACCAGCCAGCTAGCCAGCCAGCCAGCCAAGCAATCAATCAACCAACCAACCAACCAACCAACCAACCAACCAACCAACCAACCAACCAGCAAGCCAGCTAGCTAATTAACCAACCAACCAACCAACCAGCCAACCAGCCAACCAACCAACCAACCAACCAACCAACCAACCAACCAACCAACCAACCAACGAGGACCACCATTTGATTTTGCTGTTTGTTATCCCCAACCTCCAGCAACTGTCATGAGGCTATGAGAATTCACTGGGTCCTGAGCAGCCACTTCTTTACTGAGTTATTCATTCTGTGAGTCACTCACTTATTTCATTTAATGTTCATGAATGGAGTTTACCAACTAAATGTTCATTTTACAACATAAAGCAATGGTGCTCCATAAAAGAGAAACAGCTTCCAAGGGTGCAAGCAAGGTCTACTGTGTAGAAAGAGCTTGGTGGATGGGAACATCTAAAAACATTTTGTACCATCTTCCAGATTCTATGTATATCCAAAGTCTTCTAATTTTCAGCATCAAAAAAAGCTACAAAAAGGGCCAGGCATGGTGGCTCACACCTACAATCCCAGTATTTTGGGAGACCGAGGCAGGAGGGTCACTTGTGCCTAGGAGTTCAAGAACAGCCTGGGCAACATAGTGAGAACTCGTCTCTACAAAAAAATACACTAATAAAATAAATTTTAAAATAAGGCAGGAGAATCATTTGAGACTGGGAAGTCAAGGCATGTAATGAGCCCTGATGGCACCACTGCATTCCCACCTCGATGACACAGCAAGACCCTGACTCAAAAGAAAAAAGTGACAAAAAGCACTAACGTGGAAGAAAAAAAGAATAATTTGGATTAGATTCAAAATTTTAAAAACCCTTCTACTCATTAAAAGACATACAGTTGACCCTTGAACAACATGGGTTTGAACTGCATGGGTCAACTTACATGTGGATTTTTCAACTAAATATAGATTGAAAACACAATATTCGTGTGAAATAAAACCTGCATATACAGAGGGCTGACTTCACATACACAGGTTCCATGGAGATGACTGTGGGACTTGAGGTGGATTTTGGTATATGATGTGAGGTGGTGGTGTCCTGGAACCAATCCCCACGTATACTGAGAGATGACTGTAGTTAGAAAATGAAAACGCAAGTCACAGGCTGGGAAAAATGTTTGCAGCATATATTTGACAAAGGACTGATAAACAGAATATATAAAGAACTCCTACAAACCAATAAGGAAAAGATGAACACTGCCATTAAAAATGAACCAAAGACTTAAAGAAGCTATACATACAGCAAATGAGCACACAAAGAGATGCCTAATCATCATCCCCAGAAAAATGCAAATTACACCCACAATAAGATATCATTTCATATCTATTAGAACAGCTGAAGTTAAACAGACTGATATTGCCAAATGTTGATGAGAAAGTGGAGCAACTGGAACTCTCACACACTGCCGGTAGGAGAACAAAATGGGACAGCACTTTGGAGAACTGTGTGGTAGTTTCTTATAAAATGAAAATGTTATCATACAACCCAGCAGTTTTCTACCTAGAGAAATAAAAATGTATGTCCTTAAAAAGACTCACACAAAAACCTTTTTTAGCAGGTTCATTCATATTAGCCAAAACTGAGAAGCAATCCACATGTCCATCATCAGGAGAATGATCAAACTGTGGTGTAAATACACCATAAAACACTAGCCAGCAATAAACATTTATAAACTGCTGTCTGGGCATGGTGGATCATGCCTGTAATCCCAGCATTTTGGGAGGTCAAGGCAGGTGGATCCCTTGAGGTCAGGAGTTCAAAACCAGTCTGGCAAACATGGTGAAATCCCCTCCTTACTAAAAATACAAAAATCAGCCAGGTGTGGTGGTGGGAGCCTGTAATCCCAGCTACTAGGGAGGCTGAGGCATGAGAATCACTTGAACTCTGGAGTGGGAGTTTGCAGTGAGCTGAGATGGTGCCACTGCACTCCAGTCTGGGCAACAGAGACTCCGTCTCAGAAAAAAAAAAAAAAACAACATATAAACCACTGAGTCCTGCAATACATAGCTGATATCACAGGCATTAGGCTGAGGGAAAGAAGTTGGGCCCGAGAGTACAAGTTGCAGGGTCTCATCTACATGAAATCCAGTGATAGGCAAAATCTATGGTGACAGAAATCTATGGTCTATGGTGACAGAAATCAGAACCACACTTGCTTCCGGTGTGGGATGGGGAGGGATGGCTGGAAGACAGCCTGAGATCACTTCCTGGGGTGAAAGAAAGGTGTTTTTAAAAATTATTTTATATATTTTTTGAGATGGAGTTTTGCTCTTGTCACCCAGGCTGGAGTGCAATGGTGCGACCTTGGCTCACTGCAACCTCCACCTCCCAGGTTCAAGTGATTCTTATGCCTCGGCCTCCCAAGTAGCTGGGATTACAGGCATCACCATCATGCCCAGCTAATTTTTGTATTTTCAGTAGAGACAGGTTTCACCATGTTGGCCAGGATGGTCTCAAACTCCTAACCTCAAGTGATTCACCCGCCTTGGCCTCCCAAGGTGCAAAGATTACAGGCATGAGCCACCACACCTGGCCTGTGAAGGAAGGGTTTAATATCTTATTTGCAGTTGGAGACGTGGGTATATACATTTGTCAAAATGCACTGAACTAGATTTTTCTTATAATCTGTGTGTTTTCCTGTATGTAAATCACACCTCTATAAAAGAAGATAATACAAAAGAAGGTGCTAAGTCACGATCTTAGAACACCCAAGGGCAAGCAGAACCCAGCAGGAACCACTGTGGAATCCTCCCCGCCCTCCTCGACTCCTCTGTGCTGTGATCTTGGTGTACCTCCTTCCATCCCAGGTCACAGAGATGCCTTCCTTCCCTGACCCACAGCCTTTGTGTTAGAGGAGAGTTCTGATGTTCATTTTTGCCATCTGTGTTAGGGAGAAAGATGGCTCCTCCCTAGGATGCCCAGGTCCTAATCCCTAGAACCTGTGAATATGCTCCCTTAAGGCAAAAGGGAATTAAGGTTGCAGGCAGAATTAAGGCGGCCCATCAGTTTACTTGACCTGGATTAGCAAGGTGGGCCCATCTAATCACATGGGTTCTTTTCTTTTCTTTTTTCTTTTCTTTCTTTTTCTTTTTTTTTTTTTTTTGAGATGGAGTCTTGCTATGTTGCCCAGGCTGGAGTGCAGTGGTGCAATCTCAGCTCACTGCAACCTCCGCCTCCCAGGTTCAAGCAATTTTCCTGCCTCAGCCTCCCGAGGAGCTGGGACTACAGGTGCATGGCACCATGTCCGGCTAATTTTTGCATTTTTAGTACAGACAGGGTTTCACCATGTTGGCCAGGCTGGTCTCGAACTCCTAAACTCAAGAGATCTGCCCACCTCAGTCTCCCAAAGTGCTGGGATTACAGGTGTGAGTCACTGCACCTGGCCATAATCACACAGGTTCTTAAAAGTGGAAGAAGAGGAGGCAGAAGGGAGGGTTGGAGAGATGCAATGGAAGAAGGACCCTACCAACAGGTGCTGGCTTTGGAGACGGAGGAAGGGGCCATGAGCCAAGGATGTCGGAAAGGCAAGGAAACAAATTCTCCCCCACAGATTGCAGAAAGGAATGCAGCCCTGCTGATGCCCTGACTTTAGCCAAGTGAGACTCACACCCGCATCAGCCCAGGTAGAAAATACGGTTTTATCAAGGACATTGTCCTGGGAGTGTGAGCTGGAGCAAGATCACCCTTCTAGAAACCTCTGTCTTACCCCTTAAATAACCTCCTCCCACAGTAAACACAAACACAAACCACCGCCCCTCTGGAAGCTGCCTGCACAGGATGTACATTTTCTGGCAGACTCCACCTCGCCCACCTGCCCTGGGTGGGGACCCTGTCAACGGGGCTAGAGAAAGCCATACGTTCTCATCTAGGGCACACAGGGTGATGCTGGCAGGTGGACGGGAAAAGCCCACAGGAGAGAGGAGGAAGACAGGTTGCTCCAGCTGCCCTGCTTCCTCCTGCACACTATCCTGGAAGCCGCTACTCTCTGGAGGATGGAGAGAGCAGGAAGCTCAAATGATCCCCCTACGCAGCAGCCCTCCAGGACTGCCCCATCCAGGTGTGGCATAGCCAACAAAGCCCGGTGCTGGCACAGTTGAGTCCTTCCAACAAAAGAGTAGAGGGAGGGCAGCCAGTGTGGCTCTGAAGGTGAGTGCCAGGAGAGGGAGGAGTGGTGGCTGCTCAGGAAGAGGAGGACTGGAGGACAGGGAGAAGGAAGGCATTGAGCAACCCTGGGAGGCAAGCTGAGCTCCAGGGCCTGGCCCTTCTCAGACAAGTGAGGCAGGGGAAGGTTGCTTGCAGGAGAGGGTGGGTGTGGACCAGGGGTGGACGGGCAATGGCAGGGCTTGGAGGTCTGGCCTGTGCCAGTGCTCAGTGTGATTGCTGCCCAGTGTAAATCCCGTGTGGTCTACCTGGTTCAACTCTGCTTATCTTGAGGCAACAGGATGCCTGAGGTCAGAAGCTCCCCCTGGTGACCAAAAAGGCTAAGACTAGTGGGATCCAAGATGGCAGCTCACTTGGCTTCTGAAGAACCTCTAACCTCATTACAGTCTGATTTCCATGCTAAATGACCCTCCCCCCAGCACCAGGATAGTTGACAATCACCATGACAACAACAGAAAGAAACCGTAAAAGGACAGAAAGGAAGGCGGCACACCGGTTCTGAGAAGCTCTCTGCCCATTTCCAGAAAAGACATGAATATTCCTCCCCTTGATTTAATGCCCAATCCCTTTATTACAGAGGCCCCAGCTCTGTGACTTCCCAGCCCTCGGGAGCTGATAAATGGATCTGTGAGCCAAGCTCCCGCTTCTCGGTTCCATGGCCAACAAATAAAGCCTGTGCTGCTTGAAGCTCACTTTTGCTTTTGGATACTGGCTGTGTAGCACACAACAGAGAAAGACCCCATTCTTGGGAAGACCAGCTTTGTTGGTAACATTGTCATCGCCACATCCAGAAAAACACACTCCCTCCCACCCAGCCTTCCGAGTGGAGCACATTCCCAGCTTCTCCTTCATAGTTAAGTTTGGGACATGTCTTAACTCAATACCCCACAATACCGTCTGGTGTCTAAGCCTGAGCAGGGACTCATCAGCAGGGAAGCTGATGCACGAACTGAGTCCCCGTTGAAGCCAAGATCTCAGACAGAAAACCTACTGAGCCTCCCTGCTAGAGACTGCAAAGCCAGCCAGGTCCAGGACAGACTCCTCCTTGCTTTCCAGAACACACGTTTGTAGGGCCTGGCTGGCCCTGGCAGATCTGATCAGGCGGCAGAGGGCTACCTAGTGAGCCCACAGACTAGGAACCTCAAAAACAGGGCAATGGGCCCGTTTGGACAGAGCTCAGAGGCGGCAGGCTCCGCACAAGAAGGCGTGCATGGTTGGTGGCCGCAGCGTCCGTGGCCACTTGACACGTGTTCTGTGAGCCTGGGATTCTACTAAAAGCCAGATGCCGTTCACATGCGGACTGCTTTCTTCTTATAAGACACTTAAGGCTTCACTTTTCCTCCACTCTCATACACACACACACACACACACACACACACACACACACACTCGGTACCATTTTATATAAGTGGTCTCCTCTTCACATTTTAATCAGTTCAATCTCTCGGCAATCAATTTTGAAACGATTTTCAGCAAGTGCTATATCTGGAGGTTCTAAGAGAGATGCTGGAATGGCTTCCCGTCGGAACACTGAACTCTTTCGAGCAGTTTTTACGGAGGCGTTTGCTACGTGTTCTCAGGGCGGCACAGGAGCATCTCGCCTGCACATGGGAAGCTGCCTGTTTTATGCCATCGATAGAAGAGATCGAAAAAGAAATCTAATCAACCCCCAAAAGTCTCTCTCTGATGGCTAGAACATACGGTCCAGGTTTTCTGGGACGTGTACTGAGCAGCCTTTTAACTAAAAGCTTCCACACCATCTTGTAAGGAATTTCTGGTTTGGATGAAGCCCAGAGGAATGAAAGCAACCAACCTGTTTCCAAAGATCTAGAAAGTCCTGAATTCGCAACTCAGCCTCCCTCTACGACGCAACGGCCGAATCTTGCCACGGACAACACCGACCACGGGCCTGAGATAGGCCTGCAGGATCGAGGGTGGGCGGCCACGAGCGCTCGCCTTACCTGCCTGGCTGTCCCTGGGCTTACACTGGACCTCCTCCACGCACTCCGCCGGAAACCATCCGATGTGGCCGCGGGCGCTGCCTTCCCAGAAGCCCCCTTCACCGATGCTCAGAACTAGAGACGACAAAAAGGGAGAGGTGTTAGCAGGGGGGACGTGGAGGGCCTGAGGTTGAACAAGACGAGTGGGGCTGGGCAGAGGCAGGAGAATCAGCGCACCCCTGGCCAGGCCTGCAGAGCAAGCGGCTCTGGTGTGACTGCACTTCCTTCAGCTGCTGACAGTGCTAAGAGGCACCGGGGCATCACCACTGCAGACCACAGGTGCCCTGTGCCCCTTAGGTGATGAGACAGGAATGAAGCACTGACATGTTTGCATCTTTACGTATCTGACACCACGTCATATGAATGGATGTGCACGGCGGCCCTGTAGCATCTCTCAGTGTTGCACATGAGACAGGACAGTGGTGCTTGGCTGTCCTTACCATCAATGATTTCAGATATAAAAGTGGAGTCGGGGGGCACCGCCACAAAGCAGGGAGGAAATGATGAGGTCGTACCTTCCCCTCCTAAGCTGGGCAAGAACCGGAGGCAGATGGCCTGGAGGAAAGAAAATCCACCTGCCCGGCTCTGTCTGGATCTTCTAAACAAGCGTGCGGAAGGAGAAATCACAGCAGAGGTCTGGGCGCGGTGGCTCATGCCTGTAATCCCAGCACTTTGGGGGGCCGAGGGGAGTGGACCCTCTGAGGTCAGGAGTTCAAGACCAGCCTGGCCAACATAGCCAAACCGCGTCTCTACTAAAAATACAAAAATTAGCTGGGCATGGTGGCCCATGCCTGTAATCTCAGCTACTCGCTCAGGAGGCTGAGGCAGGAGAATCACTTGAACCCGGAAGATGGAAGTTGCAGTGAGCCAAGATTGTGCCACTGCACTCACAGCCTGGGTGACAGAGTGAGACTCCATCTCAAAAAAAAAAGAAAGAAAAAGAAATCACAGCAGAGGATGGGCGAGCAGCTCACGAATCATCTGACAATGGTGTGGACGTGGAATTATCTTCACTTAAAATGGAAGAAACTGCACTAAAAACCTCACACAGTCAGCACCAGCCCCTTGGAGGCCTGGCCCACAGGCATGCTGGCTTATTAATCAGGAACCTATTCATTACGTGGTTGCTGGCAAGGACTGCAGTTTTCTTTCTGACTTGTGGTTGAAAGAAGCCAATTCCCCAGGAGAGAAGGGATGGTGGCCACACAGTGACCCTGTCCTGGGGACCACGCACATCACTGGACAGACACGGCCACCCCAGCCTACAGGGTGGAAGTTGCTGAGTCCAGACACAGGCATCCCTCCCCAGCCCATGTACTGGGTACACAGTAGGCCCTCAATGAACATCCGCTGGAAGAATAAAGCATGTTTGTTTTTAAACTCAACTGCTGAGCATGGGTGAGGGACATAAGCCCAAAGACACCATGGGGTGGGGGCAAGGTCAGGAGGACCCCGCCGGTCCCCATGGCCCTACTGTGATAACTATTTCTGTCATAAAGCTTGCAGTGGCAAAGTGAGGAAGGAAAATCTTTATATCTTAGGGTTTTTTTTTTGTTTTTTGTTTTTTTTAGAGGCTTTGTCACCCAGGCTGAAGTGCAGTGGTGTCATCACAGCGCACTGCAGCCTTGACTCCCAGGCTTAAGTGATCCTCCCACCTCAGCCTCCTGAGTAGCTGGGATGACAGGCGTGTACCACGACACCTCATTATTATTATAATTACTTTTTTTAGAGACAGGGTCTCACTATGTTGCCCAGGCTGGTTTCAAAACCCTAAGCTCAAGCAATCACCTGCCTCCACCTCCCAAAGTGGTTCGGATGACTGGCGTGAGCCACTGCGCCGGTCTGTATCTTACTTAGGACTTTGGTGCTGGGCCAGGGATGCCCTCAACACCTTCACTCCCTCCTAATGTGTCTAAGCAAGGAGGAAAACAATCTGATTTCTCCACATCTTTACCTTCTTTTAAATTACTCAGGATCCAAAGGCAACAGCCCTGCTGAAAGAGGAATTATGGCCCCATAAGTGTTTTCCTCTAGCCCTCATTTGAATCTCAAAGGCCAGACAGAGAACCACTCAGCCCACGATTTTTGAAGGTTAATGGAACTGAAAACCCCACTTTATAAGTTCCTAATAACCTGAAGAAATGACCTAACTGAAACAGATCAGCCACATCCCAGGTGACCAGGACAATCATCACTGCCTGAAGCATCTCCTCCAAAACTCGATGCAGGGCCTGTGGGCTCCTCTCAGCCCAGCTGGCCGGGATGTGCCTCACAGTTTCCCAGCAGAACCCTGGACCTGAGAGGGTCATCTCAGAGCAGTAACCCCGGGCTGCAAAGGGAGGCCAAGGACTTGCTGCTGCGCCACCAGGAGCCAGTGCCCACAGATACCCACACTCTCCTTCCTTCACGGCTGTGAGGTCATTCTGCTGTTTTATATGGGCCTGGGGAGAAGGGAACTGCATAGGTAGAGATTGGTATCATCTTCCATGGAAGCTCTGCCCTATCTTAGCTATGTGATGCTTGGGAAAACTCGGTCTCTCTGTACCTCGGTTTCCTCATTTATCAGAGCATGACAATACTATCTAGCTCATAAGTGTTTCTATGCGTGAATCGGAGGCACGTGAGCCCAGTGTGGAATGAGGACTCAACACTCCTGCCTGACTTTCCTTCCAAACTCCCCTCTCCAGGAGAATCACACCTTTTAGTTCCATATTTAATCTCTATGAAGTATGCACTTCAGGATGTGTTATTGTTATTACAAGACCAACCAAAAATATGAAAGGCTGTTTCCAATGGGCTTGTACAAGGAGGCAGAGGTGACGTGCTGCAAGGGGTCCCCCCAACACGGGGAGCCTTCATGTCAGGGGCGTAAAAAGAGCAGGACGTGTGCCGAGGGTGCAGGGGAATGGAGGAGGGGGCCCCTTCTGGGTTTCTGGTTGTGCAAATGGTACCTGCTGGTCCTCTTCAGAGAATGGGGAGCAAGAGAGGGGTTTGTGCCTTGAGTGCCTCCCTGACAGAACATCTGCGTCCAGGTAGGAATGAGTGTTCCTCATATGGTGAGGAAGGGGCTGGGCTTGGCTACCCCATTGTTTGCTGATGCAATTCATTCAAAAGTAAAGACTCCACACCCTGGGTAAGAAGAGGTGGAGGAGAAGAGGAAGTCCCCATCCACCCAGCAGTACAAGAGCGAGCACTGGGCTGGGAGGTGAGAGACTTGGCCCCATCACTGGGATGCTGAGGGATCCCGGGGACTCCTGTTCTCTCTGTGGCCCCACCTACTCCATGTGGAACACTAGGGTGAATTCTGAGAGTGAATTCTGACCAGGCAACCAGGGGAATTCTGGAGTCTGGAGTCCTGCCTTGCTCTTGGGTGCTCTGGCTAGAAAAATTGTCAAGGACCCTGTCCCTGGAGCCCCAGACTTGCAGGGGAATACGGTGTGATAGGACTGACTCTACCACAGAGGATCAGATGAGAATCGTCCCAGCCAAACCGAGGGGCAGGAGGAAGACTACGGAAGCACAGAGGGGGTGCGGCGAGACTTGGGGCAACCCTGCAGGAAGAGGCAGTGCTTTGAATGGTGGGTAGAGAGCAGGTGAAGGCACTGCACCCAGGGCATGAGGACCGGGAGAGGGGCACATACGGCACGGCTGGGGGCCCTGGGAAACCTGGCTAGAAAGAAGGTTCATCCTCAACACCATGTCTGCTCCAACACAGACGATGCTTTAAGGCACCTATGAAAACCAACTGCGGATCTCTCTATGGGCCCCACATGCTTCCTGAGGCCACAGTGGGGATAAGCTTGTTGGAGAAGGGCCAGCTCTGCTGTCCTCACTATGGCCACCACAGTGGGCCGCTCCCTGCCTCAGCAGCTCTCTTGCAAACTGGAAAGCAGCGGTGATTCCCTGTACTGGATGGGTCAGGGGTGGCTCCGACCCCGCTGCTACACTCCACCTTCTCCCCCTTGACCCCAGCCTGGGTACAGAAACCTGCCAGGTCACTGCGGAGGAGGGAGGAACCGAGACCCAGTGTTTCTCCTGTTCTGTACCCAACATGCTGGTTTCTAATGTACCTCTAGGCCATCTTCAATTTCAAACCATGCATGGTGTTCTTGAATCCACATATCCTTCTGCTTAAATTGACACAGGACTTACTTGGGTCAAGGACTGTGCTGGTGTCTGGGGTCACAAAGATGGTGCAGGATTTGGGGCAGACACCTGGAGGAGCTTCAGAAAAGGAGGATGGCCTTACTGTCCACCTACCTAATGTCACAGAGCAAAAACGCTGGCGCCCCCTGTGCCCCCACCCCCCAGCATTGGCAATGCTATGTCATGGGCTTAGTTTTTTGCTTGCCAGAATGGGGGCTTGCAGTAAGCAGGGTCAATCATCACTGCTTCCCTAGGCCTCACCCATGGCCACGAACCCTCAGGGGTTCACTGTGTGTCTGTTAAATAAATGAACCCCTAAAATGACCACGCTCACTGTGCTACGTGCTGCATCAGAGGCCTGTGTGGCCTGGGCCAAAAAGTAGAGAGGGAGCGTGGCAGGTGGGGGCGAGGACACTCCCAGAGGAAGGGACATGGCAGCCGAATCCTGAAGGAGGAGCTGATGGGAAGACACAGGGATAGCTGCTGTTTGGGCAGAGGAAAAGCAGGATGGAAGCATGGTGGTGAGAGCGTGGGACAAAACACACACTGCTATTTAGAAAACTCTGTCATTCTTTCACGCTGCCATGCACTCACTCACTCACCACCTATCCAACTACCCACCTATCCACTCATTCACCCACCTATCAAACTCAACCGCACATCCATCCATCCATCCATCCATCTTCCAGCCTACCCATCCATCCATCTACCCATCCATCCATTTACCTATCCATCCATCCATCCACCCACCCACCCAGCCATCCAGCCATTTCATCCATCCATCATCTATCCCATTCCAAGCACTGTGTCACATGCTTGGGAAACAAACAAGAAGAAGACAAAGTCCTGCCTGCAGAGGGTCTACAATCCGTCACAGTCAGGAATGCTGCAAAATCACCTGAGGAGCTTGTTAACTATTCAGATTCCCAGGCTGTGTCCTTGGAGACACAATTCTGCAGATGTAGGGATGGATGGCCAGGAGATCTGCACATTTAACAAACTCCTCTCATGTCTCAGATGCAGGGACTTCGGGAAGAGAGGCTGAGAAACTGCACTCAGGTACACAGCTTGGACAGGAGCCTCTGGCTCAGGAGCCTGATGCTGGATCTCGCATAAAGAACTATCGGGAGTGGAGGGAAGAATGTGCCAGGCACAGTGAAGGACAAAGAAGAGCCCTTGAATTAAAAAAAAAAAAAAAAGGAGCGTCAGTGGGGGAATCGGAACATGTACACACCTATTTTTGGGCACCCCTTATTTTAGAAGAAAAATGTTGGGGTATGTTTTCCCAGGTACATGGTATGCAACTGTCTACTGGGAACGTCAACCCCTTCCCAAATGGGACCGAGCGGAGGAGATGTAAATTAACCTTCTGAAAGAGCCAGGAGCAGCAGTGTTATCAGCAGGACCCCAGGGCCACCCTGGGGCCCGTCACAGCCACCCTGCCTGCCTGCTGCCCAGACCCGACTTCCACTGCAAAAAATGAGTTTGGTTTCTCTGGAAACCCTCCCAGACCTGCCCCTGCCAGCCAGGCAGCTGGGTTTCCTGCCCACAATGATTGTTCCCTTGATATCAAGGGGACAGAATTCCTCCAAACGGCCTTGGCTCTGCAGGCAGTGGATCGGCTCGACCCGCCCGCCTCTAAGCACTGCCATGCAGGCAGCAAGGATGTGCGGGCCACCCCACGATGGGGAGGAGGCACCGACAGCTCGGCAGGAAGGAAGAGCGGTGCCACTGGCAGCAGGAAGGGGCTCCGTGCCAATTGTGTGCAAATGGCCTGCGCGGCCCACTCGAATCTCTTTTCAGAACAGCAGTCCTTTGCCATCGATCCTTTGAAGTGTGAGTTTTGGAACCGAGCTCTGTCATTTCTGTTCTCCCTGGGAGAAAGGCCCAGCTCCCCGCACGCCCCACGCTCCTGCGAGGGGCGGGTTCCAGTCTGGTCATGTTTGAGGAGGTGCTGCTGGGTTCCAGTGTGCTGGGGAGGGGCAGAGAGGCTGAGGAGGCCCAGTCCTGGGGCCTGGATAGGAGTCACGTGACCTCCCTTCTTTCCTTTGTTGAATCATTCTATCAAACCCAGGGAGTTGGACAGGGGAAGGCCCCCCCAGAGCTTCTGGGAATTAAGGTGTGAGATGTGGATTCGCCTGCCATGTCCCAGGACCCCTGCGAGTCCTGGGTCCTCAAGTCTGCCTACCACTGCCAGCCTGTGGGAGACTCGGATCCACTGATGGGGCTCATCACCGGCTCCCCCTCTCCCTTGAGCTCCTGCTCATCCATGCTGCTACTCAGGGTCCCCTCTAAGGGACTCTCAGCTGTTTAGTGCCCACTCCCATGGGCCTCTGCTCTATGTCTAAGGGACTGGGGACATGTGCCAAGTTCACAGCATGGGAGCCTGTCTGCAGCTCTGCCCCTCTCGGAGCATGGGTCAGTATGCCTGAGTGAGTCCACAGATGCCCAGCCCCAGGCTCTAGGTTCATCTTCACAGGCCTCTCTGCCCCTTTGGAAGTCCAGGACTAACCTGGCTGCCCTACAGGAACTGCCAGCCGCACCCCAGCCTTCTCCTTGGGCATCAGTGAGCTCCAAAGCAGGACTCACAGAGGAGCAGCTCCCACCCTCCGACCCCTGAGCCCCAGGCTTCTCCTCTTTACAATAGGGACAGGCCTGGACAAGAAGACCGTGTGTCCCTTCCTGCTCTGGAGAGACAGTGAGCTTCCTTGGCTCCCACTTGGGCCTAGGGGGTGGCCCTGAGTGTGCAGACCGGTCAGAAAACACTCTCTAACTAGGAACTTCAGCTCTCACTTCCTAGAACGGGGTTGCTAACAAGGCCGGCATCGGCCCTGATCCCTGCACAGATGGCCCCTCTTGCTCCCCCACTGCGGGGCCTTAACATCCTTGTCACCCGACATCTCAGGGCTGGCCTCAGTGGGGAGGAGGGAAGGTGGCTCTCAGCACTAGTCCTCAGAGAGACAGCCAAGTTGATGGGGTAAGTGTGAAGGATTTTAAAGTGGCAATTACACCAACCTACAGTGTTGTAAAAACAAAACAAAAAACTAAGTTTTTAATGAACAAAAAAATCTCAACAAGGTAATAGGAGATCTTGGCAAATAAAAGGCAACAATAAAAACAGATAAACAGAAAAGCTAGCAAACATGATTTATGAAATTATAAAACTCAAAAGACGGACTTAACAGCTACAGGGACATTTCAAAGGAAAGGGTAAGTGAACTTAAACAATAACCAATAGAAATGATCTAATGTAAAGAAAAATGACTGAAAAAAATGAATAGAGCTCCAGGGACTTGTTTGATGCTATCAAATGATGAAATATGTGTGCAGCAGAAACACTGGCCATCAGGCAAGAGGGCGGGGCTCTGCCATCATTAGAATGTTGCAGTAACCCAGGTCAAGCTGACCTGATCAGTGTGTCGCGCAGAGAAAGGAACTGAGTCAATTACCTGCTGGGGGCCAGGAGGCAGCCAGCTGGGGAAGGCGGGATTTGAACCGGGCCTACTGACCTCTAAGGGCCGCACCTTCCACCCATGCCACTCCAATGGCAACCTGCCCTCCAATGGCAAGGCCCTCCAATGGCAGGGCCCGGCATGCTGCCCTCCAATGGCGGGGCCCGGGCATGCTGGCCACGTGTGCTAGGCCTTTCTTGCTCCACCCAGTGAGTTCCTACCACCCCACACAACCTCCGCAGCCCACACCTGCCATGTTGCTTCTGCTGTGTGCCTCAGATGACACCACTGCCAACTTCCCTCCAACCCTACTTTTATCTTCCTGCAGTGCTTCACACACCTGACTTCCCCCTGGGCAGAAACCATCACTGGCTCCCCAATACCCCAGGAACAATGTCTAACCCCTTCTTGACCTGGTGTTGACAATGGCCCCCCCAGAGGCTTCTCAACGCTGGTTCTCAGGATTCTGCTTTGAGAATCTTTCCTTCCAACCTGGTAGAATTCCTTCCTTTGAACACTGCAGGCCCCGGGCCTCAGGTCACACCGGACCATCTACCTGGAGACCCCAAAGCCGACCCATGCCAGGGCCCACCCCGACACTTCAGACTTAGGGGATGGAAAGGAGCTCTGCTCTTCGATGCCCTCATCTGGCTCCCCCACTGCCCTTCTCAAGTGGAATCTCATTCCCAGTGGACGTGTCCCCTTCGATCCCTGAGACCCAGCACTGGGGAAGCCGCAGCAGCTCCCTGGAGAGTGAGGGAAAGGGTCTGGGAACGTCACTCTGTTCCCCATTCCTGCCCTTCCAGGGGCCCGTGTTTTCCATGGAGAAGCACAGCCTTGGACATCGTCCCCACAGCAGGCCGGGTGAAGGGCCCCAGCCTGACCTCACTCCAGGAGCGGAGGACAACCAGCAGACACTGACCTTTGACCCTGTCACCGCGGTGAAGGGGGATCTCGCCGTCCACTTGGGGTTGGTATGGCTTGACAGCGACGAAGAGCCTCCCGGGCACGGCACTGTAGAGCTTCCGCTTGGGCCCCGGGTACTCGAAGGCCGAGAGTGAGTCCTTGTTGGCACCAAGAGCAAAAGGCGACCTGGACCAGGTGAGAGGGGCAGAGAGAGAGAGAGCAGAGTCACAAGGTCACAAGCCACATGCCACAAACCACAGCCAAGCCATTCAACGCATGCTGCGCCTCGGCTGGCCGCATCAGAACTCCTGATGCCAGACAGGAAGATGGGAACAGGCCGGGGCAGCACTGTGGTCAGAGGCTCAGGCAGATCCAACAATCCCACTCGCAGGTCTGCCCCGCACAGACAGAAAGCTGCCACTCGGGGAGACGTCTGCACACCTGCGTTCACAGTGGCACCGTTCACAGCAGCCCAAGGGTCCCTCCACAGAATGGAGAGACACAGGGTGGTCCAAACATACAATGGAACGCTGTTTAGCCTCCATCAGGAATTAAACTCTGGGCCAGGCGTGGTGGGATCACATCTGTAATCCCAGCACTTTGGGAGGCTGAGGTGGGCAGACCACCTGAGATCACGAGTTCGGGACCAGCACGGCCAACATGGTGAAACCTCGTTGGTACTAAAAATTCAAAAAATAGCAGGGTGTGGTGGTGAGCACCTGTAATCCGGGCTACTGGAGAGGCTGAGGCAGGAGAATTGCTTAAACCTGGGAGGCGGAGGTTGCGGTGAGCCAAGACTGCACCATTGCACTCCAGCCTGGGTGACAGAGTGAGACTCTGTCTCCAAAAAAAAAAAGTAAACTGTGACACAGGCTACACCATGGGTGAACCTTGGGGACACTGCTCAGTGAGATACACCAGACACAAAAGAACACAGACTGTGTGATCCCAGCCATGCGAGGGCCCGAGAGCAGTCAGATTCATGGACACAGAAAGTAGAATGGCGGGTGCCGGGGGCTGGTGGAGAGAATGGGGAGTGAGGGTTCAATGGGGACAGAGTTTTGGTTTCACAAGATGAGAAGGTTCTGGAGATGGATGGTGGTGATGGCTGCACAGCACTCGAATGTATTCCACTGAACGCCACTGAACTGTGCACTTCAAAATGGTTCTAAGGTGATAAATTTGATGTTACACCTATTTCTCCACTATTTTACTTCATTTTATTTATTTATTTGAGACAAAGTCTCCCTCTGTCACCCACGCGGGACTGCAGTGGCATGATCTCGGCTCACTGCAACCTCTGCCTCCCAGGTTCAAGCGATTCTCCTGCCTCAGCCTCCTGAGTACCTGGGATTACAGGTGCCCGCCACCATGCCTGGCTACTTTTTGTATTTTTAGTAGAGATGCGGTTTCACCATGTTCACCAGGATGGTCTCAAAGTTCTGGCCTCAAATGATCCACCTGCCTCGGCCTCCCAAAGTGCTGAAGTTACAGGTGTGAGACACCGCACCTGGCCTATTTTGCCACTATTTTAAAAAAGACTAGCCTGGGCAACATGATGAAACCCTATTTCTACAAAAAAAAAAAAAAAAAAAAAAAATTGGCCAGGCATGGTGCTGTGCATTTGTGGTTCTCGCTCCTTGGGAGGCTCAGGTGGGAGGATTGCTTGTGGCCAGGAGGTCGCGGCTGCAGTGAGCCATGATTGTGCCACTGCACTCCAGCCTGGGTGACAGAGTGAGATCCTGTCTCAAAAAAACAAAAACAAACAAATCCCAAAGAGACTCAGGTGGAGACAGAAATCCAGGAAGGCCATGGGTGTCCGACACTTCATCCACCTCACTGTGAGCGTCAGTCACACTGGACGAGGAAGCACCCAGGGCCTTCCATCAAAATGGGTCACGACCTCGGTTCTCCCAGTGCAGTTCCCAGCGGCCCCAGCGAACCACGCTAGAGGAACTCATATCCGTTCTTGCTGTATGTCATTGATTTTGCACAGAGCTATGTTTTCAACCTGACTTCTACACCCGACAGTAAGACACACCTTAACAGGGCCCAGAGACAGGACACGCAACACAAAGTACTCTGAGATGCACCTACACAGTGCCAGGACGGGCGTCCTTAGAAACAAACGCATCTACACGGAGGAAGTTGGCCAGAAATTCAGGACGGCCCTCCCGGGCACATGCTCAGAAAGACAGGGAAAGTGTCCACCTGCGGCTGGCATCCTCCAACAGGGCGCCTGGCTGCAGGGAAGCGAGTGGTCTCTGACCATGGTTCCCCTCCCAAACTTTAGGTGCTGTGGCCTCTGAGGCGATGGAGGCAGCATCAGTCTTTCTATGAGGACAGGGAGGAAGGGCCCATGCACACAGGGACCCATGCAAAACAGGCTTGCAGGGAAAGTTCTAGAAGCGGATGTGACTACCCTCTTTTGGCATTTAACATAAGCCTCCCCCTGATCACCTGCCTTCACTACTGTAATCACCCGACTCATGTGTCCCTGATAATTGCCTTATAGTTTGCTCTGTGCTTGTATAAAGTTACAGAAGGGCAATGGGGCTGTATTTAGTTCTGATTCTTACTCCTTCTCTCAGCATTAGGATGGTGAGATCTGGCCATGGGGACCTTACCCATGTCAACGTGTTTGAGGAGCCAGGGCTCCATGTACTCCGATTACTCTGTAGGGAGCAGATTGGGCCTGAATACTCAGTCTGTCTGCCTGACTCCAAATCTCAGATTTGTCCTGAAACCATGGGGAGCAGAGACAGGGCAGGACAGTGGCCTCTTCTGGAACAGGTGGGCGTCTTGGATGCTTACCTGGGCTCTGAGGACATTGAGAGATGGGGGAGGCTGCAAGCAGCTAGGACTTCCCTGTCCCCTGTCCCTAGGGATGCCATTCCTCCCCCAAGTCACAGCCACAAATGTGGCAGTCACAGACTCCTGGGGGCACAGGTGTCTCTGAGCTGTCACTGCCATGCAGCCTGGGCACAATATGGAGCCCACCGGGCACGGTGTGGCACAGCAGTGCATCGATGTGCACAGCCAGGAGAATTCCAAAGGACCACTGTTCCCCATCGATGGACATCATCTATCCCCAAACACCCCAGGAGTTCCTGGAGCAGGAACTCCTGCAAAAGCTAGGTTTGGTGGCCTCCTCTTGTCCAAAGGCATAGCTCAGTGAGCCACCAGGGAGCAGAGGGAAAGGACACTGGGCACTTCCTGCTCTGCAAGGGGAGCTGATGAACGCAACAGCAGCGCTGGGCCAGGCCCCCACCTGAGAGGCTTCCCTGCCAGCCTGCCCAGCCATCTGCACGTGTACCAGCACTCAGACACATTCAACTCAGCCTGACTCAGGCAGGGCTGGACTGGCACAGGACCGAGAGCTGGGAGGGGTGGGAGCCTGTACCGCAGGCACTGAGCGTCTCACGGCTGTCTCCTCTCTGGCTCCCAGGCCAGCAGGGATGCGGGGAGGAGAATCCCGGCAACCAAGGGACTCCAAGGAGAATACAGCACCCCAGGGTCAGAATCCCTCCTCTCCTTGAACTTCCCTTAATGCACCTGCCCACATCTGCCCCGAGTGATGAAGCCAGCAAGGCTGGCGGCCATCATGGGCTCTGTGGACGGCCTGAACCTCCCGTCACTCCCAGGCTGACCTGCCCCAGCTGTGTGACCTTCAGTGAGTCACTTTACCTCTCTGAGCCTTAATTTTCTTATTTGTAAAATAGGTGGTAGAGGGTGGGGGTAGGGCGAATCCCCACCACCTGTGGTTGCTGGGAGACTAATGAGAAAATGCAGATGAGAAGCTCAGTTCCCAGCCCCGCTGCAGCTCCGAGGGCAGTCACTGTCTCTGCATTGACCATTATCCAGGCTGGACCGGCAGCAGCCAGAACACAGGGCTATGCCGACATCATCTCAACCCCCTCTCCTGGCCGGTGATGCGACATGGGCGATTGGAGGAGCTGGATGCATTAGGCCCCATCAGGACTGAAGGTTAGTCCTAGTGATGAGGTCACAGGTGGCCCCAGTGTCCCCTGGGCTGCATGGATGCTCTTCAGCAGGTGGAGTGGCTGCAGGTCAGGTCAGCCCAGCCCCATGATCAGTCCCCAAGCACCCGGATAGGTTGACTCCAGGGGGAGCAAGGTGAGGCTTGTGGGCTTCCTCCCGAGGGGAAAGGGTGGGTCAAAGTCTAGAGGAAAAATCAGATGAACAAGGCTGACAGTAGCTGGGGCAGGGCAGAGGGTGAGCCACAGAGCAGGAGTCACAGGGTCTGTTCACAACTGTTATGTGTCTGACACAGCAGCTGCTTAAGTCCAGAACTTAGGAACCAAATGAGGAGTGCGTCTTCTCAGGATTTCCACACCCAAAGAGCTCCTGCAAGGAACCCCACGGCCCCACTGTGCATCCTCAACAGCAGCCGGCAAGGGACACTGAGCCTGCCCTGCTTGAGAAGTCAGTTAACTTCATCAGAATTAATCCATCCACTCATCTCTTCTTTGTTATCCATCCAGGCCTCCTTGCCCAAATACCTGTTCTTCCATCCATCCACCCACCCACTCATCCACCCACTATCCATCATCGATCCATCCATCCATCCATCTACCCATCCATCCACCCATCCATCCACTCATCATCTACCTATCCATCATCCATCCACTCATCCATCCATCCATCCATCCATCATCTATTCATCCATCCATTCATCCAACATCCATCTACCCATCCATCCACCATTCATTTATCCATCCATCTACCCATCCATTCATCCATCATCTATCCATCCACCATCCAGCCATCCATCCATCATGTATTCATCATCCATCATCCATCTACCCATCCATCCACCATTCATTCATCCATGCATCTACCCATCCACCCATCCATCTTATCATTTTTCTGAACATCTATTCACTCATCTACCCAAAGTTCAGAAAGATCTTGCCTGAAGCCCAGCTGAACACTTACTATCCATCATTGGACAAGTTAGCTACCTCTCAAAGCCTCAACCTCCCCATCAAAAAAGCGGATGATCAGGAGTAACTGTGATAACGCACTCTGCCAGGTGTTATGCAAACATCAGCACCTTCACACTGCCCTGCTGCAGCTGCAAAGTCAGTAACAAAGTGCCTGTCTCACCTCACTGGTCCAGCTGGCACCAGAGTGCGTGTCACTTGACAGAGAAGTCAAAGTGAACACAGCTCCAACCTTGAAGCTCTGTTTCTTGATTCTCTTTGCAGGAATCAGTTCCCTAACCCATCAACCCCAGAGCCTGGGGAACCTTTATCTAAAAACAGGAAAGCCTTATTTCTTCTAGACCAGAGTGGTGTACACGGTTGCAGGCAGTGATTACCGGGCAGTGACATACGGTTCCAGCCAAATGCTCACATGTCTTCTTATTCACTGTTAATTTGAACCTCAAAAAGTCCCACAAAGGCAGAAGGTGAAAACTTTTGTCCCCATTTTACAGGTGAGAAAATGGAGGCTCCATAAATGGTGACTTGGGTATGGAAATACAGAGCTGGTCCTCACATCCTAGCTCGGGGTTCCCTGCTCTGTCTGGTGACAGAATGAGGTGAACAAGATCTCACCTGCTACAAGGTGTCTTATCCTTGTGATGTCTCATTTGATGAACTACATCCTCCTGCCAGGTCCCACTCTTCCCACAGCAGCCATAGTCAGCAGCAGAAGCCAGACCTCTGCAGCCCAGGGAGAAGGGCTGCCCCGCTCAGGAGACATGGCACCCGGGCCACGCTGGGGGTCCCTCCTGCTGTCCTGCCTGCACAGTGAGGACTGGTCTGAAGTTCCTGCATCCCAAACTGTCCATGTTTTCCTTATGTTCTGGCCAAGAACAGCCAGGAGGGATTCTAACCAACTTGTTTTGGTATAAGGGCCAAATCACTGAATTCTTAAAATGAAAAAATTGGTAATCTTCTCGGTGGGGTGACTTGGATCAGTGAGTTGGGCCATTTCCCAGCCAGCCTGGGTGAACAGGAACTGGCCGACATACTGACCTTTCTCCATTCATTCATTCACCAGTCAGTTACACATTCATTCATTCATCCAGCAAGTACTCTGCGGGTGGGCTGTGAGCCCATCGCCATGTGGGTCTGCAGACCCCCGTGAATGGTAGACACGGATGCAGGCCTCAGGGAGCTGACGGTCAACTGGGCAGAAGCACAGGTCAGCAGATGCATTTCCGCCCATCTGAGGGGTCAGCACAGAGAACAGGGCCAGGACTTGAGGTCAGGGTTAGAGTCCACAGGGCCTACCCACAAAAGGCTACAAGAGGGGACAGCTGGGTAGTGCAGAGAGAAGGGCAAGGGCACGGGAAAGGCTCTGCAGGGATGTTCGGGGAGAAATGGATGCCACACGGCGCAGTGGTGCCAGTGAACGAGCACCAGCTCACCCTGGATGCAGCCTCAAGGCTGGACCGGAGCAGACAGAAGGTGGAGGTGGGGAGCCCCATTGAGGGCCCCTGTGGCCATCCCAGGGGAGCTAGGGGAGCCCCTGATGTGTAGAATTGTGAGAAAGTTGGAGGTTTCAAGAGGCACAATCACCCAGGCCTGGGACCTACTCAAGGTGGGTAGGTGGGTGTGTCTTCCAGGTTACGGCTCACGCAGAAGATGGCAGTAGGGGAATAGAGAAAGCTGTCAGCTCAGGTCTCTGGCACAGAGGGCAGCACAGCAAACGCAGGAGTTCCCAAGCCCTTAGCGTCTGTCAAATGTTACTAAATGCTATTGGCTGACAGTTGTTTTAAAGTTGAAGGCTCAGGTCCTGTGTCATCTCCTGTCTGGTCAATATCACCTCCCTCCCTGGCTTCCCAGGACTGTGAAAGTCAGCCCGCACCCAAGCCCTGTGCGTCTCGGGCCTGAGGGCTTCACGCTGCCTCTGTGATTCTGGTGACGGCATCTCTGAGGATGCACGACAGGGACTTAGGATTATTCACAATGTCTCACCTTGCTGGCTGCAATGACTGCTTCAGGGACGGACACAGGACACCGGCTACCCCTCCATCTGGCCCCGGCTGTCTGCCAGACTAACCCTGGGCACAGGTGAAAGTCAGGCTGGGCATGGTGGCTCACCCCTGTAATCCCAGCACTTTGGCAGGCTGAGGCAGCTGGATCACCTGACATCAGGAGTTGGAGACCAGCCTGGCCAACATGGCGCAACCCCATCTCTACTAAAAATACAAAACTTAGCTGAGTATGGTGGAGCATGCCTATAAGCCCAGCTACCTGGGAAGCTGAGGCAGGAGAATCGCTTGAACCTGGGAGGTGGAGGTTTCAGTGAGTCAAGATCGTGACACTGCACTCCAGCCTGGGTGACAAGAGTGAGACTCTGTCTCAAAAAAAAAAAAAAGAAAGTCAGGGCCACCGGGAGAGCTCCCAATTCCACACCTCACCCCTACTCTGCCAGCAGGGCCCAGCCACCCCCACTTTCTAGGTCAGGATGATGGGGCACAGGAGGGCAAGCAGGAGCCGCAGTCCTGGCACTGACTTGAAGCCCCTCTGCGGGCCCCACTCCAGCAGTGTCCCTGGGCGGCCAAGGCCCCTTCTGCCCATTTCATCCGCCTGAAACCCTGAACGCAGCTGCACCTCAGTTCCCATGCCAGTTTCAGGAAAACAGAGGCCACTGGGCCAAAGACGGGCTTCCCAGAGCCCCACTGGGTCCTGCCGGGGTCCAGCCCCTGCCTGTGTGGCCAGGTGGGTGCCGCTCTTTCATGCGTGCAATGGACGACGCATGGACAGGGCGGCAGCATTCATCTCCACCAACTGAACTCAAAAGCATGAGTCCTTCTTTCCTGCTGAGCTGACCCCACCCAAGCAACGTTCTTGAAGGAGAGGGTGGCCAGGACATTCCCTGGTGGGTGAGGCCAGGGCAGCCCTTGGGACTGGCTGCCACTTTGTAGAAATACATCCAGAGTTGTTCTGAACCCGGGAAGGCCAACCAGCCCCTTGGCAGCTGGGAGAGACCCAGAAGGAACAGGGATGCCCCCACCCCACACACTCCCAGAGCAGGGACTCAGGTGTCTCAGGAATGTTCTCAGGACAGTGGTCCAGCAGTGCCAGTGGACGCCACCAGAGGGCGCCCCCAGGGGCGGAGCTGGCTGAGCCTCACACCTGAGGGAGCAGAGGTGTGCAGGTGCACTGGCTCCTACCCTCCCGGACCAGCACCTTTAGGAGGATGGGAGAAGAAACACACACACACACACACACACACACACACACACACACACACACACACACACACACACACACGAAAATGAGAAGGAGGAGGCACAGGGAGGAAGGAAGAACACAGGCCAAGGGACAGGTGGACAGGTAGGCAGGAGAGACTGTGGGGGAGGATGGGGGCAGGGACAAGTGTGGGGCGTGTTCCTCTCTCTGTCTCAGAGGGACAGCCCTGCCACAGGCTCTGGCTCACCTGGGAGGGGCTTGTGCAGTGATGGGCAGCGAGGGACCCTGTGGTGTCTCCACTAACAGCCCTCACCTCCCAGCGGACACTCACCATCCACAGATCGGCCCCCTCACACCCCTTGCAGCCCCCTTCCTGTTACACCATCACTGCAACACCAGCTCCCAGGCTGGGCCCGGTGAGCTCCTTGGGGCGCTCGCCATTGTGCAAGCTGGCTCAGGGCAGCTTCGAACCAGGGTTGGCACCTCCATGCAGGAAGCAGACCCTGCCTACAGCTCTGAGCCCAGGCCAGGAGGCACTGGGTTGCTTGGTGCCAGCAGGAGTCCCGGTGGGGGCCCTGGGGAGGCTGGGAGGCCTCCCTGAACCCCATCAAGGCTGCACTTGAGGGTGTGACCTGAGGCTGGTTCTGACCACACTGCCACGCCCACTGCAGTCCTGGCCAAGGTTTCTGGGGCTTTGGGTCAGCGTTTAGGCAAATAGGTCTGGCCCAAGAGGGGTGCTGAGCATGTGCAGAGGGACAGGGGACCTGGCCAGTCGCCTCCCTGCCCAGGACAGTCGGCCTCCTCCTACCTGGCCATCTCTGCTTCCCCTGCTTCTTAGCCCACACAGGCCTCTGCCACCGGGACAATAACACCTGATACCCTGTGCTCCCTGCCCCATGGCAGCCAGCGGGGTCTTTCTACACTGTCCACAATAAGGATGAAGATGAAGACGACCCTAAGAGTGGCCGACGTTTCTGCAGAACCGAAGACTGTCTATGAGCAGCTGTGGATGTCAGTGCAGGCCAGGTGCTGAAAGCCACTTAATCCACCCAGCACACTCGGGAGGGGGTGAAAGTCATCAGCCCCACTTTACACAGGAGAAAACAGAGGCACAGAACCAGCAAGTGACTTGCCCAAGGTCAGCTGGCGGGTGGGTAGAGCCAGGTAGCCCTGGCGGTCAGCACTGCTTGGGGGATGTTCAGCACCGGTTGCTCAGCATGGGCTGATGGGCAGCTGCTCCACCCTTCAGACAGGAGGAAGTGGGGAGGGCTTTCCCCTCCACGGCAGGGAGAGCACGCTGTCACTTATGCTTCTGATGGTAACCAGAAAGAGCTCTGGGTCACCCAGGGCCCCCAGAGGCTGGGAGCTAGCAGCCTCCCTGAAAGTGGCCCGTTAGTGCCACATGGCCAGGGCCCGTTGCCCTAGGAAAGAGCTGGTTTTTCAGGAATAGTAAGGCAGGCGCACAAGGCATGGGGCTGAGCTTTGAGCTTCGAGGATGAACAAGGAGCAGAGGGGCTCAGCCACCTCCTGGAGCCTCCAAAAGGCCCTGGGTTGGGTTGCACAGTCCTGTGATCCACCATCCAGCATCACCAGGGCTGGCCGAATGAGCGTTTCCCTATCTCAATAAAGGCCACTTCCACAATGGGGCCTCGGTCCACAGCCAGGAAGCAGACAGCTCTAGCCAGGCCCCCCTCCCCTGGCTGTACCTTGTTTGCAGGACATTCAGACCAAGTGTGCTCAGGGCACCAGCCTTTGCACCCCGGCTATGTCACCTGAATGTCCCTGCGCCCAGCATGGGCCTGGGTAACTGCTCCATAAGCAAACAATGTGCAGTGAACTGGCTCCCTTCTGTGCCTCTCACCGTGCAAAGACACTTCTGCCCCCCGAATGCATATGGCCCTATGCAGGGACAGAACACAACAGTGGCACCTGCATGCCCCACCCTCATCCCAGGGGACCTCAAAAAGATGCCTGGAGAAGCATGCCTGCCTCCAACTCTCCATCCCACCTGGTCGCCTCGAAGGCAAATGCTCACCACTGCTGTCCCATAGGAGGGGACGTCAGTGCCACTGGCAGGTCCTAGTTAGGACACGGGTCTTAAGGGAAGGACCTCTCAGCTCATCAGTGCCCATCCAGAGGGTTCCTCCTACAGCACAGCTATTGCTACCATTGAGGATGCTGAATCCTGGACAGATGGATATGGACAGGGAGGCTGTGAAGGGGTGGGGAAAGGGAAGATGGAACAAGGCCAAGAAAGAAGGGACTGACGGGTCAGGGCCACCAGGTAAGAGCAGTGCCCCTCGACTTGGGACAGGCAGTGGCCCACAGTTAGGGGGACTGGCTGTCCTGATTTTAGCACTGAAAGTCCCACATCACAGGCAAACCTGAATGGTTGGTCACTCTACCAACGGTTCTAGGTGACAAAGGGGACAGTCTTGGCCGAGCTCTGGGTCTTGGGTTGGACATGGACCTGGGCTCTAAGAACCAATGTGGAATGCGCACTGGCTGGACAAGGTGCTGTGGGAGGCGGCCACCCTGAACGCCTTCAGCTGATCTTGAGAAAAACCTGAAGTTGGTCTTTCTGGGACCCTTTTTTGAGATGGAGTCTCGCTCTGTCACTCAGGCCGGAGTGCAGTGGTGCCATCTCAGCTCACTGCAACCTCCGCCTCCCAGGTTAGAGCGATTCTCCTGTCTCAGTCTCCTGAGTAGCTGGGATTACAGGCATGCGCCACCACATTCAACTAATTTTTGTATTTTTAGTAGAGATGGGGTTTCACCATGTTAGCCAGGCTGGTCTCAAACTCCTGACCTCAAGTGATCTGCCTGCCTTGGTCTCCCAAAGTGCTAGGATTACAGGTGTGAGCTACCGCACCTGGTCCCTTGTTTTATAATTGACAAAGATTAGGCAGATTGGGTTTTACCTGCCCAAGGTTATGCAGCTATACAATGGTACAGTACAGAAGCGTGTATGCAGGAGGCCAGGCAATGAGCATTTGAGGCAGGCTGGCCACCATGATGACCACACACACACACATACACAATGATTCTCTCTCTAACATGCACGCGCATGTCTACACACCAGCATGCACACAGGCAAATGCACACAGACCAAAAAAACACAAAAATGCATGCACATACATACACAGGCATACACAAACACATACACACATGCACACACACATGTGCATTCTGTCCCCCGTTCCTCACACATGAACAGGGAAACAGGGATGGTCAGACCGCAGCTGCAATACACCCGGCTGCTTCTCTCTTTCCCGAGCCACATCTAGCACATCTAGTCTGCAGCCAGCTCAAGTCCCTGGCCACGCTGCCTTTGCTGTCTTATTAGATTTTGTACTGGGTGAAGGGGACACACTCTTTTTAAAACTGTAGTCAGAAGTCTTGCTAAGTGTGTGAAGTGGAATTGGCTGCCTCGGGGGAGCCCTTTAATTTAGCTTCCCATTGTTCTCAGCACCTGGGACTCCTCCCTTGGGGTCCTTCCAAGCAGGAATCTAGACCAGAAGCAGCTGGACCTCCTTGTTTGGCTCTGGTGGGAAGCGTCTGTGGGCTAAAGGCCAAAGCGTTGAGAGGACGTGGGGTCTGCCAGCTCTAAGAGGATCAGGCCTCGACCCTGTCTAGGGGCCGGGAGAAGTGGGCTCTCACCGGCATGTTCTCCCCACAAACTCCTTGGCTGTGGCCCCAAAGCCTGGGCTGCTGGTCATAGTCAGGGTGATCAGCCCCTCCTGGGACCACGTGAGGCACTGACCCTCCTCAAACTCACACGGAGCTTGCCAGGTGGAGCCCCTGGGGGCAGGGGTGGTGGCGGTCTTCCTCCCTGACATCCCTGACCTTAGCTGGCAACAGAGCATGACCCAGGCCTGCAAGACTCCCCGCAGCCAGGCTCTGGACCCCGAGTGGCTTTGAGGCCAGGGAGGAAACAGGAAGCATGTAGGATGGGGGCGAGGGTCAGGGGCCTCAGCACTGAATGCCGACATCACCAAAAACATGGCAACGGCCGGGGAAGCACGGGTCCAAGGCCCAAATCTGAGGGAGTGCCAAGTCACCAGATGCCAGAGCCAGGGGCCTGTGCCGAGTCCTGCCCTTGCTACGTTCTGGCTGTGTGACCTCGGGCTCCTCATAGAGGCGTCTGCAGCAAAGAAGCCAGCACAGTGAACTCCTGGAGCAGCTGTACCCATGAGAATGTGGAGGCATCGGTGGCAACGGCCACTGCCCCTGCAGGTGCAGCTTTCGTGGCTGGAACCGACACCAACCCTAGCACCTGGGGCCCCGACAATGAGCTGATCCCTGGGAAGTCTCTTCCTCGACTGAAAATTCTGGGAGGTGGCGTGAGAAAGGCAGAGACCTGCTTGGGAGTTGGAGCTCTGAGTGCAAATCCAGCTCCCCTGGCTGCTTGGGAGGCAGGAGGGTGGGGAGAGACCCAGACCTGGAGTTGGACGCCGAATGGGGTGCTGGGCAGGAGACCACAGGCAGTTCCCAAAGTCTGCCCTATGCTGCCCATGTCCTTGTCTAGGAAATGGAACGAGGCACAGGCTCCTGTCACCTGGGGCTGCTTCAGAGACTGACAGACATGCCCTCTGTGCTCCTGCCATGCTGGACCCAGGCCTGCAAGTGCTCCCCTGAGGGTTAGCGCTACCTGAGACCATCCCTGCAGCTGCTGAGACAGCCAGACGCCAGAGCCCTGAGCCGGCCTCTCCGGCCCCCAGCATTCTCCTCTGGGCTGGGTTTCTCCCTGCCACCCACGTGTGCACCCTCAATTTGGATAAGGTGTGTTTGCAGGCTTGCAAACATGGCCCTCGGGAGGGCACACACCCCTGACCAGGCTTGCAGCCCTGCCTCTCTCCCTCTTGACATTTCACTTAGGACCAAGAAGTCAGTACACAAGGAAAGGAAACAGGACCCGAGAGGCCAGCAGTATCCCCAGTCCACCCCAGGATGCTCAGCTCAGCCTGCACACCTGCCCCGAGCTTTCATCGTGTGCCTCCATGAGGCTCGGGAAGGTGACCCCAGCCCCCCAAGGGGAGACCGTGCCAGCAGGGACAGTGAGCAAAACTCAGGCATGAAAGTTTCCTCAACATCTGGGTTGGAATAAAATGGGCTTCCTGCTCAACTTCTGGGCCACCCCAAGTTGGAGGAGCTGGGACCCCCAGCACGTGGCGGTCTTCCTTCCCTTGGCGTCTGCCACTCCTTACCCGACATGCCAGAGAGGCTGCGGCCTCTTGCCGTCCTCGCCTGCGCCGCCCAGCCTGTTGAGCGATGGGGACCGGCTGCGGGGCCCGGGCACGTAGCTCCCAATGGTCTTCGCGGCCCCCTCGGGCTTGCTGGGCATCTGCTGCAGCAGCTGGGGTGACAGGCTGCGGTGCGAGGTGGCCGTGGAGCAGACGGCCCAGTCGGGAGCGCTGGCATTGAGGTTGTTGTCACTGTTGGAGCGCAGCAGGACCCGGGGGGCGGCCAGCGTGTTGGGGGGCCGCCGCCGGCGGTTGGAGTACGCCGGGGCCTCTCGGAAGGGCACTGGGGAGAAGGACATGGAGAGAGGCCGGTGAGTGCATCTGTGTCGTGGTCAGCTGGGTGGGGACCCTAGGGAGGTGCAGGCCTGCGTGCGTCCAAGCCCCCATGCGAGCCCAGCAGAGGGGAGCTGTGAGTTCTGGGCCGAGACCCCAGCTGGACTCCACCAGGCCCAGAACTCACCCCTGACATGGAAGCAGAGAGACAGGCTGGGGACGGAGAACATCTCCACGGCACGGAGCTCAAGCCAGTACTTCGCATGGAAGGGACGTGGGGTCTGAGCTTCCATCTGGCCTGGGAGACGTCCGGCTGGCTTGGGCATGTGTAAGGACGGGCCACCCCATCACACAAAGCAGAGAGGGCACTGAGCTGCCTGCCGCAAGATGCCTCCTCCCCACAACCTAAGTTGAGCCTCTGGGGTGGGCTGAACTGTGTCCCCCAAGTTCGTGTGTTGACGTCCTAAACCCCAGTTTTCAAAATGTGCCAATATTTGCAGGTAAGGTCTTTACAGAGATCATCTGGGTGGAGGGCCATTAGTGGGGGCCCTGATCCCATAGGATTGGGGTCCTTATAAGAAGAGGCGATGAGGACACAGACACACACACAGGGATGACCCCGTGAGGACACAGGGAGAAGGTGGCACCTGCAAGCCATCAAGAGAGGCCTCAGGAGGAACCAGCCCTGCGATGCCCTGATCTCAGACTTGTAGTCCCCAGGACTGGGAGGTGTAAATATCTGGTTGTTTTGTTGTTGTTGTTGTTGTTTTTGAGACAGGGTTTCGCCCTGTCACCCAGGCTACAGTGCAGTGGCACGACCTCGGCTCACTGCAGCCTCCGCCTCCCAGGCTCAAACAATTCTCCTGCCTCAGGCTCCCAAGTAGCTGGGATTACAGGTGCCCGCCACCACGCCTGCTAATTTTTGTATTTTTAGTAGAGATGAGGTTTCACCATGTTGGCCAGGCTGGTCTCGAACTCCCGATCTTGTGATCCGCCTGCCTCAGCCACCCAAAGTACTGAGATTACAGGCATGAGCCACCGTGCCCGGCCAATATCTGGAGTTTAAGCCACCTGTCTGTGGCGCTCTGCCACGCCTGAGCCAACCATACAGTCTCCGAGTCCACTGGCTGGATGATTCAATCTCAGTCCTCACTAAGAAGGTGCCTTCCTCCCTCCCATCAAGTGGGGACTGTGTGAGGAAGCAGGGGCTGGGCACCCCTTATCTGGCATCCTACAAAGCTCTAGACAGGGCCAGGCCCTCACTCTCCTCACTCAATGAGACCAGGGGCTCAGAATGACAGCAACAGCCCCTGGGAGCTTTGAGGGGTGGCAGCCACGCCGCAGCTGCCTTGGTTTACCCAGAGCTCCAGAGCCTAAGACAGCGAGTGCCCTTTCCAAGAAAGAAGACCTCCTGAAAGGCAGCCCTCCAAGCTCCGCAGGAAACAGCAGAAACCACCATCACTGGGGGGCCAAAGGCACGGGCTTCTCCCCGGCCCGTGATAATCGTGCCTGCAGCAGCTTTTCACTGGCTACAGGATTCAGCCCTTAGGCTGAAGCCACGCTTGGCTCCGAAGTTTCCACTGCACAGGACCAGGGCTACCATCTGACAAACTGCAAGGCAAGAGAAAACACGTGTCCTCCCTGGGATTGGGTCTGGGGGAACCTTCATGCCTCAGAGGAGAAGAACGTCACAAGTAGTTTAGGACACAGGTGGCAGTGACGAAGCTCTTGGGGACATGGATGGTGCTGGCAGAACTCAAGGGGGATAGAGGTGGTGCTGGCAGAGGTCACAGGGACAAAGATGGCACTGGCAGAGTTCATAGGGGACAGAGGTGGAGTTGGCAGAGTTCATGAGGGACAGAGGTGGCGCTGGAAGAGTTCACGGGGGACAGAGGTGGCGCTGGCAGAGTTCACGGGGGACAGAGGTGGCACTGGCAGAGTTCACGGGGGACAGAGGTGGCACTGGCAGAGCTCATGGGGGACAGAGGTGGCGTTGGCAGAGCCCATGGGGGACAGAGGTGGCGCTGGCAGAGGTCATGGGGGACAGAGGTGGCGCTGGCAGAGGTCATGGGGGACAGAGGTGGCGCTGGCAGAGGTCATGGGGGACAGAGGTGGCGCTGGCAGAGCTCATAGGGGACAGAGGTGGCGCTGGCAGAGCTCATGGGGGTCAGAGGTGGCGTTGGCAGAGGTCACGGGGGGCAGAGGTGGCACTGGCAGAGGTCACGGGGGACAGAGGTGGCACTGGCAGAGGTCACGGGGGACAGAGGTGGCACTGGCAGAGGTCACGGGGGACAGAGGTGGCGCTGGCAGAGCCCATGGGGGACAGAGGTGATGTTGGCAGAGTTCATGGGGGACAGGTGGCGTTGGCAGAGCCCACGGGGGACAGAGGTGGCGCTGGCAGAGCTCACGGGGGACAGAGGTGGCGCTGGCAGAGCTCACGGGGGACAGAGGTGGCGCTGGCAGAGCTCACGGGGGACAGAGGTGGCGCTGGCAGAGCTCACGGGGGACAGAGGTGGCGCTGGCAGAGCTCACGGGGGACAGAGGTGGCGCTGGCAGAGTTCACGGGGGACAGAGGTGGCGCTGGCAGAGTTCACGGGGGACAGAGGTGGCGCTGGCAGAGTTCATGGGGGACAGAGGTGGCGGTGGCAGAGTTAATGGGGGACAGAGGTGGTGTTGGCAGAACTCATGGGGGACAGAGGTGGCACTGGCAGAGTTCATAGGGGACAGAGGTGGCGTTGGCAGAACTCGGGGGACAGAGGTGTCATTGGCAGAGGTCATAGGGGACAGAGGTGGCGTTGGCAGAGTTCACGGGGGACAGAGGTGGCATTGGCAGAACTCATGAGGGACAGAGGTGGCGCTGGCAGAGTTCATGAGGGACAGAGGTGGCGCTGGCAGCGTTCACGGGGGACAGAGGTGGCGTTGGCAGCGTTCACGGGGGACAGAGGTGGCGTTGGCAGCATTCACGGGGGACAGAGGTGGCATTGGCAGAACTCATGAGGGACAGAGGTGGCGCTGGCAGAACTCATGAGGGACAGAGGTGGTGTTAGTAGAGCTCATGAGGGACAGAGGTGGCGTTGGCAGCGTTCATGGGGGACAGAGGTGGCGTTGGCAGCATTCATGGGGGGCAGAGGTGGCGGTGGCCGAGTTCATGAGGGACAGAGGTGGCGTTGACAGAGCTCCTGGGGGACAGAGGTGGCACTGGCAAAGCACATGAGGACAAAGGTGGTGCTGGTAGATTTCACTGAGGACAAAGGTGGCACTAGCAGAGCTCACAGGTACAGAGGTGGTATTGACAGCTCCCAAGGACAGAGGTGGTGCTGGCAGCGCTCACAAGGGACACATGTGGTGCTGGCAGGTTTCATTGAAGACAAAGATGGCATTGGCAGGGCTCACAGGACAGAGGTGGCGTTGATGGAGCTCCTGAGGGCAGAGGAGGTGCTGGCAGAGCTCATGGGGGATGGAGGGTGCTGGCAGAGCTCACGGGAGACAGTTGTGACCCGGCGCACCTTCCCCACCTCCCCAGGACACAGGGCAGCCCTGGAGACAGAGCTAGAGCCAAGCCTGGGGAGCCGCACAGAGCTGCGCAAAGCGTCCTGAGGTTGGATACTTGGACTTGACACACTTGGACGTCAGTGCCTGCTGTCGGTAAGAACCTGGAGGTGGTACATTGGGGAGGTCGCGGTGTCACACCTGCTCTGATCTGGTTCCTCTGTGAAGCCTTTCTGTCATTGAAGATGCCCTGCTAAGCAGCCGGGGCTCCTCAGCCAGCACTTTCATCCCACTCCTAATTTCTCAAAGCACACGGATCCATGAACGCCACCCAGGCTGGCCGGGGAGAGACAAGGAACGGAAAAAGCTGACGGCACTCTCCGTGGACATCTCTCCTTCCAGAGCCCCTCGAGGGGCTTGGCCTGGGATCCACAGCCACCACCCACGAGAAAAACCTCATCCCTGGGACAGGTCACCGAGTCTGTTTTGTTGGTCTTGAGGGAAAACCATGTTGGTGCCCTCCCTCTGGACCGGCAGAGACTAAAAAAAACCTTGTAGATCACTGAGTGTTTGCATGGAGGCTTACAAAGATACGACTGGCCCAGAGGGCTTCCGGGTGATCCGGGAACTGCCTGTCATTGGAGGGGGCTGGGCGGGTGGATTAAAAGACCTTGCAAAGGGCTGATGAGCCCACAGTCTCAGAGAGCGATTATCTTTCATTTACAGAGATTACGTGTTGGAAGACTGTATTGGTGTGAGAGCCAAAATCTCAAACAGACACAGCCAGCAGAAAGCAGCCGCAGAGCCCCCAGCTTCCTGGGGCACCCCAGGAGAGGCCACGGCTCTCCCTACCCATGTGGAGGAGACATCACAGGGCCCCCAGTCACGGAAACGCTGCCTCCCACAGCCGACTGCCTCACGCCCAGCTTCCCCGCCCCGACAATGCAGCCAATTCTCTTTTTCTGACCCTTGTAACTGGGGGAGGTATGCATACTCTTCATAGCAAGTGATGGCATTTGGGGGAGTCCTGGCAGTTGCTAAGATAAACTCATTAGGAAAAAAAAAGTCTATAAAAGAACAGAACAGATACAGAATTAACCTAACACCAAAACCCCCAACTGAAATTTTCATGCTGTTCATGGATTATAAAAATTGAAACCCCAGAAGGTGAATTTTGGTGAATAATGTCAGAAAATGGGCACAGACAAAGGTTGTTATTTATATACATTCCTAAGACTCTGTCAGAAGAGTATGGACTTAGAGGGGGGAAGAATTCACATGGGGAGGCCACCCTTGGAGGATTAAGGAATAAAAGAGCTGGGACATTTTCAAATACATTTTTACTCTGTAGACCACGCAAGTTACTCAAATGAAATCTCACCGGTGACATCAGTGTGAACATTTTAATGAAAATTACCTCGCGTAATTACCAAGATTCATATTAAATTAGTTTCCTGAGTACTGAAATTTCTTTGGTGTTTATTTTGCAACGAGCTGGGGCTGGGAAGTACCTTCCTCATTTCTCTAAAGTCATACCTTTTTATGATATCTGATTTCCTAAAATGAGAGCTCTCTGACAAAACTCTCTAACTGGAACCATCCATGGAAATGATGATTTTTTTTTGTGAAAAGGGTTAAAAATAACTGTTTTCTGTCTGAAAATGATTAATATTCCACCCAACTGTTTCCTTCTTTTAGGCAATCTGCACTCTAAATAGGTGGATATTTTCTTAGCTGGCTTACATGCATTTATTTATACATTTTTTTCCCCACAATAAAAATTACACAAGGTATGACAAACAGAGTGTGCACTTTTAAAGTTGGCCACGCTCCCTTCCCATCCATTCCATGTAACTGCAACCCCGGGATGGGAGAGCCGGGAGCAGCTCGGAAGGTAGCCACCCATTTGGTGCAGCCAGCCATGTGCCCCGACCTGCCTCGGCCAGTGCCTAGCAGCCCTCTGGTCACTGAGGACTATAGTCAAAACTTCCTTTATTTTCCCTAGGACTTAGTTCCTAACACACTCCGTGGCACGGTCCCCACGGATGGCCATTCCGGAATGGAGTTCCACAAGGGCTGAAGGTTTGAAAGCAGCACACGATAAGGCGAGACCTTCCACCGCGTTATATTCCGGACCAACTCAAACCAAACCGTATCCCAAACCAAAGTCATTATCCCCTGACATGCTAGGGATTAACAACTGGCAATTTTAGGAGGAACTGGAGTCCTCCCTCTCCCCCACCCCGAGAATCAGCAAGCAGCTGCTAATTCCCATGCACCCGGCTCCCGACAGCTTTTTCCTTACCTTCCTTCTTGGTGAAGGCATTTAACAAAGACTTCATTTTCCCTCTGACTTTGGCAGCGGTCCGCTCATTATATAACCTTCCTGGATGGGAGGAAGGACAGGCGTGCAGCCCGGCCCCTCGGTGCTAGAGCAGCTGGGACCCGGGGAGAGGTGGCGGGTGTCTGGGCACGGTGCACTTCCGAGCATAGCTGGGCATGCCAGACCCAGCGTGCTGGTGACAAAGCCCACCCCATATTCTGTCTGTCAGCTGGGAACCAACTGCACGTAGACGGGCTGCTCTCAAACCCGGCTACCTCTCGCGGCGCGCGTCATGTGAGCCGGGCTACTCTGCTTTTGTGCTCAGGGCATTGAGGAAGAGGCACCGCGGAGGGTTAACGCGGATCAGGCGTCCTCGAGCTGGCAGCTGGGAGACGCCGGGAGGCATGAGTGAGCTCGAGCCCCAGTTATCCAAGGAAACTCGGGCTGGTGCTGGGCGCTCCATGCGCCTGTGCCTAAATATACTGCACTGTGCTTTTCTATTTTTTTAAAAAAAAATTTTTTTAAAGAAAAAGCCAAGTTTGTTTGTCAGCTAGCAGATGTGGTAAGACAGACAAGGGGGAGGGAAGCGTACAAGTACCAGATAAGCTTCACACCAGACCCACGTTCCCCGGGCAGACATGGCCAGCATTCTGGAATTTCTGAACACGACCTATATTTCTGTTCAAAAGAATCAGACACAAGTGCCCATGACTTCTCTGGCTCCCCACCCATCGAGGTAATTACCCTGGAAAAAACAGGACTCCACCCCCTCCTACTTTTTTTTTTTTTTTTTTAAAGAGAGAGATAAAAAGACAATTAAACTGAGACCCTGCCAAGGATGGCCCCGATTCCAGGCAGCTGATAAAAGCGAGCTCTTCAGGGTCACTTTAGGCATTTCCTCAGCATTTCCAACCCAACAGAAGAAGAGAAAAGAGGAAAGCTGCCCCTTGGAAGCCCTACATGGAGAAAGTCAGATTTATAAAGCAAACACAGAGAAGTGGATGCAGGCTGGTGCCCTGTGGCAGGTGGACAGTGAGTTATTTCTACACCAGGAGAAGGAGCTTCCTGAAGCTACGTGGAGCATCCAGGGGCAAGGTTCTGTTGCCGGATGCCTCTGCTGGGCTGTAATTTAGTGTGCTGTGTGTGTGTGTGTGTTTTTTTTTTTTTTTTTTCTGGTTGCTAAGAGAACTGCTTCAGAAATTTAAAACACACACACACACACACACACACACACACACACACACAACCAGAGAAAGACGAGACAAGACGAGGAAAAAGCAACCAGAGCACTAAAGTTTAATTCCATATGGTTGACACACTTTGTGTCAATAAAAATGGCGGTGTGAGAACAAGAAGGCTGGGGGCCCCCCAGGAGCCTTTCCCTGAAGGCGTACCAGGGACGGGACTGCGGCATGCCTCGGTGAGGGCCTCTGGCTTTAGGGAGAGCAGAGACTGCCACAGAATCACTGAGTGTACGCCCTATATCAGCTGAGCACCCGAACAGCATCTCTTGGCCGGGTGCGGTGGCTCACGCCTGTAATCCCAGTGCTTCGGAAGGTGGAGGCGGTTGAATTGCTTGAGCCCAGGAATTTGAGACCAGCCTGGGCAACACAGTGAGACCCCGTTTCCATGAAAAATAATTTAAAAACATTAGCCGGGTGTGGTCGTGCGCCTGTGGTCCCAGCTACTCAGGAGGCTGAGGCAGGAGGATTGCTTGAGCCTAGAAGTTCAATGCTCCAATGAGCTATGATTGCACCACTGCACATCAGCCTGGGGATAGAGCAAGACTGTCTCCAAAAACAAACAAAAAACCCCACAAAAACCCAGAAATAACGATAAACTTCATCTCTTATTTAACTCACACAACTCATGAGCCATGTCAAAACTCTGCCGGGGTGACATTCTCACCCTACCATGCATCACCGACTCATAAAACTGAGTCAAAGCCATTTCTAAGACTTGCATTAAGAAACGGTTCTGAGGTCAGAGCCACCAGTGTGTCCCACAGAGTTCATGCACCTCCTCGGACACTCTGAGCAAGGCTGAACAGCTTCCAGAAGAACCCTCCTCGGATGCACAAAGCTTTCCCCCACTTCGGGAGGCCTGACGATGTGTCCTCCGGGTGGACCAGCCAGGGGGGCCAGAAGCTTTCCAGATGGTGAGTGTCTAGTTCATTGCCATGTGCTGGCCTGGCTGCCTGCCCTGGCTGGCGAGCGCTGGGAGGCTGAGACGGGGATGCCACCGTGTCCGTATTGGTGTGTACAGGGAGCTCCTCCAAGGCTGGGGGACCCGGCTGGTCGTGTGCTCAGCCACGTGAGCCCAGAGGACTCATCAAAGCGCAGGGAACTCTCGGGGAGACTCAGTGACGCTCAACACCCCCTCCATCTGTCACTGATCGATTCCCTCCCAAAAGCACAGAGCCTCATCCCAAGCCAAGTTTCTGAGCCAATCACTGCTCCGGCGCTGCTGCCTCTGCGGCCTGCCATGGTGTGGGGAGAGCCTGCACGTTTCTGGGCTGGTGAGGCCAGGATGGCCCTTGGCCTGAGGCCAGCGGTGTCCTGTCATCTTTGGCTGCCTTGCCGGCCACGGAAGACCTTGGGTGGAGGGTGTAAGGAAGAAGCCACCTCCCTGGGACCATGTGACAATCCTGCATCTGTTCTGACTGGTGGACCAGGCAGGGGACAAAATGGAGCCTTTTTCCCCTCACGGGGGCCTCCAATGTCAAATATGTCAAAGGACCAAGAAGAGGCCCTGCCCCATCTAAACCAGAGAAAAACCCAGAACCTCTGGACGGGAGCCACGCAGCAGCACTCACAGCTGGCCCAGAAAGGACCCTCAGCGGCCACCGTCCGGTGCGTGTGCAGCAGCTGCTCCTGGAGGTGCATTTGCCCACAAGCAGGAGCCCAGGCAGGGGTTCCATGAACCCTGGGCTGCCCAGGGAGAAGGGAAGGAGCCTTCCCAAGACAAGGCCCCGTCACCAGGAATACGGCTGGCTTCCACCCCTGGGGTCCCTCTGCCCCGCCCACCCCCACCCCTGCACCCCATGTCCCATCTGGTTTGGGGGCATGCGCAGAAGACAGCCAGCCAGATCTGAAGACCCAGGCCTGCTTCTCAGCCTGTGCAGGGGTGAGGGGCGGGGCAGGATGAGGCTTTGGACACAAGACGATTTGAGGAATCCAGGGAACACCCCCAGGCTAAAGGATCCCTTTTCCAGACACCTTCAATTCTTTCAATAAGCAGACAACTTTTCCCGCCCACACTCGGAGGAGGCTGAGTAAACCATTCACAAAGATCAGGAGCGGTGGTGGCTCCATCAGTCTCATGCACACACCTACTGAGTGCCCGGTCCTGGGCCAGGCTCTGCCACACGGGGTCTTCTGGTCAACCCCACAGAAATCCTGCCAAGGGAGTTGGGCCATTCTTGACACCACTGTCCTGGCCATGTGGTAGGCTCTCCGTGGATAATTCCAGCGACGGGGGACTCACTACCTTTGCACAGGGGTTCTCACTGTCAGACGCGGGCAGCAGCCTGTAAGAGCCTCCTTCCCCCACACCCACCACTTGCCCCCTTCCCTGGTGGGTGCAGACCACTTCCTCATTTGCCAAGAAGTCTGGCGCTGAAGGCACAGACTCTGCCCCGACAAACGCAAACCTTTGTGCAGCCTCCAGGGCAGTTTTCATCTGGTGTCCCCATCCCTGCCTTTCTGGGGGAATATTTATCTTCCAGCCCTGGGATGTGGCCATGGGAACATCAGCATTCCTCCTGCCCCTCGTTTTATGAGCATGTCCGTGGCCTGAAGCCTGCCCTGCCTGCCTGGCTGGGAGGGAAGTTCTGTGTGGACAAATGTTCCGTGTGAGTGTTTGGGGTCCGGGCCCTCCCAGAAATCCACACTTGGGGTTATTGCAGGAGACGAGCTCACCCCTGAGCCCCAGGTAGATGGTTCGCATTCTCCTGCCATCTGCACACAGGCCCGGCCCTTCACCCTCCAAGCCACGGAGACCCAGAAACCTGCCACCGACCAGGTGACCTTGGAGAGCTGGGGAAGCAGAGGCGGGTGCACAGCCTCCCGCAGAACTCCGGGAATTCGCTAGCGCCCTTCCCATCTCTAAAACAAGTATTCCGAGGATGACCGAGCGCTAGTGGTTGAGATGAAAATTAAGACAAAGATAAAAGATGAAACTTAAAAACCCATTTTCCCTGGAGGCTTCCAGAGATCTTCTTCTCTGAGAAAAGCCTCAGGCTTTGGGAATGTCCCCGTGGAGCTGCCATCCTGGGTCCCTGAGACCAGCAGCAAGGCTGTCAGATGAGACAGACGAGGTTCAGAGAGGCTGAGCGCTAAGCTGCCCAGGGCCTGGGAAGGGTCAGACATCCCTGCTGCACCCACATAGGTTTCCACGCATTGGAGCCCAAATGCCCACAGCATGGCTGAGCACTCCCTTCCTTCTGCCTTTAGACCCACTGTTCCTATAGGGGTCCTGCGTGGAGGGCCTACAACGACCCTGGAGGCTTGTGCCGGCCACATTCCTACTGAATGCAGATGAGGTTTTATTTCAAATGGATTTCATTCTGGAAGAGGGAGAGATTGGAGGGGAAGAACTTCCAGGTGTGAGTTGGGCTGGGGGCAGGCGGGTAGCAGAGAGGGTGGCAATGTGAGTGGTTGGTGATGAAGCTATCCACCTGCCTGCCTGCCCGCACACCCACCCGTCCCAAAACTCAGGCAAGCACCTTTTGAGTCTGTTTGTTGCCTGCCCGCACGCCCACCCATCTCAAAACGCAGGCGAGCACCTTTTGAGTCTGTTTGTTGTCCATGGACAGATGAAAAACCAGGAGGAAAGAGGAGAGGGAGGCTCTGAAGTCAGAGTTTCCAGAAAGGAAAAGGGTCACCCCCAAATGAACCCCAAACTCTCAGCCACCCAACCTGGCTCTTCAGACACCAACTCAGCTCCACTCAGCCCAGTTCCAGTGCCTGGCCCTTGGTGCTTCGTGAGCCAGTGACATCCAAAGCCCCGTGCCCCCTTGCCTCCCTCCCTGCAGCCCCTGCCCACAGGCATCCCACAGACTCACCCCATACACTGCACCACCCCCTCAAACCCTGAGACTCACTAAGCCCTTTATTTGCCATGTCTTTTGACAACTGCCTGACAACGGACTGAAAATAATTTCACTTCTTGCATAAAAAAAAAGCTCTTCACACATCAGAACATTTCAAGGTGCTCTGAAGTCCTGGCGGGGACGCCGTACCAGGTGTTATAAACATGCCAGCAAGACTCAGAGGTGCTCACGGGTCTCAGAAACATCCTCGTTCAGTGGCGATCAGACGCCCGCCTCCACTTGCTGTGGCTTCAGTGCCCATGTGGTTTGGAAAGAGCCGGACGTGGGAGTCAAGACGCAGGTTTGGGTGCTGACTCTGTATCATGCCCCCTGCAGCCATGGGCCGGTTGGACACCCCCTGACCCTCAGTTTCCCCATCTGTAAAGTAGGAATAGCACAACTTACCCCACAGGGTGGAGCCACCCGAGCTCGTGTTTGAAGCACAAAGGAGAGGGGCTTGGTGCACGCAACACCGTGGGGACACCTTTGGGGACAAGTCTCAGCTCTGTGAGCCCAGAGAAGTCCCATGAGCTCTCTGTGCCTCTGTTTCCTAGTCTGTTTAATGGGGATATTAATGGTGCCACTTCACAGGAGAGTCATAAGGATAAAGTAAGTTAATATTTGTAACAGTAGTACCTGGAGGCAGTGTCGGTGATCCCTGAATGAATACATTTAAGTTTTAAAAAATCTGTAAGTGGATAGCAAGGCAATCCTCCTGCTTTGCCCTATCTCTATAATAAACAAGTCCTGGTCTATTGCTCACGATGCATTCACATTATCCTTCTGGGTGCTGCCTCCTCCAGGAAGTCTCCCTGACTGATCCAGGCAGCAGACAGACCACTCCTAAGGGCTCCCGTGGCAGCAGTCAGCCCTTGGGGCATGTTGTGGAGCCAGGAGCCTCCCAGCTTCTCAAAGGCAGGTTCCGTGTCCAGCCCTCCTCCCTGCCCTGCACACTGGCAGTGATCCCTAGTGCTCTGGAGATGAATGAATGAATGAATGGAGTGAATTAACAGAGGGGGTGAGTCCTAGCTTTTTTTCTGAGTGTTCCAGAGCACTTTACTAGGTTCACCAGGCTGCTCTCTAGTTGTGCTGCTCTCCTGAGGCCAGAAGCCACCTTCCTTGTCCAACTCCCACCCTACCCCCACCCCCTCTTCTGCCCAGGGCCTTGCATGTACCCAGTGGAGGCCCAGGGAGGCTTGGGCTAAGCCACAGCCACGCTACCAGCTGCCCCAGACCCTGAGAAGGCCTGTACTGCCCCGCCTTGCCCCACGAGCAGGTGCAGCCAGGACAGCATCCTTAGCGTCCTCACTGCATCTGCAGAGCAGCTAGGCTGTTGTCCTCAGCATCCTCACTGCATCTGCAGAGTGGCTGAGCCAGTGTCCTCAGCATCCTCACTGCATCTGCAGAGCAGCCTGGCCAGCGTCCTCAGCGTCCTCACTGCATTTGGAGTTCCCTGCACCCCATGTCCTGCCTGGAAACAGTGAGGGCTCATCCCTCAGCTTCCCCAGCTGCTGTGGTTTCGAGTTCGAGCCCATCAGACACATGGGCCAGGAAGGCACTGATGCAGAAGGAGCAACTCACAGAAGCCGGCGAGTGTGGCACGGGGCTCCAGCACAATGTCAAGCTCCTGCCAGCGCCTCTGACTGTGCACAGCACCAGGTATTCCATGCAGCCCACCTGTGGCTAGACGCCCCGACTGGCCACCCCGGCTGGCCGCAGTTCCCAGGCCTGGCTCTCCAGCCCTCTTGGAGCACAGTGACCGCCTGACATCTGTCAGAGTCTTCTGCCTCCTGCATCAACAAGCCAGGGTGGACTCTACTGCTGGTGACCCAGACCCTGACCGGTAGAGCCCGTGAGGCTGGGTCTCGGGCAAGAGAGCTGGGCATGCGACATCTCTCAGGGAGGCCTCTGGTCCAGGGACCCTGACAGCATCTCTGCAACATCTGCAGCTGGACTTTCTGGGTTCAAATCCCACAAGGTAACTGTCCATGAGTCACAAAATGTCCCTGGACTCTGGATCCCCAAAAACAAAGCAAGCACAGTGATGATGGTCACTTCAAGGAGCTGCTCAGGGGGTTAAGTGCATACTGGGTGCAGTACTTACGCACAGTGGGTGCTCAACAGAGGTTAGCTGTTGCCATCACGACCACGACTGAAGTTTGTTTATTATTGCTGACTGTTCATTATTGTGATTATTACAACAGCTTGTTGACGAGGGAGGTCCTGACAGGCATTCTCAGTCTCTCTGGGCAGCTCAGGTGGCTGCAGGCAGTGGAAGGCCATCAGGCCGCTAGAGACAGGGTCCTGACCCAGGCCAGGACAGTGTTGTCTCCCCAGGACACTGCTTCTGTGTAACTCAGACCCAGGCCCTTCTGCCAGGAAGGAGCTCCAAGTTGATGAAGGCACAAGGGCCAGCTTTGAGCGTCACCTTCAACTTAAACCCTGGGCAAAACCCTGAGTGTGATCACAACCAAACCAGAAGGGAAGAAAATAAAATGTTGGGATGTAGGAAGCAATGCCAAGAAAATTCCCAGGGTTCTGGGGCAGGGGATGCCCTGATATCCCGGAGATTTATTAAGGCTCCACCCCATATTTCAGGGGGAGACGCAGGGGAGCACCTGAGCCTATTTCCACCTTAACACAAAATACACAGGAGGTGGCTCTAACTCTGGTCCCACCCCATATTTCAGGGGAAGACACAGGGGAGCACCTGAGCCTATTTCCACCTTAACACAAAATACACAGGAGGTGGCTCTAACTCTGGTCAGACTGAAGGCCCATGGGGAGCCGAAAAAAGAAAACAAACTCTAGACGGTCTCAGTGGCCCACCAGCCCAAGCTCCACTTTATCTTGCAGAAACAAAGACTGAATGCTGAGAAAGTATGTATGCAAGAGCCTCAGCCAGCGGGGGCCAAGCCAGGAGCAGGGGTGGCAGGTGCAGGGCAGGTACAAGCTAGAGCGGGATTCTTCCTGCCCATCCCCCACCAGATCCAAAATAGCATCTCTTGTTTCTTTCCCTCGTAGCTTTAGATAACTGCAATTTAAATATTAGTAGGCAACATTTCTCCATCTCACAATAATTGTTAAATGAATCATGCTTTTATAAATAACACAAGATATAAAAAGGCATCTCAGCAATAATGCGGGGTTATCTTTGCACAAAGAGGTAGGAGTCTGTGGTGTTTGTAACGTTCCCGTCACTGGAGTCATTGAGGGAAGCTTTGCTCCTGCAGGATCGAGGGAGGCCCGTGGAAAATCGGGGTGAGGGCACTGAGGAGCGGGCGTCGGAACCTCCCACAGGGTCTCTCTCCCTGGTTGGAGAGCTGAAAGGGGCTGGGGGTGTAACTCCAAGAGATACTACTCACCGGTTTTCTGACCCTGAATTGAGCTTTAGGGCCAAGAACATGGCTATTTTGGGGGGCAGCGGGGAGGAGCTCTGGAGGGTGAAGGTGGGTCTGACCACAAAGAGAGGTGAGGGGTTCCCAAGGTATATTCTAGAAGAATCACAGCCTCCAGACATTGCCTCCTCTGCCCTCCCTCCACGCAGCTCCAGCCTTGGCCACAGGCTCCCTGCAGAGCCACAGCCCCAGTGCACAGGACACTACTGTGTGCGGGACACACCTGAAGGAGGAGGGGTGGAGCCAAGGGGCGTGCAATGGCTTACGGGCAGCATGAACCATCCCTGTGGTGGCCCTTCTGAGAGCTGAGTGACTGTGGATACCTGGGCCTCCCACAGGGGAAAATGAGGCTTATGTGCTGAGACGTGCTCCGCCAGTTCTCGAGGACACAGGACGCTCAGTCAAGAGGCTCATGTGCTGAGACATGCTCCGCCAGTTCTCGAGGACACAGGACGCTCAGTCAAGAGGCTCATGTGCTGAGATGTGCTCCACCAGTTCTTGGGGACATGGTCCGCTCAGTCAGGAATCACAACCAGGGGCCGAGGTGCAGGCCAAGTGGGCTGGGGGCTTATGGAGGACCCTGGGGCCAGGGTGATCTTGCACCATGAGAAGAGATGTCCAGTCCCTGGGAGGAACTAGAGCTGAGCTGGAGGACCCCTCTTGGAGTGAGCCATTCTCTTTCCACAGGACCTGATGGGGTCCTTTGTTCCAGCTTCTTATAAAAAGAATGAAATCTGAGCTTGGTGGTGGAAGATGTGAGTCCTGGGTCAGTCTCTGACTCAAGGCAGGGTTCTGGGACTCAGTTTTCTCATCTGTAGAATAGGGTGACCAGCCTCATTCTGCTGAGGTCTCATGAGGTCTCTGAGAATCCTACAGGCTAGACAAACCCAGGCAGGAGAAGCCTGGAGATCTAGGGGCAGAGTGGGCTCCCTCTCGGACCTCAGTGGAGGCTGGGGGAGTGGGCACCCCGAGCCCACTGCACCCCGAGCAGGGCAGCAGCTCTCCCTGTCTCAAGCCACACTGGGGTGGGCTGCCCACCACCTCCTCTCCCATACAAGAGAGCCCACCAAGGTGCAGGAGGGACTCCTGAAATGTGGGTAGGAGTGTCGCTCCGTTTCCAGCCACAGACACCCTTTCACAACATGGCCTGCTTGCCCATGGGGGGCCAGGGGAAGGCCCAGCTCTCAGTCCTTAAGGGAGCGTGCCTGCTGCCTCCTCTTTCTGAGCGGCTGCACACTCAGAAGCAGCATGGCCCCTTAGCCCTGATTCTCAGGCCGGCTCCACACAGCTGCCACTGGGCACAGAGGGAAAGCTTGGGCGAGACTGGGGGTGAGGACAGTGCCCGCTTCCACCCTTGCTGCTTGAGACCTCAGGCACGTGGCTGTGCCTGTCCGAGCCTGAGCCTGCAAGTTGGAGAAAGGATAATAACAGCAGCTGTCTTGAAGGCCAGCAGTTGTGCAAGTCAACGTTTACAAAGTGCCAGGTATGGAGGGAAAGGACTTCCTGTGGGTGGCCCCGGGTGCCACCCAAGGCCTGGACCTCTACATCGTTCCTGTTGCTCCCCCATGGGTAGACGCTGTCTGGAGGGCCCTGCCTGCCTCCATCACAGCCTCTGCTCACTGTTCATAGGCTCCTCACCGCCTGGGCATTTGGTGCCAGACTGCAGATGCCAGGACCACACAGAAAGAACCACTGCAGCTGCCCAACGCCTGGGTGTCTCAGGACACATTCAAGCACTAGGCCCACCCAGCAGCTCCCCTCACAGACTGACTTTCGTAAAGCAGCACCTGAGACCATCTGAGGCTGACTACAGTCACCAAGTCCTGTGGCCTGAAGGTTTACATCCCCTCCAAATTCATGTGTTGAAACCCTAACCTCCCATGTCATGGTATTTGGAGATGGGGACATTGGGAAGTAATTAGGGTTGGATGAGGTCAAGGAGGTGGGACCCCATGATGGGACTGGTGTCCTTGTAAGAAGAGACTTGAGAGTTGGTCGCTGTCTGTCTCTCTGTCTCTCCACCATGGGAGGGCTCAACCAGAAGGCTGCCGTCTGCAAGCCAGGAAGGGAGCCCTCATCAGACACCCAATTAAGATCCAATCAAGGCTGGCACCTTGATCTTGGACTTCCCTCAGAACTTCGAGAAAAATGTTTCTGTCGCTTAAGCCACCAGTCTATGGTATTTTTTGTTAAAGTGGCTGCAGCTAATGAAGACACCAGGCAGACTGAGCATGCCACTGCCCCCTTACAGGCCACTGCCCCTTACAGGCTTCCAGGGGACTTACGCCATTGTCTCTGCTGCTCCTGCTCCTCCAGATGCTCCCTCACCCACACGGGCCCTGTCAGCTCCCTCCCACTGGCCTGGACACACCTCTGCCCCTGCTGTGCCTACCCTCCATCTGGCATTCCTCTGCCTGCTCTCCCCATGTCTGGCTGCTTCCAACTCCAGGCCTTGTGCATTCACGCTCATGGTCAACGCATGAGGAGGCTTTCCTTCACCATCCTGTCCAAGAGGGTTACTCTCTTAATCTCTATGCTAGCCCCTTGTGACTTTTTCCTTCATTGTATTTATTGAACATTGAAGTTATGTTAGTTTTAAGTTTGCTTATATGGTCTTTCTCCCCCAAGTAAACTGTAAACTGCTGACAAGTGCAGTCTGTCTTAATCACCACTGCATCACCAGCACAGAGCCCAGCCCCTCTCAAAGATGTGCGTTGAGGCCAGGCACGGTGGCTCATGCCTGTAATCCCTACACTTTGGGAGGCTGAGGCAGGCAGATCACTTGAGGTCAAGAGTTCGAGACCAGCCTGGCCAACATAGCGAAACCCTGTTTCTACTAAAAACACAAAAAATGAGCCAGGCATGGTGGTGTGCCTGTCATCCCAGCTACTCAGGAGGCTGAGACAGGAGAATCGCTTGAACCCAGGAGGCGGAAGTTCCAGTGAGCCAAGATGGTGCCATTGCACTCCAGCCTGGGCAACAGAGCAAAACATTCTGTCTCAAAAAAAAAAAAAAAAAAAAAAAAAAGAAAAAAAAAAGATGCATGCTGAGTAACTTCATCCAATAAATGAATAAATAAAAGGAAGGCACGTTCCTACCTCCCACCCTGGACTTGTATGGTGTTTGCCTCACCGTGTGAAATGTCTTCCCACCATGAACACTGCCTCCCTACAACTGGGGCCTTCTGGAAGACCTGGGGCAGGGGAGGGGCCTTCACACAGTTTTCTATGCTCAGGACACAACAGAAGACCCCGCACAAAGTGGGAGCTTATCAATACATGTTCTGGTTATCTTAGGTCCTTGTGTGCCTGCTTCAACACTTGGGTTGTTTGATGCTGCTTCTAACAATTGTGGCTTCCTTTGGTTGCACATTGCATTTTCCTTCTCTTCCTAGCTAGTAATTTCTGATTCTATGCTGGTCATTGTGTTTGTTATGTCGGAGAGACTCTAGGTTCTGTTATCTTCCTCTGAGGTGTGTTTAGTTTTTCAAGTAGGTAGTAAAACTATCAGTGCAATGCCTTGCCCCGTGGAGGTGCAATCTGAGGCTTTGTTGGGGGAGTCTCTGTTGATTTGGTCCTGGGATGGAGTCCTGACTCCTAGGGCCCCTCTGTGGCTCCAGCTCTGGATGTTTATCAAGCTCCTCTAACATGCTGGGACTCAATTCTATACTCTATCTCTCCTGTGGAAGAAATTACTGAAGTCTCCCCAAGGCACTTGGGCTTTTAGCTACTGTTTTCCACTGAGTCCCTGGACTCTCACTCTGCACAGGCCGATTCAACAATCCAAAAGGAATTTATGTGTAGACTTCAGGGCCCTCCACTTTCCAGGATTTCTATTGACTTCCAGTCTCTCAGGCAACTCTGACCCCAACCTCCAACCCCTGAATCCACAACACAGTAAGACTCCAGTTTATGTCAGGGGAAATCTAATTAATGTGGGCCTTACAAGGGTGGGGGGCCCCTCTTCTGTCAAGGGTCCCAGCATCTCTAGTTCTGTCTGCTTTTGGCCACTTGCCCAGGCCTACAAGCAGCTGGTGTTGGTGTTTATATAGAATTTGTCCCGCGTTTGCCACTGTAATTAACAGGAGGGTTAGTCTGACATGAGCTGCTCCATCACTATGGGAAAGCAGAAGTCATGGGCTCATCAATACATTTATAATTATATTTAATACAACACACTTGCGGATATTCAGTAAAGTGGGGGAGAAGTCATCCAATAGGCTCCTTCAAATTACTTTTTCATTCTAAATAAAACTAAGGACAATGGTAAAACATGTGGGCTCCAGAACTCAGACCATGTGCTTGGAGGTGTCTTGGTTGCTTTATTTGGTAACTCAGCCTAGAAAGCCCTCAGGGAAAGGGCGGGTCTGGGCCAGTGGCCCTCCCCACCCCACTCCACAGCCCGTGGTATCCGGCAGCCAGCGCAGTCTCCCCAGGTCTGGAGGCAACACACACCCCCCTGGTAGAGAGGGCGGGTACGTCAAAGGAGAGAGGGGAACAGGATGTGCTGGGACCACTGACTACGTAAGCCAAAAAGTCCTGAGCAGACAGGAGGTGCAGCCTTCCTGTGCCACTGGGCTCCTGGACCTGGACTTCCTTATACCCCATCAGGAAAGGACCACAGCCTTGGAGGGGGTTTATTTCAATACAAGAATCCAACTTTTGTAAGGTTTGAGTACCTCCAGGAGGCTGGAAGTGAAGGTGGGTTGAAGGGGAGGTCCCTTTTTAGATCGAGGTGTCCCCGGTAAAGCTGCCAGGCCGCCCTGGAAAAGGAAGCACTCACCAGGCGGCTGAGTGAGGCTGGTTCTCCACCTCAGTTCTTCACCTAGTTAGCGAATCCAAATGCACATTTATATTTTGGGAACTAATTAAGGCTCAGTGACTGATTTAACCTTCAAATAAATTCCTCCCAGGGCCGAGCTGGCAGCATAGTGAATATCAGGCACCACATCTGCATCAAGAAAACCTCAAAGTCTAGGAAGAACCAAAACCCAAAGGGAAGGGACATGGAGAGGAGGGAATGTCAAGCGTGAGGTGGGCTCGGCCGGCCAGCAGCTATGCAGCCCTGGGGCTGAAGGCAGAGGGCGTGGGGCCCACCAGCTGACTCCCCACATGGTGACGGCGTACAGTCTGGGAAGAACAGTGTGAGGGGCTTTGAGGACTCAGGCATTGTCACGGTCACAGCTTCCCAGGCAGTGAAAGCCTCACTGTGATCGCCACCTCAATGTCAAAGCCAACCAGAGGTGTCCCGACTCCTGGACAGGGAGGTAGTTGGGTGGGTGCCTCGGAGGGCAGGTGAGAGCTCACCTGGCACACTACAGAGCATGAGGCAGAGATGCCCAAGGGCAGGTCCGCAGACCCACCTGCGTGTTCTGGGTGCTACCTCTGCCTGGCTGGGAGTCCCAGCTCCCTGGAGCCTCAGTTTCCCCATATATCAAAAGGAGGCTAGAATGCACCCCAAAAGTCCTTCAGGCTGCAAGATCCCCCCTCTCAGCTCTGAGGAGCATCCTTGTCTGGGAGGAGCCCTCAGAGGAGCAGAGTGTCCATGGGCCTGACTCCTGGGATTCTAGGGGCATTAACTGACACAAAAGGTGGAGACCTGGGAGGGGAGCCCTCTCCCTCTGAACTGTCCACAAATAAAAGGGCACACAGCGGCAGCCACATACTGTAGCTCAGTGGCCAAGGAGAGTTCTTGGGACCTCAGCTATCAGGGCAGGGCTCTTCCAGGAAGTGGGAGCCTGGGGAGGGCTGGGGGGCCATATCGGGAGGCTGGAGCCTGCAGACTCAGGATCTCCCTCCTGGGTGCCGAGGACAGGGACAAGGAACTGCAGTGGGGGTTCTCATGCTGCAGCCATCCCAGCACCGGGCACTTCTAAGAGATGCTGATGAGGCCACCCCCAGCCATCAAGACTTGACTGTGTTTCACTGGAGCTTGATAAGACTTCACCTGAGAAACACTCTGGCTGGCTCTGATCTCTTCCAGAGGTGTATAAAACATATAGGAATAGGCCAGGCGTGGTGGCTCATGTCTGTAATCCCAGCATTTTGGGAGGTTGAGGCAGGTGGATTGCTTGAGGTCCAGAGTTCAAGACCAGCCTGGCCAACATGGTGAAACCCTGTCTCTACCAAAAATACAAAAAAAACAAAATTAGCCAGGCATGGTAGCGGGCACCTATAATCCCAGCTGTTCAGGAGGCTAGGGCAGGAGAATCGCTTGAACCTGGGAGGCAGAGGTTACAGTGAGCTGAGATGGCACCACTGCACTCCAGCCTGGGTGGCGGAGCGAGACTCCGTCTTAAAAAAAATAGCAATTATCACCGCAGTGAAAGGTGGGCAGTGGCAGCAGGTGATGCCTGTGACACGCCAGGCATGGAGGGCAACAGCTCACGGCTTCCATCTCTCCTTCCTCCACCGCCACCCAGGGCACAGCCATTTTCCCCATTACACAGCAGAGGAGTCCAAGGTTCAGAGCAGGTCAGCAACTGGATGGAGGTCACACAGCCAGGCCAAGATGTGCTTGGGCTTAGCCTGTGGAGTCTGCCTTTGGCCCCATCGCTGACCCAGCTGCTGAGAGTGAAACTCAAGCCCTGTGGTGCCACATTCCAGGAGGGTCTCCACCTTGGTTCTTCAGGAATTCTGGCTTGACCTGGGTGCCTGCGATCACTGTTGGAAGGTCCGGGGCCCCTTTCCGTCTGCTTCTCCCTTAGGCACTAGAGCCAGCTACTGCAGAATCGGGGTGAGTCTCCAGCCCGCAAAGCCAGGATGACGTGACTGCTCCTCCTGCCTGGCTTCTTGCTTCTCTTCAGGACCCAAGCATGCAGTGCCACTTCTGATCTACAGACCTTCTCAGGCCTCAACCCCAACCCTGACTGTGCGTGTCTGCTCGTCAGCTCCCAAATCTTCTCCAAGTCTTGGCTACTGTCACCGACCTGGGCAGACAACCCCAGAGCCCACAGCCTCCCAAACCATCCTTTACACACGGTCCTTGTGCTGTCACTGCCCTTATTCCTGGGACCTAACTGCCCTTCTCCCTTAACCCTGGGCTCCTCCAGGACAAGAGACCTTGTCTCTCTCTACTCCACACGCCCTGAAGCCTGGATGGGTGTCACAGCTATTTGGCCCATGCTTGTTCAAATCACGAACAGAACAAATGCAATATTGGCGATATCTGAAAACTCACCAAGCATTTACTTCCAAGTATATGAAATCTCATTATGTTATTAAAATATTTAAACATTTTACTAATTTCTTTTTAGTAAAATTTGACGATGGTTTTGCCTTCCCTTGACTTGGGGCCAAAACCCATGCTGGAAAGAGACAGACACTCCAGGGAATAAAGCATATTCCCTGCCGGGTGGCTCCAGACCTTTCTGCAGCACCATGGTGACCCCGAGGTGGTCAAGCTATGAGTCATGGAGGCCCATGGCCCACTCTGCTTCAATCAGCACTGGGGTTTCGCTGTGCCACCTTGGCCAGGCTGCATAACCTGTCTGAGCCACTGTCTCTCCATGTGCAAATGGTGTTCTAGGGCCCTCTCTGCACTTGTCCCTTTCAGGAGCTCCTTTAGCTTCAAAAGCAGAAGAGAACTGGGCACAGGGAGGGGTCAGCAGCCCTGCACCGTGAGCTCCTGCCCTGGAGCGAGCATGAGCCTCAGCCTAGGTCCCTCGGCCAGGAGTGGGTCCTGCTCCCTGCTGTGCCACCTGGGATTCTCGTGCAGCTTAAATGGAACTCGGCAAGGAAGCTGAGCCCTGTCCTGAAGCTAAAGGAGACACTGCTGGAGGCTCCCAGGGGGGTGGGAGGCAGCACGCAGGGTCTCCCCACCCAGAGGCCCAAGAGACGGCCGAGGTGAAGCTCCCTCCACACGGTTTCCTCTCAGCATCTGAGCTTGCACGGGGATCTGTGAGAATAACACGGACGGTGGAACCTTCCACTCCACAGGCTCAGGGGGCCGGGCTGGGCGGCCATTCCCTCGTGTCATCTGACTACCCTGACGCAGTGTCATACCCCTAACACAGGTGTGGCTCGCATCTGCACAGAGCTGCCCACACCACACCCTGGGCCTCAGACTCCCAGAGCGGGCTGGGCAGACCCTGGACTCTCACAGCATGTGGAAGGCTGGGGTGTGAGCCCAGAGCTGAGGCTGGAAGGTACAGGTTTCAGGTCATGGGGTCAGGGAGCAGAGGCTGCAGTGGAGATGCTCAGGTGGTGACTGTGACTGGGAGGTTGCAAAGACAGCTATTAGGGTGGGCTGGGCTGCTATGGGGTGGGCTGGGCTCCTATGGGGTGGGCTGGGCTGCTATGGGGTGGGCTGGGCTGCTAAAGGGTGGGCTGGGCTGCTATGGGGTGGGCTGGGCTCCTATGGGGTGGGCTTGGTGGGCCCCAGGAGGAGGAAGGGAAGCAAGTCTTGGTGGCTTTTGGGAAGAGTTTATGGATGGCTGGCGCTGTAGACAGAGCTGAAATTCGTATTGTGAGGTCCTGACTCCTAGTGGGACTGCATGTGAAGCAGAGTCCTTCACAGTGGTTAAGTTAAAGGGAGGCCACTAGGGTGGGCCCAAATCCATTCTCATTGATGTCCTTGAAGAAGAGGAGATGAGGACAAAGACGCACAGAGAGACGACCCTGTGAGGTCACAAGGAGAAGGCGGCACCTACAAGCCGCAGAGACAGGCTGCAGGAGGCCCCAGCCCTGCGACACCTTGATCTCGAGCTCCAGCCTCCAGGACTGTGAGAACATAGAGGCCTGCTGTTGAATGCCCCCCAGCCCACCTGCAGGGCTCTCTGCACACGGGAGACTGATACAGGGCTCAACCGATTCTTAGAGGACACACGAGTCAACTTCCCTAAAACAGAACTGCTCCAGCCCTCCCAATTTGGTGCTCAGGGACCAGGAGTTCACAAATATCTCCTGGTGCTTCCGTCGGAAGGCCTGTGAATGCCATCTCCTTGGGTGGGTGGCCATACCATCTTCATCTTCCTCCTCAGTTTGGGGACACGGCCTTCGTGGACGATTCTCCAGTGAGCCCTCAGTTTTCCTAGGGTAGGACCACACTGTGCTGCGTGCACCATCCCCTGTCCCATCTGAGTCCCCAAGGTGGTGGGAGCTCCCTGGGGGATGAGTGGGCGCCTCCATCCATCCACACACACCCAGCCCTCGCCTGGCTTCCCCACATCTCTGGACAGGAGGACTCTTCTGGCAGTGTGTTCTCCCTGCCACAGGCACCCCTACAACATTAGTTCAACTCATTAATACTCTGCTTAAAAAGAAAAATCTAATGAATGCCCCATTTTCCTAATTGGGTCAGCAGAGCATGCCTTGAATAGCATTCAAGCTGTTCAGTTTCTACCTGAAATTGCCATGCGTTTTTCCATTTGGGTTGGGGGGCCGGGGGCGGGGCATGAAAATCTCTCCCCCTAAATCCTTACTCCAGCCTTCACAGCCAGCATTCTCGACAAGGGGATCATCTAAAACGCTGGGCACGTTTCTCGACATAGCACAAACTCACTGGAACCATGGGGTTTGGGGCCGCAGTGGAGGAGTTGGAAACACAGGCTCCACGCCGGGCACTGCCCTTCACTCCCCACACTGAGCACCTGGCCCTCCTGCTGCAGCCCTTTGAGTAATCTCGTGGGATGTTACGTAATATTCCTGGAGGATACATGCTGTTCTTTTACATGACAAATTCCTCAGACAGGGATTATCTCAGTCCAGCTGAGATGCTTTTCGACTTTCCCCATGATCAATAACACGGCGGAGAACATTTTCACGCAGGTGGCACCTTTCTTCATTTGAATATTTTACATTCCCAGGAGCGGAAATGCCAGGTCAAAAGGTCTGAGCGCCCCCATGGCCCTGGGCACGTGTCTGGCCAATTGCTTTCACCAGAGTTATGCCAATTTATATGACCAAATCACTGGGACCCAATTTCTTCTTATGAAAATAAAATAGGGCTGGGTGCAGTGGCTCACACCTGTAATCCCAGCACTTTGGGAGGCTGAGATGGGTGGATCACGAGGTTAGGAATTCAAGACCAGCCTGGCCAAGATGCTGAAACCCCGTCTCTACTAAAAATACAAAAATTAGCCAGGTGTGGTGGCACACACCTGTAATCCCAGCTACTCAGGAAGCTGAGGCAGGAGAATCGCTTGAACCCGGGTGGCAGAGGTTGCAGTGAGCCATGATCGTGCCACTGCACTCCAGCCTGGGTGACAGAGCAAGACTCTGTCTCAAAAAAAAAAAAAAAAAAAAAGAAAAAGAAAGAAAGAAAAGAAAAGAAAATCTTTTTCTAAAATGAGGTATAGAGAAAATGGGTTTCAACCAGAGGACAATAAACTTCAAAGATGAGAGGACTTTCCACTGGAGTGGATTAGGGGAGACATAATTTCACGCTGAAGGACTCATCAGAACAGAATAGTTTCTCCTTCTCACAGAGAAATGGACTCTGATAACATCAGGCCTATTCCAAATCTCCAAGTCCATGGCATTTTTCCTACTCGGCTTCGTGAACTTCCAATGGAATGTGCTTATTGGCCCCGGGGCCAGCACGGGGCCATCTTAGGTGCCGAGGATAGAGAGGCGGTGTTGGAAGAAATGGGTGGGGATGCCTCCAAACCACCCACAAAGACCGTTCCCAGAGACCAGAGGCAGGAATGGCAGACAACCTGGTGACACTGAGATGCCAATAAAACCCAGGATTGATTGATGGAAAGACGAGCCAAGCCAGGGAAAATCAGAATGAAACAGACGGCCCCGGGTGAATGAATGCACATTTCCCATAATTACATAGAGATGGAAATAAGCAGCACAGAACAAAGCGAGAAGGAGAGCCCACTTCCAAGTTGTTTGCAGCAGAGGCTGAAAATAGACACCGGAGAGGTGGTGCTGGATAGAAACCGCCAGTGTTTGTCTCCGAGCTTCCTGCAATGAAACAACAAGCAACGCACTGGGGGCAGGAAACGGAGCCGTCAGAGGAAAGCACCCCAGAGACGCTGTTCCCCGTCTCCCGACACTGGAGAAACAGGTGGCCAAGGGCAGCCGCCAAGGTTTCCAGAGGCTGGTGCCGAGCCCAGAGAGACCTGAACTGGGTCCCTGGGAAAGCGGAAGGGCAGAAAAGCGAACTGGAGAGTCTAGAGTGCGCTTCCAGTGGGACAGCACCCCCAGGCAAAGTCAGCTAAAGAGGGTGCCGGTGGTGGGGTCTTTCTACCGTGGCAGAAAACGGAGGCACCCCTCTTCTTAGGGGTTCCTAGGAGGACAACTGAGCCTTCAATGCCTCAGGTTATTTTTCTGTAAATTAGTATTATTATTATTATTAGAAACACGGTCTCGCTCGGTCGCTCAGGCTGATATGCAGTGGTGCGGTCTCAGCTCACTGCAGCCTCAACCTCCCAGGCTCAAGCGATCCTCCTGCCTCGGCCTCCCAAGTAGCTGAGATTACAGGCATGTGCCACCATGCCCGGCTAATTTTTAGTTTTTCATTTTTTGTAGAGATGGGGCCTTGCTATGTTGCCCAGGCTGGCCTCAAGCGATCCTCCCACCTTGGCCTCCCAAGGCACTGGGATTATAGACATGAGCTGCTGCGCTCGGCCTCATCTGTCAATCAATAACAAGGATGACACTGGGAAGCACAGGTCAACTGCTGGTGTCCCAAGCCCTGCTCTCAGCACTCCACAGACCCCAGGTGCCTAACGGCCACCTCATCTCAGCACAGAAGGCAGCGTCATCATCCCCATGACACAGATAGTCCAGTCACCTGCTCCCGGCCACACAGCTGGGAAGGAGCCAGTGCTCCGAGGTCTATGTTCCAATGTAAAGCACCACACTCTCCCTCCCACCCTTCTCTGAAAAATGGGGGCTAGAACAGGACCACTGGGTGCTGTGAGCATGAACGAGGTCATCCAATGGAGAGCCTTCGGTGCCTCCCAGGCCCAGAGCATGGTTCAAGGCCCGTGGTGCTATTTAAGAGTTTCTCTGTGCTCATAAAAGAGCCTGCTGCCACGGGGACTGGCTGCTGCTCTCTGATCTGAGGATGGGCAGGACTGCAGCTGGGGCCTGGGCATTCCCATCCCTGAGCAAGATGGCATCACTTTACAGAGGAGAGGTGGAGGCCCCCATCAAGAGGAGGGGACCTCTGCCCCGGCCCATCATCAATCTTGCGAGGGTCCTTGACTGTGCTGCGACCCACACCCCAGTACAGGGTCCTGGGAGTGTGCTAGGGAGACAGAGACACAGGTCTACGTTCCAGGCCTCAGCTATGGAGTCCCACCATGGCACCCCGCGGGAGGCCGTCCCTCCTGCCCACTCTGTACTTGATGAGGTCCACGCCTCCTACCGCTGCAATTCTGTTGAGGTTCTAATGAGACGGGGTCCCCCAAATGCAGCCTTGTCTCACAGGGTGGTGACGGGGTTGGCAGCAGCAGGGCCTCCTCTCTGAGATTCTCAGCAAGAAAGTGATGCCAGGAGGCAAAACCGTCAATCCCAGGATCTGCTGTCAGCGTTAAAAATAGGGGGAAATGTGCCTGACTGCCAGATCCCCTGCCAGGGAGGGTGCTGCCCCCCTACCCAACTCAGAATTTTAAATTAATTTAAAATTGCTCTGGAACGGGGGACCAGCACTGAAAACCTGCCCGAGCATCTCTCTGCGCTCAGCAGCGACGCCATCCAGGGTCTCATCTCTGCTCCTGAATTTCCCATGCTCCCTCTCAATTCACTCCACTCAGGTTCCGAGTTCACAAGCAGAGTCTACCACGCAAACTCTCCCACATCCCCACAGAGAGGAACCAGCCTGGCTTTGCCTGGGGTGCCCCCACCCACCCAGTCCTCATCATCTGGCTGCAGGGGTGGGCCAAGAGCCAGTCCAGGGCCTGCCCAGCAAGGCCTGGACCAAAGAGGGGGGCAGGGCTTGGAGACGGTTCCCAGTGGAGGACCACCAGGAGACCACGTCCTCCCAGGCTTCACGGCTACAGGAGACCTGGGGAGCCCAGGGCTGCTGAGGTGACCGTGGCTGGAGGGGACCAGCCAGCTGGGGTGTGGCTTCATCTTGCTAGAAGGCATGGCAATGCCTGCGGTAGGAAGGGCGGCCCCACACCTATTCCCAGTTCCCAAAAGGAGTCTGAGGTCCGCTGGGCTTCATTTCACAGCCAATGAAACAGAAGACGAAAGGCCCTCTCAGGACAGCCTTCTCTCCACGGAGGCTTAGCGACAGCAATCTTATCACTGCTGCCTAAAAAAGAAGCCAGAACTCTGGATTTTTATGTGAAATCTCCTGATTTTAAATACCAGCAACGAGTTCCTATTTTATCAAAATGTGCCTTACAGCATGGGCTAAAAGAATCTGCCCGTGAGCCGCCAGGAATTGTGGGGTGGGGGGTTTGAAAGACGGGCAATGTCAGGGCCTGGCGGGGGTGATCAACCCACCCGTTCCCGCCACTTCCCAAAGTGAGCTCCACGGGACCCTGGAGACCCTTGAAGATGACTGTGCAAAATAGGTTCTACAGTCATGTTTGGGAAACGCCAGATCAAACAAAGCTAAGGGGCTTTTTTATTGCAGGCCTTACCAGGACCTTAAAGGCCCTAAAGTGCACTGCAGGCCTTATCAGGACCTTAAAGGCCCTTAAGTACATTCTGAGGGTCCAGGAAGGAAGTAAAGCAGGTAGCGCTTCCAATGCGATTTGACCACAGACCTGTGCTTTGCAGAGCAGCCACGGCACTCACTAGAATCCAGCACCTTTACCTTGAAAGGTAAATGGCAAGTGTGCAGTTCAGGGTCCGAGAAGCTTGGGCAGGGATGTACCACGTCCAGTGATGCAAGCCACCCTCAACTGTGCAGTCTGGCTGTGATCTTAATTACAGAATGGGAGAGCCAGTCCTTTCCCCGAGCAAGCAAGCCTGATGCCAGCTTGTTTCAGGACCACCAGGAATGTCAACAAGTGCATGATGCTGGGAGACAAATTGAGCACCATACAGACAGCTGGGCCTCTGAGTGGGTGAAGGGGGACCTTGCTCTGAGGCTTGATGCTGCGTGAATGAGTCAGAGAAGGATGTGAGTGGTGCCCAGGGATGCTGGCTGCAGGGCCACTGAAAATATGAATGGTAGAAACGGCCTGGACCTCACACTCCGGAATGTTCAGACATAGGGGCACACACCCCCTCCCCACCAGGACACAAGGCACAATTACCAACAAGATACATACACCCATAGGCAGGGTGTGAGGATGCATACCTGAAATTCCAGCTACTCAGGAGGCTGAGGTGCTATTGTTTGAACCCAGGGATCTGAGACCAGCCTGGGCAACACAGTGAGACCCCATCTCAATATATTAATATGTATACACATGCATGCATGCCAATGGCTGGTCTAAAAAGGTGAGGTAGAGAAAAAGACACCAATCCACAATCTATTCTCCCTAGATCACATCTGTGTGAATTCTGTCTACGGGTGCACAAATGGGGCTGAACAGGGACATGGAACCTGGAAGTCCTTCTCTGCACTGGAGGCCAGCAGGCTGTGGCAGGCTAGTGTAGGAAGTGGGTGCCTGGGCTCAGGGTGGACCCCAGAGCCAACTGTACTAGAGCATAACCCTGGGCAAGTGCCTACCCTTTGTCAAATGAAAATACAAGGGATCACTGTGTGAGAACATAACACCCTAATATACATGTTAGCATGCAGTAGCCATACTCCTTCCTCTCTTTGAATTTTCTTATGAGGGCATTTATGTCAAAAGAATGAAACCACAGTAAAAAAAATATGCAAACAGCAGTGTTGGGTCAAATCTGTTAATAGCTGCCATTTATCAAGTCTCCTGGATGGTGATCTGGGGTCCATGATCTCCCTACGTTATCTCTTTTTTTAAAAAAAATGTTTTTACTCATGGCAAAATACATATAAAATTTACCATGTTCATCATTTTTAAGTGTACAGGTCAGTGACATCAAGTATATTCACAGTGTTAGGTGACCATTACACCATCTGTCTCCAGAACTTTTTCATCTTCCCAAACTGAAAATGCTGTCCCCATGAAACACACATGCCCTATTCCCTCTCCCCTAGCCCCTGGCCCTCATCATCCTACCCTCTGTTTCTATGAATCTGACGACTCTAGGGACCTCATATGAGTAGACCAGTACAGGATTTATCCTTTAGTGACCAGTTTCTTTCACTCAGCACAGTGCCCTCAAGGTCTCTCCATGTTGTAGCCTGTATCACAACCTCCTACGGTTCTCCTTCAATCTTCACAACAGTGTCAGCGGTCAGTACTCAGGTGACCAGATGGGATCAGAGAAGCCAAACAACATGTCCAAGATCACACAGCTGCACCTGAAACTTGAACCTAGAGATGTCTGTCTCCAAGCTTCCACCCCAGGTGTTATACCTCCTGCCCCCAAGGCCAGAGAAGCAGTGGTTTTTGATGCATTTTTTCAAGCAACTGGCTCACTTTACCCAAATGAGATGCTCATACTCACTGGGGGCCAGGGTGGTGTGGTTTACCAGCTCTCCCTCCTGCCCATCAGACAGTCCCTAAAGCACCTGTGAGGAACTCTCTGGGACAGTGTGTAGAAACCATACCAAGGATGGATCCTCAGCCTCCCCTCTGCCAAGAGCCACGTGTCCTCACCATGCACGCCCGAGCTGAGCTCTCTCCCAAATTCCAAGATCTAAGTGTAGTGGGGGCTTGGGCCTCGAGTCACTGTGCCTGCAGCTCCCGTGGGCTCCTGGGGAGAGTAACTTATGACTCTGAGGCACCCGGACCTTCTAGTCAGTTCTGAATCCCATCAGACTGCTGGCGAATGGGGAGAAGCTGGGAAAGGTGACCTCACAAGGCAGCTCCTGATCTCAGCTTTGGGCAGGGGTCCCTGAGTCCAGACCAGCTGAAACAAGTACCCGAGAGTCCTGACAATTGTGCTGCTGGGCTCTGCAGCCCTGACAACCCCTTCGCCCTCCAAGCCACACATTTTCCACTTTTAAAATGGGCTCACGGCCACTCTTCATGCTTGCTGCAGGGGTAGAGTGAGCCAACACAAATTTGGAGCATCCGTACCCCAAGGTGACCCATTAACAGTGGCTGTGGCTCTCACAGGAAGGCTGGGACCCAGCCCTGTAGGGACTGTCAGTCCCTGGTGAGAATTCCTGAATCCTCTCCAGGATCCCTCCCTACTCTCTGGACTTTCCACTTCATGGAGCCCTTAACTCTCAGATCCAAATACCAGAGCCTTGCAGAACAAGAACAGACTTTCCTTCAGAAAAGATCTTCTCCCCAACAAAGGCACAAGAAAGGGCTGTTGTAGCTGGGGCTCCTAATTGTCCCCCACTTCCTGTTCTCCTGTCTTCCTCTGAAATGTAACCTGGCCCTTCATCTGGTCACCTGGCTGTCCACAAAGAAGAAGGTTTAAGAACATGGCTGTCCACTTAAGAAGGGAGCTGTGTGATAAGATCCTGACCACTGGGACATAAATAAAAGAAACAGGTCCACTTAAGGAAAGTGTCCTTATAGGAAAAGGGAATAATGCCTTTCTCCTGCCCCTTTCTCCTTTCTGCTGATTGGAATGATGATGTAATGGGTGGAGGTGAGGCAGCCGCCTTGGACTATGAGGGCAATTGAGCACGGAGTCCACACATGATGAAGCAGTAAGTCAGAAGAACATGCGTCTCAGACACCACAGAACCCTGCCTCAGTTATGGACCACCTAGCTGGACTTTTATGGAAAAGACAAACTTTTTAAAAAACTTAGGATTTTTAGTTACTCACAGCCAAATCTCACCATGACTATTAGAGGCTAGCAATGCCAATTTAGAAATACTTGAGAGAGCAGTAGCATCGTTATTAAGGACCCAGAGCTTGGGGTCCAGTTGGACCATGCGTGGAGGTTCAAACTCTTGCTAATCATCCTGAGTGGATGCAAAAGTCAGAGCCTCCCGGCCCCCAGGCTGGTAAAGTGAGGCAGACTCATAAACGACTGTGATAGAATGTGATCAATTAATAAGAATCACTGCCCCATGAAACTCTGCCAGGCAGTCTGTTCCCATTCCCACCTACTCCTGAAAGCCGTGAAAATAAAACACAGTCCCTTTTAAAACCAAGACCTTCTGGGCCACTCTGTGCCCAGGGAAGCAGGACTACTGCAGGAGTCCCCTGGCCGCCGGGGAGGAGCGTGGGCAGGGTCTGCAGAGGCGAGAGAGAGCTCGGACTCAGACATGACACACGGCCCACCTGTTAGAGCATATAGCTCCTCATCCTGCTGTTTCCAAAGCATTTGCACAGTGCCAGATTGTACAGACCACAAAGAAAACTGGCTCCTGCTTAGAAGCTTTAAAGAAAGAATATTGGGAGAGCGAGGAACGTAAACCCCAGTCAACTTCAAGGCCATCCCAGAGAAGCCCTTCAGAAAGAAGTTTCCTCAGAAGGCCATGCAGGGGCTCCACGGGGCCTGCAAAGGGTGTTGTGTTTGTGGGATGCAGAGGCCAGGGCAGGAGGGTTGCAGGGGAAGGGCAGGAAGAACGGGCTGGCTGTCCATTTCCAGCAGGACACTGCCACAGTCTGCACTCCACGAAGGTCCCCAGGTTTCTGGGGGACTGTGTGTTCCTCAAGATCCATGACTGGCTGGGCACAGTGGCTCATGCCTGTAATCCCAGCACTTTGGGAGGCCAAGGTGGGCGGATCACGAGGTCAGGAGTTCGAGACCAGCCTGGCCAACATAGTGAAACCCCGTCTTGACTAAAAATACAAAAATTAGCCAGGCATGATGGTGCATGCCTGTAGTCCCAGCTACTTGGGAAGTTGAGGCAGGAGAATCGCTTGAACCCAGGAGGCGGAGGTTGTGGTGAGCCGAGATCATGCCACTGCACTCCAGCCTGGGCAACAAAGCAAGACTCTGTCTCAATCAATCAATCCACGACCAGGATGGCTGTGCTGTTAGGAAGAAGCCCAAGGTAGAGGCCAGGGGAGGGGTTGCCTTGGCAAGGCCTTGAGTCTCCACATCACTGTCAGCCAGAGGAAGGCAACGTTCCCTGAACCAGTGGGCCACGTGGGAAGTTCTGCAGAGCCCCACAACCCTGCCCTGGGGAAGCAGAGCCCTCAGGCCCACTCGACAGGCCATCTGGGGTGCCCCCTGCTGAGACACCTTCAGTGCCTGGCATTGGGTTTACGGGAGACAGCAATCCTTGGCAGGGTCCTCCTGGGCTCCTTAGAGCCTGTGGGGAGAGTGAAGTTGGGGGAAATGAAACATGAGCAACACTCCGTGAGCTCTGGAAACAGAGCCAGACTCTTTCTAGGGAGCAGACACTGGAAACTCCAGCCAGGTGGACCTGGACCAGGCGTCCCGGCGCCTCCCACGGGCCCTGGAGCTCAGAGCACAGCTTCCTGGGAGAGTCCAAGTGCGGGAGAGGGTGTGAGTCACAGCGGCCGTGGGGACAGACAAGACCCTGAGGCTGCAGTGAGGCTGAGTGCGTCGGCCATTGTCACCCAGTGACCGAGAGAGGTTTGAAGCGGACTGGTGCTCAGTTCTGGGTGCAGCCTTAAGCGTCTTTCTCAGTCTCTTTATGGCCAGGGGGGATGCCTCTCAGCAGGCAGGGCAAAGGCAAATGTCTCCTCCCAACAGCTCCACCAGCCCGGAGCGTGTGATGTGTGTAGGATGCTTCCTGGGCATCTGCCTCCACTCTCAGTAACGGGAGGGAGACAGAGTGAAAATACAGGATGCGTCCCATGTTCCTGGAGCTGCCGTGACCGCTTAATACACAATGGGTGACTTCAGACAACAGAAATTCATTCTCTCACAATCTTAGAGGCCAAGAGTCCAAAATTAGGGCTGTGGCAGCACTTCCTCCCTCCAGGGCCTCTAGGAGAGGACCCTCCCTGCCTCTTCCACTCCATTCTCTGCCTTCGTCTGTGTGTGGCCTTCCTCTCTTGGTGTGCTTCAGTGGGTTCCTGTGTCTGAATCCCCCCTCCTTCTTCTTATAAAGACATCAGCCATTGGTCATACTAATACAGCATGACCTCATGTTAACCAAACCAATTAAACCCACAAAGACGCTATTTCTAAATAAGGTCACATTCTGAGGTTCAAGTTGGACATGAAATTGAGGGGACATTATTTGACCCAGAAGAAAGACCCTGCAGTGTTAACAGTGATTCACTTGGGGAGTGGGGGAGAAGAAGGTTTGGATGATTTTCATATGTACACGCATTTACCCCTTGCTTTTGTGTAATTTCTACGAAGACCACATATTACCTCTCTATTCAGAGGCAAATAAATAATAGTATATTTTTGATTAAGAAAAAATTACTTGAGATCTCAAAGGTCCTTGTTGACTGTCATGAGTAGGAAAGTTACCAATGCTAAAAATGCTGAGATCGAATCTAGTGAGTCCAGCAGAGAGAAGGCTGCTGGCTCATGGCCCAAGAAACCCAGTGCCTTGTAACTGTGGCTAGTGCTGTTACTAGCACTCAGCCCAGCCAACAAAGTTGAGAGCTTGAGCAACAGGAAAGTGAAGTGAGCAGGTGCCTCAGATTCCACCCCCAGTGGCCCACATTCAGCCCTGTAGCTTGAAATCCAACTGAGCGCATGCATGGCTGGATTGAGGGAGAGGGACCAAGGTCCAGAGGGTGAAACACGTGCTTTCCATCCAGGCACAGGCAAGGAAGGGCCTTCTGGGGAAGGAGATGCAGAAGTGGCCCAAATGGAAGATGGATGCAGGCCCACACAGTGAAAGGTCCCGCCAAAGCTGACAAGCACATGAAGGCCAGTGAAATGTCCCTCTCTGTTCTCAATGGGGAGCCCAGGGAGAAACACCCACAGCTGGAAGCAGGCACCACAGGGGGCAAAGCTGCTGGGGTGTGAGTACACTGCCCCATGGCCTCTGGGGTCCTGGACAAGCCCTCTGTCCACCACAGAGCAGGGACTAGGCACTGGTCTCCCTACTACACCTGTGTTGCACGCAGGGAGTGAACAGCAAGAGCTGTACTTTTTGTTTTTGCAGAAATCCAGATCACGGTTCACCCACGACTATCAGAAACCCACCCCCAGATGTTCATGACTGTCCATCAATCTAGGAGGTCTGGGCCCGGCCCGTAGTCCTGAAAATCTGGACACTCTCAGTGACCTGCTAATAAGAAGGGACAGCCATTTGGCTAGATGCCAGCATATGGCCCAGTGGCTCTGGCTGTTTGCACAGCAGGCTCGGCTGCCCCTCAATGACTTCATGATGAGGGATAATTAAAACAGCTTCCCTGCACGTTCTCCTCCCTCATCCAATTTGGTCACATGATGAACAAGCTCAGAGGAAATTAGCAAGGTATTCTAAGCCCTACAGGACAGACATTCTAGCAGGTGAGGAGTAAGCCAGGTTTCTGGAAGCTTCCCATATCTAGAATGTTGGGTTCTGGGCAAATTGCCCATCAGTCTGGCCCAACTCAGTCACAGAAGGTTTCAGATCCCTCCTCTTTGCTCCCCCAACCCCTTGCTCAGATCTGATCCTATCAGCTCTTCCAACAACCTCCAGGCAGGTCCCCCTTTAGCCAGCTTCCCCTTCCTGATTCTTGAACCCCAATGTTATAGCTCTGACCAGGGCATCTGCTTTAAAAATCTTCAACAGCTCCCATGGTTAGAACAAAAGTGAAGGAATAGGAATTCCTACATTCAAATCCTGGTCTCCAACTTCACAAGAGGTAACGCTAAACCAGCAGACCCTGAGGGCAGAGAAGCTGCCTTCCATGGCACAGGGCCTGGCATGTGGTAAGCTCACAAAAAATGTAAGATGAACAGAAGAGAGGAAGGAAAGAAAAAAGAAAGGTGGGAAGAAAGGAAGGAGTTAAATCGATGGCAGGATGGGTAACTGCATGGATTGTTGGATGAATGGATGGATGGGTGGGTGGATAAATGAATGGATAAATAGATAAGTGAATGAGCAGAAACACTAATGAATGGATAGATGGATGAATGAATGGATAAAGAGATGGATGAATGCATGGATAGAGAGATGGAAGGATGGATGGCTGAATGAAGAAATGGATAGATGAATAGATGAATGGATAGATGGATGGATGGAAAGACAGATGAATAAATTGATGGATGGATGGATAAATGAACAGGTGAGTGAATGGGTGGGTGGGTAAATGGATAGATGAGTGGGTGGGTGGTGGGAGGATGGGTGAATGGGTGGTTCAATGAGTGGATGGATGGGTGGATGGATGGATGAATGGATAGGTGATGGGATGGATGGATGAATGAATAGATGAATGAATGGGTAGATGGATGAATGAATGGATGAATAAATGGACAGATGGATGGATGGGTGGATGGGTGAGTGAATAAGTGGGCAAGTGAATGCACAGATGAATGGATGGGTGACTGGATGGGCAGATGGGTGGTTAGGTGGGCGCATAGATGAATGGATGGACAGATAGATGGATAATTGACTGGAGGAAGGAATAGATGAATAAATGGATGAATGGGTAGATGGATGGATGGATAAATTAACAGATGGATATTTGGATGGATGAATGGGTGAGCAGATAGGTGGGTGGGTGAATGGATAATGAGTGGATGGATGGATGGATGGATGGATGGGAGGATGGGAGGTTGGGTGGTAGGTGGCTGGATGAATGAATGGGAGGGTAGATAGATATATTAGTTGTATATATAAAGGCAACCTTCCCCTCTTGGACTGTTTTGCCCATCTATTATATTTCCTTGCCTCTAGGGGGTGTGAGTTTAAACCATGTTTGATACATTATTTCATTAAAAACACCAACAGCCTTATGAGGGAGGCATCTGATTCCTGCTTTATTGAATCAGAGAATTTCAAGGATCTTACACAGAGTCCCACTCAATAAGCAGGTGGGACAGCTGGAATTCAAACATCTGCCAATCTGTGCCCAGGACTCTTTGCCCAGTGTGGTTCTCCCTGCTCTTCCCAGCCCCAAGCATCATTTGAAACTCTGGATACACACCAGATGGACACCCCTGGCTGGCCCTTCCTTAACTTCTGTCTACCTCGTCTCTATCCTTAGTCTGACAGGGTTGGTGATACCTGTTTTGGACTTACATCTCTTCCTGCTAACTTATGCTCTCTGCAACAGCCTGCCTCTGCGTGCAAATGTTCCTGCAAGAGGGATTAAGCAAACATTTCCCTGACGATGGCCCCAGCAGCCAGGAGGCAGTCTCAATAGCTGGTTTCCATGCTTTGCATAAACTTCAGTGGACTCCAAGGGCTGGAGCCTGAGAGCCCAATCGGGCCACAGGATGACTGACACTGGACAAGTAAGCGGGCCTCAGCTCCCAACCTACAAAATGGGAATAATGCAAGTAGCACCCACAAAGGGTTGTTTTAGGAATCAAATTGGATAATGCACAGGACTTAGCACCCAGTAAATACTCAATGTACGGTGACCCGCTTTTCAAACACCTGCTCCTAAGCAAAGCGTTCTCAACCTAGCCACAAGCAACCTGGAGGCTAAGCCCTCCCAGGCTGACTCTGGCCTTCCCTAGCACAGGGCTCAGTCATGTGCCCAACAGATGACTGCTGGGTCTTGGATATCCTATTTCCTTTTCCTCAAGTGGCCTCACTTCCTGATAAAGACCTTGGTGCCTTTCTCAGGACTTGGGAGGGCCAAGCCCTTGGGCAGTGCCCAAGAGAGCACAAGCAGTTGACATACGGGTTCTGCTGCCCACCCCATCATCCTCAGCACTTTAGTTGACGTGATGGCCCACCTCTTGCTATTAGGGGCATCACGGAGCACAAGGGGAGATCTAAGCCCACAAGACTTGCAACTCTCTAGGAAGAACTGACGGCAGCCTTAGCACATGACATCACGAAGACACAATGACCCTTGAAGGCCAAAAATGGTGGTAACAGCAGATCACAGCGATGGGGCACTTCCATGAGTCACACACCATGTTCCACGGCTCACACACATCCTCTCAAGATGCTGAGACCCAGGATGGGGCTACATCTGACCTAGTGTGTGGGTGCTTCACTGCAGCCTCCACCCACCCCACCTTGGAATCCTTGTACTGTAGCATGATGGATTATCTGGGCCTGTGGCAAGTTGCAAGACACCATTTGGAGAGGGAATTATTCAGATCATAGCACACCCATGACCTGTGCTTCTCAGCTTTCATCCCAGCCCAAATGTGCCAGGAGCTAAATTTAGGGTGAGGGTTGTACCCAGCCTGTGCTCTGTCAAGAAGGAGCCGAGTGCTGCTGCGAAACCACCCCAGAGCATCTGCTTCCTGTCCCCTGTTCATAATCCATTTTAAATGAAGTCATCAAAATTCACTGCCATGTTCATATAAAATAACAGCAGCAACTGCCACTAAATTTGTATTGCGCTGTGCGGCCAGGTTGCTCTTCTCTTAGCCATGGCCATGTCAGGTAGGCAGGGTGCATGTGATACCCATGTCTGAAGCTGCAGGCATGGCAGTGTGCCATGCAAAAGCCCATGGCCTCCTGTAGTCTTTGCCATCCACTCAGTGGGCTAGACTGGAAACCCAGGCATGACCTGCACACCCAACACCTAGCAGCAAGGCAGATTCCAACCTGACCATGGCTCTCCAGTCTCATGCCCATGGCTGAGTATCCCATGGACATGGCAGCAGCCTTCCAGTGTGAGCCCTGCTTCCTTCCTTGCTAAAGACAGTTATCCACACAACAGCCAAAGGATTCTTCTTAACAACAGCAATCATGGAAACTTCTTTGTTAAAACTCCTTAAAGGTTCTCCCCATTTAGAACAGAACCCAGACCCCTGATTTAGAACATGAGGCTCAAGGGACTTGGCTCCTATCTCCAGCCTAACTTTACTACCTCTTCTCCTGGACTATGCACCTCCCACTCACACCTCCATCTGGTTATCCCTGGCATCTGGGAGAACCCAAGCAAGTTCTTTCCTACTGCAGGGTCTTGGCCAAAGCTGTTTTCAGGAATGTGCTGTCCACACACCTGTACATGCTCGTCCCTCCCAAAGGCATTCCTGAGCACTTTGTTTTTACTACTGGGCAGTCCACCTTGCCCTGAGTCTCATGCTGTCCTTTCCACACTGGAGCACTGGTGTTGGGCCTAGAGTCATAAAATGTTTACATACAGCACTGCTCTGGATGGGTGGGTAGATGAATGGAGAGGTGAGTGGATAAACAGAATGGTGGGTGGGTGAGTAGATAAATGGATAGGTCGGTGGATGAATTGGATGGACAGAATGAATGTATAGATAATAGAGAGATGAACAGATGTCTGGATGGATGGGTGGATGAGGGTAAGTAGGCAAGTGGGTGAATAGATGTGTAGATAAGTAGATGGATAGTGGATGAATGAATAAATGGATATACAGATGGGCAGATGGATGGGTAGGTGAGTGGAGGGATAGATGAATGGACTGATGAATGGATGGATGAATGGAGAAGTTGGTAGGCAAGCGAGTAGGTGGACGGAAAGATGGGTAGATGGGTGGGTGGACAGATGGATCGATAGATGGATAAGCGTGTGGGTGGATGGATGGATGGACAAATGGATGAAGTGGGTAGGCAGGTGAATGGATGCATGGAAAGATGGGTAGGATGGATGGGTGAGTGGATGGATGAATGGGTGATAGGTAGATAGGTGGGGATGGATGGACTAGTCAGAAAAGTGGATGAATGACATCATAGGTAGATATCATCACCTATACAACTGAGTCAGAGAAACTTCTTCAGAGAAGCTGAGAAACTGAAGACACAGAACCAGCAAGTGGCAAAACAGGGTCAAGTCCCTGCCCTTGAATGTGGTTTGACCTCCACGAAGTGAGAAAACATGCCAGGAAGCTTGTTACCCACAGATTGGTTCTACCCTCGAGGCTGGTGTCCAGCATAGCTGAAGAGATGCACTAAGCCCTCTTTCCCTATCAGGGCTAAACACGAGGACAGATGACCAGACTCTGGAGCACCGCACCTCCAGGGACAGTCAGAAACCATGACCCGGGGTCCAGCTCACAGTTGGGATTGATCAATGGGATGCCAATGACTTCTAAATTCAGCTTTGGCAACAACCCCACAGCGCCCAGGCTTGGCAGTCATCCTCGTGTGTTCCTCAAAGAACCCCGACTATCTCCCTCCCTGCGGAGCAAACATCCCCACCTCCAACCTCCCCCAACATCCGACCCTGTCCCTTGCTCCCTTCACATGGTAGGAGTCCCTTTCTCTCAGAAGCCTCTTTGCTCCAGACCAAGGTGAACACAGCCCACCTGATCCCGCCACCTCCATACCCTATCACACCTGGTCAAACCTTCTCTACCCGCCCCAAAGCCCCATGGCTATGAGTTACTTGGGTGCGGGGGATTTTCTCAGCTCTGTACTTGGCACCCCCAGACTCTCATCAGCCTGAATGTCCCCTTAGGCCATGTTATCCTCGTGCACACCTGCCCATCAGATCTCTCCCATCACCCATTAAGGTGACGGGTCTCTTTATGTAACCCCAAGAAAGAACGTTTTGAAGGTGGAAATTGTCTGTGGAATGCAGGAAGGAATAAGGGAATAAGAATTAGACCAACAGAGTGTGTATTTCGTCTGTCCATCTTCAATCCCGATGTGTGCAGTGGGAGACTGCGAGGTCCCCAGGGACTGGGACTCAGTCTTGCTTTTCTACCAGTTGGGTGAATGAACGAGGACAAATGATTAAGCATTTCTCCCTTACTCTCTCACTTGAAGAAAATGGATGAATACTTGTCCTTTGACCTCTCAAAGTCATAAAAGTATAAAATGAAATGCGAGCATGCATTTATAGTTTTAGAAATACACGCAAGGGGCCTGGCGCGATGGCTCATGCCTGTAGTCCCTGCACTTTGGAAGGCTGAGGTGGGAGGATCACTTGGGCCCAGGACCAGGTGTTCAAGACCAACCTGGGCAACATGGCAAAATCCCATCTCTATTTAAACAAACAAACAAAAAAGAAATAAAAGAAAATGTGTATGTGAATCATACCACAAAGCCCCTTCATTCCAAATTCTTTCTGCAGGAGCCGCGTGCATCTCAGGGGATACTCTCTTCCCAGGAGCCAGGGAAAGGACATCCCTCGACCTGCTGGGCACACGGGGAGCAGCGCTGGCCTTTCCGGGCCCCCTTGTGGGAGGGAAGCATTCCGACCTGCCCCCTCTGCAGGCACTGTCAGTCCAAGCTGGCAGCCACCAACAGGCATTTTAATCAGGCCCAGGTTAGTAAATCCTGCCACTTCCCTGAGGGTTTTAACCCTGCAGTTGGAAGGTCATGTTTAACAGCAAGACCTACTATTATGCCTCTGTTTCCATGTGAAAATAAATGAGTCCCACACCTAGTAATGGTTTTGCTCCTCCAGTCTGTCCTCTTAAAAATGGGTCGTGAAGGACTAATGCTTTTAAAACACTATAAAACAAGGTCTGTAATGGCTCTGATGCCTCAAAAGTGTATTAAGATGAAAATTTATGTTTTCCTACACCACATGGCATTGAAATACAAGCTCTAAAATAAGAGGCAGAATTATTGTGTGTTCTGACAAAAAATCCCCAGCCCTACCTGCACCTGAACTTGCATCAAAACATGATTTCCATCAAAATTCCCATCAAAAGTCTTATTTGGTATAAAGCAGTCTTTTTGGGTTAATTTTTTTTTTAAACCATGCAAACATCCATGTCAGAGTTAATTGCACTGAGTTGGCCTCCTCTACGAGCCAGTTAACTCTGTAGCTCAGGGCCTGGGGTTTGTTTCTTTGACTCCTCTGGGCAGGTGCAAATATAGCAACCTACAGTTGCCTCTGCAGGCTGCAGGGTTTGTGCCTTGAGACAATCCCAGCAGATGCTGACCTCAGGCCACAAAAGAAAGGCAGGGAATAAGCCAGACCTCAGGGAGCTCAGAGCTAGACAATAAATAAGCACAGGAATAAATGAGTGATCCAACTGGGAGGAGAACCAAAAGAACAAAGCAGAGATGTGATCAGTTAGAAGAGGAGCAGAGCCCAATTTGGATAGGGTGGTCTCGGAATAGTGGGACACAGGTGCAGCCAAAATGCAGAGAGCAGGGGGCAGGGGCAAAAAAAAAAAAGTGAAAACCTGGGAAGGATCCTGTCGCACTGGGTCTCCCAGGCCAGGGGGAATCTGGTGTGGAGCCCAACCTGGATGGACTCCATGAGGTGACACCTCTCCCCACGATGCGGCTGTCTCTGTTTCAGCTGATCTAAGCACCAGACACTGAACTGATGGCACACCTGCCCAGTGCCCAGGTGCCAGCTCCCCGAACACAGCCTGACCTCATCCCAGTTCATCCAGATTCCTGCTGCAAACCTGCTGCGATTAAGTGTCTCAGGGGGAGGGTGTGTGACACAATCTGATTTATGGTCTTTGTTGAAAGATCCCTCTTCGAGCTCCTGGGGTGGAGACTGGGTTGTAGGTGAAAGGAGTAGAATGTGGAGCCTGGCTGGGAAGCTACTACACTGGTCTGTGTAGTCTCTGGAATGGGCTTGAGTAGAGACAATGGAAATGGAAAGAAGTGCAATACGTCAGTTGGTATTTGGAGCCTGGACTGGACTGGCTGATGGACAGGACTAGACTGGCTGATGGACTGGACTGGCTGATAGACTGGACTGGCTGATGGACATGACTGGACTGGCTGATGGACTGGACGGGCTGATGGACTGGACTGCTGATGGACTGGACTGGCTGATGGACTGGACTGGACTGGCTGATGGACTGGACTGGCTGATAGACTGGACTGGCTGATGGACAGGACTGTGGATGATACTCAGGCTTCCGGCTTGAGTGGATCATGAACAAAGAGGGAAATCTATGTGCTTGGGGTGGGGGTGGGGAGCTTGGTTTTGGACACATTGCACATTTTGGATCCTTTGGGATTCCCCCACGGGAGTAGTCAACTGGGCAGCAGGACACAGTCTAGAGTCTAGTAAACTGGAGGTAAGAATTTGGGAGGAGGAGACATGGGTGTGGGGCTGATTTTGCTGAAGTGCCCGTCTTGGGGCTCTTGGTCTCAGCAGGAGACAAGCCGCCTTACCTCAGTGATTCAGGGACTCAGGGACATGGGCTAAAAGGTGTGAGCTGGTGGGCAGGGCAGAGGCTGCTCCGCAGGACTTACGGAGCAGGGGTAGCATCCATCTTAGATGGCAGGGATCAAGGGGTTTTTATACCTGGGTAGGTCTAGAGAAACCGTGAACACTGTCACATTCCAGGGACAAATCTCAAAAATAATTTGTAGGCCAGACAGCAGGTGAGAGAGGTCCCTGGTCAGGAGGGGTTGGCCTGGGTTGAGTGGCCCACTGGTGTGGGCTCCATGAGGTGACACCTCTCCCCATGACATGGCTGTCTCTGTTTCAGCTGATCTAAGCACCAGAACCTGAGCTGATGGCACAACTGCCCAGTGCCCAGATGCCGGCTCCCCGAACACAGCCCGACCTCATCCTGGTTCATCCAGTGCTGGCCCTGTCTGGACGAGCCCCAAGCATCCTCTGCTCGGTGCCCTGGGACGCCTGTGAACTCCTGGCCACGGCTATGTGGTGGAAGACACGGATTCTGTGGGGGGTTTTCCTTATCTCTAGGACTCGCCCACCTGCTCCCATGCAAATCCTCATTTTAACTCTGGATCCCAGTGAAGGTACAATTTAGAGTCTAAAATAACTCAGGCTGGTGCAAACGGAGCTTTGCTAGGCCTGGTGCCTCCTTTCAGTCAACATCTGGTCCACTCTCTCTGGCATCCTGGGCTGGGGGTATGGGGAAGAGGCACTGGCACCCCGTTTCGGCCTCTTTATTTGGAGATGAGATCTTTACAGCTACAGAGAGTCTTTAAAGTGGAGTCACTCAGGTAGGTCCTCATCCAACAGGAGAGGTGTGTTGTAAGAAGAGGAAACCTGGACAGACAGGAAGAAACCGAGTGAGGATGACGACAGCCACCTGCAAGCCAGGAGGAGAGGCCTCAGGAGAAACCAGCCCTGGGACACCCTAATCACAGGCGTCCGCCCCCACAACGGTGAGAGAATGTTTCTGATAAAACCACCCAGTTTTTGATACTTTCTTATGGCAGCCCCAGCAAACAAAAACTGGCTCCATGGCCTCCCCTGTCCTGGCCCCTCAGTCTCTACGACCTGGGCACCTTGCAAGCACAAGAAAGGGACCCTCCAGTTCGGGGTGCCCACACACCTTGCTTTCTTCCTTGAGCTCTGGTCACCAAGGAGGCAAAGGGGAGAGAGGCTTCCAAGGGGCCCATCATTTGGAAAGGGAAAACCAGCTTCTGTTGCCGTGGCAACTCCACTGGGATGCTCTGCTATTTGCACATTTTGAAATTGGAGGTGGGTAGTGAGAAGGGAAAAAGGAAAGAAAAATTGAGGGAGATGAGAGTATCCAGGGCAAAAGAAAGGAGAGAAAAGCAAATGAAGTTTAGGAAAAATCCAGCTTCGGACAGGTGACCCTGACAGTGCTTAATGACCTCAGATGAGTCCCAGGGCCGCGGGGACTTCCCCATTAAGTCATGGTGGCTCCAGCCAATGTCAGCCCAGGTCCCCCACTGTCAGAGAGGAAACAGAGGCTCGAAGATGAGAAGTGCCCTGCACAAGGTCACCTTGTGACTTGGAGGATTCTCCAGGTAAAAGCAGCCGTATTGGGGGAAGGCCTCTATTCTTGTAATGAACCAAACGTTTGTGCCAACCCCCCAAATTCATATGTTGAAGTCCTAACTCCCAACGTGATGGTTTTATGAGGTGGGGTCTTTGGGAGGTAAGCAAGTCATAAGTGTAGAACCTTCATAAATAGGATTAATGTCCTTATAAAAGGGACCCCCAGGACCTGGATATGGTGGTGTGAACCTGCAATCCCAGTGCTTTGGGAGGCTGAGGTGGGAGGATCCCTTGAGGCCACAAGTTTGAGACCAGCCTGGGCAACATGGCAAGACCCCATCTATACAGAAAATACAAAAATTAGCCAGGTATGGTGGTGCACACCTGTAGTCCCAGCTACTTGGGAGGCTGAGGTGGGAGGATGGCTTGAGCCCAGGAGTTTGAGGCTGCAGTGAGCCATGATTGCACCACTGCACTCCAGCCTGGAAAACGGAGTGAGAGTGTCTTAAAGAAAAAGGGGCCCTAGAGAGTTCTCTGGTACCCTGGTTTCAGACTTCTAGCCTCCAGAATGGTGAGAAATAAATATGTATTTTTTACGAGCCATCTAGTTCATGGTACTTTGCTGCAGTGGCCTGAGCGGGCTAAGACCTTCCTCCTTGGAGATCCCATGGAGTGGGGTTCAAGGGGTCCTTATGATACCCGTGAGAGGATTTGAGTCAGACCTGCATCCCACCACAGGCTCTAAGGAGAGACTCAACTTCTAGGGTCTGGCTGGCAGACTTCTCTCACTGGACAAACCATTCTAGAGAAAAGCAAAGATGCTGCAGAACTAGGCGACGTCTAAATTTAGCCTCACAAAGAATCTAGAGCACAGGAGCAGGGAAATACTATTCTGAAGGGACAAGGAGAAGAATACAATGGGCCCAGGAGGCTGAATTCACCACGAGTAAGGGCACGCGGGGGGTGTCTGAGAAAGTGCAGAAGTCAGGTGCCGGAATGGCCAGGCTGAGATGCAGCTGCGCGTGCCTCATTCCCCAACCGCCCATTGGATGGAGGTGTGCCTCAGGGTGGGGTGGGGTGGCCGGGCAGGCTCAGCAGCAGAGGGTGGGGCCACAAGCATCCATCTCCAAAATTGCTCTTGAGTCTGCTAGCAAGGAGCCACAGGACACTGCCTCGCACCGCCTTCTGATGTAGCTGGACAAGAAGTGTGTTCTTCTTCCAGCATTGAATCAGATCCTGTCTCTCAAAATGAGCCTCAGATAGATAGATTCATTCATTCATTCACTCACTCACTAATTCCTTCACTCACCCTGCAGAAACCAAGCACCTGCCTTGTGCTAGGTACTGCTCTACCCAAGCATCAAGGAATATGCCCACAGTGCTGCCCTTCCTCAACTTCAAATACCTGGCTTTCTTGGGTCGTGGCCCCTCCCTGGCAGTCCCACCCTCGGGCACTGCTCCCCTGGGCCCTCTCCTCCCTGGTGCTTTCTGCAGTTTCTTAGTGGGGGGCTGCCTGGCTGTTCTCCAGGGTCCATGGCCTGTCCAGCATCTTGGTCACCAATTCCGCGCGCAGATGCCTCTGTCGGAAAGGCCTAGGGTGGTCTCCACTTTCTGGATTAGACTCTCACCCCCAGGCCACCAGGGAGCGGTCTGCTGCAGTCTACACCCTCCTGGTGAGACTTAGGCTCCATCCAGACAGCACCACCGAGTGGCTCCCCTGCCATCAGAAGGCAGGGGCAGAGAGTGCAGCTCAGAGGAGCCACAGCCCATCGCACCCCGCGGCACCAAATGGGGGGAACCATTTGGGAGGGATCTAGTCACAGAAAATGGAAGTTGGGAACCGAGACTCATTTTTGAGAGAAATGGTCAAAAGAGCCACACCCGGCTAATTAGGATTCTGAGAACGAGATGCTGCTGAAACAAGAAGGGAACAGATAAGACCAAGAAACATCCCAGACCTAACATTTGGCTACAAAGAAGGAGTCCAAGTGTTCTTTTGTGTTGATGTTCCGGAAACTCAAAATTGCACTTTGCTGCAGACGTCAGTAACTCTAGCACCAAGGGTTCACGGAGCTTGCATTTGGGAATCCGAGGAGAGCAATTTACAAGGAGTAAGGATAAAATCTAAAGTCCTATCTCAGTAGGAATGACTTTTCTTATCAGTTCACGCAGGGGCCCGGAGACACACAAGTCAACAAATAGGAGATTTTTGTGATTTCTAAAGGTCCACTTTTGCTGGAGTTTTCCTATGTCTACCCGGCAAATTTTCATCTCCCCATTTCCCTAAGGAAACATTTCTTAAGGGGTGACCTAGAGGCAGCCACTCTCTGCCCGCACATGGACTCAGCAGGAGCTTCATGACGGCCCTCGCTGGTCTTGAGAGCATCTCTAGGTAACACAGGAGGACAGATCAACAACCACACCAGCCTCTGCCTTCACTCCCTCGCTGTGGCTCTCACCCCAGCAGACAAGGCCTGGGGCTGACATTCCATGAAGCCAGGAGCCAAACGAATGATATGCCGTGGACACCACCATGGACAGCACAGAAGGGAAACAGGACCTCGTAGCCCAGAGGGATTTGAATCCAATTCGGTGTATTTAAAAAAAAAAAAAAAAAAGAGAGAGAGAATGAGGTCCCTTGGGGTAGTGGATCCCCACTCTGACTCTCTCAAGTTCTAGAATACGAAGGTGCCATCCTGAGGTCAGCTGTCTCCTATCCGGGTAGGGGTAGGTGGAGGGTGCTGGTGGAAGGACGCTCTTGTCCGAGTCCTCAGTAAATCCTGAACACAGGGGAGGACCAATGAGGAGAGTGCACACGTCTTGGCTCCACACGGGCAGCAGGGCCGAGAGCAGGTCCGGAGGCCAAGGATCAGGCCAGGACTCCACCAACGGAGGACGAGAGGCAAGAGCCGCTGTTAACAGCAAACAGCTATGTCCACTGCTGGGGAGTACGGCATGCGCATGAGGGCTGAGGGGTGGGGCAGGACGGGCCAAAGCTGCCTGAGCCAGGGATGCCTTCACAACCTCGCTGCCCCAGCCAGAAAAGTCTGCCCAGGCCACCGGCTCGTGAATGTGGGGTCAGCTCAGCCATGTTCCCTCTTGAGAATCGACGCTATAGATTTGTATTCATTACCCACTGAATTCAGAGCCAGCCAGACATCCACGTCTCACCCCAATAAAAGCTTTAACATTTACCCAGCGGCACAGAGTCATTATTCTGTGACAATATTCCACTGCTGACCTTTATTGCCTAGGACTCTCTGTGAAGTTTCCAAGGAAGCATTTCAGCGTTCAGCACACAGGACCCAGGTCCACCGCCTCCACTGCTCCTGCACCGGCCGGCCCCCGCCTCCCGCCCATCCATCTCTGGGCTGTTTGCCTCTGTCTGGACTTCATGTACTGACAGTGTGTTTGCTACCACTTAATTCCATCACTGACTGTGCCTCCCTCTAAATTGATCAGTGTCAATTCTGGGCAAATAATTGGGTGGAATTACCAGCGGGTCCACCCGTGCTGATTATGCAAATAATGTACGCCGTCACCAAGGGCCCGGCGCTGGCAGTAAGTGTCTAAACTCCTTAGCATTTGACAGCATAATTGAAGACACAAATATGAAGCCTAATGAAGAGTTTCTTTTCTCGAGGAAGACTCCCTCGTTCTCACTTTCAATGGCTTGGCCCAGAGGGTGCAGGTGAAGAAGGTGGGTCGCATAGACACAGAGGCTGAGGGGGTCGGCATACGGACACCTGTCCACGGACATGGGGCGGTGTGATCTGCTCTTGGACAACCCCAGGGTCATAACCTGTGCCTGCTATGATAAGCCTGGTCAAGCTGGATAAACTCCCAGGCCTCGGTTTCTCCATGTGTAAAATGGAAATAATACTATAATAAACAATGACAACAGTCAAGAGTCCCTCTACCACCACTGCTACTAGCTGGGCACGAGGCTATTGACTATTATTTATCCCTGTGATACAGAGGAGGCAACTGTGGCACAGAGAGGTTAAGTAACTTGTCCAAAGTCACACAGCCTGTGAAGGGCAGAGTCAAGACACAAGCCAAGAAGGTGGGTTCCAGAGTCCAGGCTCAGCCTATGGACTGAGCTGGGCCATGTCCACATCTTACACAGTCAGCCTCACACCCCACGGGGGCAGCCCAGGGCCCCACCCACACAGGGAGCACAGTCACTGGAGCTGCCACGGCCAGTCCTAAGTCCCATCCGGGAAAGGGCTCTGGCACGGAAAGCCCTGTTTGGACACAACATGCGGCCTCCTCATCCTCACCCATTCTCTTCCACAAACCTGCCCAATTCTCACCCAGGGTGCCAAAGTCCAGAGGATGTTGGGGGAGGGCGTCCTGCAGTTAGAAGCCACATCCAGGTGGGCGCTGAGTGCTAGAGGCTGAACTGTGTCACCTGCAAAATTCATGTGACGCAGGCTTCACCCCCAGGATATCAGCATGTGTGCGACTGTATAGGGAGATGGGCTTTAAAGAGGCAACTAAATTAAAGTGAGGCCAGATGGGGCAGGTCCTAAATCCAATCCAACTGGCGTCCTTACAAGAAGAGATCAGGACACAGACATACAGAGGGATGACCCCATGAGGATACAGGGAGAAGGCAAAGTCTACAAGCCAAGGAGAGAGGTCTCCGGAGGAACCAGTCCAGAGACCCCTTGATCTCAGCCTTCCAGCCTCCAAAACGGTGAGACGATAAATGACTTGTGTAAGCCTCCCTGTCTGTGGTGCTTTATGACGGCAGCTGGAGCAAACTCATACACCATAGATCCCGACAATCTGTCCTAGAGGCCTCCAGACCAGCAGGTTTCAGAGGGAGGACAATGTATCGGTCCACAGGCCACAGAATGCTTGGGATGCACCGATCGGCACGTTATTAAACCCACTGGGACCAACAGAACTCCACACATCCCATACCAGAGTGATTAATGCTTCCAATCTCAGCCTGTGCTGTAGGAGGCTTTCATATTTCACGGCAAAGTTGTGCAGACCAGTTGGTTCATGGCAGGCTGTCTGTCCCACCTTGCTGCCTATGGCCTCTCCACCAAGCCAGGCTCGGGTATGGAGCTCCTGACCGTCCACAGCACTCTGTCTGCTCTGTGTCCTGGGCTAGAAACCTGATAACCAGCAGATACTTCCTTGGGTTGGGCACCCTGGGCTCGGTGACCACCGTGTCATCTTGGCATGTCCCCATCATCTCCTTGATTGTCCTCCCCCAGACAGGGGGCTCGACGGGGAGTCCATGGTGGTGTTGTTGGAAGATGGGATGAGAACTGACACTGTGGTCACTTACTGCCGCACTGGGTGCTCAGTCGCCGCTGGGTCAGTGCAGGGACCTCACCACCAATTATGTGAATGCCTCCCCTCTGCCTGAAGCTCCCCAGGCTCTGCCTTCTCACACACCCAGAAACCCTCACAAAAGTCCACAAGAGTGTCCCCCCAAATCCATGTCCACCCAGAACCTACGAATGGGGCCTTAACTGGAAATGGGTCATTGCCTCCTTGCAGATGTGATCAGTGAGGTTGCGACGAGGTAATACTGGATTAGGGAGGGTCCTAAATCCAATAATTAGTGTCCTTATAAAGAGAGTGTGGCCCAGGGCACTATGGAAGAGGTTTGAGGATGAGCACAGCAGCAGAATCTGAGTGCTGGAGGCTCACCCAGGCAGAGTGTGCTCCACTTCGTTCCAGGGGACTGAGAGAAATGAACCCGGGGTGAGACCCAGAGCCGTCCCCTCCTGCAGTCCATCTGGGCCAAAATGAGAGCCCAACCAGTGGGGAGGGAGGGGCAGATTCAGGAAATAGAAAAAGTGGAAGGGGCTGGTTCTGGACAGATGGGAAAAGGGCAGGTGAGCGCCAGGAAAGATCTAGGAAGGTTTTTGGGTTTTCAGTTCCTGGGCCATAACTGAGATGGGGTGCCCAGGAGGAAGGGCCAGCTGGCCAGGAAAGATGGGGTATGTTCACTGGAGCTCCTGTAACCACAGCCTGGGTGACTGAAACCACAGGGATGAATTGTCTCATGGTTCTGGAGGTTGGAAGTCTGAGGTCAAGGTGTTGGCAGTGGGGGGGTTCACACTGGGGACTGCAGGGAGACTCTGTTCCAGGCCTGTCTCTCCAGCTCCCAGTGGCCTGTAGGCAATCTTTGGCATTCCTTGACTGACAGAAGCATCACCCAGAGCTCTGCCTTCATCTTTGTGTGAGGTTTGCTCCGAGTGCATGGCTGTGGCCACATTTCATTCATTCATTCATTCATTTATTTATTTGAGATGGAGTCTTGCTGTGTCGCCCAGGCTGGAGTGCAGTGGCACGATCTCGGCTCACTGCAGCCTCCGCCCACACAGATTCAAGTGATTCTCCTGCCTCAGCCACCCAAGTAGCTGGGACTACAGGCACCCGCCACCACGCCCGGCTAATCTTTGTATTTTTAGTAGAGACGGGGTTTCACCATGTTGGCCAGGCTGGTCTCGAACTCCTGACTTCAGGTGATCCATCCGCCTCAGCCTCCCAAAGTGCTGGGATTATAAGCATGAGCCACTGCACCCGGTCCCATTTCCTCTTTTTATAAGAATATCAGTCCTACTGGATTAGGGCCCAATCTAATGACCTCATTTTCAGCTGATGACTTCTGTAAAGACCCTACCTCTAAACAAGGTCACACTCTGAGATCCTCAGGGTGATACTTCAACATATGCATTTGCAGGGACACACTTCAAAGGGGAGTCAGGGGTCTGGGCTCGCCTGGTGGCAGGCTCTGCAGGAGATGAGTCTGAGGGTCCAAGAGGAGGTCCAGGGAGCGCTCTGCAAGCCACCAGCCCCGAAGATCACTGGCACCATAGGAGCAGGGCAGGATGGGCGGGGGTGGGGAGCAGAGAGCAGAGCAAGGGCAACCACAGAACCTGGGGCCACACCACCTTCTGAGATGAGCCACATAGCCTGGCACTGAGCCTCCTTCACGTGCTGAGGCCACATCTGTGTGCCATGGAGCCTGTGAGCCCCTGGAGGGAGAGGCTGTGCCTGGGACCCTGCGGATTCCCCAACACATTTGCTGAACAAGCAGGGCAGGGAGAGAAAGGAAAGTGAGGTCGAGACAAATATTATAAATATGACCATATCCCTGATGGAGAAGAAAGTCAAGAAAGAGTTCATGTTGAAAGGCAACACGGGCCAGACACACCTGGTACTCAGGGGCCCTGCAGGGTTTTACAGCAAACTGTGGCCACATGGGGGCTGGGAGGGGACAGCCAGGAAAGAGGCACAGTCCCCATCTGAATTTGACTGAGAGACTCTTTGAAGCCGTCTGAGATTTCCATATACGATTTCTATTAATATTTAAGGCAAGACGCATCCCATCCTCCATAACAACACCGTCTTGAAAGAAGCCTTTGAACTACTTGAAAGGTAAACCCAGCATTATTCTTGGATTAAGAACTCTTGTTCATTCAACAAATACAGCCCCACGACGACATCCCTGAACACCAGAGCCAGAGGTGCCTTGGCATGTGCACGCTGCCTGCTTCTGCAGCAGTAGGATGATGCGTGTGTGGCCTGTTACGTCACACCGCCAGTGGGTCTGGGCAGTGTCCCATTGCCAATTGCGGGAGGAGTCCTTCAGGGCACGGATGAATAATCATGCTAAGTAGGATAAATAAAAACTATAAATAGCCTCAAATCAGTTCAGGTCAAGTACTACTGCCAACGAGCTACGGAGAAGGCATTCGCTTTTCAGATCTTTTTGCAGATCCACATTGAAGGTAGGGAACTCTGTCTTTACTCCTGAGAGCTCGTGTTGGAAGGTACTCATGAGTGAAGACAGAGTTCCCTACCTTCAAGTTTACAGAGGAGACGGGGTGCACAGTGGAAAGGAGGGGAAAAAAACCCCACACGCATGAAGAGGAAAGACAAGTAGGATGCAGGCTTGGAGGTGGAGGCTCGGCGGGACGGGGAGAAAAAAGGACAAGACCCTTCCCTAGAAGCGCTTGGTGGACACAGTGGGTGCAAACGACCAAGTGGCTGGATGGAGGGAAGAGAGACCCTCAGATGGAGGGAATAGGGGGCCCCCATACAGAGGGGCCCCCCACAGACCAGAGTCAGGGGCACACAGGTCCGTGAGCTACGTGGAATGAGAGATGGGTCCCTGGACCACATTACTTCCGGCTCCCTGGTGTATCTCCTCCACGTTCTGGCCACCTGCGGGTCCCTGTTTTCCTCCACACTGACCACTTGAAAACTGATGGGTGGCAATTTTCACCCCTCATTGTCCTAAGGGTCGTGGGGGCTGCTTTGCTTGGTGCTGGAGTCTGGGGCCACAGTGGAACATGGCATTGATTGCTAAGAGGAAGGGACCCCACGATGCCCTGTAGAGCCCAGCTCCTCGGGGCAGGAGGAGCACATATCCACTGTCTGCCCTCTCCCCACACTCATGACCTCCACCTCCCCCAGCCCCAAACATTACAAAAGCTAAAGACATCCTGGGCACCTGTGAGAAAGGAAGAGCGGAGGTAGTTCCCACGTCCATCCTGGTGCCTCTGCCTCCCGGGTGGCGACCCTCAGGAAGGTGAAACCTGCAGCTTGGGCCCTGCAGTTTATAGAATGATATGTTTGTGGTTCCCTAAAACAAAGAGCCGTTGCCACAGCAACCGTGGCATCCCAGCACTCAGAGGCTATTCTCAGACACTAAACAATGAGTTTTGCCTTTCAAATGCATTTGATACAATTTGCTTGGAAGGCATTAACATCCTCTGACAAAACCCATGAGGAAGAGGAGGGCAGGTGAGAGCTGACAAGGTCGAGACTTGCAGGGCTTCCAGGAATCACACCCATTCATGAGACAGGAGGGCCCAACGGCCCCAGACACTTTCAATAGGCAAACAGGAAATGGGAAACAGCAGAGGGGAGGCAGGCAGGATCCCTAACCTTCCAACAGCAGTTCCGTGGAGGAGGAGGGGCTGCCCAGAGGTGAGGCAGTTGGGATCCCTAACCTTCTAGCAGTGGTCCCATGAAGGAGGAGCGGCTGCCACACACCCTTTCGGGGCTTCTTCAGGAGAGACGTTCCACAGTCCCATCTGGGGCAGTTCTCTTCTTCAGGGTCACTGCAAAGATGGCAGCACAGGCCAGAGCCCGCAGCAACCACTTAATCCACCCTGCTCACTCTGCAAAGGACATTGAGTGCGTCCCCTGCTCACAGCCAGCCATTGCTTCCTCCATTTACCATTTTTTTTTTTTTTGCCAGTTCATGAACAACTTTGCTATTGTTTACAACGATCTCATGGGATTAGAATACCAAACAGTGATGCCAGTGAGAAGACCAAATAACCTTCATTCCTAGCACCAGCCTCCTGTCACTAGCACGCTGGGCAAGCTGCCCTCAAAAACAGCTCCCGGGCGTCAGTGACAGGAACACGTGTCATCAGGAAAAAGGCATGATGTAGGCAGGCTGGGGGCAGCATCCCAATGCAAAGTACATTTTTGAACAGACTAAAGAACATGTGAACAGTACACAGAAATTCCTCCATCTAGCCATCTATCCATCTACCTATAGATCCATCCATTCATCCATCCATCCATCTTATCTATCAATCCATCTATCTAATCTATCCTATCTATCCATATCCATCTATCCATATCTATCTAATCTATCTACCTACCTACCTAATCTGTCCATCCATCCATCCATATCTATATACTCCATCTATCTATCCATTCACCCATCCAGCTATCCCTCTAATCTAATCTAATCCAATCTAATCTAATCTAATCTATCTAATCTATCTAATCTATTTATATGTAATCTATCTATCTATCCATGATTTATCTATCTATCTAATCTATCTATTGAGACAGGGTCTCTGTTACACACACTGGAGTGCACTGGCCCAGCCGTAGCTCACTGTAGCCTACAACTCCTGAACTCAAGCAACCCTCCTGCCTCAGCCTCCTGAGAAGCTGGAACTACAGGCACATGCCCTTCCTCTGTATGGCAAAATTATTTTCATTAACAGTCATGTAATAACCATCATTTTATTGATTTGTGCATCAGTTTTAAAACCAAATATTTTGAAAGAATGAATGTCAATTTTAAAGGTATTATCCAAATCCAATAAAATAGTTCATGTAAGCATTGAAATCTGCATATCTGCATTTACTAAAAAAAAAAAAAAAAAAAAAAAATTCCACCTTGTAGTTCACATCCACTGCCGTTTCAAATTTTAAACACAGATGAAAACTCCGAGTGGCTACCTAGAATGACAGCACTGAAGGAACACGAGTTCACTTTGTCTTTATAGTTACTGTGCCCTCATGTCTGTTTCAAATCTACCGTGTAATAGCAGGAATGGTGATCACAGGGCATGGAGACCAGGCCATTCCGGACCCTGCAGACTTCACTCCAGTCAAAAGGCTGTAGCTAAGCCCACTCATGCCTGAGAACCACATGTAACTATAACAGGCTTCCCCAAGTTAATGTTCATACAGAATATGGTATTCACTAAAGGATACATTATAAAAAGATGCTAATTTGAAGTTCACAGATACATTTCAACAGCAACTGTAGCAATTGCTTAGATCTTAGACCAACGATTGGGGGAAGGAGTATTTTATCATTGGCAATTTTTAGAACGGGGGGACATGGTGATCATTAAAAGGGAAGGGACATTTAGCTGGCTTTATTGTTATTTGGAATTCTCTCCAGATGAAGCAATAGAAGTGCCCTCCTGTTGCGTGTACCTGGGGCAGACAGCGTCACTCACTCCGCCCCCAGTAGAGCTCTGCTTTCGGAACATGATGATAAAGCATTAATATTGCATGTTTGGTGAAACCCCGTCTCTACTAAAAATACAAAAAAAAAATTAGCCAGGCGTGGTGGCAGGCGCCTGTAGTCCCAGCTACTCAGGAGGCTGAGGCAGGAGAAAGGCGTGAACCCGGGAGTGGAGGTTGCAGTGAGCCGAGATTGCGCCACTGCACTCCAGCCTGGGAGACAGAGTGAGACTCCGTCTCAAACAACAACAACAACAACAACAACAACAACAACAACAAATATTGCATGTCTGGGAGCTGGGCATGGTGACTCACGCCTGCAATCCCAACACTTTGGGAGGCCAAGGCAAGTGGATCACTTGACCCTAGGAGACCAGCCTGGGAAACACAGTGAAAGCCCCGTCTCTACAAAAATATAAAAATTAGCTGGGTGTGGTGACGCATACCTGTGGTCCCAGCTACTTGGGGGGCTGAAGTGGGAGGATTATTTGAGCCCTGGGAGGTCGAGACCGCAGTTGGCGGTGAATGCACTGCTGCACACCAGCTGGGGTGACAGAGTGAGACACTGTTTCAAAAAAAAAAAAAAAAAGAGGCTGGTCACAGTGGCTCATGCCTGTAATCCAAGCACTTTGGGAGCCCGAGGTGGGCAGATCACCTGAGGTTGGGAGTTTGAGACCAGCCTGACCAACATGGAGAAACCCCGTCTCTACTAAAAATACAGAATTAGCCAGGTGTGGTGGTGCATGCCTGTAATCCCAGCTACTTGGGAGGCTGAGGCAGGAGAATCACTTGAACCCGGGAGGTGGAGGTTGCAGTGAGCCGAGATCACACCATTGCACTCCAGCCTGGGCAACAAGAGTGAAACTCCATCTCAAAAAAAAATTATATATACATATATACACACACGTATATACATAATATACACACATGTATATACATAATACACACACACACATATAGACACACACACACACACACACACACACACACACACTTGGCTGGGTGCGGTGGCTCACGCCTGTAATCCCAGCACTTTGGGAGGCCGAGGCGGGCAGATCACGAGGTCAGGAGAGGAGACCATCCTGGCTAACACGGTGAAACCTCATCTCTACTAAAAATACAAAAAATTAGCTGGGCGTGGTATCGGGCACCTATAGTCCCAGCTACTCGGGAGGCTGAGGCAGGAAGATGGCATGAACCCGGGAGGCAGAGCTTGCAGTGAGCCAAGGTCACGCCACTGCACTCCAGCCTGGGTGATGAGTGAGACTCCGCCTCAAAAAAAAGAAAAAAAAAGAAAAAAATTATACACACACACACACACACACACGCACACACACACATGCATACACATGCATATATTGCATGTTGATTCATTAACGGGGAAGCTGAGGTTCAGAGGAGTGTTTCATCCATGTGGGCTGCAGCAGGTGACAACACTTCTAGGGTCTGTGCAAGTGAAGGCAGGAAATAACAGGGCTGCTGCTGAGCGCAGAGTCGAGTCTCGTGAAATGCTCTGAGCAACGGTGGGGTAGGGGATGTTCCATCAGAAGGGGCCAGCATGCTGAGGCAGAGCGCCCTGTCTAGTGGCCACTCCAATACTCTGGTCCCGTGACTGCCTCTCAGCCTGGGCCATCTGGACACTGGCCAACAAAGGGCCTCACCACCTGGACCTTGGAGAATTCCACAAGGGACTGAGACCCGGTGAGATTCTAACAGCTGGAACACACACATGGCCCTGGTGAGAAAGGAGTAACTATTGCTTCCTGTCCCAGCCACACAATTTCCTCCCATCTCTTCCTCACTGATATTTTTATTTCTCTTCAGGACACAGAAAAAGAATACGGATAATTTATAACTAAAGGAGCAACAATGGTGTTCTGAATTATTTTCCCCTCTTTTTGGAACGCATCAACATGTAATTTGTGCCCCGCTCGCTGGATAACTCTGAGAGCAGGCAGGTGTTCCGAGGGCCCCAGCCAGGGTCAGGGCCAGGAGGCCTGGGCAGAGCCCTCACCCTATGCCGATGGCCAGCCTGTGACCTCACATAAGCCAAGAGGCTTCCTGGGCCGGATTTCTATAGTAACCGGCCACTGGGTCTGCCGGCATACGTCGCCTGACTTTCTGCTGTTCTATTCTTTGGCAGAACACCCTTCCCCTGCCTGCTGGCTGCCTGGAACTGAATGAAGCCACCGTGATTTCAGGGAGAGATCCCGGCTCCTGCCCTCCCCACCAGCTTCAGCAGAACTCTGCCCTCTTGGGTCATGCATTTCCTTTCCTTACTTCACCAGCTCTGGTTGTACACATCCGAGACTCCCCAGGACTCTACCAAGGGCCTGATAGAGGGGATAGAACATGAACACCTTTGGCCACTGTGATTGGTTCAAGGATGGTTGATACCCAAAGCCATGTCATTGGCTGGACTCCTGAAGCTCTGGCCAGAGCAACAAGGAGTAAGAAGCTTACTTACTCAAGGAGTAAGGCTGAGGCCAAGCAGAGGGAAGCCAAATATAGACACGGATAGACGGGCACATTCTATAAATATTCCCTGCGGAGAAAGTGGCTGTTTCTCTCCTGCACCAGGAAAGAACAGGTCTGAATAGTCAGCAATTGACTCAACAAATATTTGTCAAGCACCTACCAGGTGGCAGAAGCCATATTGGTTGGGTGTGCTGGGGAAAAGAGAAGACGTTAACACCTGCCTTTGTGCAGCGTGAGTCCGGCGAAGAATGCAGAGAAGCAGGAGGGAGAGTCAGCGGTTCTGAGAATGGCTCAGCCGCCATTGACTTGGCCTCAGGAGCAGGGCACTGGGGGTCCCAGACACAGGAAGGAAGGTGTCGCCTTTATGGCCTTCGCTCTGTGGATGAAGTCAGCACTGCAGAAGGCTGCCCCATCCACATCTCTCTTACAAAACCAAGCCGCAGCTCCCTCCTGCTGAGCTGGGATGCAGATGAATATTCATGGAGAACTGGGAATTGGGAGTTGATGACCAAGTCATTCCAAAGGCAGGACCCTGGGAGGACCTCGACAAGGTCTAGACCCTAACACTGGGCCACACCTCTCAATGCAGCCCTAACTTCCCCTCCACATAGAAGGGAGAAAATTCGGAACAAACATACAGGGCATCATCACACGGGAATTCCCCATCCTGCTTTCTGGAGCAATTTACCATATTAATTGGCTGTGGCTGATGCTCAGAAATCATGGAAAGCCACGTTTCAACCCACAGGAACCCAGGGACCTCCCTCGGGCTGCATGGTGGGTTTGGACCCTGCCTATTAAGCCAATGGTCTTGCCCAACTCAGGGCACCACCATGACGGCCTTCCTCGGGGGTGGTCTTGGACAGGGGACTGGCAGAGGACTGGAATGGGATCTGTTCTTATTTTTCAGCCTCTACTTGATAAATGAGTCCATGAGTTTGCCATGAGAGGTGAACTTCCTCCTGCTCCATCAAAAGGGACCCTGACAAGCTCTCTGCTGCGCTACCCAGGGCTCAAAGCAGCTCCCTTCCCACTAACTCCTACGAGCTTGTTCCAGGGTCATGAATGAATGCTGAACGATTTTGGAGAAGGATCTGGTCTAAGGCCAGGAATGAGGCTGCTCCCTGCCCTCACCTCCAGCTCCAGCCAGACTCTCTGCCCCTCCAGGTCATGTGACTTCTCCTTTACCATCTCTCCCCCAGGGGACATCCTGAAGTCTGGTCCTGGGGAAGGAAAATGTTTCCTGAGGCTACGTATCTTCCTGAAGCTGCCCCCATCTTGGTGGACTCCTTGGTCAGGGCAGCCCATGTGCCCGGTGGTCCTAAGGACGAGGGTATACTGATGCCTCCATCTGGCACCTGGATCCACGGAGAATTGGGGACCAGAATCCCATGAACTGCTGCTGCTTCATTAGCTGTTTAATGTGTCCCTTCTGGCTTGGCTAAAAGCAACAGCACTTAGGTACATATGCGTACAAGTTCTTCCTTTTCTGTCTGAAGCCTCCATAACGTCTTTTCACTTATGCTTATTAGAACCAGAATTAGAAACCTTTCCTCTGTGCAATTTAATTCTACCCAGCATATTCTTATGAGGCTCCGATATTTGAAATCCCAAAAGGCACTTCAAGAAAGGACTCTCGATTCTCTGTCTGAATTCGGGCTCAGCTCAAAAGAGGGTCTCAAATGCAGGGAGTGGTGAGGGAGAGAGGTTGTTATCTGTGGTGGCTTCTGAGGCTCAGAGAGGTGCCGTGGCTGGTCCAAGACCACACGGAAAATTCCGGATTGGAACCCTCGTCCCTCTGGGATTTGGTCAAACGCTTTTTCTTCAGCTCCAATACCCAGGTGCTTTTGCATATTAACAAAAATTAAGATCTCTGTGACTATTTCCTGACTCCAATGCCAGTGGCTAGAAATTCAGGGGTTGAATCCCTTGCCCCAAAGGCCATGCGGGGCCCCCCTCCCAGGCTTATGGAGGATCGATGGGCTCTGACAGCAGGACACCGGCGGTGGGACCCTCTCTCCTGGCACCAGCTGAATGGGGCCTCGGCTGGCTTCCTGCAGTTGCTTCCAGGCCTGGAGAGCCAGGGACTCCCCAGGGAAGGGCACAAGCAAGGAGTCAGGGAAAGCGGAGTCCACAGGGATCCCAGGCCTCTCCCAGGAATGGTGACAGAGCTTCCTGGCTTTTGAGGGTAGCCAGATGTTTCTCCGAGTTTCAGGACCCTGCTGTTGCAACTGTGCTGTGCTGTGGCCCACTCAGTGGTAGATGCTGTGCAGCTCTCCAGTGCGAGGCCCAGGGGCCGGTGCTGTGCCTGCCAGGGCTCCAAGCTCCCCGGCTAGCCTTGGGATAGTTAGCCCAGGCACCCCAATGTCTATCCCGAGCTCACCTGCTAGCCTGGGCATAGATAACCTGGGCAGCCTGATGTCTACTCTGAGCTTCCTGGTTAGCCTGGGTATAAACAGCACATGCACCCTGATGTCTATGAAGCCAGCCATAACTCTAAATGTGAAAAGGCAGGTGCACTAATCGGGCATCCTGGTCGAAAGAAGGGCTGTGGTCAGCTGGGGAGGAGACCGGGCTTCGGGGGCTGCTGGAAGAGTCTACGAAGAAAGTTGGGGAGATGGATGGAGGTGCGCTGAGAAAAGGAACACCCTGAACAGAGGACTGAAAGATGGGGCAGGGACAGCTCCTGCCTGTGAGCTGCCTGGAAGGGGCTTGGAAAAGAGAAAGCCGGAGAGGCAGGTGGAGCCATTCAGAATTAGGAGCTTCTGAGACTTCCATTCAAGTCACCTGGAAGCGGGCATGCCCCCTCTGTGAGGCCAGGGGCATGTGCCCATGGAACACAGAAGTCAAGACTCTTCTCTGCTCCTCGCCCACCCCTGGGCTTGTGCCCTATGCTGGGATGGGGAGACCCTGGGCTGGGGCTGGGGAACACGATGTCTGCTCCCATCAGTCTGTGTACCCTCACCAGAACCTCTGCCCCACTGACGCATAGATTTTCCCTCCATAGAACAAGGAGGACTGAAGGGGCTAGGGTCCCAGCTGCCACCTGTGGATAGGCATCCTGAGAGGATAGAGCTCCCAGGGCCATCAGCCACATTTGCTCAGGTGCAGAATCTCCAAGGGGGATTTCTCGCTGGGTCTGTGAGTCATGAGACTAAGCAGGGGTTGCCAAGATTCCCAGGACCCTTTCACATTCTGAGTCTGTGTTCCCTGGGGTCACCAACTTTTGGGCATCCCAACCCTGAACGACAATTACTTCTGGAAGCACCTTGAGAGTCTTTCTTTTTGTTAATAGAAACAGAATCTCTGTCTGTCATCCAGGCTGAAGCAAAGTGGCCCGATCATAGCTCATTGCAGCCTTGAACTACCAGGCTCAAGCCATCTTCCCATTTCAGCCTCCTGAGTGGTTGGGATTACAGGCCTGCACCACCACGCTTGGCTAATTATTTTATTTTCTAAAATTTTTGTAGAGATGAAGTCTCACCATCTCACCCAGGCTGGTCTTGAACTCCTGGGCTCAAGCAATCCTCCAGTTTCGGCCTCCCAAAGTACAGGGATTACAGGTGCGAGCCACCTTGCCTGGCCAAGAGTCTTTCTACAGCTTCACCATGAAGCAGGTGGGTGAATCAGGGGTACAAGATAGACACAAATCTTAAAACAATGGCTAATGGGGTTGGTTACAGTGTCTTATGTCTGTAATTCCTGCACTTTGTGAGACTGAGGTAGAAGGATGACTTGAGCTCAGGAGTTTAAGACTAGCCTGAACAATACAGGGAGACCCTGTCTCAATAATAATAATATTAATAATAATATTAATAATAATAATAATAATAATAATAGTAAACTCCAGGGGGCTTGGATTGTCCTCTTCTGGGTAGATCCCAATAATCTTTCTCCCCAGGTGGATGGGTGAGCACAGAGTTCTAGAATTCCAGAGCTCTTTTGAGTATACTAGATCCTTTGGCTTTAATTTTATTTTTTTTTAAGAGACCAGGTTTTGCTCTGTTGCCCAGGCTACAGTGCCGTGGCCCCATCATGGCTGTGGCTGCTCACTGCAGCCTCAAACTCCCAGGCTCAAGTGATGCTCCCACCTCAGCCTCCTGCACCCAGCAAATTATTTATTTATTTTTTGTAGAGATAGGGTCTTGCTAAGTTGCCCAGGCTGGTCTCAAACTCCTGGCCTCAAAGGATCCTCCCAGCCCAGCCTCCCAAAGTCTTGGGATTATAGGTGTGAGCCACCACACCCAGCCTGGATCCTTAAATTCACTTGCAGGAAGGGAACCCTTGCTAGAGAGGCGGAAAACATCAGTGTGAATTCCCCAAGCCCCCAGGGGGACACACTGAGGACCAGGGTTAAAGGGTGACTCACTGGCATGATGCTGGCAGGTGAGACAAACAGCATGGAGGAGGAGGAGGAGGGAGGGAGTGGGGAAAGGGAAGGAATGAGCAAGGGAGAAGGAAGTGGAGGAGAGAAGAACGGGTGGCTCTGCTCGGCCCATTCACCAAGTGTTTCCAGGCCTGGTGAGCTCCGGGGTGGGACGGGAGAGGGGCCACTGCAGTGTGGAAGGCAGGCAGAAAGGCCCCTGGGCTGTGCCTGTAGCTAGGAGCTGGGAACCAGTTCTATAGCCTACAAGCAAGGGATTTAATACATATCTCAGAGTGATGGGGAAATTGATTTTCCTTGATAAAATGGCCCAGTGAAAAAGATCATGACAGAAGCTGCCAAGGATTCCTTACCTTGGCAGTATCTGGTCACTGCTGCAGGCTGACATGTGACCTTGTCATTAATAGGTCACAGAACAGGAGCAGGGGCCAGCTGGGCTAGTCTGTGCAGAAGCAGGCTTAGGTCAGAGGTAGGGCAGACCCCAAAACTTGCTTGCAAAATCAGCCAGGAGCACAGGGGTGAGGGGTGGCGGTGCAGGGAGAGGACGGTGATCCCCACGGCTTTGCTAAAAGGCGGCAGTGGCTTATCCTCATGTCCACAGGAAAGGCCACCTCTGTGCCATCTGTCCACGCTGGCCCAGCATCTGCGAGCACAGGAAGCCAAGCGGCTGGCCTGGTCCTCCAGGAGGGCAGAACTGTGTGGATTTTGCAGGAGTGAGGGGAGGTCCTGAGGAAACAGCTGCAGGTGAACAGCAAACTGCAGGGCAGGCAGGAGGCAGGTGGAGGTGAGGGCGGGCTTGCCTGCGGCCTGTGGGAGGGGAGGGCAGGAGCCAGGGTCCCAGAGGTCAAGGTGGCAGAGAGAGAAGCAGTGTTATGGGCAGCCTTAGCAGGAGTGAAGGGGCGGCTCCGGAGTCAGGGCTGTCGGTTCCAGCCCCAGCTGCATCCCCACCCTGGGGACCCTTGTCAAGTGTCTGGGCTCCAGGATCCTCATCCTCCTGCGCCGAAAACGGGGCAGTGAAGGCGCCTCCCTAACAGGGCTGTCATTAGGATTGAGCACTGAGCACTGAGCCCAGGCCTGGCTCTGAAAGGGCTGAAGGCACAGGAGCTATTTTTGCTGCTCAGATCAAGGCAGCAGTTGCCTCCTCCTCTGGGAAGCCATCCTGACTCTATGCCCCATTGGGATTTAGCACCCCCTAATGCTGGCCTCAGCCTTCCCACCCTGATACCTACGGCAGGTATAACATAAATGTCCTCCATCTGTAGGAAACCAACAGCCAAAAGTCCAGCTCCTCAGCTATGGCACAAAGTCCTGGTCCACCTGACCCCTGGACCTGGTGCAGGGCTTCCATGTGGAGAAATGACATGGGCAGGGACAATCCAGAACCTGACCCGAGCAGGCAGGACCAGACCAAGAGAACAAAGGGGGCTGGGAAAGGGGGCAGAGGCCACACAGGACTCCGGGAGCCCACCTGAGAGGGTGTGCTGCGGTGTGGAGCAGGACAGAGCAAAACTAGGGGGCCCGGGAAAGCCCCCAGGGTGCACCTCACCACCCTCCTGGACCCACGCCGGAGGCACAGAGAAGGGGTGGGCAAGACCACGTGGAAACAAGACCCGGCCTCCACCTGGGCTAGGACATGTGCCCTGAAAGCCAGGCAGGGCTGGGGAGGCCCAGGCAAGGGGAGAAGGCGCTGAGGATGCTGGCAGGGCACGGAGGGAACACCTTACAAGAGGGGACCAGGAAGGAGGAATCTGCCTTGGTCATGACCTTGGTGGTCTTCAGCCCTCTGCAGGAGTCAGAGCTGAGGAACCAGAGGCCAACCTGCTGGGCCAGAGTCCTCGGTCTCAGAAGGGTAGGAACAGAGATCTGCAGGGAGCCAGGAGCAGGGGTGGGTGGCGCTCAGGGGCAAGGGAGGAACTTTCTGGGAGAATGGATGCAGAGAGCAAGAGGAGAATGCACCAGCCCATGCTTGGCTCAGGCCAGTGCACCAGGGCACACCCTGTGAATGCCCGAGTAGTGTTTCCCACCAGGCTGGCATCCACCCCACCAGAGAGGGCTCGGGGCTGTGATAATAACGGGGTCAGGGGGTGCTTCTCACACGTGGTGGGCAGGGGCCAGACAGGCTAAAGTCCTGCAATGCGTGGAACGGGCCCCTAGGGATTGTGAGTGACCTACCAGATGTTCAGACAAATGCAAAATCTGTTTATCTGCACAACCTCCTGCGTGTTACTTAGAAACACCACACAAATCTGCACAGCTTTAATACTCCCCGAATTTTCCAGGAATGCAATGAAAGACAGCATGGGCTTTGTTTGGTTTGGAACTTTCCTAAGAGCTGTTGACTATTTTGGAAGCCAGCCCTGCCTTGGACCACACCCGACCCATGGCTGAGCATCTCCCAGCTGCTGGAGGAGCTCTGGGGTTCATGGTGACCGGATTGGAAGGGAATGACCATTGAAACTGCACTGGGTCTTCTGGGACAGACCTCTCCCTGCCTACGGTGTCCGGTCCCCCCCACCGAGTGTTCCTGCTTCATAGAACAGTGTTCCTGCTTTGTAGAACACGATGGGTATCTTTTCTTTTCTTTCTTTTTTTGAGACGAAGTCTCGTTCTTGTTGCCCAGGCTGGAGTGCAATGGCGCGATTTCGGCTCACTGCAACCTCCGCCTCCCAGGTTCAAGCGATTCTCCTGCCTCACCCTCCCGAGTAGCTGGGATTACAGGCACGTGCCACCATGCCTGGCTAATTTTTGTATTTTTAGTAGAGATGGGGTTTCACCATGTTGGCCAGGCTGGTCTTGAACTCCTGACCTCAGGCGATCCACCCACCTCAGCCTACCAAAGTGCTGGGATTACAGGCGTGAGACACTGCGCCCAGCCAGGGGTCTTTTCTAAATTCCACGTGTATGTCAGGGTATGTTATCTAAGAGTTTCATTTGAGGATAATGAAGGAGATGTTATACAACACTTTTTCTAAGAGAACTGGGGTCTCGTGTGGTTGGGAACCAGGGAACAAAGTCATCTCCCGTAAGTGCCCTGGGAGCGCTGTATAGAGGGGAACCGCGCAGGGACCGCATGGTGAGGGTCAGGCTAGGGCACAGTGGAGACTCTCTGAGCTTCTGCCCTTCCGTGGGGGATGGAGTGGGAAAGGCTCTTCTCTAAGGGTGAGAACTGCCCAGGACCGGGGAGCAAAGAGCTGGGAGAAGCTCAGGTTTGGGGAAGAGTTCAACCCAGAAGACGGAAGGAGTCGATCTCTGTGTGCACCATGGGGGATCCGCAGTGGGACACACTTCCCAGCAGCCACGTGTCCACTGTGTGGGAGTCAGTGCGGCCAGGGACTCCGTGTCCTCCACCCAGTCCCCCTGAACAGTGCTCCATTTGGCTGAAGAGGGGACAGGCCGCAGGGCGGGCTCCAGTGAGTAAAGGGGCTGCGCAGGAGGCATGGGGCAAGGGTGTGGACAGAACGTGGTAACGAACATCAACAAAGACAAGGCACACAGAGATGCATGCTGGGCAGGAGCTCCGGCCTCACTGTCACTGCAGCATCCCATCAGGACAAAATCCACAATTGCCCCGGGAGCACCATGTACACAGCATTCGGGGCAGGCCACACAAGACGGCTGATCCTCCAGCGGACACTCCCTGGGCGTCGGTGCTGGAAATCGGCCAAATGTAAAAATACCCTCCCAACCCAACACGCTGGCCACCTGTGGCCCTTACACAAAGCCGGTCACCTTGGATCCCATCCCCGCCAGTCAACTCCGCTTTACAATTTGGAACAAAACTTCTAGACAGATACGCACGGGAGAAAGTAGGACCACAGCAACACGCACGTGACCGACCCCTTCAGCTGACATGAAAATGACACCAAGCAAGACTCCAGAGTGGCAGACGAACAACAGAGCTGGTTATGTCCGGATGAAACCAGCAGCCCGGCATGCGGAGTCAGCACCACACACACACAGACCGGAAACCACACGCAGACTTGCACAGCTCACTCGGTCCCGCGAAGAGGGACGAGACAAGACGCAGGTCAGTCCCAACAGACAGGTCACAGAGGCGGCCGACTGCTCCCATATGCCTTGAAACTGCTGTGTCTGTTGGGGGTTTTCTGTCCTTCCTCTCCGGCAATTTGTTTTGAAAATATTCTATGGGAATCTGGTCAACAGCTGTGTGACTGCTGCAGAACGCTAAGTAAAAATACAATCTTGACTTTCCTTGGGAGGGTTTATTCTTAACATGCACAGGAGGGGACTCAATAACGGGGACCCCGACCACTCTGATCTAATGAAATGAAATAGGTGAGGATTTGGGGTTTTCCTTGGAAGCTGCTGGTTCTACTTGCAAACACAAAGGCTATTGTGATTACTGCAGATCATCATTTGTGTCTCATTGGAAGGAGCACATTTCACAGTCAAAATGCCAGGTAAACTGAAATTTTTCAAATCAGATCTATTTTATTTCACAGCAGGTAGTATCTAGCAAACAGGTATATTTTTAAAGGATCATGGCTCAAAATCAGCCTGAATTTTACTTTCACACACACAATCACACAATCACACACACACACACACACACACACCCCTAACATATTACATTAAGCAATCTGTTTGAAAACACCACCCTCTATTCATCATCTATACATATCTAAAGCATAATTATACAGGCACCCGGTCTTGAAACCTAGCAACAGTATCCAAGTATTCCTTCGTCGGCTAATCAGGCACCCAAACTCACACATCAGCTCAATGTGCCTCCTTTTAAAATATAAAAACCCCTCGCTTCTCTCTCCATAGCTGCGGAAGGACAAGATGTATGAAAACAAACCTTGTTCGGTTGAGGAAGAACAACCCATGTCATTTAATCCATCTGACAGTGCATCTCCCCACAAAGCCGGGCAAAAGCAAAAACAACAAAGACCGTAAAAAATAGGTTATCCCAGTCCAAAGCTTATCAGCTGGCAACATGCTTAATGTGTGCACGACTGTTTCAGATGCGGGCTCCCCGGCACCCGGACAGTCTTGCTATTTGGGATCTCCATCCCACAGAAGCCATCGTCCAGGCTCTATGGCAAAGCTTTTATAACCTGCTGGGCTCATTTACTTGGCCGGCTAAACACTGGACGACAACAAGCAAGGATTAACTGTGGTATTCACGTCCACATTTAAACCATCACTTTCTTCGAGTTGGCAAATAAAATCACCAAACAGAGGTCCCATTTAATTTTTTTTTTTTTTTAAGAGGAAGGGGACAGAAACAGCATCACAGCATCAGACAACAGCAACATACATGCTGGCCGGATTGTGAACAGAACGCTTCGCGGCAGGCTGAAACCTCTCTTTTAAAGAGATACACTTGAATCCATTTCTGGGTTCTACAGACCTCAGAGCACCCATTCATCACCTCACAGTGTTCATTGTCTTCTCCCCTAAAGCCACATTCCAGCATCGTAAGGGCACTGATTTCCTGGCACTGATTGCTTCTGTGTTTGGGAAACAAAGGATCCCTCCTCAGTAGCAGGGAGGCCACTTGATCCTTTAAAGAGACTTTTTAAAGGAAAACATCCCATTGACCAGGCTGTACACGGCAAGTCAGAAAAATGTGTGGTATTTTAATTTACCCACTTTGAAGCACCAACATCCACCCCACACCCACCTCTAGCTTGGAATTTGCTTCCACCAGACCCATATTGAGAAGTGTGACCCAACCCCATAGAGGCAAAGGTGAGTCTCACCTCCACTTCTTGACAGGAGAAAGCTCTGCTTGTGAGCACCAAGGGTTTGCCCTGACGCCAAAGCATGAGCCAACAGCCTCAGGCTTAAGGGACAGGCCTCGCTTCATCCATATGTCTCCTAAGCTAAGTTGTATAAGACAAGTCTTGCTGAAGACCATAATGCAGAAACGCCATGATTCCTGAGGTTGACAGAGATAGACAAATGGCAGGTGAAGAATCTAGAGTCCTCTGGTGATCATCTGACACCACCCACCCCCACCCAAGAGGCCAGGAACGGACAAAAGATTCACCCTGAGGAAGAAGGACTACAGCAGCACCCTGAGGTTATGGAGGATATGGGGTGGAGGAAGCCAAGCCACAGAACCTAGAATCAGGAAGCCACATGGCCACCCACGATCTAAAGCAGAAATCCAGAAATCCCTGGCTTGAGGACTCACGACATCAAACCCAACACAGCCCACTTCCTCCAACTGCCTCCTCTCCTCTGTGCCTCTGAGCTCGGCTGCTCCTGGACTCTGAAAATGTTCGAGTCAGATAAAACATTGCCCTCTCGCAAACACACTCAATGCAGCAACTGATTTGCCAATATGTGTCCCACCCTTGACACTCAAGACCGGGTACCAGGGAAGGCAGGTTTGAGGTCAAGAACAGAGAGTAGGGCCGAGCGCGGTGGTTCACACCTGTAATCCCAGGACTTTGGGTGAGGCTGAGGTGGGTGGATCACCGGAGGTCAGGAGTTTGAGACCAGCCTGACCAACATGGTGAAACCCCATCTCTACTAAAAATACAAAAATTAGCTGGGTGTGGTGGCAGGTGCCTGTAATCCCAGCTACTCGGGAGGCTGAGGCAGCAGAATCGCTTGAACCTGGGAGGTGGAGGTTGAAGTGAACTGAAACCGCTCCACTGTACTCCAGCCTGGGCGACAGAGGGAGACGCCATCTCAAAAAAAAAGAAAAAAAAAAGAGAGAAAGAGGATGAGAGAAAGGCTGACTTGGAGTGAACAAGAGCTGGGGGAGGAGCCATCCATCCAACATGCATTGCCTGAGGCCCCACCACGTGCCTAGCACAGTGGGGACGGTAGAATCAGATACCATCTGTCCTTGAAGAGGTAACAGCCTGAGAAGACAAAAGTCATGAAGCAATGTGAGTTCCCTAGAGTGGGTGGAATGGTGGTCCTCAAAAAGATGGGCCCAAGTCCTAATCCGTGGGACCTAAACTGCACCCTCATTTGGAAACAGGGTCTTTTCAGGTGTGATGAGTTGAAGGATCTCAAGATGAGATCATCCTGGATTTAGGGTAGACTCTAAATTCAGAGACTGGAGTCCGTATAAGGGAAAGGAGTAGGACCTCTGAGATATACACAGGGGAAGCCATGTGAAGACAGAGGCGGAGGCTGGGGTGATGCATCCACAAGCCCAGGAACTTCAGAGGCAAGGAAGGATTCCTCCCTTGGGCCTGCAGAGGGAACCAGCCCTGCCAACACCTTGATTTTGGACTTCTGGCCTTCAAAACAGGGAGACAGTCAATTCCAGTTGCTTAAAGCCACACAGTTGGTGGTCATTTGTTGTGGCAGCCCCGGGAACCGGGTACACAGCCCATCCCTGGGTCCTGAGCAGGCCCACGAAAGATGTGGATGAGCAGAAACGCCTGGCAGGTCCTGAGAAGCAAAGGAGGAGCTGGTGCTGGGACGTCCGGCATGAGAACCACCAGCGGGATTTGAAACCGCAGTTCCAGAGGAACCCTCGACCACTGAGTCAGACTCTGATGGTGGCGCTGGGCATCTGCATTCCACACAAGTTCCCCAAGGGACTCAGATGCACCCCAAATCATACAGGCCGCTGGGCAGCGGGGGCCTCAGTGGGTAGGAGAGGGTTAGGGCAGGCGAGTCAAGATGACAGTCAGGACCAGGACCAGGACCAGGAGTGGGGTGGTTCAGAAGCTGTCTTAGGGGCGGATGCCAGCAACATAGAAGGCTCCTGGGAATGGAGGATGGAGAGAGAGCAGAGGAGGCAGACGCAGCTGGAAGACTGGGGCCAGGACATGGGGGAGTAGGAGCTGCAACAGCCAGAGAAGCAACGTGTGTGGAAAAGCCTGTTTTCCTGAGCGGGTGTGGTGTGTGCTCCCATTAAACAGCAACAGATTAGTAGCTCACTCCACCTAGGAAGGGTGCACAGGATCCACCATCCTTCAAACATCACTTTTAGATCTGGGGGGTAGAAGGGGACAGAGGGACATTATCTTCCATGGTCATCCCCTCCCCCAAAGGGCCTGGGACATGCAAATATTTCTGAATCTCCAAATTAGCACAGGGTCTGTGAAAAAGGTGCTCAATGAAGACTTGTCACCAGGCTGGGCGTGGTGGCTCATGCTTGTAATGCCAACACTTTGGGAGGCCGAGGCAGGCAGATCACCTGAGGTCAGGAGTTCAAGACCAGCCTGGCCAATATGGTGAAACCCCGTCTCTACTAAGAATAGAAAAAATTGGGCCAGGCCCAGTAGCTCATGCCTGTAATCCCAGCACTTTGGGAGGCTGAGGCATGTGGATGATGAAGTCAAGAGATTGAGATCAAACTGGCGAACATGGTGAAACCCTGTCTCTACTAAAAAAAAAAACAAAAAAAACAAAAAAAACAAAAAAACAGAGGCCAGGCATGGTGGCTCAGGCCTGTAATCCCAGTACTTTGGGAGGCTGAGGCGGGCGGATCACCTGTGGTTCAGAGTTTGAGACCAGCCTGACCATCATGGAGAAACCCCATCTCTACTAAAAACACAAAACTAGCCGGGTATGGTAGCGCGTGCCTGTAATCCTACCTACTCGGGAGGCTGAGGCAGGAGAATCGCTTGAACCCAGGAGGCAGAGGCTGCAGTGAGCCAAGATCGCACCACTGCATTCCAGCCAGGGCAGCAAGAGTGAAACTGTCTCAAAAAAAAAAAAAAAAATTAGCTGGGCATGGTGGCAGGCGCCTGTAATCACAGCTACTCAGGGGGCTGAGGCAGGAGAATCGCTTGAACCCGGGAGGCGGAGGTTGCAATGAGCCAAGATCGTGCCACTGCACTCCAGCCTGGGTGACAGAGTGATAGACTCCGCCTCAAAAAAAAAAAAAAGAGTTGTCACGGGAAGATGGTGACCACATAGGTGTTTGAGCTGGTGAGAGTGCAGGCATCTTCAGGACCTGCCATTTCAGGTACCTGACATGTGCAAGTACAGCCTGGGAGAAAGGATGCCTCTCCTCTAGCACAGGCAGTCTGCCTTCCTCAGCGTATGCGGGCTCCTCTCTAGACGGGAAGAGACTGGGGCCATATCGTCCTGCTCAGTTGGTGGCAACAACCACCAACGGAGTGGCTGAAAACCACCAGAGGCCGGGCACGGTGGCTCACGCCTGTAATCCCAGCACTTTGGGAGGCCGAGGCGGGCAGATCACGAGGTCAGGAGATCAAGACCACAGCGAAACCCCATCTCTACTAAAGATACAAAAAAGTAGCCGGGGGTGGTGGCGGGCGCCCGTAGTCCCAGCTACTCCGGAGGCTGAGGCAAGAGAATGGCGTGAACCCGGGAGGCGGAGCTTGCAGTGAGCCGAGATCGCGCCACTGCACTCCAGCCTGGGTGACAGAGCAAGACTCTGTCTTAAAAAACAAAAACAAAAACAAAAAAACACCAGAATTTACTATCTCATAGTTCTGAAGGCCAGAAGTCCAAAATCGATGTGTTGGCAGGGCTGGTTCCTTCTGCTGGTGCTCTGGGTGGACAGCCTCCAAGGTCTCATAGTTGGAATTCTTTCATTCTGTGATCCCACAGAGGTGACTATGCAGCACCAAAAGCGTGTCCTCCTCCCTCCCTCTCTCGGTCTCCATCCCCCAGGGTAGAGGGCCAGGCTGCACCTCCCCTCTGAAGGTCTCCTGGGTGACCATGATGGACCCTCACCCTGACACTGCTAAGAGCATTCTGGGAAGGAGCATCCCAGTGACAATTGAAAATTTCATGGTGGGTGAGAAATGCCACAGAAGACATTCCTCTTTGAAATGTTAATGTGGAAGGTGGAGGAATCTAGGCTTTGCAGAGAAAACAACAGATTCTGTGGGTGAGAAGTTACTCTGAGCCCCGGCTGAGGACAGGGGTGGCCAGGACCAGTTCTGACTAAAACATGATGTCTCTCGAAAGCTCAGAAGATGAGCACCTCAAGCCACCCTCGTGAGAGACCACTGTGAGCTACAAAGGCTTCCCTCGGGGGCTGCCAGGCAGCACCGTCACACCGTCATGAGGCTGGCACCTTAGTCCATCAGTCCATCCATTCTCAGACAACTCTCTCCAGCCGCCAGGCTCCACCCCATGCGGTCTTAAGCATCATCTTCCTCCAGCCCTACCCTGCCTTCTAAGCACAGCTGGGGAGCTGGCTAGGAGCTGACAAATGCTTAGCTCTAGTAATCCTAGAGCGAGGGAGCCTGGATGAGGAAGCAGAGAGGAGATACCCCTCTAACTATGGTGGGGGGGACTGCCCTGTTGGTGATCTGTGGCCCAGGAAGCCTCCTCTTCCCTCTGGCCACCTTCCCAGCTCTGGTTCTAGGTCCAGCCTCTATGAAGCCTCCCCAGCCTGCCCCATCCCAGTCCACACTGATGCCTGCAGCTCTTGTATGGTGGAAGGTTTTTCTCAGCTTCAACAAGGAGGCAGCAGCATGTGGTGGTTGAAAGGACAGGTTCTCAAGGTAAGTACTTCAGCATCAGATGGACATGGGGTTGAAATCTGGTTTGCCCAATTCCTCCAGCATGTGGCTCTGGAAAAGTCCTGAATTTAAGATGTCATCGGTGCCCTGCCTGCATCTCCTTGGCACTCACTGTTCCCAGGTATGTGCACTGCTTACCCCCACAGGCCCCTGCAATTCCCCAAATCCCTGATGGGGGTCTTGGTACCCAGAGGGAGCACGCATAGGAGCTGGAACTGGTGGGTAAATACATGAACTGCTTCATAATGACCAGGCACACCCTCTGCAGGTTCCCAGAGGACCCCAGGGGCCTGAGCCTCCGGGGCCCACAGAGTCAACTGCTCATGAACACATGTGTACAGCTGGTGCCCTGCCCTTCCCTGACTTCCTTCCCTAAGTCCCTGCTGGTGCTTCCTGTATCTCCTCCACAATAAACAACTTGTCCTCAAATCCTCACCTCAAGGTCAGCTTCTAGGGGAGCCCCACCCCAAATGCCATGTCGCCTAGGCTCTTCTACACATGGAGACCACAACTGCATCTGGACGTGGAGGTTTGCATGGCTGTGATGCTGTACGTGAAGTGCTGGCCTGTAGTACTTGGTAAGTGCTAACTGTTTTCACTGTGGTTACTCATTCATTCACCCAGAAGTTGGGCAGCTTTCTTAAACAATGGGCAAAGACCCGCATGCAGGAGTTAGCAAGACACATGCAGGCAAAAAACGCACAAGCTAGTGGGGAAGAGAGTATGAGACCCTCCCCACCACATACCCAGCACCTGGCCCCTGCCAGAGGGGCGATGCAAAGTGGGGGTGACCACAGGGGAGGGGGAGAAGCAATTGGGTTCCAACCTACAGGTTTAGTTAAGAAGGCATTAGTTCAGGATTTCACAACAGATTCACTGTGCTTGGATCAATCAACACATTGAGAGATGTCAGGTTCCTAGAGGACTCAGCCTCCACACCCTTCATCTCTCTCTGCGGGAAACTTTCAACACAATTGATCTAAATGGCACAGTTTTTGTTGATGCCAGTTTGCTAGTTCATAATCACGAACCCTTAGATGACTCAGATGAAACAAGAGGTTTTTTTTCTTCTTCTTCTTTGTAGATGCACAAGGAACCGCATGGGCAAGTATAGATTTTCTAAACTATCCTTTCCCTTTGGGGCCCTGGGAAAGCCCAAAAATCAGGGAACAACAGACACTGACTCCCTGCGTAAGCTGATTGTAAAAGCCAGTCCTGCTTCTTTCCTGCAGGACTGGGGATTTTACAAACATACGGACATGAGAGACTCAAACCTCGATCCTGGCACTTCAAAATATGTTAGTCACGTGAGCCTGTGGTGGGTGCCCCCCTCTCTCAATGGGGGGTGCTGTTTACAGTTAACAATTGATCAGAACAGGTAAAGGGTAATTAAAATGTATTCGCCCAACAAATGGGCATTCCTTTTATAATAATGAAAAAAACCTCTCTGTTCGTAAAGAGTTGTCTGCATCATAAATAAGAAAGGTATTCATAATTATATCCCAAAACTGAAAAGACAACAAGTGTCTCCCAAGGTGGATTGTGAAATCAACTCGGTGCTTCAACGTACTTGGAAAGTCAGCCTGGTTTTTGTTTTGTTTTGTTTTTGTTTTTGTTTTGAGACAGAGTTTAGCTCTTGTTGCCCAGGCTGTAGTGCAGTCTCGGCTCACTGCAACCTCTGCCTCCCGGGTTCAAGCGATTCTCCTGCCTCAGCCTCCCGAGTAGCTGGGATTACCGGTGCCTGCCACCACACCCAGCTAATTTTTGTATTTTTAGTAGAGACAGGGTTTCCTATGTTGGCCAGGCTGGTTTCAAACTCCTGACCTCAGATGATCCACCCACCTTGGCCTCCCAAAGTGCTAGGATTACAGGCGTGAGACACCGCGCCTGGCCCCTCCTGTTTTTGAGTAGGGGGGTTTAGTGGCTGGACCTTACCTTCTCAGAAGGGAGGAAGGGTGGCTGTGACTCCATGGGGCAAGACTTAGGGTCAGGGGTAGCAGCCCCAATATCTCTCAGCTCCATGTGGAGAGCTGGGATAAGGAAGCCACTTCACCCCTTCCTCTTTGCAGTGCAGGCCCCAGTGAGGGTAGCCCAATGGGGTAGCCCTTAGCTTGTTACCATCCCAGACAACTCAGGATCTGTGGAGCTGGCGGGGGCTCTGCCTCCAGGGGTGCCAGCAACAACCCCTGTCGTCATGGGCGGGACCTGTGCTCAGACTCCCTTACCTCCCTTCTTCACTGTGTGCCCCTGGTCAAGAGAGTCCCACTCCCTTCACAGCAGCCGATATTTTTAGCTCTCAAACCAAAGCTATCCTGTGTGCTGCTCTTTCATATTAGGGAGGCAGCAGGAAGACGGTCTCTGGCACTCTGAGAGCTCAGTTCATTTTCTAAATCATTTTGCAGACATTAACTCATCAATCTCTATAACGCGCTCATGGAGGTGCTGAGGCAGCCCTGGCAGAACCCTGGATCTCAGAGCAATTAAGTGATTTGCCCTGGCTCACAGGAGGGATGTGCAAGTCAGTGTCAGGCGCAGCCTTTGGGAGGCCCCGAGGCTCTGCACAGGTGCTTGATGACGCAAGCCATGCATCTGGCTCTGCATCCTCGTGCGGTTCTCCAAGGCGGGGTAGGTACCGGCCGTGGTTGACGTAGGGCACACATGCCACACGGTAAAGCCTCGACAGCCAAACACAGTTCTGCTTTCCCTGATGCCAAAAATGAGGTGACGGGCACAGGCAATAAACGACACCCAGGAGCACCCCCCTGACCCCTTTGATGGGGTGATGCCATCTTCGAAAGCTCACCACTGCCGGTCCAATGGGACTGCTCCCCGCTGCAGGTCCTGTGGAAGCGCGGGGCTGGAGGAAACAGGCCAGTGGGCTCGTCCAAGTTGCAAGACTGGGCCCAGCCGATGGCAGGGCGATGGGAGAGAGGAGGAGCCCCAAAGACTCTCCTCCTGGTTGGCACAAGGGGTACTAAAAAGGGGAATGGCCATCAGCACAACTGCGGAGGAAGTGAAGCAGAGGCAACCAGAGGGGAGCCGAGAGGATGCCACTGGCTCTCTCTCCACCCTCATCGGGTCACCAGCTCTTTGCCTAAATAGAAGCGTGGATGCTACGGCACCTTCCAATAAACACATCCAAATCAGCTGCAAATTAATTTGTTTCAGCAATCAAGAGCCGTGCCCTACATCCATTGCTTGATGCTTAGCACATTCTCCAGTTTGATTTCTTTTCTTTTTAGATTTTTAAAAAAGATGTCATATTTTTAGAGCAGTTTTAGGTTCACAGTAAAACCAAGCAGAAGGAATAGAGCTTACCCAGAGAGCCCCTGCCCCTCACGTGCAGTCTCCCCAGTCATCAACACCCCCCTGGAGTGGGCCATTTGTTACAACTGAGAGCCTACAGTGTCACTCGAAGTCCATAGTTTACATTAGGGTTCACTCTTGGGCTTGTACATTCTACCAGTTTGGACAAATGCGTAACGACATGTATCAATTTTTATCATTAATGGGGAAAATCAGATACATACATCAGATAGGGAATCCTAGAGCCAACCCTTAGCATAAATTAAACACTTCCTGTTCCTCTCCCCATTTTACTAAATCAATGATGTTCACATGGAAAGAAACCTTGCAACAGGGACTGTCAGAATAGATCAGAACATCATCCTTCTAGAGAGGCATGTTTCAGACAGCCTAACCTCTAAGGTCTTCCTTAGCCCCATCCCCACTATAAGTTAAAAAAAGTTAAGACCAGAGACAGAAAATGGGCTAATACTATGTTAAGTTTTGCTAAAAGCAGGCTCTAAACCAATCTTAGGAGAATTTTAAAAAGCTGGTGAGTGACTGATTCCTCAGAGCATCTCCAAACCAAATCCCAACACAGTTTCTCCACGTGCCTACTCACCAATGTCTGTTTCCTTGTGGTTCTTGATGTATTCTGCCAGCTCAAAGTTGCCTGCTATTATGGCCACCTGCAAAGTGAAAATCACATTAAGTTAAGTGTCACCTGCAGAACAATGATTTCTGCATATACTATTACATCATTGAAGGCCTAACACCAAAAGAAGTCCAATCAGAACCTTTAAAATGGCAGCCGCAATATCAACACTCATCCACTCACCTTGCCAACCACCACACTCACTTCTCTCAAAGCAGTTGGCTGTTCTATGATGATAAGGTTGTCGTTGCTCTACAACCTATATGAGTGGGGGCCTCTGTCCAGAAGGCATGTGGGGCAAATTACCCATAGAGCAGCTGAGGATTCAACCAGGCCTGAGTCTGGAAATCTCCCCATTGACTATGTCCTGTGTACCCACGGGGCTTGATTGGTTCCAGCTCTGACACCCCGGAGCCCTGTTTATCTGATTAGATGCATGCCAATCTACATAACTGGAAAGAAGGGGAAACCTCAAAAAAAGCATTTAAAACTCATCAGATTTCAGTTATGTGGGAAAAATTCTACCCATAGATGTATGCACAGCCAGATGAGTGGCACCAAAACCATCACCTACAGGAAATTGTTCCAACTCCGGCCCTACAGATCTGTTGCCTAAAGATGCATGATCTTTGATATGGGAGAGCAGTCAGGCAGGTAAAGCCAAGTATCCTAGGATGGCCATGGAGACCCATAAGGAAGGCCAGGACCAGAGACCACACGGGCAAGGCACACAGTGCCTCAGAAGGAGAGACCTTGGGCTCAGGGCAATACATATAACCCACAAAAGGAGCCAGGCATTCAGATGCCAGCCTGGAGAAATACACATACATCTACAATGCGCTGATGTCAAGTCATAATGTAAGTGGACCTTATCCAAACAGCTGGGGGCCTTATGAGCAGAAATTGAGGTTTCCTATGGAAGAAGTCTTTCCTTAGGACTAAGGCATCAACTCCTGCCTGAGTTTCCAGCCTTACCTACTGATTTCAAATTGGCCAACCTCATAATTATATGAGCCAATTCTTTACAACAAATTATAAACAAATGCAGACTTTAGTGCCAGGAGTGGGGTGTGGCTATAACAAATATCTATAACATCTTCCCAACATGGGCTTACTTCATTTGTTTAATTTAAATCAACCTTTCTTCTTGTGTGTATGAGGTGATCTGGTAAGGTAGGGTGGGTGATTTTTGGTTTTGTGTTTTTTCTTCCTTACTTAGGGCATCTGTAGGCCTCAAAGGACCTTTCCTTTAGGTCATATTCCTCAGAAAGTCTTCGCTCTTCAGTTTTTATTTTTTCTTAAAGAATATTTTTAAAGCTCAAATTTGTGTAATAATTTGGGACTTTATTTAGAATTATTGGCTGCTGGCAGCAGCAGGCTATTCTGAAATGTCTCATAATATACATATACACACACACACACACACACTTTTTTTTTTCTTTTTTTTTTGGCAGGGTCTTGTTCTGTCATCCAGGCTGGAGTGCAGTGATGTGATCTTGGCTCACTGCAATCTCTGCCTCCCAGGCTCAAGTGATTCTTGTGCCTCAGCCTCCTGAGTATCTGGAATTACAGGCATGTGCCACCATGTCTGGCTAATTAAAAAAAAATTTTTTTTTTTGGTAGAGACAGGGTTTCACCATGTTGGCCAGGATGGTCTCAAACTCTTGGCCTCAAGTGATCAGCCTGCCTCCCAAAGTGCTGAGATTACAGGCATGAGCCACTGTGCCTGGCCAAATATATACACACACGCACACACACACACACACACACACACACACATATATATATGTGTATATATATATATGTATACATTTAATAAATATGGTGTTGGTGAAAAAAACCAAATATCTAAAAATATTATGGAAATGCTTTGGAACTGGGTAATGATTACAGGCTGGAAGAGTTTTGAGGTGCATGCTAGAAATATGAATGTTAGAATGATTCTGCTGAGATATCAGATGGAGATGAAGAACACGTTACTGGAAACTGGAGGAAAAGTGATGCTCGTTCTAAAGTGGCAAAGAACTTGGCTCAACTGTGTTCTAGTATTTTTGTGGAAGGTAGACTGTGTGAGCGATAAAATCAGATATTTAGCTGAAGAGATTTCTAAGCAAAGTGCTGAAGGAGCAGCTGGATCCTCCTGACTGCTTATAGTAAAATGCAAAAGGAGAGAAATGAATCGAAGAAGGAATTGTTAAGCAAAAAGGAAGCAGAGCTTGAAGATTTGGAAGATTCTCAGTCTATCCATACGGCAAAAAGTGAAAAAGCCTAACCACATTGCAACAAAACGAACACTGAGGGTATGGCTGGAACATCACTTGATAATGTATGGGATTATAAAAGCAGGAACTCTGCCAGTTTGAATGGAAGGTGATGGAGATAAGACAAATGAAAGAAGACTATCGGACTTAATGGATTTGACAGAAGAGGGTAACAGAGCTGTCTGGTCACAAATGTGTGCTACTCTTCAGGAAGAAGGCAAAATAACCCTGAAAGGAATTCAGAGATCATCAGATCCACCCCTTGGTTTCAACAGTTAGATGGTCTCTGCCCAAAGACTTACGGGCAGGACCACAGGGCAGAGCTGTGAGGTGAGATGGTTTGTGTGTGTCCCCATCCAAATCTTATCTTGAATTATAATCCCCATGATCCCCATGTGTCGAGGGAGGGACCCGGCGGGAGGTAACTGAATCACGGGGGTGGTTTCCCCGTGCTGTTCTCGTGATAGTGAGTGAGTTCTCATGAGATCTGACGGTTTTATAAGTGTCTGGCATTTCCCCTGCTGACACTCATTCTCTCTCCTGCCACCCTGTGAAGAGGTGCCTTATGTCATGACTGTAAGATTCCTGAGGGCTCCCCAGCCATGCGGAACTGTGTATCGATTAAACCTCTTTTCTTTATAAATCACCCAGTCTCAGGTATTTCTTCATAGCAGTGTGAGAATGGACTAAGATGTGGGGGAAGCCTCCTGAGTGGCGGCTTCCCTTGGGCATGAAGGTAGAAAAGGTGGCTTTAGAGATAAGCATGTCTCCAGGCCACATTCAGAGAGTCAGAAGCTGAGGTGCCGTCCTCCCAAAAGGGGGCCATCTCTTCCTATAGCCCACCTCCAACTCAGCTTTGGGAACTCGACTTAGGTGATGTGGACCCATGCCCTGGTCTGCTCAGGCTGAGCCAGACATGTCCTTCTCCAGGTCCCTGATGGTTGTGCTGGCTCAGGATGGCACTAGGCCTCCCTGCCCACAGGCCCAGGCATCTCTCCTGCACTCCTACAGACCAGCCCTTGCCGAATGCCTGAGGTGATACTGGCGGACTGGCGGAGGGATGCGGCCCCAGAGGTGGAGGGCATGGGCTCTGGCCTGGGCTGCCTGGGTGTAAATCCAGACTGGTACTATGTGACACTGGGCATTACGTGTAACCCACAAACCTAGGTTTTCTCACCTGTGAAATAGGTTTGGTGTGTGGATTTATTGAGATCTCACAAGTAAAGGTTTAGAGCAGTGCGTGGCACATGGCCAATCAACCCTAAAAAACTATGCTATGGGCCAGGCGCTGCGGCTCACACCTGTAATACTAGCACTTTGGGAGGCTGAGGCAGGCGGATCACTAGGTCAAGAGATGGAGACCATCCTGGCCAACATGGTGAAATCCCATCTCTACTAAAAATACAAAAATTAGCTGGGCGTGGTAGCATGCACCTGTAGTCTCAGCTATTCGGGAAGCTGAGGCAGGAGAATCACTTGAACCTGGGAGGTGGAGACTGCAGTGAGCCAAGATCGTGCCACTGCACTCCAGCTCGGTGACACAGCGAGACTCGGTGTCAAAAAAAAAAAAAAGTTTGCTATGATTAGAAAAATGATGACTATGTCTTCAAACACTGCAGACTGCTCTTTGTAAAGGTAATCCACCCCCAGGTCACCCAGCGCCCCACAAAAATGCGCAGTCAGATACACACAAGTGCACACCCACATCTGCACTGGAACACACACCTAGGACAGCTGCTGAAATAACACGTACGTGGACCATCCCCTAGTGATTCCGGGATTCTCCTTCCAAAGAAAAGCCCTAGGAGCTTAAGCCCAGGCACCTCCCTGCTGGTCTAAAGGACTCAACTCACAGTGCAAATGAGAACAATGCAAACATTTACTTGTGATAATTGCCTGACTGTTTCTCCCCTTGATGATTTCAAGGCCTAGAAATTCCTCTTGGCAGAAAGCAGCCTCCTGCCTGTCCTCTGGCACTGCCCGCCCTATGCTTGGCTTATCATGGGTTCCCAGTAAAAGTCTTCTGGGAGAAGGAAGAGGGAACTGGGTCTTATGTGACATCTCAGCATTGCTCAGTGTCAGGCTGGTGTCAGGCTCAGCATTGCTGGTGTCAGGCTGCTGGTCTGGGTGCATGAGGAAGGCAGAGTGTGGGGTCTGTCTCTGTGGCTGCAGGTGTGCACAGCAGTGAAAAGAATACTCACAGCAGAGACACAGCCGAGGCTCAGGTGCCACACGCTGCTCTGAGTGAGTTCCCAGGAGCGACCTCTTTTGATCTTAACAGCTCTATGAAGTGGGCACCATTATCTCTACTCGACAGAGGGGGAAACTGAGGCACAGAGCGATAAGGAACGGGCTCCACATCACAGTCAGCACCAAAGTCAAGACATTCACTCAAGCCGTTTGGGTTCAAACTCTTCATCTAATCACCTTAGCTTATAATATGCTGTCATTTTCATGGACTATGGCATTTTTTTAAAAAGTTATGATATAATCACAGGTCAAACACCTTTGTAAAAAATAGAAGCATAAGAAACAACAAATGACAAATTATTCTCGAGGGTTATGACAAGCCACACTCAGGCTGGGCACCCACAGAATCTTCTATGGTGAAAAGTGCCCTGCGCAGGGGAAGGACTAGTCCTGTAAGAACGGACGCTGCTTTGTCCAGGTTTTTCAGAGCCCTAGAGGCCTGGAGGGGAGCCAGTGAAGAAATGAGAACTCTGCTCTCTACAGCTCGCCTGTTTTTCCCCCATTAATTCAACTGTCCTCCTCCTTCCTTGTTTCAAATAACATTTCGGTAATACAGACAGATGCCTACCTGCAGGGTACGGCCATAATGCAACCTTGAGGGGGAAATGTTAGGGTTTAAAGAAACCCAGAGCAGGAAGGAGCCCCTTACCCCCACAGGATGTAGAGAGACTTCCTGTCGCCTCCCTCTGCAAGCCATCGCCAGCTTTGGAGTACCCGGAGAAGGAGCACCTGGTGGAGGTTACAGCTCAGGCAAAGGTTTGGAGGATGGATGTCAGACGTGGTGAATGTGGCAGCAAGACAGGCAAGATGGATGTGTGGTGGGAGGAAGGTCAGAGGTCAGCACAGAAGGCATCGACTGGTAAGTCATGGGAGGAATCCACATGTGAAGCCAAGGGAACCCTGGCTTCTGCGGCTAGGAGGTGACAAGAAACCATGGCCTTGGGAGGCATCTGGGGACAGACCATACGAGGGAGCCCTGAAAAACAGCAACAGGCAAGATGTCTCCATGGCCCGGGGCCCGGCTGGCACTCTTGGACAGACAGGAGGCTGGGAGAATTCAGACGATGGGCAGCCAGTTCTGTGCCATGCCACTGGACAGCAGAGCAGCAGGCGGCCACCCGGGCAGTGTCACTGCACCACACTGGGCATTTGTATGAGACGCCTCACTGGCATTCTAAATCATCCTAATTCTCACTTCCGTATCTGCTGGCTGGGAAGGAGGAAGGCCTTTTATGGACATTTAAACAAGAGTTATGTAACACAAAGCAACAGTCTGTGTTTCTCTTCTGTGGATCTCAAAGGAAAGGGAGGGGCGGGGCCTCCAGGGAAGATGCAGAGGGCATCCTCCCTCGCTGGCCTCTCAGCCAAGTGTGCGGCCGAGGTCCCAGCCCCTGCCGCCTCCCCACCTGTCTCCCTCAGAGCTGGGATTTCTCGCTGTGCCCTTGGGGGCTGCCTCTCAGGGGGCTCCCCTTAGCTCTTGCCCCAAGACAGAGCTAGCATCACTTTCTGGAGCCTTTGCTGTGACCTTATGATTGACATCCTGCATTTGAAGTGTGATCTACAGTTCCAGGCGGCATCGATGGCTGAAGTTTTGTGTGATGAGGGCACCACAGGATTTTTTTTGTGGGAATCACCCCCAGTTGTAAGTCCTCAGTGCCCTAAACTGGGTTTTCCTGGAATGAAGCAATCATATCTGAGATGGGAACCTTTTGCTGGTGCTGACAAAGCCCCCTGCAAGAGTTGGCACTGGGATTAACAAGTAGAGGAAAGCAGATGGACACCCCGCCAGGGGCCCTGGGGGCTCTGCCCTTGGCACTCAGAGCCACAGGGTCCCCTACAGATGCAGGAATGTCAGGAGGGAGCCCACATTTTTTTTCAACAGCAGTCACTCTGCAAGGCAGTGCATCTCTCCAGGAGACAGCACGGCCCCCCTCCACTGATCTACCAGCTGGGGGAGAAGGGGGAGTTTCCATCTATTCTCCCAACTCAAGAATTGACAACCATCTCCTCCTTAGCACCTCAAGTGCTTACACCTAACATTAAGTTAGCCGGCTGGACTCAGTGGCTCATGCCTGTAATCCCAGCACTTTGGGAAGCTGAGGTGAGTGGATCACCTGAGGTCAGGAGTTCGAGACTAGCCTTCCCAACACGGTGAATCCCCGTCTTTACTAAAAATACAAAAATTAGCTGTGCGTGGTGGCTGGCACCTGTAATCCCAGCTACTCGGGAGTCCGAGGCAAAAGAATTGCTTGAACCCGGGAGGCGGAGGTTGCAGTGAGCTGAGATTGCACCACTGCACTCCAGGCTGGGTGACAGAGCAAGACTCTGTCTCAAAATAAAATAAAGTAAATAAAATAAAATAAAATAAAATAAAATAAAATAAAATAAAATAAAATAAAATAAAATAAAATAGCATTATCTTAGCCTCAAGCTTTGAAGCACATCTTTGAAGCCTATAATATGACAATCACAGCCCACTAGGACTTAGGATCACAGAAAGACTGGGGACTCGATCCATCACACTCATCATTGGCAAGCGTCATTGGGAAAGACAGTAGAGGCACCCAGGGCTTGTCCACGAGGGGCTGGGGTCCCGGGGCTCGAGGTTGGTTCAGACCCCTGCCACATACTCTGTGCATGACCACTGGCTGGAAGCCCCGACTTGTGAAGCCCTGTTGTCTCTTCTGCCACATGCATTGCAACACCGCAGAGACTTCCTGTCCCCTCTCTTCTTAAGCCATTGTCCAGCTTTGCAGTACCAGGAGAAGGTGCTGTGTGCCAGATGCAAAGCCCCGCAAAGCTGGTGAAAATGCCACCTGCACATCTTCCTAGAGCCCTGAGCTCTGCCAAACCCCAAACCCTCCTTCTCCCCGAAATGCCCCACTTTGATGCTGTGTAAGCAGGTAAGGCCCATTCCAGGAGCAGCACCCCAAATTCCCAGCACAGACCCTCGACCTGGTGCTTCCTCCAAACCCCTAATCTGTATTAAATTAGGCAGCCCCTGCTATCCACCCAGTCCTTGCACCCACCCCATCAAGGACACCTGTAGACTTCATGGGGGCACTTGTTCCTCGCTTGGTGTTGCCTGCCCCACAAACTCAGAAACAAACCACTCAAGTAGTAAGTGGTGAGAAGGATCAGACTGCCACAAGGTGGGTGCCTGGAAATTATCTGAGTCTCATGCCAAAGGACAGTGCTCGGTGCCCACAGGGCCCGAGCGTGTTCAGGAGGTGCAGGCAGGCTGGGGGCTGGTGAGCACAGCAGGTAAAGCTACATGCTCAGGTCCCGCAGGTGGCGTGGACTGCAATCCCATGCCATCACCTAAAAAGCTGCACCCTCAGCCTCTGAGGAACTTAAAGACCAACACGGGTGACATGGCTTGGCTCTATGTCCCCACCCAAATCTCATCTCATAGCTCCCATAATTCCCACTGTTGTGGGAGGGACCCGGTGGGAGATCTGATGGGTTTTTTTTTTTTTTTTTAATGGAGTCTAACTCTGTCACCCAGGCTGGAGTGCAGTGGTACAATCTCAGCTCACTGCAACCTCCACCTCCCAGGTTCAAGTGATTCTCCTGCCTCAGCCTCCTGAGTAGCTGGGATTACAGGTGCCTGCCACCACACCTGGCTAATTTTTCTAGTTTTAGTAGAGATGGGGTTTCACCATGTTAGGCAGGCTGGTCTCGAACTCCTGACCTCAAGTAATCTGCCCACGTCAGCCTCCCAAAGTGCTGGGAGTACAGGCATGAGCCATCGTGCCCAGTCAATCCGATCGTTTTAAAAAGGGGAGTTTCTCCGCACAAGCTCTCTTTGCCTGCCGCCATCCATGTAAGATGTGACTTGCCCCTCCTTGCCTTCCACCAGTATTGTGAGGCCTCCCCAGCCATGTAGAACTGTAAGTCCATTAAACCTTTTTCTTCCCAGTCTCAGGTATGTCTTTATCGGCAGCGTGAAAATGGACTAATACAGTGGGGAAATGGGAGGAACAGCCTGGGTGCTCTTAGGCATGGCATGGTCTCAGGATGGTGGAAGGTGGAGTGGGGTGGTGCCAGGAGCAAGGACAGCCCCACAGGGACTCAGTACCTGGACAGGCTTGATGGTGGGAAATGAGCCAGCCAGACAGGCAGGTGAGGAGGACCTGGGGCTGTCTGGTTGGTCCTCGCCACAGTTCTCTGAGGATCTGAATTCCACTGCTCCTATTATATCAGGCAACCCCTTTCAAGACAGCTCCCTAGACAGCTCCAGCACTGTGTGCAAAATACCTCCCTGGGCTCAAGACGCCCACCCGCACACCCTTCACTGAACACCACAAAGTGCCGCATCCTATACCACCTAGCACTGAACTTGGCCTGCTGTGATGCTCTTCCTGCTTCATGTAAGCCTGCATTCTGAATGACGAAATGACTCTCCCTGAGCCCAGTGGCCGTGCGGATTTCTGCCATGGTCTGGATATTTGAGGCCCCCTCCGAATTCATGTGTTGAAATGGAAGCCCCAGTGTGAGGGTGTTAGGAGCTGGGGCCTTTGGGAGGTAATGAGGTCATGAGGGTGGAGCCCTCATAAATGAGATTAGTGCCCTTGGAAAAGAGGCTGCAGAGAGAGCCTCACCCCTTCCGCCATGTGAGGACACAGCAAGAAGACCACCATCCAGGAAGTGGGCCCTCATCAGACAGCCCATCTGCTGGCCCTTGATCTTGAACTCACAGCCTCTGGAGCTATAACAGATCCATGCCTATTGTTTATAAGCCACCACCCAGTTTATGTTTTTTTTTTTTTTTTTTTTTTTTTGAGACGGAGTTTCGCTCTTGTCGCCCAGGCTTGAGTGCAGTGGCACGATCTCCAGTCACTGCAGCCTCTGCCTCCTGGGTTCAAGCGATTCTCCTGCCTCAGCCTCCTATGTAGCTGGGATTACAGGCACATGCCACCATGCCCGGCTAATTTTTTGTATTTTTAGTAGAGACAGGGTTTCACCATGCTGGCCAGGCTGATCTCAAACTCCTGACCTCAAGTGATCTGCCGGCCTAGGCCTCCCAAAGTGCTGGGATCACAGGATTGCACCCAGCTCATTTTATGGTATTTTGTGATGTGACAGCCTGAACAGACAAAGACAGCGCCCAGCCTGTTGCACCTGTCACCCAGGCCAGCCCCAGGCTCCGACAAGGTGCCACAAAGCCCTGCCTTCCTGCTCAGGGCTGGGACATGGGCAGCACATGCGAATGCTCTTCACAGTGGTGAGGGCGCCATGGAGCGGGACTGTCGCCTTTGAGTGTGGCTCTCAGGTGGCCAGGGCCCTGGAGAGGCTGTGGACTTGCTGCAGTGCCCACAGTGTGACCTGTTCCCTGACGCCAAGAGGTAGAGCCCAGGCGAGGGTGGAGGCCACCTCTCTCCTCATCACTTGCTCAACAAGCTCCTGGGATCCACAGCCAGAACTCGGAGGAAAGCCACTCCACCGCCCCGACGAAGCCTCCTTCTCTTGCCAAAACGAAATGTGCCTCCCGACACAGAGAGCTATTTAGAGGCGGCTCTGTGATCCTGACACCCCCTCGCCATAACTGGAAAATGGCTTCTCGGAAAGGCACGAGAGAAACCGAGCACTTGGGATGTCCCCGTCTTTGTTTCCTTCCAGATAATGGTGCTTCATTTATTTCAGACTCCTGTGGCAACTCAGGAAGCCACTGATGCCCAAAGACCCCAGGGCCTGGTAAGAATGTTTTAATTACAGGCATCCTCCAAGCACGGCAGGGAGTGGGCCTGGGCTCCTGGCTCACCAAGGTCAGGGGTCGCCGAGTTCCCCTGCAAACTTCAAGGGAATCTCTGCCCATCCCCAGGCTAAAACCCAGAATCTGGAGAGGCAGTTGAGGCCTATGTCGTTCCAGAACAGCTCCCTGGGGCTTTGCGAAAACCCCATGCAGGGCCAGGGCCTTTGCAAATCGATGTGTATTACCCAGAAGCCCCTGGTTGCTCCGGGACTTTACATCTAACTTGACAGGGCTGACCAGATAGAGCCAGGGCTGACTCAAGCAATGTCCACAACTCCTGAAGTGCCGGCTCAGGGGAGTCGTGGGCCAGGACCCCCGGCCAGAGGAAGCAGCTGGGGACTGGGAAGCTATTGTAGGAGCAGTTCCATGCTGGGTGACCCAGTGAGCCTCCCAGGTTAGAGGAAGACCCTGAGCATTTGAGTAAGACTTGCCTGGGTCTCGTCTGCCAGTATCCCCAGAGGCTGGGGATGAAACAGCCCCTCAGTCCCACAGAAGGTGGAGCAGGTCCAGCCCTCAGCACCCCTCCCATGGCTGAGTGAAGGGGACCCCCTGGGTTGTGGCCAGATTTCACTCAGGTAGCACTGTGCGGTGGTCAGGACCACAGGCTTGGACGTTGGACAGCCCCAGAGGGAGCCTTCTAGCACCGATACCAAAGACAACCTCCCCCCTTCTCAGGCTCCTGAAACTGAGAATAAGAATAAAAGTATGATTCTTCTATGACTATCATGAGAATTAAAATAGTTAATTAGCAAATAATAATTGGCAAATGACTTAAAATAGCGCCATTCAGTATCACCAAATTGAATGCAGAGATCCATATATTAAGGAGATGATATCATGGCTAGGTGAGTTTATTTTAGAAATAAGAAAATTGACAAATATAATTCATCGCATTAGCAGATAAGCAGGGGAAATCTACATAATCATCTTTGACAGTTGCAGGATCGGATTTTGGATAAATATTTTATCAAGACACATCGGATATGACAACATAGATTCATGATAAAACTTAATAGACTGGGTCAGACATGAAGGCTCATGCCTGTAATCCCAACAATTTCGGAGGTAGAGGCAGGCAGATCACTTAAGGTCAAGAGTTCGAGACCAGTCTGGCCAACATAGCAAAACCCATCTCCACCAAAAATACAAAAACTAGCCAGGCATGGTGGCACGAACCTGTAATCCCAGCTACTTGGGAGGCTGAGGCAGGAGAATCGCTTGAACCCGGGAAGTGGAGGTTGCAGTGAGCCGGGATCGTGCCATTGCACTCTGCGCAACAGAGTGAGAGTCCATCTCAAAAAAAAAGAAAAAAAAAATCTTAATAAACTGGGAAGAAAAGTGAACTTTGCCTGCTAGTGCAGCAGTGAAACAGATTGTTGCTTAAGAGACCACCCTAAAACTAAGGGCTGCATGGGTCTGAGGACTGCCACTCTGGACTCCCTCACGTGACTGCGTTTAAGTGGAGGGTCAGCCTGGCTGGCACACGCAGGATGGCCTCACATGGGCCTCGCTGTTGGCTGGAACACATCTGTTTTCTTCCATGCATCCTCCCATCCCCCAGCAGACCAGGCTGGCTTCCTTACACGGTGTCCTCAGGACAGTGCTCCACATAGACAGCATGTCAAGCTGCCAAGGAGGGAAACAGACTCCGCCTGTGCATGGGAGTGGCTGCACTTTTCTTCCTGCCACAGTTTCATTCTGCGATTTTGCCATGACTGCAGCTCAGACATGGTCATGGGGATCTGCAGGTGTTCTGGGTGACCTTCTGGTTGACCTTGTCCTTTTGGTCCTGGGATCGAGCAGAAGCTCCGAAGGCTGCACAGCAACCTGGGATTCGGACCAGGCCTCCAGAGCTGCACCGACATTGGCAAGTTACCTCCCAGGGATGCTGGGGTTCAGCACCAAGGTGACTGTAATTACAAGGGAAATGCTGAACCAGGGGTTGGCGGTGGGGGATCATATATGAGGAGGAAAACCACTTTCAGCGTTTGAAAGTTTCTGACCTAATCAACATCAACGTCAAACCGCGACCCAACTGATCTACCTCCATTTAGTCGTTCAGTTTCCAGCCAAGATGTTGAAACGTCAGCCAGGGGAAAAACTGGCCACCTCCTTGGAGGAGGCCACATCCCCTTACCCCTCTTAGGGTAGAAGAGACCTTCTGGGCAGTATTATCCTCTGTCCTGTGAAATACGTATGGCAGTCAAGGGAATAAAAACCTCGAAAAACATCAGCGTGTAAGTTTAACAAACACACAAAAGAATGGGAAATAATTCTTTCATGTGGACCAAATGCAACCTCCCTCTCCCAGAAGGATTTGCCAATAAAATGTAAATTTTTCCTTTGAAATAGCAATGGCATTGAAGGACATCATTTGCTCCCAGAAATCTTGATAGAAAAGCAACAGTTCTTTGATGTTTGCAGAGGAATGATTTTCAAGAGTGACTCTGGTGGGACCCTGGGGCTAGAAAGGCGTGAGCCCACAGGGCAGTTAGACTTTTCTACTTGGCCTCCAGGAACCCTAGACTCACGGCACAGAATGAGGGAGGCTGAGTCTAGTGAGAAGAGGAGATTTCTGGGGATTACAGATGTTGCTAGGCTGGCTTTCCTGTGCTGTAATGATGAGGAGAGTGATCAAGCTGATCATAATGATAACTACCCATGTTTACCCAACACGACACGCAGCCCAGCATCTAAATACAGTCTCTAAATTCCACCCTCACGGCATGCCTTGAGGAAGTAGAGCTGTCGTGATCCTTGTTCTGCACATCAGACAACAGGTTTCGAGAGCTCAAATGAGTGAGATTTCTTCATTGCATAAAGGAAGGCCCTGTCCATTCGATTCCAAAGCCTAGGAGAAGGCAGGCATTACACACATGGCTTTGTGTGGCTCTAACTACAGAAAGTTCTCTTGCACAGCAGCCCAGGCACAGCCTCCCTGCTTAAAAAAGGCAAGAGGGAGATTAGCAACGAGATTTGGTTCCAAAGCAAGAATTGAACACCATTTTCTGCAGGACAGTAACCAAAGAAAGAAATCATGGCTGACAACGGGGTACGCTTGCGTATGAGTTTGATCAGGCTGCCATCACTAAGCACCACAGACCGGGCTGCTTAAGCCACAGACACTTATCATTTCACTGTCCTGGAGGCTGGAGTCTGAGATCAAGGCATCGCAGGGCTAGGTCCTCCTGAGGCCTGTCTCCTTGGCTTGCACTGGGCCGCCTTCTCTCTGTGTCCTCACACCGTGGTCCCTCTCTGTGTGTCTGTGTCCTCATCTCCTCTTCCTATAGGGACACTGGTCATATCAGATTAGGGCCCAGCCTAGTGACCTCAATTTAACTTAATTACCTCTTCAAAGGTCCCATCTCCAACTACAGTCACATTCAGAGGTACTGAGGATTAGGGCTTCAATGCAGGAATTTAGGGGGACACCACTCAACCCAGAACAACTTGCTTAGCACAAGAGTACGCAGAATCTCTTTGCCTTCCTCAGGGACACCTAGGGTCCCCCGCAAACACCCAGGTCAGAGGTGTCTGAGGCCTGCACAAGGCTTGAGAATCTCTCCCCTCACGTGGTCTGTTTTCAGGGAGCAGAGGGTGGGAAGAGGCTACCGCACACTCGATTGTCACAGATGGACACACAGGAGCAGAAGCAATCACTGCCTCTCCCATCCCCATGATTCGGTTATGAAAAGTGTCACACCCACCGAAAAAGTTGAAAGAATAGGCTGGGTGTGGTGGCTCACACCTGTAATCCCAGCACACTGAGAGGCTGAGGTGGACAGATGACTTGAGGTCAGGAGTTCGAGACCAGCCTGGCCAAAGTGGCAAAATCCTATCTCTACTAAAAATACAAAATTAGCCGGGCATGGTGGTGGACACCTGTAATCCCAGCCTCTTGGGAGGCTGAGGAAGCAAAATCACTTGAACCCGGGAGGCAGAGGTTGCAGTGAGCTGAGATCGCACAACTGCACTCCAGCCTGGGCAATAGAGTGAGACTCCATCTCAAAAAAAAAAAAAAAGTTGAAAGAATAGAGTGATGAAAATCAATACACTGCCAAACTGGATAACACAATTGTTTACATGTTGCTTGGTGGTGCGTGTGTGTGTGTGTGCGCGTGCATGTGCACATGCTGGGGGCACATGTGCACATAATTCGATTTTTGCTAAGCCATGATGATGCATCCCTCTCTAAACACCTCAGCATTTGCAGAAACGAAGGGGGTGCTCCTGTAAGTAATGTCACACTCAGAAGATCGGCATTCACCCCCAGACTTCCTCCAAAATCACTCCACAGGCACAGGTCTCCACATGCCTCTTTCCCCTAATTTTTTGTACTGTTTTAATTCAGCTAAAAGTACATGCCACGAAACACACAGGCCTTAAGCACAGAGTTGGATGAGTTTTTTTGTTGTTGTTGTTCTTTTTGTTTTGTTTTGTTTTTGAGATGGAGTCTTGCTCTGTTGCCCTGGCTTGAACCCAGAAGGTGGAGGTTGCAGTGAGCCAAGATCACGCCACTGCACTCCAGCCTGGGCAACATAGTGAGACTCCATCTCAAAAAAAACAAAAAAACAAAAAAACAAAAAAACAAAAAACAAAACCTGCCTTCTCAGAGCAGGGGGTTAGCATTCCATGCCCTAGTTACTCCACATTCTCACAGACAACACTTGGCACTGTCCATCTTCTTAATTTTGGCTATTTGTGTGTGTGTGAAGTAGGTGGTTTTAAACTTTATTTGCCCCCCAACTTCTCCTTTTTTGCAACCTCACCATTGCTATCATTAGAATAAAATTAATTATCCGTTTTCCCAGAGGGTGGAAAAAGGCAGTGATTCCAGGACTCAGGCCAAGAACTGGAGACATCAGCCTCACAGAAGCTGTGAGTGCACCTGCAGCTTCTATGGGCCAGGGAGTACAACTCATGGCTATTGTTGTTTGCTCAGGAACATCATCTCCTACCCCAAAATGACAAGAGTGAGAATGGTGGTAGAACTGGTCAGTGGCCAGGCGTGGTGGCTCACACCTGTAATCCCTGCACTTTGGGAGGCAGAGGTGGGAGGATCACCTGAGGTCAGGAGTTTGAGACCAGCCTGGCCAACATGGTAAAATCCCGTCTCTACTAAAAATACAAAAATCAGCTGGGCATGGTGGCAGGCACCTGTAATCCCAGCTACTTGGGAGGCTGAGGCAGGAGAATTGCTTGAACCTGGGAGGCAGAGGTTGCAGAGAGCTGAGATTGGACCACTGCACTCCAGCCTGGGCAACAGAGTGAGACTCTGTCAAAAAAAAAAAAAAAAAAAAAAAAAAAAAAAAAAAAGAAAGAAAGAAAGAAAGAAAAGAGAAGAGAAGAGAAGTCAGCTTATGAAGGTGGTGGTGGTGACACTTACCACGTGACCTTATGCAAGCAGAAAATATTTTACTTCATTCAATGATGTGAAGGAAGTTTAACAAATTATATAAGCTAAAATCATGCTTATGGGGTATCAACTACATTTTTTAAAATTGGACTAGTTGGGTGTTGATATGGTTTGGCTGTGTTCCCATCCAAATCTCAACTTGAATTGTATCTCCCAGAATTCCTACATGTTGTGGGAGGGACCCGGGGAGAGGTAATTGAATCACGGGGGCCGGTCTTTCCCATGCTATTCTTGTGATAGTGAATAAGTCTCAGGAGATCTCATAGGTTTACCAGGGGTTTCTGCTTTTGCTTCTTCCTCATTTTTTCTCTTACTGTCACCATGTAAGAAGTGCCGTTTGCCTCCTGCCATGATTCTGAGGCCTCCCCAGCCGTGTGGAACTGTAAGTCCACATGCTAAACCATGATGATGCATCGTGCACCACGATGATACATCTCTAAACACCTCAGCATTTGCAGAAATGAAGGGGGCGCTCCTGCAAGAAACGTCACACTCAGAAGATCGGCACTCACCCCCAGACTTCCTTCAAAACCACTTAAACCTCTTTTTGTTTCCAGTTTTGGGTATGTCTATCAGCAGTGTGAAAATGAACTAATACAGGTGTTTACACGGGGTTTTATTTGGTCAGCTTCTACAGAAATCCAAATTAACAATTTCATTAAAGTCACTATCATGTGTCACATCGGGGAACAATTTCTGAGACAGGAACAAAAATTGACCACAAAAAGATCTCCCGGGAAAACTGTCTTATTTCCTTCAGTTCTCTGGACTTATCAATTTACAGTCTCAGGGAACTGAACTACAGATTCTAAGCCAGTTCCTCATTCATTTCCTTTCCCCTCCACTTCTCCAGCAAAGAAAAGGAAATTAAAAAAAAAAAAAAAACCTACCCTCCCATCCTCTCACAGCCTCCTGGTATGTTTATAAATAAATTCAGGTTAGGTCATGTCGTTTAGAAAAAAAGGCATTCAATTTATAATTAATCCCAGTGAGAAAGAAGAAACTTATTATATAAAGAGATTTGTTTTCCTTCTTTTCCTTCATTTGTCCTAAATGATAGACCCTATTATGACAACTTGGACCCTTCAGGGACCATATGGAATACCCAGGGGGCTCTATGTGCTAAAATGGATGGGAGGTATGAGAATTAAATTCAACACAATTAAATAACATAAAATTGCATTTCAATTCCTCCGGGAACAAAAAAAAATCAAAAGGCATTTACTGTATTAGGAAAATTCTAAAGATCATTATTAAGTTCCTTGTAACTGGCAGGTAAAAGTTCAGGAGAAAGAAGCAAACAGAGAAAGGAGAAGGGAGGGAGACCAAGAGGGAAAGAAACAGCAAAGAACCAGGGATGGTTTTCCTCAATGTTGTTTTTAAGATCCTTGCAAATAATTTAAAAACCACTAAAAATATAAGCTAAGGCCTCAGAGTTCCCACTTTGGGATCTGGGGGCTAAAAGAGAAGATTCTGAGTTTAGACGTTGGCTCTAAACCCTGCCCCAGACTTCATGCGGAAACATACCCTAAAAAGGCATCCTCTCCAGAGACGAGGAGCAGCAGGCATTAGGACCCTACATGGTGTCATTGCCGGATGGCCAGGCTCTCTGTGCTTCTGGTTCAATCAGAGCCGGTCTTTTCATTTCCATTTGGAAAACAACACTCACGTTTAACCACACAATCATCTCATTGTTCAGGTAATGCTGCCACACTTCATTAGGGAAAGCAGCTGGCATCAGGGTGTTCTCGTTAGAGCAGTGCTGTGAGTGTTTATTGCTTTTCAATTAATCCACTTTTGGATTTAGCATATTTACACTGGGGCGGCAAGCAGAGAACAGGGCGGCGGTGGGGGATTTCTGTAAGGAGTTGTCGGGCCCTCAAAGCAGGTGCAGGGCCCCGCCCAGCCACACTGCCACTGCAGCATCTTGTTACAGGGCCCTGAGAAGGCACACCCTGCTCAGCTGCATTGGACAGCCTGTTTCCGGAAATCGGGCTCTGGGGCTCATACAGAGCCACAGGAACAAGTGTGCAATGGGGTTCCGCTGAGACACAGAGTCCCTCCCCCGACCCTCTCGGTCTTCCTCTCAGGTAGAATCCACCTGGCACCAGGAGAGCATGAGCAATACCCAGGCTTTTCTGGCATCCCCTCAAACCAGGGGCTAGAAAAAGGTCATCACACCACACCTCCCACCTGTCCATGCTGGGGCCTTCCCGGGAATACAGAGAGAAGCTTAAAAACCCAGCCTCGCACAGAAAGGCCTTTCAAAAACACAACGCCCTTGCAAACACACACAAGAGGCTGAGTATATGAAGAGGAGGGTTGGGCACGGTAGCTCACACCTGCAATCCCAGTGCTTTGGGAGGCCAAGATGGGAGGATCACTTGAAGCCAGGAGTGTAAGACCGGCCTGGGCAAGGTCTTAAGCAAGAACCCTACCTCTACAAAAAAAATAAATAAAATAAAATAAAATAAAATAAAATAAAATAAAATAAAATAAAATAAAACAAAACAAAACAAAGTAAAATTAGCCCAGCGTGGTAGCGCACACCTGTAACCCCAGCTATTCAGGAGACTGCGAAGGGAGGATCCCTTGAGCCTAGGAATTTGAGAATTTGAGGCTGCAGTGAGCTATAATCGCACCACTGCACTCCAGTCTGTTGACAAAGCGAGACTCTGTCTTAAAAAAAAAAAAAAGAAAGAAAGAAAAAAAAAAGGAAGAAAATTCAGTTGTTAAAGTATTTAACTGGAAACAGCAGGAATCTTGTAGGCTACAACACCATTCACTTTGGAAATGCACTTTCCTCTCCACAAGCTGCATCTCAGCTTCCTTTCCCTAATCTTAGTAATGTGATCTGTGGGTGAAGCCGACAGCTATTGGCTGGCAATGACTTTCCAGATGATTTCTGGGTACTGCTGGCTTGCGGGACACGTTCATCCTCAGCTCCCAATATGATCCCTCAAAAATACGGATGCCTTCTTTAAACACAGACGTTGGGCCCTCGGAGACACTTTGCTGCCACTGGGAATCTCATCTCAAATGTGCAGGGCTGCTGTTCCCAAATCCGCCAGCACATGTTAGCAGACTGTACACACACCCCCAAAAAAATCCCCTAGCAACTACACGCTGGCGCCTAACATTTTAATTCTTTCAGTTATGATTCATGGTGCCATCTGTGGACAGATAATGAGAGACAATAATCCAAGAATAGCTATCAGGCATTTGTTCAGCAGAGTTTCAGCATCAGTTGCATCCAAGTATGGGAAGGGACGGTGCCATCCCAGGAGTGCCTAACCACTCCCATGGCTAACATGGGACTCAGTGAATCAGATCAGCAGGTCTGGCCGCCGAGCCCACCCGAGTGACATCATGCCCTCAACTGTGCTCAAACTCCTGAGAATACCGAGAGCATGGCTGCAAGGTCCAGGAGGGAGTTAAAGGCAACAGGCATAAGAGAATTCACAGGAGCCCACCCCACAAAAGGGCTGCCTGCCTCGCGGGACGGACGGGATGATGGAGGGGCTGTGGCTATGAGAAAGGGGACTCCCTTGAGGCTTGCTTAAGCTTGCCAAGGAGAAAGATGCGTTGCTCAGTCATAAAATCAAGGCCATGCTTTAAAGACTTCTGGATGACTTGACTTATGACACTCAGGCACAACATCATTTTTTTCTCATTCTAAACACTGTGTGTGTTCCCTGACCTCCATTTATTTCAGAGCGCAGGCCTGGCTGTCAGCAGACACAGACATGGGTTTCTGGACACTACACCCTCCACCTTGTTGTGCTCTTCCCCGATTCACATCACCTTGCTCTTGTTTTTGGGAGCCAGACATGTCTAGGGAGGCCTACATATTTTCTGCAGAAAAGAATTAGAGAAGAATGAAGGGCAATTACCACCTTCTTTCAGTGGTTTGCCCAAAGCCATTCTAAACCGGGCAATGTGTCTACCTGTGAATCCTGAGGGATAAAGGACATTCTTGGCCGTCCCTTGCCTCTTGGGAGAGGGTAGAGTTCAGATAAGTCGAGCCCCATGCCCCGTGTAACAGTTCATGCTGAGTTTAATACTCACGGGCACTGTCTGGGGGAAAGGTTGGGGGACATGGAAATGGCCTAGTTGCAGCAGAGTGGGAGGCAGCATAGAACAGTACCCCTCGCCAACCCGGCTGGCCATCACATGGCCACACAGTGGACAGAGGTACAGAAAGCTCTTGGCACTTCTGAAATGCGAGGCTGGCAGACAGCAGAAAAGCTAAATCCTAGCATCAGTCACTCATGTGTATGTGTGTGCGTGTACACACACACACAGCTGCCCCGCCACCCTTTCACACAGTAGCACAGCAAGCTTCAGGAATTATTTCCAGAATTCTAATGGAGCATGATTCACCGGCAAGAGGATGATGACCTAATTATCCACCTGTGTCAGTTAAATGGCAAGAAGCCCCCTCGCCCTCCCTTCGCCTGGCACAGCATTCAGCATCTTCCTGCTGTCTGAAGAGAGGCTTGCAAAATGCTAATGTGACTCCAGGGTCTCTATCCTGAAAGCTTGCAGGTATCCAAGCAGCCTGGGGAAAGGGAAGCCAGGAGCACATGGAGTCCAAGAAGAAACTGAACCCCAGCAGGCTCTGGTGTCTTAATGTACAAATGTCCTCCTATGATAAGCAAATGTATCATTTCTCAATCTCCACGGTACCTGCGACCTTAAGCACCAGGTGCATGTGGGGAGGGTATGGAGGGAGGTTAGGAAACCATTGCTTTTGGATGCTTTGCTTAATTTTTATTAGGACACAGAAAATGAAAAGTCAGCATGAGGAGAGGGAAAGCGACCAAGAGAAGCCACTACGCAGCAGGGCAGTGAGCTGCTTCGAAGGAAGACAGCAAGTCAGGTCTTGGCCCCGATGTCAGCTGAACATCCCAGCCTACTCCAAACATCACAGGAAGTTAAGGATGCAAGAAAAAAACAAACAACTCCCTTGAAAAGTGGGCAAAGGACATCAGCAGACACTTTTCAAAAGAAGACATACATGCAGCTAATAATCATATGAAAAAAAGCTCAACATCACTGATCATTAGAGAAATGAAAATCAAAACCAGAATAAGATACCATCTCATGCCAGTCAGAATGGCTATTATTAAAAAGTCAAAAGACAACAGATGCTGGTGAGGAGAAAAAGGAACTCTTTTACACCGTTGGTGGGAGTGTAAATTAGTTCAGCCATTGTGAAAGACAGTGTGGAGATTCTTCAAAGACCTAAAGACAGAAATGCCATTCGACTCAGCAATCCCATTACGGGGTATATACACAAAGGAATATAAATCGTTCTATTATAAAGATACATGCACACGTGTTCACTGCAGTACTATTCACAATAGCAATGACATGGAGTCATCCTAAATGCCCATCAGTGACAGACTGGATCAAGAAAATGTGGTACATATACACCATGGAATACTACGCAGCCATAAAAAAGAACAAGATCATGTCCTTTGCAGGGGCATGGATGAAGCTCGAGGCCATTATCCTTAGCAAACTAATGCAGAAACAGGAAACCAAATACAGCATGTTCTCATTTATCAGTGGGAACTAAATGTTAAGAACACATGGACACATAGAGAAAAACAACAGACACAGGAGCCTTTCAGGGGGGTGGAGGGTGAGAGGAGGGAGAGGATCGAGAAGAACAACTAATGGGCACTAGGTTTAATACCTGGTTGATGAAATAATGTGTACAATAAACCCCCAAGACATGTGTTTACCTAGGTAACAAACCTGCCCGTTCTGCACATATACCCCTGAACTTAAAAGTTTTTTTTTTTTTTTTTTTTTTTTTTTAAATAAGGCCAACAGATGAACATCTCAAGGCAACCCATATTTTAAGTCATTTTACTGTGAGGACCCTGACCCAGGAAAGAAAAGCAATTGCTATAAAACAGGTGGCCCACTGATCTGCCATGAGAGCCAACTCAACAAGAGATTCATCTCCCAAAGGCAGAACGCTTGCAGCCGCTCCATGCGGGGCGGGGGCCTAGGGAAGAAAGGTCACTAGACTCTCCTAACAGGGCTCCTGCATCAGCTACAAGGTCAGGTCAAGTCAGACGTGTACCCTCTCCACGGAGAGAGGCCGATTGGTATCAATTTTATTGATACAATTTATGTCCTAGAATCACAAGGTCACCCAGCACCCACTTGTAGTTTCATCATCCATGCCAGGTATAGCCCAGGTGGCTCTGCCAGTCGAAGTGGAATTGGGGAAGAATGTGCCAAAGTCTACATGGATATCCTTATTTTAATTGATTTTTTATTTTTTTGAGACAGAGTGTTGTTCTGTCTTCCAGACTGATGGAATGCAGCGGAGCAATCTCGGCTCACTGCAACCTCCACCTCCTGGGTTCAAGTGATTCTCCGGCCTCAGCCTCCTGAGTAGCTGGGACTACAGGCGCCCACAACTACACCTGGCTAATTTTCATATTTTTAGTACAGATGGGATTTCACAATGTTGGCCAGACTGGTCTTGAACTCCTGACCTCAAGTGATCTGCCTGCCTCAGCCTCCCAAAATGCTGGGATTACAGGGCATGACCCACCATGCCCAGCCTTAATTGACTTTTTAAGTTGACAAATAAAAATAGTATACACTGATGGTGTACAACATGTTTTGAAAAACGCATACAGGCCAGGCACAGTGGCTCAGCCTGTAATCCCAGCACTTTGAGAGGCCAAGGCGGATGGATCACTTGAGCCCAGGAGTTTGAGACCAGGCTGGACAGCATAATAAGACCCCATTTCTACAAAAAAATTAAAAATGTACCGGGTGTGGTGGTACGCACCTGTGGTCCAAGCCACTCAGGAGGCTGAGGTGAGAGGATTACTGGATCCCAGGAGATCGAGGCTGCAGTGAGCCGTGATCACCCCACTATACTCCAGCCCAGGCAACAACAGAGCAAGACCCTGTCTCAAAAAAATAAAAACAAACAGAAAGAGAAACATGCATACAATGTGCAATGGCTAAATCGAGCTGATGAACACGCACACCGCCTCACATGCTGACCATCTTTTTGTGGTGAGAACACTCAAATTTGACTCTCTCAGCTATTCAAGTATACAATGCATTGTTAACTGTGGCCACAATGTTGTACCACAGATCTCAGAACTTACTACTTCTTTTTTTTTTTTTAACTCTTTTTTTTTGAGACCGAGTCTCACTCTGTTGCCCAGGCTGGGATGCAGTGGCACGATCTCGGCTCACTGCAACCTCCGCCTCCCAGGTTCTAAGCAATTCTCCTGCCTCAGCCTCCCGAATAGCTGGGACTAAAGGCGTGTACCACTACACCTGGCTAATTTTGTATTTTTAGTAGAGTCAGAGTTTCACCATGTTGGCCAGGCTGGTCTCGAACTCCTGACCTCAGGTGATCCACCCGCCTTGACCTCCCAAGGTGCTGGGATCACAGGCATGAGCCACAGTGCCCAGCTGATCTCAAACTTACTTCTCCTATCTCAGCGAAATTGTGTATCCTTTGACCAACACCACCCCAGCCCTCTCCCCAACCTCCCAGCTTCTGGTAGCCACTATCCTACTCTCTGCTTCTATGAGTTCAACTTGTTAAGATTCTGCACATAAGTGAGATTGCATCATGCTTGTGCCTGGCTTGTGGTGCTTAACATTATGTCCTCCGGGCTCATTCCATGGATGTCTTTTAAATAATCAATCAAGAGCAACCAACCCAAGCTTGGTAACTGGCAGCTTCCAAAGCTGCAGAGACATAGCCATGTTGGGATAAGACCTGGCTTCTAGTCTCAAGTTCAAGTTTACCAGCTGTAGCACTCTGGCCAAGTTACTTAACATCTCTGAGCCTCAGTGTTTTCATGTGTAAACAGAGGTAATAACAGACCCTACCTCATAGGGCATTTTGTCAATTAAAGTGAGATAGTGCATACAGCATAATTATCAGTACTACCCAATACACAAGCACTTAATAAATAGTAGCTACTAGTATAATCATAATTATTTTAAAAGCACTCTCTATAAATAGAAATATTATGTATGTATGCATGTATGCATGTATGTAGAGATGGGATCTTGCTATGTTGCCCAGGCTGGTCTCAAACTCTAAGCTCAAGCCAGCCTCCCGCCTTGGCCTCCCAAAGGGCTGGGTTTACAAGTGTGAACTGCCACACCCAGTCTATTTTAAAAAATGATTACCTATGATGAAGGAAGAGACAAGAGTGGAAAGGAGAGGCGGAGGGTGGAACTTCTTTGTGTATAACTTGGTTTATAGATTTGACTTTAAAATGCAAATATTCTATAGAATTACAAACCAAAATTAAAATTTAAAAAGCAAGTCATTAAAAATCAAAAATAAAATTAAACATAGCTGCTGGCAAAAACAAATAGAGAGAAATTATTCCAAATGTCTCTCAAGCACAATAGTTTAATTGCATGTCCCTAACGGGGTCTACTCCAGTGACAGCACGCCACTGCAGGGGAGAATCTGAAACCACTACAGCAGAGTATTGCTGGTAAGTGCTGGCAGCATTATGTGAAGAATTTTTTGTGCATGGTAGAATAAACCAAAAGAAGAGTGATGTTGCTCATTAAAAGTTAAAGTTTTTAGCATAGCTGAAGGCGATACAGATGTTAAGATCAAGGAGGTTAAGTCAAAACCTTGTCCTGAATCACAACAGGCAATATCAATATAACTCATGATGCATATTACCTAAAAAGTAAGCCCCCTTAAACTTAGACGTGGCCCTTAAACACCAGTTTCGACTAAAAGAAACAAGCTTCCCTGAAAAATGGCTGATTCCATGTCTGAGACAAGAAATCTGAAATGTCTCGCCATACCAGAAAATCAGGAAGCTATCAATGACTATGAGGTCATGTCCAAAAGACTCAGGAAATGGTCGGAATCAGCCTCCACTGGGCACAGACAGATATGATGAAGTAGCTAGAGGCAGATGAATGCTCCCACCAAAAAGAGAATAAACAACAAAAGACAACAGTAAACATATCTTTCAAAGCATCAGGGATCTACTGAAGCTACAAAGACCACAGGTGCCAAGGTTTGGAAAGAGGACAGCTGTTGAGAGGTGAGCAGATGTGCTAAAGCTGCTTCTCCCCTAGGATCATTTGTACATCCCAGACTCAGGAAAAGGACTGAGAATTGGTCCTTGGGCCAAGAGCCGATTCCTGCTAGCTGTAGAGAAATCCCTGGAGTTTTTAGCAGTGAAGTAGGGCTCCTAAGGCAAAAACTGCAGACCCGAAGGGGAGTTGTCTGGGCTAGAGGAAGGAGTAGAAAAATGAATGAGGCATTCGGCTGCTTTTCCTTTCAATATTTGCCGAATTCTGAAATTGGGAGGAGCAGAAGGTGAAAAAGCGAAGCATAAGAAATGGAGGGCAGGGCCCACCCAGGAGAGAAATGCTGGTAAGCACACGAGGCTCTCACTTGAAAGTGCTGAGGGCTACAATCTAGAAGGAAAGGAGAACTGGAGTTAGAATGAATCCTCTCAAAACTACAACCCAGCCTTGACTCAGCTCAGTCTCTGACTGCATCAAGGTGACAAGGCTTCTCTCTATCTGCCTGACAGAAGAAATGATAATCCTCTCTGAAAGAAAATAACATTACCTAGAGTCTCCATAATTTTTAAATATATATGCAATGCCTGACATTCTATAAACAATTACTAGTCATTCCCACAGACAGTACCATGTGTTGGAAAACAAAGAGAAAAAACAGTCAATAGAAACAGACCCATGGATGATCCAGATATTGGAGTGAGCAGCGAAGAACTTAAAAATGATTAGTATGATCAAGAAGGTAAAAGTAAAACTGAAGAAAGGAGCTGAAAAGATGGAGAATTTCAAGAAACAATTGAATGCAGAAGGGAATCAATCGTAAACTCTAGACCTTAAAATCCAACGTCTACAATTAAGGACCTCAAAGGTAGGCTTAAGATCGGATTACATGTAGGAGATGGATAAGGAAATTGGAAAATTGGTCAATAAAAAATGCACAAACTGAAGCACAGAGAGAAGGACAAATGGAAAACAGAACGGACACATATAAGACACACTGAAAGGCTCTGACATATATGTGAATCAAATCCTAGAAGGAGAGATGAAAAATAGAGCAGAAGTACTACATACATTAAGCCTAAACTGACAAAACATGTAAAACCACAGACTCAAAAAGCTCTATAAATCTCAAATGAGATAAACACAGGAAAAAAACATAGCTAGGCACACAAATACTGAAAACCAAGGACAAAGAAAATTTCTAAAGCAACCATAGCAAATGGCCATTATCTACAATCACACCGACAGCAGTCTTTCAAAAGAAACTAGATAAGGGATGTGACAAAGAAAAAAGAAAATAACTACTGATCTAGAACCTGTACCTCACAAAAATATCCTATTAATAAGGCTAAATAATGACATTTTTGGAAAAATCAAAGCAGGCATTCTATCACCAGCATGAATTCTAAAAAGGACTTCTTTTAGCAAAAGAAAGATGATCCCATAAAAAAAATTCAGAAAGGAATAAAAAGCAAATGGAAAATAAGTGAGCAAGTAATAAAGAACAGGAAGATGTAGGAGTGGTGAGTTTCTAAACGTGTTACCACAGCTAGGAGATGCAGGGGAGGAAGCTGACCTGGTGACATAAACAAAATACAACATCCCCTATACTTTAAACAAACAAACAAACAAACAAACAAAAAACCCATAAGCAAAGTTGAAAGGAGATAAATTTGAAAAAAAAATCCACACATTTGTAACTTACGATTAATGAGTTAAAGTACCTATTATATTACTATAAATCTACAACACAGAAATCCAAACCCAAAACCCAAACAGGCACAATCCAACTGACACTTTTTATGACAGGGAGTCATTGATGGTAAAAACCCATCAACTGTAAGGAAGAAGAAAGAAATTTGCAGTTGCATGGTCAGGAGGGGGTGATAATAGATGATGGGTCCCCACTGTTTCCCTCCAATATGACTGCCCTGATCCTCAGCTTTCCTCTTTTTGTTTTGTTTTGCTTTGTTTTTGAGATGGAGTCTTTCTCTGTTACCCAGGCTGGAATGTAGTGGTGTGATCTTGGCTCACCGCAACCTCCGCCTCCTGGGTTCCAGAGATTCTCCTGCCTCAGCCTCCCAGGTAGCTGGGATTACAGGCATGAGCTACTATGGCCAGATAATTTTTGTATCTTTAGTAGAGATGGAGTTTCACCATGTTGCCAGGCTGGTCTCAAACTCCTGACCTCAAGTGATCCGCCCGTCTCCACCTCCCAAAGCACTGGGATCACAGGCATGAGCCACTGCGCCCAGCTGCTTGCAACATTTTTTGAGAGAGACAGGATCCCACTCTATCGCCCAGGCTGGAGTGCAGTGGCGTGACGTAACCTCAGTTCACTGATAACTCCACCTCCCAGGCTCAAGCAATCCTCCCATCTCAGCCTCTCAAGTAGCTGGGACTACAAGTATGCACCACCATGCCCAGTTTGTTTTTATATACTTTTTTTGTAGAGTCAAGGTCTCACTATGTTGCCCTGGCTGCTCTTGAACTCCTGGGCTCAAGTGATGATCCCGCCTTGGCCTCCCAAGGCGCTGGGATGACAGGCATGAGCCGCCACACCTGGCCAAGCATCAATGTCTTAACCCTGATTAGCCTAATTGGGCAGCTCCTCTTCTCTTCCAGCCAGTGACATCCAGCCTATAAGAATGCAGACCGGTGAACCACTGCCCAGTGATGGCTCCCCCAGTGCCCTTGTGAGACACTGCAGTGAGCCCCGTGTCTGCTCAGGGGGAGGCACGAGGGAGCAGACAGGGGCAGGAGGCTGGCCAACTACACAGAAACCAATACCATCACAGGGAAAGCCTTGCCGGGCCCTAGGTGCCATCATAAAACCTTTGCTTTCAAATGCACAAGACTCAGCATCCCTCCTGCCACACTCCCCACCACCCTGCACCGTTACCAGAGTCCCCAGGAGTCCCTCCTGACGGTACAGATACTGACCGGCCTGACCTGCCATATTGAGGACATGCCCCAGAGCAGGTCTCTCCATGGACAGGAGCTCAGTCCGTGCCTCCTGGGTAAGATGCTGCATCCCAGTCTCACCTGGGACACGCTGCTCCTAGGATCTCGGGGCCGGGCTCAGGTGTGAGAGTCAAACACCAGGGGCTCTGTCCAACAGCCAGCGAAATGGTGGGGCTGAAGGAAAGCCATGCCCTTGCCTGATACTTTTTTAAAAATTTTTATTTTTAAGACAAAGTCTTGCTCTGTCACCCTGGTTGGAGTGCAGTGGCACGATCCTGGCTCACCACAACCTCTGCCTCCTGGGTTCAAGTGGTTCTCCTGCCTCAGCCTCCCGAGTAGCTGGGATTACAGGCACCCGTGACCATGCCCGGCTAATTTTTGTATTTTTAGTAGAGACAGCGTTTCGCCATGTTGGCCAGGCTGGTCTCAAACTCCTGACCTCAAGTGATCTGCCCGCCTTGACCCCCCAAAGTGCAGGGATTACAGGCTTGAGCCACCGTACCCAGCCCCTTGCCTGATACTTGATAAGGGTTTTACACTTTTATTATCTCATTAGGCACCACAAAACCTTATAAGAGAAATGGGGCTTATTTCAGAGAACAGATAAAGGAAAAGCTACGCAGACAGCACAGGGTCTGCCACTCCCGGAACAAGGCAAGGCTGGAGCTGCTAACTTTGTATTGGAAGCGTTCACCAGGACCCTCCCTTCCCATCACCATCCGGGCTCACAGGGGGGCAGATTGAGCACCCACTTGCCCAGCAGAGATGCGCACTCTAAGCTTCCCTCCACCAAGCGGTCAGGAAATAGACAAAGCCAGATACAACTCTCCATGGCGGTCGACACTGCAGAGGGGAGTATGTGTGGGGGTTTCACAGTGGGCCACTATTTATATCTGCATGAATCAGCAGCCTTAAGCTGTTTCTGAAAGCTTAAGCAGTTCCTGTATGTTTAAGAAAGCAATGGTTAAATATATGCCCTATTTCATCAGCAACGTTATGGAATAAATATTTCAACGATACCCTGCTATGTTGACTCTGTGCTAAGAAAAAAACAAGCATTTTTATTAAAGATGACCCGCCAAAGTGAAGAAAGCCCTGTTAATTCTTGCAGATTAGGTGCCCAATAGGAGTAGGTATCACCTGGAAACCAAGCTGTGTAATAAGGAAACAGCATGTTCACAGAACATGTCTCTTCCAGTGCCTGGTGCCCCACCCCATGTGTCCATAATCAACACCAAGCAGACATGCACCTGTGCAAAAGTCAGATACTTAAAAACTGGTAGAAAAAACATATGAATCAAATCATTCCTATGGTAGAGCTTCATGCTTGTGTTAGGTTAAAATATAAAAGCAAATCCACTACAAATGACTGGTAGGAGCACCCTAGTGGGAAGAAAAGCCGGATTTGCACAGCGTGCCTACTGGATGTTACATGAACATGAACTTGAGAGGTGCTTGACCTCCCCTGCTTGCCTTGCCGTGTGCAGACAGCACTAACTTCTTATTGTCCAGGATGTGTAAAGAGATTATTCTCATGGTCTGCGGTGCTAACATCCTATAAACCTGCCACAAATACAAAATTAGCAATACTGAGCTGTTGCTCCTAGGAGAAACACAGTGTTAGGTTCCTGAGAGCCTCTGGTCACACCTTCATCAACCCATCAATACATAACCTAGTTTTATGTGTACTCTTGATTAAGGACACCTTATTTATACATATTGTTGACTCATTAACATTGTATCGGCTGGGTGTGGTGGCTCCCATCTGTAATCCACCAATTTGAAAGGTTGAGGCAGGTGGATTGCTTGAACCCAGGAGTTTGAGACCAGCCTGGGCAACATGGTGAAGCCCCCTCTCTACCAAAAGCACAAAAATTAGCTGGGTGTGGTGGTATGTGTCTGTAGTAACAGCACTTTGGGAGGCCAAGGCTGGCAGATCCCTTGAGCTCAGGAGTTCGAGACCAGCCTGGGCAACAGAGTGAGACTCCATCTCTACAAAATACCAAACAAAAATTAGCTGAACATGGTGATACGTGCCTGTAGTCCCAGCTATTTGGGAGGCTGAGGCGGGAGGATCACTTGAGCTCAGGAGGCAGGGGTGGAAAGGACATGCTTGGCTCAGTAAGCCAAGATGGCGCCACCGCACTCTGGCCTGGGTGACAGAGCAAGACCCTGTTTCCAAAACAAAACAACCAAAACAAAAATGGTGCATTCACGGCCAATGGCACTATGACTCAGACATGAATGAAGTTTCTCTAAAGTGTGTTTTCTTCATGAGCACACCACAGCCTTCTCGCACTTGGGAACCCCAGACAGCACTGCAGCACTACGATAGGGGCCATTCCATACAGCAAAACCACCAACAAACGGCACACAATTTCAAAAACCATAGCACTAAAGAGATGGCAAAAAGGACACTTGTTTAGGGTACAAGAGCTGAGACCAGAAGGCAGAGCGTGGCCCCATTCAGCCTCAGCTGGGCACCTGCGGGCTGGATGACTCAGACTCTCCACTGCTCTGTGTGGCTGTGAATAACTCTGAAGGCGCATGAGCTTTTATATTTCAGTGTTACAAATAAATTTTAGTGAGTAGGCAAAATCACAAATATGGAATCTGTGGATAAGGAGGACGAACTGTGCAGAAGTGTGAGGCGTCCATGGTCTGACCCACTCGAGCTGGAGGAGGCATCTGATCCTTACTTACCAATAACCACTTGTCTCTCTTCTGCCTCCTGCTGGGTCCCTTTCCACCTGCTTAAAACAGGCAAAAGCCGGTGATCAGAATCTCTGCCGCACGACGTGGCAGGGAAAAAAAGAATACCAGGCAGGCACACATCATGTGCTTGCCAAGGCATCTCAATATGTTAATTTCTTTGTTTTAAAAAAATAAGGGCCTAGAGTAATAAGAAGTAGACTCCAATGCAACACACGGAGACAAAAGATTCTTTGTAGCTATTTTATAAACAATAATACTTCCCATAGTGTTAAAATAAATAAGAGTCCCTGAACGCTGACTCTGAATTCCATTTAAATATTCATGAAGATTCTGAACTCGATCTCCAGAAAAGATTTCACAATAAAATATTCCGTTTATCCCATCTCTCTTGCTATGCTCCCAGGGTCATTTCACTGCCTGGTGTGACGGACTTGAGAGCCGTTGGAAGCACAGGAGACTCAGCTTGTTCTATGTGACCAGCGAATCTAGGCCAGGTTGGGACTGATGGGGCCCGACATGGGGAGAGGGCAGGCGAGTCAACACAAGGAAAAGAACCCCAGAGAGCAGCCATCTCCACAAGCAGTGAGTTCCCCATCTCTGCAGGGGTTCAAGCAAAGGCAGGCAAGATCTTAAGGAGATGGAAATTCCCATTAAGACACAGGCAGGGTCCTGGTGACCTTCAAGGCCAGTGACAGTTCATTTTATGCATCACCTTGACTGAGTTCCAGGGTCCTCAGAGTAAACTGTTATTTCTGGGTCTATTTGGGAGGCTGTTCCTGGATATATCTGGGAGAATGTTCCTGGATCAGCATTTGAATCGGTAAACCCAGAAAAGCAGATGCCCTCCCCAAAGTGGGTGGGCCCCATCCAATCCGTTGAGGGTCTGAATAGAACAAAGGGAAGAGGAAGGGGGCATTAGCTCTCCCCAGCTGACTGCTGGAGCTGAACACAAATCGTTTTCTGCCCTTGTCCTGGCATTTACACCACCAGCTTTCCCAGGTCTTTGGTTTGCAGATGGCAGATTGTGGGACTTCTCAGCCTCCGTAATCACATGCGCCAATTCCTTATAATAAATCTCTCCTCATTCTCTTTCTATATATATGTATATATTTATATATGTACACATATATACATGTATCTTATTGGTTCCATTTTTCTAGAGAACCCTGGCTAATACAAGGCCTGTCGACACCACAAACTGCATGCCCTGAAACCCAGAGGGAAAAGGGCATTGTCGCCGATACCTGTTCCCGTCGATGGAGACCCCAGCCATGGAGCTGCCCCCTCCACCATGCATTCCAAAGGTGTCTAGAAGGGAAAGAAAGGCTTGTATGCTTGAAGGGGGAAAACTGGAAGGCAGAGATCTGAGACAGCTGGTCAACTTGCTACAAAGCCTTATTCAGGGCAGAACAGGCTCTTGTGGCGCACCTGGCATGGATCAAGGGCTGCCCAGGACAGTCCTAAGATGCATTTTTTGACATGAGAAACAGAGCATGGTTGCCAGAACAACCTCACCCCCAGAAGATGCAGCAAAGGGTTTACTGCTTGCTTTTATGTGGAACACGAGATGGGATCACAGGGCCTCAGAATGGAGGAAAAGCCTGTGGTAACAGAAAAAGGCATTTGTTTCAAAGCAGATCCCTGGGGGGGAAGAGGAAGACTGGGTGGGGGCATAGGAGGTGGTCCCCTGGAGGAAGAACCAGCCCCTCCAATGGGATCCATGGGGCAGAATTAGGACCAAGGGAGAAAAACTTGCAAGCCGGCCAAGATATGAGCACTGATAAAGGTGCCTAGGGCTGGAAGTTAGGAGCCCACCTACGACCGTGAACCCGGACAGGTGGTAGAGCTGCCTTCAAACCCCCACACCAAAAGCCTACACCAGAGGAGAGAGGCAGGAAGATGCACACACTGAAGAACGGTAGGGGGTGACCTGAAAGTGACTCCCCATCTCTCCTGGGAGGGTGGGGCTGGCAGAGTCAGGAAGCAGACAAATGGTAATGCAGACCCTGGGGGAGTGCAGACCTGTGGAGGTGCACACGTGTCTTGTGGAGAGAGAAGCTGGGAGGGCACTACTTTTTCAGCAAAAGAAGCAACACCACCCACAGGACAGGGAGAACAATGCGCCCAAGGGCTCGTCACTTCCTTACTCTCTAGTGTGACTTCCAGAACTTGTACCTGAGGTTGCCATCTGTTAGTGGTGTGTGTATCATAAGGAAGCCTCTGCTTTTGCAGAAATATCTGAGGGGTAGAATGGAGAGACAGGATGCCGAGGTTTAAATGTGGCTCTGCCCCGAGGCACTTACTACTCAACCTCGGTCTGGGCAATTTCCTCATCTGTAAAATGGGACGTGCCTCAAAGAGCTGCTGGGAAGATTCAGTGACTTGCACGTGAGTGTCAGTTCCCTGTTGCTGCTGTAACAAATGATGCAATGTGAATGTATGCTCTTACTGTTCTGGAGGTCAGAATCCTGAAATAAAGGTGTGCTGTCAGCAGGGCAGCATTCCTCCTGGAGGCAGTAAGGAAGAATCCATTTCCTCCCCTCTGCCAGGTTCTAGAGGCCATCTGCATTTTTGGGCTCATGGCTCCTCCTCCATCTTCAAGACCAGCATGGCAGCATCTTCAAATCTCTCTCCGACCTCCGTGCCTGTTGTCACATGACTGCTGACTCTGACCCTCTGCCTTCCTCTTATAAGGACCCTTGTGATAACATGGGCCTGACTCAGATAGTCCAAAACTATCTCCCCAACTCAAGATCTCAAACTTCATCACATCTGCAAAGTCCCTTTTGCCATGTAAAGTAACATGTGCACAGGTTTGGGGGATTAGGATGCAGACATGTTTGGGGGGACATTCTTTTAGCAACTGCAATATTGAAAGCTGTCAGATCCTGGGTGACTACAGAAACGTGAGCTTTAAGTGCCACAGACCGTCACTGAAATGACAGTGGTGAGTAGGATGCTGATGAGGATACACATCTGGTGTGAGCAAGCCCTGCAGAAAGCCAGAGAGTAAACACCTTCAGCTTTGAGGACCACACGGTCTCTGTCACAGCTCCTCAACTCTGCCCTCCTAGCACAGCAGCAAACACAGGTAACATTTCAATGAACAGACATGACTATGCTCCAGAAAATTTTTATTTACAAAGATAAGGCTACGGGCCAAGTGCAGGACCTACTGTGTAAACCTCAATGCAGAATATTTTCTTGGTTCCAATCATTCAATCTCTCCCTGGATGAGGATCAGAAAGTCCTGCCTTCTGCTTCCCTGTGGAAGGAAGCATGTCCTTCCCACACCACAGACGTCATGCTCTGCCGGTGCTCTGCTCCCTCTGCCCAGAGAACCACAATGTCTCCTTTTGTCTGGATCCTGGGACACAGAAGAAACTGGGGCAAATTGATAGTCAACCTTTAGACGCAGTTACCAGATGGCTTGAAGCCACTGGGAATGTGGGGATGTTTGTTATGAGGCATAACTGGGTCCAAGCTGACTGATGCAAATACAAAGTGTTAGTTATTAATATTGTATTTATTGTTTTAATGCTATTCCAGCACCTTCTCTGTTATCTCACCTGGCCAATGTGAGCTGCTGAACCTAAGCCACTCTCAAGTCACTGCCACATCTGGGTAGAGGTCATTGGTCTCAGAGGTTGATCTTGCAAACATAAATGCCTTTTCTCTTGTTTTTATTTCTTTGTCTTTTTTTTTTCTTTTTTTTTTTGAGACAATGTCTCACTCAGTTTCCCAGGCTGGAGGCTGGAGTGTAGTGGCACAATCATGGCTCACTGCTGCCTCAATCTCCCAGGCTCAAGCAATCCTCCTGCCTCACCCTCCCATGCAGCTGAGACTACAGACATGCCCCACCACACCCAGCGGTTTTTTTTTTTTTAGAGATGGGGTCTCACTATTTTGCCTGGGGTAGTCTGGGGCTCCTAGGCTCATGCAATCCTCCTGCCTCAGCCTCCAAAAGTGCTGGGACTACAGGCATGAGTTACCATGCCCACCCACAAATGCATTTTCTGGGTACGGCTACAGAAGCCATCAATGGATAAATGGATGCACAAAATTCAGCCATGAAAGGGAATGAAGCCCCAACACACGCTAACACATGGATGAGACTTGACCACACCATGCTCAGTGAAAGCAGCCAGACACACACAGCCACATGTTACATGATTCCATTCACATGACATGTCCAGAATAGGCAAATCCATAGTGACAGAAAGTAGACTCGTGGTGCCAGGGGCTGCAGGGAGGGAGGTTAAGGGGAGGCTAGTGATAGGGTTTCTTTTTGAGGTGATGAAAATGTTCTAAAATTGACTATGGTGATAGTTGCACAACTGTGAATATACCAGAAACCCCTGGACTATACACGTTAGACGGGTAAATTGTATGATCTGTGAATTACATCTCAATAAAGCAGTCTTTTAAAAGAATAGCACAAAGCACTGGGAAACCAGCACCAGAGATGTCTGTCTACCCCTCCGAACAGCCCTCAGAAGGTGGCAGCGCTGGGACACCCTTGACCACAAGTCAGAGCTGCTGGCGTGGCCACGGCAAGTCAGGAAAGGGAAACCGAAGAGGCTATAGAATCACCCGTCCTTGTGTTCTCCTTCCTGGTGGCGGCACTGTCCACCGGTCACCAGGGCCAGCCCTTCGTAGGTCATCTCTAAGCCCTCACCCGCCCCTCTGAAAGGGGCAAGAGAAGGTGTCTGGATGCCAAGGACACAGCTATAATTAGAGACCACTTAGTGGCACACAGGGCAACAGCAAGGTGCTGGCGCCAAGCGTCTATCACAGCAATGAGGTCTCACATCTAGAAAGCCACTGCCTGCTGCTGAAGGGCCAATCTCTTCTGAGCAGATACCCTCTCAACGACGCTTATTATTTTTCCAAAGTGAAAATCATACTAATGTTTTTTATAAAGAAAGAAAAACATCATCCATCTTCAAGCCTGTAGAAATCCTAGCAATTCGAAATTAGCATAACAAATATTTTTTTAAGAAACACTGAAAGAGCCTCTACGTGCAGTATTTATTACCAATTTCCATAAGCCCACTCTAAACTTCTTAGAATTACCATAATCTCTATGATACGGTATCTTCCATCGGAAATGAGTGGAAATGTCTTTTTCAAGCTGAAACTGTGATGTTCTGGGAAGAAAAGAAAACATTTTGTAGACATCTGGTTCTGGACAAAAGTGTTGCTTCTGCCTTAGCCATGGAAATCCACCCCTTGGGGAAATCTGAACAGCCGAAACAAAGTTCCGTGGAGGAAACAAAGGCAGTGTCTCTGATAACAGCCACGGGAAATATTAATTTCCAGATGCACTCATTTTTATCTTAAAATCTTGTCCTATATAAAGCAAGCCCTCATCTTAGACACTCCGGGAGCTAGAAGGAATAAGGGGTCTTCAGACCCCCTCCGCAGCAGAAGCAGCAGGACTCTGCTGGGTCCGCGCACGTGCGGCCCCGCTAAGGGAAGCAGATGCATGGAAACTGTCCAGACCAGAGGCAGATCCATGCCCCTAAGACTTCAGACCAATTCCCAGGAAACTACCTCTGTTTACAAAGATTAAAGCCAATTTCCAAGTCAGGCATCTGGGCCACACCTTCCCATTGTGTGAGTAGAGATCCACCCTCAAGCATTCAATCTTCTGCACACACTGACCAAAGCAAATGCCAGGGTACCTTAGAAGTGGCCAGGCCTCAGAGACCCCATGTGGGGACCACCTGGCGGGGCAGGGGCTCTCCTAACTACACCCCCTGCCTAGGCTCATGCCTTCCATACAATATTGTCCTGGTGGTTGCCACAGAAAACAGAAACTATTGAAAAGCACAGCATACCACTTCACGTGAATTAGCATGGCTACTACATAGAAAAAAAAAGGAAAAAGAAAATTACAAGTGCTGGTGAGAATGTGGAGAGACTGGAACTCTTGCACACTGTGGCTGGGAATGTAAAATGATGCAGCTCCTATGGAAAACAGTACAGCCGTTCCTGGAAAAATCAGAAATAGAATTCCTATATGACCCAGTAATTTCACTTCTGGGTCTATACCCAAAAGAATTCAACCCAGAGACTCCAACAGGTATTTGCACACTCATGTCCACAGCAGCATGATTCACACTAGCCAGAAGGCGGGAGCAGCTCAGTGTCCACCGGCAGATAAATGGATGAACAAAGTGTGGTGCATCCATGCAGGTGGAATATTATTCGGCCATGAAAAAGCAACGAGATTCTGACACAGGCTACAACATGGAGGAACCTTGAGGACACTGTACTGAGTGAAATAAACCAGTCACAAAAAGATGAATACTGTAGGATTAAACTTAAATGAGCTCCCTAAAGTTCTGAGATTCATAGAGATGGAAAGTAGAATGATAGTTACCAGAGGCTGGGGGAGGAGGGAACAAAGAGTTGGTGTTTAATGGGGACAGAGTTTCAGTTTGGGAAAATGACAAAATTCTGGTAGTCATGGCTACACCACCCCATGAATGCACTTAATGCCACTGAAGGGCATGCTGAGAAATGATCAAAATTGATAAATTTTAGGTTATGTGTATTTGACTACAGTTGAGAAAAATATGAATTTCTAAATTCTCTTGAAAACCAGGAAGATCTGACAACAATGGGTATATATGTATTTATTGTAATTTTTTAAAAAAGCAACAACAGGCTGGGTGTGGTGGCTCATGCCTGTAATCCCAGCACTTTGGGAGGCCGAGGCGGATGGATCACATGAGGTCAGGAGTTCAAGACCAGCCTGGCCAACATGGCGAAATCCTGTCTCTACTAAAAATACAAAAGTTAGCTGGGCATGGTGGCGCACACCTATAATCCCAGCTACTCGGGAGGCTGAGGCAGGAGAATTGGTTGCAGTGAGCTGAGATTGCACCACTGCCCTCCAGCCTAGGTGAGAGAGCAAGACTGTGTCTCAAAAAAAAAAAAAAACAAAAAACAAACAAACAAACAAACAAAACAACAACAGCTGGGCGCAGTGGCTCATGCCTATTATCCCAGTGCTTTGGGAGGTCAAAGTGGGAGCATAACTTGGCCCCGGGAGTTTGAGACCAGCCTGGGCAACATGGCAAAACTCATGTCTACAAAATATCAAAAGAATTAGTGGTGTGTGGTGGCACATGCCTGTAGTCCCAGCCACTCCATAGGCAGAGGCGGGAGGATCACTTAAGCCTGGGAGTTGGAGGGTGCAGTGAACCATGAGTGTACCACTGCACTCCAGCCTGGGCAACAGAGCGGGACTGTGTCTCAACAACAACACCACCAAAAAAAAAAAAAAAAAACAGCAGCAACAACAGTGCCCACTGCACATTAAAACCAGGTAGTCACTTCCTGCCGCACACTCAGGTTCCTCACCCCAGGTAATGGAGGCCCGTGCAGCCGGCCGGCCTCCCTCCTGCTTCTCAGGCCGCCTCTGCTTCCTAAACAGCCCAGCCCCGCCCAGGGTGCAGCCTCAAACACAGGGGCTCTGCCTGGGAAGCAGTCCTTGGCTGTCCCCACCCTGCTACAGGGTAAGCTCCTTGGCTTTCCGAGGCCAGATGAGATGATGCTCCCCAGGAAGGCCACTGGGTCTCAGACTAAGTCACCCCCAGATAGCCTCTCCTGGCATTCTTTGCAATTGTCAGACCAAATTCCATCAAATCAAAGCCACCATCAATTAAGGAGGCTCCTTATTTTATGTCCCAATGATAAGAGAAAATGCTGCTGCTGAATATTTCAAATACTATTGATTATGATATAGAAGAGGCGAATGGGAACCCCTTAGGCTGACATGCCACGTGTGGGTAAATCACGAGTGGCGTGATTTTCCTCCCAGAGACCAGTGTGGCCGTTCAAAGAGGAGGACCTCCTTGCTGGGGAATGTCCTGTCCCCAGGTTTTCAATAAATGGGAGTTGAACTGCCTGCATTTTGCCGGGGACCGCGATGCAAACCAAAGCGACGCAGCAGCCGTGTGGAAGCATTCACGGAGAGAAGGGACGGGGCAGGTCTGGAGCTAGCCGCCCTGCTTCCTCTCTCCACGGGTAAACGGCCGTGCCTATGACAGGAGCCCTCCTTACCTGCGGTTTCAGTTACCTGCAGTCCAATGCAATCCGAAAATATGAAACAAAAAAAAATTCCAGAAATAAACAATTCACCTGTTTTCAATTGTGTGCCATTCTGGGCAATGTGATGAAATCTTGCCTCCTGTTGCTCCGTCCTGCCCAGGATGTGAATCATCCCTTTGTCCAGCGTGTCCGTGCTGTCTAGGCCACCCACCCATTTGTCACTCAGGAGCTCTCTCAGTTCTCAGATGAAAAACACAGCCCATACATGTAGGGGTCTGTACTAGCCTCCATTTCTGGCATCCACCCAGGTCCTGAAACACAGCCCACACAGGTAAGAGGGGTCTGCTACAGTCTCATTTTGCAGATTGAAGAACCGAGTCCTCAGTTTGTAATTAGCCCCTATTACGTGGTTAGCCAGGAGTGAAAGGGAGAGTGACAGCCAAGCAGACGGGTTCAAGGACACCTCTGAACCACCTGGAATCCATCTCAGGAGGTCACTCCCCCTGGGTCATGCTGAACTTTCCAACAGCCTAAAACCTAAAACCACAACCGAGTCTATTCTGGCCTGGACATGAGGTCTTTTCTGAAACTGGGATGCTAACCTGTTATTTATTTATTTAATCAGCAAACACATCTACCATGTGCCGGGCCCCGAGTGGGACAGCTGCCTTGAATGAAGACATGAAAAAAACAGACTCTGTCCTAACTAGACACTTTCCAAGATCTGAAAGGCCTACTCCAAGAGACAGCAACTTGGGAATGTTTTAAAACTCCATGTTCTGAAAAGCATAGCGACTCTTTGCCCTGAGTTCCTCGTCATGTGAGCGGGCCTCTTACACCGCCCCCGCAAAGGTGAACCATTCCAGGTTAAGCAGGGATTTGGACGTGCCCATCATGAACAGCCTTGGGTTCACACCCGCCAAGGACCATCTCTTTCCCCTACCTGTCCCTGCTGCACCGGCTGAAGTGAGCACCATTCCTGGAGGCCTGCGGCTGAGGTCTCACACGGATTGAAATCAATTTGGCCACATTAATGTCTCAGCTGACTGAGATTTCTCTTTCTCAAGTAAACACCATTCCTTAAATGCCAGCTCTGTGGAGCTTATTCTCAAAATGTTCAGAAAAAGGAAAAACCCATGAAGAAGAATCATAGCACTAAAACCAATGCGAGAGTTTTCAGATACCTTTAAAGCAACAGGCGAGGCCAGGCGCGGTGGCTCACGCCTGTAATCCCAGCACTTTGGGAGGCCTAGGCAGGCAGTTCACCTGAGGTCAGGAGTTTGAGACCAGCCTGGCCAACATGGTGAAAACCCATCTCTACTAAAAATATAAAAATTAGCCAGGCATGGTGGCACGTGCCTGTAGTCCCAGCTACTGGGGAGGCTGAGGCAGGAGAATCACTTGAACCCAGGAGGTGGAGGTTGCAGTGAGCCGAGATCACCCCACTGTACTCCAGCCTGGGTGACAGAGTGAAACTCTGTCTTAAAAAAATAAAAAAGAGAGAATTATATAAAAAAGTAAAACTAAAATAAGGCAACAGGCAAAAGAAGCAAGACCATGTGTTTGTGTGTTTGTCTTTGCTATTTATTTCTCTATCTTGTTGACAATCATTTTGGTCTCTGAAGATCATGTTAGCAACCAAAAGCCAGAGCTGAAACAGTTCTCCACTAACGAACAGGTTCATAGAGAGCTGGTGCAGGCCGGGTGGGTTCAGGCCTCCTCGCCTCCCGGACTCCAGCCCATGTGCACCCTCAGGGTTCCCAACAGCCCTCCCTAAAGAACAGCCAGAGACTGTGAGCAGGAAAACACCTCCAATGAAGGGTAACGCACACTGGTACCCACTGTAAGTCCTCAAGGTGATTCAGCCAGCACTGGGTTTCCAGTTCCAAGTAACCTTCATTTCTCCTTGGTACTGACTCTTCCACCTTCCTTTCCCTCCCTGAGATGTCTTGATTGGCCTGACCTTTTTTGAAATGTCACTGTTAGCTGTCGCTTTTAAGTTGGAAGACCGAGATTTGTAGCATCAGTCACATACTTCTGCCCTGACAAACCCCAGTCCTCTGCGTGGAGTCAGAACATGTCACTTACCAGCCCTGTACAAGCTAAGACGCTGTGCAGGGACCTCTGGGTTCCTCAGGATCGATAGAGCCTGTGTCTAGAAGAGTTTAAGAGTCACCAAACACTAGATGCACAGATGCTCTCAAAGCTCAAAGGAGATGGAAGAAAACATCCCTTGGGGAGAACAAGTGACGGGAGCACAGAAATCTTTTGAAACTCCCCAAGTCATGTGGTAACAGGGACGTGTCCAAAACAAAAGCCCCAAATGCCTTCAGTGATCACTGCTGCCTGCCTGATGGAGGCTCCCCAGGACCTCGCTTCCCTGAGAGCCCGGTGAGGCCCCTCCTATGTGACCTTCGGATGATGGACAAGTGACATCGTCAGCCCCCTGGGGTCTCCCAGATCCTACAACTTCCTGAGGACATTTACCTTCATCAATTGGTGGCCAATGCACCTGGAGTACCCAGAGGGCCTGGCCTTGGCAAGTGTGCAAAAGATGGGGGTGGCCACCATTGGATCATGTGCATTCTGCTATCAAAGATCACGGTCACAGTGGCTACTCCCATCTTTTGAGTACTTTATAGTGTGTGTGCGTGCATCTTTTTTTTTTTTCTTGAGGGGCAATAGAACATTTTTTAAAAGGCAAAGCTTGGAGAAAAAAGGTCTAGGTCAAGTCCTGGTGTTGTCCCTGTTTACTCAGGAACCGCTTATTGTTGAGGAACACAAATCCACTCAGATGGGCTCAGTCCCAGAGGCAGAATCTCACAAAAACCTAGTGCAGGGTGTGTGACCTCTCAGAAGCCAGAGGGCCTTTGGGGCCTCTCTCTTCATTTGCATGTGTGTGTGGATGCCTGTGTGCATGCCTGTGTGTGTGTGTGCATGTGTGAGCGTGATCTATCTTATTCTCTCCAGTTCTATATCACCTTCTCACTTTATTTTTTTCTGGCATGTCCTTCTCCAGCTTCTGCCTCCCTAGGAGCAGAGGGCTCTTCATAATTACAGCAGGAATGAGTCTCTGCCCCAATCCCAGTTTCCCCAAGGACAAATCCGATTGGCTCAAAATTAGCCAATTGGCTAGGGACAGAGTGGGGTGAAGGTCGGAACGGAACCCAGAGAGGGTTTTCAGGTGGGACCAGCATCACTGTATGTGTGGGTGTGGTGGAGGGGGGTGTCCTGGGCACAACTTTAACCCCTTTGAGCCTAGAGGAGATGTGCTGAGGATAAAATAACACAGAAGGAGCAAACGAAGGTAGAACCACTTCATGAATGTGATCCACTTAGTTAATACTCTGGAATATTGTTGAATACAGGATTCCCTCCCCAACAAGGAAAGGCATGTTCCTGAAAACTTACATGCAGCTCTACTCAAGGGATTACTGAAACAAAAGACGGGAGGCACAGAGGCTATCAGGGGACTTATAAAAATACATATATGTGTCATTTTGCTCACTAAGATTTAGCCAAAGAAACAGTATTTACTCACAGCCACCTGTACGGGTCAATCCTGAGGAATGTGCTGAGCACAGGCAGTCCCTGCCCTTTGGAAACGCGGCTTCTAGTCGAGGAGATGATAAAGAGCCCAGAAGGCAATGGGCAGCCAGCCAAGGACAGGGAGAGGGAAGCCCAGGAGCTGAGGAGGAGGAGGAGAGTTCCAGGCAGAGGAACAGCATATGCAAAATGCCAGAGGTCAGAGTCAGGCTAGTGGACTCCAGTTCCACACACCTAGAGCATGGAATGCAGTGAGCACGGCAGAGAAGGGAGGTGACGTGATAACCGCCACACTCAGAGGGCCCTTCTTAGCGGGGCAGCTGCAGGGAGTGACACGACCCCATGTGTAATCTAGAAAGGTGAGGAGAGGGTCTGGGCCACCAGCAGTGGGAGAGAAGCTGGTGGCTAATCCAGGAGAGACACTAGGGCGCCGGAACTATGGGTGGCAGCAGGGACAGAGGGAGGCAGACAGGCTGGAAAGACCTTCCAAAGGGAGATGACAGACCCTAAGGGAACCCGGGGTGACTTTCTTTCTCATGAATAAGATGATGAGGACCAGGCTGTTCTTTCTGACTTTCCCTCCGGGGCTTTGGGTTTTGCTGGGAGCTTCTCAAGATCTCGTGCACTTACGTTTAAAAAGAGGATAGCTCCAACATGTTGGGAGGCCAAGGCGGGCAGATCACCTGAGGTCAGGAGTTTGAGACCAGCCTGACCAACATGGTGAAACCCCATCTCTATTAAAAATACAAAAATAATTAGCTGGGTGTGGTGGTACGTGCCTGTAGTCCCAGCTACTCGGGAGGCTGAGGAAGGAGAATCACTTGAACCTGGGTGGCGGAGGTTGCAGTGAGCCGAGATTGTGCCATTGCACTCCAGCCTGGGCAACAGAGTGAGACTGTCTCAATAAAAATAATAGTAAAATAAAACAAATAATAATTTCCAAAAAAGAGGCTAGCAAGGTGCTAGCAAGGTGCTCCATGTCTGGGGCAGCCTGCTCACCAAGGCCTCTCCTGAGCTTCGTTCTCCATCCAACAGCTCAACAACTTTGGGATTTGCTGACCTGGGCCCTCCTGGTCCACCCTGGTCCTACAGAACTTCTCACACCTCATTCCCTTCCCCATGATGGACCAAGAAAGGCCCCGTCCTACCCGCAGCCCTCCCCGCTGCGTGGCTCCTCTCTTTAGAGGTAGGCAGAACAACGGCCTAGAAGAGATCAAGTCCCAATCCCTGGAGCCCATAAATAAGTGAACTTTGTCTTCATAGATGTCATGAAGTTAACGATCTTCAGATGCAGAGACTATCCTGGATCATCCAGGTGGGCCCTAAATGTATCCCAAGTGTCCTTCTAAGAGGGTGATTTGACGCAGAAGAGAAGGTAATGTGACCACAGGGGTTGAGCTGGGGTGGGGGTCCAGAGATTGGTGTGATGCTGCCACAAGCCAAGGAGCACCAAGACTGCCCATCACCACCCAGAGCTGGAGGAGATGAAGAATGGTTTTTCCCCAGGGCTTCCAGAAGGAAGGCAGCCCCACCCACACCTTGATTTCAGACTTCTGAACCCCTCAACTGGAAGAGAATCAATTTCCTTCCTTCCTTCCTTCCTTCCTTCCTTACTTCCTTCCTTCCTGCCTTCCTCCTTCCCTTCCTCCCTCCCTCCCTTCTTCTCTCTCTCTCTCTCTCTTTCTCTCTTTTGAGACAGAGTCTCGCTGTGTCACCAGGCTGGAGTGCAGTGGCGCGATCTCGGCTTACTGCAACCTCTGCCTCCTGGGTTCAAGCGATTCTCCTGCCTTAGCCTCCTGAGTAGCTGGGATTACAGGCACATGCCACCACGCCCAGCTAATTAGCTAATTTTTGTATTTTTAGTAGAGACCAGGTTTCACCATGCTGGCCAGGCTGGTCTTGAACTCTTAACCTCGTGATCCACCCACCTTGGCCTCCCAAAGAATTTCTTCTGTTTCTACCCACCCAGGCAGTGGTCACTTATCACAGCAGGCCCAGGACACAAAGGCATCTCTCCCATTACCCAGTGCCCCTCCTCCTCTGATAATTCCCCCCAGAACCGACTCAATTTTTCTCAGAGGATAAATTATAACTGCCATAAACCATTGTCAAAAGGGGTGACAGCAACACCCTGACGAGAGGGTGAACATTGGTTGCTGGAGGGGGCTTGAAGCACAGCAATGCAGTGATAACTAAAAAGATTTACAGCCTATGTGGGGCATTAAAACTTCATGGAGGGTGCAAGAAAAAAGGAAAAAATGGCTGAAAAAGCACCAGCTTAAATGAACAAGCACCACACAGGGGTCATGGGCACTTCCTTCCTTTAGTCATAAAATATCTGCTGAGCTCCCAAGTGTGCTATGTGGCAGGGAGATGATGACCACGGGACTGGCCTCTGCCCTTCTGAAGGATTCTTTCTGGTGGGAGACAAAGATAGAGATTTATGGGTTTGAATCCCAGGAGGCAGAGGGGCTGATGGAAAACAAGTTTGGTGTCTGATAGTCCCCAATTTCAATTCTTCCTCATAAGCTTGTCGGTAAAATTGGTTCATAATATTTAAACATGCAGAACATTCAAGGACCATGTCACACCAATAAAGTATCTGGCCCCTATGTGTATACAGTGGATACTCAATACACGTAGTCCTCTCTCCCCTCCCCTGAGTTCTATCTATTCATGAACTAGACAGATAGCTAACTCCACACACTGCACAAAAATGGAGGCTGACACACTTAGACACACGATGCCTCCCAGAACTACATCTGAAGGATGACAGCAGGCCGTGTGTTGAAAGCAAAATATTGCAGAACTACAGATAACAGAAGCATTACGGTAAACTGAGAAAACTACTTAATACTCCTGACCTGAAACATATCTCCTAAACTTGCTGTTGGGGTCGCTATGGACTAAATTGTGTGTCCCCTCCCAACTCTCCCAAATTCATATGTCAGAGCTCTAATCCCCAAGGGGATGGCATTTGGATTGGGACCTTTTAGGGGTGTTTAGGTTTAGGTGAGGTCATGAGGGTGGGGCCCCACGATAGGATTCGTGTCCTTATAAGAAGAGGCACCAGAGAGCCAGCTCACTCTTTCTTTGCCACATGAGGGCACAGGGAGAAGGAAATCAGCCCCCATGAGAAATGGAATCAGCCACAACCTTGCTCGGACTTCCAGCCTCCAGAACTGTGAGTGATAAATGTCTGTTGTGTAACACCTCCCAGCCTACAGCACTTTGCTATAGCAGCCTGTCTTTGTCTGTTTTGTGTTATAACAATAATATAATATATAATAATAATAATATAATAATACTGGAGACTGGGTCATTTCAAAAGAAAAGAGGGCTGTGTGTGGTGACTCATTCCTGTAATCCCAGCTATTTGAGGGGCCAAGGTGGATGGATCACGAGGTCAGGAGTTTGAGACCTGGCCAACATAGTGAAACCCCATCTCTACTAAAAATACAAAATTAGCCGGGTGTGGTGGTGGGAGCCTGTAATCCCAGCTACTCAGGAGGCTGAGGCAGGAGAATTGTGTGAACCCAGGAGGCGGAGGTTGCGGTGAACTGAGATCACACCACTGCACTTCAGCCTGGGCGACAGTGTGAGACTCTGTCTCGAAAAAAAAGGAAAAGGAAAGAAAAGAGGTTTATTTAGCTCAAGGTTCTGTGGTGTGGGAAGTTCAAGGGCATCGCCTTGGCTTCTGGTGAGGGTTTCTGTGCTGCAACACAACATGGTAGAGAAGGTCAAAGGGGAAGTAGACACATGCAAGGAGGAACCACACCTGAGGGGTGTCCTGGCTTTATAACAAGCCATTCTTATGGGAACAAACCCATTCCCATGAGGACTAATCCCATCTAGAGAGTGAAATCTCACTCACTACTAGAGAACACCACCAAGCTATTCATGAGGGATCTGCCCCAGAACCCAAACACCTTCCACTAGGTCCCACCTCCCAACACCCCCACATTGAGGAATCAAATTTCAACATGAGATTTGGTGGGGACAAGCGAGCCATATCCAAACCATAGCACAGACCTAGCAGACTAGCAGAGTGTCATTTCCACTTCACTTCTAACAGATGAACTTGAGGATTTACATTCAGGGACAGATACTTCTTCAGGATAGAAACAGTGGATTATAAGTATCTCACCAAGCATCAGTTGCACTCTGCCCTCACCTTTTGCATTTCACAAGCCCTTCCTCCTTAACTCTGCACCAAGCTGTACCGGGTTAACACTGCCACTCAGTGGCCAGCTCAAGAAATTACATGGAGCCATAAGACCAGACAGGCCCTTTGCCTGTTCACTTACATTTGTTACTGAGGGTTCTGGGTCTGGTGCTGGGTGCCAGGAGAATAAAGATAGATGGGAAAGTGCATCCCTCTCAAAGCACTTTAAAGTTTAGCTTGGGAGACTTATGCATGAACCATTCATTGTAATACAATACAGAAAAGGTACCCAGCAAGTACTGTGGGAATCAAAATAAAAGCTTCCTGCAGAGGAAGCACTTCGGCTCTGAGGGGTGGGAAGGAGTTCACCTGGCAAAGGTGGTGGCGATGGAGCAAGCAGTCTCACCTGGCTGGAGAGACATCACATCATTGAGAAGATGGTGCTCAGTCACCGACATGTTCAAAGGGGTCTGTCTGTGTCTGGAGGAGATTATGTCCCCTGTTGGAGGTGGCTCAGCAGCAGAGAGGGTGGCTAAGGCACTTCTTAGATAAACTCAACAAAGAAAGTGTGGCCGTGCTAGGGAGGGCACCTATGGAGCCCTGCCCATGAAACTGGCTAGGACTACAACCCACTCTAGTGTCCTTAGGTGGAAACTCAATTGGATGCCCAGGCTTGAAGCACCTTGAGAACTAGGGCTCTGGCCAGGCTGCTAAGCAGGCCAAACCCAGGAGGAACCAGGAGCTTTTCCCATGCAAACAGAGATGGCAATGGGTCCAGATTTAGGGCACAGCAAACTCATGGGGTGAGCAGGTGGCAATACCCCTGGGCGGCAGGGACAGGGGCTGAGGAGGCAGGAGAAGAGCCTGGGCCAGAAGGATGGCAAGTCCTGAGTGCTGTGGAGCACTGACCCTGAAATGCAGTCTTGTTTGCAACACCCAGTGCCAGATCAGGAGACGGAGAAGAGGTAATATTAAAGATTTTCTCTAAACAAATGAAATTTAACTTTTACAGCAACAATGTCCTGTCTGGATGGATGCTTTGTTCTACATGGGGTATGAGCTGCTCCCCTCCCACCCAATCCCTTCCTCACCACAGGGCCAACCACATCCCACGCCACAGTGCTTTTTCAGGTGCTTGCTGCCTATTTGTAAATAGCAAACATCTGATCATCCGTCTTGATTTCCTTCTGTTTAAATATTACTTGTTGACTTCCTGCCAGGGAAGATGAGAGTTTCACTCATTTATCACACAGCCCAAGACAGCCACAGGCCCACTTGGTTCAATCATGGTTCCTGTGTTTATGCTATTATGGCTAGCTACATCTTGTCCACAGCAAGGTAGGCAGTCGACTGCAATTCTATTTCCCTCGAGTATATAACAGCTACGTTTTGAAATCTGCCTTTCTATTTACATGTAACGAATTTATCACCAAGTTCTGACAGAGGTGTAAATTGCAGAGCGCAGGTCTATTCCTGTAAGGTGGAAACACATCTGGCAATCACTGTTGCCTGGGTTTCTGAGTCACCCTCTCCCAGAGCCATCCACCCTCCTGTGCCCACCTAGGCCGAAGCTCCACACTCATCCCAGGCCCGGCCCGGCCTCTGCCCGGTGCCAGGGCCCTCCCCGGAGTCCAGGTCTTCCTGTCCCCTGGCTCACTCCCTCTCTGGGTGAAGCTCCTCTCCAGCAGCTTCCTGAGAAAGCAGCATAGGAGGGGCCGATTCGAGAACACGTGCATCTGAAACACCTCTGGGACCGTCTCACTGATTTGCTAGAACACTGGTTTGAAAGGATTTTCCCACTGCGCTTCCCATATGGCTGCTGAGAGGTCAGACCCCAGATCCTCTATGCGCAACTTGATTTTTCTCTCTTGAAACTTTTAAGATTGCGTTTCTGTTTCTATTCCCTGAGTTCTGAGCTTTTAGGACCTCCATCCTGCCTGGGGGTGTCTTCTCACACCAGGGCCCTTTCAACTGGGAATCACATCCATCTGCTCAGTGGCTTTGTCTTGGATGATCTCTTTGTTTATTTCTCCCTCATTATTCAGATGCTGAACCTACAAGATGACTCCTCCAATTCTACCTGATTCCAGGGCTCTCTTCCGCCTCCTTGTGTTCATCTCCAACATTACTGCTATGCCATTTTTTTGCAATCATTATTGATCTTCAAGAGTTTCTCAAATGCTCCCTGTTTCACAGATGCTATTATATTCTCTTACTGCACTGAGGATATTAGGTACAGTATCTCCTTTGGAAATTCCCTTCTGTTCCCCAAATTGTCTTGGTTTCTGCCCGGACTATTTAGTTCTGCTTGTTTCATATCTGCCTTTGAGATGACAGCTTTCCTTTAATGACAGGTGATTATCAGCTGCCCATCTCCATCTTCTACTTGAGGCACTTATGCAGGGGATGGAAATTGTGTATGGGCGGCTCTTGTCAAAAGAAGGACTTCCCTCGGGGTGCTTTGCTGGGGAGATGAACCATAAGATCCTTGGAGGAAGCATTCTAGTCAGAGTCCACAGCAGTGCAAAGGCCCTGGGGTGAGCATGTGTTTCCTGTGCTTGATTAAAAGCAAAAGTGGAGGCCTGGGAGGCTTGAGCAGAGGGAGGAGGTGAAGGCAGAAGGCTGGTGAGATCAGCAAGGCCCCCACCAGCCTGGTCGTGGTTCCTCCAAGGTGCTGTTATCAGCCACACCTACGGCCTCATGTGGAAGGGCCAGGCCTCCAATACGCTGAGCTCCGACGGCTTCCAGCCCTTCCTGCTGCCATCAGGGATGGTTTTCTCCAGACTGCCACCTCACCACAACCACTTCTTCATTTCACACAACGGAGCCCAGGGTTGTGTGCCTGCCAGGCCTTCAGCATCACTAAGCTCATGGAGAGCCTTGACCCGCAGGTACCTTGCAGGCCCCAGCCTGAGTGCATCAGGGCATGTGGGCAGGGTTGACCTCAGGTGGCTTTGCTTAGAGAGACAACAGAATGACTTTAGACTCCTGAGACACTAGGTTACCACCAAAGCTGCAGGTGCCTGGGGATGCAGCACCCCTGAGTGGGAGGTTATGGGGGAAGAGCTCGAGGGCTCACCCTTCCAGCGCACAAGGAATGGCTCTCCTAATTATTGGATCTACAGCCCTTGGTGGGAATGAACGTGACCTCAAGTCCTCTCTTTCACAGCCTCCCTCTCCACTAACCAAACCTTCCCAGTTCAACCTCCCTCTCCACTAACCAACCCTTCCCAGGCTCTACCTCCCTCTCCACTAACCAACCCTTCCCAGGCTCGCCCTCCCTCTCCACTAACCACCCCTTCCCAGACTCAACCTCCCTCTCCGCTAACCAACCCTTCTCAGGCTCAACCTCTCTCTCCACTAACCAACCCTTCCCAGACACAACCTGCCTCTCCGCTAACTAACCCTTCCCAGGCTCAACCTCCCTCTCCACTAACCAACCCTTCCCAGGCTCAACCTCCCTCTCCGCTAACCAACTCTTCCCCAAGCTCAACCTCCCTCTCCGCTAACCAACCCTTTCCAGGCTCAACCTCCCTCTCCACTAAACAACGCTTCCCAGGCTCAACCTCTCTCTCCACTAACCAACACTTCCCAGGATCAGCCTCCCTCTCCACTAACCAACACTTCCCAGGATCAGCCTCCCTCTCTACTAACCAACCCTTCCCCAGGTTCACCCTCCCTCTCCACTAACCAACCCTTCCCAGGCTCAACCTCCCTCTCCACTAACCAACTCTTCCCCAGCATCAGCCTCCCTGTCCACTAACCAACCCTTCCCCAGGCTCACCATCCCTCTCCACTAACCAACTCTTCCCCAGGGTCAGCCTTCCTCTCCACTAACCAACACTTCCCAGGATCAGCCTCCCTCTCCACTAACCAACCCTTCCCCAGGCTCACCCTCCCTCTCTGCTAACCAACTCTTCCCCAGGGTCAACCTCCCTCTCCACTAACCAACCCTTCCCAGACTCACCCTCCCTCTCCACTAACCAACCCTTCCCTAGGCTCAACCTCCCTCTCCACTAACCAACCCTTCCCAGGCTCAACCTCTCTCTCCACTAACCAACCCTTCCCAGACTCACCCTCCCTCTCCACTAACCAACCCTTCCCAGGCTCATCCTCCCTCTCCACTAACTAACCCTTCCCAGGCTCAACCTCCCTCTCCACTAACCAACTCTTCCCCAGGCTCACCCTCCCTCTCCACTAACCAACTCTTCCCCAGGCTCACCCTCCCTCTCCACTAACCAACCCTTCCCAGGCTCAACCTCCCTCTCCGCTAACCAACCCTTCCCAGGCTCAACCTCCCTCTGCACTAACCAACCCTTCTCAATTAACCAACTGACTTGGAAAATCTCCCTGTGCTGACCCCAATCTGGTGAAATTCTTGAGGCACCTCTCCAACACACACACACACACACACACACACACACACACACACACACACACACACACACACTCGTGACGTTTCAAGGTTAGAAAACAGCCCTGCAGTACCCAAATGTAAGGAACAAGGCCAGCATTCTGGACTAAGAACCCATCAACTTCCAGAACATTGTGCAGTAGGGTCTGGCTGCAGAGCACCTGAAACATGGGAAATGTGCTTAAGTAACTGACATCTACATTTTTTTTTTTTTTTTTTGAGATGAAGTCTTGTCCGTCACCCAGACTGGAGTGCAGTGGCACAATCTTGGCTCACTGCAGCCTCCACTTCCAGGGTTACAGCTATTCTTCTGCCTCAGCCTCCCGAGCAGCTGGAATTACAGGCATGTGCCACCACCATGCCTGGCTAATCCTGGGTAATTTTTGTATTTTTAATAGAGACGGGGTTTCACCATGTTGGCCAGGATGGTCTTGACCTCCTGACCTCAGGTGATCCTCCTGCCTTGGCCTCCCAAAGTGCTGGGATTATAGGTGTGAGCCACTGCGCCTGGCCTGAACTCTACATTTTAAAAAATTATAGTTACATATAAATACCCATGTGCGTCCTGTGGTTACTGGACTGGACAGGGAGCTCTAGAATATTCTGCCAAATCCAGATGCCTCACTCAGCATCTTCATGAGATTTTACCAACGTTGCTTCCCATCCAGGATAGCATCTGGGTGGGTGACGGATGCACAGATTAAATGCCATTTTAGAGTTCTCTTCTGCACTGCTGGCACTGTACATCTCCCCCAGAGTAAAGTCCCTGCCAAGCAACGTGGCCCTCTGTGGTCTCATTTCCCACCACTGGTGTGGGCACCATCCCACCCCCACCTCTGCAGCTAGCCAGTCTCCTGGCTGCTTCCCACACACCCCAGGCATGCACTGACCCCAGGGCCTTTGCACGTGTCAGCCCCACTCTTTGAGATGCCTTTCCCTCTGACATCCTGAGGGCCCACTCTTTCCTTCCTCTTTTCCTGGTCTTTGCCCCAAATGTCACAGAAGCCGCCCTCGGCTCCCAGCGTGAAGGAAACTCGCTTCCGCATTGCCAGCTCCGTACCATTCCACCCTCACCCTGCTGTATTTTTCTTCCTGTCATTTACCAACCCCGACATGTTGCACGTTTCTCTGCTTACTTGTTAATTATCTAATGTGCACTTCCAGAGAGCAGAGTGTGGTGTGGCTCACTGATGTGTCCCCAGCACCTAGAAGACAGCGTGGCTCTTACGAGAAACTCCATATGTACTGGTGGAAATAATGAATTCGATCCCTGATTACTTTTCATCATAGATATGCACCGAACATCAGCCACACTTTGGGTTACCCAGGTTTCTACGCCCTAATCTAGAAATACAACTTCCACTTCCCTGTTTCTATGGGAACACAGAGTCTGAATCCCAAATAAGACTCAGAGGAACTTTTAAAAGAAGCTACTTCTAAATGACTGACTCCGCCAACTGCGTGCCCTCAGCAGGGCCACGACGCTGCAACGTGGAGGAGGTGGACCAGGGGCGGGCTGCAGGGAGCGGTGGGGAGTGTGGCAGGCTGAAGAGCACAGCCTTTCCAGAGGGGCCACGCTCCCAACCCCTGCCGAATGTCCACATGCACAGAGGCTGCCTGGGTGTGGCCACGTTTCCTAATTTTTCAAGAGAAGCTGGAAAGCTGAATTTTTTAATGAAATTCCTGGAAGTTTAAATACCAGCAACACATTCAATTTTTTTTAAATTAAAAAAATTAAATTTTAACATCTGGGCAGGTTACAATCAAGCTCTCTTGGGTCAGATCCAACCTCCAGACGGCCGACGGTGAACTTTACACTACGGCTCATTCTATCAACCAAACGAGAGCTGGGCCCCGGGCCCAGACTCACTGCCTGCCCTGCAGGAGGTTGACTGATCACAAGATGAATGGCAGGTACCAGCCAGTGCCCAGCTCCCTGCCAACCAGCTGCTTCTAAATACACTGGATAAACACACCAAAAGAAGAAGGGAAAAGAAATAAAAATAATGATTTGCTTGGTCACTCACATGTGGAAGAGAAAAGGCTAAAATCGAAGCTGATACTCCCTCATTCAGTCTGCAAGAGCCTCAGTACCGCCCCTCCCGGCTCCGCCCACAGAACACAGGCAGCGGGGGTGAAAGTGGGCGAAGAACCCTGTGCACAGCAACGTCCCCAGGCCTGGCATGCTGCCCGGCAAGCAGCTCCCCGGGGGCGCATCATCTTAGCAAACTCTCCCAGGACCCTGGGCTGCACAAGCTCAGAGACTCCGCCCGTCATGTGGGGAGACGTCCTCACTCTCAGGCTCCACCTGCTCACCCTCCCTTCACACTGAGAATAGGAAACCTGAGATGGACCAGAATCCTGGAGGTGGCACCAGCCATGTTTCTTCACCCTGCTGCATAGCCACCCAGGAACCCACAGGGTGACCTGGGCTCCAGACTAGGGCACCAAGCCTCACGGTTGGAGTGTTTGCAGGGATCATGGGGGGCCGGCTGGACACAACCACCTCCTCCTGCCATGGAAGGAAGTCCCCATCCCACACACTCGCTGGCACTGCCCTGGCCCATGCTGCAGGCCTCCCTGGGCCCCCGTGGCCTGGGCCAGCCTCTCTGGGCTCCCAAGGTTGGCCTGTTCCTACGGTAGGGCTGATGCTGATGACAGTATCCACAGTCATGAGGCACTGTCTGACCCCTCCACCTGCGCGTCTTAGTGAGTCGGGGCCTCTATGCCAAAACACCTGAGGCTGGGTCGATTATAAATGGCAGAAATCTATGGCTCACAGCGCTGGTGGCCGGGAGTCCAGGATCAAGGAGCCGGTAGGTGCGGTGCCTGGGGAGGGCTGCTCCCTGCTGCACAGGTGGTGGCTCTCAATGTGTCTTCATGGGCGGAAAGACAAGGCAGTTGCCTTCAGCCCTTTTTTTGGAGATGGAGTTTCGCCCTGGTTACCTAGACTGGAATGCAATGGCGCTGACCTCAGCTCACTGCAACCTCTGTCTCCCGGGTTCAAGTGATTCTCCTGCCTCAGCCTCCCGAGTAGCTGGGATTACAGGATTTCGCTCTATGGCCCAGGCTGGAGTATAGTGGCAAGATCTCTGCTCACTGCCACCTCTGCCTCCCGGGTTCAAGTGATTCTCCTGCCTCAGCCTCCCGAGTAGCTGGGATTACAGGCGAGCACCACCACACCCAGCCCATCACACCCAGCTAACTTTTGTATTTTTAGTAGCGACAGGGTATCACCATATTGGCCAGGCTGGTCTCGAACTCCTGACCTCAGGTGATCCGCCCGCTTCAGCCCCCCAAAGTGCTGGGATTACAGGCGTGAGCCACTGCACCAGGTCCACCTCCAGCCTTTTGTACAAGGGCACGAATCCCATCACGGGGGCTCTACCCTCATGATGTAATCACCTCCAAAAGGTCCCACCTCTTCGTGCTGCCACACCAGTGATTAAATTTCAACACAATTTTTTTTTTCTCAGACAGGATCTCGCTCTGTGGCCCAGGCTGGAGTACAATGGCGTGATCTCTGCTCACTGCCACCTTTGCCTCTCAGGTTCAAGTGATTCTCATGCCTCAGCCTCCCAAGTAGCTGGGATTACAGGTGCATGCCACCATGCCCAGCTAATTTTGTGTGTGTGTGTGTATGTGTGGGTGTGTATGTATGTGTTTTTTGTTTTGTTATGTTTTGTTTTGGTTTTTTTGTAGAGATGGGGTTTTGCATGTTGGCCAGGCTGGCCTCAAACTCCTGGCCTTAAGAGATCTGCCTGCCTAGGCCTCCCAAAGTGCTGGAATTATAAGCATGAGCCACTACGCCTGGCCAACACATGAATTTGAAGGCACATTAAGACTACAGCACCTATATGTGATGCTATGCAAACTTCTGGACACTCCCTTAACTGCAGTGATTAGCCCCATTTCAAAGAAGTAGAGAGGAGTTGCATTCATCTCCCCTGACTGCTGCACCATGACGTCATAAATTCATTTCCCCTGGCTGCTGCACTGTGATGTCATACATTCATTTCCCCTGGCTGCTGTGCCGTGACATCATAAATTCATTTCCCCTGGCTGCTGCACCGTGACGTCATAAATTCATTTCCCCTGGCTGCTGCACCGTGATGTCATAAATTCGTTTCCCCTGGTTGCTGTGCCGTGACATCATAAATTCATTTCCCCTGGCTGCTGTGCCATGACGTCATAAATTCATTTCCCCTGGCGGCTGGGTGGTGATGTCATAAATTCATTTCCCCTGGCTGTTGCATTGTGACATCATAAATTCATTTCCCCTGGCTGCTGTGTGGTGATGTCATAAATTCATTTCCCCTGGTTGCTGCATGGTGACATCATAAATTCATTTCCCCTGGCTGCTGTGCTGTGATGTCATAAATTCATTTCCCCTGGCTGCTGCGTGGTGACGTCATAAATTCATTTCCTCTGGCTGCTGTGCTGTGACATCATAAATTCATTTCCTCTGGCTGCTGCACTGTGACATCATAAATTCATTTCCCCTGGCTGCTGTGCCGTGACATCATAAAGTGGGTGGCTTAAACAATGGAAGTTTCTACTCTCACAGTTCTGGAGGCCAGAAGTCTGAATTCCAGGTGTTGGCAGGGCTGCCCACCCCCACCCAAAGGCTCTAGGGGAGGGTCTTTCCTGCCTCTCCCAACTTCAAGGACATTCCTTGGCTTGCGGCCACATCACTCCAATCTTGGCCTCCATCTTCACGTGGCGTTCTAACCCTTGTGTGTCTGTCTCTTTTCGCTTTTCTTAAGAGGACATCTTTCAAGATTAGGGCCTCCCCAATCCAGCATGAGGTCGTCTTAACTCAGTGACATCTGCAAAGGCCCTAGTTCCAAACAATATCACATTCACAGGTTCTAGATAGACATGAATTTACGGGGCAAACGCTTTGACTCAGTAAGGGAGCATTTGGAGACTTTTAAGTAAATCCTAAGTGGCCTGCCCAGGGGCACCAGCTGAGAAGAAACCCAAGCCAGATTTAAACCCAGGTTCTGCAGACGGGAATGCTAGGCCCCTGCTGTGCCGTCTGGCCAGATCTGTGGCTGAGAGTGGGCCGGTTTCCTTGGGGCGTCTCTCCTGGCCGAGGTCTTGTGCCTCAGTAAATGCAGACCCAAAATAAACCACCTTCTTGGGTGACTGAGAACCAGGAATAGAATTCTGGAAACAAGTTCCATCTTGTTCATAGAAATGGTGTTGGACACAACACAAAACCTTTCCAAGGGTGCGCTGTGGAAACCGTAGTCCTTTGCCAATTCCCAGCTGCATTTGCTCCCTCCTCTTTTAAAGTGGATAGACACAAGCTGTCTAGCTACTTGGCTGTCTTGTTCAAATAAATGGGATTTTATCAAATCACCCAGTAAGTGCAAAATGCAGTCTCTGGGTGGCGATGGAGCTAGTACCCGTCTCAGTGCTGAAACTGTTCTCAAGTTGGCTCCTATGCCGTGGCTTTTCTGTGTGGCTTTCGTTGGTGGCAAACAGCAGAGACGCACCCAAGCTGCTGACGATTTTCATGCAAAGGTGAGGCTGCTTCAGGGCAGCACTCTGGGGGACGCAGATGGCAGGGCGGCCCTGGCTTCGTGTGTCCGGGGGGGCCTGAGCAGCAGAAGTGTGGGAACTGACACCCACCTATGGTCTCTGGTAGCTGCTTTCTGTGGCTGTGGGAACAAATGATCACAAACAAGGTGGCTTCAAGCAACAAACCTTCCATGCAGTCCTGTAAGCCAGTGTCCAAAATGGCATCACTAAGCTGACCCCGAGGTGTCATCAGGGCCATGTTCCCCAGGAAGGCTCTAGGGGAGGGTCCTTCCCAACCTCCTGGCAGCACCATCTGATCTCTGCCCCCATCCCACGTCCCAATCCCACCGCCTCCACCTTCACGCAGCCTCCTTCCCTGTGTGTGCCCTACGAGGACCTTGGTGATTACGCTGGCTTACCCAGTGCTACACTTTGAACACTGGCCCTTTCCAATCCTCACATTAAAATTTAATCCCCAGTGTGGTGGTGTTGGGAGCTGGGCCTAGCAGGAGGTGTCCGGGCCATGGGGGTGGATCCCTCATGAACAGATCCACGCCCTCCCCTCCGAAGTGAGTGTATTAAATCAGGGATCTCCAGAGGGACAGAACTGATAGGATACATTTACACAGGAAAGGGAGTTTTTTAAGGGAGAATTGGCTCACAGCATCACAAGCAGAAGTCTCACAACAAGCCATCTATAAGCTGGGGAAGAGAGGAGCAGGTAGTGGCCCAGTCCAAGTCCGAAAGCCTCAAAACCAGGGAAGCTGACAGTGCAGCCTTCAGTCTGTGGTCGAAGGACCAAGAGTCCCCGGCAAGACACTGGTGTAGGTCCCAGAGTCCAAAGGCCAAACAACTTGGAGTCTGCTGTTCCAGGTCAGCAGTGGAAGGAAGCATCCAGCATGGGAGGAAGAAGGAAGCCAGGAGACCCAGCAGGCAAGGTCATCCCACCTGCATCCACCTGCTTAGTTCTTGCCGTGCTAGCAGCCAACTGGATGGTGCCCACCCATATTGAGGGTGGGTCTTCCTCTCCCAGCCCACCAACTCAAATGTCCACCTTCTCTGGCGACACCCTCAGACACACCCAGAAACAATACTTGACCATCCCTGCGGGCATCCCTCAATCAAGTTGATGTGTAACATTAACCATCACAGTGAGTGGGTTCTTGCTCTGCCAGTTCCCACTGAGAGCTGGTTGTTAGGAAGGGCCTGGCACCTCCCTGCCAGGGAGCTGGGCCAGCTCCCGCCTGTGGACTGACAGGCACGTGCACCTCTAGGAGAGCCGTGTGTGTATGTGTGTGTGTGTCTAATAGACAGTCTTACATGAACTTTACAATTTGCCCACATCAGCTCATAGAAATTGCAATGCAGACAGCAGCACAACAGGGACATCCTGGGACCCTGCCCATGGCACTCATCGGGGAAGAGGAAGGTCCTGGGAGAAAACGCCATGACCTTGTTCCCACATCCACGTGGATTTCCACAAAACAGGGAAGGCACAACCAAACAGTCTTGTTGGGGCTCATTTAACAAGGAAAGAAACTCAGAAAGCCACCTGGAGGGAAGAGAAGGGTCCGCTGAGCAGATTTCGTGGGTTTCTGAAAAGTGCAACGCCAGGAACCACAATATCACCCACGGTGTCAGGCAGCCTTCATCACGGACTGTCCCTCAACCACACAGTTGCCTCCACCAGCATGATCAGAGGAACTGCAGAGTGCACAGCCACTGGCAGAGTGCTCTGGCAGCCACTACCATGCGTGGCATGAGAAAATGTACTCATCCCCCTCTGGCTAAATTGCTAAATGTGGGAACTCAGTTTGGAGCTCTGTGCAAAAGGAAATCAGACGAAGGGTCTGGGGGGCAAAAGCCAGGCTCTGACATTTCGGGAGATCCGCCCTCACTTTCATGGGCTGAGTCCTCCCCCAGTGAATGCACTGGGGACAGGCCACATCCAAAAACGCCTTGCCCGGGATCCTTGAGTGAAGAGCGCAATACAACACAGAACCATTGCCAACGGCATTCCTGGGCCTCTGCCATCACTGGCTTAGCCTGTGGCGATGCTGGGGTCCATCACCTGATTGCCAGAGAACTGGAAATTCAGTTCTTTGTTTCTGGCTTCGGCCTTTCTCCTCCTTCTATGTGCAGTGTTAAGGGTTAAGGAAGAACACGGGGTCTGGCATGCAGCAGCCTATGCCCTGTTCATTGTCCCTTTAGGAGCTGTGTGACCTGGGCTCTTCATCCACAGGAGGCCCTGCTTCGTGGGACCACATGGAAAGGGCTCAGCACAGGACTAGGCAGGGTGCCCCCATGCACTGAAAGGTACCCAAACCACCAAGCACAGTGTCATTCATCAGAAAGACATCCACATCAAGGCCTTCTTTGTCGTTTCCCTCCCATTTCATCCTTGTCCTTCCCTGCCCATATTAAATTTGGGCCTTATTAAAATGGAGCCATTCTGAACGTCTCTCATTGCCACTGCCTTTTTTTCCTGATTTTCTCCACCCTTTCTTTGCTTCTGGATGTCTGGTTAAAAACTGTTGAATACAGCCTGGAGACCGACAGAATGACAGCACGTGGGGAGAAGGCTGCCCTCTCCAAATATACAATGCCAGGTGCTAAAGTCCCTGTATCCAAAAAACAGTGGAAGTCCCTTTCAGAATGCAGCTGCTGGGAGGCAGGAACAACTCCTCCAGTCAGTTCCCCTATGCTTCAGCCAGGGTTCTCCAGAGACACAGACCCACGGGGTGTGTGTGTGTGTGTGTGTGTGTGTGTGTGTGTGTGTGAATGTACACACACTTACAAATACATATATATTTACACATATATTTGTAATATGTGTCTATGTATATATTTGTGTATGTGTGTACTTTACGTGTGTATGTGTACACATGCAAAGAGATTTATTTTAAGGGATTGGTTTAAATGATTGTGGAGGCTGACAAGTCCAAAATCCATAGGACAGGGCAGCAGGCTGGAAACTCAGGCAGGAGTTGATGCTGCAGTCTTAGGGCAGAATTC